>NC_000013.11:25908106-27158106 GCF_000001405.40 Homo sapiens
ACATTCGTCATTTGAGATAAATACCTTAGAAATCTCATTTAAAGATAGTCATGTAACGCCCCATGGTTTTCTACCGAGGCGTGCTTTCTTTGCTCCTATGTCTGTAGGGCAGTTTTCTAATGCAGTGGTGTCAGTAGTTACCGTAAGTCAGCAGTCATTGTGTGCAGCTCTAGTCCGAGCACTTTAGGTCTGTGGTAACAGTGACTTAGGTGTGTTGAACATAGTTTCACCCTTCAAGTTGTCTTGTCCAGCTGGGATTACAGAGGAAATGAGAATTTCCTAATTAGTCAGTTAGACTGATCTTGGATACTTTCATCTTTGCAACGTCTTGTCTTACAAGAAAGTAATGAAGCCGAGATTGTTCTTCCTATTTAGAATAGACCAGGGTGTCCACAAGGCCTCAGGTCCTTCCGAGGTGTCTTGTAACAGCATTCCACAACAGCTGTTCTGTTTTAAGGCTCAGTGCACTCCACAAATTCCAGACGCCCCATGGCTGCTACAGTTGCTGAATGGTGACTTCAGGCTTCACTTGGTTCAAGCCTCAAGGGGGCTGAGCCAAAGCTGGCATGACTTGCTCTTCAGCAACAAGTTCCAAATAGAGAAAACATTTCAAATACCAACTGACTGCTGCTTTCTTCAAAAGAAACTGCCTTCAGAGGAGAAGCTCTTCCCTGTGCTCATGATCCTGGTTCCATGACTTCCACAGCATTTTCATTTCCCAGCCCTTCTGTGGTGGGGACAGTCGATCTAGTGATTGTGAATAATTTTAGTGTGCAATGCTTAACTTTTACAAAACAAGCCAACAAAGCTGAAAATATTATTTGGATGATAAGAGGAGCAAACAACCTTAAGGAATATTTTTAAAGTGTGGATTTAAATTGAATCGTAATATTAAATTTTTAGGTTTGGTACCATGTACCTTGAACTTCAAGGATTGTTATTTACCAGTAATATCTACATATTAAATCTTTATTTAAACCTGATATCAGGAGGAGGAGGGTGGGGAGAGAATGGTCAATGGGTACAGAATTCCAATTAGAAAGGAACAGTAAATGCTGGTGTTCTATTGCAAAGTAGAGTGACATACTAGTCCCCCAAAATGATCTTAGTACCTGCTACTCTAGTCAACAAGGTATTATATATCTCAAAATACCTAGAGGAAAGGATTTTGTACGTTCCCACCTCAAATAAATGATAAAATATTTGCAGTGATGAATGTGCTCATTAGACTTATTTGATAACTACACAATGTAAATATGTACCAAAACATCACATCGTACCCCATAAATATGTATAATTATGTTTCAATTAAAAATAACTTTTTAAAAAGCTGATATATTTTAGCTGAGTGTGAAAGCTCTGCAAATACAGTAGAGTTGTTGATTAATTTTTCGTATTATTATGCATTTTAGGTTGGTGCAAAAGTCAACCGCAATTACTTTTATACCAACCTAAAATACGTAATACAATATTTACTTCCTTGAAAAGGAAATCCTTAATGCACATTTAAATTATGAGTTCCCAGAATAATGTGGCTGGTAAAATAATACATTTTAACCATTTTTAAGTGTACAATTCAATGGCATTAAGAACATTCATAATGTTTTGCAACCATCACCACCATCCATTTCCAGAACCTTTTCATCTTCCCAAACAGATCCCGTTACACAGTAATTCCCCACAGGAATTCCCGCCGCCCTCCCCCAACTCAGCCGGTTATATCCACTGTTCTACTTCCTGTCTCTGTGAATTTACCTATTCTAGGAACCCCATACAGGTGCAATCATACAATATTTTCCTTTGTGTCTGGCTCATTTCACTGACTGTGTTTTCTAGGTTCATTATGTTGTAGCAGGTGTGCAATTTCCATTCCTTTTTCAAGCTGAATAATGCTCCGTCTTGTATTGGCCTATTTTGCCTGTCCCGTCATCTGCTGCGGGATGGTGGTAGTGTTCGCGCCTGTGGCTTTTGTGAAGAATACCGCAGTGAAAAGGGATGCACAAGTTTCTGTTTTGGCATTGATTAATTTTGAAATGTGCCTCACTCTTTTTCCTATAATAGGTAATACTTTTTGACAAGAAATATTAAATATTTTTCCAAAAGTGGTGCAGAATTGGCATTTTTGCTGTTTTCATAATGGAATAATACTTGAATGGGTATAGGCCCTTATTGGAAGTTCTGGGTTCTAGGTTGGCTGGTTACAGATTTGTGTAAGTCCTCATGCCTCACTGTAAATACCATCTTCACGCAGTAGCGAGCCCTTTCACGGCACCTGTAAATGATTAAGTCAATGTAAAGAGAAGACTCATTATCCCTCTTTAGATAAGGCCAGGAGATTTGTGAGAGAGGTTTTTGCAAGTTCTGTGCAGAACTGCAGTATGGTCAAAGCTGAGCTGTTACCTTATCAGCTGTGTGTGAGCCCTGCAGGTGTTATGTGGACAGCAGTAGAGAGAAGTCAACAGATTGGATTTTTTTTCTTAATTTCTGTATTGGAAAAACATGGGACAACGGGTGTCTCCTATATTTAATTTGTGCTTAGATGTCTACTAGAACCTGATGAAAGTGTTTTTGTTTTCCAGTTAGGAAAACACGCTGTTTCGCTCACAAGGTTGAATGAAGATGGTGGTCTTTGCGCAATATCCATGTATTAATACATTAATAACAATTGAGCTTATAATAAAGAATTGTGCCCTTTCAAATTATCTGAACTGTCTGCTGTATGTCACATTTTACCTTTTTAGAGAAGTGCTAATTCATGTTAAGTCCGCCTGAGAGATTTGTTTAATGAGCAGATTAAATGGATGATTATCCCTCTCAATTTTTTTTTTTTTTTTTAAGGAAGGGCTTCTTGTGATGCTCCTCTGTTATTTGGCGCAGGAACACAGAGGGGTCTTTTTAAAATTACCCCTGCAGGGTCACCAGGACCCAAGCTGTTTGCTTCATTAAACCCTGGTGGCTTCTTTAGAGCCAGCCCCTCCAAACAGCCCTGACACAATTGTATCTAAATTAGCATCTGACTGACCCCTTTCTCTCCTCTTTTCAAGCCCCTGCTGACAGGGATTGGCAAAAGATGTTAATTGGTTGGGCCTGGCTTGGAACAATAGACTTGCCAAGATGACAAAAGAACTAATGTTTCTTTCAATATGCATCCAGATTCACATAAGTACCTCTTTTAATTCCTGGGAATTATTGTAATGCCTGGTCAATGGGATAATTGACCCTCAGCAGCTAGCTCTTACTCCATAATACAGCATGGCACAGGCCTATCAGAGTAGCAGGTACTAGGGTGATTTGCAGGGGACTAAAAAGAGATTTTCTCAGCCAGCGTTCTGTGATGTACCAAGGCAGCCCAGTGGGAGTCCCAGAGAGGGGACTAATTTGAGCTTAACAGGGGGAAAATGTGCTAAGAGCCACTAAAACTTATCCTCAGAATCATAAAGGAGTTGCATAAAGGAATGAGTTAGGAGTTTGAAAGAAGTGAGTTAGTAGCTTGGCAGCTTCGAACTCATATGGTGAAGGATAGGACCTGGGCCCAACAACTCTAGACAGGTGGAGACGCCGCAGAATGTTGACTTCCACACAGGAAAACACAAGGTTTATTTCCAGCACATACCTTCGCTGCTCGTTTTATAGAAGAGGCATTTCCAGTTCAGATGTTAGGCTAAATGAGCCCCCAAACCTTTTCTTATCTCACTCTTTACTATCCCAACTTGCTAGAAATCTTACAGATCGTTTTGCCTGGTACTGAGGCTCTAGAATTTGTTTTAAAAAATTAACTGTGGAGAAAAGGGAACCCTTGTACACTGTAGTTTGGAATGTGAATTAATACAACCATTATGGAAAACTATATGGAGGTTCCTTAAAAAGAATAACTAGAATTGTCATATGATCCAACAATCCCACTTCTGGGCATTTACCCAAAGATTTCAAATCAGTATGTCAAAAAGATGTTTACACTCCCAAATTAATTGCAACACTATTCACAATAGCAGAGTTATGGAATCAACCTAAGTGTCAATCAATGGATGAATGGATAAAGAAAATGTGAGACACACACACACACACACACACACACACACACACACACACAGTGGAATAGTCTTCAGCCTTAAAAAAGAGATTTAGTCATTTGCAAAAATATGGTTGGAATTGGAAAACATTATGCTAAGTGAAATAAGCCAAGTACAGAAAGACAGGTGCTGCATGTTGTCACTTACATGTGAAATCTAAAACAATCAAACTGAAAGATGCAGGGAGTAGAATGGAGGTTATCAGAGGCTGGGGATGGGGGATGGAGAGATGATGGTCAGAGGGTACAGAGCCTCAGTGAGACAGGAGGAATATGTTTTTTTCTTTGAGATATATTATACAGAGTAGTGAATATAGTAAATAATAATGTATCATACACTTAAAAATCACTAAAAGTAAATTTCAAAAGTTCTCTCCACAAAAAGATGCGTATTTGATGTGAGGGATATATTAATTTGCTTGATTTAATTATTCCACATTGTATTCGTGAATCATGGCATCACTTTGCACCCCATAAATACATGTAACTTGAATCTGTGAATTTACAACCTAAATTTTTTTTAATTAACTGTGTAAGTATGGTATAGTATGCACTACAGAGTAGTCTTACTTTGAGGTTTGGGTTGTAATTCCAATCAAGGTTAATGTTTAAAACTAGCTGTCTCCGACCTCCATTACGGTAACAATTGGCACTACATGGTGCTGAGTGGGAGCTTCATTTTGTGGTTATGACAGCCCAATCTGAGAAGGAGGTGTTTGTGGAAGCACTAAATGCAGCAGTGCGTTGGTCAACTGAGTAGCCTTTGAGGTCAGATAGCCCTGCGTCTCCCTCCCAACTTGTCACCTGTGTGACTTTTAGCAAGTTACTATCATCCCTACGTGTAGGTTCCTGCTTTCAAAAAGGGATAAAGAGTTAAAAATAGCAATTTTCTAAAGAATCGCAGAGCAAAGTGAGCTGATCTCATGTTATTCCATACAGTGCCAGATATAGAGTAGTACTGGATAGGCCATCTGTTGTCATCATTGCCCCAGGATCGCATAGCCAGGAAGGAATAGAGATGCAATTCACACTGACTGCTGTTTGACTCTGAAGCCTACACTGTTTCAGGATGCTGCGTTGGCAGTTCATTCCTAAAATTTAAGGGAAAATATCCAAACACCTCAAAAATGGTGAAAAAATAGAAATGCTTGTTTCCATCTTTTAAAAGAGCAAGTGAGAAAAAAATATATCCATTAAATATAACAAAATTCAGATACATCATTCTGACCTTCTTTGCCAGAAAATTATTTTCCTTTCATAAAACTATAATATACTTTTTTCTAGTGCATGTCTGCCATGGAAGGAGACCATTTAAGCAAGATATTGATTGTTAGTTCTCAAGTTTATTAGTTTCTCACAAAGAAAAAGGTCTGATTTATACACCAGAGCGTGGGGTTCATGCCACTGCCTGAAGCTGGTGTAGAGCATCCTTTAGGCTTCAAGGGTCTCAATCAGAAATCATGTTGTGTTTGTTCAGATGCTTGATCTGGCGAATAAGTTCAGTCTTTAGAAATTAAGTTATCTTAGGTTAATGTGAATCAAATTTAAAAAATGGTGAAAAGCAGCATTTTTTGAAGTGATTTGAGTTAGGAAATTAGTATAGTGTACAAAGTCTTTCTGAGCTTCTCTGGGAGCAGCTCTGGTTTTTATCCCAGAAAGTGTATCCTTTAGCAGGAGGGCTTCTAGCTGACCATGGAAGTCAAAGTTCTAGTCCAGCTTCATTACTAAGCAGCTCTGAGCCCTTGGGTGGTTTTGTCCATCACTCCAGGATGTTTGTTCCCTGAGCAGTAAAATGAAGGGACACAACCAGGTGACCTCATATGACTCCTCAGCATTAGACCAAAAGACACTCTCGTCATCATCTCACTTGATGTTTGTGCCATTAGATACTTATGGCTACCTCTGCTTCCTGAAACTCTTCTTTGTGGACATCCAAATTATTTCTTGCCTAGTTCCCTCTTATCCATCTCTTTCCATCTCATTTGCCAGTTCTTCCTTCCCTGGCTTCCATTTAAGTGTGTTTTTCCTTAGAGTTCAGCCCTTCCTGGATTTCCTGTGTTTTCCTATGGTATCACTTCCATTCCCATGACAATCTGCAATGTGTATGTGTGTATTAAATATTAATATAAATATCAAGTATAAATATCCAGCCCTTACCTCTTTCTTAAGTGCCAGACTTGGCTTTTCTAGGAACCTCTCCCACTTTACACCTGTGTGTTTACTTGGCCACCTAAACATCAACATACTTGAAAATAAAATCTATTTTCTACAACCTGTGTACTGATGAGCACCCTTATCCATCTCAATGCTCAGAAGTGGAATGTGGAAGGTTTTTTTATGCTCTTACTATTCCCTAACCTACACATCCATCTGTTTCCATCCCTCCTCTCCTTCACCAGTATGTCTTCAAATCCACATTCTCAATGCTGATGTACTGGTGTGGCCCTGTCATCTTCTGCTCAACTACAGCAGTTACTCCAAACCATAATCCCCTTCCCGCCATGCTTTACCTTATGGTACACCCCTGTCACTGCACAGACAATTGTTAAGGGTCACAGCTACCTACAGAGCAAACCCCAGTCTCCTTAGAGGGGCTTCGCAGTGCTCCCCCATGGGGCTTCTGTCTGCCCGCCTCAGCCACCCTTTCTTTAACTCCACCTCTTGACTCCAAGCCTGGAACCAAGCCATGGCTTTCACATGCCGTGCATCCCTCTGTGGAACGCCCTTCTTCCCCCTTCCCGATTTGTTAGGATTTGGCTCACCTTTCAAGCACCAAACTCTCATCATTTGTTAAGGTTTCGCCATGAAAGGTGTTACTGCCTGTGTGGAATCTTCTCCAAACTTCCTAGCAGAATTCATCTCTTTCTGTGCCGACCCACAGCTCTTAAGCATTTCTGTTCTAAAGTGCTTCTGTTCTAAAATTATGTTGCACTCTACCAGTGCATTGGTCCATTTATCATAATGTTGAAACAAAAACATGAAACATTTCTGTGAAATTCTTCTTTATAGAAATCATAGAATTTGTGTAATTATGTACTTAAACCCACGCTAGTGGAGCATCTGTCATACTGTGTTACCATCAACGGGTTGTGTATCAGTCAGGGTCTAACTGGGGACAGAGAAGCCAGGCTAATTATTTAAAAGATTGTCATTTAATTAAAGGAATTCATTGCAGATGTCATAGAGGGGACTGAGAGAGAACCTGGGGGTGAACAACAGCAGAAAATCGCCACCACCCTGTGATGAAAGGACCAAGACAAGAAGCAATAAATATACCAAAGCTCAGTAGCTGGGTCGCTGGGCTCATTAGCTCAGGAGCTGGAGCCCTAGTGGGCCAGTCCAGCAGGGGCGGGAGCAATAAGTGAAACATGGCCAATTTTGGAAACCTCCAGGCACAGGGGGAGAAGTCCTGGCTTCTCCCTTCTTCTCTAACCTCTTGCCAGCGCTTCCCACTGGGAGGACCCAGTTGGAAGGTGCTAGAAAATGCAGCCTGCATGAGTTGGCCCCTGCAGGGGTGAGGCAGAACTGACTCCAGTCCTAGAGACCCAGCACAGACCCAGGCTGTATCTGTCTCCCTCATGTGTTTTCTTAAACACAAGAACCTCATCTTACTTGCTTTTGCAACTGCAGTGCCTAGCACCAAGTAAGGTTTAATAAGTATTTAGTGAATTGCAATGAACTCTAAGGTTTCCTTCCAAGACTAAAATTATGTTGTTCTCTACCAGTGCGTTGGTCCATTTATCATAATGTTGAAACAAAAACATGAAACATTTACCAAGAAATTTTTCTTTTTTTCTATCGTAGAGTTTGTGTAATTATTTACTTAAACCCATGCGTTAGTGCAGTCTCAATCCTATTCCTTTATTAACATGAAGCCAGTGCTATTTATCAGCTCTTGGTTGGTTTTGAAAACATTTTCCACCAACTGTGCGTCAGATTAAATACAGGAAGGGAAATGGAGACATTGATTTAATAAACACTAACAATGTGACAGAAAGGGAAAAAATTATGTTGCAGACCATTTTCACATAACTCATCCTAAATATGCCTTTGAACAGGCTCCTGCTGGTCTGTGGCCAGGCCCTCTGCGCCACTCAGCACAAACCTTCTGCAGTACAGCCCACAAGGCCGTGGGCACAGCACACCGGGTCTGAGCCAGAGAACTGTGTCGACGGTACCAGCCTTCCTTTTTAAATTGTCTTGCATTCCCTTGGTGGGGACATTCCAAAGAAGACAGACAGTCCCCGCAGCAGGTGCATGTGGTGCTGGTGTTCAGCTGCGTGCATTTTCACAGGTTGCTGTCTTGCAGGCGAGTCAACCTTTAGCCTCACCCTTCTGTCACCAGCCCGCTGCAGAATCTTGTCGATTGCACTGATCAGACATAAAGTTATCGCGTCGGCTGTGCCATGGGATCCAATGTTTGATGTACGTGGTCCAGCGAGGTTGGAGGAAATCTTAGAAAACACCCCAAGTTCTTTGTTTCCAAATGAGGAAATCGAAGCCCAGAAAAGGGTCACTTTTTGTAGCTTTTGGCCTGTAACTCATGTCACTCCTAACCCATCATCATTTTTGTTTTGCTGCACAAGCTCTGGAAGTTGTTTTAAACCTTAACTCTGAACAGAGTGTTACACTGTGGTTGTATTTGTAAATTAGTTTGCTTCTCTTCTTTCTGCCTCCTCTTATCTCTATTTATGTTTTTCTATATACCTCTTCTTATTACCTTGAGACTTGAACTCAAAAATCACATGTTGGGCACTTGCTGAGTCCTAGATAATATCCAGGGTCCATATAACTTGGGGTTTTTTTCTGGCACCAACATCCTTATCATCAGTCCAATTGCTCTCACTTCAAAGTCCTTAAATCTTGCACTTATTTTCACTTCTTAGTGCGTTAACAGATTGTACACAACTCAGAAGGATTGACTCTAGCCGCCCATGCCTGGTAGTAACCTCTCTTCATGTCAGTAGAATTTTAGAGTCTTTGTCTTTGAAGTCATCCTCCAACCCAGGCCAGGGCAGGGATCTCTCCTGTCCTAGATATCTTCATGGATACAGTTAGCAAAGTTGACACCAAATGTTAAGCATAATGAGATTAGCCTGGTTTTCTTCCTTCCCTTGTCTTCCCTTCCCTTCCTTCTTTTTGTCCCCCCATTTAAAGACTTTCTAAATCTGCAGAGAACCAGTTTTAACTTACTCCGCAGCTGAAATTACCAGATGCAAAGTCAAGGCAAATATGATACAGTAGTAGTTGTTTTGCATTGATTATATCTGCTCCTCATAGTAACCCTGAAGGGGTTTTTATAGTCTGCATCTTATGAAGAAATTGAGAAAGACAGAGAAGAGGTAATCTACCCAGTGTCACAGAGATGTTAAGCTGCAAAGCTAGGCTATAGTCTTGGGCCTCATGGATTTCACACCTGCCCATTACACTGTGTCACTCACTCTACTGCATTAGGAAGTACAGCATCAGCTGGTGGCTATAACAATTACAATTCATACAAATAAGTGTAATTTCAAGACCAATCACTCATTAATGTTGACATAAATAATTTACTAGAAAATTCTATTTTGGTGAAGTTTTAAAATAGCATGGCTTTCACTGTGCTAATAAATATTTAAAGAAAGATGTATTTGTTTTTTCCCAGCAAGTATAAAAATAATTTCTTCAAAATTCGATGTATTATTTTAAATTAGTTAATAGATGTATCACAGCCATGGACTGCAGAAGTTGTAAAACCTTATTTAATTCTAAAATTTCTTAAATATCAGAGAATACATTTTTGTTCTTTGAATATTGGAAGCCCCAAAAGATAGTTGACCATGAAGAAGAAGATGAGGGAAATATGAGAAGGCAGATGTTTGAAGAGAATAATTATCTGTAGAGGGACATGTTTTTAGATTCAATGAATTCATCACTTGTAAAGTGGAAATCCTGGCCAAACCACATAAATGGATTTGAGCTGACTGCCAGATAAGGAGCATTTCAGAAATAAAAGGGCAATGGTGCAGCTTGAAGGATAGGCTTCCAAAAGCATTCTGATAAAAATAAAATGCCTCAAGATGCTCAAGGTTCCTGGGTGATAGATAGGAGCTTTTCCTGGGAAGAGCATCAGTTATTAAAATAGGAAGGAGGGAAATTTGTAACAAGAAATGAAGAGGCCAAAGTGTGATAGTTGTTGATTGGGCTGCATATGCTTTCAACTATGTGATAGTCCAGTTACAAGGTTACTTGTTGATGGTGGCTCCGTTGTTGCCCAAAGAGCCAGATCCATGATTAAACAAGAAAAAAGCCAACGTGGTATATTAACATCCAACAGTGAAAAACCAATGTCTGTTACCCAGGACACCAAAGGGAACCCTTCAGTCCAAAGGGGCTCTTAATTTGGAAGGGAATAAGCAGCAGTTTATGTTATAATATATTATAATTGCTTATTTTAAAGATAATTTGTCCTAGTTTGTGAAAGCCTCCCCCCCGCAACAATAAATTTTCTATGAATTGCACAAGTCAACACATAGAAAATTTGGATGCAGTGAAACCAAGGATAAGATGATTTGGTGTTTGATTGGCACTTGTCTCCCATCCCTCCCAGCAGCCGATCCTGGTTATTTCATTTCATTTTGGACCCCACTTGTAACATGATGTTAGAGGACTGCTGTATTGGTTACTGTGATTATTTTAAATAACTTATTGTGTATTCCTCATAAAAATTATTAAAGGGTGCAAATTGCACCCTGGGGGTTGGTGTTCAAATGGGAGCTAAACAGCAAGAAAAGGTAGTTTAAAATACTATTCCTCATAGGCAGAGATACAACACATGTGATCCCCAAAAGTAGATATGAGCAACTGTGTTGCATGAAAACCATAGATAATGAATTCTCTTTTTTAAACCTGAACTAAGTAATACCTGGAAAGTAAGTGAAATTCACATGTAAAGGAATGTATATTTTTCCAGATATGAAGCTACCCATCCTTTAATATGTTCTTTTCCAAAAGTATACATTGTCCTTTTTACTCAAAATGTTCAGGTAAGCCCACAGTTAAGACTCAGACCTGAGGGAAGACAACATCAGTTCATCTGGGGAAAATATAGACAAGGCCTCCGCTAAAGCATCCAGCATATGGCAGATGATGTCAGCCAGGGATAGCCACTTACAACATTTAGAATTGGTGTGATTCTTATCTGAGCGTACCCTCTCCTTTATAACTGTATTCAGATCTCCACATCTGAGAGACTGGAGGGATTTGGGTTTTGCATTTTTGGTTTCGGGATGTGAAAGAATGTATATCTTTCTGCTGAGGAGGGCTGTCTGAGCTCTGAGTTTGTAGAAGGTGCTGCGAGGTGGGCTGCGGGAGCCTCAGGATTCTCTACCCCTCCTCCAGCTCCTGCCCTAAGAGACTACAGTGTCACTTTAAGGGAAGTTTACCCTCCCTCAACCCACTTCCCTACTTCCAGGTCAGCCCTTACCTGTCAGAGCCCATCACTGCCCCTCATACTCTGAAACTAGTCTCACCTGAGTCGGCAGCTGGCTTTTAATTCCAATTCCAAAGATTTTCTGTATCTTTCTTATAGACCTCTCTGTACTTTTGTCAGTTTTGGGAGATTTTCTTGAGACAGAGTCTTGCTCTGTTGCTCAGGCTGGAGTGCGGTGGTGCTGTCATAGCTCACTATAACCTCGATCATAGCTCCCATAACCTTGAACTCCCACGCTCAGGCAGTGCCCCCACCTCAGCCTCCCAAGTAGCTGGGACCACAGACATGTACTACAAGGCCTGGCTAATTTTTCAACTGTTTATACAAACAGGGGTCTCGCTATGTCGTCCAGGCTGGTCTCGAACTTCTGGGCTCAAGCAATCCTCCCACCTCAGCCTCCCAAAGTGCCAGGACTACAGGTGTGAACCACTGCGACCAGCGTTGTTTTGTCTTGAACTCACTTCCTTTGGTTCTTAAAAACCCTTCTTCAGATTCTTTTTGTGTTCCAGCTAGCCCAACTCCTTCTCGGCCTTTTCCCTCTTCTGTAACTTACAGGTTTGGGTTCTACACCTCAGCATTGAGCCCGTAGATACTGGCTCATTCTTCCTGAATGGTCCTTGTACTCTTCTGGCTTCCATTCATACCTGCACGTGTATGACCTCCAAATCTAAATCTCTGAAAAGTTAGGTCACCCTTCCTGGTGCTGGACTCAGTGACCCAGTGCCCTCCAGATGTATCAATCTACACACATTATTAACACACACACACACATCCTAAGCTCGGCACTTGTGAAAAAGATGTCTTTGTGTTCCCCTGCCCACTTCCTCCTCTGCCTGTGTTTCTGCCTTAGTAAATGGCTCCACCATCCACCAGCTCACAGAGCCAAAAGCCGAAGTCCTCCCTCTTACCAGACTCATCAGTCACCAGGCCTGGTAATTTGCCAAGTCTCCTTGCAGGCTACCCTGCCCAGCCTCACAAGAACCTCACGGTCTCTGGCCAGGATGCCCATGGAGGCCCATCCTGCAGCTTCTGGTGCTCTGAGGCTCCCATGCCCTTCCTCTGCCTTTGACAGACTCCTTTTCCTAAATACTGTCAACATTTCTTTATTTTGCTTTTACTTATTTATGATCTGAGAAAAACTGTTCGCATCCAGAGGGCAGGCTGGGCCTGCCTGTAACCCCAGCACTTGGGAGGCCGAGGTGGGTGAATCACTTGAGCCCAGGAGTTCGAGACCAGCCTGGTGAAAACCTGTCTCTACTAAAAATACAAAAAAATTAGCCAGGTGTGGTGGTGCTCGCCTATAGTTCTGGCTACTCGGGAGGCTGAGGTGGGAGAATCTCCTGAGCCTGGGAGGTCGAGGCTGCAGTGAGCCAAGATCATGCCACTGCACTCCAGCTTGGGCAACAGGGTGAGATTCTGTCTCAAAACATAAACCACAAAACAAAACAAAAGCAGAGGGCAGAAACTGTATCTTCCTTCCTTGTAGCCTGAGAAGCCATACAGTCCTCTTTTCCTCACTCCCATTGCGTTGTAAAAGCAATGACTCAGGAATGAGATCTTAGCAAAATTTAACAGTGAGGCTAAAAGACTTTTCCTACAAAACAGTATGCTAATATTAGAGTACATATCATGGACTCTTTTTCCTCAAATTATCTGAAAAATTATCAGACATCAGAAAAACTGAGTTGAGGCCAGGCACGGTGGCTCACACCTGTAATCCCAGCAATTTGGGAGGCTGAGGCGGGTGGATCACGAGGTCAGAAGTTCAAGACCAGCCTGGCCAGGTTGGTGAAACCCTGTCTCTGCTAAAAATACAAAAAAAAAAAAATAGCCAGGTGTGGTGGCGGGCACCTGTAGTCCTAGATACTTGGGAGGCTGAGGCAGGAAAATTGCTTGAACCTGGGAGGCGGAGGTTGCAGTGAGCCAAGATTGCGCCATTGCACTCCAGCCTGGCAACAGAGCTAGACTCTGTCTCAAAAAAAAAAAAAAAAAGAAAAAAACTGAGTTGAAGTTCATATTTTGTTCTACGTGTAATTTATTTACTTGTGAAATCTTGTACTGTCATGAAAGACTTAGGTCTAAAGCTGAATATGCTATTTTGATTGATTAGGTGATATGTTGTAGAACCGTATAATATTTATGGTTTGAAGTATAGTTTATGGTATTTATTTGATCGAATGTGTATTAAAGTGAAAAGTATATTGAAATATTAATATAGTTCTAAACCAGATTAAGTAAATAACGTATTGAGGTAGTGAATCTTTTTCCTTCTATAGTTTATTTGTTAGATTTTTGTAAAACCATTGTTAGATTTTGTAAAACCATTTGTTAGATTTTGTAAAACCATTGGCACTTTTGTGAAGTTTGGGAAATAAGAATTAACTACATTTTTGGGGTTTTAGAATAGAGCAGGAAAATTCTGGTGTTAATGATTGCCTATAACCTCAATATAGAAGAATAAGGACGTGGAATTGTACCACATCATCAATAAAAGTTCTCCTTACCCTAAAATTCTGCAGGTGGGTCCATCATCCTAATCAGTAACACGCAATTTCAAAAAATCTCTGTGGTCAGTTTATTATGCTTGTTAAGAGTTTTTCTTCTAAAGTAACATACAGAATTTGGATGATCTGAGTGAGTCTGAGCAGGGCCCCAGGTGGATTTATAGGTGTTTAGAATAAAAGGATGCTTTTACATAAATCAGTACAATTAGTTTTATTATTGCAACCTTGTTTTAGGCATTTATGTTAGCTGGTGACAAGACGATGAAATCTTCAGATCCTGATGTTTCAGTGAACCACAAATAGAAGGAAGTTGACAACTATCACACTATGGAATTGCAACAATTTGCAGAGATGACAGAAAGGGACATCTGTTTCCAGTCAGTGGGCAGGGAGTTGGTTTCCCGTAGGCAGCTGCCTGCACCTTCTGTAGAAGGCCACCAAGTGCTCAGAGGTTATACACTCGCATTCCCGGAGCTCTTCGGAGAGCACAAGGCAGGAGGGTCAGTGACGTTCTCGCATTCTTTTTCTGGCTGGCCATTAGAATTAGTAGGCCACATCTAATACGTCCACACAGGTCCAGATATCCTACACAGGGGTGTGGGTTCCCAAAGAAGGGGGGATCGGTAGGCCCTACACATTTGTTGCTCATCTGTTTGCATCTCAGGCAACTGTGAGCTGGCTGGGCTTCCTGACTGTGACAGACACAAATTCTAATCCTTGTAGCCTCATTCCTGCAATTGTACCCAGACCCTTGCCTGCTAGGAAGCCCAGGAGATGCCTTCTCTTACAGGGAACCAGTCTTGGACCCTGCGCCATGTTGATCCAGAACTGATGTGGACTCTTTTCCGTTGATTTTCAATGTGAAGGGAAAGGGACAAGTGGGGTTAAATAGAACCAGACCTGGCCACCCTGTTTACTTTAGAAAGCAAAGGAACAACCTAGAAACACATGTCTTAGTAGGAACACAAATTAAGAAATAGTGGCCCTCCTCACACCAGAAAAGGATTGCAATTATCATATTTAGCCTAACAATACCAGTCAAGTTTCCCCTTCCCAGATCCACCAGTGTAGCCCTGCCAAGAGCAGCAGCAATTTACTTGCCAGTTCATGAAGTCTTTCTAAAATTGTATTTTATTAAAGTCTTTTATTTCACTTTCAGCGAACATTTATTATTTGCCTCCTACAAGCCAGCACACCGCAAGACATTTGGGACAGAAAGGGTAAGCTGCAGTCCACAGCTGTAGAGGGCCAGGCTAAGTGCTAAGAGCCTGAAACGCACAGGTTGTGAAATCCTTATCTGCTTTTTCCTACCACCTTTTTCAACTTAAGAAAAATGACGCTATTAATATTGATGTCCAGCAGGCCAACATTTCTTTTTGTAAATTGTCAAGACTGAAGTTAACAGTGAACAAGTCCAGATCCCATCCTGCCATGTAGATCCAGTGTAGCCTGGGGATAATTCAACCCTTAGCCTCCATTTTTTTTTTTCTGTAAAATAGGCATGATCATAAGTCCCTCTGTCCCCTAGAAGACATCAAAATAATAAAAAAAAATGGACATGAAAGATGTCCATTATTCTCATAAAAGATGCTACCTAGATCCAGCGTAGGAATATTTTATGATGGCTTTGATCTTCATCTTTCTGTAGACATGGGGTTTAACAATTTAAATTCTTTCTGGCTTTGTTTTTCTAAGATTGCCACATAGGTAGATTATGTAATCCTAGCATCTTCTGTGTGGTTGTTCTCTGGCTGCATAAGACATTGCAGGAAAATGATAGTATAGTTACAGTGTCTGGTTTGTTAAATGATGGACTTTCATCATTATCAAAGGATAATTCTTTTCCAAATAGCTGAGATGGATGGGGAAACCAGTACTAGCCAGGAAGCTACCCTTCAGCCTGCTTCCCCCATCTGCAAAAGAACTGAATGGATGGATGATGTCCTACAGCACAGTCCCTCCTCCTTCCACGTTGTCTGCTGTGCCTCTCCCACTCAGAACAGAGTCACTAAAGGCTTAACAAGAACAATTAATGCAGTGGTCACAGACCTGACCTCCTGTAGATATCTGGATTCATTTCCTAGGGCTGCTGGTAGAAAATGCCACAGACCGGGCTGCTTTAACCATAGAAATGATTGCCTTGCATTTCTGGAGGCTGGAAGTCAAAGATCAAGGTGTTGACAGGGTTGGTTCCCTCTCAGAGCAGTGAGAGAAAATCTGTTCCAGGTCTCTCCTAACTTCTGTTTTTTTGGCAATCTTCTGCATTCCTTGGCTTATAGAAGCATCACCCTGATTTTTCTTTCCTCTTCACGTGCGGGCCTTCCTGTGTCTGTGTCTGTGTCCAAATTTGCCCTTTTTATAAGGACATGAGTCATACTGGATTAGGGCTCACCCTATTTACCTCATTTCAACCTAATTGTATCTGCAATGACCCTATTTCCAAATAAGGTCATATTCAGAGATACTAAGGGCTAGGGCTTCAACATTTGATTGGGGGGGAATACTTAATGTATAATGATATTTTTTTCATTGAGGTATGATATGGTTTGGCTGTGTCCCCACCCAAATCTCACCTTGAATTGTAGTTCCCATAATCCCCATGTGTCATGGGAGGACCCGGTGGGAGGTAATTGAATCATGGGGGTAGGTTTTTCCCATGCTGTTCTCATAATAGTGAATAAGTCTCACAATATCTGATGGTTTTAAAAAGGGTAGCTCCCCTGCACACACTCTCTTGACTGCTGCCACGTAAGACATGCCTTTGCTCCTCCTTTGCCTTCTGCCATGATTGTGAGGCTCCTCAGCCATGCGTAACTGTGAGTCCGTTAAACCTCTTTTTCTTTATAGATTAACCAGTCTCAGATACGTCTTTATTAGCAGCATGAGAACAGACTAATGCTAGGTGTTCTGGGTTCCTTCTGTATAAAATTCTCAGTAATAACTAACCAGATAAAAGACTGAATTGCCTTTTTCTTTTTTTTAATAAGTGATGTGGTACTTTTATTCCCTGAAAAAAATCCTCTCTCAGCTGGGTTTGTGAAGTCACAGTGACTTTCAGGTGCTTACTGTTTTTATTCAGACTAAAAAAATTATTAGGTGGGGGCAGGGCGCTGTGGCTCAACGCCTGTAATCCCAGCACTTTGGGAGGCCAAGGCAGGCAGACCACAAGGTCAGGAGATCGAGACCATCCTGGCTAACATGGTGAAACCCCATCTCTACTAAAAATACAAAAAAGTAGCCGGGTGTGGTGGCAGGCGCCTGTAGTCCCAGCTACTCGGGAGGCTGAGGCAGGAGAATGGCGTGAGCTCTGGAAGGCAGAGCTTGCAGTGAGTTGAGATCGCGCCACTTACACTCCAGCCTGGGCGACAGAGTGAGTCTCTGTCTCAAAAAAAAAAAAAACAAAATTGTAGATGGGTCTCCTTCTTGACAGGCATTGAACTAGTTGCTGAGAATGTAATGAAATGCTTGGCCATTGTCCTCAAAGAACTAGTAAAGGGAACAAACATGTAAAATATGTTTCATGTAATGATTGAAATATATACACAGAACAAAAAAATTAACTTGGCTAAAGTTGTCAATCTTTTTTTTTTTTTTTGAGACGGAGTTTGCTCTTGTTGCCCAGGCAGGAGTGCAATGGCATGATCTCGGCTCACTGCAACCTCCACCTCTCAGGTTCAAGCAATTCTCCTGTCTCAGCCTCCCAAGTAGCTGGGACTACAGGCGCGCCACCATGCCTGCCTAATTTTTGTATTTTTAGTAGAGACGAGGTTTCTCCATATTGGCCAGGCTGGTCTTAAACTCCTGACCTCAGGTGATTCACCTGCCTCGGCCTCCCAAAGTGCCAGGATTACAGGCATGAGCCACCGCACCCAGTCAGTTCTCAATTTTCATAGTAAATTTCCATAATTAAATTGTCTTAAATGTGGATCTGAGTGTATTTTTATGCTGTTTAAACCCTTCAATAAGCTTCAGCTTGACATTATGAAATAGTCCATGATTCCTAACAAGACTTAAAGACTCTCCACAATCTAACTTGTTTCCATGGCAACTTTCCCTTGTACTCTGTGCTCCACCATGGTAGCTCCTGGAATGTTCCTGGCCCTCTCCAGCATCTGGGGCCTTGCCTATACCTAGAGCAGGGTCGTCTATTTTTCCCATTCCATGGCCCCTCCCCTGTCACCACATCAACTCCTACACATCTTTCAGGCATCCAGGATCTTTCCTGATCACTCTCCACTCCTCCCCTACCTACCATCAACTCCCAGAGCACTGACTGTAACTTTTATGCCATTTATCATTCATTTAATATATTTGTTTTCCAATACATGGACGGGGACTCTGGGGAGCAGGAACTGGGTCTCCCTTATAGTCCATGGTATCTGCTGCATGGAATACTGTGTCTGGCATGTAATAGGTGTTCAATGGCTGTTTTGCTAAATGAATGAATGAAACATGCAACAGATCATGGGGATTTGGGGATCATGTCCCCAAAATAAGCTTAAAATTTGAAAATAAAAATAAATGATTTATTACCAGTCACAAAAAACTTAAATTTTAAATTATCGTAGGCTAGGCATAGTGATTCACGCCTGTAATCTCAGCACTTTGGGAGGCCAAGGCTGGAGGATCATGTGAGGCCAGGAGTTTGAGACCAGCCTGGGCAATATAGCAAGAGCCCATCTCTACAGAAATTCTACAATTTTTAAAAATTTTAAATTATTGCAGAGCTCTCGGAAATGTTTGAAAGCATGAACAAATAGATTGAAAATGACTTGGTAGTGACTTCTATTGGTGCCCAGAGAGCCCTGGGAGGGCCACAGGCAGATAAGCAAGGCACTTTCCCTGCATCCTGCTGTGCCTCCCGCTCCTTCTCCTTGCCACTCTCTCCTGTGTGATTGTTTTGTGTTTGATTTGCCTCCTACCCAGTCTTCATTCATTCACCTTCTTCCCTTTCCTGTAGCTCACATGCATGGTTTGTCCTGATACGAGCACACAAACACTAGCTGGATATTGCCCTCCGTGCTGCACGGCGGGTCCCTGTGCCCCGGAGCCCCACTCCTCCTCGGCTGCTCCACACACTGGAAACTGCATCTGACAGAAAGATTAAACGTCTGCATTTTATCACCTTTGTTGAACAAAAGTCCATGGCTTCTTCATTTCAGGAGTGAGTTCAGTGTTTGGTTTTTTTCTTTGAAAATAAATCAGGTTTGACTTTTGGGGGCCCCCAAATGATTCCCAATCTCAAAATAGGCTGGTAGCTGCCTGTGTCAGAATTCTGAGCTTTTCTGGGTCATAATGCCAGTTAGCATTTCTCAAACCATGGCGCTGCTTTTGGGCCAGCAGAGTCCGAAAAGAAATAATAGGATGTATGTTGTAGTTAGATGAGTTCATGCTGAGAAATACGTGTCTCCACACGCAGAGATTTAAAAGGCCTGAATATTCATACGGTCTTATCAAAGCCACTCACTGGTTATTAGTTCTTCATAGCAAGTGAAAGATATGTAAATCCTCAGAGGTTCATGGTATATCCAGGCTGAATAAATCTGAACCTTAAAAAAGAATTGGCACATTGAATTTTTCGTAGATGTTCATCCATCTCTGCTGTTCACTCATATAACAAGGTGTTTCTTTCTCAGGCTGCTGTCCTGCCTAGAGTATGGCAAAAGCCCAGATGAAATTGCGATTGCTTTGTCTCCAAACTGTATTTGATTTAGCTTTATGTTGATACCATTTATCTTCTTTTGCTTCAAACATTTTACATTGCCGAAGATGGCTTTGAAAGCAGAACACCCACATTTGGTATCACTGCATTCATTTCTCTTATGTTTTGGCTTCAATTCAGTGCTTTTAATATTCATGAAGGTTGAAAAAATAAACATCCTAGACTATTTCCTCTGAATGGAAATGTTATGGTTTCAAACCCTAGAGAAAACAACTGGTAAGTTCTACAAACCCACATCTTCTCCCCGTCAGTTGGAAAGTGGCCCCAGCTTGGCAGAAGTCACAGCCCCCTTGACACTCTGGGGCTTTCCAGAGCAGATGGCCAGGGGGCCTGTGTTAGGGAAGAGGAGAGAGTCAGCAGACATGAATATTTAAAGACTCCCTTTGGAATCATAGATACTAGAACCTTTTCAGTTGATTCAGAATTATATTATTTCTGTCACGAAGAATATAGAGGAATCATTTATTCCGTTGACTTCTCTGTGTTCAAATGAACATCATTGAAATTTTTTCTTAGTCCTCTCTCCTTCATTTACATTGAGCCTGTATTGATTTTCATCCTCTCTAAAATTAGCTCAGCCAGTCCCTTCTATATAGAGAAGAATTCCTATGGAATATCAGAGCAGGGAATAGAGAGCAAGAACTCCACGCAAATTCGAAAGCCAACCTTTAAAGAGAAAGAAAATGATTACTCTAAATAATTAAAAGAAAACTGATACTCAGAAGTGGTGTTTCAATAATAGAACAGTTGTAGGATTCCTGTGCCGTGGTAACTCCGTGGATTACCCATCTTGTTGACTTTCCGTCACTATTGTCCAAGATGACATTCCCAGACTCACCAGCTCTCTTCTTCCCTCCCTTGCATTCAGAGGGTGGTCCCATGCCTCAGGCTGATGGCTGCACTGTTTCATAAATGGCAGTGAAAGTTCTCCCTTATTCTTCCACAGTACAAGGTGAGCCTCCCTAATGTGAAAATACGAAATCTGAAGTGCCCCCAAATCGGAAACGTTCTGAGACCTGACAGGATGCCACGGGTGAACAGTTCGACCCCTGAGCTCATGTGCTGAGTCGCAGTCAAAACACAGATGCCTCTCTTTTTCAAAACTTCTCTGTATCATCTATCTTCTCTGTCTTTTTTGGGAATCCCTGCAATTTTTCTATGTGCTTAAGGCTAACAACCTCTTCCCGAGGTTATGTTCTGCATCTCTGTGGCTGACTCACAAGCCGCTAACAACCTCTTTCATTCCTACCACTTCCCACTGAGGATGCTGAAGAGACAAATATGGGCATCCCCAGCCTCCATCGTAAATGTGCGTGACCATGTGAGCCAGAGTGGGCTGGAGAGCACCAGGGAAGTCACCGGACGTCCAGCACGCAGGCAGAGCTGGTGGGGGCTGCCTTCTCTCCCTTCCCTGAAGGCAGATGGGATGCCCGTTGCCATAGTGACCATCCTGGAACGGTGAGGCTGCAAGCAAGAGGAAAGGTGGCCCACATGAGGGTGGCGGTGCTAAAGCACTGAAAGTCCTGGGCACCTGAGAGCACCAAGAAGGCAGATATATCCTTCAGAATTACATTGGGTCACAAATCAACCACTGTTTGTTTGAGCCACTGTTTGCCGAATTTTTAGTTACATACAAACACAACCTGATACTCCCCTCCATGCTACCCCTGAACAAAATGAAGATTTTCAAAAAACCTTGCCAGCGGCCGGGCTCAGTGGCTCATGCCAGTAATCCCAGTGCTTTGGGAGGCCGAGATGGGAGGATCCCTTGAGCCCAGGAGTTTGAGACCAGCCTGGCAACACAGTGAGACCTCGTCTCTACAAAAAATAAAAAATTAGATGTGGTGGCGCTGCACCTCGACAATGGCTGGAGCCCATGAGTTTGAGGTTGCAGTGAGCTGTGATCATGCCAGTGCACTCAAACCTGGGCAACAGAGCGAGACCCTGTCTCTAAAAAAAACCCAAAATCCAAACCTTGCCTAATCCTGTGACTACTTGTACATTTTTAATTCCCCTATCCCCATGGGCTTTTCCCTAATGTCACTGAACTTCCCGAACGTGAACTCCCAAAATGCTTTAAATGACTGTGCTCTGTTGCTCCACGGTTCTCTCCAGCTTGTAGGTAGGGCAGCCCCACGTGCTCCTGTGCTGCCCCACGTGCCTTTGCTCCTTGCACAACGTGGGGCTTTTCTCTCATGGGTCATGAGGGTCTTTCTAGTCTCTGAGACCCATAGGTCTTTGCCAGTCTGCCCCTTAGCCTGCCTGCAGCATTTAATGCTGTTCTCCTCTCCCTCCACGCTGACACTCTCCCCTCACTTCTGCACTGCACCTGGAATGATCTTTTAACAATGTGAATCAAACCATGTTCCTTCTCTCTTTCAAACCCTTTAATGATGTAGAATTATACTTAGAACCCAGATACCTGCTAACAAGTCCCAGTCTGGCCTGGCCCTGTCCTGTTAGCTTCCCCGTAAAGCACTATCTGCCCACCTCCGCCCCCATCCCCCACCCCGCCCAGTTCCTCCTGTGCATTAGGCCTTGCACTCAGGGCCTTTGTGTGGGCTATTGCCTCTGTGTGCAGCTCCCCAAACTCTCTTGCCAATTTCTGCACCTTCTGGGGGACTCAGCTCAAATACTACCTCGTGAGGGAATCCCTAAGCCCTCTCTGCAATGGCATCAAAATGCTTTCTTTCATTGCCATTTATGACAAGAATGTTAATTGTGTTATTTGTTTCGTGTTAACATGTTTCCCCTTCCCCAGAATGTAAGCATCTTCAGATGAGGAACCTTATGTGGTTTTTTTTTCGTCATTGTGTGCCCAGCAAGTGGCTCAGTGTCTCACACATAACATGGGCTCAAAAGTATTTTTTGGTTGGATAACAAATGAAGGCTCAGTGCCATCTCACTGTCTGTCAGATAGAATCTCAGCCACCCAGCTGCCATGCATGGGCCTTAGGGTCTGGCTGCAGCCGACCTGTCACGCCTCCTCCACATCCCCCACATGGGAGGAACTACTCAGCCTTGCCGCCGGTGTTCCTTTCGTCCTGCTGGTCCTGCCTCTCCAGCTCCCTCCTGTTGCTATTTTAATATGAAAACTGCACCCACTTTGACAAGACCAGTTCATGACACATTTTGGATTTGTCCCCAACCAGAAGTGACCTCTGCCTCCCTTGTTCTTCCACAGTACAGGGTGAGCCTCCCTAATGTGAAAATCCAAAATCTGAAGTGCCCCCAGATCAGAAACTTTCTGAGACCTGACAGGACGCCACGGGTGGACAATTCCACACCTGGGCTGATGTGCTGAGTCGCAGCCAAAACACAGATGCATAGAACACGGTTCATTTAACGTCCCTAAGGGAAAAAGAAAATCACCTTCAGGTTATGTCTGTGAGGTATATATGAAATGTAAATGAATTTCGTGTTTAGACCTGGGTCCTATCTCCAGGATACCTCATGATGTATATGCAATTATTCCAAAATTCAAGAAAATCTGAGCTCCAAAATACCTCTGGCCCCAAGCTTTTCAATTAAGGGATATTCAACCTGTATATTGCTTTATCTTCATTATGGCTCCTGTCCTATGCTAAGCAGTTCGAATGTAAGATGCCACAGAAGTGACTGTGCCCCATGGGCTCTGGTGTCATCCCCCACCCCCCTCGACTGACGAGTGCAGAACCTTGTTTGACAGGCATGCTGGATAAGCAGTGGGCTGTGATGGTGGGTGCTCTGCCCGTCGTGAGGCTGAGAGCACTGAACAGTCTGCAATACCTGAACCAAATGGAAGTAAATTAGAAGGAGCTTGAGCTGGGGGAAGAATCTTGAAGCCCGTGGCCAACGTTGAAAAGAGCCTTCATCAGAGTGTGAAGTGGCATCCAAGACAGGGAAAAGCCAGGGCCAGGTGCGGTGGCTCACACCTATAATCCCAGCACTTTGGGAGGCCGAGGCGGGCGTTTCACCTGAAGTCAGGAGTTCGAGACCAGCCTGGCCAACATGGAGAAACCCCCGTCTCTACTAAAAATACAAAAATTAGCTGGGTGTGGTGGCGGGTGCCTGTAATCTCAGCTACTTGGGAGGCCGAGGCAGGAGAATCACTTGAACCAGGGAGGTGTAGGTTGCAGCAAGCCGAGATCACGCCATTGGACTCCAGCCTGGGTGACAAGAGTGAAACTCCATCTCAAAAAAAAAAAAAAGAAAGAAAGAAAGGGGAAAGCTGGAGAGTTGAGGTTTGGGGACCTGTTATAAACTTACCCACACAGTGATGGATGCTCCCCGTACAGTAGAAAAAATGTAGCACGGAAGCACGTCAGCTTAGCTGGCTGAGCAGATGTTGTGCTGAATGTGGATCTCAGAGGGGAACAGAAAGGAAAAAGGCCTCTGGTGTGGTCCTCAGAAAACAGCACCTACCTCCAGTCTCTTGGGATTAGCCAGAGAAGAAACGCCAGGGAGCATTTTGCTTGGGGATTCCTTGGTGTCTGTTTTGTCGCAGCTTCCCGCAAGAAAGAACCCTTTTCATCACTTGAGTAACCATTGCCCCCTCCCCACAAAGGAAAATAAACAGGAAAATTTCCCTCTGGGGTGGCTCTCGAGCATCAGCTGTAGCTGCTGTAGCAAAAGATCAAACCCAAATACTTGCACCTTGTGGTCATTGGCATCAAAGGCTGCAGGTTTTCTTTCCACCTAATTTTAATATGCTTGTGAGCCTTGGGAGGCTTAATTAAAACTGCAGGGGAGCCAAAGTAAGCACACAAAGGAACTGTTTTGATGCTTCAAAAACCCAAGCAAACAGAATCTGGATTATTCAATTAGGTATGCTTATGGGATTTGTCCTGGGTGTTTTGATTGCTCAAAGCCTGCTGGGGAAGTCAGTTATGAGGTTTAGACCTGAAAGGAACCATAGTTAATGCCCCCCAAATTTCACTTTTCATCTTCTTAGTTAGGCTTCCCGTTACCAGTGCATTGTTGTGAGCTGTGCATGAACTTTTCTTTTTTTTTGAGACGGAGTCTCACTCTGTCACCCAGGCTGGGGTGCAGTGGCGTGATCTCGGCTCACTGCAACCTCCGCCTCCCAGGTTCAAGTGATTCTCCCACCTCAGCCTCCCCAGTAGCTGGGAGTACAGGTGCATGCCACCACACCTCGCTAATTTTTGTATATTTTGGTAGGGACAGGGCTTTGCCATGTTGGCCAGGCTGGTCTCAAACTCCTGATCTCAGGTGATCCGTCCACCTTGGCCTCCCAAAGTAATCCCCAAAGGGATTACAGGCATGAGCCACTGCACCTGCCCTGTGTGTGGATTTTTATTCCAACTTCTGTTTCCTCAGCTGCTTCTTCTACAGATGCCAGATAACATGGCAGGGCCAGCTCAGTTTCCCATCTTAATTTTCTGCCTCGCTTGGCGGGGATGTTCTTGGATTCCCTTCCTATTTTCCCTGATGGTTTTGGCTATGCAGGATAGCCTGGCAGTTCTGAGCACAGGATCTCTAAGCTAGACCGCTTCTGTCTGCTTGGCCCCAGACATATCACCTAATCTCTTTATGCCTCTTAATACCATCTGCAAAATGAAATTCAAGATCACAGGGTTTCCTCTGTTAATTCAGTTTCTTTTTTTTCTTTTTAAATTCATGTTAAAGTGCTTAGCACAATGCCTGGCTCAGGATGAGTGTTGAGTAAATGACAGCAGTGATCGTGATTACACTAGGACGTAGGTAGGTGCCTATCAGTCAGGTGTAGCCAGTGGTTATGGGAAGACTGGGAGGGTGCACACCTAGGCCTTCCCAAGGGCATGGGGGTAGACCCAGCTTCAGTGCTGCACTCAAGCCCAGTCTAAGGCAGCCTCAAAGGCCACGTGACAGATACTCACACAAGCTGAAGTTGGTGGAGTGTCTGTCCACGGGACTGGCTTACCCAGAGTACATTTCAAGTGACAAGGACTCTTGCAGTGAGCTTGGCTGCAGCTAATTTGTCATTACATCATGAAACTCTCCCTCTGAAAATGGAACTCAGAGTCCAATTCACAGAGGAATTTATTGCCAAGATCACAGCCACAGCAAGACCTGGAGGCAGGCAGCTCTGTCTCTTGGGGCTGAGTCAGTCTGGGCTGATGGTGAGTACCATGCAGGCCCCTCCTAGAATGTATGCTTGTAGCTAACCAGCTCCAAATAAACTCATATGCAAAGGCCTAGGAGGAAAACTACCCAAAAGAAAAGGTTTACCTGATGCTAACTTAAGAATCCAAATGAAAATACTTAGTGTCAGTTGCTAACAGTTTATGAAGTGGTGTTACCTGTGCTGGGCCTTAACTTCTTTTCCAGATGTTTCTACCCCAACAAAGCAGCCTGTATAGGATTTCTAGTATGTACGGGTAGGCTGTGTAGAAAACAGCTTCCCTTTCATTGTCTCTAGTGAATCCATTAGGTAAGTGTCTGCCTGTGACAGAGCAGCCACTGAGAATACAGGGATGTAGAGAACGTGTACCTCACACTAGGAGGCTGTCAGTCTAGTGACGAAGTGAGTACACATAGGCATGGCATTGAGCTGATACAGATCGCAAGGCACAGTGGCAGGAACACGCTCTGCAGGGTCTGCAGCCTTGATTCCAATGGTGGCTTTTACCTCCGGTCAGCAGTGTGACCTTAGGAAGATTATTTGACATTTCTGAACAAACCATCCTCATCTACCAAATGAAGGATAACGCTCTTGTGGTAAGGCCACCATATGTATTAAATGAAGGGAAGGCCAGTGACCAGCACAGTGCCTGACAAATGGTCATCATACAACAAATGGTGGCTCTAGAACTGTTACCATCATAGAGGAACACGGGAGGGAGCAGACCATTCTACCTGGAGAAGCTCAGGCAGTGTTCTTTCAGCTGTGTCTTGAAGGAGGAAGAGGAATTCTAAAGGCCAGAACAGTGGTGGAGGGGCACTGCCAGCTGAGTGAAGACGGGAAAAGACAAAGAAAAAAAACAACGTTGAGGATTTGAAGAAATTCATACAGTTCGGTGTGGCTGAAGTGCAGGCTGCTGGTGACTAAGGGCCAGGAGCTGGGTCCTGAATGAAGGGGCAAGACCAGGAGTGGACTCAGATACCATTCTGGAGAGTTCGATTTGCCAACTTTAGCAAGAATGTGCCAAAAATCCCAGCTACTGTTACTAAGTGCTAAGGATGCTACTAAGCTAAGCTATATATATATGTAAAACATTGGATGTCCAGCAAACACCCTACAAAGATGACACTCTGTTTTACAAATGAGTAAACTCAGGCTTATGGAAATTAAGTTACTTAATCATTAAACTCACCCTATTAAATTATGGTGGATTTGGGCAGCTGCCTCCCTGAAGGACATGTTGTCTCAGTTGATATTTCATGTAAATTCTGTTGTCTTGTTTTTCGGATTCATAATCACTCATTGTTTTTCTACCTTGGTACAGCAAGCAAATAAACTCTCCACCATTGTCAGACTTGAATGAGTTTAGTCAACTTCCCCTGCTGGGCAGTTGATTAGATAGAAGGAGAAGTGGCTCACTATTATAGTGTAATTTTCTGATACAAAGATTCATTTTTACTTGGTGTCAGTCCATTTGCATTGCTGTAAAGGAATACCTGAGGCTGGGTAGTTTATAAAGAAAAGAGGTATTTTGGCTCACAGTTGTGCACTCTGAACAAGAAGCATGGTACCAGCATCTGCTCCTGGTGAGGGCCTCAGAAAGCTTCCAGTAATGGTTGAAGGCAAAGCGGGAGCTGGTATATCACATGCAAGGGAGAGAACAAGGGGTAGGGGAAGCATCACACTCCTTTAAGCAACGAGATCTCCTGCAAACTCCTTACCATGGAGAGGGCACCAAGCCATTAGTGAGGGATCTGCCCCCATGGTCCAAACACCTCCCATGAGACCCCACCTTCAACGTGGGGGATCACATCTCAACATGAGATATGGTGGAGGCAAACATCCAAACTATATCACTCCCCAAATAAATCAAGCATTATATTAAAAACTGCACACTATATTTTAATTTTTCATGATAGATATTAGGCTTGAGTTGCAGGTAATATGAGACCTTTGGTGGAGGTTAAGCCTAAGGATTTCATAAAATTTTGAATGTTACCATAAACAAGATTCAAACTAACTTTAGATGAATCATCCTCAGTCAAAAGATGGGAAAGTAGGTGTTAGCATCAGCCTTAGAAATGGGGTATGTCATTCATCAAGTACCCAGAGTCCTATAATCTGAATTCCTGCTGTCACTCCCACCCTTCAAAGTACCCAACTCACATTGATTTGGGATGAGTTCTAAACAGGTGTTTCCTCTGTGTTGCAAATGGTTTGAACTGGAGCCTTGCATACCTCTGGCATGTTCATCCAGACCCAGCTGATGCTCATGAGCATGTATGCTCATCTGACGGCCAGTCCTTGCTGATTCCCACGTTGGTCAGCACTGGACACAGAACAGATGTTGGGGATTATAGGGAAGGATTCGGGAGGCCATGGGCCTGAGTGTCTGCGGAAGTCATTCATTGTGGAGACGCAGACAGGCCCTGCAGAGTCTTCAGTGAGAAGTTTGATTAAATAAGCCTCAATGGGCCTGCGTATCAGGACGCAAAACAAATGTTTTCCAGGTATCCCTTAATTGAAAGAAAAATAATAAATCATCATCTTCAAGTCAGGCTAAATGAGGAAGGGAAATAATCCCAATCCCACAAGTTTTCATCTGACTTCTAATCTAGGAGTTCATTAGTGGGATCATGGCACGTAAGCATCCGAGTAGAATCCTCTGATTAATTAATTCCATGAGGAATCATCGGAAGACAGTTTGCAGAGCAGAGGGAGGCTGACTGCCCCCGTGGGAAAACTCTTTTAAGGTTGGGCCCAATTTTCCCCAATATGACACAGGACTCTTTCTTCCTGGTCTGTTCTGGTTGTCCTGGAGTTTCTTTGTCAAGCTGCTCCACTGATGGTATTGTCTACACCTCAGCTACCTGTCCAAGACACTCTCAGAGGTCTGAGGCGTGGAACTCTGTGGGCTATGAAAGGGTTTTACTTTTTGCTGAACCACCCACCTACAGCCCTCCGCTTATTGAAGCAGCAGAAAGCTCACCAGAGGTGGCTTCTTGTTTCCTTCAGTGTTTCCAAGTTACTCTGTAGACTTAGTGAACCTAAGCTTTGCACTCCTCATAGCTGTGTATGAGTCTTTTTCTGCGATAAGCATAGAAATGTTTCATCTCAGGAGAAAGCAAGTTGGTAATAAGGAAAACAAAGCAACTGACAATAGTTGATTAATATTTTTTAAAGAAGAGGGGATAAAGGACACATACAACTGTATGTCATTGACATTAAATGCCATACAAAAACGCAAGTAAAACTATAAGGGAAAACAAAATGTACCCTTGTAGTAAATATTCTGTGAACCAAAATCTCAAGTGCAGTCATAGAAGTCATTCACTCAACTTTTGTGGCATTTTATTTTTTTTGCTTTGTCTTTCTATTCTTTCTTTCTTTTTTTTTTTTTTTTTGAACAGCCCAATGTAACTCCATTGGTTGTGTTTGGAAAAATGAAAGAAAAGGCTAATTATTGTCCTTTGCTTTTCTTGCTCTGAAAACAGCTTCCATTCTCCACAATTAATGGAGAAATATAAGAAGACAGTTCTATATAAGCAAAAGAAATACCTCGGGGCCTTTAACAATTAAAAGGAACAAAGACAGGCGGGAGCGGTGGCTCACACCTGTAATCCCAGCACTTTGGGAGGCTGAGGCTGGCGGATCACGAGGTCAGGAAATCAAGACCATCCTGGTTAACACGGTGAAACCCTGTCTCTACTAAAAATACAAAAAATTAGCCAGGCATGGTGGCAGGCGCCTGTAGTCCTAGCTACTTGGGAGGCTGAGGCAGGAGAATGGCATGAACCCGGGAGGCGGAGCTTGTAGTGAGCCGAGATGGCAACACTGCACTCCAGCCTGGGGGACAGAGCGAGACTCCGTCTCAAAAAAAAAAAAAAAAAAAAAAAGACCAAAGACATAGGAAAGGAGGTCTAGATGATTTTTATGAAGAGTATATATCAAATATTATTTATATATTAATCCAGCTTTAAGATGGGAAAATGCTATAAACGTGGGAAGTTCTCCATAGAAGAATCAGTCAAAAGTATTCCTGTTTGCTCATGTCTAAGAATTCTGAAACTAGGGAAACTGTATTGAAAAGATAAATTGAAATATATTGGAACGGGAAATGTAGCTAAAGTGTTTCCATTAGGGTACAATGAGAAAAACTGGATCTGTTTTATGTAAATTTTCAACAGTGACCTGGTTAAAAAAAAAAAAAAAGTTGAAGTACATTAATTAAATTTACAGAGCCAGAAAAGGTGAAGACCCAGGAGGTTAAACATAGAAAATACAGATGGACTGAAAGAGATGAGAGGAAACGGACGGACTTTTACAGCATGATATTCAGCTTGGAAATATGCGGGAGAATACGACAGGGAATACCAGCCAAAAGTCAGATAGCTAGTTTAAAGAAAAAGTTAATAAAACGTTGAAGTCTGAAAAACTGTACAGACCAAAGCCAGGAAATTACAAAGTTATGGATCCCGCAGTAACTGTAAATTAACCCCATTGCACATATGTAGTATTTCACATTACCGTCTGTGGTGTTAACTTTCATGCCTAAACATGCATGTGTGTGTGTGTTTCACCTGAATTATGGTTGTAAAGGGAACAAAGGTGCTAACAGGACACGGAATGGATCGCCAGCTCCTTTCATGGGTCTCCCAGGAGCCTCTAGGCCCAAGCTGCTCATCCACCATGGAATAGAGCAAGCAGGGAGACATGCTTTGATTCAAAGAGTGTTCTCCAGAGGGGCTAGGAAGAGACACCTGTTTCTTGACAATTATTAAGGAAGTCGTGAGTGTCGTGGGTAGATGGAAGGATGTCTGCAACACGTTCCAGAGACAATGCATTGGATTTCCATCATCCCTTCTCCTTTCCTTTTTTTTTTTTTGAAATGAAGTCTCACTCTATCCCCCAGGCTGGAGTGCAAAAGCTTGATCTTGGCTTACTGCAACCTCTGCCTGCCTGGTTCAAGCGATTCTCTTGCCTCAGCCTCCCTAGTAGCTGGGATTGCAGGCACGCACCACCACGCCCGGCTAATTGTTGTATTTTTAGTAGAGATGGGGTTTCGCCATGTTGGCCAAGCTGGTCTTGAACTCCTGACCTCAGGTGATCCATCCGCCTTGGCCTCCCAAAGTGCTGGGATTATAGGCATGAGCCACCACGCCAGGCCTTCTCCTTTCCTTTGATTGCCTCATGGGAACTACTCTCTCTTTCACCAGCGTGCTCCTTTTACCCCCATTTTTTGCCTCCATACCACAGTTTGTCCTCTGCATACCCCTTTGTCTTGGAGGGCTCGTTCCAGGTGCTAAGAGGCAGTGCTTTCCTTTTAGAGCTTCCAATCTATGGATCTGGTTATTTGTTTGCCCGTTTTGGTTGATTTTTGTAAACATTTTTTAGTCAACTTACATGGTGTGCTTTCCAACACATCTCTCACTTCAGGCACAGGACCAGGACGGAGGAGTCCGCAGCCTCCCTGAATCATTGCTCAGGCCTCTCTTCTGGTTCATGTGTCTGCTTCTAGCGTCTTCCACCTTTTCTCATCACAGCAATGCGGTGGTTTGCCACTCTTCTTCCTGACTTTCGCCATATTGGGGATGTTTGTGCCAATGTGGAGACTCCTCTGTTACCATGTCTTCATACTCTTTTGACTTCCCTGGCTCCTGGGAGGTCCATGTCCACAATTCATTCCCATCCCTTGGCAGGGCTGGCCCTCCACAACCTGGAATCTGTGTCATCCTCAAGATCTTAGCATCCGATTCCCCGACTCACAGCCATCCCTGGTTCGGCTGCCTCCTGCCACCATCCCCACTGAAACTGCTCTGAACTTTCACTGCCATTGCCAACCTCTCTGCCTTGCAGTTGACGTCCACTCCTACCAGTTCTCCCAGGCTTCGCCTTTCTTCTTCCAGTGGGGCTCCAAAACCACTTGTGTAGGTGGGACATTTCTTCTTGTCCTTAACTCCCCTGCCCTTCTTGGTTCTGGGTTTCTGCCCTGTCGTCCCCACCATCTGCTTGACTCCGTGCACTCAGGCTGCTCCACGTTTGGCGAAACGTGAAAGGATGTGGATCCTGCCCTCAGTCCTCGGGAGCGTGAAGGGCTGTGGCTCCTGCCCTCAGTCCTCGAGTGGCGCTGGCAGTTGGGCTCTCCTTTGCTGACTTCCCGTGCCTGTCACAGCAGCTTCCAGGGGCTGGACTCCTCTGCTCTTCATGCCGAACTTGACTCCGCCTTCTGCTCACCACAGAGAGTGAGGCCCCTTCCCGGTGGCTCTTCAGCGTCCTCCTCGCCACCCTGGAAGCCTCTTCCCAGAGTCCTCTGCTGATGCTGATGCCTCCCATCTCCGAGTTAAGACCTGGCCTTGGCCTTCAGAGCTGCCGCTTTCAACTCCATTCCTGAAGCTGTTCCTCTCCTCACCCCAGGGCCTCCCTGCACCACTTTCCCTCTTGAGGTTTTACATTTCAAGACCTTCTCCCTCCTGCCCGCTTCCTGCTGCCTTCCCGTCCTCTGGGCAGGCCCCACCGGCCTTTCCTCCACACTGACTCATGCATATTACCGCCCCCGGTTCCCCTCCCTCACTGTCCTCCCAGAATTTCCTTCACCTTCACAGCACAGGTCCCACTGACGAGGACTTCATGGAGGGCTGGCTGTTCTTCTTCCTCCACCTCCTAGCATAGCTGTCACCCAGGTTCTGGTCACAAGCCTTTGCCCACCGTGTGCTCCTTTCCTCTGTGATCACATGCATCTCCATGGGTTCACCCCTCAGCAGGTGCAGGCGGCCCTCCCCACAGAGGACTAGCCTGGCCTCTGAGAGAGGCTGAGAGCTTGGGCTCTAGGGCCTTGTTGGATGCTGGCTCTGCCACGATCCTGGCCAAGCTCCGTGACCCATCGTGCCTGAGTGACCTCACCTGTGAGAGGAGAATCAACAGCAACGTGGGTTGTCAGGAGGGTGAGCTGAGCTGATTCACAGAGAGGGCTGGGCACGTGCCATGGTGTGCGGTAGCAGAGTCCACGTGGCTCTTTCCTCACTGTCACAGCCGCCCTTCTCCGGCCACATGGATCCATCTTTGTGGAGCACTCCACACCCACAATTCCTCAGCCTCTCTCCAGATCGAGAACTTTCTGACTCCTCCAGGAAGGGAGATCCACGGAGCCTCAGAGCCGCTAGTTCCACCTCCCCCGAGTACTGCTCCTGCTTCCCTGGGGGACACTTCCCCCTCCCATCTGGCTCTTGCTTGACTTGTCCCCTCCACTACTTCAGGGGCCTCCTCCTATGCCTCCCAGATCCTGTCTGCCCTTCAGTTGCTCTCATAGCTGCTGCCTTGGTGACTGTTCCCTGTTTGAAACGATCCCATGGCTTTCTGTTGTGTCCTGAAGGAAATCTGAGCTCCTCAGTTCAGCAGCCCTCTTTCCTCACAGGCTTCCCTCCCCTCCATGCATGGCCTAAACCCAAGCACACTGTTCTCCTGCAGGAAGCACCTCTGTAGGAGGCAGCGTGTCTGGCCGTCTTCTGGCTGCAATGCTCTTCTTACCTGCGCCGAAATGGATCCTCAATGAACCCCACACAGGCGTCTCTTCCAGAACCCGTGTGACTCTGCTCTGCCCTAGAAGTATCTCCTCACCCGTCCCATCCTGACCAATTGCTGCTTGAGGACAACCACTGTCCCTCTTGTTCCCCATATAGTCCTGGCAGCAGCACACACTGAATCCAACTGTGGTGACTTCATGCCTGTGTCCATTCTTTAAACCAGCATCTCAGGCCTCACACCAAGCACCAGGGCAGAGAGTGGAATGTATCAAAATTGTGGCAAATTTTGCACCAAGAGACAAAAGTCCAGGAATTAAATAAGTGGCCTATTCAAATATTAACATGCCATTTGCTTCATATCTTTTTGAAAATAAATAAAATGCTGACCACATTATATGAGTCTCCTTCGTTGTCCTCCCAGTCTCACTCCCCTTGAGATAGAAATGCTCTCGTTACTTTACTGTTGACTGTTTTCATGCATGTATTCTGCGTGCATAAACCTATAGAAAATATTAACAATACACAGTGCTAATCATGCAGGGTTTTGAAACTTTAAATAGATTGTATTATATGTACTCTTCCTCAACACTGGGTTTAAAAAAAAACAACTGTTTTTGAAGTTTATCATAGTGATATAATTGTAGCACATTCCTTTTAATGCTGTTTTCCATTATATAAATTTGCCAAATTTTTTTTATTCTCCCATTGATAAACATTTGAGTTTCCTTTTTTTCCCTACAGTTGCCAGAAATGCCATAGTGAACACTCCTGAACATATCTATTTGTGGACATGAATGAATTTCCCAAGAGGGCATAATCTGGAATGAAATGCACATTGCAAATTTCTCAGTCTGTGGCTTTTCTCTAACTTTTTTTATGGTGTCTTTTAGTACAAAAGTTTTCCATTGTTAATGTAGGCAAGCTTATCGATTTTCTTTTTTTTTGAGATGAAGTCTCGCTCTTGTACCCTAGGCTGGAGTGCAGTGGCATGATCTTGGCTCACTGCCACATCTGCCTCCCGGGCTCAAGCGATTCTCCTGCCTCAGCCTCTCGAGTAGCTGGGATTACAGGTGCGTACCACCACACCCAGCTAATTTTTTGTGTTTTAAGTACAGATGGGGTTTCACCATGTTGGCCAGGCTGGTCTCAAATCCCTGTCCTCGGGTGATCCACGCACCTCGGCCTCCCGAAGTGCTGGGATTACAGGCGTGAGCCACCGTGCCCAGCCAACTTATCGATTTTCTTTCATGGTTTCTGCTGTTTGTATGTTCTCTAAAAACTAATCAAGGTCATAAAGATGTTCTCCTATGTTTTCTTCTAAAAATGTTGAATGCTTTTCACTGTGAGCTCTGTGCTCTACCTGGAAGTAACATCTGCCTGTGGTACAAAGTAGGTCCTGATGTTTTCCATTTGGACGAGTAGTATTGCCTTTTTGCCAGAACTCCCTCCCCTGTCCATGGACAGGGCATTTGCTAGATTTCAAGCATTGTCCAGTGAGGTTTTTCATGTCCCCGCTGAGAGTCTTGGGCATTGCACAGAAGGGAGGGGTCTGAGCTGGAGCCCTTGTGCTGCTCTGTGTGCTCCATTAGAGGAACGAGAGCATGCGCCTCCAGGGTTTGAACCTAGGGAGCATCTGAGATGGTCCAGAGTGGGCCATCTGGAGAGGCATCCTCTCTCCAGAGATTCTCAGAACAATAATAATACCTCCAGGATAGTTCAGCCGTTGCAAGCTTGAAATCCCTGGAGAACTGCTATGCTGTCAACTGGAGGCTTCCTCTCCTCACTCAAATTACTTCCCTTTTATAAAAATGATTCTAGTCATGCACGATGTAACAACGTTTCAGTCAACAGCAGACCACACATATGACCAGGATGGTCCCCTAAGATGATAATGCCATATTTGTACTGTACCTTTTATATGTTCAGATGCATAGATACTTAGCATTGTGTTACAGTTGCCTACAAAATTCAGTACAGGAACATGCTGTACAGCTTGTAGTCTACAAGCAATGGGCTATAAAAGATAGCCTAGGTGTCTAGTGTGCAATCCCATCTAGGTTTGTGTCAGTACACTCCAGGATGCTCCCACAACAACGCACTCACCTAACTATGCATTTCCCAAAATGTGTCTCTATTGTTAAGCAATACGCATCTGTATTTTGTAACCTGTCGATCTCTGCCTGTATGATTTGAAAACGAATGTTATTTTCGCTTCATAGATCCCAACTTTAATGGGACTTGTACTACTAAGGAATAGTGAGGAACCGTGAAATCCAATCAAACCTGGCTGCCTGTGTAGACTCCCAGCCTTCTATTCATGGATAAGCTGCATGTTGCTTATTAACTGAGCACCAAGATGTAGCAGCTTTGCTTTATTGCGTAATGATGCATGACTGCTTGCTCAGTTAGCACAACTGCTGTGTGCTGGAGGAATAGAGAAATCCTGTGGAAACAGTCCAGTTATTACGTTTATTGTTTTAAACTGTTACATTTTAAGCAAAATAGAAAAAGACAAGGGTCAGAAATATAGTAAAATAATTAATTTATGTATGGTAAAGTCAGACTAGGATTACTGGGCTAAAAATTGAAGCTGGACTATACAAATTTAAAGGCTTGCAGTTGATTAAAATGAAAGTTATTTAAATGCTAGCAAATCATGATATAGAAAATATTAGTAAATGATGAAGTATTCAGTAAAGCCATTGTCTGTTAGGCATATAGGCCTGTAAGAGCTGGGCGGGTGGCTCACGCCCATAATCCCAGCACTTTGGGAGGCTGAGGTGGGCGGATCACCTGAGGTCAGGAGTTTGAGACCAGCCAGGCCAACATGGTGAAACCCCGTCTCTACTAAAAATACAAAACATAGCCAGATGTGGTGGCATATGCCTGTAATCCCAGCTACTTGGGAAGCCGAGGCAGGAGAATCACTTGAAGCCGGGAGGCAGAAGTTGCAGTGAGCCGAGACTGCACCACTGCACTCCAGCCTGGGCAACATTCGTCTCAAAAAAAAAGAAAAGAATACAGGCCTGTAGAAGGATTGCTTAAGCCCAGGAGTTCTGTAGTGTGTCATACCAGTAGGGAATCTGCACTAATTTGGCATCAATATGGTGACCTCCTGGGAGCAGGGGACCACCAGGTTGCCTAAGGAGTGATGAACAAGCCCAGGTCAGAAACAGGTCAGGTCAAAACTACTGTGCTGATCAGTAGTGGACTCACAACGGTGAATAGCCACTGCCCTCCAGCCTGGGCAGCATAATGTGAGTGTATTTATCGCTAATAAAAAAATTATTTAAAAAATATGTATCTCTGACACCATGGGACAGGCACTGACTCTTGAATTGGAGAGACCTGGATTCAAATCCTGAGGTAGTCTCTTACTGTATGACCTTGGACTGTCCATTCAACTCCTGAGCTTTATTTCCTTTATCTGTAAAATGGGAATAATTAGTATCTCCCCTACAAGGGTTTTTGAAATAATGTATATAGGCATACCCAGGAAAGAAGGGTTTGATAGAAGAGAGGGGAGCCTGAAACCAAGACCTGCCTCTCACTTATGCCTGAGGCCAGTGTGTCATTGATGAAAACAGGAAATACTAGGGACGGGGTGGGAGGAAGTGAGGGTTGGTTTTAGGCAAAACATATACATATTTATGATTTGGGATAACCTTGTTGGAAGTCGGAATGATTGCAGGGTGTGCTGGTGAATCTGCCTGTGCCCCCAGCAGTGTGTATGTATGTGTGTGAATCGTTAGCCTGCAATGTGCACCTCATTCTGTCAAATGCGTGGCTACTTATTGATGAGGTTCTGGGGGAGTGTGCTTTCTTCATCTTTGTGTCTCTCAGAAGTAACCAAATAAGTTCTCAAAAACTGCTGGCAGAAGGAAGGCACGTTAATGGTGGATGTAACGTTATTCATTTCATGAAAGAAAGAAATCAACATTAAAATTAGAAAGCATTGTTTTAATTTCTGAATTGGGTACTTGGAATGGACATTCTTCACAATTTTCACTGGGTTATCATAAAATCTTTATTAATTCAAGTCTTTTCTCCCCCAAGAACATTTTTCTATTAAAAAATAACAACCACCACCATGAACTTTGGTGTGGAGGGGCAGTGAAAAGAGTAATAGTGAGAGGGAGAGAGAGAAAGAAGAATCCCTGTGGGGGTGCAACAAGCTGCTGCTAAATTTCAGTTGCAGTTGTCAGAGTTAAAGAAAACATTGGAGAAAATGTCTCATCAAGGGGTCCCCGGATTTTTCTGCTCCGGGAAGGCTGCCTGAGGGATGGATCGCGGCCAGCTGGCAGGGGCTCAGACGCCTGGTACTGTGCTGCAGCCACTGAGCTCATTGGCTCCACCTAAGTCATTTTACAGTCAGAGCTGTTTCAAGATCAGCACACGGCACTGTACAGATGTTTGGGGTCGGGGAGGAGTAGAATTTGTGGAAGGAAGAAGTATATGCTTAGTTTTAAAGGTTTCATTCTAGGACCTCTCAGGGTTCTGGTGAAATGGATCATGTGAGAGTGGGAGCACAGCTGACCAGGCTAGGCAGGACAGCCCTGTGAGGCAGTCTTGATTTTACAGAGGAGGAAAATGAGGCACGGAGAGGTTAATTAACCTTTTGAGTGTCGCAGTCTAAGGCTCAGAGGCACAGTTCCATCCCAGGTCTGTCTGAATCCCGAGTCCTCACTCCCGATTCACCACCTTACTCCACTGCTGAGACCATCCCTGTGAGTCCGGCCACTCAGTGAGTTAAGGAGGCCAATGGCCATGTCCCCACGGGGACATCTCTCTCCTCCTGAGAGTCTCTCTCATACATCTCAAATCTGAGATACAGATTGAGAAACACCCCAGGAAATCCACTGCATGGAAGGCAAAACAACCTTGAGCCACAGCAGTGACCACAAGCAAGAGAAGCCTGGCTATGAGCACAGTCATGATGTAGTTCAAGGTTGGGGAATTCAAGGCCTCCATGTCCATCCCAACATCTTCAGCTCCTCCTCACGTCGCCAGTGGATGTCCTCTGCAAGCTGATATAAATTATTTTCAAACCCAGATATACATTCTTGACTTAATTCCACTCTCCTCAAACTCGCCCACGGAATGCCTCTAACAGAGGGGAGCGAGGGCACACCCTGGGAGGCCCGAGTATGTATCCTGTGGCATTACATCTCAAAAATGATATTTACTCAAAGATGCTAGTTTTAGGTAAAAATAAATTATTCAAATGTATTGTGAAAATGTTATTGGTTTTTTGTTTGTTTTGTTTTTTTGAGACAGAGTCTTACTCTGTTGCCCAGGCTGGAGGGCAGTGGCACGATCTTGGCTCACTGCAATCTCTGCCTCCTGGGTTGGAGCAATTCTCCTGCCTCAGCCTCCCAAGTAGCTGGGATTACAGCCATGCACCACCACGCCTGGCCAGTTTTTGTATTTTTAGTAGAGACGGGGTTTCGCCATGCTTGCCAGGCTGGTCTTGAACTTCTGGCCTCAGGTGATCCACCCACCTCGGCCTCCTAGAGTGCTGGGATTACAGGCGTGAGCCACCGCCCCCGGCCATGTTATTGGTTTTAATATGAAAGGATCTGTTTTCCAAATCTTTGGGTGAGATTGAAGATCCAGGAGGATATATCTTGTTGATCATATGGCTTGACATAAGTACCCACGCAGTACTCTGATTTAGGATCCAGGGGTCTTCCAGGTCGAATTAGCATTTTCAGGGGTATTCTGAATGCCCAAAAGAGTGACTGACAGGGACTTTTCGGTAAAATGAAATATCTCATATTCAGGGTATGTTCGTGCATGTACTCTTTCTGTTATGTGATTTCCATTGTCTACATCTTCATTAATTCTAAGTAGGAAAATAGAGGCTGGGGACCATGTCCTTCCTGGCATCACTCTTGTCAGGCCCTGTGGGTGACTGCTTGCCTTTAGCACTGGTGAGGCCCGCTGTGGGGTGGGAGAAGTCTTTACCGTCATCAGTGACAATGACTAGAGTCTTCAGTGTATGATTCCTGCCATCTGGGAGTCTCCATAAAAGCCTCAAGGCCAAGAGGGTCTCCAGGACTTCCAGCTCAGAAGTCCCCTTTCATTCAGTGATAAGGAGAAGATAAAGATAAACATGTGGCCTGGGCAGTTTCACTCTGTGTGATGGAGGCAGCTTCACTCCTTCCCCATCCCTGTGGAAGCAGCTGAGGCTCTGGAGCACAACTTGGGCTGAGAATCACCCTCTTCTTCCTGGGGCCGTGACTCAAGCAGACACCGTGGTCAGCCTTTTGATGTGCAGCTACGTGGACAACACTTTTCCTGAGCAATCATCCCCTCTTTTCTCATCTGTTTGGGCACAGAATTATTGGTGAACATCCTTCATCATCAAAGAGCGACATCTGAGTGCGTCTTCAGTGGTGTTCTCTGGAGATAAGAGCAGATAAGAGAACATCATGCTTGCCACTGCCTGATGAGGGGACGTTCACCTGCACCTATTAATTAAAATAGAAGACACCCAATGGGCATTGGGCACCAGGGGCTGATGTTTGTATTGGAATATAAAAAAGAGACTTAGACTTAGCTTTCTCTTGGCACCAGCATCACTATTAACACTTACTGTCTGTCACCAATCAGCAACCTATTCCCAGTATAATCTGGGACTTCTATAGCACAGCTCAACCCTTCCACCTCTCTGAGAGGAGTGGTGGGGTAGCCCTTCTCCTGACAGCAGGAGCAGATCGTACTCCCTGGGACCCAGTTCCCCCTCAAAACTCATTCAGGAATCATCACACATCATCGCTGGCCACATCTAGGATGTCTGAATAATTGTGGTTATAATCGATAGTGTAAAAAATCATTAGTTATAGGTAACATGTATGGCATTTACCATGTGCCAAGCACCTTTTATAGTACTTTACACTTAGTAATTCACTTAAGCCTCACAGTAGCCCTACAAGGTATATTTTCCTCATTTTACAGAGGACAAAACTGAGCCACAGTAGTTAAGTAACGAGTCAATGGCAGAGCTGGGATTGGAGCCCCGGCAGCCTGCTCATGCTTGCTATGGACTGAATGTGTCTTGCTTCAAATCCCAGAGTTGCAGCCCTAACCTCCAATGTGATGGCTGCATCATGGGGCCTTGAGCAGATAACTAGGGTTAGCTGTGGTCAGGAGGGTGGAGCTCTTGTGTTGGGATTAGTGCCCTTCTAAGGGACAGCAGAGAGCTTGATCACACTCTCTATTCATACACAAAAAGGAGCACATAGTGAGATGGGAGGTCTCTGCAAGCCAGGAAGAGGTGCTTGCCAGAACCCAGGCATGCTGGCTCCCTGATCACAGACTTCCAACCTCCAGGACTGCAAGCAGATACATATCTGTGGTTTAAGTCACCCGGTCTATGGTGTTTTGTTGTGGCAGCCCAAGGGGACGCAGATGATGCTTTTCAAGACTGTGCAGCCCCTCCTGGAAGCTTTAGCTCCTTGGCCTTGCAAGAAACACTTGCTGGTCACTGTCTTTGGTCCTTTCAGAGGCCCTTCCTCAGCGGTGCCTCCACCAGGCTCCTGACTTCATCCCCCTCTGTGGGAGGAGGGGTGAGCAAAGTACCTTCTCCCTCTGCTGTGGGAAGCATGAGTAACTCACAGATGGTGTCAGAGGGCGTGTGTTCAGGTAGTGCAGCCAGCAGTGAGTGAATGAAATGAAATGGTGTCTGTCTGTTCCAAGGCTGGGCTCTGCAGGGGCAGGAGAACAGCTTTAGTCTCTGCATCCCTGCACCTTCCACCTGCAGATGCCAGCGGGCCATTGCAGGTGGGAGGGGACCCATCTCAGGGCTCCTCATTCAGATGGTGACAAGGTGAGGTGGCCGTCCACCCTATCTTTATCAGTATCTGTCCTAAATACTGCGCGTTGACATTGACGCTAATAGTCTGAATTATCAGGGGTTTGGCAATCGTTAGGCATCCAATTTTTCTCTCCTGGACGGGCATACCTTTGCTATGTCAGCACAGTGCCTCTCTTGGCTTTCTATGTAACCACAGGAAGATTGCAATCTAGAAATAGTGATTGTTAAAATTGCCTATAAGTACACAATATAAACAATATGCCAGAGACACACAGGCCCCCAGCATAATTCCTGGAAGCTGCAGTCTCACCTCTGCCAGAGAAGAGCCCCAGCAAGGATTGAGGCTGGGCATCCAGGTGCCTCTGCAGCCCTTCCCGTGGCTCCAGCTGGACAATTGCCCCTGAGACACGGAAGATAGAGACTGCACGTGTGTCTTCAGTGAACGTTGCTTTATTTATGTTGTTGTTAAAAGTGAAAGAGAGTACAAACTGCCTTTTTTTTCTGAGACAGGGTCTCGCTCTGTCACCCAGGCTGGAGTGCAGTGGCAAGATCATAGTTCACTGCCGCCTCCGCCTCCCAGAATCAAGCAATTCTCCTGCCTCAGCCCCCCAGATAGCTGAGACTATAGGCACACACCACCACGCCTGGCTAATTTTTGTACTTTTAGTAGGGACAGGGTTTCACCATGTTGGCCAGGCTGATCTCGAACTCTTGACCTCAGGTGATCCACCTGCCTCTGCCTCCCAAAGTGCAGGGATTACAGGTGTGAGCCACCGCTCCCAGCCCAGACTGCTTATTTTTAAACCACACAGTACTCGTTTTAAACCTGTCCCATTTTTACCTTGGAAATAAAAGTCGCGTATCTCAGGGGCGATATACTGTTTCTCTGCCTGGTTTCCCACGTCACGACCTGTGGAGAATGGCCTAGGAACCACCTGTCTTTACATCCAGATAACAGCTTCAGGAAGATACAGCAGAGTAGGACAGGGGTCGTTCTGGGTGATGTAAAGTAGCTATTTGGTTAGACCAACATTTTGGTCTCTAAAATTGGGTCCTAAGGAGAAAAATAGGAAATTAAAATGATCACTACCTGAAAAAGAAAAATCAGGTAATAATTTGAGGGAGTCAAGGGCCTCACCTTTCTCTCAAATAAGTAGGCAAAGAACAGTAACAGCACTCCCCCTCCTCACACCCTGTTTAGGAAAATTGGGAAATGTCTTCTTCTCACTGCCTGCCTGTTTATTTAACAATGAACAAGAGTTTAAATGTTACCACCAATTCAAACCAAACACACCCCATTCTCTATGTCCTGAATGGAGAGGGAGTCTAGAGTTCTTGTTTGCTTCAGGGTTTCCTTTCTGGAGCTTTATTTATTTATTTTTTATTTTGTTTAACTAGTCAAGGGCAAGGGCAGTAGTGAGAAGTGGGGAAAGAGAAGAAGGGGCAGTTGGATCTGTACCTGACTGTGAATAAACAGTGGAGGTAACTCGCTGCCTCCAGACCAGCCTCCTCTGTAGAGCTTGTAACCTTGGGCCATCCTGCAAATCAGTGGAGAGCAGTTGCTTCGGTCCTGAATAGCTCACAGGGTGGTGGGAAGGTTTGCCAGAGTTGTCCCACCTCATGCACACTCCCTTTCCCCCATGAGCCACTGGAGTGGAAACAGACACCATACCAAGTGCTGCTGAGGATGTGGAGCAACCGGAATGCGCCTGCACTTGCTTTATTCAGACAGCCACTTTGGAGATCTCTTTGGCTGTGTCTAATAAAGCTAATCACACTCTTCCTGTATGATAGAGCAACCCCACTCCCAGGTGTTGACCCAAAAGAACTGGAAACATATGTCCACACGCAAAAAAAGACTTGTAGAAGCTTGTAAATAGCAGCCTTATTCTTAATAATAGGCCCAAACTGGAAATAACCCAAACATCCATCAACAAGAGACCGGATAAACAAATTGTGATCTATTCGTGCAATGGAATACGATTCCAAAACTAAAAAGAATGAATTACAGATATGTGCAACAGCATGGATCCATCTCAGAGACATCATGTTGAGTGAAAGAAGCCAGATTCAACAGAACTGTACTCTGTCATTTCATTCATATGAAGTTTGAGAACAGGCAAAACTTAGCTATAGTGATAGCAGGCAGGGCAGGAACTGCCTATTGAGGGTGGAGATTGAATGAAAAAGGCACGGGAGGGCTTTCTGGGATAATGGAAATGTTCTATATTTTGTTTTGGGTGGTAGGTAGACAGGTGTAGACAGTTGTGTTAATGGCTGAAGATCTGTGCATTTTAGCATATTTAAATTATAACCCCCAGGAAGCATTGCCTCATCTTCCTGGGGGATGTATATGCTTGTTAAGAGCATACTGGGGGTGCTTTTGAGAACCCCTTACCATGTTATTATGTTAATGAACCACCACTAATTTTTGTGGTTTCAAAATAGCAAGGTTCATTGATAAAACTCCCTTGTGCCTTGGTGACAAAAAACACTGATACCGCCCACTGTCAAAGTAAGTGTGTTTGTTATTTTTGTTTTTAATGACACTAAATTTGTAGGAATGATATTTTTAGGTGGTTGCTCAATCTCACCCGCCATCAGTTGCAGGTGACAGGGATGTTAAGTTGGCAGATTTTTGTGCTAGAAGCTGTGGGTTTACATCTCCTTTGTGCAGGTGTCCTAGACATACCAGTGGCTTGTTATTTAAACATTGGGATCGGGTGTGTGGGTGGTTTTTAAGTTATAGTAGGGATGCAGGTGCTGTGGGATCGCTTCATTGTTTAACAATTCCTTTGCATTCACACAGGGCTTCTGAAATGAGTGCTAGTAGAATCATCTTCAGAGGATGTCCCAATACGTTGAACTGAGATGCCTTCCTGTTTGCTGTGGAATTAAGCTTAAAATTGACACCAAGCTCTAGGCATTTCGTACAGGGAGAGAGTGGGCATGAATGATTTCGGGAAATGAAGAACTAGATTTCAGCCTGGAATTTGCTTCCTCCCTCCTGTGGCAAATTAGCGTGGGCTCACTAAGCACTTCATCTGGCCATGGTATTTTCTTTTTCTTCTTTTTTTTTTTGCTCCCAGATAGGGTCACTCTGTCACCTAAACTGGAGTGCAGTGGCACAATCATAGCTCACTTCAACCTTGAACTCTTGAGCCCAAGCGATCCCCCCACCTTAGCCTCCCAAATTTCTGGGACTACAAGCGCACTACCACACCCAGCTATTTTTATTTTTTGTAGAAACAGGGTCTCACGATGTCCTGGCTGATCTCAAACTCCTGACCTCAAACCGTCCTTCACCTCAGCATCCCAAAGCGCTGGAATGACACGCGTGAGCCACCACGCCTAGCCAGTTTTCTTTTCTGTTGCATTGCAGAGTTAGGGCCAATTTCATTCATCCTGCACTGATATTTGCCTTCCCAGCAGATGATGGGTGAGCTCAGCACACCTGCACCTCAGCCAAGCCTTTAGAGGGGAGCACAGCTCTTTATTGTGTCAGCGCCACACAGCCACCCTGAGCAAATAGGTTTGGAATGTACATTGCCATCCTTCCTAAAAAGGTTCATAGTAAAAAGAGAAGGAGATTTACCTTTTGACATGCACGCTCATGAAAACCAAGGTTTTCAGAAAGCCAAACCTCAAAAACAATACAAAGAAGCTCCCTTGACGTTTGAATGGAAAGAAATTTTAGGAGGCAACACTGAGGGGCAAGGAGGGCTGAGAAGAGAAGGTGGCAATGGCAACTGCAAGGGTTCTTCCAAATCCGATTGTCCTGACAGGTTTTGTTTTATTTTGTTGTTGTGTTGTCGATGCTGGGTGGGAATGGATTGGAAAAATTGTCCCCTCCTGTGTTTCTTTTCGTCTTTTAACTTTACAAGTGCTCCTCATTTTCTTTTACTTACAATTTGAAGTTGGCACTGGTGTTGCTGGGCCAACCAGCATCTTGAGGACTCAACTCTCTGGCTGCAGGTGCTGTGGGGAAGGGGCAGACTTAAATTTTCTTCTGTAAAATGGGGACGGGGGGGATTAAATAAAATGCTTTATGGGAAGTTCTGGCACAGAGTGACGCACGAAGAAATTTGAGCTTCCTTCTCCTCACAGGTGAACTGTTGCTGCTCCACCTTTATTACATCTTTTCAAATCCACGCCACATTGGGGAACACAAACTGACCTTATGTAGCCCTGGTTACTCCAGCCTTTTTAAAAAAAAAAAAAAAAAAAAAAAAGCAAGGGAAATAGGCAAGACGGCCAAATAGGAACAGCTCCAGTCTGTAGCTCCCAGGGAGATCAAGGCAGACAGCGAGTGATTTCTGCATTTCCAGCTGAGGAACCTGGTTCATCTCACTGGGACTGGTTAGATAGTGGGTGCAGCCCACGGAGGGCAAGCCGAAGCAGGGTGGGGCGTTGCCTCACCCGGGAAGCACAGGGGATTGAGGAACTCCCTCCCCTAGCCGAGGGAAGCCGTGAGGGACTGTGCTGTAAGGAACCATGCATTCCGTCCCAGATACTATGCTTTTCCCATGGTCTTCGCAAACTGCAGACCAGGAGATTCCCTCCGGTGCCTACATCACCAGGGCCCTGGGTTTCAAGCACAAAACTGCATGGCTGTTTCGGCAGACACCGAGCTAGCTGCAGGAGTTTTTTTTTTTCATACCCCAGTGGCACCTGGAATGCCAGCAAGACAGAACCGTTCACTTCCCTGGAAAGGGGGCTGAAGCCAGGGAGCCAAGTAGTCTAGCTCAGTGGATCCCACCCCGACGGAGCCCAACAAGCTAAGATCCACTGGCTTGAAATTCTTGCTGACAGCACAGCTGTCTGAAGTTGACCTGGGACACTCGAGCTTGGTTAGGGGAGGTGCGTCCACCATTACTAAGGCTTGAGTAGGTGGTTTTCCCCTCACAGTGTAAACAAAGCCACCAGGAAGTTTGAACTGGGTGGAGCCCACTGCAGCTCTGCAAAGCCACAGTAGCCAGACTGCCTCTCTAGATTCCCCCTCTCTGGGCAGGGCATCTCTGAAAGAAAGGCAGCAGCCCCAGTCAGGGTCTTATAGATAAAACTCCCATCTCCCTGGGACAGAGCACCTGGGGGAAGGGGCAGCTGTGAGCACAGCTTCAGCAGACTTAAACGTTCTTGCCTGCCGGCTCTGAACAGAGCAGCGGACCTCCCAGCAGAGCACTAGAGCTCTGCTAAGGGACAGACTGCCTCCTCAAGTGGATTCCTGACCCCTATGCCTCCTGACTGGGAGACACCACCTCTCAACAGGGGTTGACAGACACCTCATACAAGAGAGCTCTGACTGGCATCTGGCGGGTGCCCCTCTGGGATGAAGCTTCTGGAGGAAGGAACAGGCAGCAATTCTTGCTGTTTTGCAGCCTCTGCTGTTGATACCCAGACAAACACCTCCAGCAAACTCCAGCAGACCTGCAGCAGAGGGACCTGACTGTTAGAAGGAAAACTAACAAACAGAAAGGAATTTCATCAACATCAACAAAAAGGATGTCCACTCAAAAACCCCATCTGAAGGTCACCAACATCAAAGACCAAAGGTAGATAAATCCACAAAGATGAGGAAAAAACAGCACAAAAAGGCTGAAAATTTCAAAAACGAGAATGCCTCTTCTCCTCCAAAGGATCACAATTCCTCACCAGCAAGGGAACAAAATTGGATAGAGAATGAGTTTGACGAATGGACAGAAGTAGGTTTCAGAAGGTGGGTAATAACAAACTCCTCTGAGCTAAAGGAGCATGTTCTAATCCAATGCAAGGAAGCTAAGAACCTTGAAAAAAGGTTATAGGAATTGGTAACTGGAATAACCAGTTTGGAGAACAACATAAAGCAGGAAAGATCCAAAATTGACACCCAAACATCACAATAAAAGATTACATTAAAAGATCTAGAGAAGCAAGAGCAAACAAATTCAAATACTAGGAGAAGACAAGAAATAAGTAAGATCAGAGCAGAACTGAAGGAAATGGAGACATGAAAAACCCTTCAAAAAAATCAGTTAATCCAGGAGCTGGTTTTTTGAAAAGATAAACAAAATAAATAGACTGCTAGCCAGACTATTAAAGAAGAAAAGAGAGAAGAATCAAATAGACACAATGAAAAATGATCAAGGGGATATCACCACTGATCCCATAGAAATACAAACTACCGTCAGAGAATACTATAAACACCTCTATGCAAATAAACTAGAAAATCTAGAAGAAATGGATAAATTCCTGGACACATACACCCTCCCAAGACTAAACTGGGAAGAAGTCAAATCCCTGAATAGGCCAATAACAAGTTCTGAAATTGAGGCAATAGTTAATAGCCTACCACCCAAAAAATGCCCAGGACCAGACGGATTCACAGCTGAATTCCACCAGAGGTACACAGAGGAGCTGGTACCATTCCTTCTGGAACTATTCCAAACAATAGAAAAAGAGGGACGCCTCCCTAAATCATTTTATGAGGCCAGCATCATCCTGATACCAAAACCTGGCAGAGACACAACAAAACAAAAAATTTCAGGCCAATATCCCTGATGAACATCAGTGTGAAAATCCTCAGTAAAATACTGGCAAACCGAATCCAGCAGCGCATCAAAAAACTTATCTATTACCATCAAGTCAGCTTCATCCCTGGATGCAAGGCTGGTTCAACATACGCAAATCAATGAACATAATCCATCACATAACTAGAACCAATGACAAAAACTACATGAGTATCTCACTAGATGCAGAAAAGGCCTTCAATAAAATTCAACACCTCTTCTTGCTAAAAACTCTCAATAAACTAGGTATTGATGGAACGTATCTCAATAAGAGCTATTTATGACAGTCCCACAGCCAATATCATACTGAATGGGCAAAAGCTGGAAGCATTCCCTTTGAAAACAGGCACAAGACAAGGATGCCCTCTCTCACCACTCCTATTTGACGTAGTATTGGAAGTTCTGGCCAGGGCAATCAGGCAAGAGAAAGAAATAAAGGGTATTCAAATAGGAAGAGAAGAAGTCAGATTGTCTCTGTTTGCACATGACATGATTGTATATTTAGAAAACCCCATCATCTCAGCCCAAAATCTCCTTAAGCTGATAAGCAACTTCAGCAAAGTCTCAGGATACAAAATCAATGTGCAAAAATCACAAGCATTCCTATACACCCATAACAGACAAACAGAGAACCAAATCATAAGCGAACTTCCATTCACAATTGCTACAAAGAGAATAAAATACCTGGGAATACAACTTACAAGGGACGTGAAGGACCTCTTCAAGAAGAACTACAAACCACTGCTCAAGGAAAAAAGAGAGGACACAAACAAATGGAAAAACATTCCATGCTCATGGATAGGAAGAATCAATATCATGAAAATGGCCATACTGCCAAAGTAATTTATAGATTCAATGCTCTCCCCATCAAGCTACCATTGACTTTCTTCACAGAATTAGAAAAAAACTACTTTAAATTTCATATGGAATCAAAAAAGAGCCCATATAGCCAAGACAATCCTAAGCAAAAAGAACAAAGCTGGAGGCATCACACTACCTGACTTCAAACTATATTACAAGGCTACAGTAACCAAAACAGCATGGTACTGATACCAAAACAGATGTGTAGACTGATGGAACAGAACAGAGGCCTCAGAAATAATTCCACACATCTACAACTGTCTGGTCTTTGACAAACCTGACAAAAGCAAGTAATGTGGAAAGGAGTCCCTATTTAATAAATGGTGTTGGGAAAACTGGCTAGCCATATGCAGAAAACTGAAACTGGACCCCTTCCTCACACCTTATACAAAAAATTAACTTAAGATGGATTAAAGACTTAAACATAAGACCTAAAATCATAAAAACCCTAGAAGAAAACCTAGGCAATGCCATTCAAGCATAGACATGGGTAAAGACTTTATGACTAAAACACCAAAAGCAATGGCAACAAAAGCCAAAATTGACAAATGGATCTAATTAAACTAAAGAGCATCAGCAAAAGAAACTATCATCAGAGTGAACAGGCGACCTACAGAATGGGAGAGAATGTTTGCAATCTATCCATCTGACAAAGGACCAATATCCAGTATCTACAAGGAACTTAAACAAATTTACAAGGAAAAAACAACCCCATCAAAAAGTGGCTGAAGGATATGAACAAACATTTCTCAAAAGAAGACATTTATGCGGCCAACAAACGTATGAAACAAAGTTTCTCATCATCACTGGTCATTAGAGAAATGCAAGTCAAAACCACCATGAGATACCATTTGACGCCAGTTAGAATTGTGATTATTAAAAAGTCAGGAAACAAAAGATGCTGGAGAGGATGTGGAGAAATAGGAACGCTTTTACACTGTTGGTGGGAGTGTAAATGAGTTCAGCCATTGTGAAAGACAGTGTGGTGATTCCTCAGGGATCTAGAACCAGAAATACCATGTGACCCAGCAATTCCATTCCTGGGTATATACCCAAAGGATTATAAATCATTCTACTATAAAGACACATGTACACGCTTGTTTATTGCAGCACTCTTCACAATAGCAAAGACTTGGAACCAACCCAAATGCCCATCAATGATAGACTGGATAAAGAAAATGTGGCACATATAAACCATGGAATACTATGCAGCCATAAAAAAGGATGAGTTCATGTCCTTTGCAGGGACATGGTTGAAGCTGGAAACCATCATTCTCAGGAATGATGGTTAGTTAGCAAACTAACACAGGAATAGAAAACCAAGCACTGCATGTTCTCACTCATGAGTGAGAGTTGAACAATGAGAACACATGGACACAGGGAGGGGAACATCACACACCAGGACCTGTTGTGGGGTGGGGGACTAGGGGAAGGATAGCATTAGGAGAAATACCTAATGCTAGGTATTTCTAATGTAGGTGATGGGTTGATGGGTGCAGCAAACCACCATGGCACGTGTATACCTATATAACAAACCTGCATATGTTCTGCACATGTATCCCAGAACTTAAGGTATAATTTAAAAAAAAAAAATTAACCTTTTCTAGTTTGTCACCACATTCGTGGACAGCTAGTCCTGGGGCACTGGGGTGCATATGATTAGTGGCATGGCTGAAGCTAATGCATTCACAAATCCTGATCCGCAGGTGCATGGGTGTCCCTTGTTAATGCGCCTAGTCTGACCCAGGGCAGTGCTGCACAGCTCATTGGCTTTACAGTCAGACAAACCTCCAATCCTGTGTCTGGCTCTCACCAGCTTGTGTCCTAATGAATCAATAATTCTACCCACCTGACGCTCACTTTCCTGTAATTTACTGCAGTGAGTTCCTAGGCATATGGCATGTAAATGGTCAGTAGATCACCTTAGAAGGATTTCAGACTCTGGGTCTCAGTCCATCTGTGAAAATTAGGATGGTAGGAACCTCTCTGAGATACACCTTTAAAATTAGTTATGTGTGTCACATTCACAGCTCCTAGTTTTGAAGACCAGCAACAGAACAATACTTTCAAGTCTTCATATAACCTTTATTAATTTAGGACAGGCTTCATATTTTCAACAAGAGAATTCAAAGTTCATTTTCCTTTTTTCCCTCAGCAACTAAAGTTCTGAGTTTCATAATCTGTTTCTTATTGATACATAATATTTTACATATTTACAGGGTACATTTGAGTTACAATCTATTTTAAATGATACATTATGTAAAGTCACTGTGTTCTTAAATAAATACACATAGTGAATGATCCTGCATGTATCCCCACAAGTACAGCTTGAACAAGTCCATCTTCCAGGGGCCAAGCACCACCTCAGGCATCTGTAGCATGAGCAAAACCCAAGGTCCCCTCTGGAGACCCTGTTTACCCTGCAGGCAGGACAACAGGAGCTGGAAGGAGCAGGCTGATCCAATCCCTTTCTTGTGGTTTTCTTGGTTGGGGAGAGAGAGTTGAGTTTTGCCAAAATACATGTGTTCTGTAGAAGAAACAGGAAATGGAGATACACAAAGAGATATGACAATACAAATCACCAGTTGGGCCACCCAGATCCTGGTTTCCATATACCGTTCCATGCATTGTTCCTGAGCATGTAAGCATGCCCACACTTGAAGGAGGCACTCTCAAGTCCATCGGGGCCTGGGACACCCCACTGTTTTTGAAGTCCTGGAATGTTTTTGTAAAGGTAAGGAAATACCAAAACGAGACTACAAAAATGATGGTATCTACTGATATGTATTGACAAATGTGTAATAAAGATGTGTACGTGTGGGTGTACCTCATCTAGGGGTGACACCTTCAAGTTTAATTTTGAAGCTTGGGCCAGTGGTGCTTCCTTTCCCACAACCACCATGACAGATCCTCTATGAGATGTTATCACAGAACCCATGTTTCTCAGTGGCAGTAGAATACGACATCTCTGTCAACAAATATAATTCTACATTACTTTAATTGCTTGCATGGAAATCCGTTGTATGTAAGTGCCATGGTACATTTAATAGATCTTGTCCTGGGACATCTACTTCTGGTTTCTTTGATAGACTAGCACTCTTGTGAATATCATTGTACTTGCTTCTTTGCATGTTTTCTTCCTTCCTTAGGATGAATTCTGAGAGATGTAATTGATGGGGCAAAATGTACTCACACATTTTTAAGGGTTGTAAACTTTTCGGTCAAAAGCTGGTACTCTTGGTTGTTTGAAAAGGAAAGCAAGTCCTCCCATTCCAGGGTTGGATTTTGACTCTTTTCCTGTAAACTTCACTGCTTTTTGGTTTAATTGTCATAAAATGCCAAGCACCACCAACAGGGCTATGGGAAGGGGCCCAGAGGCAGGAGGGCTGTGGTTAGGCATGGCTTTGGCCAGATGGGGAAGCTGGGTGCTTGGGATCAGGGTAAGCGGGTGGGGATGCTGTGAGTATAGACGCTGGGCAGGGAAGCCCTGCAGGGCAGAGGGAGCGGCAGGGCTGCAGTGCATTTGGCCGTCCAGCTGGAGCAGAGGATGGAAACCGAAGAGTGGGTTGACTCTTGGATGCCAGGCTTGAGTCAGGTGAATCCTGCCCTCATTTTACTGTATAAAGGGAGCTACTCCAGGCCTCCAGGAGTCTTAGACCCTCCCAGTCCCTGTGGGGGTCCCACAGGTGGTTAATTGTGCCTCAGGCCCTCTGCTCTCCCTCCCTCTGTAAGTCTCACTCTCCTTTGCAGTGAGCTCTAGCGAAACTTCTATTCCAGTAGGACCAAATGTTTGAGGCCTCCAGAAAAGAAATCCGGTGAACACGGAGGGTTTGTCACACTAACTTGAGTCCCTTTCTCAGGTGGCCCACCCTTGTAGGCCAGCCTCCCAATTCCTAGCCAGCTCCAGGCTCCGGGCTTTTGCTCATTCAAAACCAAAATTGAAGGCATCTGCCCTGCTCAGGCCCCCATCTCTGTTCAGAGTAAACTCCTCCCTCCCTCTGCTTTTGCCCTAAGTTCTCTTTTCAACTCACCTAACATCTAACTTGGCCCTGCAGCTCTGATCCCCAAAACCCTCTCTACCTGTTCCCTCCCAAGCTATCCCTGACCAGCATGCCAGGAACAAGGAAGTCTTGGAAGCTGCACTCCTTGCTGCTCTCCCCTGTCCTTTATCCTTCCACTTGGAATCTCTGTCCTTCTACCCATCTCTAGCTACTGAAATCGTGTTCATGTTTCCAGGCACATCTCATACTCTGTCGTCTTTAAGAAGTCTTCCCAGAAACCCCATCGTTTATATTCGTGATATATACCATATTCCACTGTGTAATGTAGATTGCACCAGAGAGTATTTAATCTCCTGAAGGCAAGGACTATAACCTATTCATCTTCCTTTCCTGGGTGGGGAGAACCACCATGCCTTGTACCAAGTAGCGATGACATGGGTCCTGGCTCCATGAATGAACGGGCATTGAGAGAAAAGGAGCTGATGATGAGTGAATGGAGGAGCCTAGTGAGGCAACGTTTACTCCTCAGTGAAGCAGTGTTGGTGACTCCAACAGCTCTCTTTAGGAAGGATTTAAGACAACATCCTGTTCGGAAGGGGCTTGAAGCACTTTATAAAAGAGAGGCAAGGGCACACGTCAAACTAGAAGAATGAAAGTAAGAAGAGAGAAGGCTGCAGAGAGGAGCAAGCCCCATCCGTCCCCCTGATGGTCCTGCCAGTGCATGGGTTACCTCTCATTGCATTTAGTGCGGTCTGTTGTTTTTGTGTTGTGAAATATTATCCTTGATTACATTATGTTGCTCTGTTTTTGAAAGAGAAAGTATTCAAGCAAGTGTCACTTCTATTTCTTGCAGGCAACTATGGTCCTGAGCTCCGCACACTTCTGGTTGGGATTATTTCTGGTTCCTACTGCCTGTTTGATTGAAGATGTGGCATGGAGAGCGTAAGTTTAACAGTGAAGCGGGGACCCTAAGTCTGGCTCATCTGTCCCTGGAATTGTCTTTCTCATGAGTCCTGCTACAGGGTATGAGAATGACAGGAATTCGGAAGAAATGGGTCTCCTGCCACCTGCCAGAAATGAAAAAAAAATTTTTTTAGTTTAACTTGTGCTTCATCTTGATATGAAAATATAGACAACCATAACAATAGAAAAATCAGCTGGGCATGGCAGCGCATAGCTCTAGTCTCAGCTACTTAGGAGGCCAAGGTGGGAAGATCACTCGAGCCCAGGTGTTTGAGGCTGTAGTGAGCTATGGTCGTGCCACTATACTCCAGCCTGGGCCAACAGAGCAAGACCCTGTCTTTAAATAAAAAGAAACAAAAAGAAAAGAAAAAATACAGACACAAAGGAGCCCTGAGAGAAACTATGAAGATCAATAGGAATGTTGCCTTATATAAAGGCAGAGTTTCTGAGTACACACCCATTCCATCAAATTGAGAAAGTATAACTCAAAACTCATCTCTCTTTATATCATAAACTCAGTGCTAAGTGGTCACGGATATGGCCTGGCTTCACTTCCCATGCTTAGAGGGAAGCTATGTATAGGTAAGTCATTTAAAATTACAAGAATGAAGTACTCTTCATTTTTCCAAACAACTCATAGTAGGAATACTTTCAGTAAAATTCTTCTAGAGGATTAGTTCACAGGTCTGTGAGAAAACCAGTCATGAAGATGGCATTATCATGTAGGTTAAATAGGAAATCATTCATATTAAATTTTGCTTTTATGTTTTAACATATATTGTTTTCAAGATACCTTGTTACAATATAAAAGAAGCGACTAAGTTCCAAGGTCATGTAAATTTTAATTTTATCCATGAGCAAAAGGAGGGCTGCTCCAAGTAAAATAGGACTGATTTTTGTTTTGGGTCGACCCAATTTCTCCTACAAATAGGTGCCAACTTCTCTGAAAATTGAGACTCCGAGCTCGGCTTTACTTTGGGCAAAACACAATTATTTTGGGGCTCTGAGATAGAGAAGTGAGACTTTAATCCAAACCTTCCAGGGAAAGACATCAGATTTCATTTTTAGCCCTCCGTTCCTCCCACACTCAGAATTTTTCTTGCCTGACAGTTATGGAAGTCTTTTGAAAAAGTCCTCATTTTGGCATTATCTTGACAACCGATGATACCTCATGCAAATCTAGATAGAGGGGGAAAGAATATTATAACATGGATTTTCTTTTTTTTTCCTGTTCACTAAGTTTTTTAACTGTTAAAAAATTAAATAATTCTCATTTCTTAAATTCTTTGATTTACCATTACTTCCATTTTATTTGGTAAAACCATATTCTGCAAATAACAGAATCAGAATCCTCAGAAATGAAAAGATTACAGCCAGAAAAAAATATTTTCTTAATCTAATAGATGTACCATAAGAACATAGTAGTTTTGGCCAGGCGCAGTGGCTCACGCCTGTAATCTCAACACTTTGGGAGGCCGAGGTGGGTGGATCACAAGGTCAAGCAGTCAAGACCATCCTGGCCAACATTGAGAAACTCCGTCTCTACTATAAATACAAAAATTAGCTGGGCGTGGTGGCGGGCACCTGTAGTCCCAGCTACTTGGGAGGCTGAGGCAGGAGAATCGCTTGAACCTGGGAGGCAGAGGTTGCAGTGAGCTGAGATCGTGCCACTGCACTCCAGCCTGGGCGACAGAGCGAGACTCCGTCTCAAAAAAAAAAAAAAAAAGAAAAGAAAAGAAAAAGAAAAAGAAAAGAAAGAAAATATTAGTTCTGTTATTTGCTCTTTCAGCCAATAGGCCCAATTGTGACACAATCTAGTCCCTTGCTGAATTTGTTCAAAATCTTTGTTTTGCAAAGATAAGTCAGTTTTAGATAAATAGGCCACATCAGCTGGCCTTTTCTATTTATAGTGATTGAAAACTAGTAACATGATTATAAATTAGTTTATTTTAATTCAGCTATCTCAAATTAGTGTCATTAAAACAATTCTATTGAGACTGTATATTTGCAGAAGACTTTAGCAATAGTCTCTTCCATCTGAAAGAGAATGTTTATAGATTACAAAGTGTCTGTGCTTCTTTGTCCATTTTCTGGCTCTTTTCCAGTGCGTTCTGAGTAATCATTCCCTGTCATCACAAAGCAAATTATCTATTCCCTCAAACAGGACTTGTTTTTGGTTTCCCCTGGCACTATAAAATTAGCACCATTTACATTTTAACAAGGATAAATCAAATGACACTACTCCCAGCTTCACCACATGGAAAGAGTAAAAGTCACTTCCTTTCCAAGGAGCTTGCCAACTGGGTCAGAGCATAAACCCGGGCTCTGCAGTGGAGGTGCCCGCAGGGCAAGCAAGGAAGGCTAAGGGTCGTCACTCTGCAGCAGGAGCACTCGGCCACCCAGCACCTGGCACCACGGGCCCAGAACTCAGCTTTTCCGGGGAGCCAACAGCATCTCAGCTCTGGGCTGAGCCAGAAAGGCCCCTGCTGAATTCCAGAGGTGCTTTCTAAAATGGATTTTTGTCTTGTTTTATTTAGGGGAGCAGGGAAAATAGCATATATTGGCTGTGAGCTGGAATATTTGTCCGAAGCACATATATGCTCAATTTGTAATATCTATTTAATATCTAAACTACCCTCACCCCTCTCCTCAAAAACAAGACATTTTTCAGTTTATTGGTGCATTTTCCCTTTGATCGTGAGGCCCATATTATGTCTCATATTATGCTCCAAACCCGAAGTATTTGTTTTTGAGGCAAGTAAATTCGGAGGCTTCTCACAAAAAGAGAATGCCTATTGTGAATCAGTTACCTCTGAGAAGCTACAGTGCTTCACTGAGATTTCTCTTTCTGAACTGCAGCTTTAGAAAACGCTGTTGGCTTCTTCTTCCCATGCACTGAACAAAAATATTAATCCTGCTTGTCCCGAACCACCCATCCTTGGATTTGAGTTGTCAAGTATCTACTGAGGCACGATATCTGTGATGCACCTTGGGGTTCCCAGAAAGGGTGTGTATTTGAGAGTGGGCACAGGGGCAGCTGAAGACCCTACCCTGTGATGGCAGCATGTGGTGATGCCGAGAGAGCTTCCACAGGGGTGCTGCGGGCCTCTCATCTTGCCTTGGGCCCATCTTAAGGATGTTTTATTTTGTTCTGAACTTTGGTGGTTATCACTCTCTTTTGAAAGGGCTTTTAGACCAGGCACAGTGGCTCACACCTGTAATCCCAGCACTTTGGGAGGCCGAGGTGGGCGGATCATCTGGGGTCAGGAGTTCAAGATCAGCCCGGCCAACATGGTGAAACCCTGTCTCTACAAAAATACAAAAATTAGTTGGGCATGATGGCGAGTGCCTGTAATCCCAGCTACTCAGGAGGCTGAGGTGGGAGAATGGCTTGAACCCAGGAGGCAGAGGTTGCAGTGAGCCGAGATCGCACCAATTGCACTCCAGCCTGGGCGACAGAGTGAGACTCCATCTCAAAGAAAAAAAGGCTTTTAAATTCCAGATTAAGGCAGGCCTGCCTTTTCAAGTATATTTCTGTGAGCACTGAAGAAAGTGAGTTGCTCCATCTTTCTACATTTTCCCCATTTCTTTGCCCAGTTTCTCGCTTCCATTTCAGGACCTGAGCTGTTAAGAGTAAGAAAAGAGAACCAGAATGAGGTAATTCAATCACTTTTTCCATGAAGTCTGTCAGCTTTCTGGATGAAGATCCATTATTAGACTATCTTAAGTCAGATTTGGCACGCCATAAAATGCCTACGCTATTATCCTGCTAACCAAAATTTTCATATGGGACAAAACTAAGCTACCTTTTATTAAAATAATTGATTGATTATATGTGATACCTGGCTAATGAGTAATTTTGTTAGATGCATGAAGTTTAAATTGCCCAGAACTATTTTAATATCCCTGCGCTTATATTCATCCAAAATGTTTACTGATGACAGCATGCTTAGGTAAGCTGCCACATACCCACTTTCATCTAGGTGAAATTTGTTAGTATTGCTTTATAAAAATAATACAAGCTCAAGGCCACTGAACACAGAGGAACCCATTTGCTTTTATCTAGCTGTATCTCCTGTATTTTACTGTACATCAACAATACAGTCCCCGATTCCAGAATGACTTCATTTCCTTATTATAATCCCAGATAGGCAGTTAAATGGAAAGAAGAGGTAATGAGCAATTTCTATACACAAATGGGCCTTGATTTCTTTTAACTTTCTAACTAAACTAATTTCTTTTGCAGCACGTTACATTTACACTTCCATCCAGGTTTAGAATTATATGTTTCCTTTTGACTTGCTGTTCTTGCATACAAAAGAAGAGTCCAGGGAAAGAGTTTCAGAAAAAAAAAAAAAAAAGGATGGAAAGTTCAAGATCCTTAAACAGTCTATTTCTTTTAAAAGTCTCTGAGAACCTGGAGACACCCTTAGGTATATCTGAAGACCCACAGACAACTTTCACACTCTTGAGTCAGTAGCCAGCACCCCAACTCTGTCCCTTCTGTGGTCATCCAGCCTCTCGATGTGGGGTTAGATGAAGCAAGCCCTGGACCACTGGGCAATAAGCCATTTACAGATAAGGGACTTACTCTGTCAAAGCTATGACTCAGAACACGCCAAACGCCAGCTCCTGGTAAGACCTAAGTGACATGCCAGTGGCTAATGCTTAACAACTGACTTTATAACCTATAAATATTAATTTTAGACCACTCACATGTAGCCTTTAGACAGGGGAGATTTTAGAATCAGTTTTTCTAATTCAGGCGTTATTAGATAAAGGTGCTTGGGAACAGGGTTTTAAATTGCCAGCCTCCCTTTACTCAGGTGCTGTTAAATGCATGCAGAAAGAGAAGTTGAATCATCCCCAGCATTGCAATTCAGTGTTTTCCAATAGCAACAAAGTTCCCAGGCTAGCTCACAGGGGCTAAACTAGTGGAAATAGTATCAAATTGCTGAGTAACTCTTGAATATGGGCGCAGTTTCATCCCCTGAGAGCACGCACAATGCCTGGGAGCACTGACATGCTCAGACCATTGCCCTCTGAGGCCATGTTGTGATTGAGTAAAAACCAGCAGCTTCCACAGTGGGTTGGATTCTGACCTAAGCTGTAGGTTCCCAGTGGCCAACCTTCCTATTCCAGCCTCCCACTTAGGAACCCCCTTTCCTCCCAGCCTGGGAAATAACAATGGGGTCTGTTCTACCCCTGTGCAGGGGAAAGGGGATAGGGAGAGAGAGGGAGGGTGATGGTGGAGAGAGGGATCCTGGAAGAACCAGCGATGCTGCTCATCCTTCAGGAGTAGCCAGGCTGTTCTAGGACCCATGCAAGCCCATGGCTCAGGGCAGGCGGGGCAGGCACTCGGTGGCTTTGTTGTCAGTCTAACCCCAGAAGCCCAGGAGATAAAAGACCACTTTTGGGGCCCCACATGTTACATAATAATGAACGGGGTACATTTTAACATCGTTTTTGACTCTCCTTTCCAGCAAACTGTTAGATATTTGCTCATTTCTTGTTTAAATTAAAATTCCACAGGCTCTGCTTTGAACTGCAGTATTTTATCAATCCTGAGTCTCAGGACACTGTTTGATGGAATTAAGTAAGGTATTATGTGTTAAAGCCTGTGTGGCTTTCCCTTGTTTACTTTGGGGGAAAGGATGACAGGGGCATATACAGTGTCTCAGTGCTAATACTCCATTATAGATTAACTCGGAGTGTCGGGAGATGGCTCACATTATCTTAACAGGCTTTCTTTCCTTGAAGGTGGAGGGTGGGTGAGGTGGTACAGGATTCTGCAGGAAGAGCCCACATCTTCAGAATGTTCCCATGACACCGTTTTCATTTCTGGGCAAAGGTGCTCAGTTTTTGTTCTCATTCTGTCTTTGGGTCCTGGTACATAGCAGGATCCTCACATGTATTTATATTTAAATTAAACCGATGCAAAGCTTTTCAGTCTGGTGTGTTACTAATTTTTGAGCCTTTTCCCTTTGCAGTTTTTTTCTCTTATATAACCTATATCTGGTTAAATGTCTTTTCACCTAGACTGTTTCCAACTAGTAGCTAGATTGTTTCCAACTGGTAGCTCACTTTTAGCTTAGTTTAGTTTTCATTTTATAAAGACTCTGAGATTGGCCAATTATTTGAGCATTGTGAGGTATTCATCTTAGTGTCCTCAGTAAAAGGGTAGAGGGAACTCTTCCTACCATTCAAGAAGAGTGAGCTGTCCAGGCTGCGGGTTATTTCATAAGTTGTATTAATGTCACTGAGGCCTGCGTGTGTGGACTCCAATGGTGAGTTGTTGCCAGAGGAAGATGGGAAACCTGCACTCTGGATTTGTGTTGACTCCACGTTTCAAGCCTCTGGTTTTGCATCCAGACCATGCACTCTAGCATCCTAAGCCCCGTGGCTGCTGTGGCAGTGGCTCTTTTCACGCTAAAGAGGGAGGGAGGAAACTTGCTAACCCCTGGGCTCTCTGACTGCAGTTGGGGTCCTTGGACCAGGGAACCAGTGCCTGTTCACTAAGGTGAGGGTTTAAAGTGTCTTCTTGGTTTTCAGTTCCTGACAAGAAATGCTGTAGAGGTAGACCCTGGGTCTTCGTGAACCCCACCCAGTCTTTGAGTGACTGGGCTGCTCGGCCGACTTCCGGTTCTTTGCGGGGTGGGGGTGACTCTTGACATGCATGATCCGGGTCTGGTCTGCAGCACTCAGGATACTTCCGGGCTGTGGAGATGGAACCTGGGTCATGCATGGAGACTGTGAAAGCTCCACCACTTCCCGAGCCTCGGCCTCCACCAAAGGGCATTTGGCTGTGGCCTGAGAGGGGAGCGGCCTGTCTTTCCCAGCTGTGTCAAGTCTCTATGCCATGTTCGTTTTGTCTTTTCCTCATAACACAGAGCCAAGCACACCTGCAAAAAGACATTGCTGGAGGAGGTGCAGGAGCTGGAAACCAAGTCTCGAGTCCTGGGAAAAGCGGTGCTGCGGGATAGCAATGGAAAGAGGTGGGGAACTCCGTCCCAGTCCGCACAGAACACAGGTGCTCCCGGCCCTTTTCCCTTATTCCTTCCTGTATTTCTTTTTCTCATCTTGGTTTTCGATGGGAGCACAGTATGCTCAGGCTTAAGAATTTTGGTTATTCTCAGATTTAAATCACACTCTCAGTGACTACATGAAACCTAAATCTCTGGAAGTCTCCAGGTAAGACTGGGGGTTTTATTGGGTTTAGAAGTGAGCAAAACAACTCATGTGCAGAAAATCGATGTTGTGGCAGTATTATCTTAAGGTGGAAGAGTCCAGAGTTAGCAGTATTACCACAGAGGAGTTAAAGCTAGGCCTTTGAATTTCAAACCCAAGTACTGTACCCAAGGATGAGTATCTACAGTGTGAAGGTTTGCATGTGAAATAATGCATGTTGTTATTCATGTAAACCTGTTACATTCCACTTCAGCATATCTAAATGGGGGAGTAGTTTTTAATGCTAACATTTTCTGCTGGGAGTGAAAGGAATCGTGTGAACTCCTGGAACAGACACTGCCGCTTGCTCTCCTAATTCCTCCTGAACATGAGCCTGCCCTTCCCCACAAGGAACAGCTGGGTCTGTGTGCAGTTTTTGTTTCATCACACAAGATGTTAAAATGTTGTTAGAGTGCACTCTGTTAAAATCTATGTACCATCAAGGGAAATTTCTTTGGGCCTGAGAACAATTTGCAGGGTACTAGAAAGCCATTGCTCTATTAAGGACATGGAATATCTATAATATTCTGAGTACAGCTCTCCTATAAATGCTTAGAAGGAAATCAGTAACCAACTGCTAATGAAACAAACATCAAGAAATCAAATACTTATAGAGGTCCCCACTTTGTGTTTTGCTTTATATTGTGTTTATTTGTACCATCTTTTAAAGCAATGAAGACAAAATAATTTTTTTGTTAAAGAAAGAGAATGCAAACATTTTGAGAGGCTTTCAAAATACAATTTCAAACAGATTTTAGAAAAGGGATGATGGCATAGAGTTGAAGTTGTGGTTTTGTATTTATTTATGAGTTATTTTTTAGTAAGTTTATTAAGCATTCATTTTATAGCAGCTATGCTAGCCACTGTAAAAAATCATCAGTCAACAAGACAAAAAGCACTGTCTTCCATAAGCTTAAGTTTGTGAATACATGGGGATGGGGGCTGATTTTACCGCAGATGTACATATAACCACTACGCGTGGTTGAGGCTTGTTCAGGGCTGTTCTATCCATCAGACAGCTGAGGCATAAGGCTCAGGACCTGTTAGAGTTTCAGGGACCTACCGTGCTCTTTGAGACCTGAAAAAAAACATATTCATAAGCTCCAAAAATTAGGGAGCAGGAAACATTGCATAATGAAATTAATAAATGTTTAAAACCCTATAAAATGCATATCACTCTTAACCGTTAAGTTTAGTAAGGACAATAAGTTTATTATACTTAGAAACAACTTACAGGCTCCCTTATATATCAAGTATACACAATGATTGCTGAGGGGGCATAAGTAATTTCTAAGTAAAATGAGAATTTCAGAGCAAAACTCTCAAACTCCTCTCAAACATTTTACAGGACGACATCACATATAATGTGGTGTGAGAATGTGCTTTAGAGTGTTTGTTCTGATGTGGGGAGGGGTCATCTGGCTTGAGCAATCAAGAAAGGCTTCATGTTGGAGATGGATGAACAACAGGCTTTTGAGGATGGGAGGGTCTTGAATGGACAGAACTGCTGAGAGTCTGATTTGGGCAGAGGGAGTGGCACATGCCAAGGCTCAGGTCCAACACTGTGTGCAGGGACCAACCACCCAGTTTGGAGGGCCACATGCATTTTGCAGAGATACAGAACCTGCGTTTGAATTCTGGCTTTGCTACCTACCGGTGAGGCCTTGTGCAGGATATTTCATATGATCAGATTGTCTCTTCATCTGTCATAGAAGAAGGCTAATATTTTCTTTGGGGGATTAAGGTTCGTGAAATATGTACAACGCAGCATATTGCCTGACCCATCTCAGGTGTGTAAAAGGTCAGCTGCTCATCTTCACTTTGGCAGGAGAGTCATGAGCTGTCGGCCTTGAATTGTATTGAAGGAAGTCGTGGGCTGTCAGCCTTGAAAGAGTGTGTGAGCCCATTTTTGCTTGTTGTTGATAAATGAATGTTATTTTTAAAATTCACTTATCCTGTTCAAAATTCATTTTTAAATGTTCAAATGGATATCAGAAAATAAGAGCTTAAATGCGGTTTCCTACCGTCTACATTTGAAAGTCTTATTTTCTGGTTCCTTGTAAATTTCACTTTGTAGTTCATATGATGGGGTGTGTGTGTGTGTTTCTGTGCACGTGTGCGCGCACACATGCACGGGTGGGCCTGCATACTCCCGTTTGGTTGCACCATTTTCCTTTTCTTCTAGTCCCAGCATCTTGCTTCACTTTGGAATTCCTAGCCAGAACACAGTTTGGGGGCTCTGCCGCTCATCCTCCTCAGTGACCCCCTCCCATTTGTTTTTCTCACTCCTAATTACTCACAGATTTTCTGGGTGGTCCATCTGCAAACTGGATAATGGTGGCGTGCTGCTCTCTGCACAGAGTCTATGCTGTCCTGCTTGGCCTCCTAAGCTGCCTCACAATTGTTCTCTTACAACCTTTGTTTTCTTCTTTCACACCTGCTTAGATTCCTGAGGGGTGGAGGGTAGAGACTAAGAAGTCTGTCTTCAGCTCTGTCCTCCCTTCTAAAGATCTTATAGACCCCCACCTCTTTGAGGGGTCCTGAGTGTTTTTGTCTCTTCTCACCCCTCCCTGTTCCTTCTTTCCTACCCTCATCTGATCTTTCAGCTGATTTGTGTATCTCTCTAGCTGTTAACCGCACAGGAAACTCTGTCAATATTTGCTGGCTGACTGACTGGCAATACCAAAGTCTAGTGAGGTGGTAGTGAGGAAAGGACGGTGACTTCAGTGCCAGATGAGCTGACACACTGGTGCCTGTGTGTCAGCTCGTGTGTCGGATGTGCACAAAGTGGCCACAGAGAGATGCTGACAGTCACCGGGCCTCCAGGGAGGGGGCAGTTTATCTCATTGCTTGAGAGTACAGCTAACATAGACTCACACATGGAGAGGCATCTGTGATGTAAGATTAGCAAATCTTACCCTTGCAAAGATGCACAGGCCAGGAGCCCATCCTCCCTGAAACCCACTCCCTCTCCTGCCTTCCTGTGCCAGCCAAGCCAGGGCACCCCCAGGGGTCCTCAGCATCCCTAACCCCAGGGGCTTACTCAGCTCAGTCCTGACAGCATTGCTTAGGGCCCCTTAAAGGACATTCTGCCAGGTCATAAAACCCAGGTCCAAGTCACTGGCAAATATTCTAGCAGTTTTTCTTAGGAATGTAACCACAGGAAGTAGAACAAAAAAAATCTGTATGCATTAATCTTTTTAGAAAACCCTCTTGTACCAAATTTACAATTACAATTTTGAAATGGTAGCCAGGGATTCTAAGTTTCTCTCTGTGCCTTTTATTCATTCAATAAAATATTTTCATCCAACATTTTATTGAACTTGTCTAAGCCTCATACTTTTATACTATTTTGATAAAGTTAAATTTTCATGAACATGCTTCTGCACTTTCTCATTAGTAGATCTTGTCTTCCAAAATCAACCTGTGGAATTGATACTTTAATAAGCCTGTTCTCATGAAGAAGCAGATAATGAGAAAGGGTGAGATCAGGGAATTAGATATCCAGAAAGCACAGTGAAGAAAGTGCTTTAGGGAGTGAATAAAATGTTTGTCTTGATTTTAGTTTGTTCTTCTTGAAGGAGTGTTTTTCACGATGTGGTGTTTGTGCGCCTTATAGACACTGGACACGTGTGACTGTTGGGGTTGATCAGAATACCTTTTCCCAAACTGTCTTCCCAGTAATCCCTACCTGGGGAAGCAGGAACCCCCCCGCACCGCACATGAAATAGTCTACCCTGCATGTCGTTATTTTGAGTGTCTAAACAATGAGGAGCTAAATGGAAGAAAATTCTTTGTTTTTTAATGTCTTGGTAATATCTTTCCTTTCTTTATTCCTGAAGTGTAAGCCATGCAAATTTCTTTCCTGGTGAAAGAAAATCTATCTGTGGCCACTCACTTTTACAGATACAATATAAACCGATGACGGCGTGTAAGATGACAGACTTTTGTTCCTTAATTTTTTTTGGAATGAGATAAGTGGTTGCCCTGTAATATTTTAGGTACAATGGCAAGCAAGAAAAAAAAGGGGGAATATATTTGTTGAAAACATCTAGTTTTTGAGTTATGCATAGCCTGAATAAACAAGGAGAGCTTGTTCTATTTCTAGATCACCTTTCACTCTGTTCATCCCAGTTGGTGGGAGTGGGGTGGGGTGGGGTGAGCCCAGGGCTGATATTCTCCATTGTCAAGGGTAAACAGACCCGGTTGCTGCCCCTGCCTTTGCCAGGAAGGCAGTGGATTATCTTCCCCTTAAGTGCTTTCCCTGGGTGTAGCTTACGCTGTGACTTTGGTGAAGGTAGCTGTGTGGCTGGTCTTAAACCTTCTGGCGAGCCGTCGCCTCGTCTCCCTTCGGTTTTGTGTTCTGTGAACATCTGTGCGTGGCCCTGTGACCCGGGGTAATCTGGACGGCCCATCACCGCCAGGGAATTCAGGAGGGAAACCTGACTCTTGCTCTGCGGCTTCCATTTCATCCAGGCTGCCTCTAAACAGGCAGGGCCCTGGTCACAGCCTTGGACAGGTGGCCTGGGATCCTAATGGAGCTCTCTCTGCCGAAAAATAGGAACAGAGCCTGAACCACAGCAGCAAGATTTCAGACAAACCAAAGATTGTTCCTCCACTCCAGGCAGTGCTCTCGAGTGCTCCTTTGAAAACCAGTCGTATTAAAAAAATGAAACAACACAAACTCCCGAATGCATTCTGAGTGAGTACTCAACTCAAAAATACCTGTCATGCTTTGATCTTTAACGGAAATCCTTTGATCTTTAAAACAGTGTTGAAAAAACTGTTTAGTATCATCACACCTCTAAGTCAAAATCAGTCCCACTGCCAGGCTGAGCATGTCGCTGAGCCAGCCTGAGGCAGGAGGGATGCAGGCCTTTTGCACCGGACTCCAACAATGACTGCGTCACTTCAGGAAATCGGTTTTTTCACAGTACTGGCCGTTGGCAGTGCACATGTGGTGCATCTCCCTTTTGCTTTTGTCCCACCTCTCCCACACTTTCCTCCTAAAATACCTATTATTGGCTTTTTTTCCAGCCAAAAGGATAGGAAATTAGGGCATCCTTTCAGCAAACCTCTCCAGGCCAGGTGGCAAATGTCTGCTTCCAGCACCTGGTTGAGATTTATTTTCCTTCCAGCTGCATTTTTTTTCCTCAGCTCTGTCATGAAGCAGAGAAGCGAGTGCAGACGGCGGAGACAGATGACCTGAGCTGGGCTCTAGCTTAGCTGTGTGGCCTTGGCTGGGTTATTAACTTCTCTGAACTTCAGTTTTCTCATCATACATTCGCTTTGAGGTTTAAATAAATAATGCAGATTAAATCTATAGCCTATGTAGATGTTCAGGAAGCGTCCCCTAACTGAAAAGCTGCATAACAAGTACATTTCACTGGCCGTGTTTACCATCTAACATGTAAGCCTGGGGAAGATGTGAATGCAGCAGGCTCTCCGAGTTGCATCGTCGGGGTGTGCCCCCTAGTCTGAGGTAAAAGGGAGAAATCTAACAGAATCCCAGGGACATGGGAGTGGTGTGGACGAATGGCCGTAGTGAATGTTGGATGGGGGTGTGGTGGGGACTGTAGTGAGTTCTGAATCTTGGTGGTCTCCTCAAGACAGCCTTTGGATTACAGCTTCAAGGAGCTCCTCTTTGTGAAGAGGACAGTGTACCCAGTCCAGGCTGTCCCTTCTGCCCCAGGATCTCTCGCCAGCTTACCCCTGTCCATCTGAGCTGCAGTCTGTCTGTAACGTCTATGCCGGTCCTTGCCACTCCTCCCCAGAACCAGCCCTTCCTTCGGAGTCTCCTGCTCCATCGGGATGAATTTTTCCCACACTGCAGACTCGCTCTCAGTGTCCACACTGTCCCCTCATGTCCTGCGCATCCCTGGGTGCCAGGTCTCGGCGTCTTCCCAGCATCTGCACAGTCATCCCCCCTGGTCCCTTGGGGTGGTGCCTGTCCCTCTTCACCCACCATCCCACAGCTGAAGACATCCTTTGTGAAGCACAGCCTCATCATGCCACCTTCTGCCCTCAGCCCACCACCTGCTGAGCCAGTGCAGACCAGAACCACAGTGATTTCCGCCTCTGCTTCTCTTCTCACGTGTGCGACCCTCAGCTTCCACCTCCCCTGTCCTCCCCACGCTGTGCCCTTCTGTGGTTGGTGCTACCCTTGGCTCTTCTTGATTGACTGGTTTTATACGATGGTGTTGCACTGTGTCCCAAGCACTGGGCCACACGTGGGCTACTCAGGGGCAGCAGGACAGGCCTTGTCCTGGGAACAAATGCCGTCCACCTCAGGACACACTCTCTGATGTCACCAACTTCCCTGCTGTGCTGATGGCAGCCTGAGCTTCCCTTAAAACACTCATTTTAAAAGTTTTATTTTCGACCGGTTGCGGTGGCTCACGCCTGTAATCCCAGCACTTTGGGAGGCCAAGGCGGGCAGGTCACGAGGTCAGGAGATGGAGACCATCCATCCTGGCTAACACAGTGAAATCCCGTCTCTACTAAAAATACAAAAAAAAAAATTAGCCGGGTGTGGTGGCGGGCACCTGTAGTCCCAGCTACTCAGGAGGCTGAGGCAGGAGAATGGCGTGAACCCGAGAGGCGGAGCTTGCGGTGAGCCGAGATCGCGCCACTGCACTCCAGCCTGGGGGACAGAGTGAGACTCCATCTCGAAAAAAAAAAAAGAAGTTTTATTTTCATTATTCAAATATTCAAGCATACATAGTAGTAGGGAGATGAGCACAATAAGCTCTTATGAAATCATTGCCCAGGTCCAATCATTATCAAGATTCGGCCAGAACTGCTTCATCTCACCCCTTCTGCTCAGAGTCTTTCTTTCCTGAAACATAAAGCAAATCCCAGGCATCACGACAGTCCACCTATGCTTTAGGAGGCATCTCTAAATATTCCACGAGACTTTATAACATCTGTGATACACAGCATGCTTGTTTATGTTATTAAATGTAGAACTCCAGTCCCCATGATCACATCTAACAAGTTAATAATAATTCCTTGGTATCAGTCAAACAACCCGTCCATAAAAAGACTCTCTGGATGCCTCAGCCCTGCCTTTTAGGATTGATTGATTTGTGTTAGGATCTGGGCAAGGTTCACACATAGCATTTGGTTTCTGTGTTCCTCAAGTTCCTCTGAATCTGGAGAACTTTCTCTTGTTTTTTTGTTTTGTTTTGTTTTGTTTTTAAGATACAGAGTCCCATTATGTTGCCCAAGCTGGGCTTGACTTCTGGGCTCACTCCATCTTCCTGCCTCAGCCTCCCAAGTAGCTGGGATTACAGGGATGTGCCGCCATGCTGAGACCTGTCTTCCTGGTTTTTAATGCCATGGACTTATTCATTATGCTCCACTTTATTTTTTTATCATAACACTGATCCCCACATGCAGCAAATGAAAGTTTCCTCATGTGCAGAAAAGGCGATGAGGCCTCAGAGAGATGGAGTCACGTCTGCTCAGTGTCACCCAACTAAAGAGAGGCAAACCTGCATCTTCTTACTTCAGGCCTCTTTCCACCAAGCCAAGATGTGGAGAGCCACCCAAATGCTTGCATTTGCAATTACATCTTTATTAGAGAGACTGGAAAGCCACGGAGCCCCCAGAGAGACCAGGAGGGGTGCTTACCTTCTAGCATGGTCTGATGAAAAGGGTCACAGTCTGCTGTCTGGTGAAGCTGCGTGCAAAATCCAAGGAAGCTAGAGAATTGTAGTTGCATGTTGTTGTCTTTTAGATCCCTACATGTAGGAAGAACTTGGACCAAGCAGAGAAATCATACCCTCCCCCCAAGAAATGCTGAAGCCAAACCAGCGGACAAATTCAGAGCAAATAAAGGGAAAAGAGTGTGTGAAAGCGGCTCATTTTGTTTGTTTGTTTGTTTGTTTTTTGAGACAGAATCTTGCTCTATCGCCCAGGCTGGAGTGCAGTGGTGCGACCTCAGCTCGCTGCAACCTCTGCCTCCCAGGTTCAAGCAATTCTCTGCCTCAGCCTCCTGAGTAGCTGGGATTACAGGCACCCGCCACCATGCCCAGCTAATTTTTGTATTTTTAGTAGAGACGGGGTTTCACCATCTTGGCCAGGCTGGTCTTGAACTCCTGACCTTGTGATCCACCCCCACCCCCACCCCCCTTCCCTGCCCTCGGCCTCCTAAAGTGCTAGGATTACAGGCATGAACCACCGTGCCCAGCCGCAGCTCACATTTTGATATGGCTCAGGAAAGAGAAGCCTTGCTAAAGAAGCCAATTTCCACCCACAGTCACCTTCGTGGAGCCTAGTATGGTCTATGAAAAAATTAATTGAATGCGTTTAATCTTGTAGAGCAAAGAACCTTGGGCAAAGCCTAATGCCGGCAAACATTTTAGTTGAGACAATGGGGAGAGTTCTTAGGAGAACAGCTGGAGAGCCAACGACGCTCCCAGGCAAGGCCAGTTAAAGCTCTCGCCTTGCTGACAAATACTCGCGACAGGTGAGGAAATGCATTAGTGGAACAAAGGGAGTGAATGTGGCAGGAAATTACCGAAAGGCTGCCCGCATGACCCAGCCGGGCTTCTGGTGACTGTTTGCATCCTGGGCACAGGAAGGAGAGGAGGAGGAAAATAAACTCTTCAGGAAGTGAAACACCTCATTAGCATTTAGTTAATGCCTAAGCTGCCTGTGTCAACTAAAAATAATTGATTCTCTGTTATTTTAGGAATGTTGAATTCCAAGAGCCTGTTGTTGTTGTTGTTGTTGTTATTGTTCTTATGGACCGATGTTTAATAATTAGAAAATTTTTAAATTAAATACCAGATGTCATTTATTATTAAGCATCTTGTTCACCTTTAAAACGGTGCTGTGGCTGTATCAGAAATCTAATCAGGAGCTTAGCTACTTGCCCAGTGCTGCGATGAAGAAGTGCAGCATCTTTAGAAAATGCCTGGAGAGAAAATGGGAAGAAGTGTCCTCTTGATGGAGGGAGGTAAGTGTGGAGAGACCATCAGTGTTAGCGGTTTGCTAGTAACACGGCCTCAGGCTGTATTTCCAGGATGACTTGAGTACATTTCCTTTTTTGAATTATGACTTAAATTAGTTCCATGTCAACTTTCTCTATTTGCCAACAAGACTTTTTTTCAAGAACCATTTTTACTGATGAATTTATTCTCAGTTCCAAACAAAACTAGTGTGGACAGCTAGCTCACTGTATCCCTTTTTAAGTAGTGATGAAATATTTTAATCTTTTTGGGGAGGATAGTTTTATTTAACCCACTTGAGCAGCAATAGAAACATTTAAAGGTAGATTTGCCAAAAAAAAATTGCCATTGTATAGGTCACATAATTTGAATAGTGATATTATACATTCCAGGCGGGGATTAGTTCTTCAGGAGGTTCTGGGATCTCTTTGCTAATCGCTTTTCTCCTGCGTTATCAGTGAGTTGTTTGCTTTTCCCTTCGGCTTCCCGTTTTGCCTACCTCCAACTGTGACTGATCTCTGAGAGTAAGACATTCCAGCCTGAAAACAAACAGGCAGGTACACCCATCCTAAAATTGAGTTACAATTTAGATGTTATCTGGGAATAACCGGATTCTACTGTTCATTTCTCAATGAGCCTCTCCCTAAATTCTTACAAAGGCGTAGAGAAGAAGTGTAGACTCCCAGGCCCCCCAGCATTCAGGGTTAAAGTGACTTTGTAGTGCATCTGAGAGAACTGCTGGATCCCTGGGACGTCCTGGACTGTTACAGGCAAAAAGAAGACTCAGGAGAGGCCGGGCGCGGTGGCTCACGCCTGTAATCCCAGCATTTTGGGAGGCTGAGGCGGGCGGATCACGAGGTCAGGAATTCGAGACCATCCTGGCAAACACGTTAAAACCCGTCTCTACTAAAAATACAAAAAATTAGCCGGGCTTGGTGGCGGGCGCCTGTAGTCCCAGCTACTTGAGAGGCTGAGGCAGGAGAATGACGTGAACCCGGGAGGCGGAGCTTGGAGTGAGCCGAGATCGCGCCACTGCACTCCAGCCTGGGCGACAGAGCGAGACTACGGCTCAAAAAAAAAAGCCTCAGGAGAAATGCTGGATGTTTTTTATTCATATTTGATGGCTGCTTTTGCACACTACAGCACAGAGCATGTCCTCCCAGGCCCCTGACGTGGTCTCTGTCACTAGACTAGTGACTAGTCTCTGTCACTAGTGGTCTCTGTCACCATTTATGTATACACTAGTTCTGTAAAGCCAGCACTTGGAAAGCCAGTCAAGGTCCAGTTAGGTCACGGGTGAATGACATCATTGGCCTTGTGGTTGAGAGGAACTTGGAGAATATGTAAAAGTTATCACCAAGAGATGGTCATTGTAGCAGGAATCACTGCATTTAGCAATAGATTTATTGGATTTTTGGAAACATTTCTCTATTAACAGGAACAGAAAAAAAAATTATTCTTGGGTTTAAAAAAACCTGGCATGGATCTCATGCTGGTGTATCTAAGAGTAAATTCTTCTGTAGACCAGGACACGTGAATGACTGTCACAGAGCCTGGATTGTTAGTGATTCAGTGAGTCCCAGTTAAGTCTTCCTTTTCTAATAGGGCAGTGATAATATGATTATTCAGTGTTTATTCTCTTTCTCTGGCAATTAGGATTGGCTCAAGGCCCCTTAGGTGGTGGTAATTGGGACTTCACAGTTACTAATGAGTAAACATGTTGGCCTCATAGCAAATAGAACCAGTGATTGGCCTAATGTGGGGCGAGTCATTTATGTATCCACGCAACAGACATTTATTAAAAACGGAGGAAGTGCCAGGCCAGACTCCGGCCTAGAATGAGAGAGGGAATTCCTATTGCTTTAGAGCTCGCCTGGTAGTGGGAGACAGTGAGTGGTGGCTCCTGGGAGGAAAATGAACCAGAGGACATAACGGGGAGTGAATGGCTGGGCTGGAGCAGTCAGGGAAGCCTCCTAAGATGACACTGTCGGGGAAGAAAAAAGTCATGTCTTTTCCTCATCCATTACAAGGCTCATGGCTGACACTCCTGTAACAACAGTCAGAGTAATCAGAGAAAAGCGTAACAGACTTATTTGTCAAAGTTTTTTGTGACATGGGAGCCTTCAGAAATGAAGATCCAAAGACCCAGGGAAAACCGTATGTATTTTTATGCCAATGAAGAACGGACAGTCATGCAAAAATGTGATTGGAAGAAAAGGGGGTAATTTATCAAGCATGGGGAATTCAGCAAGACCTGTCTGTTGTGACTCTGGGCCTCTTTGTGCAGCCTTCCTTCCCGCTGGGTGTGGGGCAGGACCACTGTGGAACGCAGGTCTTACGGCCTCCTCTCAGGGAAGGAAGGTCAGTGAGCACCTTCATGACTGTGCTTCCCACTGAAAGGTAGGGAGGATCAGAGCAACCCTCTTGCTTCTGAGGCCTTCTCAGTCTCCTTCAGTTCACAGTGCTCAGGGTCATATTTTCTGAGCCATGACAACATTTAAACTGAGACCTAAACAGGCAGTCAACCAAGAGGAGATCTGGGGAAGGAACGTTCCAGGCACCAGAATTTGATAAGAAGGCCTGTAGGGGGAGTGGGAGGGATGCTCGGTGTGACCAGTGCCTGGGAAATGCATGACAAAGTCATCTAAGAGATCTAAGAGGCAGCAGGAGCCAGATCACACAGGCCTTTGTGAGCAGGGTCCTAGGGCATTGGATTGTAGCCACCAGGAAACATTTCCATGGGAGGAGTTTAAGCAAGGGACATACATGACACAAATTTTTAGAATGTGTGATTACCATACTACTTAAAAGCCATAGAATCCCATTCTCAAAGTTAAAAATTGAGTAAAATCTCTAGCCAGGCACGGTGGCATGCACCTGTATTCCCAGCTACTCAAGAGGCTGAGGCAGGAGGATCACCTGAGTCCAGGAGTTTGAGGCTGCAGTGAGCCGTGATTACAGCGTGTGAACAGACACTGCACTCCAGCCTGGGCAACATAGCAAGACCTGGTTTCTAAAAATAAAGAAAAAGTTAAGTGAAACCTCAATACTGTATATAAAAATACACAAAATATTTATTAGTATGAATTTATGATATGTGTTCAAATTAAGACATTTATTGTTCTAAAGTCAATTGGCGTTAGCAATGAGTTGATTTTTCAAAACGACAAAAATTAGAAGTGAGTGTTATGGAAGACAGTTTGCTTTATATCATCTCTATATCTAGTTTACTTTTGTTTTGTTTTGGGTTGTGTTGAGAAAAGCCTTGAGGGATAAAGATTAGTTGCCAAGTTTGTGTTTTCATACTTTGCCTTGTGACCTCAGACTTTCTCATTTTTGTTCTTGATTATATTTAACTGTTGCTTAAGTATACAAGTCATACAAAGAAGGAACCAACAGTTTGTGTACACACTGTCTCTGAAATCAAAATAGCATCATGTGATAATTGATCTCTTGTTATGTGACTGACATAATATAACAGTCACATGTTCCACACAGACAGGAACATGGATCAGGTAATGCACTTTGTGAGAATAGGCTAGTTGCCAGTATTATTTTATGTGAATGGACACGTAAGAATGCTTGTTTGAAAAATAGCAATATGTAATTACAATTACTAATTACTAATCAGTGACCTATTTGTAAAATCAAAAATAAGAACTTTTATTTAATCTGAGATCCTGACAGAAGCAAGTTAACTTGAAAATATCTCTGGATTTCAATATATTAAGATTTTATATGTATTATATGAAACAATTCGTATGTTCTTATACTAATTAAATATTTTTTAAAAATATTCAATGTATAAAAAATGCAATTTAAAAACGAGTGGCTGAAAGAATAGTAAACAGCACTGTAATCCTAAAAGCTTGTGTTAACTTTACATTTCAATTTAGTCACAAAATACAGATGGATACATTCCTGAAAAAATGTGAAGTCTTTAGTAAGAATAGACATTTTTGAGAGAGTAAGGCACATTTAATTATTTAATATTATACATTTAGTTTAGGAACATAAAATGAATAATTTAAAATTTTAATGATTTTAAAGGTATAATTTAAGAGTTGTACATGTGCTCACTGAATTTACTGATAAATACAACTTTTCATTACTAGTGGAATCAAAAATTTTTAGTTCTCCCATATCTATTTTTTTGGCCAGTTCATCAGAAATACTCAAAGATTTTAGATGGGAGAAATTTTAGATTCTTAAGCTATTTCTAGAATGATGGTGGTTTTGTTTCTCAAAGCATTGATCTGTTGCCCAGACCTTTTGCCCTTCTTGCTCTGTCTCACCTATTCAGAAAGCACTTGCTCTTTAAAAAAGAACTGAGGACAGGAACTGGCTGAATACACTTTTGTCATATGGAACTTTGGGCTTATTGTCTAAGCTATCATCTTTTCACCATCCTCACAAATCTGTTGAAAACTGAAGACTCGCCTGTGACAAATTCCTTTTGCATGTTCCCAATTTATGCACAGTGCTTTTCACATGACGCAGAAGATTGCAGACACGAAAGCACTCAAAAGCAAAGAGACACCGGGGCTGGGTGGGGCACAAGCTTGCTGCCATGTTGCCGGACAAATTGGTTGTATTCTGTGATCAAACATCTAAAGATATTCTGTACACTGGAGCATTTGAGACACAGTGACATTTCAAAGTGAAATCCAAGTGAGCTTTTTTATTTGATAACCCAGAGAAATGCAGTGGCCACACATTTCTGCTCCATTTTGGCCTCTGCTTCTTGGACCCATAAACTATGTGATTGCAATGCAGCCAGCTGGAGATAACATTTCTGCTGTGGCGTCAAGGTTTTTCACTTTAGTTTCTTTGGTATTTGGAAATGAAAATACACCTATGCCCTCAAAAACAATTTATTAATCTTTGTAACTGTACTGTTTTGCAAAAAATGTCTACAAAGTGCACCATTTGATTCCAGATAAATAAATTTCTTTATATGGATCTTCAGGCAATTCTTCCATTAGGCATAGCAGACATCCTCATCTATGTGCCTCAGATTCTCTGTTCTTTTTGTTCCATATAGGATGTCTTTTTCTTCCTTTTTATGTAATATTCTCAAAGGATATAACCACATCATTCCATCAAGTTTACTTCATGGTTTGTGTCAATGCATTATTCTTGCATTTGCTTCTTTCTGGAACACAGCAGTTTATACCATGTTTAGGTTTTATGTTTTCTGACTTTTGTTCTTTTGTAGCTCTGTTGGAGTGAGTCCAACTTATGACATCATTAGCAATGTTTTGTAGGCTCTGGGATGCACCTTCTGTGTGTCTGCTTTGATTTTCTGTGCTGCCTTCATGATAGTGTCCACAGAAAATAATTTTACATTCCTAAAACTGATATATATTCAGCAACATTTTTCATTTACTTACACCATGAAGAACAACAACAAAAGAAAATGAAGTAACAACAGCAAGTGAAAAATCAGATAATAGAGCTAGCAGTAAAGTCTGTAATTTGTTCTCCCAAAACTTTGTTCACCCAACTGAGAGGAGCACAGAACATAATGCACCTGGTTTTGTCTTCTACAAACCATTAACCATTGACATTCTAATCCTTAAAAAAAAATTGCACATAATACCTGCTGAGCAAGTAGCATTATAAGTTTTTAAAAATGCCTGTGAGTAGGCATATCCTGTTGTAGAGAATTATGTTCTAAAAGTACATTTCCTTTATAGAACCTTGGTGAGTTTTCTCCCTAATCTTCAGGGGTCAACTTGGATAAAACTAGGGTTTCTGAGAACTTTCCAGGCATGGTTCCTTTCTTGTAGTTGTGAACTTAAAGGTGTAAATATTGTCATCCTTTATGGAGATGTGAATCCAGGCAAAAGCATGTATCAAACCCTTGCGATTTGCCAGAGGTCAAGCTGAGCATTGAAGAAACAGAGAAACAGTAAGGTAATGATGACAAATAGTAGACAGAGAATGGGAACACAATGTGAAAAACATTTTAATAAAGTGATGAGTGACATTCCAGAGTGCCCAAGGAAAATTAGAATTCCCAAGCAGGTAGTGAAGCAGGGGACGAGAATGACACAGCTGATATAAAAAGTTATCTGGAGCCTGGGTGCAGTGGCTCACACCTATCATCCAAGCACTTTGGGAGGCCGAGGCAGGAGAAAGACTTGAGGCCAGGAGTTCAAGACCAGCCTAGGCAACATAACGAGACCCCCGTCACTACAAAAGTTTTAAAAAAAATTAGCCAGGTGTGGTGGTGCGTGCATGTGGTCCCAGCTACTTAAGAGGCTGAGGCATGGGGATCGTTTGAGCCCAGGAGTTCCAGGCTGCAGTGAGCTGTGATCGCACCACTGCACTCCAGCCTGGGTGACAGAGCAAGAAACCGTCTCAAAAAAAAAAAGTTATCCAGGAGTAATGAAAAGTTTGGTGTGATGGGAGCTGAGAGTCCAGAAAGGTGCTAAGAGGGTAGGTTGGAGCTGGGCCCAGTGGCTCATGCCTGTAATTCCAGCACTTTGGGAGATGAAGGCAGGTGGATCGCTTGAGGTCAGGAGTTCGAGACCAGCCTGGCCAACGTGGTGAAACCCCACCTCTACTAAAAATACAAAAATTAGCCAAGTGTGGTGGTGCACACCTGTAATCCCAGCTACTTGGGAGGCTAAGGCACGAGAATCGCTTGATCCCGGGAGGTAGAGGTTGCAGTAAACCAAGATTGTGTCCTCTAGCCTTGCCGACAGAGTGAGACTTTGTCTCAAAAAAAAAAAAACAAACAAAAACAACAAACAAAAACGAAACAAAACAAAAAAACAAAGAGGTTAGGTTGGATAAGTAAGTGAAGGCCAAATCATAAGACCTGTGATGAAGTTGGGGCTGTATTCTGTAAGCCACGAAGAGTCATCAAAAGCCTCACTTGTGAGAACTAGTTATTGAATGAGATCCTGTGAGTAGAGAATTTATCAAGATCTCGGCAGCATGATCACGCAGAAACAAACAGAAACAAAGGAATGTGTCACCAGGATTCCTCTCTCATGCAGGGCTGTGTTAGGACACACATACTTCATTTGAGATTGTTTGGAAAGTCACCTCTCACCCCCACTCTAGAACAACTTACATTAGAGAAACGTTTTCTTACAGTGGCCTCACACACACCCTTTTGAGGAGAAATGAAAAGCTGTAGTTTAACAACCGCCTTACACGTAAGAACGAAGGAACCAAATGTGCAAATTTAGAATGACATTGCATTGGGCTGACCATAAAGTACCCTCCATCCCCAGGGCACTGCTAATGCGGAGAACGTGGTTTGTCATACAAGACCTACTGGGTAGCTGTTTATTTAGTAGAAATAGTGTATGCTGGTTACAAGAATGGAAAAGAGAATAGAACTAAAATTACTATTATCAACTACATCCAAAAAGCACACAAAAAAATAACCACTAGGTGTATATCTCAAGGTCAGAAGGCCAAAATTAAATAGCCAAGTTCTTTCTTTCTTCTTCATATCCTTTCAGTTCATTCTCTCTGCTGTCACCCCACGCATATACTCATGGTTCCTTAAAGTCTTTCCTTGGGCCAGTGGTTCTTAAAGAACTCTTATGTCAGTAGAAGATGCTTTCAGTTGCCGATACCAGAGACCTCACTTCAAACTGATCTTCAGGATTAGAGAAGCACCTAGCTTGTTTAATTTGAACGTCCCGCTGGGGGGCAGTCATGGTCGATCAATCCCCAGCCAGAATGTCATCAGAGACCCACCAGTCTCTTTCCATCTTTTCACTTTGCCCCCAGTGCTTTATACTGAGTCGGGCCCATGGCCCCTGTGGAAATAACAGGGAGGTGACCCAAAGTAATGGGGACTATGGGCATCCTTGTTCACCAGTGGAGAGGGTGTGTTTGCCCTTGACAACCAATTGACCGAAGTTACTGTTCACCATGCTGGAACCACCCTGAGCCAATCCCTACAGTCCAGGAAATACCATGGTGGGTTGGTTTAGACTTGGATTACCAAAACCTGTCCATGTAGGAAGATTGGGGTGGGGGTATCACTGTGACTATCCATGCTCTTCAGCAGTGAGGGAAGAAATGGATGTTGGAGAGAATATTCACATGTCTCCTTCAGGCCTCTGAGAATTTCATGAAAGCCACGTGCTATATCCCTGTGTGTTAATTTTGCATTCAGTTTTTGGAGGATTCACTAACCCACTGAGGACTGTCATTCTTTTTTTTTCTCTTCAGCTTCATTGAGGTATAATTGACAAATAAAAATTGTATGTATTCAAGGTGTACAACAGATGGTTTGATAGACGTATAGATTGGGAGATGATTGCCACAATCAAGCTAAATACATATCCATCACTTCACAGTTACCCTTGTGTGTGTGGTGAGAACACTGAAGATCTACTCTCAGCACATTTCAAGTATACAATACATTATTATTAACTATAATCATCATGCTATACATTAGCTCTCCAGAACTTACTCATCTTAAAACTGAAAGGTTATACCTTTGGCTAACTTCTTACTATTTTTCTCACTTCTTGACCCCGGGTAACCACCCTTCTTCTCTTTGTTTGTGAGTTTGACTTTTTATGGATTTCACATACAAGTCAGATCATGCAGTGTTTGTCTTTCTGTGCCTGGCTTATTTCACCTAATGTGAAGTCTTCCAGGTTCGTCCATGTTGTCACCAATGGCAAGATTTCCTGTTTTATGGCTGAATAGTATTCCATTGTGTATATGTACCACATTTTCTTTATTCATTCCTCTGTTGATGGACACGTAGGTTGATTCCATATCTTGGTTATTGTAAATAATGCTGCAGTGAACATGGCAGTGCGGATGTCTCTTCAACATACTGATGTTGTCCCCTCTGGATGTATATACCCGGGACTAGGATTGCTGAGTCATATGCTTATTCTCTATTTTTGAATTTTTTGAGGAACCTCCATACTGTTTTCCATAATGGCTACACCATTTTACATTTCCACCAATACTGTAAAGAATAAGGACCATTCTTTACCTTAGAAAAATAACATTGCTTCCCAGAGGCAGAAGTGCACCTTATTCCTAGATTTCAGCACTCTCTGTACTGTTTATCCATTCAGGAGGAACTACAGTGATCAAACACTGGAGATAAATAGTGGTTTTAAGCTTTTATTTCATAATTTTTACAGATGATCTAGAGATAGGCCAAGTAATAATATGTAAATAATTAATTTTAAACATTCAGCTCATTCTTTAAAAAACTCATAGCCCAAATGTTTGTTGGTTGTTTTTTTCCACTGGGAAAGGACGGGGAAATGTAGTTTCCCACTCCTGCGCCCTGTATGTTGTTATATTTTACCATGTCTTTCATAGCAGCCTCCCATCATTGGTTGCCGTAAATCTTTTCACTGACTGTGAGGTACCAAGAGTAAGGTAATTTAGCCAAATTAGTCAGGACAGCCTCACTTTGTGGAGCCCAGGTGAGGCTTTTCAATAAGAGCTGTTCTTCCAACTGGAAAATGCCAACAAGCAACAATGCAGCCAGTCATCTTATTTTGAAGTTTTAAAAGAAAGGGTTTGCCAGAAATACTGGGAAGGTTTAGCAGCTGTTCCACCTGGAAGATGGCAAGGTTCTTGACCTGTGAAGGACCATTTGGCATTGTCTGTCCATGTGCTGATCAGTTTTAAGTAAACCCTGCACTGAAGCAATGAAGAAAGACACTGGCAAAGTCAGCATGCTGTTGCCTCACTCCCCGTCACCACTGTGAAGCCTCCTCTTTTAACATAAGGCCCAGAGAGGATCCAAGATGTTGCCAAGACCACCTGTAGCCACCAGCCATGCAGGGGTGGGGTCATGTTTCTTAACCCACAGCAACACAGGTGATAGGCCTGGTTCTTGATCTGGACAGCCTTCGCATAACACCAGATAACTGAATGCTAATTTTCCTTTCCATTTACCTTAAATCTTAACAGTAACACAACTAACAATAAAAAAGGCACCATGGGATGTGTCCTGCTTGTTCCACAAAGAACTTTTTCCCAGGTGTGGCCTCCCTTGAAAAATGGCTGCACCCTTGGATTTCTTCGTGTGGCTGATTTGCAGATCCATTAGTTACATTCACCTTTGGCTAAAGGCTATGGGATAGTTGATTTACTTTGGATGATGCAGTATTTTTCAAGAGAAGTTTTCATATATTTAGCCCAACTGCTTCGCCACAAGAAACAAAGTCGTAAGTATCTATACAGGTTTACAGAAAATGAAATTTTAGCTCCAGCTACAAAGCGGCTCAGCCAGTTCATGGAGACTTGTCACAGGTTGGTGACTGAGAAGGGTCCACCTGAAACACTTGCATGTCCAGGTCCAGCTGAGCATGCATGCCAGCCTCAGCCGCTGGGGTCCCTGTCTGGTCCTGCAGCATCACGTGGCTCAGATGGCATCTTCGCTGTGAGTGCGAAGACGCTGGGCACCAGCACCTGCACAGGCAGATGGTGAAAGGCCCCCAACTCTCTGGTAATGAGGATGGCAGCCATATGCTTTCTCATGCATCCAGCTCAGCCTCCAACCTACAATACCATAATGATGACATGTGGGAAAGTCTAGGTCCCATGCCACATCCCAGTTAAAATGCATGCACTGGAAAAGGGAGGGGAACTCAGCTGCACACACATTACTTTTTTTCTATGGCCTTTTCTGCATCTACCCAGGACTTAATTGCTAATACTGCCTCCCTCCATGTGGGATGAAGTGGGAGAAGGATCACAGGAAAATACTTCCACCCGTTTGCTGTGGCAGGGCTAGATTCCAAAGTGCCCAGGACTGCTAATTCATTCACCCCTTTGTGACAGCTTATTTACCCACACCCCACCTTATTTCCAAAAGGACTCCAAGTAGCTCAAGAAAGGAATAAAGAGCTATAGTTAAAAAATAATTTCTCAAAGTCCTCTGCCTGTCTCCATGGGCTGGGCTGAACTTTGAGTGACTCACCCACCGTCTGAAGTCCAAGAAACAAATACCCTAGGCTGAGATCTGGAGATTGTTCTATTTGCAATTCTTATGGAGGGAGTTATTATATTCTCCACTGATTGGGCAGTGTGTTTTCCCAGAGAGACAGCATGAAGCAGGCACCTGCATCCACTTTATTCTTTTCCTCTTTGTGAGTCTTGCACGGGCCGTCAGCCTGTTTGTGAACTCTGGCAGGACATGGAGGTCAGCCTGTGCCAAGCACCTTGAACCCTCATTATCTTTAATTAGTGTTTAGGAGGTTAATCGGTGGTGAAGCTCATCTTTCTTTAATTACTTCAACAATTCAGTCAGGGGGTCCCTGCAGCCAGCTTTGAATTATTCTGTTTGTTTGGATGCTTATTTGAATTTGTAAAGTTGGATGTTTATTGTCCAGACCTAGACCCTGTGTGCATTGAAGAAAGTGTTAGGGAAAGAGGAGAGACGAGTATGGGGAAGGTTATTTTTATTGCAATTAATTTGCAGCTGAATGAGCCCAGAAAGTTTGCAGTTTTAAAAGTGCATCACAGTCATATCAGAGATATCAATGATTCAAACTGGATCCAAATCTTCCTAAGCTCCAATTAGCACATTTATTTTATTTTTCATACAAGGATAAGTTCACATTCAAATAATTAGTTGATTAAAAAATATTATTAGGTCTCTACTCCATGTCTTGACATCTTAGGTGCTTTGTCCAGTCACATTTAATTTTCAGTATTGTACATGATAAAGCTACCAACTTTGGGAAATTATATTCCAGCCCAAAGCCTTGCTTCAGAAACTCTCCTTAATGCCTGGCTGACATTTCCTTTTCTTTTTTTCTAGCACCTTATGCTCATTCTCTCCTCTATTTATTTTCAGTGACCACCAGACACTTTAAAGTTGATCTATATTTACCTTTTTATAAGGATCCTTCCCACCCTCCATTTCTTTCCTTCCTCCTCACTTCCACCTACTTGTTCCTTCAACGTGGCCATTGTTCTCATGCTTCCCGGAAGGGTGAACTTTGGCTAAAGTCATGATTTCCACTCAACAGGACAGTAACTCTCAGCCACATTGTGCCTCTGTCTGCAAAGTATCCACTGTTCTTTGGCAAAGTTAGGATGTAGCCTTGGTAATCCTTTGGCCCTGGAGATTGTGTTTTTAACAAAGCACCTCCCTTAGAGCGGGTTTTAGAAAGTCAGCAGGCCAGCGCCTCCCTTCCCCTTCCAGGAAGAAGCAGAATCTCAGACATGGTTTCAGGGAGGTGCTCCCAGGAGCCTCTGGCAGGAGAAAGGCCTTGTGGCCTTGCCATTTCCATCTTTGTCTTTGCGTTTATACGTTGGCCCAGCCTACATTGACTCTTTCATCGCTTCACTTCTTCAGTCCTTCAACAAATAGTTTTTGAGCATCCACTGTGCACCAGGCACTGTTTTGGGTGCCAAGCATGTAACTGTAAAAAAAAAAAAAAAAAAAAAGCAAAATTCCTGCCCTCATAGAACTTACATTCTAATGAGGAACACAGACAGTACACACAAACTATGTCGTGAAAAGTGTGGCATGGAAAACCAAGCTAGATGTGGGTGCAGACAGTGATGAGGGGAGGGTTTCTGGGAAGCTGGTCTGGGAAGTCTGGTCTGAGTGAACTGAGGGAGAGAGACTTGTCCACGGGAAGAACATCCCAGGCCAAGGGAAAGCATATGCAAAGGCCCTGAGGTGGGAAACCAGAGTGATCCAGGAACTTGCAAGGATGGCCATGTGGCCAGCTGGGGCAGAGGGAGGGAGGGAAGCACAGTAGGAAATAGCGTTGAGAGGAAGCCAGGGTCCTTGCGTTTATTGTATGATTCTGAGTAGGTAAGCAGCATGGTCCTGTTTGTGGATATAGAATTTTAACAGAACTTTCTGCTTATAAAGCTGCATCTTTGTGATTAACTTAGAGCTTCACTGCTATAGTATGTTTTCTCCATTTCCCAAATGCCCCTATTTGTAAATGCACAGAGCCTAGACTATTCTTCACTTGCTTGGTGACACCCAGGCCTTTTCAACCCGTGGCACGGCATTTTGCTTGGGGTCTCTCCAGGTCAGCCAGGTGCCCTGCTAATTTATCTGTTCCTAGCAGCCCCGTGACTCCAACCTGACCTTTTCATAGGCTTGCCGACAGGACCACGGAGCTCAGCCTTGCAAGTCGTGGAATGAGGTGATGGTTTCCATATGTGCTGGGGCTGTCATTCAAATTCTTTGCCTGCTCAGCTAATGAGGTCAGAACGGCTCTGCCTGAGGTGGACAGCCTCTCCCTCGGGTAGTGTGCCTGCAGGAGATACAGGAGGAAGTCTCCCCACCCGCTTTAAAGGAAGCTTGGCGAGATAGCATTGCTTAGCACTGTTCACAAAAGGATAACTGCAGAAAAACATGAAATAAAAGGGAATAGAAGGGAAGAGACAGACTGACTTTTTTAATTTAAACTTTTTATTTGGAGATAATTGTGGCTTCATAGGCAGTTGTAAAAAATAATAGAAAGCTCGCATATACCCTTTACTCAGTTTCCTTAAATGGTAACATCTTACAAAACTGTAGTACAGTATCACAACCAGGAAACTGACACTGACACAGTCAACACAAAACATACCCATCACCACAAGGACCACTTCCTCCCTACCCTTTCCATCCCGCCATTGTGCTTTTATAGGTACCCCTACTTTCTATTCATTCCTTAACTCCTGGCAACCATTAACTGTTCTCCATTTCTATGATTTTGTCGTTTCAAGAATGGCATATACATGGAATCTTATAACGTGTAACCTTTTGTTAGTGACATTTTCTTTCAGCATAATTCTCTGGAGTTTCATCCAGGTTGTTGCATGTGTCCATAGTTTCTTCCTGTTTACTGCTGAGTAATATTCCACCCAATGCATGTACCACGCGTTGCTTGACCATTCATCCGTTGAAGGAGATCTGGATTTCCAGTTTTTGCTCTTATACATAAAACTCTTACAAACATTTGTTTACTGGCTTTTATGTCAATATTAGGTCTTAATTTTTCTGGGATAAATGTCCAGGAGTGCAATAGCTGGGTTTATAGTAGATGCATATTTAGTTTTACTTTTAGGTTTTTTTTTTTTTTTCAATAACAACCATGTATTTAGCTCATGATTCTGTGGGTTGACAGTTTGGGCTGCACATTAGTGGAGGGTTACCTGATTTGTGTGTGTGTGAGACATAATTCAAACACATAAACTTCACCATTTTAAAGTGTATAATTCAGTGGTTTTTAGTATTTTCACAAGGTTGTGGTATGTTTGGTTTTTAAACAAACTGCCAAGCTGTTTTTCAGAGTGGGCATACCATTTTACATTTTCATCATGATGCATGAGTGATCTAGTTTTTCTATATCCTTGCCAGCATTCAGTGCTGTCCTTTTTTTTTTTTTTTTTTTAATTTTAGCCATAGGGATTGCTGCTTAGTGATCTCTCTTTGTGGTTTTAGTCTGTGTTTTCCTAATGGTTAATGATGTGAACATCTTTTCATGTGTTTATTTGCCAACTATAGTCACTCTGGTGAAACGTCTTTTCATGGCCTTTGACCATTTTCTAATGGGATTCTTTGTTTTGTTTTATATTGAGTTTTGAGAGTTATTTATATGTTCTAGATGTTAGTTCTTTGTGAGACATGTGGCTTACAAATATTTTCTCCCATTCTGTACCATGTTCTTTCAGCCTCCTAATAGGGCCTTTCATAGAAGAAAAGTTAATTTTAGTGAAGTCCAAATATCAATTTTTCTTTGTGAATTATGCTTTTGGTGTCAAGTCTAAGAGAACTCTGCTTAGCCCTAGATTTCAAAGATACTCTCCTATTTTTTTCCTAAAAGTTGTATAGTTTTTTTTTTGTTTGTTTTTTTAATTATACTTTAAGTTTTAGGGTACATGTGCACATTGTGCAGGTTAGTTACATATGTATACATGTGCCATGCTGGTGCGCTGCACCCACTAACTCGTCATCTAGCATTAGGTATATCTCCCAATGCTATCCCTCCCCCCTTCCCCCACCCCACCACAGTCCCCAGAGTGTGATATTCCCCTTCCTGTGTCCATGTGATCTCATTGTTCAATTCCCACCTATGAGTGAGAATATGCGGTGTTTGGTTTTTTGTTCTTGCGATAGTTTACTGAGAATGATGATTTCCAATTTCATCCATGTCCCTACAAAGGACATGAACTCATCATTTTTTATGGCTGCATAGTATTCCATGGTGTATATGTCCCACATTTTCTTAATCCAGTCTATCATTGTTGGACATTTGGGTTGGTTCCAAGTCTTTGCTATTGTGAATAATGCCTCAATAAACATACGTGTGCATGTGTCTTTATAGCAGCATGATTTATAGTCATTTGGGTATATACCCAGTAATGGGATGGCTGGGTCAAATGGTATTTCTAGTTCTAGATCCCTGAGGAATCGCCACACTGCTATGACAAACCCACAGCCAATATCATACTGAATGGGCAAAAACTGGAAGCATTCCCTTTGAAAACTGGCACAAGACAGGGTTGCCCTCTCTCACCACTCCTATTCAACATAGTGTTGGAAGTTCTGGCCAGGGCAATTAGGCAGGAGAAGGAAATAAAGGGTATTCAATTAGGAAAAGAGGAAGTCAAATTGTCTCTGTTTGCAAAAGTTGTATAGTTTTATATTTTACTTTCAAGTATGTATGCTGAGTTAATTTTTGTGTAAGGTATGAGATTTAGATCAAAGTTCTTTTTTTCTGTGCATATATAGTTGTTCCAGCACCATTTGTCAAAAAGGCTTTCTTCCACTGAATTGCTTTTGCACCTTTGTCAAAAATCAGATGGGTATGTTTATGTGAGCCTGTTTTTTGTTTCTGTCTTCTAGTCTATTTATCTGTTTATTTCTTTATGAATGCCACACTGTCTTGATTATTGTAATTATATCATAAGTCTTGAAATCAGATACACTGATTTCTTCCATTTCATTCTTCTTTTCCAAAATTTTAACAATTGTTCTTTTACCTTTCCGTATATACTTTTTGGAATGGTCTCATCTGTAACGACAAAAAATGGTTGAGATTTTGACAGGAATTGCTTTAAATCTGTATATCAATTTGGAGAATTAACGTCTTTACTATGCTGTGTTTTCCAATCCATGAAAATGGTAAGTCTCTCCATTTGTTTAGATTTTCTTTGATTTCTTTCATCAGCATTGTGTAGCTTTTAGCACACAAGTTTTGTAAATGTTTTGCTCTGTTTGCGCCTCAGTATTTCATATATTTTTGAACGATCCCAAATTGCATTGTATTTTAAATTTTAGCATCTGTGTGTTCATTGATAATACATAGAAATACAACTGATTTTTGTATGTTGATCTTACATCATGTACTTTGATGAACTGACTTATTAGTACTAGGAGTTTTATATCTATACATAAATATATATATATACATATTTATGTGTGCATATATATGTATTTCTTGGGATTTTCCAGACAATTATGTCATCTGCAAATAGCTACAATTTTATTACTTCCTTTCTGGTCCCTGTATTTTTTATTTCCTTTTCTTGTGTTATTGCACTAGCTAGAACTTCTAGCACAGTGTTGAATAAAAGTGGTGAAAATGGTCATCCTTGCCTTGTTCCCAATATTTGGGAGAAATCATTCAACTTTTTATCATAAAGTGTGGTGCTAGCTGCAGGTGTTTTTGTAGATGCTCTTTGTCAAGTTGGGGGAGTTCTTTTCTTAATTTGCTAAGAGATTTTTTGTTTGTTTTTAACTCATGAATGGGTGTTGAATTTTGTAAAATGCTTTATCTGCATGAACCAATATGAGTGTGTTTTTTTTCTCTTTAGCCTGTTAACATGGTAGATTACATTGATTTCTGAATATTGAACCATCCTTGTATCTCTGTAATCTCCACTTGATTGTGTTGTGTAATTCTTGTTATATGTTGATGAATTGCACTTACTAATGTCAGGTTTTTTTGCATCTATGTTTGTAAGGTACATTGGACTGGGGCTTTCTTTTTTTGTAATGTCTTTGTATGGACTGGTATAGTATAATAGTAGCTTCATAAATAAATTGGGAAGTGTCTTTTCCTTTTCTGTTTTCTGGAAGAGATTATGTAGAACTGGTGGTAAGTCTTCTTTAAACTTTTGGTAAAATTCTCCAGTGAGGCCATATAAATTCAATTTCCTTAATATTTAGAGAGCTATTAAAATTATTTCAAATTGTGTGAATTTTGGTAGTCTTTGTTTTTCAAGGAATTGGTCCATTTCATCTGGTTTGTCAAACACATGTGTAGAATTGTTTCTGGTATCCTACAATTATCTTTTTGATATTTGCAAGGTTTGAGTAATATCTCACTTAATTCCTAATATTGGTAATGTGTGTCTTCTCTTTTTTTTTTCTTTGTAAGTATTGCTAGAAGTTTGTTAATTTTATTGTTCTTTTCAAATAAGAAGCTCAATAAAGAGCTTTTTTATTGTTTCTCTGTTTTTAACCTATCAGTTTTTATTCTTAATGATTTCCTTCCTTCTGCTTGCTTTGGGTTTATTTTGCTCTTCTTTTCTAGTTTCTTCATGTGAGAACTTGGAATTCTTTAATTTTTTTTAATATATAGATTAACTGCTATGAATTTCCCTCACAGCACTGTTTTAACCATGTACCACAAATTGTAATGTATTTTCTTTTTCATTTAATTCAGTAATTTTTTATTTGTCTTAAGGCTTTTTCTTTATCCTTTATTATTTGGAAGTGTGTTATTAATTTCCAAGTGTTTGAAGATTTTTCTGTTATCTTTTTTATTTATTTCTAGTTTGATTCCATTGTGTTTGTAGCATGTATTGTGTATAACTTTTAAGTGTGTTGAAGTTTGTTTTATGGCCCAGAATATTCTATTTCTTGTTATATATTCCATGTGCACATGGAAAGAATGTGCATTCTGTTGTTATTAGGTAGAGTGTGGCATGAATATATCCTGTTGGTTGATGGCGTTTGGCAGTTCTTTAAATTTTATTGATGATTTTCCATTTGTACTATCCATTGTTGAATGAGGGATATTGAAAAATTCAACTATAATTGTGAATTAGTCTATTTCTTATTTCAGTTCTATCAGTTTTAGCTTCACATATTTTGCAGCTCTGTTACTTGGTGCATAGACATTCAGGATTGCTATGTATTCTGAATGGATTGATCCTTTTGTCATTGCATAATGTCCTTCATTTTCTCCAGTAAGTTACTTTGCTCTAAAGACCACTTTATCTAATATTAATATAGTTACTTAGGTTTTATTTTGATTAATGTTTGCATGATGTATCTTTTCCATCATTTTCTATCTGCCTATATCATTATATTTGAAGCTAGCTTCTAAAAGGCAGTATGTAATTGGCTCATGTTTTTAAATTCACCATGTCATTCTGTATCTTTTAATTGGCATATTTATACCATTTATATTTAATTTATTGCTGATATGTTGGGGCATATGTCTGCCATTTTACCTTTTTGAGCCATCACACCTAGCTCTACATACATTTAAAACCATATCAGACCATGTATAATTTTCACTTTAACTCATCAAACATAATTTGGAGAAATCAAGAGCAAAAGAAAAGCTTCTTGTATTTACTCATATTTTGCTTACTATATTCTTTCTTTTTTATGTTCCAAGATTTCTTCTTTTATCATTTCCTTTTTGTTTATAGAACTTTCTTATTATTATTTTTTATTTTTTGAGATGGAGTCTTACTCTGTTGCCCAGGCTAGAGTGTGGCGGTGTGATCTCAGCTCACTGCAACCTCCGCACTCTGGCGTTCAAGCAATTCTCCTGCCTCAGCCTCCTAAGTAGCTGGTATTACAGGTGTGCACCACCATGCCTGGCTAATTTTTTTTTGAGACGGAGTCTCACTCTGTTGCCCAGGCTGGAGTGCAGTGGCACAATCTCAGCTCACCGCAACCTCTACCTCCTGGGTTCAAGCATTTCTTCTGCCTCAGCCTCCCAAGTAGCTGGGATTATAGGCACCTGCCAACACACCTGGCTAATTTTTGTATTTTTAGTAGAGACAAGGTTTCACCACATTAGCCAGGCTGGTCTCGAACTCCTGACCTCAGATGATCCTCCCACCTCGGCCTCCCAAAATGCTGGGATTACAGGCGTGAGCCACCATGCCCAGCCCATCTTTGTATTTTTAGTAGAGACAGGGTTTCACCATGTTGGCCAGACTGTTCTTGAACTCCTGACCTCAAGTGATCCTCCTGCCTTGGCCTCCCAAAGTGCTGGGATTACAGGTGTGAGCCACCGTGCCCCCACCTTATAGGACTTTCTTTAGCTATTCCTGTAAGATCGTTCTGGTGGTGACAAATTTTCTTAGTTTTCCTTCCATTCAAGAGATTTCTTTTTCATTCCTGAAAGATATTTTCACTGGGTTGACAGTTCTGTTCTTTCAGCACCTGAAAAATGTTGTGCCAGTTGCTCTGGCCTCAGTGGTTTCTGATGAGAAATCCACTGTCAACCTACGTGGTTTTCCTCTATTGGTGTCATTTCTCTTTGGCTGCCTTTGGAATCTTTGTCGTTGGTTTTTGGCAGTGTAATTAAAATCTGTCTTGTTGTGGATTTCTTTGAGTTTATCCTCTTTAGAATTGCTCTGTAAGTTTATATTGTTCATCAAAATTGGGACATTTTCAGCCACTATTTCTGAGTGCTCTTTTAGCCCTGCCGTATTTCTCCTCTTTTTCTGAGACTCTGAAGACGTGAATGTTAGATCTTCTATTATATTCTTACAGGCTCCCAAGGCTCTGTTAATTTTTATAGTCTATTTTGTCTCTATTACTCAGACTGGGTAATTTCTACTGTTCTATTTTTCAGTTCACTAACGATTTCCTCTGTCCCCTGCATTCTGCTGTTGAGCCCATCCACTGAGGTTTTTATTTCAGTTGTTATATTTTTCCGTTCTGAAATTTCCTATTTGTTCTTTTAAGTCTTATATTTCTTGGCTGCGGCTTTCTATTTTTTTTCTTTTAAGTGTGTTCATAATTACTTATTGAAACATTTTTACCATGGCTACTTTAAAATCTTTGTCAGACAATTCCACTGTTTCTGACGTCTTGGTGTTAGCATCTATTGATCATTTTTATTTTTCTCCCTGTTTGAGATCTTCCTGGTTTATGGTAAAATAAGTGATTTTCAAATGAAACCTGGACATTTTGGCTATTATGCTATGGACTCTGGATTTCATGGCAGCCTGGCTCCTGCCGGGTAGAGGTAATCCAGATTCACTAATGGCCTCTGTTTATGTCTTCAGGGTAGGGATGGGAGCTCCTGCTCTCCAGGTGCAGGGGTCCTGATTCTCCATAAGACCTTTTCTGACATCACCCAGTGAAGAGGGAAAAGGATGCCTTCACATTTCACTGGGTTGGGGATGGAAGTCTAGTCATCCGAAGTGATCTCTGCTGACATCCCAGAAGGGAGGGGTCCTTATTGGCTGGCAGGGATGAAAGTCAAGGATCCCTGCTTGGTCTTCTTTTTCACCTCCCCATAAGGGTGTTGGAGAGCCTCATAACAGTCTCCTAAGGGAAGAAGTCTAAGAGCACCACTAGGTCTTTGCTGGCATGGGTTGGGGGTGAGGGGGCCACCTTTTTCTCTGGGGTATCTGGCTGCAGATGAGTACTTCAGGCCTGAAAGTTTTCTGTCTTGCTAGGCTGCCCCTTTCCTGTTCCTTTGTCTGGAGAGAAAAGGCATTTGCTAGGTAGGCTTCTTTGTTCATGCCTGTGGACATTCAGAATCGTCCTCTGCCTCTACTGGGAAAACCTTGTCTGGGACAGAGGAAATCAAGCACTGTGCTGCTACAAGCCTCTCTTCTCTCCAGTGCCCAGTTTTTATTATTAGAGGAAAGTTGGGTCCAGGGAGGACTGGAGGAATCTGTTGTTTATTTTTGGAACGGAATTTGTATTAGGGTTAGTTAACCTTGAACCCTATGGTGTCTTCAGCCAGAATGTCCCCCAAACTGTCCCATGTAACCTGAATTCTTAAAAAATTACAATGTTTCATCTCTATAAATCCACAAACACTGCTCACAATATCTTCTGGAATTTGGAGTGAGCTTTTCTCTCTGGAAGAGAATAGGGACAATGTCCATATTCTGGCATTTTAAAAGAATAATACAGAGGAATTTACCTTGGCCACTATTGGAAAACCTACTGTGTCCTGAGCTCAATGCTGGGCGTTATGGATAGACACGAGACAAATGGTGAAGGATTGAGTTGTGGAGACACAACATAAGAAGAGAGTCGCACCACAAATCAGTTAATACAAAGCACACATGCAATTTTACATATTGAACCGTGTCCTCTGTTTTCAGCCCAGGATAGGTACTGTGAAAAACATAACAAAAAGTGTAAGACTTGGTTCCGGCTGAATGAACCCTCTAGTTGAACACACAGATGGTGTGCTGGTGTTTTCCAGGGATCACTAGGCACAGTGCTGCTTCTCAGTCTACCAGCTCTCCATGGGTTTCTACAAGCTGAGTCCAAAGTTGCATCTCAGCTTTGACCTCTCTCTGGTCCCCTGTCTTCTGAACACCTCAGAGGCGCTCACAGGCCCCACATCTGAAACTGGATTCATTGCTGTTCCTGCTGAACCTTTTTCTCCTCCTGTGTTTGCATCTGGATGGTCAGCAAAGGGCCATCCATTGTTCAGGACCCAGCTTCAGTGCTGATTCTCTCTGCCCTGCTCCAAGTTCTTCACTCCTCCACGTCACCTCTCCTGAGCCTAGCACAATCTCTGTAAGGGCATCATCACCTTATAGCATGGTAAGTGTCTGCACGGCGAGGTCACCTTAAAGACTGTGAGTTCATGAGGGCAGAGGCTGTGTCTTGGGTAACTTTGTTTCCAACATTGGGTCTCACACACAGTAGGCGCAGTACAAATGCTGAATTAATGGGAGGTCAAGAGGTCATGTTTTTAAAAAGAAGATGCATATGGATTGGCAGAAAGGGGAAAGGAGAATCATCTACTACCATCTAACAGAATGGAATTTCTGGAGGGCTCGTAGTTCCGTGGTATATAAAATAAATATAACTCTTATTGAAGTTTTAGGCTGGAAAACCGATTTTGTTTTTGTTTTATTCTTGTGATTTTCCTTCATTACATAAGTGTCTTTAACTAAGGTAAAGTTTTAGATAAAACAAAGGTCTAGGTAGGTCTGGAATACACTTGAGCCCCGAAGGTTTTCATTTCCTAATGATAATGAGTAAAATAAGTTGCCAATTGTGGCTATGAAATATCATTCTCTAATAAAGCAGGTTAGAATGTTAACAGCCTGGTGGATTGGTAGATGTTTGGCCTTCCCTGAAGGACAGGGAACTGGGGACCAGCTTTTTTTCTTGAGGGCCTGTCACATCTGTGTTTTGCAGACTGCCCAGTAGCTAATTTAAAAATAAGTTTCTAAAATTACCTACTTGTTTTTGGCTTTGTTGTAGTGTCAGCTGTGATTCCGGTCAGTTGTAACTATTGACAAGATCTAAAATTCAGATTTGGAGTTATTTGCTGTGTACTCCACACTCCCGCTCTTTGGCAGTTATGCATGTGTGATTTTTGCAGGAATAGCTTTCTAACAGAAATGTGGACACAAGAGTTTATTTTTCTCCATCATAACTCAGCTCTCCACTTCTTCCTGAGACTGATCATTTTTTGAGGCAGGAGCATAACACCTTCTCTAGGATTTGTCAGCTTCTAAAAAGAGCCTTTTGTAAGGACTTGTATGAGCTTGGGTTTCACCATCATTACTGGGGAGGCACTAAGACTGCACATATCTCTGGGTGAAGTAATGTCTACACAACACCTTTCATAGCAATAGTTCCCAGCTAGCATACCTGCTTCTGCCAGTACAGAGCCAAAAAAAAAAAAAAAAAAATTAAGTACTTTAATGCCAATACCCCCCACCATGGGAAAAATAAACTGTAAAAATGGCATCATTACCAACAGCTCATGTGATAGGAGGGAACTGACCTTGATTTGGCACCCAATCCACCTTTTTTTAATTCAATTTTCTTTCTCAAAAAAATGTGATAAAATGCACATAGCATAACATTTACTATTTTATAGTTTGCCATACATGGCAGTTGGTAGAGTCACAGTGTTGTATAACCATTACCACTACCTAGTTCCAGAATATTTTCATCTCCCCAAAAGGGAACCCCATATGTGTGACGCAGTCCTTCCCACTTCCTTTCCCCCACCTCCCTGCCCTACAGCCCCTGGCAAACACGAGCCTGTTTTCAGTCTTTACATATTTGCCTATTTTGGACATTTCATATAATCATGTAATACACAGCCTTTGAGGTTGGGCTTCTTTCACTTAGCATAATATTTTCAGTCTTTATCCCTGAAGTATGTATCCATCTGTACCATATTTCTTTATATGGCTGAATAATTCTCCATTGTATGCATAGACCACATTTGCTTACACATTTGTCAGTTGGTGGACATTTGGGTCGTTTCTACTTTTGGCTTTTGTGAATAACGCAGCTAGGGATATTGTACTGGTATCTGTCTGAGTCCATTTTCCATTCATTTGGGTATATTCTTAGGAATGGAATTGGTGAGTGATGAGATAATTCTGTGTCTAACTTACCAAGGAACAGTGGCTGCACCATTTTACATCTCACCAAGTAATGTGCAAGAGTTCCAGTTTCTCCATATCCTCTCCAACACTTATTTTCTGAGTTATTTTGGTTTTGGGGTTTTTTTAATAGCCATCCTAGTATGTGTGAAGTGCTATCTCATGGTAGTTTTGATTTGCATTTCCCTAATGACTAATGATACTGATTATCTTCATGTGCTTTTTGGCTATTGTGTATTTTCTTTGAATAAGGGTCTATTGAAGTCCTTTGCCCATTTTTTAATCAAGTTGTTTGTTTTTTTGCTTTTGAGTTGTAGGTGTTCTTTATATATTCTGGATACTAGACCTTTATCAGATATGATTTGCAAATATTTTCTCCCATTTTGTAGTTGTCTTTTCATTTCCTTGATAATGACCTTTGATGCACAAAAGTTTTTAATTTCCATGAAGTCCCATTTATCTGTCTTTTATTTTGTTACTTGCATTTGGCCATTGCCAAAGCCAAGGTCATAAAGATTTGCCCCTGTATTTTCCTCTAAGATTTATATTGTTCTAGCTCTTATATTTATGCTTTTTATTAATATTAATTAACAAACTGTAATTTATAAGCCTCTGGGGTACAAAGTTATGTTTTGATACAGCTATACAATGTGAAATGATTAAATCAAGCTAATTAACATTGTCATCACCTCACCAACTTATCATTTTTTGTGATGAGACATTTGAAATTTACTCTTAGTTATTCTGAAGTATATAACACATTATTATTGACTATAGTTACCCTGTTGTGCAATAGATCTTAAAACTTACTCCTTTTGATGAGTTCATGTCCTTCATAGCAACATGGATGAAGCTGGAAACCATCATTCTGAGAAAACTATCACAAGGACAGAAAACCAAACACCACATGTTCTCACTCATAGGTGGGAACTGAACAGTGAGAACACTTGGACACGGTGGGGGAACATCACACACCAGGGCCTGTCGTGGGGTGGGGGGATGGGGGAGGGATAGCATCAGGAAAAATACCTAATGTAAATGACAAGTTAATGGGTGCAGCAAACCAACACGGCACATGTATACATATGTAACAAACCTGCAGGCTGTGCACATGTACCCTAGAACTTAAAGTATTAAAAAAAAAAAAAAAACTCACTCCTTTTGTCTAATTGAAATTTTGTACCCTTTGACCAACAGCTCGTCATTCCCTCACTCCTCCACTCTCAACCCCAGCCTCTGGTAACCATCATTGTACTTTCTACTTCTATGAGTTCAACTTTTTAAGATTCCATATATAAATGAGATCATGCAGCACTTGTCTTACTGTGCCCGGTTTATTTCATTTAGCATAGTGTCCTCTTGGTTTATCCATGTTATAGCAAACGATAGGATGTCCTTTTTAAGGCTGAATAGTATTCCACTGTGTGTGTGTGTGTGTGTGTGTGTGTGTGTGTGTGTGTGTGTGTGTATGTACCACAGTTTCTTCATCCACTCATTCATTGATGGACACCTAGGTTGATTTCCTATCATGGCTATTATGAATAATGCTGGAGTGAACAGAGGAGTGCAGATATCCCTTCAGCATACTGATTTCCACTCCTTTGGATTATATACCCAGAAGTGAGATTGCTGGATCATATGATAGTTCTATTTTTAATTTTTTGGAGGAACTTCCACTGTTTTCCATAGTAGCTATACTAATTTGTATTCCCATCAACAGTGTACAGGGGTTCCTTTTTCTCTGCATTCTCACCAATACTTGTTAGCTTTCTTTTTTTTTTTTTAATAATAACCATTCTAACAGATGTGAGGTAATATCTCATTGTGATTTTAACTGGCCTTTCTCTGATGGTTAGTTGTTTGATCATTCTTCATATACCTGTTGGTCATATGTATATCGTCTTTTAAGAAATGTCTATTCAGGTCCTTTGTTTTTTTTTTTAATTGAGCTATGCTTTCTTGATATTGTTTGTGTTCCTTGTGTATTTTGGATATTAACCTCTTATCAGATGTATAGCTTGCAAATATTTTCTCTCACTCTTTAGGTTGTCTCTTCACTCTGTTGATTGTTTCCTTTGCTGTGCAGAAGCTCTATTGTTTGATGTCATCCCATTTGTCTATTTTTGCTTTTGCTGCCTGTGCTTTCAGAGTTATATTCAAAAAATTACTGTCCAGACCAGTGTCATAGACCTTTCCCCTATCTTCCTCCAGCAGTTTTAGTTTCAACTCGTATATATAAGTCTTTAATTCATTTTGAGTTGTTTTTGTATATGGTGTGAGATAAGGGTCAAGTTTCATTCTTCTGCATGTGAATATCCAGTTTGCCACCACCATTTATTAAAGATGCTGCTTTTTCTTCATTGTGTGTTATTAGCACCTTTGTTGAAAATCAGTTGACCATAAATGTACGGGTTTATTTCTGGCAGTCTAGCCTGTTCCGTTGGTCAATGCATCTGTTTTTATGCCAGTACCATGCCATTTTATTTGCAATAGCTTTATAACATATTTTGAACACAGGGAGTGTGATGCCTTCAGCCTTTTTCTTAGTGCTCAAGATTGTTTTGGCTATTGAGGGTCTTTTGTGGTTCCATATAATCTTAAGGATTATCTTTTTCTCTTTCTGTGAAAAATGACATTGCCATTTTGATAGGGATTGCATTGAATCTGTAGATCACTTTGTGTAGTATGATTATTTTAACAATAGTGTTGTTTTACAGTTCATGAGCATAGCATCCCATTTACTTGTATTTTCTGCAATTATTTCATCAGTGTTTTGTAGTTTTCTCTATATAGTCTTTTACCCCTTGATTAAATTTACACTTAAGTATTTTGTGTTGTTGTTGTGCTTGTAAATGGAATTGCTTTCTTAATTTCATTTTTGGATAGTTCATTATTAATATATAAAAACACTACTCATTTCTGTATGTTGATCTTGTATCCTGCAACCTTACTAAATTTACTAGTTCTAAACAGTTTTTTGGTGGAGTCTTTAGGATTTTCTATACATAGCATTATGTGTACCAACAAACAGAGATAATTTTGCTTTTTTCTTTCCTATCAGGATACCTTATATTACCCTCTTGCCTAATGGCTCTGGCTGGGACTTTCAGTTCTATGTTGAAAAGAATTGGCAAGAGTGGGCATCCTTGTCTTGTTTCTAACCTTAGAGGAAAAGCTTTCAACTTCTCACCATTGAGTATGATGTTAGCTATGGGTTTGTCATATATCCTTTATTGTGTTGAGATATATTCCCTCTATAACTAATCTGTTGAGTTTTATCATGAAGAGGTGTTGATTGGCTTTTCTGCATCTATTGAGATGATCATATGGTTTTTATATTTCATTTTGTTAATGTAGTGTTTATAGATTTGTGTATATTGAACCATCCTTGTATCCCAGGCACAAATCCCACATGACCATGGTGAATGATTCTTTCAATGTGTTGTTAAGTTCAGTTTGCTAATATTTTGTTGAGGATTTTTGTATATATAGTCATCAGGGATATTAGCCTGTAATTTTTTTTCTTGTGATTCCTTGTCTGGCTTTGGTATCAGGGTAATGCTGACTTTGTAAAATGGGTTTGGAAGTATCCCTTCCACTTCAGTATTTTGGAAAAGTTTGAGAATTGGTATTAGTTCTTTAAGTGTTTGGTAGAATTCAGAAGAGCAGCCATCAGGTCTTGGCCTTTTCTTTGATGGGAGATTTTTTACTAGAGATCCAATCTCCTTCCTTGTTATTGGTCAGTTGTGATAGGTTGTAAGTGTCTAGGAACTTAACATTTCTTCTAGATTATCCAATTTGTTGCCATATGATTGTTTGTAGTAATATCTAATGACCCTTTATGTTTCTGTGGTATCTGTTATAGTGTCTCAACTTTCAATTCTCACTTTATTTGCGTCTCTCCTTTTTTTCCTAGTCAGTCTAGCTAGGAGTTTGTAGATCTTATCTTTGGAAAAAAACAACTTTTAGTTTCACTGATATTTTTCCATTGTTTTTGTAGTCTCTGTTTCATTTATTTCTGCTCTGGTCTTTTTTGTTTCCTTCCTTCTGCCAACTTTAGGCTTAGTTTGTTCTTCCTTTTGTAGTTCCTCAAAGTGTAACATTAGGTTGTTTATTTCTTCTCTTTTGATATAGACATTTATTTCTATAAGTTCCCTTCTTAAGATTGCTTTTGCTGCAACCCATAAATTTAGATATGCTGTGTTTCCATTTTCATTTGTTTCAAATATATTTATATCTTTGATCCATTTTAAGTTAATTTTTGTATGTGGTGGGAAGGGCCCAATTCCATTGTTTGGCATGTAGAAATCTAGTTGTCCCAGCACCATTTGCTGGAGAGATTATTCTTTTATTATTGAATGGTCTTCACATCCATGTCAAAAATTAAGTGACCATTGATGTATGGGTTTATTTCTGGACTCTCAATTATATTCTCTTGATTTGTAAGTCTATGTCAGTACCATGCTATTTTTATTACTGTAGTTTAGTAATAAGTTTTGAAATAGGTATGTGTGAGTTCTATGACTTTGTTCTTTTTTCAACATTATTTTGGTTATTTTGGGTCCCTTATAATTCCATGTGAATCTTAAGATCAGCTTTTCTATCTTTGCAAACAAACAAACAAAAAAAACCATTGGGATTTTGATAGGAGTTACACTGAATCTGTAAAACACTTTGACTAGTATTGCTATCTTAACAGTATCATCTTTCAATCTGTGAACACAGGGTATTTTTCAATTTATTTGGGATGTCTTTAATGTTTTCAGAAGTGTTTTATAGTTTTTTTATGTATGAGTGTGGCACCTCTTTGGTTAAAATTATTCCCGAGTATTTTATTCCTTTTGATTATAAATTGGATTGTTTTCTTAATTTTCTTATCAGATTGTACATTGCTATTATATTTGTATACTACTGATTTTTATTGGTTCACCTGGTATCCTGCAACTTTACTGAGTTTATTAACTCCCGTAATTTGAATATGTGTGTTTGTGTATATTCTTCATCATATAAGATCATGTCATGTACAAATAGAGATAGTTTTACTTCTTTCTTTCATATTTGGATGTATTTTATTTCTTTTTCTTGCCAAACTGCTTTGGTTAGAACTTCAGTAAGTTTGTTGAATAGAAGTGCTGAAAGTTGGCATCCTTGTCTTCTTCTTGAACATGGAAAGATGGCTTTCAGTCTTTTACCATTAAGTATGATGTTAACTTTGGGTTTTTTTAAATTAATGCTCTTTTCATGATAAGGAATTTCCCTTATATCTTTAGCATTTTCCACAATAAAAATATCATGAAAGAGTACTGAATTTTGTCAGGTGCTTTTTCTGCATCAATTGAAATGATCATGTGATATTTTTTCCTACATTCTATTAATGCGGTATATTATATTGCTTGATTTTTATATGTTGAACCACCCTTGCATTCCAGGGATAAATCTCATTTGGTCATAGTATATAATTTTTTAAATATACTAAACTTAGTTTGCTAGTATTTTGTTAATTTAGTATTCATATACTGAATTTAGTTTGCTAGAATTTAGTATTTTAAAGAGATTCTCTCTTTAAAAAAAAAAAAGGAAAACATAGATCTAAATTGCTTTTTCTGTGCCAATCTGTACTCCTCTTTTCTTCTCATTATTTCAGAATTAACCAAAGTAAATATTTTGTTGTGTTTTGTTCACCTTTTTTACTTTGTTTTTGTGAACAGATAGCTTCCAAACCATATATAGATGATATAATATTGTAAATGGTAAATGTTATCCTTTCTTACCCATTTCAATCTTGAGCTTTTCCAACATTATTGTTCATGAGAAATTTTAGTTACAACTATTCACAATGGTCTCCTTTCCTCCAAAGAAGAGAAGGGTAAATTGGAAAAATAATGTTCCTTGACATTTCAACATTGGAGTGCATGGAGAAATCAGTGCTTCCTACACCTCCAGTAGAGTGTTTTTATAAGCTCTGGTTCCTGTTTTATGACCTCTAAAGCTTTGTCATATCCTTTGCTGTTTTAAAAGTTTCAGAAAAGGTTGTTCCTAAGGATAGCAAGACTCTGCAAAGAATAGTTCTGTGATCTTGTTCTGTAGACATGGTGTTTTCCAGTAGTTGGTTCAGTGAAATAACAGATTATTTATAGAAACCAGGTGGAGTCAATATGATGGACTGAGCTAACTCAGAAAAGATCCTTCCAAACACACATACATGTTAGGTGAAATATAAACAAAGGCAGGCTCTCAAAACATAACTAAGCTCAAAAGAACGAGAAATAAATCCAGATACCAAAAACAGAGGCATCAAAGCCAGCAGGGTTAGAGGAGGTGAAGCCAAGGAGGCTGCATGGGAGTATCAGACCATGCAAAGGGCTCAGAGGCAGAGGTTTCATGGGTTAATGCAGGGAGAGAACAGCTTAGTCCCATGTGAGATATAACAGAACCCTATGCATAAAGTTGCAAATTTTGTAGGGATGCCATTTTAGTGAAACAGAAACTAGAAAAATTTTTCTCCTTAGATTGACAGAGAAGCAATGAGTCATCCTGTGTGCCCAGGGAAATAGATGAAAGAAAGAATTACCCACTAGAAACTGGAAGCCCATGCTTATATGAGAGGTCCAATTTCAGGCTTCCCAATGCTACATGCTAATATATTAATATACAAATTGATGTAACCCACAGGGCCCTAGCAGAGGCAAAAGAAAACTCATTCTGAAGAACTAGAGCACACACAGGAAATGAACCACAATGAAGTAGAGAGTCCTTCTGTACTAAGGATAGGAAAATTAGCTTCCCACTAGCTGGAATTGCAAGGAAAGTCTGAAAGATTCTATAAAATAGTGATGAAAGAAGATACAGATATCAAAAAGCAAGAGAAGGGTAGTATGTAAGAACAGGTGGATTTGGAAGAAAAATAAAACATATAGACATGAAAAGTCCAGTGATTTAAATTAAAACATATTAGAAAATTTTAAAGTAGTTTAGATAAAGCTGAAGGGAGAAGGGGAATGAAAAACATGGGAGAGATTGAGGGATGTGGAAGATAGAATGAGATCAATATGGAGATACTGTAGATAGAAGCTCCAGGAGAAGGTAAAATAGAGAACGGAGGGGAGGCAGGAATCTCAGTGTTTTCTGTAAGTGAAGATCCACAAACATTCAAGCTGTTGTAGCTTTCCAGACCTGAGCAGCTGAACAGGATATAAAAACAAACCTATAACCAGTCATACTAAATATTGTCATGAAACTACAGCCCATCAAAGACAAAGGGAATTATTGTAAAAGCAACCAGAAGGAAAAGACAGATTCCCTGCAAAAAATGGCAAACTGAGTAGCCTTCAGTGCTGAAGACAAGAAGAGATGGAAAAATCAGAGTTGTGTGTTCTGAAGTGTTTGCATTATTGAAGAAGGGGGTTAAATTATTTTCTAACTTTTGACCTTGTCAAATATGAAGGCTAGAAATGTAAGGGTGACCACTGAAATAAATAATAAAGTATTCCTCTAAACCAAAAAATAAAAGCAAAAAACATGATAAACAGGAAGCATAAAATAAATGACACCATTTATGCGTATTTTTAAATATAATTGGATATTAATTACCCATACATATCTATGAAGCAACAGTATGAAATATAGACTGGAAAGCTGTTTCTTTTTTATGGAAGGGAGAAGAATGGCGAGTATAAGGAATTTATATTTAAGACTTTATTATTTTATTAAAATCTGAAGTAATCATAGTTAGGCCTGGTCCTGACATTTGCAGGACTTGGTATAAGAGTACCAGTGGAGACCTTGAACCACACATAAATATGTGAAAGTTACAAATCAAGCTAGCAAAGAATTCTGTCCCTTCATGATGACACCTTCATAAAGCCTGGTGCGCTTCCTGATTCCTGGCTTATTTGAAGGCCTTAGCCAGAGTAAGGCAGCGTGGGAAAGAGCTCACTCCCTGGACACCCTCTCCATGCTTCAGAACCCCAGCTCTGCCCTGCACTGAGGGCATCTGCGCACGTGTGGTGTGGTGAACATCCCAGCCCACACATCCAGGTTCTGTTCACATCCCCATGCAAAAAGCACCCCTTGGCCACCCCCACAGACCTGGGGTGTGCACATTGGCTATATGGTCTACTTTTAGGGGGATGGAGCTCAGGATGGAGTCAAGTTAGCCTTGGATGGAGGCCTGGGTGGTCATTGAGCAGGGACTTCTAGGGTCCCAAATAACTGAGGTGGTGGATGGCAGGCCTGGGCCATGGGAGGGTGTACCTCCTTGGCTGTGGACCCCTCACAGTGTGTGGAGGAAGGGCTGCGGCACAGAGTGGGTCCCTCTGAAGCAAGAAGTCACATTTTTAAATAATATCTCATTATAGGCTGAGCACAGTGGCTCATGCCTGTAATGCCAGCACTTTCGGAGGCTGAAGTGGGCGGATCACCTGAGGTCAGGAGTTCAAGACCAGTCTGGCCAACATGGCAAAACCCCATCGCTACTAAAAATACAAAAATTAGCCAGGCCTGGTGGCAAGTGCCTGTAATCCCAGCTACTCAGGAGGCTGAGGCAGGAGAATCGCTTGAACCTAGTAGGCAGAGGCTGCAGTGAGCCGAGATTGCGCCACTGCACTCCAGCCTGGGCAACAAGCAAGACTCTGTCTCAAAAACAAAAAGAAAAAAATTAATTATAAAAAAAGAAGACAGAGAAAAGCATTCACCACTCTAGGCGGCATCTAGGCGGCGTCTGCCAGCACAGGAGCCCTGCCAGCAAAGCCCCATCTGACCTTTGTCAAGTTATTTGACACAGCTGAGTCTGTTTTCTCACCTGCCTGGTGAGAGGCCAACATGTATAATTTCAATGATCCCTCCCATTTCTGAGGATCTGTGACATTCTCATAAGCCCCATCATGAGGAGGAGCTTCTGGGATGGCCAGGGTGGTTCAGGAGGCATGTCCCTGTGGTCCAGGGGCATGGGGGCAGAGCCTAGTCCTGCATGGTCTCCAGCTTCTGAGAAAATAATGTGTCAGTTGCCCATTATGTCCCCATGTGGGGCCTGGCTGGTGAGGCTACCCTGGGGCCAGGCAGGGTGAGGGGCCCCCTCTGCACACAGTGCCCTTTATTTTGTGCAGGAGTCATGGCCAGTGCTGGGCACGTGTTGGACAGGGAGGACAGGCCCTTCTTTATACCTGCCACATTCTGAAACCAGGCAGCACAGGGAGCTGTGGACAGTCGGTGATGGCAGCTACACAGAGGGACAGGTGCCACGGGCTCACTCCTCCTGTGTTTGCACAACCATGCCTTCCAGGGCAATTGCTCAGCCAGACCCGGTGAGATTAATTTGGCCCATGGAAGAAAGAGGAGACGGGAGGGAGGACCAGTGTGAAAGGATGGAGAAAGTATTTTTCTTCCTCAGCCATGAGACGTTTTGCCAAGCTTAGCTAGCTGAGGCTCACCCTTAATTGGGAATGAATTAAACATTGTTATTTCAACCAAGGCACTCAGAAATGCCCTCTCCTGGAAATTCAAAATGAACTTCAGCTCAAAGAACTGTGAAGAAGAGCCAGGGCCCCACTCCTCTTTCGATGGCCCTGAGGGAGCTAGGTGGGTCTGCAGTCATGGGAGGGGCCTCCTCAGGCTCCAGGCTCACTGATCGATCGGGGGCAGGGTACATGGGATTCAAGCACCTGCAGCTTCTTCTACAACTCCGTATCCCCTCACGTTCCCACAAACGTAAGGGGGGTCTGTATTTGTCTGCCTGGGCTGCCGCAATAAAGTGCCATAGGCTGTGTGGCTTAAACAGCAGAAATTGAGTTTGTCACAGTCTGGAGGCTGGAAGTCCATACTCGAGCTACTTACAGATTGGTTTCTCATGCGAGCACTCTCCTTGGCTTACAGGTGGCTGTGTGCTCTGTGGTCTTCCCTCCGTGTATGCCTGTGTCCTCATCTCCTCTTCTTATTAGGACAGCAGCCATGCTGGATTAGGGCCCACCCTGATGACCTCATTTCACCTTAATTACCACTTTAAAGGCCCTGTTTCCAAATACAGTCCCATTCTGAGGTACTAGGGGTAAAGACTTCAACATGTGAATTTAGAGGGGACACCATTCAGCCCATAATCTATTATGCCTCTAGGTCACTGGCAAACTCCTGTAATGACAAGCGAAATGAGAGCCTGATAGTAAAAATCAAAGCACTTTGACCTGCCTGGGCAGTTTTCAAGCAGTCCCTTTGGGCTTATAGAAATAAACAGACTGGGCATGGTGGCTCACACCTGTAATCCTAGCACTTTGGGAGGCCGAGGCAGGAGGATCACTTGAAGCCAGGAGTTTGAGACCAGCTTGGGCAGCAAAGCAAGGCCCTGTCTCTGCAAAAAATGTTTAAAATTAGCCAGGTGTGGTGATGCACACCTGGGGTCCCAGCTACTCAGGAGGCTGAGGTGGGAGAGTTGCTTGAGCCCAGGAGTTCGAGGCTGCAGTGAGCTATGATTGTGCCACTGCACTCCAGTCTGGACGACAGTGAGACCCCATCTTTTTAAAAAAATAAAATAGTATAGAAATAGCCAAGCTCCAGAACAGTTCCACATGTCTTCACAGCAGTGGCAACCTTGAAGGGAATAGGTTCAGGAAAGGCAGGGACTGCTCCTTAGCCGTCTGTTTTAGAAGAAAACTCGCCTTGATGTTCATTGGGGTTCAAAATAATCAAGTTCTGCAGAACGAAGCTGGGCTGTGGCTGGGGTCCTGAGGCCTCCGCGGGGCTCTCACCCCGTGCAGGCAGGGGGCTGCAGGCAGGAGTGAGGCGCGGAGATGTTTACCCGGAAACAGGCCTCTCCTTGGAGAAGTGTCCTGAAAAGCCCACGGTCCCGCGGGTATGGACCGGGCACATGCACACTTCAGCGAGCAGGAAGCGCTGGCTAAGGGAGGGACTGGAAACGGCGTTTTCCACAACAGGGAGCCAGCATTGAGGCGCCCAGATGGCATCTGCTGGAAATCACGGGCCGCTGGTGAAGCACCACGCCTTACCCGACGTGGGGAGGTGATCCCCCACCTCATCCCACCCCCTTCTGTCTGTCTCCTTGTGCAACCCGAGTGTTCAGGTGACAAGAGACTGACGCGCTTGCTTTATCCGCAGGCTGAACGAGCGCGACCGCCTGATCAAGAGGCTGGGCCGGAAGACGCCCCCGACGCTGTTCCGGGGCAGCTCCCTGCAGCAGGGCGTCCCGCGTGAGTACCGCGGGCGGGGGCTGATGGAGGAGTGGGTGTCGGTGCGGGGCGGGGGTTGATGAGGAGTTGGGGGAGCGGGCGCTGATGGGGGGCCGGGTGAGTGCTGACGGGGGGTGGGGGCGGGGCGTGCGTTTGGAAGTGGAACTGCAAAATGTGTATTTGGCCCCAGGAACGTGCAGCTTGAGTGTAGGCAATTCCCTGGGACCACAAAATCCGTAAACTTAAAATCCTGGTGTGGTTATGATCCTTCCGTCAGCCTCCCAAGAGGAGTTTTTTAAGGTTGAAGCAGTATGACTTTTAAACTGTTGCCCCTAAAGATAGCAATATGAACTGTTTTGTGTAGTGTTGCCATATTGATTGAAACAATGACCATCATTGGGGAAAAACATCATGCTTCTCCCAGGAAGGCTGCCCCACGTCTAAGCCTGGCGTCCCCCTGCCACCCCCGCCCCCACCTCCAGATTCCAGAGGAGAGTGGGAGGCTGTGAAACATCCCCTCTCCACTGCCCCCGACTTTGGAGCTCAGGGGGAGCTCATGGGCTTGTTTTTAGCAATCCAGTCATCAGATCCCAGCTGAGGCAGATCCAGGCCACCTTCCCCAGGGCCAAGGCCAACCCAGCCCTGCCTCTCTGTGTCCTGCGGCCTTCCCCAGCCCCCTCTCCACCCCCATCACGTGCACACGCCAGCTTTTCCTCCCATACTTACTCCCTGCCTCCCTTTCCCTTCCGGAGGAGTTTAGAGGGAAACGACTGGTAGAAAGAGATGAGTTGGGCCGGACGCGGTGGCTCACGCCTGTAATCCTAGAACTTTCGGAGGCTGAGGTGAGTGGATCACTTGAGGTCAGGGGTTGGAGACCAGCCTGACCGACATGGTGAAACCTCGTCTCTACTAAAAATACAAAATTAGCTGGGCGTGACGGCACATGCCTGTAATCCCAGCTACTTGGGAGGCTGAGGCAGGAGAATCACTTGAACCTAGGAAGCGGAGGTTGCAGCGAGCCGAGGTCATGCCATTGCACTCCAGCCTGGGCAACAAGAGCGAAACTTGGTCTCAAAAAAAAAAAAAAAGAAAGAAAGAAAGAGACAGATTTATGAACGTGAAGAATCATTGTTCACACAGTACAGGCAGTGAAGGATCTGTGTTCTGTTGAGCTCTGCCTGTCAACAGGTATTTGCAGACTTTCTCAATGGAGAGAGAAGGAGGGAGACAGAGTATCATTGCTTTTCAGTAATCTACCCCCTGTCCTCACTTTCCCATGTGGAATATCGTATGGGAAGAAGGGGACTGACATGCTTCTGTCCTTTAATGCTCCACTGCCCTGGGAGGTGGGTAATGCCACCCCAAGGACACAAAGCAGAGGCTCAGGTCAGAAAGTGGGTGGCCCAGCATTGCTCAGTGGCATGCCATGAGGTCTGGATTGCAGCCTCAGACTCTGGCCCAAAAGAGAGGTAAGTCAAGAAGTTTGATGGGACAGGAGTGCTAACTGTAGGGCAGCCCTCTGGAGATGGGCTGCCTGGGTTCCTGTCCCTGCTCCCCTGCTTTTTCGTGACCTTGGGCATGTTACTTAATGTCTGCTTCTGCATCTGTAAAGTTGGGTAATATGAGAACTTACTGGATGCCAGAGGTTCAGTGTAGGTCCTGCCACCCACAGCTGCACAGAAAGCCAATCACTGAAACAACAATTATAGCCAAGGAAGAAGGCTTTATCTGGTGCTATAGCCAAGGAGGTGGCAGATTAGTCTTAAATCCATATCCTTGACTGACTAAAATTAGGGGTTTATATAGCAGGGAAGAAATGTTAACAATGTGTAAGAAAACAGGAATCAGTAGGGGTAAGGAAGCAATCAAGATGAATGAGGGGCTTAGCATCTCGTTGTCTGGATGAGATCATTGGGTGAGTTTCAGATCTTTGCTACTTTTCGAGAGGCCTGTGGGTCCCTACCTAAGGAAGGAACTCAGATAAAACAAATACAAATGTCAAGCTTTAAGACCAGAAGGGTCATTTCTATGTTAAAAAAACAAAAAAACAAAAACAAAACTGTCTATGGGACTATTGGGTTGGTTTCAATTAGGAGGATTAAATGAGATCATAAAGATAAAGTGTCTATATAGGCAATATAGGGTCCAATAAATGTTGGGTATTATTATTCTGCCATTAGCTGAATAATTTTGGGAAACTTAATTTCTCTAAATTTTTATTTTCTCCTGTGGAGAAAAAAGAATTTTAATGATATACATCTTACACAGTCCTGTGAGTCTTCATGACAGCATGTGTAAAGCACCTTCTGTATGCCAGACACAGAGAAAACACATACAGGTTCCCAGAACTCTACAGGGTCTGTTCTGTTGAGCCGTGTTGCCTCTCTGATGAATGTTTCAAAATAACCATAGACAGAATATACACGATATATATGTTGTGATCAAAGACCGAATGAGAATTTTTATGGGAGAGTCATAAATGTCTTAAAGACAACTACTAAATGCTTTTCTTAAGTCAATATTTTGAAGGCCAAAAAAAAATCTACTGAATAAATATAAGAAATAAGAAGGCTTCTGAAATCACACCACATTTTTTAAACATTCAGTGACTAGTACCAGAACCTGATGGATAACTTAGGACGTTTCTGTCACTAACAGCCAGAGAAGATCGTCGGGTGGTCAGAGCTGGTCCTGGGGTGCAGGATGGGCATATAGCAGGTCTCAGCCTTTGATGTTCCGCCTGGGTCTGTCCAGGAAACTAGCAGGAAAAACTCTAATCTTGGTAGTATTTTAGTTCCTGTGAGCCACCAACATACAATATTTGTAATCAGCATTTCCTACACAGTCTGATTTCCTCTTTGTCCCCATGGTCTTCTCATTTCTATGGCTATTAGGAATCTTTCCAGACAGGAAACTGCTATTTTCATTAAGATGCTATCAGAGCACAGATTCAAAGGAATGCTACTTAAGGGGAGTTTTATTCCAAAATAATGAAAAAAAAAGACATAATTTTATGGATTTCACCAAATGTTCTACCCGGAGAAGACAAAACAACTAAGAAATCCGTCTTTCCTCCCACCTCCTTTCACCTACACGATTCTGTTCTCCATTCTGGCTGTGGCTGTTTAAGAAAGCAGATGCTTTAGGAAGCCAGCCAGGGAAAGTTCAGTTAGTTGGGTCCATGAGAGCTCCCTCCAGGCCCCCATCAGGACTTTTCTGGCTGTTAGGACTTCCTGAAACATGAGTGAAAGTAGGGAGTGCAAAGAGCTGGAGGCTTCCTCCGAGCTCCCCGTTTGGATGCAAATGACAGTTAAAGGTTCATTAGGCAGAGCTGGGGAGCAGGTCTGTATCTTCATCCGGTGGGACAGAGGCTGGGCAGGCAGGACTGGTTGAGGGGTGATGGTGTCTGGTTTTCCAGTAAAACTCCTCCCATGACAGCTCTAACTCCCGCCAGGCCTGGTTTCTAAGAGGAAAATGTTTAATCTGAAATTTTATCTGAACATGGGAGGACTCCCTCTCCCAAGATAAACCTATCAGGCCATTCTCCTTTCACTCTTGAATTGTAGAGTCCACTTTCATTCTCGGTTAAGGTTAAGAAAGTCTTAGCGTACAACACGCTGGAAATGTGGTGGTAGGTGCAGCCAATGGGAACTAGGGAGGATGGTGGGAGACATTTAGCACAGACCTCACGTTGCTCTACTTACCCTGGGAGGTTTACAACAGGAGGGGCAACTCTTCTCTGCCTGTCTCTTCAAAGGGAAACCTCGAAACCCTTCCCATCCCAGAGGGGCCAAATCATCCCGCTGCAATCCCATGGGAGGCCCTTGTGGCCATGGCACTAATGCACACAGAAGAAGTGACAGAGTTATGAGCTGAAGAAACCCCCGGAGTTGGGTTTCCAGTAGACACAGGCATGTTATGGAAAACAAGATAAATAAAAGAAAAGGCTTTTGCACCTTCCATTTGAACAGGGAGTAGACTATTCCAAAGGCTAAGATACCTTTCCCGAAAGGACACTCCCTAATTTATTTTTATGTCTCCATGAGTTCCCCCCAACCAGGAGAAAAAAGCAGGCCAAAAGAGGTATAATAGGTAGTTAATTATTCTTTTTGGATGGACTGTTGACACCGACCCTTTCTTTTCTGACGTGGATGCAGAGGCCTCCGTGTTGGTGCAGTGTGAACTAGCACTGACAGAGGGAGAGAATCCTGCAGCCTGGGTGTGACGGGCCATGAACATGTCCTGGAGCCCATAGAGAGGACTGGAGGTTGAGAGAACTTGGGCCTTGCCTGGTCCAGGCCATTTAATTTACAGAAAAGTACATCAAGACCCAGGGAGCTTAAAGATCCCAAAGTCACATGGACAAGTAGCAGCAAGCAAGGACTAGAACCACCCTTTGTTTCCTGGCCACCACCCTGACCCCATGCTGCAGCCACTTGGGGCCACCAGAATCTAAGATGAAAACAAGCGAGTGGAGAAAGACATCTTCAGGGTGGAGAGCTCAGTAGTCCTCAGCTTCCCACCGGAAGAGTTTATAAAAGAGTATGTCCCATTCTTTGGGGTGACTGTTCTTTACTCAGAACCACTTCTGTAGGACTGAGGAGCAGCCCCGGGAGTGGTGCAGCAGCTGTGGAGCCAGTGACGACCCTGCCATTGCAGCTGCTGTTCTGCCAGGCCCCCTCAGGATGACTTCAGATGTGGACTAGAAACGTTCCTTGTTAAAGAACTGGAGAATGGAAATTGTCCAAGTTGACCACAGTACATAGCCTTGTTACTGGAGCAGACGAAGCAGTGTTATTTGCTAGATTTTGCTTTGAAACATCCCAAGGAAAGACGTCTCCTCTTGGACTGCAGTAAAAATGCTTCATAAAGGGCAGCTTGTACAGGATTGGGGATGAGAGTGTGTGTGCCACACGGTGCCAGAGGGAGGCAGGAGGCTGGGGCAGCTCCTCCAAAGCTGGGCAACGGAGGTTTCCTTGTCCCTGCTGCTAATCTCTGATTAAGCAACTTGGTGAAAATCCAAAAGCTCTTAGGAGAACAGGAGTGGTGGCATTTGCTCTTCGGTGCTTGAAAGCAGATCATGTGAAAACTCTAAAGCCCTGAGAATCAAAGCACAGCCACCTACCTGGTCAGGAAGTTCAAGTGCACTAGGTGTGGGCCCAAGGCTGGCACAAGCATATCCGCCCCCAAGGGAGCTCCCCTCCAGGCTGATGCTGCCTTCAGGCTCAGACACCCACCTGCTCCTGTACCCAGCTGTCTGAGGGCTCACAATGGTCTGGGAGCTGCTTCACTGTGGCTACCATGTGGTGGGAATTTTTGGTTTGTAGGTTTTGTTTTGCTAGAAATGGAGGTGAGCAAGTAGACAAAAGCCCCCTGTGGAAGATTCCTCTCTGTTCTGTTCTCTTCTGTTCTGTTCACCCTGGCTCAGCTTGTATCACCTTCTCTCCCGCCCACTGTCTCTTCCTCCTGTGGCCTCACTGGTCTGGGCCCTCCTCCCTGCTGCTCAGCCCATGTCCTCAGTCAACTCTCAGGCCACCTCTGCAGACAAGCCCTTGCCTCCCCCGATAACCCCCCTGAGCCTTTGGGATTCTCAGGCAGTGGCCAGAAGGCATGCTCTCTGGAAGAGCCAGGAAGCCAGCCCAGGACCGGGACTCTCAGTTATGGGAACACACAGAGTAAGAAAACAGCCTGAGTGTCTTCTTTTAAAGTCTCCTCCTCTTCTCCATCCCACGAGGACTCTTCTGTCTTGTTACTGTATGTCTTGATACTCTAGAAATTTCCTTTTTAAGCCAGATGCCTCAGGAAATTAACAGGCAGTCCAGGAACTGATTCATGGGCACCCTTTTCGACTTCTTTTCTCCTTTTAAAGAGTATGACAGTGAACTCACAGCTCCCCTGATAAGTTGTACGCATGCATGGATGGAATTCAAGATTGTCAGGTTTTTTTATTGTGTTGTCTTTTGGCCAGAATGTCTAATTGAGCTGTGGGACTTTTCCAGACCCCTGACACAGAAGGGTTAGCCAATGGAGAGCAGGCCTTATAAATGTCTTTCTGTGGGAAGGGCCAGTTGGAAGAAAAGCCCCACTCTGGGCTTGTGAACACTAAAGCTGGTTCTCAGCTCTAGAGTGTGGACCCTGGGTTTGCTTCCCAGCTCTGCCACTCACGAGGTCTGTGACCTTGGGCAGGTCACAAAAATCTCTGTGCCTCAGTTTTCTCATCTGTGAAGTGGGAGGAGTATAATCCCCTATCTCATAGGGTTTCTGGGAGGATTAAATGAGCTTTATTTTATAGCACAGTGTCTTAGACACATGGCATTTAATGAGTCTTGGCTATTATTTATTTTATTAATAGTATATGAACTGATTGTGTAAGAATAGTCTTTGTATGGCCACAGGTCCAATCAATCACTAAATTCCTTTTGAGTTTATTGTGTAACCTTTTTCTTTACATGGAAACAACCCTACTTTGATTACTTATTACCAGTCCAGATCAGTCTGATTTAAAAACAGGGCTGGGTGTGGTGGCTCAGGCCTGTAATCCCAGCACTTTGGGAGGCCAAGGTGGACAGATTGCTTGAGGTCAGGAGTTTGAGACCAGCCTGGCCAACATGGTGAAACCCCGTCTCTACTAAAAATACAAAAAAAAATAGCTGGGCGTGGTGGTGCATGCCTGTAGCCCTAGCTACTCAAGAGGCTGAAGCAGGAGAATTGCTTGAACCCTGGAGGCAGAAGTTGCAGTGAGCTGGGATCGCGCCACTGCACTCCAGCCTAGGCGGCAGAGCAAGACTCTGTCTCAAATAAATAAACAGGAAGGCTCCAGGTATCACGTGCATTTTGCCAGCTTGCACTATTAGTGTTGTGTGTGTGTTTCCCTGGCATGTTTACAGCTTCATAAATTAGCTGGCTGCCCTACAGCATCAGGCAGACAGGAGTGTTTTTTCTTAATTGGCAGTGGGAAAGTGGAGTCGGGGACCAGTGACCCACTGTGTGTGATTCCCACACTGAGCTCAGCCGCAGCCCCCTAGAAATAGGAAACCTACCCTCAGAGGCTTTCCCTTCCCAGCATCAGCAGCTAGAACCATGGGACCCCAGTTAGCCTGCACACGGCCGCCACGGCCCCTCTATGGCCACAGGTTTCTTCATCTCAAGCCTCCACCTATCCAAGGCTAAGGAGGCCAGATGTCGCACTCACCCGCACGCTGCCAAAAAAAAGCAGCTTATTTTAAACCTAGTGTGCTCCCCCAATTCTCCTGTTAACCAGTTTCTCCTGTGTGCTTCACTTTCAGATGGGTATGCTTTTTCTCAAGAAGAACACGGAGCTGTTAGTCAGGAAGAAGTCATCCGTGCTTATGACACCACCAAAAAGAAATCCAGGAAGAAATAAGACATGAATTTTCCTGACTGATCTTAGGAAAGAGATTCAGTTTGTTGCACCCAGTGTTAACACATCTTTGTCAGAGAAGACTGGCGTCAGCAGCCAAAACACCAGGAAACACATTTCTGTGGCCTTAGCCAAGCAGTTTGTTAGTTACATATTCCCTCGCAAACCTGGAGTGCAGACCACAGGGGAAGCTATCTTTGCCCTCCCAACTCGTCTGCAGTGCTTAGCCTAACTTTTGTTTATGTCGTTATGAAGCATTCAACTGTGCTCTGTGAGGTGTGAAATTAAAAACATTATGTTTCACCAATATTTAAACATCAGTACTAGTTGTCCTGGGAGAAAGGGAAAGGAGTTTTATGTTGCGTGAGAGGCCCATCCTGTGTAATTGGAGCAGGGCACACTTGCTTCCTGTTGAGTTAACTCAGAGGTTAAGTCCAACGGGCCACATGCAGACTTCACTGTAGGCAGGTTGCTCTCCTGCTTTGATTCCTGTTTTGTGTGTAAAATTGGCATAAACTTCTTGATTGCAGTGAAATCACAAAATTCTCTATCGGGGTGGTCAACCTGAGAACATTTATTTGAACCTCTTAGCCACATTTCCAGCAGGGCAAACCAACTGATGCCCTGGAAGAGTCTTCCGCACCCTCTCCAGGTGCACTCGGCCCAGTCCTGCCGCCGTGTCCAGGCGCCCCTCACCCCCACACCTGCTGCATGGCTGGCCACACCACTCAGTGCATGGCGGCCGATGGGCAGCCAACCCAAACCCGCGCCTTTCCTTGTTCCACTGCAGACTCAGATACAGATGCGAAAAATTCCTTCTTCCACCGCCCTTCTCGTTCTGTAAAGAAAGAAAAGAAACATAGCCTTTCTGCATATATTCTAAACGTCTCTCTGCCTCTGTCTGACATGGGGCCACCCCACAGGTCAGAGTGGTGGTAGAACCCCTTCAGGACTCCCAGCCGTGGTCAGGCTCTGAATACTCCCTTCCCAACATCCAGACTGCTGGGCCTTTGGCATCCACTTACATTAGAACCCACGTTTGTTTCAGAGCACATTTTGGACTTTCACTGTTGGGAAATGAATGAATTTATAACATGCCTGCACAGCGAAGGAACACACCTGTCGCTCTTAGCTCTAGAGTCAGAGGATGAGTAAACCCAGATGCAAGAGTATAGGACATTGAGTGGGGAGAACAAGACGACCACAGAAGTCCTCAGAAGGAGAAGGAAGGACACGGAGACACTGAGAGGAGGACACAGAGGAATCGCCACCAGATCTTTGCAGTAGAAACTCTGAAATAGGCCTTGAGACCCAGACAATTGTCATGATCAGCCCAGTGTGTATGAGAGCTTAAACAAGACCTTCACACACAGTTCTAATTGAAAAGAATTCCAAACATTTCAGGGAAACACCTTTTTAAAAAATATACTGACATGGTTTCCTTTCTGTATCCCATCAGTGTTAGACACAGGTACCTATCAGAATACGGCATATCCTGAATTATCTAAGACAAGGAAGTGAAGAGCGGAATCACTGACTTTCCCAACTGCAGAGTCCCACACTTAAATCTCAACAGAACCTAGATGTCTTCAGGCATGAATGTGAGCACCTGGAGCCCTTACTAAACAACCTGCCTGGAGCCCTGTTCTCTGCTCTGGTTGCCAAACCAGATTTTTGGATGGCCTAAATACTTGTGGGCAACTGTTACTGGTGAAAAATGGGAGTGGAGAGCATGTTTTGGATTTTCACTGTGGGGAAATGAATGAATTTATCACATGACTGTGCAGCGAAGGAGCACACCTGTCACTCTTAGCTCTAGAGTCGGAGGATGAGTCAACCCTGTAGGAATGATTGTGCTAAATTAGGAAATAACACTTTAGTGCACTTTGCTTCCTAACCCTTTTTTGTCAGAAATCTACAACCTACTGGGCATGGAAATGATTTAAAATATGATCTGCATTGACTAAGAAAACTCATCCTCACTTATGAGGTGACCAGGATGCAGAGAGGGCCTGAGGGGCAGCAGAACAATGCAATTCACAGGTGAGGCTCCAAAAAGGGCCATTTCTTTCTCCCCAAGGTGCATAGAACATTTTTAAATATCAGAGTACCCAGCAAGACGGAAGGACTGTCATGCAGGAACTCTAACACAAAATGTGCCTATGACTAACACGACAAACCAAGGTGTATGGTTTCTTTGCACACCCAGAAAGGTGATGGCCAAGATACAGAGGAGAAACGAAAACTGGAATTGAATGTGCATTAGGCATCTTAACTATTCATATTTTGTCTCATTTGGGAACTAAGCCTATTTGGAAAGAGTGGATTAGAAATTGAATTCTTTGTCAAACAGTTAGCTCTGTCTTGAACTTGAAGCCTTCCAAATCAGAATTATGTATTTAAGTGTGTGTTTGTGTTTGTTTGGGGTTTTTGTTTCTTACATTAGAGTTCATATTTTCTGGGATTTAAGGATACAGGTGTATTTTCCTATTCTCTTGAGAAGTAGACTAAACAATATTTGCAGTGATGACAGACGCACACAGAAGAAAACATTAGAAGAGATGCCTTTCTATCCTCTCATGTGGTTGAGCATTCTTACAGCCAAATGACTAAATTGGCTGTAAATTGGTTTCTAGGAGGAGCAGCTGTCACTACGTGTGATGTATAATATTTAGCCAGGGCCAACTCAGGGGCTGTGTCATTTGTCCTATCTTTAAATTGAGGTCAGAGTGTCACACACAACCCCTCCCCTGGGGCAGGGTGGACTGGACTAGGTTGCATACGCTGGCTGTCAGCTCAGCAAAAATGCCACATGGGGCTTGTCACTCCGCCAGACACTCACTGACTCACGGGCTGGCAGGTCACGCTCGGTTAGCGCTCCAGGGCCTGACTCTGGATTGAGCTAAACTGGCAGAATCCACTCAGGCCAACCCTTGGTCTACTGCTGTGTACAGACAGCCCAGTCCTGTGTTGAGTCTCTCTTCTCCTGGATGACCCTGCAAAAGGAAGAGACCAGTTGTACTGTGGGCTTAGTTCTGGGTTTCCACTGCACACTGACACGTGCCAGCAAGGGTAGCTGTGGAAAACACGTATCAGGAGAGCAGAGTAGTCTGGATGAATACTCTGTGCTGATCAGAACGGGCTCGGTCATAATTTAGGAGTGGAGCTGATGTGTCTGTCCTGCCTCAGTGCAGAATATTCCAGGCTTCTTGACCAGGGTTATGTTCACCCATCTCCCAACACACACATGCACACATGAAAACAAAAACATGGTAACTCTTTTGGTTCGGCACACCATACAAAACGTGCTTTGGGGCGAGGAGTGCTGTTTCTTTTAACACTTGTAGAGGAATATCCTGAGAAGTGAACCTGGGCTTTGGGAGAGCTCAGCTGAGAATTCTGTTGACATTTTCTTTCCCTTGACAAGGCTTCAGGTTCGTCTCACTATAGGGAGCTGGCTGTGAAAATCAGTAATAACTTGTCAAGAAGCAGTGAAAAATGCGGGGGGGTGGAAAGAGCCTAGGTAACTAATGTCTTATAATGCATATGTATGTAAATATTACAGGATTTAAGGTTGAATTTTTTAAAAAGAAAGTTATAGTCTGTAATTTCCATTTGTTATAATAATGACCTTTAATCTTGTCATTTGGAACCATAAAGCATTTTTATCAGGTACCTCTGTTCCAAGGGATTTATGTCTTAGACCATAGCTGAATTGAATGTTTGCAAAACACTGCTATAGGATAAGGTGGTCTTTAGTTTTGAACGTGTGAAAGGACTGCACACTTTTCAGCCAGGGTTTGAGTTACTGCCCAGGGTCATCGTCTCAAAGTAATTCAAGGAGTGATTTAACATCAGCATTTGAAATGTAGTCTTCATCTCCTGGGATCCATAAAAAAATGTGAACAGGGAAATGGTGGCTAAGCAGAGCCTGAAATAATAACTTGGCAAAGAAATGAGTTTATCAGGTCGAGTCAAAACATGGCATCCCCTGTTACACTCAAGAAATGTTTTCTTCATGTAAATGTTTATACGGGCATATATAATCACAATGGGAACAGTTAAAACCCCCTCCCTTCAAAAAAAGAAAATCTATATCAGTTGGGTTTGGTTTTGGTTCTTCATTGGCTCAAGGCAGTTAACTGTCTCAGTATAGCCTTCGGGGAGATTTAACCTCATTCTAGCCATTTTTCCATCCTGAAGGCCAAGAAGGACTATTAGAAGGGTTTTTGAGGGGTTTCGGAGGTGAGGGCCCAAGACCCCCATAATGACATCATTAGGCATTCTTGAAAGGTGTTAACAGACCAGCACGCTCGATGTGTTGTACCCTTCATTTATTTTTTTTTCTCAGCATCCCAAGTTGTCCATCAGTACATTCCCCTTCACCTTACCTGATCTTCATTTAATGCCCAGTCTGTAACTAATGTTCTGTTTAAAGCTCTCTTAATTTGTTGGCTATGAGTGATTTGTGAATCTGGGATGTAACCCTGAGTGAGGAGAAAAGGGCATTGAGCCAGCATAAATCTGAATGGGCAGAAGCCACAAACAAATGGGAGCAGAAAAGAAGGGCGAGCTCCCCCGCGCCGCACCCCGTGTATAATCCAGTGTTAACCTCTGAGGAACACCTCGGCTCTCCCAACTGAGGAGAGACAAAAGAGGGATTCTTTTTACACCCAGGCTGGCGCATTTTCAAGTGACAATCTCGGGCTCTAGTTGCCTTTGAGATATCCACTCTGCTCTTTCTCCCAGGCCTCAGACCAAGAAAAACATGCTCTCAAGATTAGCCCATAGGCAGTTCTTGTGACCTGGCTGAAGAAAGAAAGGAGACCTGTTTGTTTTAAAAGTCGGGCGCAAAGTGTCAGGTGGCTTTGATTTATGACAGAAAGAGGAAGAAGAAAGTTGGAGTAATAGCACTATCCAAATAACCCTGCCCAGGAAACTTGGGGGTCAAGAGAGCTTATCAAGAGCCTTTTATAGGTAAGCTCTTCCGTGTGAAAGAGAAAAGGCCGGAAAGAGGGAGAGAGCCCAGAGAGCAGGCTGCGAACTCACTTCCAATGGGATTGGAGTCTGTTGTATTCTTAAGAGATAGCCTGATATGTGGTTTATAGGTGAATCAATAAACACCAACAACAACAAAAAAAAAAAAAAAAAAAAAGGAAGAAAAGAAAAAAAGGAAACCAGCCCTGTCATGGAATTTCTCTCCTTCCCTGCACAGTAAAGACTTTTGGGTTTTCATGGATAAAATCAATGTCAGTACTGAAACTCCTACTCTCCCCTCCCGCCCCACTCTCCCCCGTTGCCCGAGATGGCCAAGTTCAGGCCTGTGCAATGCCGCTTCCCTCTGAGCCTCCCTCTCAAGGGCCACGCAGGCAGCTGCAGCAGGGCCAGCTGCAGGATGGGGCTGCCGGTCACTGAATTGTCGTTCAAATGCATCATCTTTGTGGCGTCTTTCTCATGCGAGCAAAGCCACGTGCTCTCCTGTCTGCTGTCACATCTGTGCCTGGATTGCTTAAATATTGTTTGTGATGGGGAGGTTTTAATCTGGTGATGCAGAGGGAAGCAGGGCTGTGGGGGCACGTTTAATTGGCTCCCAGCAGCGTGGGGGGTGCTTCTATGGTGTGTGGGGTTTTTTGTTGCCTCCCTCTAGAAGTGTTACCGTTTTCACGTCCTATTAATGTCCTCTGGTTGTTAAATTACAGCAGCACATTACAGTGCACTGGGTTCCCTCCTGGAGTGAATACAAACGGAGGGCATCTACTTGTATTTTTAGAAGTTTTGGGAGAATTTAGTGATTTGTGGCTTTGATCAATCCTGTTGACTGGTGTATGTCTGCGCAAACCTGTTTCAAATAAATCTTTTGTTAAAGTAAGTGATTGGACTGTTTTATTTTGGAATTTTCTTTTCCACTAATCAGCATTTACTGCCACAGGGACTGCGGCCTGTAACACAGGGGTTTGTCAGCATGTGCAGGCTCAAGGACACATACACTGCCTGGAGAGCCGAGGCCCAGGCAACAGTGTTCACTGGCAGGAGCGCAGGAGAGTCTGAGTTCCAGATGAACACATGTTCCTTGCTCTGAGGCAAGGCCCCATTTTCTAGAAGAGAGTCCAGGGGGCCACACAGAGTTTGGATTCAGTCACTCAAAGGAAAGAATGGTGCTTACAAGACCTCCTTCCTCCATTACTTCCCTCCCTCTAGTTCATCTCATTTGGCTACAAACTGAGGAGGCAGCTCAAATTCAATTGGAAAGCAGGAAGTCATGACATTGTTACTTTAAAAAGAGGAAAGACACCCCTGCCCTTTCTCTCTAGGTACAAGGAGTTGCATTCAGGTAAGCATCCATTGCCTCCAGGTTCTCTGTGATGCCTCAGCCAAGGCAGACTCCTCGCACCCGGGGTAAGGTGGGAGGAAGCTGGCGGGCCCAGATGTTGGCCCCTTGCCTGGCTTTGTTTGGGTAGCTCTCTACTTCCCCAGCAGGGTGTGACCTGGGGATGAAAGACAGCCTGTTAGATGACAGTTCTCTGGTGAGGCTTGAGCCTGGATCCCAAAAGACTTCTTAATTGCACTCTGAATTTATTGCAATTTTCCATAGCGGACTTTGATTCCTCCCAGATGGTCCAGTTCCTATCAGACCTGGATTTGACCAGCCCAAGGCAGTCCTGACCTCAGTGACTGTGTCTCAGGCATGGCAAGGACACGGGAGGCCTCACTTGCAGGCAGAGAGTTCTACAGTTTAGAGCTCACCAGGGAAGGGCTTTCATCTCCTGCTCTACATTGGCCAGGCCTTTTCTTCCCCAATGGTGAGAAAATAAAAATGATTTAATACAATCAACAGCGAAGTGTTAAATTCCAACCTTTGCCATTTCTTGTTCATATCTTTACAAAATCTGCCTTTGCCGCTGCAATGGTTTTCTTGAAATGTCATTCTTCACTGATGCTCAGCAGAATAAACTCGAACCATTGAGAGGCTCTTATTAGCTGAAAACAGTGTGCAGACCCTAACCTCTCTGCCTAAAGCAGTGTTCTTTGTAATGATGTCCTCCGGAAAAGTCTCAGGATACTCTGAAAAATCATTCAGCTTCTGCTACTATTTTCAAAATGTTTATTATGGAAGAGACATATGTAATGTGAGGGGTTAAAGTGTATAGCAAACTTGTCCAACCTGCAGCCAAGGACAGCTTTGAATGCAGTCCAACACAAATTCATAAACTTTGTTAAAATATTACGAATTTTTTTTTTTACACGGAGTTTCACTCTTGTCGCCCAGGCTGGAGTGCAGTGGCACGATCTTGGCTCACTGCAACCTCTGCCTCTCGGGTTCAAGTGATTCTCCTGCCTCAGCCTCCCGAGTAGCTGGGATTACAGGCGCCCGCCACCACACCTGGCTAATTTTTTGTATTTTAGTAAAGACAGGATTTCACCATGTTGGCCAGGCTGGTCTTGAACTCCTGGCCTCAAGTAATCCAACCACCTCAGCCTCCCAAAGTGCTGGGATTACAGGCGCGAGCCACCACACCTGGCCAGTGTTACTGTATTTGATGTGTAGCCCACGACAATTCTTCCAGTGTGGCCCAGGGAAGCCAGAAGATCAGACACCCCTGGATGTATGGCAGAGCAACAGGGCATGTGACGTGGGGCTCCTCTGCCTCTGATATCTTCCACCTCATTTTGTCCCACACGTGAGTCTTTTGAGGGAACTCTCCAGTGCTGGTTGGAATGCCAAGGAGATAATGTTAACTGGGGCTATAGATGAGGCTCTGGAACTTGATTACCAGAGGGGGACAAAAATAAAACCCTTCCACCTACTAAAGCTACAAGCACCAAGCACATCCAGTCCAGCTCAAAAGCATTAAGCTTTCATTTATTAAAAGTAGGCCATGCACGTAAATAAGATGATTTAAAATTCTAAAATTCTTGAGGGTTGGTCTCAAAGCTCCATCTTCAATCTTCAGCTGTTTGTCTCTCTCTACAATGAACTGTTGTTGACTTAAGATTCCAGAGCAATGGATATTTGAAGAAAGGGTGCGCAGGTAATCGTTAAAGCAACAGCGTTGACCTGAACCTTGGATTTGAATTGTCTGCCCCAGGAGTTTCTATATCACTGTCACTAGATAGTTGTCAAAATTTAATGCTACAGGTACTCTCTCCTCTACTCTAAAAAAATGGGTTTTGATTTGAAATATTCTAAATTGCTGAGAAACCCTTCCTGATTTTCCCCCCAATTTTTGTTGTTGTTGTTGAGATGGAGTCTCACTCTGTCACCCAGGCTGGAGTGCAGTGGCGCCATCTCTGCTTACTGCAGCCTCTGCCTCTTGAGTTCAAGTGATTCTCCTGCCTCAGCCTCCTGAGTAGCTGGGACTACAGGCACCACCACTGCCCCCAGCTAATTTTTGTATATTTAGTAGAGACGGGGTTTCACCATGTTGGCCAGGCTGGTCTCTAACTTCTGACCTCGTGATCTGCCCGCCTCGGCCTCCCAAACTGCTGGGATTATAGGGATGAGCCACCGCACCCGACCTTCCCCCAACTTTTAAAACTGTGGTGTATGATTAAAAGCTCTTATGCCTGGCAGGGCGCAGTGGCTGACACCTGTAATCCCAGCACTTTGGGAGGTCAAGGCAGGCAGATCACAAGGTCAGGAGTTTGAGACCAGCCTGGCCAATATGGTGAAACCCCGTCTCTACTAAAAATACAAAAATTAGCCTGGTGTGGTGGCACATACTTGTAGTCCCAGCTACTCAGGAGGCTGAGGCAGAAGAATCGCTTGAACCCAGGAGGTGGAGGTTGCAGTGAGCTGAGATCGCGCCACTGCACTCCAGCCTAAGCGACAGAGCAAGATTCCGTCTCAAAAAAAAAAAAAGCGGGGTGGGGGAGGCTCTTACGCCAACCTAACACATCTTGCCCTGTAGCTGGGAGGCCAGATGGTTGTTGCTTGTCGTTGTTGCTTCCCGAGTGGCCTTGAATGGAGGGTATGACTAGCTGTTAGGAGCTGAAAGAGAACAGCCCAGTAGCCACAAACAAAGCTGTTAAGCTCACTTTTTTTCCCTTCCCAGTGTCCTTAAGAGGAGCTGCCTGCAAATTACTCACAAAGATGGCTGCAGGAAAAGCCCTTGAATTTGTTTCAGTATTACATATAAATTGCATGTGGTTGCAGAGAATGAGATTGGGAGGCCCTTATTCAAGAAACTGCCTCCAAGCAATGTTTTTAATACTTTAGCTGGAAAATGTCTTCATTCAATCTCACTTCCCGATTTATATGATGAAAAACCCCCCTGTAATGCACAGCAGAGAGCTAAGGGATGCTCCACAGAAGCACCTGTCCTTGTGAGTGAGGGAAAACTATTCAGACAGACAGGATGCTTTTGCATTTGTGTGCATGAGTACACACATGCATACGTACCTAGTAGTTCTATGGGAAAAAATGAAGTAAACAACTGTACAGAAATGCAAAAGAAAAAAATTCACTTTTAACTTTGAGAATTTGGCAAAGCAGCTCCAAAAGTGCCACGGCAGGTATGTAAGGGCTTAACCCAAGTCTTGTTTTAGGAGACAAGAGATAACCCATTCTCTGGAAACTGTGTGTGCTAAAGGGAAAATGCTCTGGGCCTTTTCAGTCCCAGCTGAACAGCCAGCTGGATGTTTGTCTGAGAACCAGGGGGCTTTCTTCTAAAATTGCTGAGGCTCCTGTTCCCAAGGAGAGGCCTCAACTGGTGGGCAGAGGCAGGGGAGCAGGGGGCCTTGCAGTTAGAACATGGGAAGCCGGACTTGCTAGCGATCTGGAATCTCACCATCCGAGGGAGCTTCAGCTTTGGGGCCTCTGCCATGCTCTTACGTGCTGCTCTTGTGAATACAAGCTGACTTCCAGACACTGGAGAGGTAGTGGCCAACCAACCAAAGTCCCTTTCCTCATGGAGCTTACATTCTAGTGGGAGAGACAGACAGTAAAGGAAAATGTAATGTGATATCATGTCCTACAGTGTAGGTGGTAATGTAAGCACAGGGCTAGATTCTGTGGCTCCCAGTGGAGAGTTTAGTCTTAACAAATGCCATCATCTTTTTCTTTTCAAAAGAACCTCTTAAAACTCTGACTTGACTTGTACCTGTTGGCCACACACATAAGTGCCTGAGAGGGAGAGCAGTATAGTATGTCCTCTGTTCTTTCCCACCTAATGGCAATCTCTCTGCTCACCAAAGAGAACATCTGCCTCAGCCAGATCCCAGGGTCTATTAATGTCTCAAGCTTATCCTCCTCACTTAAACTCTGCTGCTGACTCTTCCTTCTCCTCCCTCATGCCTTAAATCCTTCCTACCCTTGGAGGCTTTGTTCTCATCAACCTCCTCCATGAACCCGTCTCAAACAACAGTGCTCCCTTCTCTCCTGACAGATAGCTTTTCCTGCAGTATCTGGGCACCCAGTCTTGTAGTTTTTTCTATTATGCATCTTACATGTGTCAGCCTTATATCTCCAAGAAGATTATAAACTTTCCCACAAGGACCTGTTTCCACAAGCACATGATGTCGTTTGTGTAGCAAGATGAACATTGGACTTGGAATTGGAATGCTTGTGTTCAAGTATTTATTTGCCCAGTTATTAGCCTCATGACCTTAAAGAAATCATTTCACTTCTCTGCACTTCATTTTCCTCACCTACAGGACTGGGACGCTACCTTCCTACCTCCTCACGTGATATATAAACAGGGCTGACCTGCTGCATCTACACTGCCTGGTACTATTACTGTTTGATCAATAGCCATTTCTCTTGTCAGTTAAGTAGTTGGGGCACCCACCACTACCTCCGGACCTTCCCACAGTCCAGCAATGAAGAGGTAATGCTGGCCATGGGGGCCTCCTTACCATATAACACTCTTACTCTAGGTCCTGTTGCTGTCCACACAGGAAGCTAGTCGCTGAGACAAGTACTGCCAGGGAGGGCTGCAGCGAGGAGAATGGGAGATGAGTCTCAAATCCATTTCCTCTATAACTGAAATGGAGGAAATTAGCAAGGAAGAAATATAACTACGTGTGGGAAAACAGGAATTAGGGAGAGGTAAGGAAGGGGAGCTGGTCAACACGTGGTCTTAGGCAATCATGACAGTGAGCGGTCTCACATCTCATTGTCCAGATGCAGTGATCTGATAAATTTCAGTTCCTTGCTCCTGTCTGGGAGAACTGATGGTCAGTTTCCTGAGAAAGGAACTCAGATACGACAAATATAAGTTTCTCAGATGTTAAGACTTAGGGGATCCATTTCTATGTTTATTCAAAAGAAACATAAACTTCGTTCTGTGGAGAAATTAGGCCAGTTTTAGCATGATGGTCCTTGTCCATTATGACTGGTCAGTGCCTACTGTCCTCCAGATTGAAAAGTGCTTTTTTTTGAGACAGAGTTTTGCTCTTGTTGCCCTGGCCGGAGTGCAATGATGCAATCTCGGCTCACTACAACCTCCACCTCCCAGGTTCAAGTGATTCTCCTGCCTCATCCTCCCAAGTAGCTGGGATTACAGGCGCCAACCACCACACGTGACTATTTTTTATTAGAAATGGGGTTTCGCCATGTTGGCCAGGCTGGTCTCGAACTCCTGAGCTCGGGTGATCCACCCACCTTGGCCTCCCAAAGTGCTGGGATTACAGGCTTGAGCCACTGCACCCAGCCTGAAAAGTGTTTTTATAATAACATCCCTGATTGTGACTTGTCCGGAGTTTGTTTGTTCCAGCGGGTTTGTGATCTCGCTGACTTCAAGAATGAAGCTGCGGACCTTCGCGGTGAGTGTTACAGCCCTTAAAGATGGCACGGACCCAAAGAGTGAGCAGTAGCAAGGTTTATTGTGAAGTGCAAAAGAACAAAGCTTCCACAGCGTAGAAGGGGACCTGAGCGGGTTGCTGCTGCTGGCTGGGGCAGCCTGCTTTTATTCCCTTATTGGCCCCTTTCATGTTCCATTTCTTCCCTATCAGAGTGCCCTTTTTTCAATTTTCCTTGCAATTGGCTACTTTTAGGATCCTGCTGATTGGTGCATTTTATAATCCTCTTGCTAGCTACAGAGCGTTGATTGGTGCATTTTTACAATCCTCTTGTAAGACAGAAAAGTTCTCCAAGTCCTCACTTGACCCAGGAAGTCCAGCTGGCTCCAACTCTCAGTGAGACTCTCCATTCACTCCTCTCATGACTATGCCATTTCATAACTATTCCAGGCACTCTGCTCTATGCTAATGATACAGAGAAATAAGGCACCCAAAGACCTCAGCCCAGGAGGGGAGACAGACATGTAAATATACAGGGTACAGCCAAAAAGTTATCTATTGTTAGGCAACAAACCACCTCAGCACTTAGTGGCTTAAAATAACAACAGGTTCTTTTAAAAATTGAATAGCTGGGTATAATGGCAGGCACCTGTAGTCCTAGCTACTCAGGAGGCTGAGGCAGGAAGGTCGCTCTAGTCTGGGAGTTCAAGACCAGGCTGGGCAACAGGGTGAGACCCCCATCTCAAAAAAAAAAAAAAAAAACCAACCAACAAAATTAAACATAAAATTATCACGTGATCCAGCAGTCACACTTCTGGGTATATACCCAAAAGAATTAAAACCAGGATCTTAAAGAGATATTAGTACACCCACACACAGCAGCAGTCTTCACAATGGCCAGATGAAAACAACCCAAATGCACATCGATACATGAATGGGAAAACAAAGTGTGGTCTATAGAGACAATGGAATATTAGCCTCTCAAAGGAATGAAATTCTCACACTTGCCACAACAAGTGTATGAATAAACCTTGGATGAACCTTGAAGACATTATGCTACGTGAAATAAACAAGACACAAAAAGAGAAATATTATACGTTTCCACCTATACGAGATGCCTAGAGTAGTCAAATTCATAGAGATAGAAAGTAGAATGGGGCTTGGGGGAGGGAGAATTGGAAGTTCGTGTGTAACCGGTACAGTTTCAGTTTGGGAAGCTGAAAGAGTGCTGGAGGTGGTGGTGGCGGTGGCTGCCCAGCGCTGTGAAGGTTCTTCAGTGGACTGAACTGTCTGTCCGCTTCAAAATGGTTAAAATTTTGTTATGCACACGTTACCACAATTTTTACAAAATCAAACTTTTTTTTTTCTAATCTGCAATTTGGAGAGTGCCCAGCAGGAATGACCTATCTCTGATCCATGAGGTTTGGGAGCTCAATTGGGATGATTGAAATGGCTGGGGCTGTGCTGTGAGCTGAATGTTCTGTCCCTCCACCCGGATTCATATGTTAAAACCCTAACCCTCAAGATGATATTAGGAGGTGGGGCCTTTGGGAGGTGATTAGGGTGACGCCCTTGTGATGGGATTAGTGCCCTGAGAAGAAGAGAGTAGCCAGCCATCTACAAACCAGCCATCTACAAGCCAGCCATCTACAAACCAGGAAGAGGGTTCTCACAAACCCCAACCACGCTGGCACTCTGATCTCAGACTTCCAGCCTTTAAAACTGTGAGAAAGAAATGCTTGCTATTTAAGGTCCCCAGTCTGTAGAACTCTGTTATAGTAGCTGGAACAGACCAAAGTAGGCTGTCTGGGCATCTCCATCTCTTTCTGACATCTTAGGGCCTCTCCCTGTGGCCTCCCCATGTGGTTTCTCCACTATGATAGCCTCAGAATAGTCAGACTTCTTATGCAGCAGCTCAGGGCTCCAAGACTGAATGTCCCAGGAGCCAGGAAATAGAAGCTGCCAGGCTCCAAGGCCTGGACCAGGAGACAGGCTTAGCATCCCTTCGTGAAATTCTTTTTGTACAGAGCCACAGTACGCACCCAGGTTCAAGGGGAGGGGCTTGCACTCCCACTTCTCCATGGAAGGAGTTTGAAAGAATCTGTGGTCATTTCTGTTGTACCAAGATGTGATAAGTGAAGTGCATTCAAGGTACCAAGACAGTATGGAGACAGGATAACTCTGGGGATTCAGAGAGACTAATAGGGTAAAGGAGAAGATTGCCTCTAGGATGAGTTCATTCATGTGAAAAGATCTTGTAAAGTTAAACCATAAAATGTTCCACTGATGCATTATCAATGATGGCTACAGTAAATATTAAGACAAGCTTTTACAGCTGTTTCCCAATCAATAAGATGTAAGATGTAATAAAACATAGACCTGACCTGCATTCCCATTAAATTCATGAAAGACATTCTGTGCTACTGATCTGGCAGTGCCTGCAGCAGGCCCGCCAAACAGAAATATGTGCGTACTTCAGGAACTGAGCAGCCTGTGGGTGATGTCCAACTAGAGCCTCTCACTCTGAATTCCTCTCTCTGGCAAATCAAGGCCACAGGCCGGCATTGAACACTATATGCCATGTACTGCAAGGTGAACTGTGGTCATACCAACATAGCCAATTCATTTTCTGTTAATCATAGAGATGCATATGGGCTCAAAGGCCATCTGTCAAGCACAGTTCTTCTTAACAACCACATTGCGAAAATGTCACTGAATCAAATCAGGCTCTTTAATGTTTCTTTCTTTTTTCTTTTTCTTTTTCTTTTTTTTTTTTTTTTGAGATAGAATTTCGCTCTTTTTGCCCAGGCTGGAGTGTGGTGGAGTGATCTCGGCTCACTGCAACCTCTGCCTCCCAGGTTCAAGCAATTCTCCTGTCTCAGCCTCCCACTTGCAGCTCAGCTCAGCACCTGCAGCTGGGATTACAGGTGCACACCACCAGGCCCAGCTAATTTTTGTATTTTCAGTAGAGACGGGGTTTCACCACATTGGTCAGGCTGGTCTCGAACTCCTGACCTCAGGTGATCCATCCACCTTGGCCCCCCCAAAGTGTTGGGATTACAGGCGTGAGCCACTGCACCCAACCTCTTTTATATTTCAATAAATGGTTGTTGGATGAATACTGATCCTTAGACAAAAAGAAGTCTTTCTGTTCCAATGCGCCTTTCATTAGATACAAAGTTTCTTAAAACTAAAACTAATATAGAAATATTACCCTGGTCAAAAAATGAAAATTCATTAAGAATAAAAGCTAGAAAAAATCCACTCTGGGTCATGCTTAGCTTTACAATTTACTAGTGAAAGAAATTGTTTTAGGATAGCTCTGGTGATTTTAAACCTTTGCCATCCTCACTTGGTTCTGTTAGACCAAATGTTTGTTGCTAAACAGCAACTAAAATCTAGAAAGAAGCAGCAAGTATCATCTGCACAAACAAAAGGTCCTGGAACAAAGGAAAAGGGACTAATATTCCTATTCTATCTCAGGCATTGTGAACTCACTGGCTACTTAAAAATTTTTGTAATCAAAGAAAAGCCCGTAGCTAGTCCATATAACACCTAGTTATATAGTCCATATAATGCTTAGTTTAAATAAATATGGTATTGTCTCAGCCTAAGGCTATCTCTTAACTTCCTTTTGAAATACTTAAAATCTTTATGTACACATTTTTTTTACCTCTACAAATACTAATTTAAAATGTGCGGATGCTTTTCAAGTTACAATGTGGCTACATCCTGATAAACCCACAGCAAGTTGAAAATGTTAGAAATTGAAAATGCATTTAATACTCCTAAACTATGGAACACCTTAAATGTGCTCAGAGCATTTACATTAGCCTGAAATTTGGAAAAACCATTTAGCACAGAACCTATTTTATAATAAAGTGTCAAAATCTCATGTAATTTATTGATTACTATATGAAAATGAAAAACAGAATGGTCGTATGGGTTCTTGAAGTGCAGTTTCCACTAAGTATGTATCGCTTTGACACCACTGCAAAGTTGAAAAATAAGTCAAGCCATCGTAAGTCAAGGACTCTCTTACTGTGTGCAGGCATTGTACTAGCAAGGACTATTTTACTGTGTGCAGGCATTGTACTAGCAAGGACTATTTTACTGTGTGCAGGCATTGTACTAGGTGCTGAGGAGCCCTCTATAGATGAAGAAATCTTGGTTTCTACCTTCAGGAACTCACCATCTAAGGGGACATGTACACATTTAGATGCGGTGCCAGGCAGAATGAAATCAGAATACAGCAAGTGCTACGGAAATGAGGAATAAAGAGGAACTAACTATACGAAGTGTATGTGAGAGGAGCGGACAGCAGGACAATCTTCTACCCATTGCTACTGCTTTTTGTTCCTGTCGCCTGATTTCTAAGGATTGTGGGATAACATGAAAACAGAGGAACTATAAAAGGACCCAGGCCGGGTGTGATGGCTCACGCCTGTAATCCCAGCACTTTGGGAGGCCGAGGTGGGTGGATCGCTTGAGGTGAGGAGTTCGAGACCAGCCTGGCCAACATGGCAAAATTCTGTCTCTAGTAAAAATACAAAATTAGCCAGATGTGGTGGTGCATGCTTGTAATCCCAGCTACTTGGGAGGCTGAGGCAGGAGAATCATTTGGACCAGGAGGCAGAGGTTGCAGTTAGCCAAGATCATGCCATTGAACGCCAGCCTAGGCAACAAAAGCGACGCTCCATCTAAAAAAAAAAAAAAAAAGGATCGAATTAGAATGTGGCTAGGTGAGGTTTTAAAGATGGTTTAAAATTTAACCAAGGAAACCTCACCACTTACCTAAAACCAGACTCTTGCCTACAAAAGCAATACCATATTAGGAGAAAGCTGTGGTGGTAGGCACTGTTGTATTGTCTCACTTAATCCATACAACTTCCCTGTGAGTAGTCACTTCCCTGTGACTGTGAATTCCATTTCAACCAGCCAAAGCTCAGAGAGGTCTCCTGGTTGTCACACACTTGTCAGAGGTGAAATAGGGACCTAAATCTAACTCTCATGTCCTCCAGCACCTGTGCTTCAGCTCAACAGAGTGACTTCTAGGCTAGGCACAGTGGCTCACACCTGTAATCCCAGCACTTTGGGAGGCTGAGGCCAAAGGATTACTTGAGTCCAGGAATTTGAGACCAGCCTGAGCAGTACAGGGAAGCTCCGTCTCTAAAAAAAAAAAAAAAAAAATTAATTAGCTAGGTGTGGTGGCAGTCCACTGAGTAGCCTGCAGTCCCAGCTACTCAGGAGGTTTAGGTGGGAGGATCGCTTGAGCCCAGGAGTTCAAAGCTGCAGTGAGCCATGCTCATTCCACTGCATTCAAGCCCAGGCAACAAAGTTGAGATCCTGTCTCAGAAAACAAAAAACAATGTCCATCTACAAACAGGCCCTGAAAAAGATGCCTGCAAAATTCTCAGCAATACAACTGCCCAGGGAATGCTATTAAACTCAGTTTTAATGGAGTATCCAATTTTTATTTTTGCATTAAAATGAGATGTATGAATATTTTAAGTATCGCTGACTTTATAAATGCTTATAATAAGTAGACTAATACAATTGCAATACTCACATCAGAAAGATGAGGAATGTCATAAGAACTACTCATGTCGCAAGGCATAGTCTCTCCTTGAGGTGTGCCAGTTACTGACTTCCAACCTGATCCTTCCCTACATACAAGGCTCTGCCATGCAGGAGCCTGGACTCTGCAAAGCTGGTGTGTTAGGCTCTGCCAATAGGGGGCAGTAGAGGTAGACTGCAAGCCTGAAGGAGAGAGAGGGGCTGGCTTTCCCTCTGTCCTGCTAGTGTCTTCTGTAGTCTCAGCCTTCATTCACCCTGGCAGCAGCTGGTACCAGTCTCCAGAGTTTTCTCTGCACTGTCAGAACCAGCCTCACTGTGTCCCCGTGGGGCACCAGGACCAGCTGCCCTCTGGCATGGCAGAGCCTCTACTTCAAGCTTTTAGATTCCAATGCCCTCAATTTCTTCCTTTGTGCCTCAGCCCTAGGAGTGTTAACAGCTTCTGCCATTCACTATTTCTATTCATCTCAGCATTGCCGCTTTCTATTTCAGTTCTCCAACATCTGTTTAACCAATTCCTCATACAAATTTTCTCTGTTAAAATGATTGGTATGACTGTGGCCGTATCTACACAAGCAAATACACATACATCCTGTGACACAGCCAACTCCACCCCTGGGAATCCACGGAGAGAACTGAGTGCTGATGTTATGATTTTATTTTATTTTATTATTAATATTATTATTATTTGAGATGGAATTTCACTCTTTTTGCCCAGGCTGGAATGCAGTGGTGTGATCTTGGCTCACTGCAACCTCTGCCTCCCAGGTTCAAGCAATTCTCCTGTCTCAGCCTCCCAAGTTGCTGGGATTATAGGTGCATGCCACCACGCCCAGCTAATTTTTGTATTTTCAGTAGAGACGGGGTTTCACCATGTTGGCTAGGCTGGTCTTGAACTTCTGACCTCAGGTGATCCATCCACCTTGGTCTCCCAAAATGCTGGGATTACAGGTGTAAGCCACTGCGCCCAGGCTGATGTTTAAATGTTTTTAACTGTTCCTGCCAGCATTCTTCCTAAGATAGCACAAAACTGAAAAGAACCTAAATGTTAATCAATAGTAGAGTGGATGTAAAAATTATGGTACAGTCACAGAATGGAATACTAGACAGCAATGGAAAGGAACAACAACAAGCCAGACACTAAAGAGTACTTACGGTGTGATTCCATTTATATGATGTTCAAAGCCAGGCGGAGCTCATCCATGGAGATGGGGATCAGAGGAGCATTTGTCTTTGAAGGGGGCTATTAACCGGATTTTTTCTGTCTCCTGATCTGGGTGATGGCTTACTGAGCTATACATTTAAGATTTGTATACTTCACTGTGTGTAGGTTATAAAGAATTCAGTAGAAAATTAAAATAGGTCAACATGGGTAGATCACCTGAGGTCAGGAGTTCAAGACCAGCCTGGCCAACATGGCGAAACCCCGTCTCTACTAAAAATACAAAAATTAGCTGGGTGTGGAGGTGAGTGCCTGTAATCCCATCTACTCTGGAGGCCGAGTTTGCAGTGAACCGAGATTGTGCCATTGCACTCTATCCTGGGTGCCAGAGCGAGACTCAGCCTCAAAAAAAATAATAAGAAGAAAAATAAAATAAAATAGACCCGGCTCAGTGGTTCATGCCTATAATCCCAGCACTCTGAGAGGCCACAGCCAGCTGATTGCTTGAGCCCAGGAGTTCAAGAGCAGCCTAGCCAATGTTGAAAGACTCTGTCTCTACAAAAAATAAAATAATTAGCCAGGTGTGGTGGTGACCCTGTAGCTACTTAGGAGACTGAGGCAGGAGGATTGCTTGAGCCTGGGAGGTCCAAGCTGCAGTGAGCCATGATCGCACCACTACACTCCCGCCTGGGGGAGAGCGAGACCCTATCTCAAAATAAATAAATAGATAATAAATAATTGTAAAATAAAATGATTCGGTCTATATTCCTGACTGAACCTTGATCGCTTCGGAGAGATGCCAAGAGGCAGGCTAGAAAGGCTCACGGGGAGGAGCCAAGCCCAGCAGAGATAGAAGAATGAGATGTCCTGTGACTACAAAGCAACAGTGCAGAGAAGTAAGACAAGACCACTTAGGGCATTCCAAAGCGTAGTATTGACTCAAGGGACAGAGAAAGTCAACTCTGTACAAGTTGCTTAGTCAATCTAAAAATACAATAAATTTAGGCCTTCCTTGGTAAAATACTACTGATTTGTTACTGGAACCAAAATAAGAAAAATATCTTAAACTGGTTCTAAGGATCTATATCTATTTGACATATTTTGTGAATATAAATGTATATATTTTTCTATATTGGAAAGATTTAAAATGTCTGGAAAGAAGTTAAATTATATGCTTATTACAAAAATCTATTGGATACCACTAGCATGGTGCAATATTATATGCTTCTGTCCCCACACCAATCCCCTTTTAAAGAGAACGCTCCAAGGTTCAGAGACATAAAGTGCACACCAAAGGCCACAACACAATTGGTAGAACTAGGTTCTAACTCAGGTCCATCCCATTCCAGAGGAGGTTTGATAGAATCAACTACAGCTGAGACAAGCAGAGCTGAGCACTGTAAACTCCTCTTTTAAAAATCAGCCAAGAATTGAGAACAGAGTCTTGGATAAGATAGCCTCATATAATAAGTTCTTTCTGTTTCAAATTTTCCTATGATCCTTCTGTACACATGTGTATACAGACATGTGGCAATTTTATATACATGTTACGGATGGCAATCAGTCTTCTCCAGCTGTGAAGTCTGCTGAGTAAATAATGTATTGTGTAACCTATGATTTTTCTAAATGGAAAGACCTACATTTCAAGATGGTTAAAATTAAGATGCAAGTTGTCATGCTTAAAATTCGTCTTAAGGCTACCATTATCAACTTTTTTTTTACTCTTTCATTATTTCTAATTTAGAAGTTTTAAAAAGCATTAATTTTAAACTTCTTGTTTTTGATTTGCATCTAGGACCTTCAATTCTCAGTATAAATGGTGAAGATATTATGAAGATTTAACTGGGAACGGCAAAATGACCCTCACAGCCAAATCTCCATTCAAAGCTGTAATTTTATCTCCAAGTTATTCTGTCATGGTGACGCGGGGTTATAGTTGATATCCAAAAATACCTAACATCTTTGACAAGAGTAATTGAGTGTTTTCCTAGGGTTTTATTTTTCCATTTTTCACTGATAAATGATTCTATACAGGAAAAAAAAAAAAAGAGAGCAAAGGAGAGAAAATGCAAATTAGTGCCCTAAAAAACATATCTATCTAGTACACTACAGTGATTTTCAAGGAGAAGGGTTAGTAATTTCCTTTTTCTTTTTTTTTCTTTTCTTTTTTTTTTTTTTGAGACAGAGTCTCGCTCTGTTGCCCAGGCTGGAGTGCACTGGCACAATCTTGGCTCACTGCAACCTCCACCACCTGGGTCCAAGCGATTCTCTTGCCTCAGCCTCCCGAGTAGCTGGGATTACAGGCGCCCGCCACCATGCCCAGCTAATTTTTGTATTTTTAGTAGAGTTGTGGTTTCACCATGTTGGCCAGGCTGGTCTTGAACTCCTGACCTCAGGTGATCCACCCACCTCGGTCTCCCAAAGTGCTGGGATTACAGGCGTGAGCCACCACGCTCGGCCAGAGTTAGTAATTTCTAATTCTTTGTCATCTCTCCCTTAATCTCTGATAGGCACTTGAATCACAATAACATTAGTGTTTTCAATTAGGAAAACATTTCGGAAGGCAAAGAAATATTTGATATAGGTATTTTTGAATGAATGGGCTGAATGAAAATAGCTGATCTCCAGCTCTGAGACAGACAGACAGACAGAGAGAGAGAGAGAGAGAGAGAGAGAAACATGTCCTCAAAGCTTTACCATCTAAGCAAGTAGAATAGAAGGAGGATTAAGGTTGAGTGATGAGGAAGGGTGTTCTCTTTTGTATGCATGCTTCATTCCTCATTGCAATATTTCAGCTGCCCCCTTTTAAACATAAAAGATGCACAAAACTTAAGCACAAAAGGTGTGGCTTCCTTAGTGGCCAGGCCCAGACCCAGACCCAGGTCTTTCCTGTCCCTTCTCTGGCAGGCCGCAGGGAGTCGACATACTTTCTGGTGAGTTTAAAGCCTCGGTACTCCCCATCCCATGCCTTGAGATTGCTCTGTTTGAGAGCAGTGCCACTGTAAGATCATGCAGCTTCCTCAGAGGGTTTGGTTGTTCTCTTAAGAGGCAAGAGAAATAAGCAAAATGGGAAGTGACCACATTTTTTAAAATCCTAGAAAGTTCATTGAGCCATTACTGCTGATGCATTATTTACTTAGCAGTAACTCAGTCCAGTAGGGCTGGCAAGTGCCTGGGATGCTTATTTTCTATCCTGACGACTGACAGGGTCAGTCTGGTCTCTCTGTCTGCCCAGCATCACCTCTCTCCCCAGATTCCCACGGGCTCCCCCCAACTTCTATGAGTGGAAGTCAGCCCCAGACATGGGTGAAGTGCACACTGCGTATTTTCATGAGACCATTCTGATTGACTGGAGGAAGGCCAGGCTAAGTGAATGAGAAGTCTCCATTCTGAAATACACTAAAAAGAAACAAACTTACTCCCTTTAAGCATTTAGGAAGCTCAAGCAACTAAAAGCAAGCTTGCTGTTTATTAATTTCAACTGCTGACCCACTTGAAAAAATCATTGAGAATATGTATGGTAGGGAACTTGCACTTTTAGCAAAAGACCACTGTGAGTTTGCAGGAAACAGAGACAAAGCCCCTGAGAGAAAAAAGGACTAGTCTTGACCGCTACTACAAGGTAAGGGCCAAACGGAAGAGAATGTGTTATTCTAAACTCTTCACTATCTCAACTTTTAGCACCATTCAAACTTTCTCTCTGGGATTCAGTCCATTTCTGAACATTTGCCCTGACTGTCATCACCAACTTTGTTCTAACCTTCATGGTTTCTTCAGGCAAGGCTTCTGAAAGGAACTTAAATCCTCATTTGTCATTTTGGGAGGCCAAGGCAGGAGGATCCCTAGAGCCCAGGAGTTCAAGACTGTGGTGAGCTATGATGGTACCACTGCACTCTAGCCTGGGTGACACAATGAGACCCTGTCTCAAACAAAACAAAACAAAACAAAAATCAGCATTTATAACAAAACAAGGAGAAAATATGGGTTACAGAGCTCTTGAAATAAAACTGCAATCTTAAAAGAATGAGCTCAAGGTCAATTTAATAGATGAAATATTTCATTAGTCAAGCTTATGAGAATGTAATCAGAAATGGAAGGCTACATGAAAGTGCGTGTTGCAGAGGAAATACGCGAAACCAAAACACACTTTTCTTAATGGTATTTTTGCCACTTTGGATGTTGATCTTATTGCTAAATCTTAACTTCTCCAGTGGCAGCAGAAATGACAGATGCGTAGTTTTCACGCTCTTCATAGACACAATGAGCTAATTTTTTCTTCTTTGCAGTCAGAGTCTGCTTCTCTGTCCTATAAGCAGGAAATGGAATCCCCTAGAACTATCATAAACCGACACTAGAGGTTTAGATACAGCAGAAAATGTACAGCAGCAAACTATTTTTCTATCTGCAAATGACAGAATTTGGAATATTTCTACAAGGTGCAAATTACCCTTTATAGGTTCTGATTTATATTTCATGATAAGGAAGGTGTCCTTAAAACAGGTAGTTGAACATTTTTGCTTTGTCAGCTAAATTTTTCCAGCTCTTACCAAAACTGAAAAGATCTGAGGTTGCTTCTAATAATGTTATACTTTTGGAAAACCAAGTAGCAGTCACTAAATGAAAAATTCATTCATTAAGGTGTATTTTTTTTGCTTTAATCATGGTATTTAATTACCACATAGAAGAACTATACAATCTCATGCTAAGAAAAGCAAGCATTTTCCATCCCTGTTTAAAAAAGAGTGCCAAAAATGTCCACAGAGGTGACTCCTGCATAGGGGAAAGGAGGATTAGATGAGGGACTGACAAACTATAGCCTGCCAGGGAAATCCTGCTCACTGCCTGCTTTTGTACAGCACTGGAGCTTACAATTACATTTTGAAATGTTTTCGGGAAAAAAACTGAAGATTATTTTGTGACATGTCAAAATCATGCGAAATTTGAATTTCAGTGCATATAAAGAAGGTTTTGGCCAGGCGTGGTGGCTCATGCCTATAATCCCAGCACTTTGGGAGGCGGAGGGGGCGATTCACGAGGTCAGGAGATGGAGACCATCCTAGCTAACGCGGTGAAACCCCGTCTCTACTAAAAATACAAAAAATTAGCCGGGCGTGGTGGCGGGTGCCTGTGGTCCCAGCTACTCAGGAGGCTGAGTGAGGCAGGAGAATGAGGAGAATGGCGTGAACCCGGGAGGCGGAGCTTGCAGTGAGCCGAGATCGCACCACTGCACTCCAGCCTGGACGACAGAGTGAGACTCCATCTCAAAAAAAAAAAAAAAAAAAAAAAAAAGGTCTTATGAGCATACAGACTTGCTCATTTGTTTATGTGTATCTATGTATGGCTGCTTTTGTGCTGCTACTGCAGAGGTGAATGGCTGCTAGATACCATATGGCTGGCAAAACCTAAAATATTTACTCTCAGGATCTTTTTTTCTTATTTTTTTGGAGACAGGTTTTCACTCTGTCACCCAGGCTGGAATGTAGTAGTGAAATCATAGCTCACTGCTGCCTCCAACTCCTGAGCTTGCAAGTGAACCTCATGCCTCAACCTCCCAAATCACTGATACTACCAAGTACGCCACCACGCCCAGCTAATTTTTATTTATTTTTTCTTTTTTTGTAGAGATGGGGTCTCGCTATGTTGCCCAGGCTTGACTGGAACTCCTGGTCTCCAGCGATCTTCCCGCCTTGGCCTCCCAAATTGCTGCCATCACAGGGGTGAGCCACTGAGCCCAGCCAGACTCTGGATTTTTACTGAAAAAAAAAGCTTGCCAATCTTTAGGCTGGGTGACATCTGAGATCCCTTTAAATTCCAAAGTTCTAGGAATTCCACTTCCAGAGGTAAGCAGGAATCCACCATCAAAGACAATACAGGGAACACCCATTAGCCTCATAATATAATGATTCCAAAAGAACTGTTTCTTTTGTGTTGTCAACATGTCAACCTGTAAAATAATACTCACTGACTCAGAACATTCACGTAAGTTTCCCAGATATTACTTTGAAAAATAGGCTCTTGGTTCTAGAAAGCAACATTCATAATTTTTAGAAATTTTATTCTATTAACAGGGTTGACTAGACCATCTGAAAAATTACCAAGTACAATGAAAATGAAAAAAGAAACCCAACTCCGCTAGGAATTCACATCATAAAATATTTATTAATAAGTAAAATGATTTTCCCCTGCCTTTGGTTATTAAAAAATGAGTATCATTGATGATACCAATTGCCAACACTGGTTTTACATTATTCAGTCATGAAACAGAATAGAAAGATGATCGATAGATATCTATAGACATAAATGTGTAGAAGACCATACCATACAGCGATTTGTTTAATTACAAAATACTGGTTGTGCTAGCAGTTGGAAATGTACTTGCACATCCTTAAAGTTATCTTTTTTTATATAAGTAAAGAACACACAAATAAATTCACTTGAATTTGATAATTTGGAACATTGGCAATGAATACAGTGCCTGTTGAGGCCTGAAAGAGAGAGGAAATCAAGAACAGTGTGGGAGAAGAAAGGCAATCCTTCGTTGAAAAGCTTTTCTCTTAACAATCCTTAGTGCCTGAAAAATAAGCCATTTTGATAACAAGAGTATAAAAAGCCTTATGATCTGCAAAGTAAATCGTATCTGGTTTAAATTTCATCCCAAGTCTCAGGTTATGGCTGAGGAGCTATACTAAGTATCTTTGTAACACATTTCTTTGAATTTTTATAACTAAGACAAGAAAATTTTTTTATCAGATCTAGGCAGAAATACTGATCTTCATTTACAAGTATAGTAATTACTTGCACTCAGGACTATATAGACATGGGGCTCTGAAAACCAAACAGAAGGAAACGCCAAACCATAACCACAAGGCAAAATTAAAAGTAACTCAGAGAAGCAGCGGGTGATAGTTTATGATTTCAATATAAAAAAGAATGCATTACCTCTCAGATGTCACCTTAAAGCCAGAAAATTAAGATACAATCAAGAAGGGGATGAATGGTTTTATGACTATACCACCTACTACTTCAAGATTAAAATCATCCCAGAGTTCTGAAATGTCTTCATTAGTTAAGTAACTATACAATTTATTTCAGTCTCTTTTTAATGTAGAAAATCACTTTGTAATAAGATCTCTACATAAGGTAAAAAAGCACAAAATAGGCCCCCAAAAGCACAAAAATAGACAAAATATATATATCTTTTTACAATGAAATTAAGGTGTGCCTGTGGAATACTGAGACTGATGACTGATCTCACAGAGTTCAAACAGGTTTCCTTTTAGAATAGTCCTGTTATTTGCGTCTTCCCCTTAACCTTGGATGCATTAGAAAAAAAAAAAGGCTCAGGCTGGGGGCGGTGGCTCACGCCTGTAATCCCAGCACTTTGGGAGGCTGAGACAGGCAGATTGCTTGAGGTCAGGAGAGTGAGACCAGCCCAGCCAACATGGTGAAACCCCATCTCTACAAAAAATACAAAAAATTAGCCATGGGGGCAGGCACCTGTAATCCCAGCCACGTGGGAGGCTGAGGCAGGAGTGTTGCCTGAATCCAGGAGGCTGAAGTTGCAGTGAGCCGAGATCGCACCACTGCACTCCAGCCTGGGCAACAGAGCAAGACCCTGTCTGATTAAAAAAAAAAAAAAAAAAAAAAAAAGTCCCAGGTAAAAGGGAGATAACAGGCATTTTGATCCTGTGCAGTCAACAACAAAAAAGAAATAATAATAACAACATAATAAAAATCCTTAATTTATCAGTTTATAAAATTCTTTCGTCAACCATATCTCAAGGGCACTTCGGACTCAAGCATTTGTTATACACCCATCAGCAACATCACAGTCATCTCCAGCTGAGGCCGGTTTTCCATCATAAATCAATGATACCCTGGATGAAACATATCCAGAAATGCTAATTCGGAGATGTTTTCATACAGTCTGGGGGCAAATGAAGCCATCCAAAGGAATCGTGCCATAAATACCACCGACATGTGCGGACTTCCACCTCGAGAATCCACCCCTGCCTTCGTCTCCCTTCAGTAAAGGAACCCACCAGTGACTCTCGGTTATACAGTCACCGCTGGGTACATCTTCTGTTCACTGTTGGTGTGAGGGAAGGGGGACTGAATCTGCCTGTAGCCAGGCTGCAGGCCGTCCATGAAAGGTGGCACAGCTGTCATGGGCACAGAGTCGTGCTGCACCGTGTACCCCACGTATGGGGGATGCAGATACTGCCCTTGATGTGGCACAATCTGGGTGGCCTGCTGACAGTTCAGCACAGAGAAATTCGTGGGCATGTTGACATACACGTTGTTCATGGTCCCTTCCGGCAAGCAACAGTTGGTCTGTGACCTTGTTGGGGGCGCCCGGGCCCCTGAGTTGGCGCTGGAGCTGGAACTGGCAGCTGTGCTGGACTGGCGTGAGGACGACCCCCGGGAGGTGCTGGCACTGGGGATCATGGGGATGGTCTCCATCAAGCGGTTACCCCCTGGGGCTCGGCTCTGCTGGGGATCCTGCTTAGGCCGGAGACATCTGCAGCAACAGGCTGCCACCAGGGACCCCAAGATGATAAAGGCGACAAACACGGAGCCAACAATGAGGAACGGCACGTAGATGGGCACTGAAGCAAAGGACAGAAACACAACATTATGATCTACTCTAGGAACACAGTACCAATCGCCAACTGGCAATGGCAATGAATGAATGAGCAACACTGATACCCACAGCTGAAGGACCTACACTGGGCTAATTTGTTCACATATTAGGAGTCCATAAGATGCACCATTCTTTATCAAGTGCTTAGAAAGGTCCTAAGACCCTACAGGCATGGCAGGTCAGCCCCTAGAAGCAAACTGTTAATATTTAGTTCAACTTGTCAACTGCAAGACTGACTGAGCCAGATATCCGATTTAGCAAAAGTATGGGTTTAACAGGTTAAGACAGTTATGGTTCTAAACTTCCTACCATAATCAAACTGTCCAAACTTAAGTCTGCCCGACCATATTGTTGTAGGATCTTCATAGTAATAATGACTTCAACTTATTTAAAAGTCTTTTTTCCCCCAGAAAGTTATTTAAGTTCCTTGCAAATTTCTTTTTACCATTTTTTAGCAAGTTCTTTTTTCATAAGCAGTTAAGTCAAAAATTTAGGCCAGACTCTAAGTCACTACCATTTCCAAAAGGCAGATGTACAAGAGGTAAGGCACAGAAGGGTCAAGGAGGGGTTTAAAAAAGACCCTCTTCACTCTTCCTTAGCAAAAGCCAGGGTCCTTGGGTGGCATTGGGTCCAGGTGATGGGGTCTGTGTGGAGGTGGAGGGAAGTTATTCCAGGCATTGGGCCATCCTGAAACAATGTCCAAGAGCAAACATCAGGAGCAACAAGACGTGTTCCAGAAAGAAGAGTCACCCACAGCAAGCCAAGAAGGCAAGAGTACACAGGGAAAGCCCTCAGAGCATAAAGCAACGGCCATCACACTTCACCCGGGAAGCTGATTTTAAAATAGAAAACCATAAAAAGTAAAAATAAAAACCTTTTGATAAAACCACTAGCAAACTCCATTTTAAAATTAGTTTCTGGCGGGGCACGGTGGCTCACGCCTGTAATCCAAGCACTTTGGGAGGCCAAGGTGGGTGGATCACCTGAGCTCAGGACTTCAAGACCAGCCTGGCCAACATGGTGAGACCCTGTCTCTACTAAAACCACAAAATTTAGCTGAGTGTGGTGACGCGCACCTATAATCCCAGCTACTCTGGAGGCTGAGGCAGGAGAATCGCTTGAACCCAGGAGGCAGAAGTTGCAGTAAGCCGAGATTGTGCCACTGTACTCCAGCCTGGGCAACAGATTGAGATTCCATCTCAAATAAATAAATAAATACATAAAATTAGTTTCTTAAAAAAATCTTTTAGGAGCCATAGAGAGGGCACTACAAGGCTTTAGAAAATAGACGCAGGTTGACAGGGACAGAATCAGATGGGAGGTGCCTGCAGAATGCCTCTGAGCCACTTTTGTGGAATTCTACCCTATGTTACCAAGAGCCTGCATTTTCTGATGTGTTCTTGCCCCAACCTCCTGGCTATATTTTTGGGAAATACATAAGCACAGGGGTGGATTGGGTCTTACTGGTCTTGGCAAAGCATAATGCCAGCCCAGAGTCGGATGGGGCAGCATTTTAGGAAGGAGACCACGCCTTTGAGGTCAGCTCTATGAATACCCTTTCATCATCCATTAGAGCAGCCGGGCTTTCTAATTATGCTCCTTTTCACTGTTCTGGTATTGCTGGAGTCAGTGTTTTTAAAGTATAATACCAGGTGGAATTATGGAGAAATAATGCCCTGTAAGTAAAACAATACTTTATAGGTATTTAACCAAAGGCTGACTGTGGAATATTTCCTGGAGTTTCAATGCTGAACAGAGCAATTTCTATATATAGCGCCCCTTTAGCAGGTAGAAACATTTGCTACAGTGTCTGCAGCACAGCTGGCGCCCAGCAGTAGAACTGTCCTAATTACACTATCACTTCAGGCTAACTACGGATCACTGGAGAAGTGGATGCAGGCTTTTTCCTTGGCGTGTTATAAATATTTCATTCTCTAAATTAAGACACCAGCCCTAAATATGTTATCAAAAAATAAATTAATAGTAGTAAAGCAGGAAAAAAAATGTACCCCAATCATAGCAGAAACTAGCTGAAACCAGCCTCAGTCCACATAATGAGTTTTGGGGAGAAATAAGTGTTCTCTTTCCAGGATTTTTAATTGGAAATGTAAATAACTACACAGGGATAAGGAATGTAACGCTACTATAAGCCCCCCGGCAGGCTTAATTAGGCATGTTGCCCTTCACTGCAGAAGAAAAGTGAAAGAAATACAATTTTTAGGAAAAAAACGTTTAAAAGTAGCATGAAGAAGGCATCCATGCACAACACAGGGCGTCATGAGAAGTCTCGTCCTGAGAAGTCCCGACTAATCCAAAGCCATCCCAACTTTTTGGAGACCATTAATGAGCCCAATCTAGCAGACATCTCACTGTAGCAGTTCGGGGTCTGGCTCCCTTCTCTGGGCTTTCTTCCATGGCCACACAGTCTGCGAGACTGAGCTTGCGTTTTAAGACTGCGCTGGTTCTGGAATTACGCTCTCTTCAGATTCAAGACAGCAGAACAATAGGAGTAGCATGCTAATAAAATGCTTGACTGCGAAAGGGAACGGCACTGAAAAGAGCTGTCTCTCACGAGGTCCTGGGAGGCAGCTCTATAAACACAAACTACGCTGTGCCAAAGCTCAAGCAGCCCGAACCCAGGCTCAGGATGCTAGCGAAAAGCCTCCCAGGTAAACACAACGGGCCCACAAAGAGGAGGAGCCGCCCCCTCGGGGACACGTTTGCCATTTTACCTCTACACCTCCCCTCCCCCGAAATAAATAACACACACACACACACACACACACACACACACACACACGGAGTGACTGGTGTAGACACCCCAGGGAGGCATTCCGGAAGGTTTCTGAAGAGTGAAGTGCAACCTACCAAATTCTTTCACGGGTTTACTTTCCAACTCTGGCTTTGGCAATTTGAAAGAAAAAAAAAATCAAAGCCACAAAGAGCAAGGCTGGGCACTGCTCCGATGTTACACCTACTAAGTCTGACGTGGTAAGGAAAACAGTCCAGAAGCCCCACAGGCGGGCCGCTGCAGGGGAGAGGGGCCGCCGCGTGGAGAAGATGGGAATCCGCGGCGTCTGGCACGGGGCAGCAGCCCCGGGAAAGCCCTGAGGAGCTGCCTTCCTTTCGGGGAGCCTTCAGGGGAGCACCGCTGCCAGGCCCTCACGGGTGGGGGCGCACCCTCGCCGTCTCCTTGGGTACCCCTAAGACATGAAGCCCTATGGAGACAGGAGACGCCAGAGGGGCCCGGAGGACCCTGGTCAGAAGGAATATGGGGGCTGTCTGTGGCCCACACTGCCTTAGGAGTGTGATTTTGTTCGGAAAATTAACTCTAAGCCACCCTTTGGCTGACAGATGGAGAAACTGAGGCCCGTGAGGGTGAATTAGGGACCCACACCGACCAAATAATAAGCCAGAAGGCAGACTCCGCCTCCTGGTCCTAGGCCCTTTCCTGAATTTCCCCCCTTCAAACTCCCAGGTCCCTGACGTCCAGGCAACGCCAACCGTCCTCCCTTTCGCGCTGGGCGCAGGCCGCCCTACCTGCCGAGCCGTCGGGGCCGTCTTTGTCCGCCCGGCCAGGCTCGCCAGCGCCCTGCTGGCGGTCATTGTCGCAGCCGCCCTGGTCCAGGCGCGCCTCGGCGCTGGAGCAGCAGTAGCGCAACGCGCAGCTGCCGCAGCAGATGGTGGCGTCGCCGCCGTCGAAGCGCTCGGGACACTGGAAGCCGATGCGCCAGACGCCCTGCGCGTCCAGCCAGCCGTGGCAGTACTCGCCGCTGGCCCTCGCCCCCGCCGCCAGCAGCGCAGCCAGCAGCAGCTGCAGGAGCGAAGCGGCGTTCCAGGATGAGGAGACGGACGAGCGGCGAGCGCCCCACATGGCACCACCCTGGGCGCGGACAGCGCGTCTCCAGAGAGCGCAGGACGGTCTCCGAGAAGTCGTGGCCCCGGCGACCCCCGGGCCTCGTCACTGACTGTCCCGCGGCGCTTTCCGCGCGGGCCACTCCCCTCTGCCGCGACGCCCAGGAGGCGACGACGCCGGGCCCTAGGTCCAGGAGCTCCTAAGCCATCCCCGTCCTCAGCCGGTGGCCCGGTCCCCTTAGGGACTGCCTTATGAGTTGCACTCGCTGATGGAAATCTCGGGATGCAGTCAGAAGGCCCCCGGGGCTGTCGTCCGGAAGCCTCTGGAGGTTTCACTGGCAACCGGACCCTCCCTGAGCATCCCCGAAGGGATGCTCACTCGAGCCGAATGACCGCTGGGCGCGCCGCCGCGGACCTGGAGCCAGGGCTCTGCGCAGGGTTTAAGCCTCAGGGTCCCGCGCGCGAATCAGGGCCCGTCTCCCCTCCTTTATTCCCTCCTCGGGCGGGTAGAAGGGGCGAAGGCGGGCAGTGCACGCAAGGCTCTGGGCAGCAAGTGACGCAGCCGGCCGCGCTCAGCCTCCTCTGCCCCGAACTTGGTCCGCATGGCTCCGGCCGGGCCGCCCGGGCAGCCCACGGGGGTGCAGCCCCGACGCTCCACTCGGCGGGGCCGACGGCCAATCTTCCCAGCACGTCGCCGAGGGAGCGCTCCTGACCCCGGGAACGTCCAGGACGCAGGCGAGGGTCCTGCGCGCCCCCAGCCGCAGTCCCGGGAGCCTGCCCAGCTGGCGGCGGCCGCGGCTGCTGCTGGGCGCGGATCCAGGCGGGCGGCTCGCCCCGGTTCCCCTTCTCCGCCTCCCCGGCTGCAGCGCGGTCCCACAGGAGCCCGGCAGCCTCCGGCCGGCTCTCCCTCTCCCGGTCGCTGCCTCGCCCTCGGGAGGTGTGCGCACCGATGGAAGCCTCCCACGGAAGTTTCTTTCCTCCGGGCTACGGGAGAAGCCGAGCGCAGCAGCCGCCCACAGCCTCGCCTCGCCCCGCCCGGCGCCAGACCAGCTCCGACTCCGCTCGCTGCCGCGCTGAGCCGCGCTCTTATAGAGGCCGGCGGCTCCCCGGCGCGCATGCGCGCTGCGCGGCTCCCCCCCACCCCCGACCTCAGGGACGCCCGCGGGCGCCGGGCAGCCCCTCACTTTCCTACCCCGGGCAAGGAGAAAGGTGTGGCCAAGGGCGGGGTCTGCCTGCTGGAATAGGCGCGGGAGGAAACCCAACCTAAGCAATCCAGGCCTCGCTAACACAAATAACAATAATAACGGAAGAAACTCAACTTGCTTTGTGAAGATCTTTGGCATTCAACATTCGGTTCGATTCTGCAAACTTCTCAAGGGATTATGATTACTTTCCACTCTGCAGATCATAAAATCGCCACTCAGATGAACTCTCTCGGCTTCCAGCAGCTGATGTCCTGGCCACGGTTGGTCCCAGGCCCTGTGCAGGAAGAGCACCGATGTTTGTGGCAGGGTTCACACGCCTAGGGCTGTGTTTGGTGGACTGGAGGCCTCCACCACAAGGTGGAACGGAGAGAGTTCAGCAAAGATGTCACACATTCGGCCACGGTGTGGATGATCTGTGTCCCTTTTTCTTTCTATATTTGGGTGTGGTGATTTATCGGATTCCAGCAGGAAAGTGCCTCCGTCCAACATGTGGCCTTAGTGGTTTAGACAGCTGCAGTCAGGAAGAAAACAAGGTTCAGACAGACCAGAAATTCAGCTTTGATGAAGGAGAAATTAATAGCTTCTCTCTTGCAGAAGCTGGAACAACAGGTGCTGATGTTATTAAAGCAGCAGTGCTTATTTTTAAAGGAACGAATGCCCCTTCCCACACCGTCTGGGAGTCAGCAGACCTGAATTCTAGACCCAGCCCTACTAGCAGGGAATCACTGCGTTTTTCTGGTCTCAGTTTCTTCATCTATAAAGTGGAGCATAGGATGTGACGATCACTAAGGTCCCTTTCAAGTCCATGACTTCAGAACACAGGCAGTTTTATTCACAGCAAAGACACTCAGGTTCAAGCAGCCATTGGATGCTTGTGTATGCCTGGTTAATGTGAAGATTCAGACATTGTTGATTATTCTTCCACTTGCCCCAACAATGTCAAATCCAAGAAAAAAAACCCTACCCTATGTCCCTGCTCCCCAACACACACCTTATTCTTTTCACTAAACCTCTCTCCAAGCATTGCACTTTGTTTTCTTGCAGTTTTTTGGTTGTGTATCGTTTTAAGCTACACAAAATTATATACTTTAAATGCACTATTCACCAAATGTCTTAAGCTAGTAAGCTAAAAAAAATTTCAATGTCAAGAAATCATTCATTCAAGAAATACACGCCATGCACTTACAGTGTACTGTGCTCTGTGCTGGGTACTGGGACTCATCAAGAAGCCAGACAGCATGGCCATTTCCTTCAAATAGGGCCTAAAGTCTCCAGGGTAAAATACAGAAATCAGACAAAAAGACAAAGAACTGAATAAGCAAAGAGAATGCAAGTATGATCAAAGCTCTTACCCACAATGAGAACAGCATCAATTTAAGCACATAATCTAGGTTAGGGTGGGGAAGGAGGTCAGAAAAATCATCAAAGGAGTAACACTTAAAAAGAGACCAGAAGAAGCCAAGGGAAGATTGAGTTTTTCAGAATGAGTCATTTTCTTAGAAGACACCATTAGCCAACATTTATTGAGAGCTTACTATGGGCTAGGCACCACGCTAAGAATTTCATGTGCATGGTTTCATTTAATCCTCACATCAGCCCTATAAATAAGACAGTATTACTATCCTCATTTTACTGGTGAGGATACTTGCTCAATCCCTAAAGATAGAGAGCGTCGGTTTGCCTGGACTGCACCCAATTCTTCCTGACTCCAAACCCCACTCACCGCACTGCTGATCACCACAGCCGCCACTACAGAAAGCCCAGGATTGATTAACTGGGAGTCCTGTACAGATCATGAGATGCTCCTATGGCAGCACGAGTTGATTTGGGTAGTGTTCAGAGGGTGAATACTTTCAATTTTGCCATTTGGAAAAACAATTAATGCGAGAGAATTGTACTTATTGTTCTATTTAGAATTGTATTATTTCAGACAGTACCTATGCCTATAACCTCCTTCCAGGATCCACTTATCCTACTCACCAAAACATCCACAATTTGTCAGAGTTTATTTATGAAGAAAAAAAATTGTTTAACATTTCATATTGGAATTGATTTGGTGACTGGATAGTGCCACCTTTAAAACACAATGTTTTTGCCAAATAGTCTACAATTTAATCTATAATTGGTGAACTTAGAAGTATGGCGCTCTGAGCAAATTCGTCTTTTTTTTTTTTTTTAATTACTGTGTTTCTTTTCTTCCTTAAAAGTTAAGGAGAGGCCCTTTCATAGTTACTTTACGTAGTGGTTGACTGTCTTCAATGCTGAAAGGTCCTTTATGTCACTTTGTCTCTCTTGTATTATCGTTTCTTTGTGTATCTGGAATGTTGAACTGAAATTTTATAAAATAACTTGCCAAGTATTTAGTGAGGTTCTGCATGGGAGGTGCCACTGGGAGATATTAAAATAGGCTTGTTCCTTCCATAGGAAATAAAAAGAAATTCCCTCATTGGTCTTAACAGACAACCAAAACTATTTCACTCGTTTCTTCTGAGAAGCTATAACTAGTAATTACAACATATAGGTAGTAGTAATCATAATTTATGATAATCAAAATGAAATGTTAGGCAGTCTGCCAAAATATATTGAAAAACATATGAAAGAGTGCAGCCCTCTTTTTAAAAAAGTTGAATTCTATAGTCACTAACTGAAAAAGTATATTTTCAAGTTATTTTGCCTTTCAGTATGTGCCTGTGCATATATATATAAATATATATATGAATAAAATCCAATTGATTTAAAAGCAAACTTCTGACATATCTTCACTAGTACAAATAGCAAGTCATATAACTAAAGAAATGATTACTTACAACTTTACTAACTGGAGTTGATACAAATCAGATGGAGGTAATAATATTTCATTTGGCTGGCAGTTCTAAAAGCTGCAAGATCTACAGTGTTTTTCTGCAAGTTTCAGCAAGAGCAGAAGGTTCTTACCATCTGCACATCCATCAGCAGTCTGTTTAGGGAGAATGGCTTTCACTGGGTTCATTCATTTTTTTTTCTCCTCTTCTCTCATAAATAGAAATAGTACTGAAAATTGGCATTTGGTTTACCAAAAGTTCTTTTAAGTTAGAGTGTTTTTGTGAAAACCCAAACAAATATATTAATTTACATTTATTTTAATTTTGTCTTCTGTTTACCTAAACTTATGTTCAAAAATGTTCATAAATTTATGAAAAAAAATTGTTCTTGCTTTAAAAGTTTTAATTTTTCACCCTCCTTATTTTTATTGTAATTGACATACTGACTTCCAGAAAAGTAATTTCCATATTTTCAATTATATTTCTTCTCATTTGTCATTATAAACTATTGACATAGTTCTCTCTCATCCCCCCTCCTTACTCCATTGTTTTACTGAACCCCCTTTAATTTTGATTTTGATGTTTACTATGGATATATTTCCATTTTGGAGATATGGAGTTTCACGGAGGGCTTATTTCACTAATGCCTTCCTATCTAAAAGAATGGCATAAACAAAAGCAAAATGTGCGAAGACTTGCAAATCATATATACGAAAAGAGTCTAATATCCAGAATATAAGAGAACTCTTACAACCCAGAACAAAAAGACAACCCAACCAAAAAACTGGCTTGAATAAACATTTCTCCAAATAAGATCTACAAAAGGCCAACAAGCACATGAAAACACCTTCAACATCATTAGACGTTAGAGAAATGCAAATCAAAAGCACAAGATACCACTTGACTTTCACTAGGTTGACAATAATAGTAATGATAATGATAATGGGAAATAATGTTGGTAAGGTTGTGGGGAAATCAGATCCCTTGAATGCTGTCATTGATGGGAATGTAGAATGGTTCAGCCACTGTGCAAAACAGCTTGACAGTTCCTCAAAAAGTCAGACATAGAATAACCATATGACCCTGCAGGTCCACTCCTAGGTAACCCCAAAGAGATGAAAACATATGTAGATACAAAAACTTCTATATAAATGTTCATAGCAGCACACTTACAATAGCCAAAGAGTGGAAACAACTAAAATATCTGCTAACTAATGAATGGATATGCAACATGTGTTATATTCATACAATTGGAATATTATTTGGACATAAAATAAATGAAGTATGAATACATGCTACAACACAGACGAACTTTGAAAACATTGGGCAAGTGAAAGAAACCAGACGCAAAAGGCACATATTGTATGAGCTCATTTATATAAAATGTCCAGAACAGGCAAATCCATAGAGACAGAAAGTAGATCAGAGCTGGGCCTGGTGGCTCACACCTGTCATCCTAACACTTTGTAGGAGTTGAGGCAGGTGGATCGCTTCAGCCCAGGAATTTAAGACTGGTCTGGGTAACATAGTGAGACCCTGTCTCTACAAATTTTTTCTTTCAAAGTAGATCAGAGCCTGTCAGGGGCTGGGAGGAAGGAAGAAGGGGAAGTGACTGCTTAATGGGTACAGGGTTTCCTTTTGGGGTGAAAATGTTCTGGAACCAGACAGTGGTGATGGTTGCACACATTACAAATATAATAAATGTCACTAATGGTATTTTCATGTTGTGTGTATTTCACCATAATAAAAAAGAATCTAGAACAAATAAATAAATAAAAGTCTGCAGCTGTGAAAGTAGTTATCTGCCCATGATGTCACCTGAAGGTTCTGAAGCAGGTGCACCAATTTTGAGAGGATCTATTCTTTTAACAGTGAATGGCCCAGAAAGAGAATCATTTAGGAAGTCTGAAACACAGCCAGATACCTCTGAGCATAATTCCAAGTCCCTAAGCTAAATGTTGCAAACCTTGTTACGGACTGAACTGTATCTCCCCAAAATTCACATGTTAAAGCCCCTAATCCCCAAAGTGACTTTACTAGGAAATAGTGCCTCTAAAGAGGTAATTAAGGTTAAATCAGTGGGGTCCTAATCCAAAAGGACTGGTGTCTTTATGAGAAGAAGAGACACCAGCCATGTGCTGGCACAGAGCAAAGGAGGTGGCCTCACACAGTGAGAAGGCAGCTGTCTGAAAGCCAAGGAGAGAGGTCTCAGGAGAAACCCAAACTTGCAGGCAACTTGATCTTAAACTTCCAGCCTCCAGAACTGTGAGAAATAAATGTCGTCTGTTTAAGCGCCAGTCTGTGGCATTTATTATGGCAGCCCAAGTTGACCAATAGACCCTCCCTCCCCTTTCTCCTCTCCACTAACATCAGGAATGCCATGAGATGCAAGCATGAGGTCTTCCTTCACCATGGTCCTCAAATATAAGGCAGCTTGGGCCTTAGCTCTATCTATGGATCATACAGGGAAGACTTGAAGTGACAGGAGCTATGTATGCCCTAGAAACAGTTTGAGAAAACTAGATCTCAGTCTAGAATAAGAGACAGTAAATTTGTGCTGATGTGAAATGGTTGGAGAATGGAGTGAGGCCAACTGGCTGCTAAGATTTGAATATTGTACATATCCAGGTTCAATTTCCTCCAGAACATTTTATTCTGGTCCCTATGGAATTATGATTTCTTTTATTCCCTTGACTTTTCTTCTAGACGATCAACTCCTTGAAGGCGGAAACTAAACCTTGCTCATTGTTTTTTGCTGCTGTTGTTTGTTTGTTTGTTTTGAGACAAGATCTCACTGTCACACAGGCTGGAGTGCAGTGGTGCAATCACGGTTCACTGCAGTCTCGACCTTCTGGGCTCAAAAGATCCTCCTGCCTCAGCCTCAGCTGGGTCTACGTGTGCTACCATGCCTGGCTAATTTTTTATTTTTGTGGGGATGGGGGTCTTGCTATGTTGCCCAGGCTGCTCTTGAACTCCTAGGCTCAAGCAATCCTCCCATCTTGACCTCCCAAAGTGGTGGAATCACAGATGTGAGTCACTACACCCGGCCCTTGCTTGTCTCTGAGTCCTCTGAGTGCTGGACATACAGTAGGCTCAGTTTATCCATTCAATAAATATTTATTAAGTGTGTACTATATGCCAGGCACAAAAATCCTCAGTATTGACTTATTAGTTTCAAGGAATTTGAAATCAATGAAATTACCTAAATGTGAAAAACATTCTGAGTACTGTACAGCAGCTCAGATATAGGCTATCTGATAAGACTAGGGGAAAAAAAAATAACCGATGCTTGGTTGCACCCAGTGGCTCACGCCTGTAATCCCAGCATTTTGGGAGGCCAAGGCGGGGGGGGATCACTTGAGCTCAGGAACCAGCCTGGCCAATATGGTGAAACCCTGTCTCTACTAAAGATACAAAAACTAGCCAGGTGTGGTGGTGCACACCTGTAATCCTAGCTACTAGGGAGGCTGAGGGATGAGAATCACCTGAACCCAGGAGGTGGCTGTTGCAGTGAGCTGAAATTGTGCCACTGCACTCCAGCCTGGACGACAGAGCTAGATTCCATCTCAAAAATAAATAAATAAAAATAACTGATGCTTGGGAATAAATCCTTGGAGAGTGGTTTCAGAGGGAAGGTGATTACTAGTACATAGCCTCCCATGGTCCTGCCCCCACAGATTTGAGGCTTAAAATAAGAGTTTTGCAATGAAAGAAGATGCAAAAAAGGAACAAGTTGTTTCCTCTCCATTACCATGTGAAAGAAAAATGTAAGCTATCCACAGATGGATGGTAGGACGTGGCAGCTACGTGCTGTCATTAGCGGTCTTCACTTTGGTTGTAGCTGCTTCATGTTCAGTATTGGTGGACAGTGGCAGTACCAGTGCCTTCAGCAGACACTAGCTGTATCTCCCAGACTTCTGCTCTCAGAATAGAAGGCATGGCTGAGAGCTAGAGGAGGGACGAGGAAACTGTGCCCACTTCCTGCTTACCAGGAATATGAGTTCGAGAAGCACCTGGAGACACTTTCAGGGATTCCCACAGTGGAGAAACATTTCTGAGTGGGATGGAGCAAGAGGAGGTAGAGAAATGTTTTGTACGAAATTATATTGTTTTACATTCAGGCTGAGAAACTAGATTGCTTGAATATAATTTCATATTTTTAATTAAAATAATTCAGAAGGCATTTTTGGATTATAGTTTCCTTGAGATTTCTCATTATTAAAATCATTGTTTTTATATGATCAGGTCATAGGGAAAAAAGTCCCATTGATCCTGGGTGTTTAGATTTGGTATAAATAGGAACTCCCTTTATCAAAGCTGCCTTAGCAGCCTCCTGGTAAAAACATAAAAAGATAAAAGAATCATTGTGCTGCTTATTTTAACAGAAGCAGAATTACTGCCTTCACAGCGCAGCCTCACAGTGCTCATAATTATCCCTGTCCAAATACGTTAACTTTTTCAAACCAAGCCCTCCCTCGTTCTATGGTTTCAACCTCATTTTTGTACCTTTTGGATTAGTAAGAGATTTTCTTTGGCTTTTGGAAGAAGTCAACCTCTCAGGAAACAATTGAATTAAACTTCATGTTTGTTTAAAGAGTCCTTGAGTAGTACCCCACCTCTGCCTTTCCTCAAAATGTCTCCGATGAAAGAATAAACAGAGAATGTTCTGCATTGTGTGGTATCCAAAAGGGCAGGACAATGTTTAACAAGTTCCATATTCTGAAAATGTTCCATATTCTGAAATGTCCCAGTAACACCTTAAGACTCGTTGAGTATTTCAGACCATTTCGCAGCTTTACAGCATTCAGTACACTTCTGGCTTCATATTGTTGATTCTTATATAACAGTTATCGGGAGAGTCTCCAACTAACTACCTTCATTACCGAATTAGAAGGAAGGGTTTTTTTGTTTGTTTGTTTTTTAATGTTTTTACATTAGAAAATGTACTTGAACAGGTGAAGTTCAATCAGCTAATAGCCACTATTTATTGAGCATCTGGTATGTACCAGGCATTGTGCTAAATTTTTTGACATCATTATAGTGTCTCGTCTAATAAATACATTATTAAGTAAGGTAAAAAAAAAAAAAAAAAAAGGTTTCGCTTCATCTGCTTTTCTAAAATTTCCTAAAAAGAAATTTCCAGCCTATGCACAATGTTATCCAAGTATTTTAACACAAAGCCTTTTCCAGTTTTTGTTTTCAATGAACTGTTTTCTAATGTTACACAAATAAGATGCAATGTCTTATCAGAAAAAAATCCACAAAGCACTGGCATTCTTAATTTCTATTACTAATTTCCTTTTTGGTGCACAGCGGTTTGGTTTTATTAGGTGTACATATTTTTAGTTACTTTATTCCTGGAAGTGGAACAATTTATTTTGGAGACATGAGGCCCAGAAGAAAATATTAGAAAAATGCAAAGCAGAAAGTATAGAAAAGTTTAAGATGATTATTATTATGCACAAAGAAAGTAAAGGGGGAAGTTGCTCCAGAACTATCTTCAACAACTTGAAGGAATATTTTAGGAGGGCCCTGGGTACAGAGAAGACAGACGAGAGGAAGCGGAGTTGAATTACAGAAAAGTGATATTTAAAGAACACTCTCCAACCAGCATAGATGCAGAAGCAGTCATGCAGATGACTCGAGAGGTCAGGAGATCTCCCAAACCCTCTGTTTCTTAAAGACTCGTGAAATCACCTTTAGCTTTAGAAGGAGAGGGGGAGACTTAGGATATTACTATGCCAGTGGAGAGGGCCAGCACTGGTTAAAATCCTGGAGACTTCTTACTAGGATTTCTTTCTACCTTACTATACAGTGAAACATTTTTAGGCTTGTCATAAAGAAAACAGCAAACATGGTTGATATTTCTTCTTTTGACATGGGTCAAGCTTCCTGACTTCCTCAAACCAATAAAAAGATGATGATGATGATGATGATGATTTGAGACAGGGTCTGGCTCTGTCACCCAGGCTGGAGTGCAGTGGTGAGGTCTCGGCTCACTGCAACCTCTGCCTCCCAGATTCAAGCAATTCTGCCTCAGCCCTCTGAGTAGCTGGGATTACAGGCATGTGCCACCACACCTGGCTAATTTTTGTATTTTTAGTAGAGACGGGGTTTCACCGTGTTGGCCAGGTTAGTCTCAAGCTCCTGACCTCAGGTGATCCACTTGCCTCCGCCTCCCAAAGTGCTGGGATTACAGGCGTTAAGCCACCACATCCAGCCTAAAAAGATTTTTAAACAAGACAAAATTGTTACTGCTATTAAATGTATCTGGTAACTGATTCCAATAGTATTTCAATTAATGCTTTGGAACAATAAGCATTTTTAGTGCTTTTGAGAGTGTGAAGAAAGGGAGAGTGAAGAGTGACTTGCCGCAGGGCTGCTGCCTGGAGACCCAGTGATCTGTGGGAGTAACACAGTTCCGACTTCTGCACTCTGGAAAGCAGGAGTCAGTTTCAGATGTAGGCAATTTACATTTATAGACCAGGTCAAGCAAATTGGACAGTTTAAGTGAGCACTGAATGAATGGGAACATAAATATGTTGGGGCCTATAAATGGTCATATTTATGGAGTGCAGTAAAATCCGTATCTCTCCCCACTTGGAGAAATCTCGCCAACTGGATTGAAAGCAGTGGTCACGATACTGAGTGCTGAAACCACAGGAGAGGCAAACTCTGCTCTTGATATTGAACTTCCAACGTCTGTTGTACTATTTCAGATGCACTTGAATATTCACTATCCCATGGTAGAGAATGGGTAATAGGTGCTAAGAAATGTCAAAAACAACAAAACACAAATAAACAAAGAAACAAAACGCCCCAAACCAAAAAGCAAACCACTTCCTTTTGAACTCATTCATAAATCTCCAAAATCTATACCAGACTGCCAAACTCAGCCTAATTTTTGAGAAAATATACTCCATATGTCATTTGATAGGAAGAGAAAGATTAAGCCAACTCCAAGTAATAAAAAATGGGTAACCAGTCCCACGGCACAGCACTCACTGCTGTTTTATTCATTACGGTGGGTCCTGTTTGGTAGTCTTAGAAGCGAAACTGAAGATTGGAGCTTGGTTTACTTTACAATCCAAGTGTTGGAATACATTTAGCCTTCCAATTACAGGAAGCACAGTCCTCCAGTTGTTGAACTCTAGTGTGAGCTAGCATTGTGGTGTCTGAGTCATGAGTAGGGAGCAAGCTCACTAAGCCAGAAGTCTTTCTAAAAGATGACTAGAGAAATCCAAGAGCAGATCGTCTCCGCCTGTTTGTGTGTCATGGTAAGAAAACACTACCTCCCTACGGAAATATTCTGACATTGTTGCTTTGTCTCCAACTCACTGGAGATTCCAAGATTCCAAGAATAAAGAAAAGTTGGGATTCTGATCATTGATGTGTATCAAATTTTCACACTCCCTTAATTAATTTCGCCATGAGCTATTGATCTCAGCAAACTTCAACACTGATTGTTTTCCCACCACTAAGAAGTAGGTTAAGGGCAGTTTAAGTGCTCTAGTTTTTACTGAGTGATAAAATCATGCTATGCCTAATTGACTAAAATGAATTAGAAACTCTGTTTTTTGTTTTTTTTTTTACTTTTTATATGCAAGTAATTTCAAAATAGAGAAAAAAGTTGCGAAAATTAAGAATAGTACGAAAGAACCACTGATTGTTAAGATTCTGGGTGATCCATTTTATGTCCACATGGTGACTCGCAAAATTGAATTAACCCTGCTCCTTCTGATTTGGGGCTATCTGTCATATAGACTTGTAGACAAAAGCACCATCATTACTAGTTTTACATTGTTTGGTATGACAGAACCCAAACCATTCTCTTGCACTGGTCATTGATTTTTCCCTGTTTTCAACAAATTATTAAATCTAAATCCTATGCTTAGTGAAATACTATTTGGGCAGCCCACTGCTAGCAGCTTGGCTGACTTCACACATATTATGAGGCTGAACTTTGGGCCTAAGTGCTAAACTGAATACAATTTTAGGTCTTTCCATTCAGAGAAAAATACATGAACACCATAACGGGCCTAAGATTTCCTGGCTTTGGCTCTTGCACTCCATCTTCTGGCCAAAAGTTGGTCTTGAGAGGTTTAAACTGAATACACCCATTGTTACAATCAGTTACATAACATAGAGCCGTTGGAGCATTAGATTGATTTCAGCAAAAGAAATGCATGAATGTTATACCCATGAAAATGTACTACCTCCATAGAAAAAAGCAATTTACAGGATCAGAAGGAAGATGACTACAAAGCGAAAATGACATCCTGTGCTTTCCTGGAATGCCGATCTGTGATGCCCACATCAGGAGTATGCAGGCCAAGGTTTTATGGCCAGGTGACACAGGCAGAGAAGAAAGAGGTGGGGGGAACACTGGGGGGCAGGTGGGGGTGGGGTTAGGCACAGGGAGCCATGGTCTGATTATTGCGATTTTACTTTACATTTTAGGTAACTTTTCTCCAAGTCACCAGCTCTGAGATCTACGCATCTTGAAGACAAGAACTGAGTTCAGTTCATCTTCGTATCATCCACAGACCACACAGTTTCTTGTTGAATGAGTGAATTAAGAATGAGCCACTAATGTATTCACTTTTTAAAAAAAAATGTGCAGCCATGCTATTTAAACTAATCTGACACACAAATATTAAATTTAGAAATGTATCTAGAAATATGTCTATGTAGTCACATTTTTCTATTTGCTCCTGAGATGGAACCTATTTGTGGAAACAAATGATCTATTTAGATTTCTAATTATTCTAGACCTGGAGGGGGCTATAATGAGTACATGGTTTAAATCCAAAATTAACAGTTATCTTTTTAGTTTTTAAAAATCATCATAAACAATTCTACAGATCCTATCTATAGATTCCATATACTTTGGCCTCTTCTGGGTTTAACAATATTTGCAACATACTCTTAAAAGAGGTGAAATAATTGTCATGATGCCATGGTAGTGACTGTCTCAACAGTGAGAAACATGAAGGTTTTGGATAACTGAAGCAACAACGCATGGAGACAGGTTTCTACACAACATCAAGTTTAAATCTCCCAGGGACTAGGATCCTTTTTGCATAGATATTCCCTGTCCTTAACCTCATCTATACTTTGACTCAAGAAGCTTTGCTGATAAGTTTCACTGAGGGTTAAAATACAATGCAGGGCCAGGCATGGGGCTCACACCTGTAATCCCAGTGCTTTGGGAGGTGGGCTCTTGATCTCAGGAGTTTGAGGCCAGCCTGGACAACATGGTGAAACCCCATCTCTACTAAAAATACAAAAATTAGCTGGGTATGGTGGCTTATGCCTGTAATCCTAGCTACTTGGGAGGCTGAGGCAGGAGAGTCACTTGAACCTGGGAGGCAGAGGTTGCTGTGAGTGGAGATCGTGCCACTGGACTCCAGCCTGGGCAACAGAGCGAGACTCCATCTCAAAAAAAGAAAAAAAAAATACAGTGCAGTGTTATAACTAATTCTGACCAAAGGGAAAAATAGTGAAAAAGAAGACCTGCCATTTATCAAAGACCTACTGTGCGCCCAATATTCTCTACATACATCGCTCATTTCATCTTCTAAGCACCATTTGGGGTCATAGAGACACCCAGAGCTCAGCTTTGGCCTCGTGTTCAGCTGAAATCCTGCTGTCTGCCTTTGCTTCCTCTCTGGAAACCTGCTTTATGTCACCCCTGAACTTGCATCAGATCAATGGTCATCTACTTGCATAGGTTACCAGTGTATCTAATCATTATAAGAACATCACTGATACAAAGATGGTGTGACATTTTAATTTGTTGTTAATATTATAATACAGTTTTCACTTTTAAATATAGATAAACATTCAACATGAAACTTGGAGTGAAAAACCTCCTGTAAGTGTTTAGAGATTGGAATTCTATCAGTCAGTCAAAGTATGAATTCATACTTCTTCTTCTTCTCATTATTATTATTATTATTATTATTATTATTATTATTATTATTTTGAGACAGAGTCTCACCCTGTCGCCCAGGCTGGAGTGCGTTGGTGTGATCTCAGCTCACTGCAGCCTCCACCTCCCAGGTTCAAGCCATTGTCCTGCCTCAGCCTCCCGAGGAGCTGGAATTACAGGTGCCCACCACCATACCAGGCTAATTTTTTGTATTTTTAGCAGAGATGAGATTTCGCCATGTTGGCCAGGCTGATCTTGAGCTCCCGACCTCAGGTGATGCACCTGCCTCGGCCTCCCAAAGTGCTGTGATTACAGGCTTGAGCCACCGCGCCTGGACAATACAGTGTTCACTTTTAAATATAGGCGAACATTCTACATGAAACCTGGAATGAAAAACCTCCTTTAAGTGTTTAGAGATTGGAATTCTATCAGTCCAAGTATGAATTCATACTTTTTTTTTTTTTGAGGCGGACTCTCGCTCTGTCACCCAGGCTGTAGTGCAGTGGCGCGATCTCAGCTCACTGCAAGCTCCACCTCCTGAGTTCACGCCATTCTCCTGCCTCAGCCTTCCGAGTAGCTGGGACTACCAGCACCCGCCACCACGCCCGGCTAATTTTTTGTATTTTTAGTGGAGACAGGATTTCACCGTATTAGCCAGGATGGTCTCCATCTCCTGACCTCCTGATCTGCCCGCCTGGGCTTCCCAAAGTGCTGGGATTACAGGCGTGAGCTACCGCGCCCGGCCGAATTCATACTTCTTATTGCAAGACTGTGGTGAGCGCAAAAGTCATTAATCTTATGTAAAAGAATGCATGTTTTAGGATACATATTCTTTTTTGGGTCCACAAACATACATAGAAATTTAAATGATAATACATGGCAGAATAAAAAAGATTAATAGGCCGGGTATGGTGGCTCACGCCTGTAATCCTAGCACTTTGGGAGGCGAAGACAGGAGGATCGCTTGAAGCCAGGAGTTCGAGACCAGCCTGGGCAACATAGTAAGACCGCTGTCTCTACAAAAAAAATAATGTAGCTAGGTGTGGTGGTATGAGCCTGTAGTCGTAGCTACTAGGGGAGCTGAAGAAGGAGGATCACTTGAGTTTAGGAGGTTGAGGCTTCAGTGAGCTGTGATTGCACCACCACACTCCAGCCTCTGTGACAATGTGAGATTCTGTCTCAAAAAAGAAAAAATCACAAGGAGGAAAAACTCCCAAATCATTCTACGACAAAGTATGTTATACATCATCTTTGATTCAGATATAATAAAGACTAAAGGGAGAAACATAGAATATTTATATTAAAATGAGCCACTCAAACATCTTGTTTCTCCAACAATCACAGGTGAAAATGGGCTTTATTTATATGTTCATTAGGCAGCTGACAGAGAAGAAATCTTACTGACAGTGAAGAAATTATTGTATCTTCCCCATCATGTCAAACTTACAACATTTAACTGATACAACTTTAATGATAAAAACATGTTAATGTGGCAGGTTGAATGCAAGAATGGCTCGAATGCTCTACCCCTGCACATATTCAGACTCTTGAAATGTGACTTTGGAGCCCCTCCCGCCGAGAAGTGTAGTCTATTTCCCCACACTTAGAATCTGGGCAGCGTTGTGATTTACTTTACCTAACAGAATGCAGCAGAAGTGACCGTTCTGAATTCAGTTCTCAGGAGGCCTTGCAAGCTTCCATTCCCACCCTTAGAACCCTCTCATGTCATGAGGGCAAGCGCAGTTCTCTACTGGAAGATGAGAGACCGCGTAGAGCAGAGACAGGTGGTCTAAGCTGATAACAGCCTGTACCAGGCAGCCCTCCACCCACGTGGCAAGTGGCTGCAGCCACAGGAGCTGAGTCAGCCCGGCTGAGACCCTACAGGTCTGGCCCAGGTCAGTAGCACCACCCAACTGACCTAGAGAGTGGTGAAGAATAGATGTTTTGTTAAATACAACTGAAGGTTTATGGTTACTGGTTACATAGCATTGTTATGACAAAAATAATGATATAGTTAATGATTACTTTTTTTTTTGAGATGGAATTTCACTCTTGTTGCCCAGGCTGGAGTGCAATGGCGTGGTTTTGGCTCACTGCAACCTCTGCCTTCCAGGTTCAAGTGATTCTTCTGCCTCAGCCTCCCAAGTAGCTGGGATTACAGGTGCCCGACACCACACCTGGCTAATTTTTGTATCTTTAGTAGAGACTGGGTTTTACCGTGTTGGTCAGGCTAGTCTCGAGCTCCTGACCTTAGGTGGCCCACCAGTCTTGGCCTCTCAAAGTGCTGGGATTACAGGTGTGAGCCACCATGCCCAGCCAAGTATTACATTTTAATAAGAATATCAGGTTTATCCTTTTATTCCAGAAATCCATGTTATGATGGTAATATCTGGCTTTGTCCTCAGTAACTTTTACACTTAGCCATTTAGAATTCAGCCAAAGTATGGATTTGGTGCATCTCTAAGAGGTAATAATTGTTATTTTCAACTTAAAAATAATTTTTAAAAATCACACGTGCAACCGAGGCTCATGAGGGTTTCTCAGACCCAAGTTCTAGTCTATCTCACTCCAGAGCTGTGTTCTTAACCACTAAGGTACATCCTTCTGAGGCAGCTCACACCTGTAATCCAAGCACTTTAAGAGGCTGAAAAGGGAGGATCACTTGAACCCAGGAGTTCAAGACCAGCCTGGGCAACATAGTGAGGCCTGGTCTCTACAGAAAATTTAAAAATTAGCCAGGCAGGGTGTTGCATACTTGTAGTCTCAGCTACTCAGGAGGCTAAGGTGGGAGGATCACTTGAGCCCAGGAGTTTGAGGTTGCAGTGAGCTGTGATCACGCTATGCACTTCAGCCTGGATGACAGAGCAAGATGCTATCTTTAAACAAACAAACAAAACAACCCCAGCTACATCAGGAATGAGCTCTAGCAAGAATGGAGAAGTCATTCTATGGCATGATAGATGATTTATTCTGGGTAGAAAATGAAGAAAGCTGCTTCCATTTGAAAACTGATACCTGTGTACACTATCAAAAATAACTTGGGCCAGGCGCGGTGGTTCATGCCTGTAATCCCATCACTTTGGGAGGCCAAAGTGGGTGGATCACTTGACGTGAGGAGTTTGAGACCAGCGTGGCCAACATGGTAAAACCCCGTCTCTACTAAAAATACAAAAATCAGCTGGGTGTGGTGGCTCACACCTGTAATCCCAGCTACCCAGGAGTCTGAGGCAGGAGAATCACTTGAACCTGGGAAGCAGAGGTTGCAGTGAGCCAAGATCATGCCACTGTACTCCAGCCTGGGCAACACAGTGAGACTCCATCTCAAAAAAATAGTATTAATTTGATGATTTTCTGGGAAAAGGGTCTGATAGCAGAAGTATTATAATCCCATCACGTACTGGCACACAGACACTCAATAAAAGCTTATTGAATTGATGAAACATGTTTCAGTGAAAAATATTTTGCAGCTTAAAGAAAAATCTCTTACTTTTTCTTTTTTTTGAGTCAGAGACTTGCTCTGTCACCCTGAGTGGAGTGCAGTGGCACAATCATGGCTCACTGCAACCTTGAACTCCTAAATTCAAGTGATTTTCCCACCTCAGCCTCCCAAGTAGCTGGGGCTACAGGTGTGAGCCACCACACCCAGCTGATTTTTATTTATTTATTTATTTATTTATTTATTTATTTATTTATTTATTTTGTAGAGACAGGATCTTGTTATGCTGCCCAGGTTGATCTGGAACTCCTGGGCTCAAGTGATTCTCCCTTGGCCTTCCGAAGTGCTGGGATTACAGGCGTGAGCCACTGTGCCTGGCCTCTTAAAGTTATGATTTTACAATACAGTCCTTTCTGTTACTCTCCTGATGTAGTTACTCTAAAATTAGAGTAATAATGTGACCACATGGGTCTAAGTGTTCACCCTCCTTAGATTGAACTAAACTGCCATTTGAGGGGAAGTTGTTGGGGAATCAAGCAGTGTGTTTGTAAGATTGGCACAAAGGAAGCCAAGTAGCCTGTGAGTAAAGATGCCAGTGATAGAAAGCAAACGGATGAGGTAGATAAGATCAGTGGCTCCCAAGGTCATTTTAGGACCAGCAACATCAGCATCACCTGGGAACCTGTTAAAGGCAGATTCTCGGGCCTCACTCTGGCCTGCGGAATCAGAACTTGAGTCAGTCTCAGCTATCTGGGCTCTAACACACAGATTTTTGTTTTTTGTTTTTTTGAGACACAGTCTTGCTCTGTTACCCAGGATGGAGTGCAGTGACGTGATCTCGGCTCACTGCAGCCTCCACCTCCTGGGCTCAAGTGATCTTCCCGCCTCAGCCTCTTGAGTAGCTAGGACTACAGGGGCATGCCTCCACGCCCAGCTAATTTTTGTATTTTTTGTAGAGACGAGGTATCGCCGTGTTGCCCAGGCTGGTCTTGAACCCCTGAGCTCAAGTGATCTGCCCACTTTTGCCTTTCAAAGTGCTGGGATTATAGGCATGAGCCACCACGTCCAGCCTCTAACATACCCTCTCTGATTCTGATCCTGCTGAAGCCTGAGCACCACCAGGCGAGAGAACAGTGTCATTCCAAAGGAGGGTTTCCTTCTTCCTACGCTTTAAGTTTGTGTCTTACTCTCAGTCCAGAAAGGTGGAACCAGGTAGCTCTTACCTTCCTAGTTCTCTGCTCCCAGAGGTTCCTGCAGAAGTTGGAATTTCCTTGTTCTGTGGCTCAGTTTGTTAAAAATGAAAGTGTGTGGGAGAAAAAGGTTAGGAGAAGGTAGCTAGTGATTGCCCGTGGCCTGCCCGTGGCCGTGGCCTCCTGCCGCCACCTCACTTTCCTCTGGTTTCCGGGGTGGGTCAGCAGCCTCCCCTCTCCTTCAGCGGAATCCTCTGGCTGCTCTGAGGAGGTCGAAGCACCTTGTATGTCATGTGAAAAATATTTCCAAGCAAAGTGCTTTGCCTCCAGCTGCAAAATTGATTAGTGGCTTAAAATCCCCAAAGAGTGTCTACCATCAGCTGGAGTTGCTATTTTAAACCTGGACAAAAAAGAGTGTGTGAGAGGGGAAGGGATTGTGTATTATGTACAGGAAAAAAAAACAGTTTTAAAATATTCTTTTCCTCCGAATTGGGAAATGGCACACACAGGGGAAGAAATGTATGAGGAAATGCAATATTATTTTACTTCCTATATTAGAATTTTTTGGTCCAATAGCCTAAAATTTAGTTAATTGTAATAAAACTCCTTCTGAAATTGGAATCAAGAAATTTAGCTTTTGGGGATTTAAGGGATTGTGGAATTAGATGAAAAAGAAGCTGAAATGCAGACTCTGGGGAAGGTGCGTTCCTTGTTGACCGCTTGCCTGGGTGAACTGTCTGATTACATTCAGAAACGCTCCATGCAATACCGCATGGAAATCAAAAATGCCTTTTACCACAGACACGGCAGATTCCAATTATTCCTCAGATCGGAATTTTTTTCCCCTCCAAGTTCATTGTTCTCCATAAAAATGAGTTTCAAATGTCCATTTAAAACCTGCCAATCATTCACTGCCTGAGGACACTAAGCCTGCAGAAAAGTTTGTCCATGGATCATCCCATTAATGTTGCCATAACTTGTATTTTTTATAGATACCTAATATACATATTTATGGGGTATGTGTGATGTTTTGATATATACATACAATGTGTAGAGCAAATCAGGGCAATTGGGGTATCCATCACCTCAAACATTTATCATTTCTTTGTTTTTTGTTTGTTTTTTGAGATGGAGTCTCGCTCTGTCACCCAGGCTGGAGTGCAGTGGTGTTATCTGGGCCCATTGCAACCTCTGCCTTCTGGGTTCAAGCGATTCTCCTACTTCAGCCTCCCAAGTAGCTGAGAGTACAGGCACTTGCCACCATGCCTAGCTAATTTTTGTGTTTTTAGTGGAGACGGGGTTTCACCATGTTGGCCAGGCTGGTCTCGAACTCCTGACCTCGTGATCTGCCGCTTCAGCCTCCCACAGTGCTGGGATTACAGGCATGAGCCACCACACCCGGCCTACTCATCATTTATTTGTGTTGAGAACATTGCAAATCTTCTCTTCTAGCTATTTTGAAATACACAATATTGATAACTATAGTCATCCTACTGTACTAACAAACACTAGACCTTATTTCCTCTAACTGTATGTTTGAACCCATTAACCAACTTCGCTTCATTCCTCCTCTCCCCCTACCCTTCCCAGCCCCTGGTAACCATCACTCTAACTTCATAGCTCTATGAGATCAATGTTTTTAGCTCCCCAATATGAGTGAGAACATGCAATATTTGTCTGTGCCTGGCTTATTTCACTTCACACAATGACCTCCAGCTCCATTCACATTGCTGCAAATGACATGATTTCCTTCTTTTTATGGCTGACTAGTATTCCACTCTGTATATATCCCACATTTTCTTTATCTATTCATTCATTGATGGATACTTACATTGGTTCCACATTTTGGCTGTGGTGAATAGGACTGTGATAAACATGGGAGTGCAGATATCTTGATAAACTTATTGCTTTTGGGGGGTATATATGCTTAGAAGTAGGATTGCTGGATCAAATTAGCCATAATTTTATTTACTCTGCAAACATTTATTGAGCACTTACTAGGTGTTAAACTAACACAGAATATAAAAGTAAGAAGATACTTAACCTATAGGAAGGAAACAAATGTGATAAAGAATGAATTAAATAAGACGTAGTGAGTGCTTTGGTGAATCTTGTTCAACCTGGGCATAGAGGAGGGGGCAGTGAAGAAACCCCCCCTGAAAAGGAGACTCCCAAGCTAGGTGAAGAAGAGGGAGAGGGGGTTTAAAGCAAGAGGAGGGGACTCTGCAAAGACAGATCAGTCTGAAAATCCAAAGGACTGAGAAGTCCTCCTGACTGGCAGGCCACACCTGGAGAGCGGCTGCAGAATGGAGCTGGGAAGAGCATTCAGCTGTTGCTAACATCGTCTGCCAAGGTCAAACTCTAGAAGATAACTCCATTGGGAGTTTGCAGATGGCCTGGATAGGTTGGATGGAGGGCAGACAGACCAGACAGAGACTACAGGAGAAGCAAACTGAATATTTTCATTTGTCTCCAATTAGTTACATCATAAACTCTCATCTTCCCAAACCACAGCTGACACTTCCCCAACCAAAATAGGCCAGAATTCCTGCAGGATAAAATTCACTGTTATAAGATCAGTGACTATTTGCAAAATGGAACAAACAAATCAACAAAAGACTTCTTTTGAAATTTCCAATATTATTAAAGGAAAAACAGAAATAATGTTTTAAGTTGTTACGTGTGTTTAAAAAATGTTAAAAAGGTTAAAAATGTTATACGTTATATGTGTTTTTAAAATGTTGAATGCTACTGAAGCACCTTTGCAATGCGCCCTAATATTCTGAAGTAGAAGGATGCTCGGCCACTGTTTTGGGAGCAAGTTATGAGGAACAGAAAACTACTAGTCTTTTGGCCCAGATGTTTTATTATCGGCTAATGCATAGATTCTTACACAGTGCAGGGGGAAAAAATCAAGGTTTGTGATAGAAAAATACATAAAATTGAAAAAAACAAACAGATGTCATGGGTGGAAAAGCTGCAAGGATCGCATTGGAAGCAAGTGTGCGCTGCCTTCACAAGCTCGGGGACAGGACTGAGAACGGGAGAAATGTCTCTCATGCCCCCTGCTGTCTACTGGCCTGACCTGCAGCATCCAGAGATTTTTCAATCATTTTAGAGAAAATCCTGTCGATTTTTCCTTTAACCCAGAACAATTTACATCACAGTGAATTTTAATTCATCATCCTTATTTACGAAAGCTTCCTCCTCCTTTTTTATTATTATAACAATAAATATTTAAGCGCGGTAGGCAGAGGCCTGGTGCTTGCTGATGGCTGTGTGCATGGAATTCACTCTGGCTGCAATGTGGGGGCTAATTAAGGATGCCAAGAGGAGCTCGAGGACGTGATGAGGTGCCTGCTACCCGTGAATAAACGCGGGAGGTCTTCTGAAATAATTACTGAGAGGACAGGGACCAAGGCTGCGTGTGTATACACTGCAGTAGAGTGTGGGAAAGAGAAGACCAGTGCTGAGCAGAGACCATAGCCAAAGAGGAAAACCGTGAGGACAGGAGGAGAACCAGAGGTGGGCACTTGGCGGGAAGCCCTTGTGTACACTGGACCATGGGAGGAAGAAGAATCTGACTACACCCGGAATTCAGTGTTGCTCCATCTAGTTTAGATGTAAGACACACAGTAGAGTAAGCATCTCTCAGTAAACAAACGAGAGGCCATTAAGAAAAGAAAAGAAATCCCATTTTAGAGAAGCAATCAAATAATGTGGTCAAACTAGTGAAGAAAATGGTTTACCTATATCTGCTCTTCCAGTTGTACTAGCAGCTTCTAAAATTTGATGTTCAAAATTCTTTTTTTTCTTTTTCTTTTTCTTTTTTTTTTTGCGACGGAGTCTCGCTCTGTGGCCCAGGCTGGAGTGCAGTGGCGCGATCTCGGCTCACTGCAAGCTCCGCCTCCCGAGTTCACGCCATTCTCCTGCCTCAGCCTCCTGAGTAGCTGGGACTACAGGCGCCCATCACCACGCCCGGCTATTTTTGTTTTTGTTTTTTGTATTTTTAGTAGAGACGGGGTTTCACCGTGTTAGCAAGGATACTCTCTATCTCCTGACCTCGTGATCCGCCCGCCTCAGCCTCCCAAAGTGCTAGGATTACAGGCATGAGCCACTGTGCCCGGCCTGATTCTTTTAGATCTAAGAACATGAAAAAACTTAAAACCCACACCACAGACTTTGAGGAACTATGTTTCCCGCATGTGGTTTTGGTGGGAAGAGGAAATAGAACCACCACAACTCAATGAATCTATTTATTCACCTGTTCCTTGGAAGCCCAATCTCCTCCACCTCCTTAGCCTTGAGACCAAACCCCCAGCACCGTGCCCGCTGCACATGAGATCTCAGTAAATGTTTGTTTATAGGATTTGAAGTGACCAAGGTAAAATGACGCAAGGAGGTCTCACAGACACAGAACAATGATCACTATTGTATCATGAAATACTCCACAACTCTTTTGTCAGTAGGTTGGATATTTTTGTGAAGCAACTCCTCATGTGCTGATATTTATCCACCCTTCTACCATATTTCCTCAAGAGTACCTTATTGTCAGTCTCCACCCACTCCCTCTTCCCCTCAATGAAAAAGTATTCCTGGGCCGGGCGCAGTTGCTCACGATTGTAATCCTAGCACTTTGAGAGGCTGAAGTGGGTGGATCACCTGAAGTCAGGAGTTCAAGACCAGCCTGGTCAACATAGTGAAGCCTCATCTCTACTAAAAATACAAAAATTAGCCGGATATGGTGCTGCACGCCTGTAGTCCCAGCTACTCAGGAGGCTGAGGCAGGAGAATCTCTTGAACCTGGGAGGCAGAGGTTGCAGTGAGCTGAGATTGCACTACTGCACTTCAGCCCGGGGGAAGAGTGAAACTCCATCTAAAAAAAAAAAATAAGAATAAATAAATAAATATTATTTCCATCAGAAAGCCACCTGTTCATTCTTTCCTACACTGAATTATTATAATCACAAAGGCGCTACTTTTCAGAGCACAATTAGTGTGGCTGCTCAAAAACATCATAAGGCATAACAGCTAACAAAACTTATCTTACTAATAAAATTGCAAGATAATTCAATTGTATTCAAAGGAAATAGAAACACTTTTTATTGACTAACACCCCTGGTTTGACTTAAGTGAATCCAAAGCAGTGGGAAGAATGGAAGCAGGTTTAAGTCCACAGCTTCCCGTGCTTCGTGCTTTCACGGTCCAGGGATAATATTTTCAAAACACAGCGTCTCTGACCTTTTGAGATGCCGCAGATGAACATGACAGTCACGCCTTACTTTTTCCCAAGAATTAAAAGAATGTGAACTATGCCTGGTAAAACAATCTTCGGCTATATCCACTGAATGAACCCAGGAACACGGTGTGTCATCGGGAGAGGGCAGCACACTCCCCCTGGCCACGTCCAGAAGCTGGTTTCCCTTTGAGTCGGCTGAAGAGCTTCCCGAGGCCTCACTCCACCCTAAAAAGCCCAGAGTTACCAGCGTGGGCGGCCGTGAACTGAAACCGGGTGACTTCCCAAAAATCAAGGCTGACTCCTCACACAAATTTCAGGACCACCCTGGACCTTAAAATAAACAAACAAACAAAAACCATATAGCGAGTTCTCTTTTCTGGGACCTGGAGTGGTCCTGGCTCCCACCCGCATAGAAAAGATGATTCCTTGGTTTGAAAACGCCATGAGGCTTTAGGGGCAGGTGGCTTTCTTGGTTCTGCAGAAGCAAAATCCTTGAGAAGTGACTTATCCAGGGGTATCTTAATTTTTGTTTTTATTTTTCTAAGTATTAGATGTGGCTGGTCTTTCTGGGCGTAGTTCCATAAAAGTCATCTTTAGGATAACCTGACAAATCCTGACTTGGGCAGGGGCAGTGCACACACCTACAGTCCCAGCTACTCAGTAGGCAGGAGGCTGAGGCAGAATATTTCTTAAGCGTGGGGTTTGAAACAGCCTGGGCAACATAGTGACACCTCATCTGAGATTAATTAATTAAAAAAAATACTGACATGAGGGGTAAAAAGCCACATTCAGGAAAAGCCTGATCTTGGTGTGTAATCGCGTATTTCCTAGTGAAGATGCATTTTATTCTGCCTAAGCTGGGGATCAGCAGTGGACCACGTGCAGAAGTCAGCAGAGTGGAGGAAACACCCGAAGCCGCATGTGGCCGGTGGCTGGCCTGTATTGAGAGGAAAATGATGGACCATGGGTTCCATCTAGTGTCCTTGGTTTTCTTGGGAAAACCAAAGAGCAAACAGAAAGTCTGAGCAAATAGCTTTGAGAAATGTAGGCAGGCAAGAGACTGCAGACACATTACCTTTAGAAAGTTCCATCCCAAGAGGGAGCCTTAAAAAATAAAAGTCTTCCTGAGCAGAAAAGACACTTTAGCAAGGAGTTTTGGAGCAGGAAGTTTTCCCAAATGATTTACCTAGGGTGGTCCATGGTTGGGTTAGTTTTTGTTTTTGTTAGTTTTAGGAAATCTTTTCTCAAGGAGCCTCCTGGCTGGGGACAGGGAATTTTTCTGGGAATTGACAAGACTCTGTAAAAACAAATTGTGTATCTATTCCCTGACCTGACTGTAACCTATATGAGCTCAGGCAACAGGTTTTTGTTTCCTGCTGTCACCCCAGGGCCCAGCAAAATGTGTGGCAGAGTGACTGCACAGGAAATATTTATTACAATACACATGCAGATTAAAGTATTGACGAATCATATCATACACCTGACATGACTGAAAATTGCTCAAGTGAGCCACGTATCAGCTGAAGGCACTCTATGTGCTGACATTAAATTCACATTAACTGGCCAGGCACAGTGGCTCACCTCACACCTGTAATCCCAGCACTTTGGGAGGCTGAGGTGGGCAGATCACTTGAGCTCAGGAGTTCAAGACCAGCTTGGCCAGCATGATGAACACCCCCAAAAAATTGCCAAGTGTGGTGGCCGGCGCCTGTAGTCCCAGCTACTTGGGAGGCTGGAGAATCACTTGAACCTGGGAGGCAGAGGCTGCAGCGAGCCAAGATCTTGACACTGCACTCCACCCTGGGCCACAGAGCAAAACTCCGTCTCAAAAAAAATACATATATATATTAATTCAACTGCCTCCCATTCTCCCACTCCCCACACATCCTTCTGGGAGCTCAGCCCTTTTAGAGATTTCAGTGAGTTGCTGTTGGTGACCCTGCAGACGTTCCCTTTTCACTCAGAGTCATTCTGTATGTGCTGAACCCAGAATAGAACCCAGGCATTTTCCCCAGATTTCCCAAACGCTATTAAGGTGGCAGTGTGTTTTAGACATTAACTGAAGACTTGGGGGTTAATACTGGGGTTGTGTTATCATACAAATAGCAAGTATCCTAAGACCCCTGGAGATTCAGGCCTTGGTTTCCTTCTCTTCTTTCTCTCAACTCTCCTGAGCCAGCTCATGCAGCCTCCCATAGACCAATGACTGAGAGCTCTGCCTGCAGCCCCTTCTCTGCGCTCTCCATCTGTGCGCTCAGCTGCTCCCCTTACATCTCCATGTGGATGTTGCACAGGCTCCTCAGTCTTACTTACTTGACAAAACCTGGAACAGTAGAAAGGAAGCTCCTGCTGCAACGTGCTCAGACCCCAGCAGGCTGCTGCACTGCATGATGTTGCGATAGGACAAGGATTTTACTAAGCAGTGATGAGGGGCGACTCTCTTTTCAATGTATTCTGTCATTTCTTGGCTTCTGCTTGGTTCACTTCATACACGTCGTTTCACAGCATTTCCCAAGCATATTTCTCTACTGCCAACCTATTCTTCTCTGAACTTATAGAGGGGTGATAATGTTGGTTAGGTTTCTTGTCTTTGTTAATACATAAACAAAAGTCACGTACTGGAGGAGCTGCCAATAATGATCATGGCCACTAGTGCATGGGACACCTTCTCCTTAAGCTGCAGATAATTCTGGTGCTGGGTACACTGGCATGGTGGGCCCTTGAGGGTTCTGTATTCTCTTCCAGGCTTTCCCTCTCTATTCTTGTCATGCAATTTTATGATGCTCCGGACACATTTCAAGTGCGTCTTAGCCACCTTTTGAGAGTGTTACCACCTCCTGCCCCTTTCTCTAAGAGAGGAAACTACTTTGCCACTGACAGCCATTTATCACGTGATCTGGAGTTCTCCAGAAGTGTTTAAACATGTGATGTGAACTAGAGTAACTACGTATTATCCGGTTCATATTACCAATGGCTTATGTGTTCATGTTAGAATTAGGTCTTGGGTAAAAACTAGAAATAAATTGTAAAAACGCACTGATGTTTTTTATAGCGCCAGTGTAGATCAACCTGTGATCTTTCAAAATATGAACTGACTTAAATAACTGCCTAACATTGATAGGGTGAAATTACTTCTCCCTCAAAGTTTAGGTGGTTTTCTGTTTGTATGTTTGCTTTTTGCATGCTCTAATGTTTAATGTTTTTGAGGGCAAAAGTTTTAAAGGTTTGAAAATGATAAATGCTAGCATTTCAAATATGGTAATCTGGTACTATTTTTAAAGTAATTTATGTTAGGTAAATTGGGATGACTTCAGCTGCAATGAACAGAAGCCCCTGACTTAACTGGCTTAAATAATAAGACAACTTATTATTAAGGGTGGCCCAATTGCTGATTGAGACAGCCGCTCAAATATATCACTGCAGGGACCCAGTTTTCCCCACCGCTCTGTTTCACCATTCTGAGCGCTGGCCTTGCCTCCACCCAGGCTGGCTCCTTTTGTGCTCACGTGATTGCTGCAGCGGTTCCAGGTATCACATCTAGGTACAGAAACATCCAGAAGCAGAAAGAGGCCACCGCTCCTGGTCTCCTTCTTCATAGGAAAACAATCTCTCCTATAAGCTTTTCTGCAGGACTCCCCTCTAATCTCATTGGCCAGAATGAAGTCACATGCCCACTTCTAAGCTAATCACAGATGCAGAAAGAGAACCGTCATAATTGGCTTAAACCAAAAAAGGGACTTATTTTGAGTTGACTAATGTGAAGAAAGTATGGCTACCTGAACCGTCTTTCTGTTAACAAGCAAGTAGAGAAGAATTGTTGGTAGTGAACCAACAATGCTTGCCATGTTACAGAAATATATTAAATATACAGTAATATATTAAATATATTACTGTAATGTAATATGTTAAAAACAGTAATATATTAAATATACTGTAATGTAATGTGTTACAATACAGTTACATATATATATAACCATGTATGTCATGAAATAGGCATTGCAACACTGATGGAATATATTAAATAATTTTTAAATAATGTTTGTTTTCCTTCATGTTATCTGATTAATAATTTTCTGAGCTTCAAGTTTAAGTGCTTTAAAATTTATTGTTGGCTTGGTGCAGTGGTTCATGCCTGTAATCCCAGCACTGTGGGAGGCCGAGGTGGGTGGATCATTTGAGGTCAGGAATTTGTGACCGACTTGGACAACATGGTGAAACCCCGTCTCTACTAAAAATACAAAAATTAGCCTGGCGTGGTAGCGTGCGCCTATAATCCTAGCTACTCCGGAGGCTGAGACAGGAGAATTGTTTGAACCCAGGAGGCAGAGGTTGCAGTCAGCTGAGATCCTGCCAGGCTGGTCTGGAACTCCTGACCTCAGGTGATCCACCTGCCTCAGCCTTTCAAAATGCTGGGATTACAGGCCCGAGCCATGGCGCCCAGCAGAAAACAATCTTATCATTAAGATACTTCAATTTGGGATTATACAAGGATGTGCTTAAAGGATATTCAAAGTAGTATTGCTTTGGTAAAGATCTTCACTGTAAACAAGCTGAGTGCCCAAGACATGGGGTTGGGTTAATAAATTGTGATATATCCATACTGTGAAATAGTATGCATGGCCTTTTCTTCTGAATTACACCCACGTGCTTATAGTTTTCATTTACATAATTAGGAAAAGCACGTAGAGATTCCCACGTTAAACTACTTACCTTAGGATCAACATAACAATAGCCGTGAGCCTACCTAGAAAAGTAAGGTGAGGTCAGTTTGTGAAAGACCTTGAACACCATCTGGAAGAGACTTACTTAGCATTTCTGGGGAAGAGAGGAGGACATGATACACTTACTACCATCGTCGAAATGCAGCAAAGGGAGGTATAGGTAAACATATCTTTTAACTACATCAGACTGTGTCAACAGGGCAGATGAGGAGAATGCATGTAGGGTAGACCAATGACAGTCTCTACCACACCCAGATCTGAGGAAGAGTGTGACATTGGTCACAAGTGTGAGAAAAGTAAATCAAAATTTAGGTATACAAGTGATAATTATTTTTATTAGGATCTTTTGCTGTGTAACAATTTATTCCAAATATTAGACTTAAAAGCTCCAAATATTTCTTATCTCACAGATTCTCTGGGGAAGGAATCCAACTGTGTGCTAGCCGGGCCCTCTGAATCAGGGTGTCTCACAGACTGGGATCAAGGTGGGAGTTGGCCAGGGCTGCAGTCCCATCCGCAGGCTCAGCGGGCGCAGGGTCTGACTCCAAGCTCACTCAAGTGGTTGCCATCAGGATTCAGTTCCTCACAAGCCCTTGGTCTAAGGGCCTTAGTTCCTTGCTGGCAGTTGGCTGGAGGACTCCCTCCATTTCTTTCCATGTGATCTTTTTCATGCAGTAGCTCATGACATAGCATCTGCCCTTAATCACAGCAGGCAAGTGAGAGAGCCAGAAAGATGGCAAGATGGAATCCTGGGTCTTTTTATAACTTCATCTCACAAGTGACATCCCATCCCTTTGGTCCTGTTCTGTTCATTAGGAGCAAGTTGCTAGATGCAGCCTGCACTCAGAGAATGAGATTGCACAGGGGTACGAATCCCAGGAAGCGGGGTCATGGGGTGCCATCTTAGAAGCTACTTACCACAATGTCAGTCACAAATTGTGCTGTTTCTAGGATGAGTGGTTCCATCTCCTTACAGAGTTCAGAGGGAGTTGCCCAAGAGTAAGGACAGTTTGGGCTCATCTTTCCTAATGCATTCCCTTCTGCCTGCTTGAGTTATGTAATTCTTTCGAAAACATACAGACACACACACACATAGCACACTTTCTTGTCTCAATATTGATAATTGCATTGTTTTTAACTTTTCTCTGTTACCTTCCTAACTTTAAATTATTTTTAAACCTCTATTTTTGTTTCATCAACTTTACTCTTGCCCCTCGCTATATAAAATGAAATCTTACTTACTTTCCTCCTTCTGTACCTCCTCTCCTATTAACTTTATCTTTATGTTTCCAAGGCTGTCAATGTTTTTATTATGAGTCTCATGTGCTTTCTCATGAGTTGAATCCACACATTGATAATCAATGAATGATATTTACATGATTTTTATCGTATGTGTTCCCTGCAGAGCAAACTAGTATCTGAAAATTACATTGTCTTGTCTACAGTTTCCTATGTTCAATTTTATTGAGTTTTGTCTTCCTTAGTCAAACTACAGTAGACTTGGGGAACAAATGTATCATCTCTCTCTCTTTCTCCCCTCTCTCTCCATACCGTGAATATCATAAAACTTTTTATTTTCTGCTAATTCGGAACACAATTTTCTACTCCAGTTTTGGGGGTTTCCTGTCATTTCTAACTGAATGAAATTTATGCCTTTTTCACATCTTTAATGTATTCCCAAGTCTCAATCATGTTACCTACTGTAGGTCATCTTCTTCATGCTTTAAGACATCATTTTCAGAACATTAAGACCTTCTGTTCAATCTGGATCATTTTCTGTGGAAAAGCCAAAGTTGTATGTTCACCAAACTGCTTGAGTTTTTCCTTGGCACACACAAAGATTGTCTCTCCCAGATCATTTAGGCGATGTCATGTGATTAATTTTGGCCAGTGGAATGCAGTCAGATGCGACGCCCACCACTCTCACCTCTAGTCTATGAGAAATCTCCCACACACAATCTCCACTATCACCCCTTTCATAACAGTCTTGGGCTGATGATGTTGATCAACATCAACATCTGTGTAGATGATCGCGTTGATGATGGTGGCATCACAGTATAGAAGACATCTCTATATTTGAGAAACCACTTGGTGAAAAGCCACCCAGGATCATGTATTTTAGACTGTGTGGGTGAAAATGAATGTTATGGTTTTGGGAAGTTTTTGGATTCAGCAGTTAGCGAATTCTGATTAGTTCAGAAATTCATGCTGCACATAGTGCCACAAACTCTCACATGGAGCACTGGCTCAGTGGTCAAGTGGTGAGCAGCAAGAAAATTGATATCAGACTATAAAAAAAAATAAAGGTTCATGTTATGCATGTCTGACAAAAGTGTCACCCGCAATAACTTTGCAAACATCACTTGCTCAATGACCGGTGGATCTAGAATCCCATTGTTAGTGACTCTATTTAGCAAGTGATTGCAAGAAAAAGAAGAGCTCAGAGAGAATTGGCTGATTTGCAAGCAAAAAGGCAAGAGAAGAGGGAATCCAAAGATTCTAAGTCCTAAAGGACTGAAAATACTAACTTCGAGTGGTGAGAAATGGTATTTAAAAGGGTTTGATGGAATGGCTTAGTGAGATGTCTTGGTTGTATGGCATGATTGAGCCTTGTGGCCAAGATCAGATTAACAGTGTGGTTTTCCCACTTAAACAGATAACTTCAGGTTAGCTGTCATTAAGAGAGGCATGTCCAGCACTTCGGGAGGCCGAAGTGGGTGGATCACTTGAGGTCAGGAGTTCAAGACCAACCTTGCCAACATGGTGAAACCCCATCTCTACTAAAAATACAAAAAATTAGCTGAGTGTGATGGCACGTGCCTGTAATTCCAGCTCCTTGAGAGGCTGAGGCAGGAGAATCACTTGAACTCAGAAGGTGGAGGTTGCAGCGAGCCGAAATCACACCAGTGCACTCCAGCCTGGGCTACGGGAATGAAACTCTGTCAAAAAAAAAAAAAAAGGAAGAAGAGAGTCATGAGGGCTAGGATGAAAAAAACTGAAGCCAACTTGAGAACTATGTCTAGGATGAAAAAATTGGGGTGTTTTTCAAAAACTTGAAGTAAAAGGGAAATTGCAAAATAAAATGTGAAGAATTTTTAGTTTGTGCAGCATTCTGAGAAGTAGCATGAAAGAGGCCTAAGGAAAATAAGAAAGCTGGGTTAGAAACAAGACATGAGAGAGAAAGTGGGCTGAGTTTGCTGTTAGAAGGCTGGAACACAGGCGGAGAGCTAAATGGAAGCTTCTGTTGGCAGGAAAAGCCAAAGGACTTATAACAGAAAAAGTACCATTCTATTTTATTTTTATTTATTTACTTATTTATTTTGAGATAGGATCTCACTTTATTGTCCAGGCTGGAGTGCAATGGTGCAATCACAGCTCACTGTGGACTTGATCTCCCAGGCTCAAGAGATCCTCCTACCTCAGCCTCCCCAGTAGCTGGGACTACAGGTGAACACCACCGTGCCTGGCTAATTTTTGAATTTTTTGTAGAGATGGGGTTTCACTACGTTGCCCAGGCTCTTCTCGAACTCCTGAGCCCAAGCAATCCTTCTGACTCAGCCTCCCAAAAGTGCTAGGATTACAGGCATGAGCCACTGTGCCTGGCCTCTATTTTAAATGTCTTGTGTTTGCTGGGTGTAATATTGGCTGTGAAGTCAAGTCCAGCTGACCTGGAATTGACTTGAGTAGTTTTACTAAAGTACTTGCAGGGCACTCACCCCTGGTCAAGGCATGAAAGATACTAACTCCTGGTGTTTCTTTTTAACAGTGGGTCTGACAATTTTGTATGAGTCTGTCAGGATTGTTTATTGATAATAGCAAGAAGAATGGTTCAAACCTTGTCTCAGTGAGACTCTCCCCAGAGTGCTCTGCCACTGGGCTTGGTTAAGAAGTAACAAGAAGATGCCTATGTGACCAGTGGGGTGTGGGAAACAGCTGAGATTACATTTTGGACTCCTGGGTTCTAAGGTGTTCCATGCACCAGCCAGTGGCTCCTGATCTGAGAGAGAAAGTGTGTCTACGCAGCCCATACAGAGGGAGCACTACCGGAGTCTGAGGCAGCCCCTGGCCATGAAGTGCAACCTTACTTTAATGCAGTTGCTATAGTGTATTCCTTTCCTGCAATAAACTAAATTTGTGGCCATTGTCATTTTGAGTCCTGTGTCTCTTGGGCAATTGAACTCTAATTGCTGCCTTTAGTGAAGATGGCCAACTCATCCCAGTTTGTCCACTACCTTCCTGATTTTAGCACTGAAAGTCCCGCATCTCAAGAATACCATCAGTTCTAGGCAAACTGGGACAAGTGGTCATCCTACTGTTAGTGCAAATATAATTCCCCTTCATCTTACTTCCCCATTACTTTCAAATATTCGGTAGAAGTCTACTACTATTAATATAATGGTTTTGTGTTGGTGGTGTTTAAGGAAATCTAAGACAAAAAGGGCCAGGCACAGTGACTCTGGCCTGTGATTCCAACACTTTGGGAGGCTGAGGTGTGAGGATCGATTGAGACCAGGGGTTCCAGACCAGCCTGGGCAACATAACAAGACCCTATCTCTACAAAAAAAATACAAAAATTAGCCGGGTGTGGTGGCACGCATTTGTAGTGCCAGCTACTCAGGAGGCTGAGGTGGGAGGATCGATCACTTGAGCCCGGGAGGCTACAGTGAGCTGTGATCACACCATTGCACTCCAGCCTGGGCAACAGATCAAGACCTTGTCTCAGAAAAAGAAAAAAAGGAGGTGTTCCCAGTTTAGGTTGAGGGAGAATAGAGAAAAGAAAATAGCTGTAAAAGATGAGATGAAAAAGAAATCAATGATTTGATTAAGGTAGGAAACTGGAGCCAAGATGAATAGGAGAAACAGAATATCAAAGAATCCTGAAAATAAGTGCAGAAAGAGGCTGGATTTCCCATGGTATTTTGGCTGTGGGTTCTAACACTTTTTATCGAATATCAGAGGAGGAAATGATCTGAGCAGCTGGAGGAGATAGGAACACCCAGGATCACAGCTGGGAGCAGCGAGGATAAGGAAATGCAGCACAGCCCTTTGTTCCTGCAACACTCTCAGGTCCAAGCATAAAATACACTCATGGCCAAGGCCACAGATGTGCGGGCCTCCAGTGAGCAGAAGAAGTTGCTGTATGAGGGGCTCTCCCCTTGGGAGGAATCGCAGACGCTGGGCATCACACTGACCCTGCTGCATGTGTCCAGGACAGGTTCAGAAGGGCAGGACCAGGAAAACTGGCATCTGGGGTGGCTTCACTGTCTGGTTTCATGTGGGGATTATATTCCAGTTGTTTGTCTTTAATGAGAAACATCACAAATCTTTGAATATAAATGACATGTACAAAAGGGGAAAGACTAATTTTTCTAAGAAGATTTGGGTATAGTTTTACTTAAAGGCAAACAAACAAACAAAAATAGGGATTGAGTTGACTTTTCAAGGTCCTTTCTGGGTCTAAGTTTCTGATGCTATTCTAGAGACATAAACTGGTTGGGGTGTGATTCGTCTTATTTTCAATTTGAAAATCCAGTAAATGGTGCTGTCCATGATGGACAAATTATAAACACTCAAATAACTGGAAACTCCTTAATGCTGATCTTTTATTCAATATGTTTTGACTAAAATAATCAGCTATTTTTCAAAAGTGATTTGCAGAAATAGAAAATGGACTGACAATTATTTATTTAATTAATTAATTAATTTATTTATTTATTTATTTTGAGACAGAGTCTCGCTCTGCCGCCCAGGCTGGAGTGCAGTGGCGTGATCTCGGCTCACTGCAATCTCCGCCTCCTGGGTTCACGCCATTCTCCTGCCTCAGCCTCCCGAGTAGCTGGGACTACAGGTGCCCACCACCATGCCCGGCTAATTTTTTGTATTTTTAGTAGGGACAGGGTTTCACCGTGTTAGCCAGGATGGTCTTGATCTCCTGAACTCGTGAACCGCCCGCCTCGGCCTCCCAAAGTGCTGGAATTACAGGCGTGAGCCACCGTGCCCGGCCTGGACTGACAATTAAACAAAGCTGCTATTAATATGAAAATAACATAAGTCAAGATGGTGAACATGATAGTTGAGCATTTCTTAGAATGACCACTACTTAAAATACCATTTGACACGATGTCATGCAATGTACGGTGGGTGGAGAGCAAATACTCCACTCCCAAAAACAATTTTTTTTTCCATTAAAAATAACTCATCTGGGTACACTGCACTGTTTCTTGGCTGTTCTTTAGATCAACTTGTGACAATTTACACTGAGGTCCTAGAATGGAAGCATCATTTATGCCTCTCAGAATAGTTTTCAATAGCAGAAAATATTACAGTCTACAGATGTTTTGGTGGCTGGCAAAAGTTTCAACTTGAACTTCAAAAGGGAATTGCAGGTCAGAACAAACACCTAATATTGAAATGCCCATTCTCAAGCATCTTAGCAATGTGGCAAATCATATTTAACATGTAGGAAATATGAACAGTAGAAAACATTGCTTGAATTTTCATCATCCCAAGATAATCATTGTTAACATTTCAGGACATAGGATTCTGGTCTTGTCTGATGTACATAGGTACCACACACAAGAAACAGAATCATACAACACATGCTATTTTGAAGCCCGTTTTCTTCTCCCATTTTATAAAATCTGAACATTTTCTCACGCTGATAAATCCTTTTATAGCAAGATTTTAAATGGCTTTTGGATATTTAAAAAGATGTATATAACATAAAATATTTAACCAGTGACCTACTATAGGACATTTAGATCTTTCTCCAATTTTTGCTTCTTTACAGTATTTTCAACTGAACCTTCTTGTACTTAGATCTTTACCTGCAATTTTGATTATATGCTTAAAGTAAACTTCTAAAATCAAACTGTGTTCGGGTAAAAGGGAGGCACATTATGAAACTTTTGGCACACTTTGACATTTTGCCCAACAGAGAATGAGAGGGTTTAGTTTACCATACTCTCATAAATGCTGGCTTTATTTGTCAAGCATTTCCAGTAAGGCAAAATGTGGTGGCTCACTGTGTTTTTCACTAATTTTACTACTGATTACAAGTGAAGTTAATTTTCTAATTTTTAAAGGTCACTTGTATTCCCCTGTATCTGTAAATTGTTTATTCTCTTTGCCTTCTTTTAAAAAATCTACTGAGGTATTGCTTTTTCTAATTATTCATCATAGCTATCATAAATCCTTTACCCAACTTTTAACTTGTATTTTAACTTAATCTGTGGTCTCCCAGAAATTTGTTTTTATTTTGAATAAATAGGAAACAGAACCCAGTCAAAAAAGAAAACTAAATCAGTCAAATAATGTGTAGGAAAAATCTGCACAAAATCAGCTTCTAGATTATCTTTGAGCCAAATGACTTTGTGCAATTCCATCACAGTGAGAACTGGATCTCACCCTAACAGGTGGCTATAAATTCCTGAAAATAAGAAAGGAAAAAAGGAAATGTGGTAAGGAGTATAAAAAGTCTGATTTATGGATTTATCTTGTTCAGAATCAAGTTCAGGAACTAGCTTAGCATTTCAAAAAGAATTGAATTTTGGCTCATTCTTCAAATGAGTTAGATTCACAAGTGAAATAAAATATTCACAATGTTAAAGTTATTTTAAATGTTGGCTTTTAAGATCTTTGTTACAATTTGCTTTCTCCTGCAAATATCCTCATATATGGGTCCAGAATATGGATACAAACATACACCTTGATTTGTGGTGACTATAAATACATTTATTGTAATTTTGCTGTGAGACTACTGAAGATTTTCCTAAACGATCAGCATTTTGCTGAACCTAACTGGCATTGAAATTTTAGCATTAAAACCAACCAAAGGAACAAACTCTCTCTTTCCTAGGATAGGGTGAAAAGGAGGTAAAATTTCTTTAGTCTTACTCATCAGTTTCATTTCTTTCCTTTCCTTTAGTCTCTTTTCAAAACCAGTACCTCTGATGAGCTAAAATTTATTTTCCTTGGTAAGTACAAATATTATTATAATCATGGGTCCTTCCTTCCTCCTTAAAAATTTCTCCTAGAAATTTTTATAGCATCAGCTGTTACCTTCAGGCCTATCATCCCTTTCAAATTGATTTTTCATATGGTGTGAGGTAGAGGTTGAAGTTAAATTTTAAAAACATATATGTATTATTCCAGCATGGTTATTCAGTTATTTCAGCATGGTTTGTTGAAAAAAGATGATCATGTCTTGAATTAAGTTACCTCTGATGTTTTGTAAAATATCAATTGACCATATACATGTATGCTTTCTATTCCATTCCATTAATATACATGTCTTACCATACACACTATCTTGAGTACTATACCTGGCCTTATAATAAATCTTAGAATTAGAGAATATATGTTCTCCAAATTTAACCTTTTTCCCCCCGAATTATTTTGGCTATTCTTGGTCTTTGATATCTCAATAAGTTTTAGATCCACCCATCAACTTCTACCAAAAAAAAAAAAAAGCCTGCTAAGGTATTGTTTAGAATTACTTTGAATCTGAAGATAAATTTGGAAAGAACTGGTATCCTATCAATTTTTAGTCAGAATTACCCAATTCATGAATATGACATGTATCTTCATTTATTTAGATCATCCTTAATGTCTCTCAGCAATGTTTTGAAATGTTCAGTGTTCGTTAATATTTTGTTAAATTTATCACTAAGTATAAATCCTATTATAAATGGTATTGTTATTTATTATTTTAATTAAGACTGTGTTGATTAGGATTGTGGAGAACTGACATCTTAACAATAATGAGTCTTCCAATCCATGGTATATCTCTCCATTTATTAAGTCTTCCTAATTCTTTTGAACAATGTTTATAATTTTTTAGTTCACATATCTTGCAGATACATATATATTTTAGACTTACTCTTACTTCCTATCTTTTTGTACTATTGCAAATGTTATCTTAAATTTCATTTTCCAATAATTGCTAGGACGTAGAAATGCAAACGTTTTTGCATTTGATTTTTTATATGGATCTCATAGCTTCAGATTTTCTGAATTCACTTAATAATTCTAGTAGGTTTTTAAAAATGTAACAGCTTTAATGAGATGTAATTCACATATCACAAAATTTACCCTTCTAAAGTATACATTTCAAAGCATTTTAATTGGTTAGAACTGTGTAACTATCACCACTCTCTAAATTTAGGACATTTTCATCATCTTTAAAAGAAACACTAAATCTGTTAGCAGTGTCACCTCATCATTCCCCAACCCTTCCCCCTCCAGTCTCCAGCAACCACAAATCTACCTTATGTCTCTGTGGATTTGCCTATTCCAGATATTTCATTTAAGTGGAATCATAAAAGATGTGGCTTTTTCTGTCTGGCTTCTTTCACTTACCCTGACATTTTCAAAGTTAATCCATGTTGTGGCATATATCAATATTGCATTCTTTTTTTGGTCTAGTAGCTTTTTGTAAGACACTTTAGGAGTTTATCAATAAACTAAAATTATCTGAAAATAAAAAGTTTTATTTCCTCTTCAATCTGTATTTTTTTTCCTCTTATGGCACTTGCTAGAACGTTCAAAACAATGTTGGTTAGAAGTTGTGAGAGCAGACATTTTTGTTTTGTTGCTGATCTTAAGGAAAAAAAATTCTGTTTTTCCCTATTTAACGTTAGCTGTGGGATTTTTATAGATGCCCTTAATTAGTTTTTTATTTTTTTGAGACAGAGTCTCACTCTTTCGCCCAGGCTAGAGTGCAGTGGTGCAAGCTCCACCTCCCAGGTTCAAGTGATTCTCCTGCCACAGCCTCCCGAGTAGCTGGGGCTACAGGTGCATGCCACCACACCTGGCTGATTTTTTGTATTTTTAGTAGAGACGGGGTTTCACCATGTTAGCCAGGATGGTCTCCACCTCCTGACCTTGTGATCTGCCTGCCTCGGCCTCCCAAAGTGCTGGGATTACAGGTGTGAGCCACTGCTCCCAGCCAATGCCCTTAATTAGTTTGAGAAGTTTCTTTCTTTTGCCTGTTTGCTGAGAGTTTTTGCCATTAATAGTTGTTGAATTTTGTCAAATGCCTTTTCTGCATTTGTAGAGATGATTATACAGTTTTTCTCCTTCACTCTGTTAAAATGGTCAATTACATTGATAAATTTTCAAATGCTAAACCAATTTTCCTTCCTGGATTGAATTACAATTGGTTATTATGTGTTATCCCTTTTATATATTTTTGAATTCAATATGTAAATATTTTATTAAGAATGTTTGTATTTATGATCATGAAGAATATTAGTATATAGTTTTATTTTCTTGCAATGTCTTTGTGTGATTTTGGTATCAGGTAAACACTATCCTCATAAAATAAGTTGGGAGGTGTTCCTTTCTATTTTTTGGAAGGATTTGTATCGAACTGATATTGTTTCTCTCTAAAATATTTGAACTATTCATCAACAAAACTATTTGGATCTGGAGTTTTCTTTAAGGGAAGTTTTCAAACTAAAAATTCATTTTCTTTAATAGATAAAAGACTATTTGGATTTTTAATTTTTTTATGTGTGAGTTTTGGTAATGTTTCACTCGCAGAATTTGTCCTTTTCATCCAGGTTTCAAATTTACCAGAATAATATTGTTCATAATATTCCTTTATTATCATTGTAAAGTTTGTAATATCTCTGTGGATGACCCCCTTTTTATTCCTGATATTGATCATTAGTGTCTTATCTCTTTTCTTGATTAATCAATCTAGTTGAGGCTTATCAATTTAATTGATGCTTTCAAGGATCACTTTTTTAGTTTCTTTTATTTTTTTCAATTGGTTTCCCATTTTTATTTAATTAAATTAAATGTTCCATTTTTTATTTAAATTTAAATTTAAATTTAATTTGTTCTTCTTCTTCTTCTAGAAAACTTAGTTCATTGTTTTGGGTTTTTCTCCTTTTCTAATATAACATTTAAAGCTATACGTTTCCTTCTAAGCACTACCTTGCAGCATCCTACAAAATTTTGATATGTTATCTTTTTACTACCATTCAGTTAAGAATATTAAGTATTTTTTCTCTTTATTTTTTATTTAAGTCATAAGTTCGTTATATTTGTGTTTTTTAAGTTCCAAATATCTAGGGGTTTTTGAGCCAGCTTGTTACCTTTAAACTGTAGTTGTTCATTTAATTTTATTATGGTCAGAGAATATAGTCTATATGATTTCAAGCTTTTAAATTTATCAAACCTATATTTTACATTGATGAATGCTCCATATGGACTTGAAAAAAATGTGTATCCTGTTGTTGGTGTGAGTAATGCATTATAAATATTAATTCAATTAACTTAGTCAATAGTATTGTTGTTCAAATCCTCTATGCACTTACTGATTTTCTACTTGTTCTATCAATTACTAAGAGAGGAATTTTGAAGCTTCCAACTATAATTGTGAATTTGTCTGTTTCTCCTTTAAGTTCTATAATTTTTTTACTTTATGTGTTTTGAAGGCTTGTAATTGTGTGCATATACTCTTAGGATTGTTATATATTATTGATTAAAATGGTCCTTTTATCATTATAAAATGTACCTTGTTATCTCTAGTAATATTAGTTGACCTGAACTCTACTTTTTCTGATATTAATATAGGCAACCCACCTTTAGTGTTTTCATAAATTATCTGCTTTTCCATCCTTTTAAAATTAACTACATATTTAAATATTTTTAATGTGGTAAAAATCACATGGAATTAAATTTACCATTTAGCCATATTTAAGTGTACATTTCAGTACTGTTAAGTATATTTACTTGGTTGTGCAATAGATTGCTAAAACTTTTAAATCTTATGTATTTATATTTAAAGTTTATTTCTTGTCACTACCACATACTTGCATCTTGCTTTTTTTCAGTCTGTCTCTGACTTTTGAGTATTTAAGACATTTACATTTAGTGTACTTATCAGTATAGCTGGGTTTAAATCTACCAGGTTTCTATTTATGTATTTATATTTTGAGACAGAGCCTCTCTCTGTGTCACCCATGCTGCAGTGCAGTGGTGAGATTTTGGCTCCCTGCAACCTCTGCCTCCCAGGTTCAAGTGATTCTCTTGCCTCAGCCTCCCGCGTAGCTGAGATTATAGGTGTGCTTCACGATGCTCAGCTAGTTTTTGTACTTTTAGTAGACACAGTGTTTCACCATATTGGCCAGGCTGGTCTTGAACTCCTGGCATCAATTGATTAGCCAGCCTCAGCTTCCCAAAGTGCTGGGATTACAGGCATGAGCCACTGTGCCTGGACAACTTTCTATTTATTTTTAATTTGTTCATTTTCTGTCTTTTTCTCTTTTCCTGCCTTCTTTTTAATTATTTTGTGGTATTGTGTTTTGTCTCATCTACAGGTTTATTAGGCAGAAAGGTTTTATTGGTTGATCTAAGATTTACAGTGTATATCTTTAATTTATAACAGCTTACTTTTAAATAATATACCATATAATGTAAAGTGTAAAGACCGTATGATGGTATACTTTCATTTTCTCCCTCCCTTCCTTCATGCTATTGTTAATATATATTTTCACTTCCAGATGTTATAAACTTCACAACACATTTTTGTTTTGCTTTAAATATAAATAAGATATTTATTCAAATGAGAACATAAGATTATTTTATATTTGTACTAGAATTACTATTTCTGGAGCTCTTTATTCCTTTGTGTAGATCAGATTATCCATCTCTTATGCTCCTTCTGCCTCAACAATTTCCTTTACCATTTCTTTTAGTTCAGATTCATTAATGATAAAATCTCTATGTTCATCTGAAAATATCTTTTCTTTCCCCTTCATTCTGGAGAACATTTTTACTAGCTACACAATTTAGGATGACCATTATTTTTCTTTCAGCAAATTGTCTTTTGGCTTTTCTGAGAAGTCAAAGTCGTCCTCTATTTGGTTTCCCTTTGATAACTTTATAACATGTTTTTCACTTTTAGCTGATTTCAATATTTTTGTTTTTATTCTTGAAATTCAGCCAATTGATTATGTTGTATTTTGAGGGTGTGTGTGCTTTTTGTGTGTGTGCGTGCACACCTGTGTATGTGTGTGTGTGTGTGTTTAGCCTGCTTTCAGTTGGTTGTGCTTCTTGGATCTTGATGTTTGGAAAATGTGCTGCCTTTATTTATTCAACCACTTTTTCCATTCCTTTCTCTATTTACAACTCCAAAGCAACTTATAATGCATGTAAGACTGCTTGATATTGTCTCATAGGTAACTGAGGCTGTCTTCATTTTTTTGTTCAACCTTCTTTCTCTTTGTGCTTCAGTTTGGATAGTTTCCATTACTATGTCTTCTTTTTATTTTTCATTCTGCAGTGTCTAATTTAATCTACTGCTAAGCTTATTCAGTGAAGTGTTCAACTTATGTATTGTACGATTAAGATCCAGAAGTTTTATTTGGTTCTTTTACTATGGTTTCTATTTCTCTCCCTATCATACTATCCTTAAGACCTTAAACGTTTTCAATAGCTGTTTTAAAGTTCTCACGTGCTAATTCCATCATCCCTGTCATTTCTCGGTCTGTTTCCATTGACTTACTTTTATCCTGATTATGGATCATAGTTTCCTGTTCTGAACAGCATTTTGGACTGGATGTTGGACATTGTGATTGTTACATTCTTAAGTGTCTCGATTTTGTTTTCCATTACTTTTTGTTTTGTTTTGTTTTTTTTGCAGGCAGTTATATTAGTTATGGAGCCTCTTGATGCTTTAGAGGCTTGTTTTTTTAAGATTTAAGGTAAGCTTTGTTAAAATAAGATTAAAAGTCTGGAATAGTTCTTGCTTTAGTGCTAGGAGTTCGAGATGAGCCTGGCCAACATGGTGAAACTCTGTCTTTACTAAAAATGCAAAAATTAGCTGGGTGTGGTGGCATGTGCCTGTAATCCCAGCTACTCAGGAGTCTGAGGCAGGAGAATCGCTTGAAGCTGGGAAGTGGAAGTTGCAGAGAGTTGAGATCGCACCACCGCACTCTGCCTGGGTGACAGAGCGAGACTCTGTCTCAAAAAAAAAATTAGTATAATGTTTTCAAGGTTAATCATGTTGGAGCATGTATCAGTACTTCCGTCCTTTTTATGGCTGACTAATATTCCATTGTGTGGATATACAACATATTGATAATCCATTCATGGATAACTTTTTGAAAATTTAATTGGGTTTTACTTCCAATATTTTCCTTTTTGCCGTATCTTCTTTCAAACTGGTATCAGGATTTTTGGTTCATTTCCTCAGAGGTGTCATTTTTGGCAAGACAGAAAATAGAAGTAGCCTTCAAGATTTCTGGTCTTTGTTTCTAAGAATCCACTAAATAGAATAGGGTCTGAAAAACGGGGTTTGTCCCTGGACTAGAGGAGAGAGTTGAAAGGCATCTCTTTGTTCCTGGGAAAAGTCCCAGGAAGATAATGTGCTCCAGGAGTGGCATATGGGGGTTTTCCTGGGGATTGGAGACATGGGTATGGGGGTTTCCAACCTCCCCAAAGGTTCCAGCTCCCCACACCTGGCACAGAAGCCTCGTCGAGCTGCCAGACCAAAAAGGACCATGTGTCTTGCTGGTGACTGTGTGGGCAGATGACAGAAGAATGAAGTGTTCCAATGCTTTGCACTGTGTAAGACCCTGGAAAGTTGGTACTTCTTGAGGCAGAGCCACAAGAATGATTGAGGTCAAATTTCCTACTAGTCTTGTTGGATGGGAAAATCAGAATGGAAATTAAACTGACTTATAGAAAATAATGAGATATATTCATTCTTGTACACCTGACTTTAAGGCCTGAGATGATACTATGTGAATTCATTGAAATCAATAATATGGTAGGAATTTCATACAAACAAAAGGTGATTCAAAGTGACAGAACATCCTGCTTAGAAGAATGTTTTCTATGCTGCCTTTTGCCTTTAATTTGTGAGTTTTCTTCATGACCTCTTTCCTATTAGGCAAGATAGCTTTATTATGCAACATGACATCTTTTATCATGCTTCGCAAAACAACTTGTACCAAAGTTTAAATTTTGGTGAAACATAATGATCTTAATTTTATACTTTAGGCTGAGCTGATGAACAAATCATTTTACAGACAAAGAAAAAGAAATACATTTGGTAAAACATTGAAGACAAATTAAAAAAAAGCAAATCGGGGTCCCCCGTTATTTATACCCAAGAATCTTGAATGTTTGGGAGTGCCAGTGCATTCTACCAGTCTCAGTGAAGAGCATGAGTACACACTACAGTAATCAGAATCTTAGTCTTAGGTGAATTAGGAAAAGCAACTCTTCTTGCATTTATTTTCAGTAGTGTTGTAAGAACAAACTAGTTCTTCCTGCGTAGCCACACATGCTACTGTTTGAGAAAATGCATACCCACCTGGAAGAGCAAAGTACAGGGAAATATGTTAGGAGCACTAACACCCAGTGAACATTCTGGTGACAGAGATGGAGACTCCAGCTGGACTGAATATGTTGGATACATCAGCTAGGAAAGCAACTTGGGCAGGGAAAATGGCAGATATGATGAGGGTGTGGTAATGGAGTGGTCTGCAAACCCAGCCATATTAGAACTACTTAGGGATACAATTAAATATATCCATCTCTGGGTCCACAGTTGCTTTGTGGGGAGCTGGATGTCAGTGTGTGCTTTTAAAAGCTCTCCCAAGGATCCTAAGGTACATGATGTCCTACATAGAAAACTGCTATCCTACAGATGTAGCCTGGCCAGGGCTATGTCAATCTTGCTGTTTTGACCAACTTGGGTGCTTGCTGAGACTGTGAGGGGGCAACTGCTCCTGTCTGTGTGGCCGAGCAGTGGCCCCATGGGCCCCTGGCTTCCTTTCCTCATTAGCATTGGAGAGGAGCAGCTCTGGAGATGTCTTGAAACTAACACTTGTAATTGGAACCCAGAAAAGTAATTTACAAAGCTGAAAATTTGCTGGGGGATGACACACAATATTAAATTTGGTAAAGAATCCATCATGCTGGAAACATTCCTGTCTTAAAACCTGAATGATTTAAATAGGTTTTCAAAGTGGTTTATGCACGTTTAAATAAATAATAAGATTCCCAGAGGCATCAATTCATTGATAAGCACAGTGCCCTCTGGAGGAGCAATCTTATAATCATTTCTGAAAGTAGTTCAGGCACTCAGTGTAACTCACTACAGAGAGCTAGCAAGTGTTCCTGTCCTCTAACTCTTGATCTTGATAAGTTGAACAATAGAGTGCCCACCCTTTAATAATACATTCTCATTAAAACACAACACATCAAGCTAGACAAACACTATTTCCACCCACATGTATCTAAGGTTTATAGCTTGGCTCATTAATGACAATGGATTTACTAGTAAGCAGTTAATGAATGCTCTTTGAAAGAAGAAAAATAAATTATACGTGGAACTTGTATCCACATGTTATCTACCAAATTATTAATTAAATGAAATGCTTTTGTGTGGAAGGAAGGCTGAGTGGTCCTCAACCTTCTCTGTACATTAGAATCCCCTGAGGATTTAGAAAAACTCGGAGTAACCTGCCCAAGCAACTCCTCACCTCTGAGTGAGCACCAGGAATTCACCTGGTGATGGCCGGGCCCCAGCTCGAGTTTCTGAGTTAGTGAGTTGGAGGGTGGCCCAACAACGGGCATTTCTAACAACTTCCCAGGTGATGCATCTGTCAGAGCTGTTCGAACCAGAGCGACTCCATCTTGAATAGGGGCTGGGAAAATAGGGCTGAGACCTACTGGGCTGCATTCCCAGGAGGTTAGGCATTCTAAGTGACGGGATGAGATAGAAGGTCGGTGCAGGACACAGGTCATAAAGACCTTGCTGACAAAACAGGTTGCAGTAAAGAAGCCGCTAAAACCCACCAAAACCAAGATGTCGACGAAAGTGGTCTCTGGTTGTTCTCACTGCTCATTATACGCTAATCATAATGCACTAGCATGCTACAAGACACTCCCACCAGCACCAGGACAGTTTATAGATGCCATGGCAACGTTAGGAAGTCGCCCTATGTGATCTAAAAGGGGAGGAACCCTCAGTTCCAGGAATTGCCCACCCCTTTCCAAGAAAACTCATGAATAATCCACCCCTTGTTTAGCATATAAACAAGAAATAACTATAAGTATCCTTAGTTGAGTAGCCCAAGCTGCTGCTCTGCCTATGGAGTAGTCATTCTTTATTCCTTACTTGCTTTCACTTTATGAATTCGTCTCTAATTCCTTCTTGCACGAGAGCCAAGAACCCTCTCTTGGGGCCTGGATTGGGACCCCTTTCAGGTAACACATTTGCTGCTGCCTAGGACTGTGCATGGAGAGCCACTGTTTTAGGTCACGGTCATCACAGTCTCTGGATGGACGCTGGTATGAGTATTTCCCAACCCTTTGGGATTTCCTCCCTTCCCTCTTCCTTCTCTTTCTCCTTCCTTCCCACTTCAGGAACATTTCACTTAGAATCTCAAGGTGGAAATTTAGAGTTTTATAAAAGCACTCAGGTGTTTCTTGGAATAGCCATGTATGAATGACCAATGGTTCGGAGGCAGCACGAAGGAGGAGGAGGGAATGCCCTTGGGGAGAGGGGATTTCCTGGGGGAGAGAGGATGGCACACTTCCTGGGTGTGGCGGGAAACCCATGAGGAAGGTGCCCTGAGCTCCCTGTGTAAGGAGGGGCCCACGCTAAGTCAGCTACGCAAACAATCACAGTGGGAAAAGGCCTCTCCCTATATTTAATTTAATTTAGCTAATTAATTAATTACTTTTTTTTTAAGATAGAGTCTTGCTCTGTTGCCCAGGCTGGAGTGCAGTGGTGCAATCTGGGCTCACTGCAACCTCCGCCTCCCGGGTTCAAGAAATTCTTCTGCCTGAGCCTCCCGAGTAGCTGGGATTACAGGCGCCCGCCATCACACCTGGCTAATTTTTGTATTTTTAGTAGAGACAGGGTTTCACCATGTTGGTCAGGCTGGTCTCGAACTCCTGACCTAAAGTGATCCACCCACCTCGGCCTCTCAAAGTGGTGGGACTACAGGCATGAGCCACTCGCCAGGCCCCTTTCTATTTTATTTTTAATGTTCTAATCATAAAAACATTTAGGACTATAAAAATGAGCAGATAAAAAATATTCCCACTCCCTCTTAATGGAAGATGTGTTCACATTTTTAAAAGTCTCTTCCCCAAAGGAAGAAACCAACGTTCTCTTTTTGCCAGGCCCATTGCCCTGCTTTTCATTCTTGACCTAATACCTGCAGGGAGCAGGATGGCCGGATTTGGTCTGGAGGGAATGTTTCTCCTCCTTGCGCACCAAGACGCATGCGCACAGTGGGCTTTCCGGAGCTCATAGTTTCCACTCCATCACCCCATCCAAGGCTCTGGGCGATGTTTTGGAATTTGTCAACTTTTATACATTAGTGAAATATGACGATTTCTTTCTCATTCTAAGTAAATATTTGCTTTTGAACCTAATTTTGCATTTGTAGTTTTGTATTATTTTCCTAAAGATGGTCCCCCAACTGTATAAAGTTTTGGCCTCACAAAACCTGGTTCTGACGTTTATTCAGAGGCAATATACATCATTTGGAAAACTGAGCTGTTTTTCCTTTTCACAGTCTCCCAGGGAAGAAGAGTGAGAGCTGAAGTTAAGTGGGAGAACAGAAATCCAGGCCACCAGCCTCCATGGCACCTGATGAGGATGCAGACCTGCTCTCAGCTCTGCCTACTGAACATTTAACTGCCGTTTGCATCCAAACAGGGAGCTCAGAGGAAGCCTCCAGCTCTTTGCATTCCCCACTTTCATTCATCTTTCAGGAAGTCCTAACAGACACAGAGTCTTGATGGGGGCCTGGAGGGAGCCCTCCATGGACCCAACAACTGTGAACTTTTCCCTGGCTGGCTTCCTAACGAATCTGCTTCCTCAATACTCAGCCACAGCCAAGAATATGAGAAAGAACCGGCATCTTGAAATTAACAGAGAATTTTCCCCTTTTGTTTCCTATCTGAATTGCTTAGAGTGCTTTACAAATTAAAGTCAATATCGTGGTATACAACAGAAACACATACAGGATCTAAAAAGCTACAAACTGGCTGAGGGTCTTTCTCTCCAGAAATGAGGAAGAATGTGAGGAGAAAAAACACCTTAGAACTTTGATTCAATAAAATATCTAACCATCCAATAGTATTTCCTATTATAATATTAAAAAATAGTAAGTCATGAAAATAACTTCTTCCTACAAAATGAATAACTTTAAAAAAGTAATTGAAATATATTTTTTCTATTTCTCATATCCGTTCAATGCTATTCTGAGGTGATTCACACTCTCCATATTACATTGGTTTTAGGATGTTATGATTCTTTCAGAAAGCACTTATTCCTCTATTTGAATCCAGATACATAAGGCCTTTTACACTTCACACTGCCTATAATGATGCCAACAGCAGGAAATCCCAAAAGAGTAGAGACACTGGAGCTTAGAGGTGATAACTAACTTATCTAATGCCCCGTAGCTGGTTAATCGGCAGAACTGGGATGCCCATCTATCTGATTTTCATGTCTCTGCTCTGGAACTGAACAATATAACACTTTGGAGCAAGGCAGAGTGAAGTTCCAGTCTGGGCTCCACCAGTTAGTAGCTATATAATTGAAGGCAAGTGACTTAACCTTGCTAGGCCACCATTTCCTTCTCTGTAAATGGGGATCCATTCAGTTATTCTTTCATTCAACAAGTATCTGTTCACTAACTCCACATGGTGTCTCTAAAGATTTAGTGCAATAAAGGAGCTCAAATGTTTAACAGAGGACCAAGCTCACAGTATGTCCTCAATAAGTATCAATTCCATTTTGCCCATATTTATAGTTTACGTTGGAGAGATGGAAGAAGGAATGGGTATCTGTTCATACGTATAATTCAGCATGGAGTGTTAACTAATAAATTAGTTCACTCATCCAACAAACTTTTTGTTGAGTGCATACTATATACTGGGCATTCTTCTATATGCTTGAAATAAATCAATGAAGAAAACAAAAAATGCTGTCACGGAGCTTACAGTCTAGCAATGAAGACAGATAATAAGCAAGGGCATAATAAAAAGCTAATCATGTAGTAGCCAAGAGCATAATAAAGAGCTACAAGGGAAAGAAAACATAAACTGGAGATAGAGGGTGGGAGTTGTGTAGAGCAGCGAGGGTGGGCTACACTGAAAAGGTGATATTTGGGCAAAGACATCAAGGAAGTGAAGAGGTGAGCCAAACCAGATATGAGAGATTAGCAATCTAGGCAGAGGGTAGATCCAGTGCAAAAGCTCTAGCATTCCTGGTACATTACGAGAAAAGCACAGAGGCTGGAATGGAATGAGGGAAGAGCAAGAAGAGTGAGAAATGACACCAGGGAGGTGATGGAGCCCAGATCAAGCAAGTCCTTGCTGGTCATTGTAAGGACTTTGACTTTACTTTGAGTGTGATGGATAGCCACTGGATAGCAGAGTTTTGAGCCAAAAACTGATCTGCTTGCTCTGATGTATTATAAATGGATTACTTTGGCTGCTGCATGGAGCTGGGGTGGAAGCAAGAAGACTTGTTAGGAGGCTGTCGTGGTAGTGCAGACAGAGATGATGGTGGTTCAGACCACAGTGAAGTGAGCAAGAAGCAGTCGGGGTCTGAATACAATGTAATGGCAGAGCCAATGCAGTGGCCTAATGTGTGACTCAAGGATTTTGGCCTGAGCCAAACTGAACTGGAAATATGGAGTTGTCATCAACTGAGAGGGCCAAGGCTGTGGATGGTGCAGGCTTGGCGGAAAGGAAAACCTAGAGTTTGGTTTTGGATATGTGAAGTCTAAAATATCTAGTAGACAACCAAATGGGGATGCTAAATGGGTAGTTAGATGTTTGAATTTGGGATTTGAGAGGGAGGTGTGGGTAGGCTGCACATATAAATTTGGGGATTATCAACATAGGGTTGATGTTTAAAACCATGAGACTAGATGAGATTATCAGTGGAGTGAGTATAGACAGAGAAAAGAAAAAAAAATTCGAATGGATCCGTGGGACATTCAAATATTAAGAGATTGGAGAGAAAAGAAGGAAGTCAGTCAAAATTTTAGAAGGGTGACCTGTGAGATAGGAGGAAACTCAGAATGTGGTACCCTGGAAACCAGGTAAAGAAATGTCCCAAGGGGGAGGAAGCCACCTACAATGCCACCTGCTGCTGGTACATCAACTGGGATGAGGAGCAAGAAGGGACCAGTAGCTTTTAGCAACAGGAAGGTCATGGGTGACCGACATCAATTGAATGGTGAGAGTGAAAGCCTGAATGTAGTGGATTTAAGAGAGGATGGGAGAAGAGGAACTGGAGGCAGTGGGCACAGATGCTTTTATCAAGAACTCCTACTGCAAGGGAGTGTAATGACATGAAGTGAAATCTAATGGATAACATGTGGTCAAGAGAAAGTTCCACTTTTTAGGACAGCCTGTTGTGTGTGCTGGTGTGAATGATCCTGCAGAGAGTGGAAAATGGATGATGTAGGGAATAGGAGAGAATTGCTGGAGTGGTGTTCTTCAGTAAGCAAGAGTGGATGGATTCAATGGTGCAAATCAGATGGGCTTTAGACAGGTGTGAACAGCAAAGCTGTGGGAAGGCAGAACATGTGGGTGGGTATTGCTGGAAGGAGAGGTGTGGTGAGAGCACAGGGGAGGTCATTTCTTGTTCCACTTTCTCAGGGAAGTAGAAATCAAGGTCACAGTTGGGAATGAGGGTGGGAGAGATGTAACCTAAATCCCTAAGATACGTGCTCTGCCTGATGTGTTCCTGTCCTGGTTCATTTTTCACCTTTTGTTACTGTGCAGCTGTTTCTTCCTAAATGTCTCTAGGGAGTTGGGAAAAGTGAAGTACTGGGCGTAGGGTAGGCTGCAAGAGCAGTGTGTGTATGTGTTTCCGCTTGTGTGCAACAGAGACATAGTGATCCATCCAAAGAGGTCTAAATCTCAGTAAAACAAAAGAAAAATCAACAATAAGATAACTTAGAATTTTAAAATTCTACAGCTTTCAATGAACACCTTGGTCACAGAAAAGAGGAGGAGCAAGGAGTTCTCATTTCCAACAAATACCAGGTGTTCCTTTATTGTTACTACCTTTTTGTTTGACTTTTCTCTTTCCCAGTACAGTATTCAGCATTCATATTACCTAACTCAGCTCACATAGGGCCTCTGTGCCTTCCATTGAGGCACTTTTTAGATGTATTGCTTATTAAAGGTGGGGGAATGGGGAAAATGAAATAACCTTAAAAAGTTTTCATGCTTAACTGGGCTATATTAACTCTATACCAAAAAAGTATATGCAAATTTTTTTTGGTAAAAATTATTTGGAGTCAAACACCACTTTTACCTTTAAAATGGCATATTGGGAATCTGTTAAAGAATCTTGAAAACATCAGGATTTTACATTTAAAAGTTTTATGATTTAGGGATGAGAGACCAGGAATGACCTTCTTCCAAATTGCACTTACTTTAGGACAAGTACACAAATTTCTCAAATGTAATTGAGCTCTCCTTCTCTATGAGAACTACCTTACTTAAATAAAAAAGATAATAATTCAGGTAGTTTTCATTTATTTTTTATATTTGTGTAAAATACACATAACAACATTTTCCATCTTAACTATTTTTAAGTGTACAGTTCACTGGCATTAACTACATTCACATTGTGTGAAACCATCCCCACCATCCATGTCTGGAGTGCTTTTCATCTTTTCATCTTGCAGACCAATCTCTTCATTCCTCTCTCCTCCCAACCCCTGGCAACCGCCCATCTACTTTCTGTCTCTGTGAATTTGACTACCATAGCTTTCTCCCATACATGGAATCATGCATATTTGTCCTTTTGTGTCTTGCTTATTTCACGTAGTGTGATATTCTCCAGTAGAATGACCTTTTAATTACTGATTCTTCCCACGAGTAGATGGGGTTTCAATGTCATAGGCCACTTTACAGTACATTACTTACGTGGGACATTTAGACCAAGAGAGCTGTTCATGAGGACATTGTTGGAGGGTGACTTAGGTGATTGGGAAGTTATTCTCTTCACCCTGGGAATAAATCAATCAGCCTGGCTTTAGTTCTTTGGAGCAGATCTCAAAGGAGTTTATTGGAAAAAATCAAGTTGCAAAGTGAAAGTAAAAAACTGTACTCACATTTTGGAAAATGTTCATGTATTTAAAATAAGATAGGCTGGGTGCAGTGGCTCACACCTGTAATCCCAATACTTTGGGAGTCTGAGGCAGGTGGATCACTTGAGGTCAAGAGTTTGAGACCAAACTGGCCAACATGATGAAACCCTGTCTCTACTAAAAATACAAAAATTAGCTGGGCGTGGTGGCACAAGCCTATAATCCCAGCTACTAAGGAGGCTGAGACATGAGAATCGCTTGAACCTAGGGGGCAGAGGTTGCAATGAGCCCAGATTGCACCACTGCACTCCAGCATGGGTGACAGAACAAGACTCCATCTCAAAACAAAACAAAAATATTCCCGGGCAAGATGGTCAAACAGGAGCAACTCTGGTCTGCAGCTCCCAGGGAGACCAATGCAGAAGGTGGCTGATTTCTGCATTTCCAACTGAGATACCTGGCTCATCTCACTGGGACTGGATAGAGAGTGGGTGCAGTCCATGGAGGGCAAGCAGAAGCAGGATGGGGCATTGTCTCACCCGGGAAGTGCAAGGGGTTGGGGAACTCCCTCCCCTAGCCAAGGGAAGCCTTGAAGGACCGTGCCATGAGAAACCGTGCATTCCAGCCCAGATACTATGCTTTTCCTATGGTCTTCGCAACCCACAGACCAAGAGATTCCCTTGGATGCCTATGCCACCAGGCATAGGTTTCAAGCACAAAACTGAGCAGCTGTTTGGGTAGACGCCAAGCTAGCTGCAGGAGTTTTTTGTTGTTTTTTTTTTTTTCATACCCCAGTGGCACCTGGAACGCCAGTGAGACAGAACCGTTCACTCTCCTGGAAAGGGGGCTGAAGCCAGGGAGCCAAGTGGTCTAGCTCAGCGGATCCCACCCCCACGGAGCCCAGCAAGCTAAGATCCACTGGCTTGAAATTCTCACTGCCAGTACAGCAGTCTGAAATCGATCTGGAATGTTTGGTTGGGGGAGGGGCATCCACTATTACTGAGGCTTGAGTAGGCAGTGTACTCACAGTGTACACGAAGCCCTCGGGAAGTTCAAACTGGGTGGAGCCCGCCTCAGTGCCACAAAGCCACAGTAGCCAGATTGCCTCTCTAGATTCCTCCTCTTTGGGCAGGGCATCTCTGAAAGAAAGGCAGTAGCCCCAGTCAGGGTCTTATAGGTAAACTCCCATCTTCCTGGGACAGAGCACCTGGGGAAGGGGCGGCTATGGGCACAGCTTCAGCAGACTTAAAAAATTCCTGCCGGGCGCGGTGGCTCACGCCTGTAATCCCAGCACTTTGGGAGGCCGAGGCGAGCGGATCACGAGGTCAGGAGATCGAGACCATGGTGAAACCCCGTCTCTACTAAAAATACAAAAAATTAGCCGGGCGCAGTGGCGGGCGCCTGTAGTCCCAGCTACTCGGGAGGCTGAGGCAGGAGAATGGCGTGAACCCGGAAGGCGGAGCTTGCAGTGAGCGGAGATCGCGCCACAGCACTCCCGCCTGGGCGACAGAACGAGACTCCGTCTCAAAAAAAAAAAAAAAAAAAAATTCCTGCCTGCTGGCTCTGAAGAGAGCAGTGGATCTCCCAGGACAGTGTTCAAGCTCTGCCTCCTTAAGTGGGTCCCTGACCCCCGAGCCTCCTGACAGAGAGACACCTCCCAGCAGGAATTGACAGGAAACATGCAGGAGAGCTCCAGATGGCATCTGGCAGGTATCCCTCTGGGACAAAGCTTCCAGAGGAAGGAAGAGGCAGCAATCCTTGCTGTTCTGCTGGAGACACCCAGGCAAACAGGGTCTGGAGTGGACCCCCAGCAAACTCCAACAGATCTGCAGAAGAGGGGCCTGACTGTTAGAAGGAAAACTAACACACCGAAAGCAATAGTATCAATATCAATAAAAAGGATGACCAAACAAAAACTCCATCTGAAGGTCACCAACAGAAGACCAAAGGTAGATAAATCCACGAAGATAAGGAAAAACCAGTGAAAAAAGGCTGAAAATGCCAAAAACCAGAATGCCTCTTCTCCTCCAAAGGATCACAACTCCTCGCCAGCAAGAGAGCAAAACTGGATGGAGAATGAGTTTGACAAATTGACTGAAGTAGGCTTCAGAAGGTGGGTAATAAGAAACTCCTCTGAGCTAAAGGAGCATGTTCTAACCCAAGGCAAGGAAGCTAAGAACCTTGATAAAAGGTTAGAGGAATTGATAACTAGAATAACCAATTTACAGAAGAACATAAATGACCCAATGGAGCTGAAAAACACAGCAAGAGAACTTCGTGAAGCATACACAAGTATCCGTAGCCGAATCAATCAAGCAGAAGAAAGGATATCAGAGACTAAAGATCAACTTAATGAAATAAAGCGTGAAGACAAGATTAGAGAAAAAAGAGTGAAAAGGAAGGAACAATGCCTCCAAGAAATATGGGACTATGTGAAAAGACCAAACCGATGTTTGATTGGTGTACCTGATGAGTGACGGGGAAAATGGAAACAAGTTGGAAAACATTCTTCAGGATATTATCCAGGAGAACTTCCCCAACCTAGCAAGACAGGACAACATTCAAATTCAGGAAATACAGAGAACACCACAAAGATACTCCTCGAGAAGAGCAACCCCAAGACACATAATCATCAGATTCACCAAGGTTGAAATGAAGGAAAAAATGTTAAGGGCAGCCAGAAAGGTCGGGTCACCCACAAAGGGAAGTCCATCAGACTAACAGTGGATCTCTCTGCAGAAACCCTACAAGCCAGAAGAGCGTAGGGGCCAATATTCAACATTCTTAAAGAAAAGAATTTTTAACCCAGAATTTCTTATCCAGTCAAACTAAGCTTCATAAGTGAAGGATAAATAAAATCCTTGACGGACAAGCAAATGCTGAGAGATTTTGTCACCACCAGGCCTGCCTTATAAGAGCTCCTGAAGGAAGCACTAAATATGGAAAGGAAAAACTGGTACCAGCCACTGCAAAAACATACCAAATTGTAAAGACCATCGACACTATGTAGAAATGCATTAACTAATGGGCAAAATAACCAGCTAGCATCATAATGACAGGATCAAATTCACACATAGTAATATTAACCTTAAATGTAAATGGGCTAAATGTCTCAATACAAAGACACAGACTGGCAAATTGAATAGAGTCAAGACCCATCGGTGTGCTGTATTCAGGAGACCCATCTCACGTGCAAAGACACACATAAGCTCAAAATAAAGGGATTGAGGAATATTTACCAAGCAAATGGAAAGCAAAAAAAAAAAAAAAAAGCAGGGGTTGCAATCCTAGTCTCTGATAAAACAGACTTTAAACCAACAAAGATCAAAAGAGACAAAGAAGAGCATTATATAATGGTAAAGGGATCAATTCAACAAGAAGAGCTAACTATCCTAAACATATATGCACCCAATACAGGAGCACCCAGATTCATAAAGCAAGTTCTTAGATACCTACAAAGAGACTTAGACTCCTACACAGTAATAGTTGGAGACTTTAACACCCCACTGTCAATATTAGACAGATCAATGAGACAGACAATTAATAAGGATATTTAGGACTTGAACTCAGCTCTGGACCAAGTGGACCTAATAGACATCTATAGAACTCTCCACCCGAAGTCAACAGAATATACATTCTTCTCAGCACCACATTGCACTTATTCTAAAATTGACCACATAATTGGAAGTAAAACACTCCTCAGCAAATGCAAAAGAATGGAAATCATAACAAACAGTCTCTCCGACCACAGTGCAATCAAATTAGAACTCAGGATTAAGAAACTCACTAAAAACCATGTTGGCCAGGCTGGTCTCGAACTCCTTACCTCAGGTGATCTGCCCGCCTCAGCCTCCCAAAGTGCTGGAATTACCGGTGTGAGCCACCATGCCCAGCCAGCATGTTTCTTTAATTGCTGTTCTTCACTTATTTTTCTTCACCACATCCCCTAAACTTGGCTTCTATTATAAATCCCCACATCTTTCTACTACTACTGTTTCTCAGTTACTATCCTTTTCTTCCATGGAAATTTACTAGCACAACTATATGTAATACATATTATAGTATTGTATATATAATACATGATTATTATAAATAACAATCATATGGCAACAGCAGATAAACAACATTATTATATATTATACACATATATACATTATACACATATGATTATCATATATATGCATATATGTAATATATATCATACATTATATGTCACAATAGAATCACTTTAAAAAACTAGTGAGGAAAGAAGAAAGCTGCCCTGACCTCTGTGTATTTTTAAGTCCTCACAACATTTCTATCAAGTAGGCCTTCCTGTCCCTATCTTGCCATACAAAGATGTTAAATAAACTGCTTGCTTGGTAGATCCCAGAGAGTTTTTAATGTATAGTTCTGCCTCAAAGTCCTCTGTATTTTTTTCTTCTGGTTACTACTGTAGACAGAATTTAAGCTCATTCCTATTATTCCTGATTTAGCAGTCCAAATAGGCTTGAAGATCTCTCCTCTCTACCTTAATCCCACACTCTTGTCAAAGCAAACTGACCGAGACAGTGCTTCTTTCTCATCATGTGACTTCCCTACTCTCAACCACGGGTGGCTCTGTATGTCCTATAGAGATATTTCAGGAGACTCCTATAAATAAACTTCAAATCCCCACGACTTCTTAGCTCCTCCTCAAATCCCACACCCATACGTCTTACACAATCAGAGATTCAATCACACCAGGACATCCTTTACTCCCCAAATAGCTTATGTTCTCCTCTGTGATCACTGCCTCCATATCCTCTTCCTAAGGTATGTGTGCTGCTCCCAACTCCCATATCTACCTGTTAAAATCCTACCTATCCTTCCACAAAGATACAACCTTCTCCACAAAGCCTTCCAAAAACTCTTCAATCAGAAACAACCTCTTCTATGTTTACCGAGAACGTAATATGCTCATCTGCTTAGATCTGTCTAGTACAATTTTTTTTTTTCCGCAGATAACTGTGACTTCAAATGGACTGTGAGCTCCTCTGGGCCAGGGCAATGCATTCATCTTCATACAAATCTCCACTCCTTAGCACAGTTCTTAATACAAGGTAAATACTTACATGTGCTATGAAATGATTAGTAAAAAGAACAACTTCTTCAATAGCAAGAACGTCTCCCTTAATAGCAAGAACTTCTCCCAGTGAAAAGTTTTATACACAACTTTCAAATATGGTGGAACACAGAGGTACCCAGGTAAATAAAAGATATATTAAATTCTAAACTGCATTAGAATTGCTAATCTTAAACTTAGTAATTTAACATTCTCTTTTGAAAGTAAATCTACAAAGTGACTTAAATAGATACCATGCCTTCTCCTTTTTCCTAACGTGCTTTAGAAAAAGACTTAAAGGAGTGAAAACTAGAAGTAAAAAGTTAGATAATTACATGATTACACCTAAGTGGCCAGTTGGCAAATGAATAAAAATATTACAAATTTAAGAATGAAAAGATCTTCTGCTCTTTAATATGTGGTAATACGTTCTTTACTTTAATATGTGGTAGCGGTACAGCAAGTAAAAATGGAATAAATACACCTGTAAAGTGGTGATGTAAGCCAAGAGCAGTGGCTCATACCTATAATCCCAGCACTTTGGGAGGCTGAGGTGAGAGCATCACTTGAGGACAGAGTTTGAGAAAACGGTGATCTCTTTAAAACGCAAATCGGAGAACACTGCCCTGCTTAAAACCCTCCACTGATTTTTTTGACATGCTTGGAGAAATATCAGATTCCTTACCCTAGACTACAAAGACTCTGCACATCCTGCTATGAGCACTACCAAGCCCAGCTCCTGCTCTGCCTGCCCCTGCCCCTTCATTCCGGTTCTACTACACTGGTGCCAAGGCCTTTGTCTCACAGTGTCTTGGCTCTTGCTGTTGCCTGTGCTTGGAATGATCTTCTTCCGTATCTTCTCATGGCTGCCTTCTTCCATCCTTCAATTACTCGCTCAAATCCCACCTCCTCAGAAAGGCTTCCATGACCACCCAACTAAAGGCAAATCTCCACCACCAACAGCACCATAGCCTGTCTCTGCTGGATCTTACTGTTTAATTTTCTTTATAACACTCATCATGACCTGAAATTATCTGGGTTTGTTGTTGTTGTTGTTGTTGTTTGTTTGTTTTTTGAGATGGAGTTTCACTCTTGTTGCCCAGGCTGGAGTGCAATGGCACGATCTTGGGTCACTGCAACCTCTGCCTCCCAGGTTCAGGCAATTCTCCTGCCTCAGCCTCCTGAGTAGCTGAGATTACAGGCACACACCACCACACCTGGCTAATTTTTTATATTTTTAGTAGAGATGGGGTTTCATCATGTTGGTCAGGCTGGTCTCGAACTCCTGACCTCAAGTGATCCACACGCCTCAGCCTCCCAAAGGGCTGGGATTACAGGCGTGAGCCACTGCACCCAGCCGACCTGGAATTATCTGTTTACTTGCTTGTTTAGTATCTGCCTCCTTCCACTAGACCATAAGCCCTGCATACAGGCAGTGGTCATGACCACTGTGGTTCTAGAAAAGTGGCTGACATGTGGAAGGTGCTCAAAACTATTTGTAGCAGCATAAACTGCATTTTAACCCATGAGGACGAAGATATATTTTTTGCATTCTCTAGCTTATCTTTCACTTCTGGAAGCACAGATTAGTTGAAAGCATCAGGGGATTCGGAATCAGATAGACTTGGATCAAAATCCCGATTCTGCCACTTATTTTCCCAGTGATGTTGGCAGGGTCATTTAAATGGAGCTATAGCTACAAATTTTTCAGTGTGATGGAAAACCAAATGGATGAGCCAACTCTAAGGTCTGTCTGCCTTAGAGGACTGCTTTGCACATGTAAGTGCACTGATTTGGCTCTCAGCCATGAGCTCTTTCCTGGACTCATGCTCTTTCAACAAAAAGAATTTTATTTCTCCTCAGGAATAATGTTGCTTAAGAAAAGAATGTTCAACAGGCAACCTACAGAATGGGAGAAAGTTTTTACAATCTACCCATCTGACAAAGGTCTAACATCCAGAATCTACAAAGAACTTAAAGAAATTTACAAGAAAAAAACCAAACAACCCCATCAAAAAGTGGGTGAAGGATATGAACAGACACTTCTGAAAAGAAGACATTTATGCAGCCAACAGACACATGAAAAAATGCTCATCATCACTGGCCATCAGAGAAATGCAAATCAAAACCACAATGAGATACCATCTCACACCAGTTAGAATGGTGATCATTAAAAAGTCAGGAAACAACAGGTGCTGGAGAGGATGTGGAGAAATAGGAACACTTACACTGTTGGTTGGACTGTAAACTAGTTCAACCATTGTGGAAGACAGTGTGGCAATTCCTCAAGGATCTAGAACTAGAAATACCATTTGACCCAGCCATCCCATTACTGGGTATATACCCAAAGGATTATAAATCATGCTGCTATAGAGACACATGCACACATATGTTTATTGTGGCACTATTCACGATAGCCAAGACTTGGAACCAACCCAAATGTCCATCAATGATAGACTGGATTAAGAAAATGTGGCACATACACACCATGGAATACTATGCAGCCATAAAAAAAGGATGAGTTCATGTCTTTTGTAGGGACATGGATGAAGCTGGAAACCATCATTCTCAGCAAACTATCGCAAGGCCAGAAAACCAAACACCGCATGTTCTCACTCATAGGTGGGAATTGAACAATGAGAACACTTGGACACAGGTTGGGGAACATCACACACCAGGGCCTGTCACGGGGTGGGGAAAGGGGGGAGGGATAGCATTAGGAGGTATACCTAATGTAAATGATGAGTTAATGGGTGCAGCACACCAACATGGCACATGTATACATATGTAACTAACCTGCACCTTGTGCACATGTACCCTAGAACTTAAAGTATATTAAAAAAAAAGAACGTTCAAACTTAACGTTCAAGAAGTAAGAAATTCACAGAAATAATTCCTGAAGAAGAGAAAAAACAGGTCCTTTCATTAGTAGGAAGAGGAAAATTCAAACACAAGCATCAGAAAACAGTGCTCCAATTAAAATAATGGTAATAATAAATAAATACAGTGAGTGTTACATACGTGTTTACAATGTGCCAGGTATTGTTGTTTATCTCCACAATAATCCTTGAGGTCAATACCACTGTTATTCTCGTATTACTTTTTTCTTTTCCTTTTTTTAGAGATAGGGTCTCACTCTGTTGCTCAGGCTGGAGTGTAGTGATGCAATCATAGCTCACTGCGGCCCCGACCTCCTGGGCTCAAGTGATCATCCTGCCTCAGCCTCCCGAGTAGCTGTGACTACAAGCATGCATCACTGTGCCTGGCTAATGTTTAATTTTTTTGTAGAGTGCTATGTTTCCCAGGCTGGTCTAGAACTCCTGGGCTCAAGTGATCCTCCCACCTCAGCCTCCCAAAGTGCTGGAATTAAAGGTGTGAGCATTGTTCCCATCAAGAAACCAATGCACAGAGAGGTTCAGTAACTAGGAAAGTCATGAGCTAGTCAGTAACAGAATCACAACAGTGACCACAGACGATGCTTGTCCCTCACTCAATCTCCCATGCTCTTTCCACCCTCGGCACCCTTCCTCTCCACATGGATTTGTGCTTGTGTGTCTTCTCCCTCTTCCTCCTTCCTCCTCTAGCACTGGCCCCAGTCAATAGCCACAATGTAGCATATTCTGCCACCAAGATGGCAGCTCTGCTAGGCTGCCCATGAGCAGTGTGCCAGCAAGACTGGCTAAAAGAGATGGGAGAAATATCTAGGCATCTTCAACCTCCCTAGGAGCCCCCTCAGCTGTGCCTACTTAAAGCACAGTCTTCCTCTGTGCCCATCTGACTTAGGAGAGTCCAAGCGAAAGCTCCTGTCCTCCAAGGACGGCCCAAGTGTGTACAGTCTTCATCCTGAAGAACACCCAAGCTAGAGAGTGCTTCCCAATGGGAAATAAAGGATGAGCAGTTGCTTTAAGTGCTTGCAAAGCTGTTAGAACACTGCTCAAGGCAATGTAGCTCTTTCAGTGGCACCTAGTTATGAGCACATATTGTAGTAACAGAGAATGATTGATTTAGTAGTAACAGTCAAAAACCAAGGAAGGGGAAAGCTACATGAAACATTAAAGTATATTTTCTTGTAATAAAGGTTTTAGAAAAAGATTTCCTAGACAGGGGGGATGTTGGTAACAACTTTTCCCAGGTCTTAAAAGCTTTTTTTTTTTTTAAGTCATTAAGAAAAGATGATTTTTTAAAAAAATCATCCAGCTTTGGGAAGAATGATCTAGTTTGTCGTTTCCTTTCCAAATGTTTCAGATTCAACATTAGAAATGTTCCGATGGTTCCAGAGATAGGACTGCATGAGTCTTGAGGAAAGGCCAATAAAAATAACACCACCATCAATATCCTCCCAGCGTACTCTGGGGAGTCAGGCCACGGCTGCTAGAGGCACAGGCCTGCTGAAGTATGAGAAGAGAGGAGGATGTAGGTGGACATTATTTCCTTCACAAAGAACAAAATGAATTAATTCCCTATTTTAAAGAGACGGTTTTTGGTTTATCTGTGAAAATAATTTCCAACATCCATCCTTTCGTCAAATATTTATTGAGCACTTACTGGAAACCAGCCCCCACAGGAGGTGATGGATGCCTTCGGGAGCTTACACTCTAGTTTGTGGGACAGTCATTAAGCAATAACAGATTCAGAATCACCACCCTGACTTTGACAAGTGCTGTAAAGGAGAGAACCATATGAACTTATCAAAGGGAGTTTGGCCCAGAGGCCTGAAGAACTGAGAACTAAGCTGAGATGTCAAGGTAGAGGCTAACTAGAATTTCATGATTCCGCATTGCACTTTTCATTTATGTTCCCAAATCTCAATCTGTACAGTCACAGAAACAGCCCTGAGGGAAACATGAACTTAATAAAAAGGTAGCCTACCTAGAGAAGTCCAGGACATTATGATTTTCAAAAGTGGGCCAGGCACAATGGCTCAAGCCTGTAATCCTAGCACTTTGGGAGGCTGAGGCGGGCGGATCACCCGAGGTCAGGGGTTCAAGACAAGCCTGGCCAACATGGGGAAACAATACAACATGGGGAAACTAAAAATACAAAAATTAGTTGGGCTTGGTGGCACATGCCTGTAATCCCAGCTACTTGGGAGGCTGAGGCAGGAAAATCGCTTGATCCTAGGAGGCGGAGGTTGCAGTGAGCCAAAACCACACCACTACACTCCAACATGGGCGACAGAGTGAGACTCCGTCTCAAAAGAAAAAAAAAGATTTTCGAAAGTGTATTTTTCTCCCATCTATAGGAAGATAAGACAACATATTCTCACCTTAGGAAAAAAGCATTCATCTTGCAACATGGTCCTCCAAATACACATGTTTTCAAAATATAAATTTTCTTGCAAGTCTGATGGGATGATGTCTCCCTCCCCTGGTAAGAGCAGTGTTTGCAACCTGGGCAATATTGAGAGCACAAATAATTCTAACAGCGCTAATTTGGAGAGCATTGATTTAGGACAGAAGTACCTCCCTTTCCAACCTAAAATCAGCACTATAAGAAACATTTCAAAGATATTCTCAGGTGTCAGGGGTACATGCAGTAAGTGAGACAATCAGCAGACAGCAATGGGAGAACAAACCCATCTTTGTGTTACATTGCACAGATCAAATGAAATCCTTACTGCTTAGTTTGAAGAGGTAACTATGGAAAGATGTGGCATACTATATATAAAATTTTACAGCAAAGATGCGTTCTTTTCTAATTTTTTCCACTTCCAGCCTCTTGATTTCCTTTAGGCAAGATCAATTTATCTCTGAATCTGCCAGCTCCCAGCAACTCTAATATGGCACTGGGCACTGTAGGATTTTAAATAATTTGAGAGTCATCCATATGCCACATACTATGGATATAAAGATGAATTAATCAGTCACTTCTACCAAAGACTTAATGTCTAGTAACATCCTTAACAATTGCATTATTACTAGGAAAAGAATCCGTGTGTTGGCCACCATGTTTGCATTGCTTCAACTTTTTTCCTCATAGTATCAAAAGCTTGTGGTGAAAAGTTATCAAGACAGAACAAGGAAATAGTCAGCATAATAACTTAACTCACCTAAAGTAGTTTGAACCGTATTAATTCTTCACTGGAAAAATAGAATATATATTTCTTTCTTTCTTTTTTTTTTTTCTTGTTGCCCAGGCTGGAGTGCAGTGGTACAATCTCAGCTCACTGCAACCTCCACCTCCCAGGTTTAAGTGATTCTCCTGCCTCAGCCTCCTGAGTAGCTGGGATTACAGGCACCTGCCACCACAACCGACTAATTTTTGTATTTTTACCAGAGACAGGGTTTCACCATGTTGGCCAGGCTGGTCTCGAACACCCGACCTCAGTTGATTCGCCTACTTCTGCCTCCCAAAGTGTTGGGATTACAGGTGTGAGCCACTGCGCCCGGCTTAAAACACAGTATATTTCTTGAAGCTCTGAGGATTCTAACTCTTTGGAATAGCTTACTTTAATTGTGCACCTTCTATGTGTCAGGCACTAATTTCAATTACTGTACATAGATTAACTTGTCTTATCCTCACAAGGACCCTATGATTTGCTTGATGATAAAACTGGGGCAAATATAGAGAAGTTAAGGAATGTTCCCAAGAATGATGGCTGGGCAGGTGTGGAGCCAGGTTGAAACCCAAGGCACTGTGACTCCAGGGCTCCTGTTCTGAACCACTGTACCCTTGCAGCTCTCTGGAAAGGCAGGTAAATGTAATGCATTGAAAAGCATTCGGGGTGCTGCTCACAGTGTCTATGGTGACAGAGGATGGTGTTCTGGTAGTGAAAACAAAGCCAAGTTTTTTTGCTCCTTTCGCTAAAGCTGCTTCATTGTCAGTAAAAAGTTTATATTAGTAGAAATTGAGCAAATATAATCACACTGAATTGAATTTAAAACAGATTTCCAGTCTCCAGCACTAATACTGTGTCCATGTTTTAAACTTGGCTTTTTTTTTATCCAAATGCACTTATCTGTCTGTCTAGGGACCAGCTTGTGTTCACAAAAGAGGAAATTTGGTTAAAAAGGGCCTCTTTCAGTGGGGCTGAGATGAATTTACCAGGCTGAGGGTGAAATACTTCCTTACTGTTCATAATGATCTTGTTTCTTCTCAAAGCCATTCATAGTAACTCCATAAAATGTTGCAAGGCCTTAACTTTACCTCTGTTTTGTTACTGATGATAACCAAACGCACTGCTGAGCCCCAAATTCTGAGCACCCTCACAGCCTCTTTATGGCAGTCTTGGGGGGTGAACCATGAGTGCTATAAGAACTCCAGGGAAGGAGAAAGGCAGAAGCAATTAAGGTGATCAGTGATAGCACCTACCTCTTCTGAGGCCTCATCACCAGCCAGGCACAAAGAACTATGCGCACTTAACATCTACCTGGGGGAGGAAGCCTGGTGGATTATATTATTTCCATCTCTCTTGGGAATAACAGAGTGGCACACAGATAACAGGATAAGAAATTCTGTTATATAGTCTTTTGTGGGCTATAAAAAAAGAAAGGCACAAAATTAGTGAGTGTCTTTCAACATCAATAACACAAGAGGTATATATGGTCTAAAATTTGCACCAACTGTGTTTTGACCTCAGGTACACACAAAGTCAGGCACCAGTGAAAAGCCATATCATGCATTCAAAATGTATTTGTGGGGTGGCTACCGAGGCCAGGATGGTATAGGAGGCTGGAGAGACCTCAGAAAACAAGGTGATCCTGCCTTCTTGAAGCTTTATTCTCATTGGAGAGACGGAATTTCCCAAAACTGAAGAAAACAAATAGGGACTCTGATAGAGAAAAGAAGGGCGTATTGTATTGTATTGTATTGTATTGTATTGTATTGTATTGTATTGTATTGTATTGTATTGTTTTTGAGATGGAGTCTAGCTCTGTTGCCCAGCCTGGAGTATAATAGTGTGATCTCGGCTCACTACAACCTTCACCTCCCACGTTCAAGTGATTCTCCTGTCTCAGCCTCCTGAGTAGCTAAGATTGCAAGTGCCCACGACCATGCCCAGCAATTTTTGCATTTTTAGTAGAGATGAGGTTTTACCATGTTGGCCAGGGTGGTCTTGAACTCCTGACCTCAAGTAATCTGCCTGTCTTGGCCTCCCAAAGTGCTGGGATTACAGGCATGAGCCACTGTGCCCAGCCTTTTTTTTTTAACAGGAAAAAAGTATTTAATACTTTAACAAAATGCAAAGTAAAATATCCAAGTTACAAAATATAAATTCCTTTGGTTCAGTCATCACACCACTATTTTTACCTTCCACGTAGCTATAGACATCACACCCTCAAAGTGATGTCAGACTGTCCCCCTTCGTACTGAAAGATGTCATGCCAAAGCCATCACATACCCCACCGTTCAGTGAAATTGCTGGCAACTTACACGGAATAGAGCTGTGAGGTAGGAAAAGGGGTAAATGGTTGGTCTGAAAAAAAGGGGAAGACTCTCCACACACAGAGCAAGTCAGCAGGAGGGAGATCTCTGCTGGGTCACCACACCATGAACCATACACCTTCCATGCTACATGAGGCTGAGTTCTTGGTACAATTGCACATAAATACAGATGATCAAGTGAACCTGAGCACCCCCAGGGAAAACAGAAGAAAAATACAGAGAGGCAGAGGAGAGAAAGAATGGCAGCCAGAGGCAGATCACAGAATACCAGGGAACATCTAGTCCAAACCCTGTTTTACAGATTGGAAAAATGAGACCTAGAGTAGAAGGTCTTGCCAAAAGACACAGTTTATGGCAGTATTAGAATTCCATGCTGCCTTTTAACATGAGCAAGGAGAAAAAAAATGGACAAGAAATGGGTAGACTTGCTAAGGCAGGGGCGGACCCAGGCATCTCATTCCACTTCTGCTGTCTTTTTGGAAGACTGCCCATGAGGTCTTAAGGCCTTTCTGCGTGCTTCCTTGATTCTCAAGAATCAGCAGTCATCAAGGTTTCTTCAAGGTTCCTGTGGCTCTGGACACAGGGATCCAAAGAAACAGAGACCCAGGCCACCTAATCAGGACAGAAGATAATGGCCCCTAATCTGCTCCCAAACAAGACTTGAAACAGTGACAACAAGGTCAGAATAGAAATTCAGCCACCCCTCAGTCAAACACCATCACCTAAATGGGGGCTGCAGGAAGAGTTGCGGAGCTGGAAATCTGCAATACTTGAATGAATAAGTGAATGAATGAATACACGGAGATGACCAATGCATGTTTGGTTCCGTGACAGGCATTGGTTCTGTTCACTATCTGTGCTGTGGGCACTTTTGGGGTCTACGTTGTTTTTGTCCACTCTGCTGGGATTGTGGGTGTATCATATTGTGCCCCTGGCAAACAAACTGAAAGAAGTGAGTGCAGATTTAAATAATAAAATGTGTCTGATTGGTAGAGATTAAGGGGAAAAAGTGGAAAGCCTTTTTTTTTTTTTTGAGATGGAGTCTTGCTGTGTCGCCCAGGCTGGAGTGCAGTGGTGCATTCTTGGCTCACTGCAAGCTCTGCCTCCTGGGTTCACACCATTCTCCTGCGTCAGCCTCTGGAGTAGCTGGGACTACAGGCGCCCGCCACCACACCTAGCTAATTTTTTGTATTTTTAGTAGAGACGGGGTTTCACCATGTTGGCCAGGATGGTCTCGATCTTCTGACCTCGTGATCTGCCCACCTCGGCCTCCCTAAGTGCTGGGATTACAAGGCATGAGCCACCGCGCCTGGCCGGAAAGCCATTCTTAAACCAGCTGCTTTTTTTTCTCCTCTCAGTTTTATAAGAACAGTATACCAGATCCTGGAGCAATGAAGACAGAATGGCTGAATCTCCAAACATCTCAAAACATGCATTTGAGGTGAATCGGGTAGCCTCACTCACTGCCACTTCCCCTCCCAACAGTCATTTCTTGGACAGGGAGGCAGTGGTAGACTGTGACAGTGAGATCTCACTGCACTTCTCAAGGATGGCCTCAGCAGAGAGTTTAGGCAGCCCTGTTCCAGAGAGCACTCATCCACCAGGCTGTTCATGGACGTGGGGGGCAGCAGAGGGTCCTCCTCATCTGGACTCAGTCCAGGAATCAGGGAGTTACTTGCCCTGTCCAATTCCTTGTCCACCTGCTCCCTGGACACACCCACTGTCTCAGGCTGTCCTAAAGGGATCTGGAGTCAAAATATGCTGACAGGGCTTCCTGGAGCAGAGGCAGAAATTTCTTTCAAGAGATCTGGGTGTTGCCTTGAAGATGGGCTTGGAGGTTAGAGAGGTGCTTAGGTCAGGAGTCAGCTTCAGGGACGGAGAGTGGGAGCGTTCCAGGACTCCACAGAGCATTGTTCAGAGCACCACGTGGAGACAAAATAGCCAACCACCGCACTGGCTCGTTGTGAGCGTTGAAAAAGATAGTCATGGCAATCAGGACATCATAGCTGCGAGCCTGGCAGAAAGCATGGGGATCTGCAAGGAGGTCAGACCTCAGCAGTAAGGCTTCCAAATCCATATAGATTGCATGAATGGCCACCTTGATGCCTTGTCTATAAAAGGTCTTCTGGTCCTTTCTCAGCATCTGCTCAGTAGTCAGTCCTGATACCTTGAACTTTGCCTTTTGTAGGGAATCAAAGATATCATTTCTCTTGGGTAGATCTGGGAAGAGGACCTCTAGCTTCTCCACATATTGCTGTCTTTAAGGGTTGCCTTTCCAATTTTAAGGTCCATGTTGACACAATCCAGTATGATGGTTCTTAGGTAAGATACGATGGTCGACAAGGATAAGGGTGAGTTAGCCAGCCTGGTGCAACGCATGGAGGTCAATCTCATCCCAAAAATCCAAGATAGTCTCTGGAATATGAATCTTCTGAAGAAGGAAGATGATGCCACCTTGCAGAGGTAGCTCAGAATGTTCTATATTTAAAACTGCCACAAAGACTTCCTTCTGTCTCAGTTGTCTTTACCAGGTAAAAAGCAGGGCAAGGGCCGAGGCGGGCAGATCACGAGATCAGGAGATCGAGACCACGGTGAAACCCCTTCTCTAGTAAAAATACAAAAAATTAGCCGGGCGCAGTGGCGGGTGCCTGTAGTCCCAGCTACTCAGGAGGCTGAGGCAGGAGAATGGCGTGAACACAGGAGGCGGAGCTTGCAGTGAGCTGAGATCACACCACTGCACTCCAGCCTGGGTGACAGAGCTAGACTCTGTCTCAAAAAAAAAAAAAAAAAAGCAGGGCAAGAGCAGACACCATGGAGTCCAAATCACAGGCTTCATTTCCCAGCACAACATGTAGAGGTCGGGACTTGTGCAGGGTAGCTCGACAGGCCTGCAGGTAGTCCTCCACGGTGAAGCCCAAAGTTTGCCGTCACCCTAGTCAAGGAACTCAGGCGCTAGAGAAGGACATATTTTAGATAGATGGTCAGGGAATAATGCTGGAGGAGATGACATTTAAAATTAATATCGAAACAAAAAGGTTAGTTAGCTGTATAGCTGATGGTGACAGTAGCACATAGCTGACAAAGGGAATAGTATGTCCAAAGGCTCCGAGTCAGGAAACAGCTTGGTGTGTTTGTGGAGCTTCCAGGCAAGTGTGCCTTTAGCATCTCAAGCAAGGGGAACAATGACAGAATGAGGTTGGAGAGTAGACCATGGTAATGAGTTCAGATTTTATGTTAAGTGTGGTGCCAGTCCTCAAGAGGTTTCTAAGCAAGGGACGGACATGTATAAATGTATGCTTTAAAAGGTCGCTTTAGTTTTTGAGAAGATCAAGATTCCAGATCAAGTAGATCAATGTCTTAAAATAGATAAGTGAAGATATTGGTAGCATGCAATAGAACCAAATAGTTTAAAAGCAAATAAACAGTCTTAACAGAGACTGCTACATAGTAAAACTTCTTGTATAATGTTTAAATTCACTCATGCTCATAAATTCAGTGCTTAGCTCATAATATCAGTACAAAATCCCTTGCTTATTATATGAACATCAAAAAATGTCAAGACCCTCTCCCTCTTCCTGGGTTCAGAACATGATACCTTTTAGGAAGCCATATAGATATTTTGAAGTTATATAGCACCACTGTGTCAACTTAGAATGAAAATAACAGGCTTACATGGCCATTCTCAAAGTTCTCCAATAACTTGGGGTCGTTAAATTCACAGGATGCTGGGATGGAAGAAGGTGTCTGACTATGAGGAAAAATAGAAAAGATTAACAAAAAGTTCCCGGTGGTGCCAGTCAATATTCAAAAGGATCTGAAATACACACACAGCCCATCTTCTGTTTTTAAGAGGATCACAAAGAGTCTGCAGAACTATAATAATACTTACAGTTCTGTCCAATGATACATCCTCCCAGCCCTCAAAGCTGCAAAATGGCATCCGAAGATGCCTAAACCTGTGTTGAGAACTGTACGGTTATAGGGAATTTGAGCCAGAGTGGCTACGAAAGCAATAAATTCATGGTTAGATTCTAGGCTGTCTGACTACCGCACGGGGAAGATCTGTCCAGAGGAGCTTCTGGAAACTGCCATTTGAGATCTGAACAAGAGAGAACTCTGGTATTATATGTCAATACTCTGGTACTGATAAAAGTTGGTTGCAGGAAAAGGGAGCAAGGGAAAAGTAGAAAAGAATAGGACTTCTGCCTGAATAACTTCTACAGGGAAATGAGGGAGGAAATGTAATCGTTTCAAGACTCTACGTATAAAACTCCTTGGGAATTCTAACATGTATCAAAGCAGATGTAAATCATATTTTTAAAATAACTACAAGTTTGCATTTTAAGCTTTACATTTCAGTCTCATTCAGATACAGCTATAGCTTTAGAAATTCAGTTAAGTCTTAGAGTAAATAAAAACTAATTAATTTTAAGAAAAAAAATGAGAATTTCTGGCCAGGCGCAGTGGCTCACGCCTATAATCCCAACACCTTGGGAGGACAAGGCAGGCAGATCATGAGGTCCAGAGATCGAGACCATTATGGCTAACACGGTGAAACCCTGTCTCTACTAAAATTACAAAAAATTAGCCGGGCATGGTGGTGCGCGTCCGTTGTCCCAGCTACTCGGGAGGCTGAGGCAGGAGAATCGCTTGAACCCAGGAGGCGGAGGTTGCAGTGAGCCGAGATTGTGCCACTGCACTCCAGCCTGGGTGAGAGAGAGAGACTCCACCCCCCGCCCCAAAAAGAGAATTTCTAACAGAGTATGGCAATAAAAACACTTTCCTGTAAATTACACCTGCAATGATACACTTCTTATATGTCATAATATTGCAAGTGAGGGTTCCCGTTTTATTAGAAAATTGATACTGTACCTACACAAAATAAAAATGAACACAATAAACCACATGAATTTAAAACAAATTTAGAGGGCAAGACAACAAAATGAAGTTCTTCCTCCTTTTTCTTTCTTTTTCCCTCTGTCTCTCAGGCCAGAGTTCAGTGGCTTGATCTCGGCTCACTGCAAGCCCCGCCTCCCCGGTTCAAGCAATTCTCCTGCCTCAGTCTCCCAAGTATCTGGGACTACAAGTGCCTGCCACAACACCCAGCTAACTTTTGTATTTTTAATAAAGACAGAGTTTCACCATATTGGCCAAGCTGGTCTCAAACTCCTGATTATTTACGCTTTTTTTTTTAGGAGGACATACTCTTCTCTCTTTTTCTTTTTTGTTTTTTGACAGTCTCACCCTGTCACCCAGGTTGGAGTGCAGTGGTACAATCATAGCTCACTGCAGCCTTGACCCCTGGGCTCACGCGATCCTCGCGCCTCAGCCTCCTGAGTAGCTGGGACTTTATACACGCCAAGGCAGGAGGATTGCTAGAATTCAGGAGTTCAAGACCAGGCTGGGCAACATAGCAAGACCTCATCTCTACTAGAAATAAAAAAAAATTAAACCGGTGTGGTGGTGTATTCCTGTAGTCCCAGCTGCTTGGGAGGCTGAAGTGGGAGGATTGCTTGTACCTGGGGAGGTTGAGGCTGCAGTGAGCTTGCCTGACAGAGTGAGACCCTGTCTTTAAAAAAAAGAAAAAAAAAACTTGATATTGGGAAAGTGAAAAAAGATCTACTATTGAAAAAGGCAAATGAGTCTTCTATATTGTGGAATATGATGAACTAACAATGTGAACAACCCTTATGACAAAAACAAGCATAATGCAGGATAAAGAAAAAAAGCTCATATTTTAAAATACATCCCAAAGTTGTTCCAGAAGTAAGCAATCCTCCGAGGTCAAACTCAGACCTGTAGAAGGTAGGTGGAAATTCAAATTCAAACCATGAAAGGAAGGTGAGTATCAAAGTGAGCTCTAAGAGTGCTCTAAGAAAAAGTGCCCTGGAATCCTAAGGTTTTTATCTTGAAGGTTGCACAGGGGCTAGAAGTACATGGCTGCCCCAGGTGGAGAGTGTCATGGAACACCCCTCCATAAATCTGAACAAGAGGGATACCACCTAAAAACAAGCATTAAAGAGAAGTAAACTGCTCAGCAGAATGGGATGGCACACACATTTGCCTGATTGAACCCTGAGACTGGATGGAAGAAAAATATATTTTTCTAGAGAATGTCAATGCAAGCTGGCCTCTCCAGGAACTTGTGGCCAAATTCACATGACCCATGGATTCAAACCTTCTCAAGTAGAGGATTTAAATTAATGTAGTCTCAAGTGATTGGCAGAAGTAAATGCAAATCTTTCTGCAGAGATGCAACTTCAACCCAGACCTTCAAGAATTCCTACCAAAAAAAACTTCCAAGGATCATGGGGTCATAGTTAAAACAAGGCACCCTAAGTGAAAACCAGCAGATACAAGAGAAAAAGAATCAGATCCACAAATAATTTGGATAGACTGAGAATATGAAATAAATAGGTTTTGTGTGGTTTTTAAAAACAGTTTAAAAACATGAACAAGGAACAAGAAAATAAAAATAAACCGTATATTTTTAAAATAAACTTCTAGAAAGTTAAAATTATAATGGTTGAAAAACATAAAACTTGCTGGGCATGGTGGCTCACTCCTGTAATCCCAGCACTTTGGGAGGCCTAGGGTGGGTGGACCACTTGAGGTCAGGAGTTCGAGACCAGCCTGGCCAACATGGGGAAACCCCATCTCTACTAAAGAATACAAAAATTAGCCGGGTTTGGTGGTGCGCACCTAGCTACTCAGGAGGCTGAGCCAGGAGAATCACTTGAACTCAGGAGGCAGAGGTTGCTGTGAGCCGAGATCACATGACTGCACTCCAGCCTGGGTGACAGAGCAAAACCATATATATATATACACACACACACATATATATATATGTATATACATATGTATACGTATATACGTATATACGTATATACATATATATACATATATATACACATATATATATGTATAACTTAAAACTTCTCTGAAAGATTAAACCACAGAGTCAAATGAAGAGACAATTAGAAAGCAGAAAGAGGCCAGGCGCAGTGGCTCATGCCTGTAATCCCAGCACTTTGGACGGCTGAGGAGGGCAGATTACTTGAGGTCAGGAGTTCGAGACCAGGCTGGCCAACATGGTGAAACCCTGTCTCTACTAAAAATACAAAAATTAGCTGGGTGTGGTAGCACACACCTGTAATCCCAGCTTCTTAGGAGTCTGAGGCAGGAGAATCGCTTGAACCCAGAAGGCAGAGGTTGCAGTGAGCTGAGATCATGCCACACTGCACTTGACCCTGGCCAACAGAGTGAGACTCTGTCTCCAAAAAAAAAAAAAAAAAAAAAAAAAAAACAGAAAGATAAATGGGAAGAAATTATTCAGTGCAGAGAGATAATGAGATAGGAGATATGACTGGAGGGTAAGAGGCCAGAAGGCAGAGATAAAAGGGCCAACATACATCTAGTTGGAAATCCAAAGGGAAAGAAAATGGAGGCTGGAGATGAGTCAATATTTAAACATAGATCGGAGTTTTCCAAAGTTGCTGAAAGTCATTGATCCTCATATTCTGGGAGCCCAGTGAATCCGGATAGGATAAATAAAAAGTTACGCAGTAGTGAAACCATAGTGGTCTAAAGAGAAAAATTTCAAAGCAGAAAGCAAAGACCAACCACATGCCCAGCTATCAATGCTAGACTGATGAGTAGCTTCTCAAAACCATCAATGGTATAAGATGATGGAATAGTTTCAAGATTCTGGGAAAAAGTAACAATATTTCAAGTAGGGAGAAGTAAGGACATTTTCAGACGTGAAATTTGAGAGATTTGTCCACCAACCCCTCTCTAAAGGAAACTTTAAACACATCATTTAGGTCATCATTGAGGCAGGAGTTCATTTAGGTGACATATGTGCAAACTCAGACGAAAGTTCTGAGTTATGAGAATTAAAGGTGAGCAAGGACATTGATAAGTATGTGGATAAATCTAAATAAGCACTGCTGCATAAAATAATGATGACAATAGTAGTCTTATTGGCAGGGTTAAAAGATTTTAAAATCAAAATACTAGACAAAAGTAGCGTATAACTGCAAGAGACAAACAGTGTTAAAGTATTTTTATTATTGGTAAAATATACATAAGATAATATTTACCATTTTAACCATTTTTACATGTCATTAAGTACATTCACATTGTTGTGCAGTCATCACCACCATCATCTCCAGAACTTTTTCATCATCCCAAGCGAAACTCCATATCTATTGAACAATCACTTCCTGTTCTCCTCTTTTCCCCATCCTGGAAACCACTATTCTACTGTCTGTCTCTATGAATATGAGAATTCCAGGTATTTCAGATAGGTGGAATCATACAATAATTGTCCTTTTGTGTCTGGCATATTTCATCTAGCATAAGGCCTCAAGGTTCATCTATGTTGTAGCATCCATCAGAATTTCACTCCTTTTTAAAACTGGGTATGTTTCATTGTGTAGATAGACCATACTTTGTTTATCCATTCATCCACTGATAGTCATTAGAGATTTTTCTACCGTTTTGCTACTGTAAATAATGATTTTATGAACATTGGTATACAAGACCTCTTTGAGGTTCTGCTTTTAGCTTTTTTGTGTATACACCTAAATGTGGAATTACTGGATCATATGGTAATTCTATATTTATTTTGTTGAGGAACCAGCATATTATTTTCCATAGCAGCTACACCTTTTTTTTTTTTTTGCTTTAAAAAAATAGCCATCCTAATGGGTATGAGGTAATGGCTCATTGTGATTCTGATTTGCATTTTCCTAATGATTAATGATGCTGAGAAGCTTTTCACGTACTCCTTGGACATTTGTATATCTTCTTGGAAAAAATGTCTACTTAAATCCTTTGCCGAGTTTTGAACTGGATTTTTTTTCTGTAGGGTTGTAGTTATTCATATATGCTGGATGTTAAACTCCCTTTCGTCTTGCTGTTTCAAATGTCATTGATTTCTGATCTTTGTGTTTTACCTACATAAACAATATAATTTATTTTCAAAGCTTGAACCAAAGGTAACTTTTATTAATAATATATTGAATCACTTACCTAAAGAGGCTAGGGTCACTTGACTAGGCAGCGTGAATGAAGTGATCCTTTTCCAACTGTCAATAGAAACCATACATTCTAAAGGATTAGCAAATAATCAGATTTTTATGAGCAGAAAAAGTACTGGAGATTTGGGCCAGGCACGGCAGCTCACGCCTGTAATCCCAGCACTTTGGGAGACCAAGGTGGGCGGATCATTTGAGGTCAGTAGTTCGAGACCAGCCTTGCCAACATGGCAAAACCCTGTCTCTACTAAAAATACAAAAATTAACCAGGAGTGGTGGTGCACACCTGTAATTCCAGCTACTTGGGAGGCTGAGAGAGGAGAATCATTTGAACTTGGGAGGCTGAGGTTGCAGTGAGCTGAAATTGCGCCACTGCACTCCGGCCTGGGTGACAGGGTAAGATGCTGTTTCAAAAAAAAAAAGAAAAAAAAAAGCGTACTGGAGATTTGATTATTCCACCCTCCTTCATCTTTAGTTCTCCAAGGTCAAAAGGCTGCTGTTGTAATTCTCTGAACAGACATTTCCAGGAGTCAAAATCCTTTTTAAATACTTACTGAAAATTCATTATTCAAATGATGCTATACAAGGTAACTAGAAATTAGAAAGTATATCTACCAATTACTGGTTATAATGACTAGCATTAATTAAGTTGGTACTATACACTAGACACTGTGTTGAATGCCTTGCATATACAGTATTTTATTCAATCCTCATAGCAACCTCATGACATAGATTCTATTGTCATGCCCATTTTAGAGATTAGAGATCAAGACCAGGGAAGTTACATGAGAGGCCCAAGATGACACTGCTGATGAATAGTAAAGCCAGGAATCATACCCAGGAAATTTAACTCAAAACTCTGCCTTTTACCACAATTTATATATTGTCCCCGATTCATTGAAAAATAGAAAATTGCAATCCAGTAAAACATATTAAGAACAAAAAGTGGCTAGAAAAAAATAATTAAATGTCTTTCTTTTTCTAGGTACTGTACAAGCGTGGGAGTTTTTAAAAATGTAATTTACACCTATAAAGACGTGATTGTAATTTAAAAGGGAAATTAAACAAAGCTATTGTGCTGACTGTCCATTGGTAACCTGACTTTGCTCCCATCTCTTTCTATTGTCCTGCAGGGACTGGCCGGGGTGGTGTGCATTTCTCCTGATCTCTCATCAGCCTGATTCCAAGTCAGGTTCTGCCTTTCAGAGGAATGTTCAGTAAAAAAGTAGAAGCTTTATTATTGTTCTTCTGGCAGTGGTGAGCAGACTGTTGAGTTTGGCAGATGTAAAACTTTGTAGCAGCCTCTGAAATTTCTAGCAGTCTTGGGATGCTTGCTGTGGGTCATCTGCCCCAGGGAGGCAGGGCAAGGGGGCTCCTGCCAGCAGGTTCCTGACTCTGAAAGCTCATTGCGACCTGAGAGCTGAAAATAACCTTCACTATCTTCCCCTCTAGCTCTTCCATTCTTTCATAAGTACATAATAACCTATATTAGATCTGTTCTGCTTGAACCTAACACTGTATTATCAACTACCCCATGAGGCAATATTATTACCCATGATACAGTATTGTCAATTACCCATGATGCAGTATTACCCATGATGCAGCATTATCAATATTTTGAACAAAGTATGATTTAAATTCCCCCCTGGCTCCATGTATGTCCATTAAAGCTATACTCTGTGGCTGACTTTGGCATTTTAATTTGCACAAGTTCTCCCTAGAGGCTTCTTTAAAGCTCCTATCACATTGTCCAGTCCTTAAAGGAGCCCTCACCTGCCCAAGTTCTTCATTGAGATTGAATGTTCTGGCCATGGCACAGATATTATTGATTTTATAATGCATATCTTCATCCTGCAAGAAATGAAAAAGTCTTTCACGCTGCCACTGAGCTCTCTATGTGACTGACATTTAGAAAGACTTCACAATGGAGAATGTAGAATACTTGGATTAAAGATAGAGTGTATCTTTAGTTTCTCACATATTAGCAGAATCAAATCAGGAGAGGCAGTGCCATGTAGAAATAAATTTTGATGTGTTGGTGATCTGAAGTTGGAAAACTTGGCTTGCAAAGCCCTGGCTCTGCCTCAGACAAGCTGTGGCCCTTAAGAAAGTTAATTAACATCTCTGTGCCTCAGCTACTACATCTATAAAATGGAAGCAACAATACAGATCTCACAGCTCTCTTGGGAAAGAGAATGCATTTGAAAGCACCTGCTTCATGTTGTGGCTGTTAAAATAATATTCCTCTTCAAATGTTGGCAAGCCAATGGTATATCGAGAGGATATTTTTAATATGTGACATTTAGCAATAATTTAATTTTTTAAAAAAATGTTTTTTTGAGACTGAGTCTCGCTGTGTTGCTCAGGTTGGAGTGCAGTGGTGCCATCTTGGCTCACTGAAACCTCTGCCTCTCAGGTTCAAGTGATCCTTGTGCCTCAGCCTCCCAAGTAGCCGGGATTACAGGAGTGCGCCACCACACCTGACTAATTTTTGTATTTTTACTAGAGACCAGGTTTCACCATGTTGCCCAAGCTGGTCTCCAACTCCTGGGCTCAAGCAATCCACCTGCCTCAGCCACCCAAAGTGCTGGGATTACAGCCATGAACCACGGCGCCTGGCCCAAAAATAATTTTTAAATATAACTAAATTTTGCAACCCCATGTTCACACTAGAAAATTAGTTCAGTCCCAACTTATTAAGTATTTATGACAGTCAATACCCAGTTGTCCCCTAAGAAATCTTTTCTTGAATGTGAAGTAATTCGGGAATGATTATGTGTCTGTCATTCTAGCCTAGATTTGTAAGTCTACTGGACTCTCCTCCCCTTCTTTATTGACTGTTTTCAATCTTAATGGATTAACTATCTCTCTACATTTACCGCTAAACCACTCTCTCTTAAACCTTTATCAGTTAAAACAAATATGTTAAAAAATGGCATCCTCAAGATGAACACAAAGAGGACAAGCAGAGCTGAGCCACGTTGATAGCAATGCTTGGCTTAGACTAGTTCCATCATGAGGACAGTTACATTGACTCTTAAAAGGAACACAAAAGCTATGCCTTAAGAAATAATTTTTTTAATTTTCTGATTTTAATACTCACTCAGTTTATAAACTGGGCCTGAATATATTTCACAATTTCCATAGTGACCAGCATAGGGATGAGGTTCTGGTACAAAATGATAGACCAGGCATGGTTGCTCACGCCTGTAATCCCAGCACTTTAGGAGGCTGAGATGGGTGGATCACCTGAGGTCAGGAGATCTTGACCAGCCTGGTCAACATGGTGAAACCCCGTCTCTACTAAAAATACAAAAATTAGCCGGGCATGGTAGCGAGCACCTGTAATCCCAGCTACTTGGAAGGCTGAGGCAGGAGAATCGCTTGAACCCGGGAGGCGGAGGTTGCAGCCAGCCAAGATCACAGCACTGTACTCCAGCCTGGGTGACAGAGTGAGATTCTGTCTCAAAAAAAAAAGATGATGAACACCAATATGTCAAACAAAATGACATGGGAGCTGGAACCTCTGGAAAAACATCAGAGACACCACCTCACAGCTTCCGGCAATGCCTTTATTCATCTTTGTTTGCACTATTGTATTTTTAAATTTTGGAATTTTCTCTATGAAAATTATGATTAAAAGTGGACACAAATATTAAATATTTTAAAATGTATATTAGTTCCACACCAGCCATGTAATAAGGAGTATGGGAAGCTTTGAGATTCAAGATCAAAGAAGATACCAACTTTGCCCTCAGGGAACTTAGCGTGAAGCTTGGGAAAGTCAGCTGGGTTAGGAAATACAGTATGACGAATTCCAGAGTGGCACTGAGCGCTGAGCACAGGGACAACAGCACAAAGTAGGGGGCCTAGAGGGGATCTCAGGAAAGGAGATGAACCAAGTTGAAACAAGAAGTTCGTTACATGCAGATGAGGGGAAGTGAATGAGCAGGGTATTCTAATTCTAGCTGGAAATAACAGTAGGTGTGAAGTCAAAGAGACCTGAAGCAGCGTTGGGGAAATGAAACATGTATATGTATGTATACATATAATGATTTTTTTTTTTGAGACAGAGTCTTGCTCTGTCACCCAGGCTGGAGTGCAGTGGTGCAATCTCAGCTCAGTGCAACCTCCGCCTCTGGGATTCAAGCGATTCTCCTGCCTCAGCCTCCTGAGTAGCTGGGACTACAGGTGCCCACCACCACGCCTGGCTAATTTTTTGTATTTTCAGTAGAGACAGGGTTTCGCCATGTTGGCCAGGCTGGTCTTGAATTCCTGACCTCAGGTGATCCACCAGCCTCGGCCTCCCAGAGTGCTGGAATTACAGGCGTGAGCCACCACGCCTGGCCTAAAACACAGTATATTTCTTGAAGCTCTGAGGATTCTAACTCTTTGGGATGACAAAACAAATGCAAAGCAAATACGAAGTGATGTGGTCCTGAGCTGGCCATAGTTCCGCAAGAGCATGCACCCAGTTCCTCAGTCACACGGGGCCCAGCTTTCTTTGACGAGTCTCTCACCACTCCATGCCTCCTTCTGCCCTCTACACAGCAGTCACACTGAGCTGCACTTGCCAAATTGCCTTTGGACATGGGCAATATTCTTGGCCTAGAGCTCTCCTATGAGGCTCCCCTTCATTCTTCCCTCCCAACTCCTTTTAATTTCCATCTGTTCTCATCCTTAAGGTTTCAGTTTGTGTGTTACTTCCTCATGGAAGCCTCAGTATTAGGTTGGAAGGGGCTCCAATGTGGACACGGGGCATCCTATACTTTCCCTTCTTCATTTACTGTCAGTATGCTATTACTTTGACTGTCTTCCTCCATACATTATAAATACCTCGGGGGCAGGAAACATCCTGTTTCTCACTGTACCCCAAGGTCTCAGCACAACGTCTTGCATTATATGCTAACTGTGGAAGGAAGAGCGAAAGCCAAATGCGTTTTAGAAAATGGAAAAAATGGGTAGATTTGCTGTCAATTTACTTTTCATTAATAATAAACATTCAGGAAATTCCTAGTCCAAAACAAGACTTAGTTGAGATTCTCTTCAGATGAAAAAACAAAAAACAACAACAAAAAAACAACACACACAAAAACAAGATGTCCTGAGGGGTGATCAAAAGAAAGATAGCAATAGAGAGAAATGGTACATGTGAGTGAGAAGTTGGGTAGAGCTTCTTTTTTTTTTTTGAGACGGAGTCTGGCTCTGTCGCCCAGGCTGGAGTGCAGTGGCGTGATCTCAGCTCACTGCAAGCTCCACCTCCCTGGTTCACACCATTCTCCTGCCTCAGCCTCCCGAGTAGCTGGGACTACAGGCGCCCGCCACCACGCCCGGCTAACTTTTTTTTTTTTTTTTTTTTTGTACTTTTAGTAGAGACGGGGTTTCACCGTGTTAGCCAGGATGGTCTGATCTCCTGACCTCAGGTGATCCACCCACCTCGGCCTCCCAAAGTGCTGAGATTACAGGCGTGAGCTGCCACGCCCGGCCAAAGTTGGGTAGAACTCCTAATGTCATTTTGGCAAAAAAAAAAAAAAAAAAAAAATTCTTAACCATAACTAGGGGCCATATATAGAGTAAAATCAATCAATGCAGATGTAATGTAAAACAAGCATTATTCATATGAAAACTTTTTTGATAAATGAAAGCAAAGAAACACACATTGTTTACAAAAAATCATTCATTTCGGACTATGTAAAATATACTCAACTTATGTAAACAAGGAAAACCTAAGTTAAAACAAAATTTCCCCCAGCCCCTGAAGACACAGGATAATTGTGCTTTAGGCAATAAATGTCTGGTAAGAAATAATTTTAAAAGTCAGAAGAAATATCTAAAACCAGAGATGAGATACGAACCTCTCTGAAAATTTCAGGGTAATAAACACAAATTAGCCTTCTAAATTTAAGAGATATATACTAAACTCCCTCACTTCATCAAAGCAGAAGGAAAAGTCGAGTAGCAGTACTATTTATCATCACAGATAATTTTAACTGCATGAGTTTCATTTCAAATCCAGTCTAAACAGCTACACCAATGATCCACTGAGTATTTCCAAGCTGTGTACCTCTAAACAAGACCTGATCAGGCCCAATTGGAACAGGGCTAAAAATGCAAAAATATCATTTATAAAGTACCAAAGAAATTTTCTCTTTTCACAATGTAAAAAAGCCCAGGTTTTACCTTACATATATTTCCTATTGTCAAGTTCAATTTTTTGAGCAAATGACAAAACAACAAATGTTTTTTCATAAAAAGCACCTATTCCTAAAAGAGTCTGGAAAAATGTTTTGTTTTAGTATCCATTTCTCACCATTCCAAACAAATGTCAATCAAAAATTTTAGAGAAAAAAACCATCTCTTACACCTAGGGTAACTATAAAATTTATTTGTCAGAGAAGATGACGTAGACAAATAGAAACCTGTGTGCCAATTTAGCAATCTATAGAAAGGATTACATGTGGTAATTCAGAGCTAGCTCAGTCGGCCATGTTTTCTTGGCCTCCACCCCTCCAGCACTGGATTGACTTGCTATGTAAAAGATGGGCTGGGAGTGGTGGCTCATGCCTGTAATCCTAGCACTTTAGGACATCGAGGAGGGCGGATCATCTGAGGTCAGGAGTTCGAGACCAGCCTGGCCAACATATGGTGAAACCCCGTCTCTACTAAAAATACAAAAATTAGCCGGGCGTGCTGGTGGAAGCCTGTAATCCCAGCTACTCGGGAAGGTGAGGCAGGAGAATTGGTTGAACCCAGGAGGTGGAGATTGCAGTGAGCCAAGATGGTGCCACTGCACTCCAGCCTGGGGGACAGAGAGAGACTCCATATAAAAAAAAAAAAAAAAAAAAAAAAAAGATCCTCCTAAGAAACTTGTAGTGGAAAATGTGGAAGTATGGAGCAAACTCCTCTATCATCATCAAACCTTTCAACACCTTGTTCTTCCCACTGATTTACTCCAAGGATCGTAGATATTTACAGGTAGGTATACTGACTAAGAAACTGCCATACACTTTCCAGCCATATTTAAGAATGCTTTTTTTTAATTACATAAATGCTTATTGCATTACAATAAATTACAATTCCATAGATGCTTCAGGGTATTTCAAAGCCAAGTACAATATGAACAAGTACAATGTTTTAAAATGTAATCAGTTGACAAAACAAATGTTGTCATATTCTATGTTCCATAAAAGAAAAAAAACTGTTTGTGAAGAGAAAGATAATACATTTTACCCCTTAGGCTCCAGGTTCCAGCGAAGCTATTGAAATGAAGATGAGGTGCTTCACAGTCTATTTTTCCAGATAGACTTAACAACTGGTTTTCTGGTAGCACTTCAGCTTGTATCTGGCAAAGCCTACAAAATAAAACCAAAGAGAGAAAAATAAAAGTAGAAGTTTAATGTACTATGTTTAAACTTCCATGTCTTTAGTAATTAATAAAAGATTATGATAGTATCTAAAAATGTATTGCACTCACTAGATAATAAAATAATGCACATCACACTTTAATATAAACCTTGTTAGAAGATGTTGCCATCCCAGCATTTTGCAAATAACTTTAATAAAAAGAAAAGAGGTAGAAACATTAAGTTTTCATCACCTGTACTGAAAGTATTGTTTTTGAAAGTGTAATCACCATGACCGTATAACATTTGATACATTTATGTATGTAGCTGATGATTTTGAACTATCGATCACACTTTGAGTAGCAAGGATTTAGAACAGTGGTTCCAAACTTTTTGCAGGCATCAGATTCACCAAAAGGTCTTGTTAAAATACAGATTCCTGGGATCCACCCACAGGGTTTTTTCTTTGGTGGTTCTGCGGTGGGGGGTGCCAGAATTTGCATTTCTAACAGTTCCCACAAGATGATGCTGTTGCTGAGCCAGAGATCAGACTTTGAAAACCACTGATCTAGAGAATGCCTTATTCCAATAAAATAAGATGATGTCAGCTTTACAGACAGAGAAGAGGCAGATTATCTTCAAGAGAATAAGAATAAAATTGTCCAAAGTCTTTTTCACAGAATACAAGATACAGGAAGACAGTGGATTTTTAAGTATTGAAATAAAAGACCTCTAGATTGATGGGTTTTTATGAAAATTTTTCTGTTATTCAAATTACCTTTCCCCTATAGGTAAAGTGTCATTTTTCTCTCACTGCTGTCAACATTTTCTGAAATTTATTTTCATAAGTTTGACTATTATATGTGCTGGTATGGATTTGTTTGGATTTATCTCTTTTGGTTGGCTCGGCTTGTTGAATCTACAGTTTGTGTTTTTTGGCAAATTGGGAAAGTTTTCAGCCAAATTTTTCTGGCCTATTCTCTCTCTTCTCCTTCCAGGACTCTGGTGACATGAAGGTTAGCTGTTTGGTTATGTTCCCAAAGGTCCTTGAAACCTGATCACGTTTGTCAGTCTGTTTCCTCTCTATTGTTCAAATTGGGTAATTTCTATTGTTTTGTCTTTCAGTCCACTGATTCTTTCTTCTGTCCCTTCCTGTTTGCTGTTAAGCCTATCCCTAGAGGTTTTTACATTTCAGTTTTGTATATTTAATTTCTAAAATTTCTAGCTGGATGTTTCTTGTACTTTCTATTTCTTTGCTGGGATTTTCTGTTTATTTTGCTGAGTTTTTATTTTTCCATTTGTTTCAGGCATGTTTGTAATTGCTCCCTGAAGAAATCATATGATGGATGCTTTAAAATCTCTCGGATAATTCTAAGATTTCTATTTTCTTGATGTTGACATCAATTGACTGTATTTTTTCATTCAGTTTAAGATCTTCCTGGTTTTTGATATATATGACGAAGATTTTCAATTGAAACCTAGATGTTTTGGTTATTAGGTTATGAGACTCTGGATATCATTTAAACTGTCTGTTTTATCTGGTTTCCTCTGACATACCTCCAACAGGGGAAAGGAGGTATTGCGTCATTACTGCAAGATGGGGGATAAAGTACCAGTTGCACACTTGACCTCTGTTGACAGCCAAGGAGGAGCTCCTTGTTACAGCTGGGAAAGGGTGAGAGTTCTGACCCTCCCGTAGACCTTTCCTGATACTTTCCTGGCATGAAGGAATTGGAATGCCTTCTGCCATCCACATCGTCTCCACTGACACTATGAAAAGAGGGAAGGACTTCATTACTGCCTGGCAGAAATGAAAGTCCTGGCTTCCTACCTGGCCTCCTCTGACACTACCCTTATAGGGGATTTGGGGTACTTCACTACTGTCTGGGAGTTGAGGCTCCCTACTCGGCCTTTGCCGGCATGGGTGAGCGTGAGGCCACATTTTTACTATGGTGTCAACATTTTGTCTTGTTAAGTTGCTCCTTTCCTGGTCTTTTGACTGGAGAGAACAGGCTTTGGTTGAGGTTTTTGTTTTTTGTTTTTTTTTGGTTTTTTGAGTTTTTTTGTCAGTGTCCATTGATCTTTCTGGGTTTCTGGCTTCTTCTGTCGAAGCCCCAGATGTATGAGATAAATGGAAAACTCAGGGAACTCACCACCATGTTGTTCTATGGGTTCCAAGAACACTAGCCCAGTCTGCTTTCTTCTCCCAAACTTTCAGAGTCTTCGTAGGTTTTTTCTTTATATAATGCCCAAAGTTGTTTGTTGTTCTTAGCAGGAAAAATGGGGAAAAGTATATCTACTCCATCTTCCCAGAAATCAAACTCTGTAATTGCACTTTAAAAAATCCGGAAGTTACCACCAAACTATTAAAATAATTACCATTGGGAATAAAGGTGAAATTTGGAAATGGAGAGGGTTAAATAGACTACATATGTTTCTGTATTATTTATATTATTTTTAAAAAGATGATGTATTACTTTAACAAGTTCTCATTTTTCCATTTTTAATTAAGTTAAAGTTAACAAAAAAAGATTGGTAAACAAACGTGAATAGACAAATGTAAAATCAGAGGCTTTTTTACTAAGAAAACTAATAAGGCAGGGGATGAATTATCTTAAAGAGCAATATGTTTTTCCCATTAACAAAAAGTTAATTGGAAAACCATCTCCTTGCATTTGTGATCATAAGTTTTTCTGAAATTCAAATGGTAGTTTTAAAAGCAGTGGTATATAAGATCTCTTACAGTTCATTTGCAACCACCCCTTGCAATCTAGCCATGACCTTGAGCCATGGCAGTAATTTTAACATCAGAGAACTAATAGCTTCAAAACAATATGTTTAAGGGTTCATTATCTTTATTATCTGAATTTTATAGCACATACTTTTTATAGCAATAATAGCAGTCACCTGGCTTCCCTTTATAATAATAATAATAATGTACCATTTTAATATCTGGTGAGGATAAATTACATCCACTCAATAGTGCTGAGATAATTTTTTTGTGAAAACACAGCTGGCATTTGACAAAACTTGACATTGTGGGCCCAGATGTAAAATTAGGATAAGAAACAGTGTCTTTATCTGCCATATCTTTAGATCTGTCTCTCTATCCAGATTAGCTGTTGCTATATAACACATCAATTGAGGTTGACTAGAAAAATAAAATAAATGATATTGAATTACTATCTCTTCATCAAATTATTTTCCTAATAATGGTAAATATGAAATGTGACTCCTAAGGTTTGGATGTTTTGTCCCCTCCAAATCTCACGTAGGACTGTGACCACCAATGTTGGTGGTAGGCCTAGGAGGTGGTGTTTGCATCATGGGGGTGGATCCCTCAAGAATGTCTTGGTGCTGTCCTTATAGTGATGAGTGAGTTTTCACTCTATAATTTCGTTGCAAGATCTGGTTGTTTAAAGGAGACTGGCACCTCCTCCCTCGCTCTCTTGCTTCCTCTCTCACCATGTGATATGCTGGCTCCCCTTGGCCTTCCACTGTGATCATAAGTTTCCAGGGGCCTTCACCAGAAGCAGCTGCTGGCACTATGTTTCATGTACAGTCTGGAGAATCATGAGCCAAATAAACCTCTTTTCTTTATAAATTACCTAGCCTCAGGTATTTCTTTACAGCAATGCAAACAGACTAATACAGTGACCTACATCAATAATTGTTCCTCAAAATTAAAAGGACTACAAACAACCACTTCACCAGGAGATGTTTGCAGTCTGATTGGACCAGCCTAAAATTCATCTTGCAGAGCAGCTCAGTAGAAAAGCATCTACCCTTATAGTCCTGTGTGATTACTCTTTAACCCCAAGAAGAGAAATTGCTGAGGATGAACAGATGTTATATAGATCAGAATAGTCAAATCTAAAATTATGTTGTTTTCTAAAATGGGTCCATTATAATTTCCAAAGGCCCAAGCTCTATGGCCTTTAGAATGAGAGTACATCTTCCAGAACAAGTGTGAATAGAGCAGACAAAACTACACTTGAGGCTTCTCTGCTTCCATTTAACCTCAACAGTTAGGGGATCAAGGCACTGAATTAACTAACATTTACCTTGCCAGATTTTATTCCATGTCAAATGACAACACATTTATGAAAATGAGTAATTTTGGAGGAAAAGCCACAAAGAATAACACAAATCGTTCACGGAAGTTTATTGGATCTTAAACTCTGACTTCTGTCTTTTGGCTGTGTCTTATTCACTGAAATATCAGGTTTAAAGTAAAACAATCTGTATTAATTTAACTGGTTGAGACATATACCCCCAAAAAATGACTAATATGTAATCTAATATCAAAAATATGGCCTCACTGGGGAGGCCAGTGATATGATAAAGGATCTCCAAAATCCCTTTCCTCTATAAAAAACACAATGAGAAAACTGGCAAAAGTCATCAGAATCAACTTTTTCAAAGCCGTGAAAATGAACCAAAAGCTTAAAGCAATCCAGGGAGCTTTTATTCAAGAAAAACGGATGAATCTTGGTAAGAGCTGTGAGCTTTGTGATGTTTTAACTTGCTCTATTTCCATCCCCTGCTTTCTAGCTCAGTGGTAACTTTGAAAAATAACAACTCACATTCTCATTACTGAGGAAGCTAAACAAAGCTACAGCTCCTTCGAAAATCCTCATTCCCAAAGATCCATTACTGGATCTGTTTGATGGTTCTCTAGAAGACTTCCCCCTGAAAGCTTGTTTTTATTTAACCTCACTAAAGCTTACCCAGTGCTCAAAGCCTCTTCCTGATGCAGGAGGGTGAAATTTGTTGAAAATGTCTACAGAAAAGTGCATTAATATTGCAGCTGCCTGAGGTGATGGATAGCAATTGGGGTAAATAATAGATTAACTAAAGAGCTTTTTTTTTAAAGAAAATTAGAATGAGCAGCAACAAAAACAAATCCTGAAGAGAAGAAAGGTGATTTACAGAATTGCCCATTATATTACTTAAAATGTTCACTTTTCTACAAAAAAAATTATGAGACATGAAAAGATACAAGTAAGTATCTTGCATCTTTCCCATTCACTGAGATAAAAGCAATCAATAGAAATTGTCTCAAAGTCTAGACTTTGGGCTTATTAGACAGAACTTTTTATCAGTTATGTTGAGTATCTTCAAAGAGCTAGAAGGAATTATGTTGAAAGAAATAATATATAAGAATATGTCTCACTAAATTGAGAATATCAATAAAGAGATAGAAATTATAAAAAAAAAAAAAACAAATAGAAACTCTGGGGTTGAAAAGCCCAATAACTGAAACGAGAAATTCACTAGAGAGGCTCAAGAGAAGATTTTAGCAGACAGGAGAAAGACTCAGCAAACTTGGAGATAGATCTACTGAAATGACCCAGTGTGTGAAACAGCATGCATAAAAAATTAAGAAAAACAAACAGTCTTAGAGACCTATGAGACAAAATCAAGCATACCAACATAAGCATAATGAAAATCCTAGAGGAAAGGAGGAAGACACATGAAGAAGAACATTTAAAGAAATAATGGCCAAAAGCTACCCCAATGTGATGGAAAGCATTAATCTACACACCCAAGAAGCTTAACAAAATAGGACTCCAAGTGGTATATACTCAAAGAGATGCACACCTAAACAAATTGTAATCAAACTACTGAAAGGCAAAGCCAAGAGAATCTTGAAAGCAAGAAAGAAGCTACTAATCACATCTAAGTTACACTAAAAAATATTAACAGCTAATTTCTCAGCAGAAACTTTGGCATAGAGAAGACACTAGGATGACATATCCAAAGTACTGGAAGGAAAAAATTGTCAACCAATAATTTTATATCGAGTAAAACTGTCCTTCAAAAATGAGGGAATAGTTATGACATTCCCAAATAAACAAAAACTGAGAGACGTTGTCACTAATAGACTTGCCCTACAATAAATACTAAAGGGGGTTATTCAGCCTGAAATGAAAGGTTACTAAACTGTATATGAATCCACATGAAGAAAATAAGAATATTCATTAAGACAACTCTATAGGTAAATGGAAAAGACAGTTATATATATTTTTTTCTTTGTAACTCCTTGTTTTCTCCTCTCTAATTTGAAAGTCAAATGCATAAAGCAATAATTATAAATCAGTGTTCATGGGCAGATGATGAATAAAGATGTAATTTGTGATAATAATAGCAAAAAGAGGGAAAAGGGGGTGAAGCTATTTTGGAGCAGGTTTTATATACTATGGAAATTAAAAGGGTATTAATTCAAATGAGATTGTTATAAATTAAGATTAAGATGCTAATAGTAATCCCCAAGCCAACCACTAAGAAAATAACTAAAAAATATGTAGTTAAAGAAATAACAAGGAATGAAAATGATACTAGAATATATCTATTTAGCATAAAAGAAGGCAGGTTTGTTTCTGGATTCTCCACTGTCTTCCATTGGCCTCATTTTTCTAATCTTGTGCCAAATTGTGCTTTTTAAACCACCGTAAATTAAATAGTATCACTTCACATCTGGTCAGACGGGTATCCTCAAATTATTCTTCTTCTTTGTAAGCGCCTTGATTATTCTTAGCTATTTGCTCTTCCAAATACAATTATATTAACCATGTTTTTTAACTTTCTGTATCTTATATGTTTCGACATCTTAAAATTCTTTGCTGTCCAGAGAGAGATTGTCTTTCCCAGGGCTAGCCAATGCTTACAGATAGCAAAGGACTCTGATGGGGGCTCACCTTTTATATGCAAACTGAACCCCCAACCACTCCATTTCTCCAACTCTCACACACCAAGCCAATATTTCCCTACCCTAAATCATCCCAGAGTCAGGGACCAGGCAACTAGAGACCACCGCCATAGCCCAGAGCTCACTGGAATTATGAGGACTGACCATTCCTAAGCTGTTTCCTCTGCCCTGCCTTGCCTTTTTTATGGAAACCCCAATAAATGCTCTGGCCTAGGCTTTTCCCCTCCTTCTTGCTTCTACCTCCTGACCAAACCTGATGTTTTCCCTGTGGCCCTGTGTGGCATGCCCTCTCTCTCAGAATATTGTTATAAATTCTTTTTTCAGTAGCATTGACCACCCTGTGTCACCACTCAGTCACCTCCATAAATTAAAATCCCACGGATACAAATAGGACAATACTTTACAGTCAGCTTGTCAATATCCACCAAAACCTGTTTAACACTTCGGTTGGAATTGCAATAAACCTCAAGATCAGTTTGAAGGAAATTGACATCTTTATAATATTGACTCTTCCTGTCCAAGAAAATGGTATATTTCTGCATATATTTAGTCCTTCCTTGCTGTCTTTTAATAAAGTTTTATTATATTCTTTATGAAGGACTTGCAAATATTTCCTTGCATATGTTTACTCTTAAGTCCTTTATAATTTTTGTTGCTATTTTAAGATGTATCTTACTTTTTTCTTTTCTTTTCATTTTTTCAGAGACTGGGTCTCACTGTGTCCCCCAGGGTGATCATAGCTCACTGTAATCTTGAACTCTTGGGCTGAAGCAATCCTTCCACCTCAGCCTCCTGAGTACCTGGGATTACAGGCATGAGCCTGTAATGAACCTGACCTTATTTCACTTTTTGACTGATACGTAACTATTGGCATATAAAATGTAACTGACTTTGCAAAATATGTCTACAAACTTGCTAATCTCTTTGTTAATACTTTCCAATTACTTATGAATATTTTGGGGATGGGGATTAATATAGACAATCTATAATTAATGAATATTAACTTTATACAAATGAGAATTTCATTTCATTTTCTATTGCTTATATGCTATTTTTTCCTTTAATCAGGTGTTAAAACAAAAACTTCAGCCAAAATTAATTGAAAGGAGTTTAATTGAGCAATGAACGATTCGTGAATTGGATGGCCTCCAGAATCACAGCAGACTCAGAGAGACTCCAGCGCAGCCATGTGGTGAAAGATTTATGAACAGCCAAAGGAAAGTGAGGTACAGAAAATGGAAGTGAGTGATCATCTCATTAGACACAGAAAAAGTGTTCAGTAAAATCCAACATCCCTTCATGATAAAAGCATCAACAAACTAGGAATCAAAGGAACATACCTCAAAATAATATGAACCATCTATGACAAACCCACAGCCAACATCGTACTCAATGGGCATTCCCTTTAGGAACTGGAACAGACAAGGATACCTAGTCTTACCACTCCTATTCAACATAGTACTGGAAGTCATAGCCAGACCAATCAGGCAAGACAAAGAAATAAAAGGCATACAAATAGGAAAAGAGGAAGTCAAATTATCTCTCATCATTGATGATATGATTCTATACCTAGAAAACCCTAAAGACTAACAAAAAGCTCCTAGACCTGATGAACGAATTTGATAAAGTTTCAGGACACAAAATCAGTGTATGAAAATCAACAGCATCTGCATAGAACAATAATGTTCAAACTGAGAGCTAAATCAAGAATGCAATCCCATTTACAATAGCTGTACACACACAAAAATACCTAGAAATACATCTAAGGAGGTGAAAGATCTCTACAAGGAGAACTAGAAAACACTGCTGAAAGAAATCACAGTTGACACAAACAAATGGGAAAATATTTCATGATCATGGATTGGAAGAATCAACATCATTGAAATGTCCATACTACCCAAATTGATCTACAGATTCAATGCTATTTCTATCAAAATGCCAACATCATTTTTCACGGAATTAGAAAAAACTATTCTAAAATTCATATGGAACCAAAGAAGAGCGTGAATAGCCGAAGCAATCCTAAGCAAAAAGAACAAAGTCAAGGCAGGTGGATCACAAGGTCAGGAGTTCAAGACCAGCCTGGCCAACAGTGATACCCCATCTCTACTAAAAATACAAAAATTAGCTGGGCGTGGTGGTGCATATCTTTAATCCTAGCTACTCAGGAGGCTGAGGCAGGAGAATTGCTTGAACCTGGGAGGTGGAGATTGCAGTGAGCAGAGGTTGTGCCACTGCACTCCAGCCTGGGCAACAGAGCAAGACTCTGTCAAAAAAAAAAAAAAAAAATGCAGCCAGAGGCAACAGATTACCCAATTGCAAACTGTACTACAAGGCTACAGTAACCAAAACAGTGTGGTACTGGTACAAAAGGAGACACATAGACCAATGGAACATAATACAGAACCCAGAAATAAAGCAGCATATCGACAACCAATTGATAGTTGACAAAGTCAACAAAAACAAACAATGGGGAAAGAACTCTCTATTCAGTAAGTGGTTTTGGGAAAACTGGTTAACCATATGCAGAAGAATAAAATTGGACTCCTACCTCTCACCATATACAAAAATTAATTGAAGGTAGATTAAAGACTTAAATGAAAAACCTGAAACTATAAAAATTCTAAAAGAAAACCTAGGACATACCTTTCTGGACATTGGCCTTGGAAAAGAATTTATGACCAAAGAATTTATTCTTTGGTCAAAAACGAAAATTGACAAATGGCACCTAATTAAACTAAAGAGCTTCTGCACAGCAAAAGAAACTATCAGAAGAGTACAGACAACCTTCATGATGGGATAAAATATTCACAAATTATGTATCTGACAAAGGACCAATATCCAGAATCTATAAGGAACTTAAATAAATCAACAAGAAAATAACCCAAATAACCCCATTAAAACGTGGGCTAAGAACATGAACAGACACTTCTCAAAAGAAGACAAAGAAGCAGTCACCAAACATATAAAAAATACTCAACATCACTAATGATCAGAGAAATACAAATCAAAACCACAATAAGATAAGATCTCACAACAGTCAGAATGGCTGTTATTAAAAAGTCAAAAAACAACAGATGTTGGTGAGCCTGCAGAGAAAAGGGAACACACTTATACACTGTTGGTGGGAATGCAAACTTGTTCAACCACTGTGGAAATATTTATGGAGATTTATCAAAGAACTAAAAATAAAACTACCATTCAACCCAGCAATTCCATTACTACCCCCAAAAACATGAATCATTCTACCAAAAAGACACATGTACTCTTATGTTCATCACAGCACTATTCACAATAGCAAAAACATGGAGTCAACCTAGGTGTCCATCAGTGGTGGACTGGATAAAGAAAATGTGGTACATATACACCATGGAATACTACGCAGCCATAAAAAGAATGAAATCATGTCCTTTGCAGCAATATAGATGCAGCTGGAGGCCATTATCCTAAGCAAATTAATGCAGAAACAGAAAACCTAATATCACATGTTCTATCTTATAAGTGAGAACTAAATCTTGGGTACACACAGACATAAGATGGGAACGATAGACATGGGGGACTCCAAGAGGAGGGAGGGATGGATGGGGGAAAGTGCTAAAAACATTCCAACTGGGTACTGTGTTCACTACCTGGGTGATGGGATCAATAGAACCCCAAGCCTCAGCATCATGCAATATAGACTCATCACAAACCTGCACATGTAGCCCCTGAATCTAAAAATAAAATTAAAATCACAATCAACACAGCTTATGTTACATGATAAGGGAATAAAAGAAAGAAGAAAACAATACACACACACACATACACACACAAACATATTCATAACAAAGTAAAGAGGAAATACTCATGATAGGTACAGTCCTCATTTCTGTAACTTGTCATGTGGTTGTAGCTGGTATTTATAACTACCCTCTTCCATAACCCATTCTGTATTTGCTTTGCCTTCAGCAAGCACTTCAACTAGTTGTGGTTCTCTTTCTGGTAGACTGACCCAAAGCTTTATTCTTAAAGGATCTGGGACATTATTAATTCTGCCTGAATTAGGGTTTTGTACTTTCTCACTGACCTTAATCATATGTCATGGTAATACTGAGAGATGCCTTAAGGGATCTCCTGTATTCTAGACTCTTCCTTATCTACACTGTGAAGGAATAGTCCAACTTCCCCTTAGTAGTCAGGATCAATCACCCCATCCAGCAAAGTAACTGTCTTATTTGCCTGTTGATTCAGAAGCATGAGGAGCCCAAAGTGGCCATATGGCAGCCTAAACTCCCAATTCAGTAGTGGAATCATTGTTATGCCTCCGGATGGAAGCATTCTTCTCTTCAAAACTAAGACCTCAGAGCATAAGGTTGTAGGAACAGGAAGAAAACTTTTGCTAGTGACTCACTAGGGGTAATAGCAAGTGGTACTAGTACTATCTTCATTTCCACCACTTGGTTCATGGACCTGTGACTCCTGGCTAGGGGAGAAACAGCACCATATATTGGATGCTGATGCAGAGAATGTACAGCCTCCTGAAGACCTTGTCCCAGCCCTGTAAGGTATTGCCACCAATCTGGAGCTGTGACTGAGTCTTCAAAAGCCTATTTTACAATTCTATCAAGCCAGGTCCTTCAGGGTGGTGGTGAACGTGGTAAGACTAGTGAATTCCATGAGCATGGGCCCATTGCCACACTTCATTCACTGTGAAGTAAGTTCCTTGGTTAGAATCAATGTTGTATGGAATACTATGACAGTGGATAAGGCATTCTGTGAGACCACAGATGGTAGTTTTGGCAGAAGCATTGTTTACAGAGAAGGCAAAGCCATGTCCAGAATGTCTATTCCAGTAAGAATAAAATGCTGCCCCTTCCATAATGGAAGCAGTCTAATGTAATCAACCTGCCACTAAGTAGATTGCAGATCACCATGAGGAATCCTATCATATCAGGGGGGCTCAGTGCTGGTCTCTGCTGCTGGCACATTGGGCACTCAGTGACGGCCAATGTTCCACTCTCCATGTCAACCATGGACAGTGGAAGTCCCTGTTGCTGAACCCATGCATAACCTCCATCCCTGCCACCATGGCCACTTTGTTTATGGGCTCAATGGGCAACAATAAGGGTGGCTGGGAAAAAAAAGGAAGACTGATATCTACGCAATGGGTCATCCTATCTACCTGATTATTAAAGTTCTCCTTTGCTGAGGTGACCCCTTGGTAAGCATTCACATGGAAATATCTTCATTTTTTTTTTTCACTATTTCAGAGAGGTCTACCCACATACCTCTTCTCCAAATTTCCCTGTCACCAATTTTCCAATTATATTTCTTCCTAGTCCCCAGCCATCCAGCCAAAACATTGGCTATAGTCCATGAGTCAGTATATAATTGCACATGTGACCATTTCTCCTTCCAAGCAATGTAAACAACCAGGTGCACTCCTTAAAGTTTTGCCTATTAGGATAAGTTCCAATGACCACTGTCCTTCAAGGATGCCCCAGAAAGGGGATGTAGTGCTGCAGCTGCACACATTCAGGTATTGTCTCCATATTGTGCAGAACTATCCGTAAACTGTCTTCTCTTCTTCTCTGTCAACTGATCATAGGGATCTCCCGTAAGGCCAGAAGTACAGAATGAGCAAGAAGGCAGTGTAGCAAGAGTGGGGACCATGGGCATTTGGGCCACTTCTTCATGTAATTTCTTTGTGCTTCAGGGCCTGCTTGGCCCAATTGTGTATATACCACTTCCATTTGGCAATGGAGTGCTATTGTGCATGCCCAATTTTATGGCTTGGTGGGTCCAGTCAGCATAATGTCTTCAACACCATCGATCAGTGTGATATTTAGTGGAAGGAAAAGATGATCAAGATTCCTGTGAACCAAATTGTGACACAGAGTTGATATACTCCTGAAGTAGAACAGTGAAACTGTTACTGCTGGCCTTGCTGGTTAAAAGTGAACTGCTTTGCTGGTCTTTGTCAACAGGAATGAAGGAAAAAGGATTTGCCAGATCAATAGCTGCATACCAGAAACTGAGGGAATGTTAATTTGCTCAAGTGATAAAATCACATCTGGTGCAACAGCTGAAAGTGGAGTCACCACCTAGTTAAGCTATGATAAGCCGCTGTTATTCTCCAAGATCTATTTGTCTTACGCTCAGGTGATCGGAATGTGGTGGGAATCACCACTTCTGCATCTTTCAAGTCCTTGATGGGTGATCTGGTTTGGCTTTGTGTCCCCACCCAAATCTCATGTTGAATTGCAATTCCCAGTGTTGGAGGAGGGGCCTAGTAGGAGGTGACTGAATCATGGGGAGGGGGGGGGACTTCCCCCTTACTGTTCTTGTGATAGAGTTCTCCTGAGATCTGCTTGTTTAAAAGTACATAGCACCTCCCCTTCCTTCTTCTCTCTTTGCCTCCTACTCCTGCTGTGTAAGATGTGTTGGCTTCCCCTTCACCTTCCACCATGATTGTAAGTTTCCTGAGGCCTCCCCAGAAGCAGAAACCTGTACAGCTTGCAGAAGCATGAGCTAATTAAAACTCTTTTCTTTATAGATTATCTAGTCTCAGGTATGTCTCTATACCAGTGTGAGAACAAACTAATACGATGGGGCACTGATCTCTGAAATCACTGCAGGATTGCAGGATTGCTTTTGGTTTACTATTTTCCTAGGTAGAATGGCAGTTCTAGTGGCTTCCACTTGGCCTTTCCCACCACAATGGACCTCACTCTACAGGTCAGGGAACCAATGTGAGGATTTTTCCAGCTGCTTGTGTATTCCAGAACTGGGGAAATAACCACAGGATGGGTTTGGAGACCCACTGGGCCAACTGTGAGACAGACCTAGACAAAAACTCCATTGATCACCTGACCTCTATAAACCCCTACTTTAACTGGTAGACCACAGTGACATTTTGGGTCATCTGGAATCAGTGTCCATTCAGAGATAGTGTCCAAAAGTCCCCAGGAAGGTCTCATTATTTCCTTTGCCCCAGTGCACAGTTATTCTGATTAAAAGGCTATAGATCCCTTTGGGGAAGGCTGGGAGAAGTGTTAACAGTATGAATTTTTGGCAGTATACTGGGTCCTTTCTCAAGGGGACTCAGCAACACAGGTTTGGAAGTCTGGAACAACACAGTCTGGAAGTCAGACTATTCTATTTGTTGCATTGACACTGCTGTTCATTATGGTAACCACATCTACCTTGCCTTTGGTGGTTGGGTGCTGCCACTTGGCCCTGGCTGCCATGGGATCAAATTATTCCCATTGCATTTAGGTTTCCAATTAAGTGGTCATAGTTCCCACTGTAAGGTCTGGCCTACAGAGAAGAGTGATCACAGAACGCTTTAAGGATGCCAGAGCTACTCACAATTTTATTTCTCACAGTCATGGTGAAAGGTATGTTTTCTGGACCACCCTAGGGTGAGTGAATAGATCTTAAATGACAGATACACTCTAGCATCAAATCACCTTACGCCTTAGAATCCTGCCTTCTATATTAAACCAAAGCAACTCTGACGCTTCTACCTCATTCTCTATGGACCACCTTTTCATCTATGTTTCAGCCAACCAACCCCAGTAGCTAGAACCCTTTATGACTCCCAAGATTCTGCAAAATTAAATGCACAATGTCTGCTTAATGGACCTGATATGGTTTGGCTCTGTGCCCACACCCAAATCTCATGTCGAATTGTAATTCCCAGTGTTGGAGGAGAGGCTTGATGGTAGGTGACTGAATCATGGGGGCAGACATCCCCCTTGCTGTTCTCATGATAGAGCTCTCATGAGATCTGGTTGTTTGAAATGCACCATGATTGTAAATTTCCTAAGGTCTTACCAGCCATGATTCTTGTACAGCCTGCAAAACTGTGAGCTAATTAAACCTCTTTTCTTCATAAATAACCCAGTCTCAGATATGTCTTTACACCAATGTGAGAATGGACTAATACAGGGCCCATATCAATCAATTCAGCCTGATTCAACTTTATGTTTCTCCCATTATTACCCTACACTCTTAATACCCATTCCCACACATGTTCCCCAGCTTTCTGCCTGTGCATATTAGAAAATTCAAGTATTTCTTTTGAAGTGTAGTACATGCCCTCATTGGTACACACTGTACTTTACCTTTAGGGTCCCGATGGGACTTAAGTCTGGTTATAAGTCTAAAAACAAAGAGAGGTGATGGGGAAGATTCATGAGGAGAATGAGCATTGTCTTGCAAGGCAACTCTCTCAGAGGAGGCTATTAAAGTTCCTTCAGGAATGTTAGGTTAATATTTTCAGATTCAGGTGGGAAGGCAGATACCACTGTGTGTGGAGGAGCTGATACTAATGGAGGAAGAGAGGCTTATACCACTGGGTGTGAAGAGGCTGCTTCTATGAGGTAGGGGTGGAGGGTAGACAGGCTGCTTTCACTGACAAAGAAGACCCATCAAAATTTAGGAGTCAATGTCCTCAGCTTCATCAGGGTCTTCCCACACATCCTCATCCCAACTTTTAGGATCTCATTCTTTCCCAATCCATGTTCTCATTTAAGAGTAGAACTCCCTGTGAAGCTGGGAGTTTAATTTGTGTTATTCTTCAGCCAATTGTAGGATAAGATTCTGGGTCTTATTTTCAGCAATCTCAGGTCTGTGGCTACAGGACACAAGAGTCTCCTTCAGGACACACAAGAAAGCTTTCAGGTCATTTATGTGGCACTTTAGCTGGAAATTCAAATCCCTGAGTTATTTCCCTTCTTTCTCCACTTTGTCCCGTGACATTAGGACAACATGTCAACCTCATTACACTCATCAGTTTGACAAAAATGTTTAAGAGTGATATATAGTGTATTAGTCCATTTTCACACTGCTATAAAGAACTGCCTGAGACTGGGTAATTTATAAAGGAAAGAAGTTTAATTGACTCACAGTTCCACCTGGCTGGGGAGGCCTCAGGAAACTTACAACCATGACATAAGGCGAAGGAGAAGCAAGCACCTTCTTCACAAGGGGGCAGGAAAGAGAATGAGCAAGAGAGCACGGAAGCACCATACTTTAAAACCATCAGCTCTCCTGAGAACTCACTCACTATCATGAGAAGAGCATGGGGGAAACTGCCCCCATGATCCAATCACCTCCTACCAGGTCCCTTCTTTGACACATGGGGATTACAATTTGAGATGAGATTTGGGTGGGGACACAGATGCAAACCATGCCACACAGGTACCCAGATCCTTGCTTCTTATAAGTGATTGATTACAATGATCTAATTGTGATAATTTGCATATTTCTATGGCCAGATCACACCATGAACTATCAGTGCTCTCTTTCCTACTGGGAAGAAAGTCATTCGCATTTTTAAATCTAATCATATTATGGAACACATTCCAGAAACCCCAGAATCAGTCAAAATAACCCATTCTCAAAATTCTGTTCCTGTAGAACCACTCTTGGTACCAAAATCTGTATTAGTCTGTGTTCTCCAGAGAAATAGAAACAATAGTATAAATCTCTTTATATATATATATATATATATATATATATATATATATATGAGGGAGATATATATGTGTAAATATATAAAATATATATAATAAATATATATTTTATATATAGTAAGGAATTGGCCCATGTGGTTACAGAAGCTGGCAAATCCCCAGATCTGCAGGGTGAGTTGACAAGCTGGAAACTCAGGAAAGCTAATGATGTAATTCCAGTCCAAAGGCCAGCAGATGCAGGGAAAACCAATGCTTCTGTTACAGTTCAAAAGCAAGAAAAAGCCAATGTCCCAGTTTGAAGGCCAGCATGCAGGAGGAATTCTCTCTTGCTCAGGGAATGGCCAGCTTTTTTTATCTATTCAGGCCTGTAATTGATTGGATAAAATCCACGCACATTATGGAGTATGGTCTTCTTTATTCAGTCTACCTATTTAAATGTTAATCTCATCCAAAAATAGCCTCACAGAAATGCCCAGAATAATGTATGACCAAATATCTGAGTACCCTGTGGCCCACTCAAGTTGACATGCAAAATTAATCATCACATTTACCTTTTGTGTTTTTTAACTATTTTGTCTGCCATATGTGGTTTCTGTTATGGGGGAAAAATTCATTACATCAAAAGTTCAATCTGAATAATTCAATTTGTAATACAAGACGTACTAGGTTTAAGAAACAATAGAGGCAGACGGCCAGGCATGGTGGCTCACGCCTGTAATCCCAACATTTTGGGAGGCCGAGGCAGGCAGATCACGAGGTCAGGAGATTGAGACCATCCTGGCTAACACAGTGAAACCCCATCTCTACTAAAAATACAAAAAATTAGCTGAGCGTGGTGGCAGGCGCCTGTAGTCCCAGCTACTTGGGAGGCTCAGGCAGGAGAATAGCGTGAACCCGGGAGGCGGAGCTTGCAGTGAGCCGAAATTGTGCCACTGCACTCCAGCCTGGGCAACAGGGTGAGACTCCGTCTAAAAAAAAAAAAGAAAGAAAAAAAGAATAGAGGCAGCCAACTTAATTGTAAAGTCCTCTTTGGCTATAATTGATTTTAGTTTCATTTTGCCCTTACATGACTCCCTTGACTGAGATGTGGCCTATGGGAGGGAGTAGAGCAAAGTGGTGAAGTGTGTGGACTCTGGAGCCAGCAGGCCTTGGTTGACATCCTCACTAATGCAACCTCATCAGCCATTAGCTTGTCTGTGCCTCAATTTAAATGAGCATAAACACACATACACAGTGTATATATAATGTGTGTGTGTATATATATATATATATATATATACACACACACAGTGTATATATAATGTGTATATATATATACACAGTGTATATATAATGTGTATATATATATACACAGTGTATATATAATGTGTATATATATATACACAGTGTATATATAATGTGTATATATATATACACAGTGTATATATAATGTGTATATATATATATATACATATACATACACACACACAGAGAGAGAGAGAGTATAGTGTGTCTGGTACATAGTAAGTATTATACACTTGAAGTGTTAGCATATTACATGTTATTTGTGTTTAACCATATTTTGTTAAACGCACAATGAGCAATTCCGGATTTTGCCCCAACTTAACCTAAAGCTTCTGATCAAGTTTTAATGATTCTTTCATATTATAAACCGATCGAAAGGACAACACTGATTTTAGTGATGTCATGTCTTTACAGGATGGGTTGAAGCTCGCGAATAACGATAGCTAGCGATTTTACAAAATGATCATTAGGATTGTGAGTGTGGAGGAAGGAGACTCTGCAAGAGTGACCTAAGCCATAGCAGATAGGGTCAGAGCAAACAGAAAACATGATTAAATACCTCCCTGTACCTGGGACAAGGCTAAAGGTGAAATGAAGATGCAGCACAATTTGTGTGTGCATCCCTTTCAGCCGCTTAAGACTTTGACCTACAGTTGGATTAGAACCCCAAAGATACTATCATAGTTCTTATGACACCTAGTAAGTCCTGTTAGTCTCTCAGATATATAAGCCAGAGTATATAACTTAAAATTTAAAACCTCAAAACTTGAATTCACTCTTCACAACAACTATAGACTTAAAGGAATTACACCAGCTTTAATCAACTGCTTGAAAAAAAATCAACAATAATACTTTTATGTACAAGGCTATACTTTTGAGAACATTTCATTATTTAACAGTAAACTTACTTAATCTTCTATAACCTCTTCAATGCCTGAAATCGTAAGAAAAATCATCAAAGGTAAGAGAGTTATATATTTTCCTGTTGGGGACATACCTGGAATTTACTGCAAAACAATCAGAGTTACACTATTAATTTTATTATCAATTCTTGTTATATTTTGCTCAAAATCACAGTATTATTACACTCAAAGTCACACTACTAGTGACATGGCTCAGGGCATGAAGACAATAGACATGTTAAATAAAAAGGGGAAGGAAAGTCTTAGCATATTAAAACTATCCCTTGAGTGTGACACTATCACGTGATAGAAAAGTCACCAGTGCAACTACTTAACAACACCTCAGTCATACGTTGCCTTCCTTGTAGGATACTTTTATTACATCTTGAAAGGATATTTCAAAATCTAAATCTTAATCTGAAATAGCATCTTTTCAAAACAGTTAAATCCAGATGGTCTGATATCTTTTTTTTTTTTATGAGACAGAATTTCATTCCGTTGCCCAGGCTGGAGTGCAGTGGTGCTATCTCAGCTCACTGGAACCTCCACCTCCCAGGTTCAAGCGGTTCTCCTGCCTCAGCTTCCTGAGTAGCTGGGATTACAGGTGCATGCCACCACGCCCAGCTAATTTTTGTATTTTCAGTAGAGACAGGGTTTTTCCATGTTGGCCAGGCTGGTCTCAAACTCCTGACCTCAGGTGATCCACCTGCCTCAGCCTCCCAAAGTGCTGGGATTATAGGCGCGAGCCACCGCGCCCGGCCCAGATGGTTTGATATCCTGATATCTTAACTGAACCTTTTCTCCTTTTTTTCTTTTTTTCTTTTTTTTTTTTTGGCAGAGGAGACATTTTTTGGAGACCCAAGGGAATAATGTGTCCTAGGTAAGAATTAGTTGTGGCTAGTGCTCTAGGGCTACCTACTGTTTAGAATATGAGAAATAAAGTTCCCAATAGTTATTATAACAATGTTAAAGGGAATCTGAGGACTAGAAGAAAAAAGGGGGGAAATTTTAGGATCGCTTACGCGCTCAATGAACTGCCTTTGAAACATCTCTTGTATGTCTCCCTCTTCTCCATTTCTCTGGGGTGCAGCTCCAAGCTGGTCCCTCTACCCGTGGACCCCTTCCTGTCTTTTCCTCACGCAAGGCACCAGAGCTGTTCATGTCAGTGAGCTGCTCACGACTGCCACTGCCTTCTCACTGTCTCCAGGATGAAGTCCAACCTTCTGCGGGTAACACACCAACCTCTTTTATAACCTGGCCTCGGCTAACACCTTGAGCTGCTTTTCCACTCTATCCTATGTTACCCAAACAAAATTTTTACTGTTTCTGGAACACTTCATATACTAGAGAAAAATTTAATATTTTATATTTGTAACTTATTTATTTTTGAATATGTAACACATTCAACACGTTTCACAATTCAAAACATATGAAAGGATTCAGTGTGAAAGTTCTACGTTTCCCACTGTCCCCTTGGTTCCTAGTTCTCTCCAAAAAGACGCCCAATGTTTCCAGTTTCCACGCGTTTGCTCACGCTGCGCGCTGTGCCCAGAGGTCTTCCTTGGTCCATCGGATTACGTTTCTCCTTCTGTAATGCTTGGCTTAAATGTCACCTCTTTTCAGTAGCTTTTTCTAAACCACCCACCCCCAAGCCAGAAGCAGGCTGTGTTCCTTCAGCACTTTATAAATACTCTGTCTTATAAAATCTTGTATGTTACACTCCGAGCTTTCCAGGGGCAGGCAGCATGTCTAATCATTCATCCTTAAATGTTTAATTCCATGAACAGATTTTGACACATGCTATGTGTCCTCTACACGTGTTTACTGAATCGAATTCTCCCGTTTAAGGTCAATTCAACAAGTTTATCAAATTCTTATCTCAAAGCTTAGTAGCTTCTAAGACGTTTCTATTCTCAATGATTTTAAACTTCCTGGGAGAAACAAAACTAGTTATAATATGTTACATAGATCATTGTTACAGACATTAGAGAAGGGAGAAGTCAGCATGGACTATAGCATTTGGTGAAGTTTGGAGGAAGATGGTTTAGGGCTTTTAAAAGATTAAAGATGTGGCCGGGCGCGGTGGCTCACACCTGTAATCCCAGCACTTTGGGAGGCCGAGGCGGGCGGATCATGAGGTCAGGAGTTCGAGACCAGCCTGACCAACATGGCAAAACCCTGTCTCTATAAAAAATACAAAAATGCGCCGGGTGTGGTGGCACTCGCCTGTAGTCCCGGCTACTTACGAGGCTGAGGCAGGAGAATTGCTTGAACCCAGGAGGTGGAGGTTGCAGTGAGCTAAGCTCTTTCCACTGCACTCCAGCCCAGGCAACAGAGCAAGACTCTGTCTCAAGAAAAGAAAAAAAAAAGAAAAGACTAAAGATGTAAGATATTTTATTTTATTTTATTTTATTTTATGTATTTTTTTCCAAGATGGAGTCTTGCTCTGTCGCCCAGGCTGGAGTGCAGTGGAGTAATCTCAGCTCACTATAACCTCCCTTCTCCGGGTTTAAGTGATTTTCCTGCCTCAGCCTCCAGAGTAGCTGAGATTACAGGCATGCACCACCACGTCCGGCTAATTTTTGTATTTTTAGTAGAGACGGGGTTTCACCATGTTGGCTAGGCTGGTCTTGAACTCTTGACCCCGTGATCCACCCACCTCGGCCTCCCAAAGTTCTGGGATTCAGGCATGAGCCACCGCACCCAGTCAAGATATTTTAAAAGAATGGGTAGGATATAGATAGATTAATACCTTCTAGGTTTAGGATATAGGAAGAAAATTGAATAAATGGGAGGAGACGTATCTGGTTAAATTGCAGGGTTCATAACAGAAATAAGGTTGAACAAACAGGAATAAACCAGATTATGGAAAGCCTTGAATTTAACTCGTTTTGAAAAGATGCTATTTAAACTACTATTCGGACTTCCTTTAAATTTTTTATTTCAAAATATAGTAAAATTATCCTATTTTGGAGGTGCCATAAAATGACCGAAATTGCTCCAATAATATGTCATTAAAGATCTCGATCAGGATGAACTGCGGGCCAGAGCATCTATTGCTCATCCGCGTATTTTTCAGCCCCAAAATGGAATTTCAGTGTCTCACTGAATGACTTAAATACTGTAAGAAAAGAATTCTCTTCTTAGAGTATTTAAATTTATTATCTACATTGAATTTAATTTGAAACTCTAATTTCAGCTAAATGAAATTCTTACGAGTGTTTCCTTAAACTCTTTAAGAATCCTAATCTAATAACGTGTTCAAAAACATTACCTGCAATATAGCAATGAACAAGAAGAAAGCACTGGCAGCTTTGGTAAACTGCAGGTACAAAAATCGAGGGAGAAATGACCACACACTGTACTTGGCTGTGCTGTAGGTGAAAAGAAGTACAATTTTCCATTGATATTCGGAACTCTAAAACAACTAGTAGAAAACAGGGAAAGTTAGTTATAAATCAAAAGTGGATTATAAGTAAAACATAGTTATAAAACACTGGTCCTTTTCTAGAGCTATTTTGTCTTTTTTTGAAAGTACTGACTGTTATCTGAAAGCAATCTCAGAATAAAAGAATAGTCTTCCCCATTTCAGGAACTAAGTAGTATGTGTAGAGTTAACATGGAAAACCAGAGATCAAAGTCATGATATCTAAACACATCCAAAGGGGAAGATGACAAAGAGTACCATCTTTTATTTCACTAATGATTGAGACCATTTGTTCATTTATTCACTCTGCAAATATTTATTGAGTAGCTGCCACATACTGGTATTTATCTAGGTGCTTGAGATACATCAGAGAAAACACAAAGATACCTGCCTATCTGATAGAGCCATATAAACAATAATCAATAAACATGATAAGTTAGGTGTACATATATGTTAAGGCAATAAGCAAGACTTATTCCACATTTTCTATTAGCTTGTAATACTTACGACAAAACTCCCGGCTGGGCGTTGTGGCTCACACCTGTAATCCTAGCACTTTGGGAGGCTGAAGTGGGTGGATCACTTGAGGTCAGGAGCTTGAGACCAGCCTGGCCAACATGGCAAAACCCTGTCTCTACTAAAAATAAAAAAATTAGCCGGATGTGGTGGCGCACACCTGTAATCCAAGTTACTCAGGAGGCTGAGGCAGGAGAATCGCTTGAACCCAGGAGGCAGAAGTTGCAGGGGGCCAAGATCACACCACTTCACTCCAGCCTGGGCAAAAGAGCCAGATTCTGCCTGAAAAAAAGCAAAAAACAAAAAAAAAACTCCTAATCAACCTCTGTCTTATAGTTTCAGAAATAACAAGAGACATCAATTCTTCTCCCTTCTCTCTCTCATAGGTATTTTATTATTAAAAGATATTTTAAATCTGGGAGGCTGAGGCAGGAGGCTTGTTTGACCCCAGGAGTTGAAGGCTGCAGTAAGCTACGATCATGCCACTGCACCCCAGCCTGGGTGGCAAAGCAAAGCTCTGTCTCTAAAATAAACAACAAACAAATCCTAAATCTATCTGCATCTACATGACTAGATCATGTCACAGACAGAGAAAACCCCCATGGTATGTTTCTTTTTTTTTTTTAATTCTACTTTGTGTAACAAGTTTCTGGTTTAAAAATCAGAAAGACTAAAATCAAAACTGCACGCATCCCAAATTATCCCAGTGAAGTGGGGTGGAGGATGGGGCAATAATATAGAACAGGGTTCAGGATGAATTCTACAACATCATATGAGTTAGGTATGGGTATAGAGAGCAAACAGGCTTTACTGGGGGAAATTATGAGCGTCATCAAGGGAAGGCCCGTGTCCCTGATTCTGCCTCTGAAAGGCAAGCCAGAGCCTGCACCGCTGCTGGACGGGCAATAGGTCTGAAGGGATGCCATCCAACTGTTGCTCCCACTCTGGTAGGAAAAGGGTGAGAACAACCTTGTCAGTAGGGGAATAGACAGAAAGCCAGGCCCCAAGAGTCATGGCTCAGGCGTCATCTGTTTCCATGGGTTGTATGGAAAAGCCAGCTGCCCAGCCGTAGGCACCTTGAAGAGTGGGCTTTGGGTGCAGCTCTTTCAGTTTAAGGGGCGGACAGGGCAGAAGGAGTCTTAAACAAGCCACAGGTCCTGGTTAGACAACCCAGAGTGAGCTTCCTGGGTCACTCTTAGATAATTCTGCTCATTGGATTGCAGAAAACAAAGAGAACAGCATGAAAGCCGCTTTTAAAAGAGAGAGAAAACACAATAACAGAACTGTGGCCAAATATACATTATATATAGTAAATATAAGTGGCAGAAAACATAGAATGGATCAAAACACAAAACCTAACTTAAAAGAAATATTCCTACAAAATGTCTCAGAATAGTTCCAGATAAATGGCTATCCAAATGTAGAGGAGGCAAATTAGAAAGAGAAAGAAATAAAATCAAGTAGTAAGAGTTTTCAATATTAACACTGGACAACACTGAATTCAAACTAAAAAATATTAGGGAGAAAAAGAGGATCACCTTGTAAAGATTAAGGGGACGATCCACAAATGAAGACACAAGTGCTATAAGCCATTACGCATCAGTTAATACATTGCTTACATAAGGTTTAAAAGTGGAGGAAACAGAAGGAAACGACAGACACAAAATGGTGGAGAATACTGACATTATTCTCTCAGTCTTTGCCCAAATAAAAGGATATTTAAAATTTGGGTATTATAGTTAAAATGCCACATATGTATTTGTCAAGAGAGCTGTGTGCATATTATTGTGTGTTATCAAACCCTGTACCCTTAATAGAGAAGAATAAACATTCTTTCAAACATGGAAAACTTACAACAATCAACCAAATTTTAAAAAACAAATTTTCAAATAACAGAAATAACTCAATCTATGTTTCTCTGACCACAATGCAATAAAACTGGAACTAAATAACTGAAATAAAAACAAAAATAAAATAAAAACTACTTAGAAAGTATCAGATTCTCTCATTTTTTAGGAACTTAGATAAAATAAGAAATCAGAACTGCCAGGTACTACAGTTCCAGTGTAAGAAAAGACAAATCAGTAGACCCTCGTTACCTACACTGAATTACACTGAAGTAACAGATGGGAGTTTATATAACATGGGGAGAGCATTACAAATTAGTTGGGGGTGAAATGACTAGTCAACCAATTAAAAAATAAATTAAGCTGGGTCTCTACCTTATTCTTTACACCAAAATAAGTTCCATCTAGAGGAAAGATTTAAAGTTAAAACAAAAAAGAATGCCTAGGGTTGGGGTGTTGAGGGAAGTTGCAGTGCTGGGGAAACGGGGAATGACTGCTAGTGGGTATGGGTATAGGGTTTCTTGTTGGGGTAATGAAAATGTTCTAAAATTGGTTGTGGTGATGGTTGCACAACTGTGACTATATTAAAAACCATCAAACTGTACACTTTAAATTGGGCAAATTAAATGATATGTAAATTTTATCCCAATAAAGCTGTTATAAACAAATTAATAAATTTTAAAAATTTTAAAAAATGAAACTAGAAATATTAGAAGAAAATGTAGATAATTATTATATAATCTTGGACTAGAGAAGTCCATTTTAAACTTTGCAGAGAAACCAGAGAACACAATGGCAGTGGGTGTAATTTGACTACCTTAAAAAAATAGAAAAGTTCTGTTAAGAAAGAAACATGAATAACAACTGGGAAAAAAAGATTTGTAGCGCATTTGAAAAAGGTGTTATTATCTCTAGTATACAAAAAGTCTTTAAAAATTATTAATAAAATATAGCACAATGTGAAAATAGAACTAAGGCACAAACTAGTAATTATTTTTAAAAGGGGCAAAAAAAGCCAAACAAGTCATCCTCAGTAACAATCAAAGAAGTGAAAACAAACAGATATTTTTCACTTTGCAGGTTGACAAAGATTAAAAGGATTGACCAATTCCAGCATCAGTGAGGACATGAAGAAATGTGAATCCTCAAGCTGACAGCATAATCTTTCTGGAAGATTATTTGACACTTGTATAAAAGTATAAACAGAGTGTGTCCTTTGGTCTAGAAACTTTACTCTGGTTAATTTATTGTAGTTGCCCACAGAATAAGAGATAGCATAAAGAGAAAAAGAGATGGATGGATGGATGGATGGATGGATGGATGGATGGATGGATAGATGGATAGATGGATGGCTAGCTAGCTAGAAGATAGATAGATAGATAGATAGATAGATAGATAGATAGATAGAAGAAGTCATTGGATGGATAAATAGATGAATAGATGGACGGATAGCTAGAAAGACAAATGGATGAATAGATGAAACATGAATGGATAGATGGATAGATAGACAGAGACTCCAGGACTCCAGGAAGGTAGGAGAGAGGAGCCAGGGAAGCTACAGTAACCTCAGCAAACATTAGAGTACTTTCTCTCTGCAACACCTCCATAAGATGATGACACAGTTTCGATGGTTTGAGGTCTCTGCGTCTGCGTTCAAATTTCAAGTTCCAAGGAGAGGGGATCCAAATGGCTCACCTTGGGTCAGACGTCTATTCCTCAGGAATGATCAACTATGAGCAGCACGTGTGTATATATGTGTATGCTGGACGATTGAACTGCCCATCCATCCCCTGGAAGATCGTTGTCAGCATTCACACTTCCAGGAATTTACCATAACAAGATAGATAAATATAAAGTAAATTTAAATGTATGTAAAAAGCTATTTATCATAGCGTTAGGGTATCTGTGAAAGTTGGTCTATTTATAAATATCTACTAGTAAAAAATGGTTAAGAAAAGTATGATAATTATTCAATTGACTATCATATAGTCACTGAAAATGACTATGCAGATTTATATTGATTTGCATGACATTGCTGAGTGATAAAAACAGGTTTTAGAACAATATTTGCAATAGAATCCCATTACATAAAATTGTATATCTATGTCTCAGTAGGTGAATGTCTGTGTGTGGGTGTGTGTGTGTGTATTGAATTTTTAACAAATACTTAAAGTGGTTATTTCTATACAGTAGAATTTTAGGCAATAATTACTTTTGTGTTTGCCTTTTTTGTTTGTTTCAAGTTTTTTTCCCCATTATTCTGAAGGCCCAATAGCTGAATTCCTATTTGAACTTCTTTTCTACCATCTCTAACTTGCGCATAATTTATGATCTGGAACCTTGTGTAACAAAGTCAATAATATGAACAGGGTTTGTTATTTACATTTATTATTAATATTTGAATATTAGCTTTCAGATATTAGTATTCTTTATATGCTAAAACATGATCAGCTAATAGAAGTATAAATATACTACAATAATTAATTATTGTGAAAGCTGTAAATTTTAACAAAAAATTGCTAAGAACTTTCAAATGTGTAAATATGAAAACAGTTTAATATTTAGTGTAAACATTGTGAGTTTTAGATACATAAAATTCAGGGACATTATATTGCCTTTGAGCCAAAATGTTCACAAAATTTTAAATAGAAATATGTCATAGAAGATCGAAATTAGATTATTTCATCAATTGTAGTAGTTATAGGATTATTTGGTATATCAGTATTTTTAGTGTTAATATTAAAAATTTATTGCCGGGTGCGGTGGCTCACGCCTGTAATCCCAGCACTTTGGGAGGCTGAGGCACGTGAATCACAAGGTCAGCAGATCGAGACCATCCTGGATAACACGGTGAAACGCCGTCTCTACTAAAAAATACAAAAAATTAACCGGGCATGGTGGTGGGCACCTGTAGTCCCAGCTACTCGGGAGGCTGAGGCAGGAGAATGGCGTGAACCCAGGAGGCGGAGCTTGCAGTGAGCAGAGAACACGCTACTGCACTCCAGCCTGGGCGACAGTGTGAAACTCCATCTCAAAAAAAAAAATTATTAAGTATAATAAACATTATGAGTTTTTAATTACTAATTCCATTTAGGCTAAGTATCTGAAAAATATCCTGCCTAGGGAATTCCTCAAATTTGAAGAGAATAAATTAAAAACAGAAATAACAAATTTTCCATCTCAAACTCCAAAATTTGGTAAAGCAACACTCATGACACCCAGAAAATCCAAATACAATAACGAATATAAGGAGTATATGAAAGGAAGAAAGCATTAAAGAAAAGTTAAGGACTCAAAACACATTGTTTTTACTAACCATGCTTCAACATACAAGAATACTTAAAGAAGTCAATTCCTTATATTTTTAGATTTGTAGAGGCTAAAATTTTAAACAAAATCTTGTCAAAATGATGTCTATGATATAAACTACTGATCATTTCTACTCACTGAAAATTAAGAATTTTTGTCTGAACTACAAATCTTAGAAACAATGCCCCTCTAGAAAAAAAAATTGCCTTAAATTCTTTTTTCCTGAAATATATTGAGCTGTGCATGAAAAGTAAGTGATAATATTAAACATGTCAATTAAAGAGAATCTACTTAGTATCAAAATTGTGCAGTTCGATAAACACAGACCCAATCTAGAAGCTGTTGATTTTGAGGGACTTCCCATACTATAATGTCAAACTTTTTAACTTAACCTCACTACTTTTGACTTGGCTACTAGCTTTTATAACAGCATCATCATAATTTTACAATTTTATAAGTTTATTAAAAGTTCTCTATTTTCTTCTACTACCTATTTTTTTTATTTAAGAGATAGAGTCTCACTGTGTTGCCCCAGCTGGACTTGAACTCCTGGGCTCAAGTGATTCTCCCACCTCAGCCTCCCAAGTAGCTGGGACTACAGGCTTATGCCACTGCATCCAGCCTATCTTCTTCTCTTCTTCTTCTTTTTTTTTTTTTTTTTTTTGGACATTTGTCAACAATTCATGTAAACACTATTTTGCACATGCTGTGAGGTAGGACCCTAATATTATTCTATAAATTGTGCTGAGACAGTTGGATGATGTATTAGATGGCTAGGGTTGCCCTAACAAAATACTACAGACTGGGTGGCTTAAGCAACTGAAACCTGTTTTCCTACCTTTGTGGAGGCTGGACATTTGAGATCAAGGTGTTGGCAGAGCCGATTCCTTCTGAAGCTTCTCTCCTGGACTTAAAATGGCCTCCTTCTTGCTTTGTCCTCATGTGGCCTTCCCTCTGGGCATGCATGCTCCTGGTGTCTCTCTGGATGTCCTCAGATCCTCTTCTTATAAGGCCACCAGTCAGAATGGATCGGGGCTGACTTTAATGGACTCATTTTAATTTAATTACCCCTTGGAAGACCCTATCTCCAAAAACAGCCACATTGTGAGGTACTGGGGGTTAGGGCTTCAACATTTGCATTTTGGGGAACAAAAATTCAGATGGCCATAAAAAGAAAAAAAAGTTATCCTCAGCTCTCTGATTTGAAATGTCATTTTATTAATTTTAAATCTCATAATAAAAGTGAATCTATTTGTGTTTTCTCCACTTTGTCCCACGGACCTGTTTGACCATTTGTGCCTCAATACCATACTAGTTGAATTGCTGCAACTTTTTGATGTGTTCTGATATCTGGATTAGCAAATCCAGTCTGTATTCTTTTATAATATTTTTAAAAATATGCTCATTTAATCTTCCAGATATACTTTGCCTTCAACCTGTTAAAATTCCCATAATAAAAAGTCCTACTGTGATTCTGAATAAAATTTTATGAACTGTATGAATGGTTTGGGTAAAGTTGACCTTCACACTGTTGACTTTTTCCTTTCAAGAATATGAAGTCTCTTCATTTATTTAGGTCCCCTTTGTGTCCTGCAGTAAAATGTTTTTGTTTTATTTTTGAAAATATTACACATATTGCTTTTTCCCCTAGGGTACTACATGACCTTTGTTACTATTGCAAATAGAATATTTTTATTATGTTTACTTGTTGGTTGTTGTTAGTATACGGCAAAACTATTTTTCTGTGTTGACTTTATACCTAACTAATTTACTGAATTATCTTATTGGTTCTAACACTTTTTATGTTTGAGCAGTTTGTGTTTTCTCTGCAATTTTAGAACTTAATTATAAAGGCGTGTCCTGGAATTCCTCAGCTGTTTTTGTCAGGTTCACCTCAACGCACTCTTCCCCCTTTGCCCTGCCTAGCAGAAAATCCCATTGTGTCTTCTCTTTCCCTTTCTGTTCCACTCAAAACCACCTCCAATTAGCTTCCAGGGAATCCAATGTCATGTTGTCAGTTGACCCAAGTCAACTCCTAGATTTCTATTACTTTCATATACTGAGCAATTTAAACCTTTTGTCTAAACATTACCTATCTAGGCTATATGTATTATTTATATTTTTTATCTTCTGTATATTATGATGTTTTCACATCTTAAAAACTCTTCTGACTGGGGAGAGACTGCCTTTCCAGGGCTAGCCAATTCTTAGAGACGGCAAAGGACTCAGCCAGAGCATGCCTTTGATATAAAAACTAACCAACGCAGAGCCACACCTCCTCTATCTGGCTTGTGCACCCCAGGAAGGGGTGCCTTCATCATCCCAGAGCCAGGTACCAGGCCACTAAAGACCATCCCTCTAGCTTAGAACCCACTGGAATCATTCAAACTAGCCAGTCCTAAACTGGTCACCATGCCCTGCCCTGCTTTTCCTAGGGAAATCGCAGTAAAGACTATAGCCTAAACTCTCCCTTTGTTTCTGTCTTCTGCCTCCTGAGGAAAACCTGGTACTTCCCCTGTGACCCTGTATGGCATGTGCTGACCTGTCTGTAAGACACATGAGTACAGTAAACTCTGTCTCCCAGTGCCTCTCCTGTGTCTCCTTTTTTGCTGCACCTGACTGATCATCTCATGGAAGAACACAGAACATTGTACCAGGGCAGAACTACTGTCAAAATGAAACATTCATTAAGGCATGCTTTTCCTCAATGGATGAGAATACTATTTCCTATGAGTAAATCTGCTTCTCTCCCAAGCCCACAAGTCCCAACTATTTTTAATTTGTCTTAGAATTCTACTATTTTGGCAAAACCAAACATTAGTATGAGATATTAACAAAATAGGATTAAAAACCATTGAAGTTATGATATAATTTAGCTAATATACTTTTAGAATGAAGAGCTATTTTAAGACTTGTCAAAGATAGCATGACAGTTTATGGTTGACACCTGACTGTAATATTTATAACATCTCTGTAGCACATTGATTCCAACAGAAAGAAATATTTATTGATCAACTAATTTTTAAATATTTGTTTTATTGTGGAAACTTTCAAATATATACAAAGATGGAGAGACTAGATAATGAAATCACACACTTATCTCTGAGTTTCAACAATTACCAACTTGTGGCCGGGCGCGGTGGCTCATGCCTGTAATCCCAGCACTTTGGGAGGCTGAGGCGGGTGGATCACGAGGTCAGGAGATCGAGACCATCCTGGTTAACACGGTGAAACCCTGTCTCTCTACTAAAAATACAAAAAATTAGCCGGGCGCGGTGGCGGGTGCCTGTAGTCCCAGCTACTTGGGAGGTTGAGGCAGGAGAATGGCGTGAACCCGGGAGGCGGAGCTTGCAGTGAGTCGAGATCGCGCCATTGCACTCCAGCCTGGGAGACAGAGAGAGACTCCGTCTCAAAAAAAAAAAAATACCAACTTGTGGCCAGTTTTGTTTCGTCCATACTCCTCACTTTCCCACCAGACTTCTGCATTATTTTGAAGTAAATCTCATGCATCATGTAATTTCATCTGTCAATACTTCAGAATAAATTAGATGGATAATTTTAAATCTAGTTTTTCATATATATCTGTATAAGCTATACGTACCCTACCTGTAAGTATTTACATCTAAGAATGAAGATATAGGTAAATTCTTTAAATAAATTTTAAAAAGAAAGAGCACACACTAACTCTGTCCAGGGACCTGGGTTCGCCTCACTAACTCTGGAACCTGGGTTGCATTCCTTCACCTCTCAACACCTCTGCTTCTTCATGTTTCTTCTGTTCTAGGTAATCTGAGATCCCTCCTGCATCTAAATCTCCCTGATTGTACCTAAAATTTATTGTTATACTTAAGAATCTACTAATATCTGTAACTAGAGGCTCTGGGTACTAACATGGAAAGAAAATGGATTTTCTTTTGGAAAATGGATTTTGAGATCAAAGAGGCTTAGGTTTTATTCTGACCCTGCCGCTTAACAGCCAGGTAACCAAGGGCAAATTATATGCTTTTTTCTGCCTCTGTTTCATCTCCTGAAAAATGAGTTTCAAATATTTTTCACAGGTTAGGAAAAGTAGTATGAAAAGAGCTATAGTAGCTGTCACAAAAATAGGATACCCTAAATAATTCACTGGAAAAAATACTAAAAATTCGATTTGTATGTTTTAATCGAAAAGAAAATAAATTAAGCCTAATGGAGATTGAATATACAGGTTGACAGTGGGGCCCTCACTTGTTCTATCAGCTAATTAAGTATGGGTTTCTTTTTATTTATCATCCCTGGGACTTATTACAGTCCCTGAATTTTAAGAGTCACATTTTCCATTTGTTCTGGAAAAATTTTGGCCATTATTTCTTTGAAAACTGTCTTATTCTCTCACTTTGAAACTATATGATTTGATATAGGCTAGAGCCACCAACCCTGTAATTTGTGTTTCTGAAGCACTTCTTCATATTTTCCAATTCTTCATCTTTCTATGTTGTGTCAGGAGTATTTTCTCATATCTACTTTATAGTATATTAAGTCTGCCTTTGATCATGTGTCTCCATTGTCCCCTTTTTTAACCCTAACCCCTGAGACTTTTTAATATAGTATTGTATTTTGATTTCTAAGACTTATTTGTTCCTTTTCCAAATCTACTAAGGTCTTTAAAAATAGTCTTTTTTTCTTTATTCATACATTCAATATCATCTTTTATTCCTTTAAACATGTTATACTATCATGTTCAGTATAAACCACTGTTATTTTGTGTACCTGATAATTCTGCTACCTAAAAATCTCTAAAGAATCTGGTTCTGCTTGCTTTTCTTTACTTATTTGTTTCATTCCTTTTACTGCCTCTCATGGATGAGATCTTGCTTTCCCACGTATTACTGTTTATTTAGTTCATGTCTGCTTAAACAATCTTCTCCTGAATGACTTTGGGTGCTGTTAAAGACATTCAGTTTTATAACAGAAGCAGAGCATAAAAGTTCAAAAAATTTGCAGCCTGATGATGCAGTAGAAAAGAAAATGCCATTTTCGGAGGAGAAATTCAAGCCAGCTGCAGAAATTTGCATAAGTGACAATGAGCCGAATGTTAATCCCCAAGACAATGGGGAAAATGTCTCCAGGACATGTCAGAGGTCTTCACAGCTGCCACTCCCATCATAAGCCTGGAGGCCTAGGAGGAAAAAGTGGTTTCGTGAGCCAGGTCCATGGTTCCTATGCTGTGTGCAGCCTAGGGACTCGGCGCCCTGCATTCCAGCTGCCCCAGCCATGGCTGAAAGGGGCCAACGTAGAACTTGGGACATGGCTTCAGAAGGTGCAAACCTCAAGCCTTGGCAGCTTCCACATGGTGTTGAGCCTGCCAGTGCACCGAAGTCAAGAATTGAGGTTTGGGAACCTCCATCTAGATTTCGGAGAATGTATGGAAACGCCTGGATGTCTAGGCAGAAGTTTGCTGTAGGGGTGAGGCTCTCATGGAGAACGTCTGCTAGGGCAGCAAGGAAGAGAAATGTGGGGTTGGAGCCTGCATAGGGAGTCTCTACTGCGGCACTGCCTAGTGGAGCTGTGAGAAGAGGGCCACCATCCTCCAGACCCCACAATTGTAGATCCACTGACAGCTTGCACTGTGCACCTGGAAAAGCCACAGACACTCAATGCCAACCCATGAAAGCAGCTAGGAGGGAGGCTGTACCCTGCAAAGCCACTGGAGCAGAGCTGCCCAAGACCATGGGAACCCACCTCTTGCATCAGCTTGACCTGTATGTGAAACATGGAGTCAAAGGAAGCAGTTTTGGAGCTTTAAGATTTGACTGCCCTGCTGGATTTTGGACTTGCATGGGGCCTGTAGCCCCTTTGTTTTGGCCTATTTCTCCCATTTGGAATGGCTGTATATACCCAATGCCTATACTCCCATTGTTTCTAGGAAGTAACTGACTTGCTTTTGATTTTACTGGCTCGTAGGCAGGAGGGACTTGCCTTGTCTCAGATGAGACTTTGGACTGTGGACTTTTGAGTTAATGCTGAAATAAGCTAAGACTTTTGGGGACTGTTGGGAAGGCATGATTGGTTTTGAAATGTGAGGACATGAGATTTGGGAGGGACCAGGAGTGGAATGTTATGGTTTGGCTGTGTCCCCACCTAAATCTCATCTTGAATTCCCACATGTTGTGGGAGGGACCCGGTGAGAGGTAATTGAATCACAGGGGCAGGCCTTTCCTGTGCTTTTCTAGTGATAGTGAATAAGTCTCACGAGATCTGATGGTTTTATAAAGGGGAGTTTCCCTGCACAATCTCTCTTCTCTTGTCTGCTGCCATGTGAGATGTGCCTTTCACCTTCCGCCATGATTGTGGGGCCTCCCCAGCCACATGGAACTGTAAGTCCAATAAACCTTTTTCTTTTGTAAATTGCTCAGTCTCTGGTATGTCTTTATCAGCAGTGTAAAAATGAACTAATACAGAAGTCCTGACTAGAGCAATCAGGCAAGAGAAAGAAACAAAGAGCATCCAAAGAGGAAGAGAGGAAGTCAAACTATCCCTGTTTGCAGACAACGTGATTCTATATCTTGAAAAACCCATAGTCTCAGCCCAAAAGTTCCTTCAGCTGATAAACAATTTCAGCAAAGTTTCAGGATACAAAATCAGTATACAAAAATCCCTAGCATTCCTATACACCAACAACAGCCAAGCTGAGAGGCAAATCAGGAATGCAATCTCATTCACTCTTGCCACAAAAAGAATAAAATACCTAGGAATACAGCTAACTCGGGAGGTGAAAGGTCTCTACAATGACACTTTGGGAGGCTGAGGTGGGTGGATCTCTTGAGGTCAGGAGTTCAAGACCAACCTGGGCAACAAGGTGAAACCCCATCTCTACCAAATATACAAAAGGTAGCCAGGCATGGTGGTGCGTGCCTGTAATCCCAGATACTCAGGAGGCTGAGGCATGAGAACCACTTGAAACCAGGAGGCAGAGGTTGCAGTGAGCTGAGATCACACCACTGCACTCCAGCCTGGGCGACAGAGTGAGTGAGACTGTGTCTCAAAAACATCACTATCACTATCACTTGTAAGGCCTCCCAAGCCATGTGGAACTTAAGTCAATTAAACCTCTTTCCTTTATAAATTACCCAGTCTTGGGTATGTCTTTATTAGCATTGTGAGAACATGCTAACGCAATGGGTTAAAGACTTACATGCAAAACTCAAAACTATAAAAACCCTGGAAGACAAACTAGGCAATACCATTCTGGACATAGGAACTGGCAAAGATTTCATGATGAAGATGCCAAAAGCAATTGCAACAAAAGCAAAAATTGACTAATGGGATCTAATTAAACTTGAGAGTTTCTGCACAGCAAAGGAACCTATCTAGAGTAAATAGACAATCTACAGAATAGGAGAAAATTTTTGCAAGCTATGCATCTGACAAAAGTCTAATATCCAGCATCTATAAGGAACTTAAACAAATTTACAAGAAAAAACAAACAACCCCATTAAAAAGTGGTCAAAGGACATGAATAGATGATTTTCAAAAGAGGGCATACATGTGGCTAAAAAGCATATGAAAAAACTCAATATCGCTGATAATTAGAGAAATGGAAATCAAAACCATAACGAGATACCATCTTAAATCAGTCACAATGGTTATTATTAAAAAGTCAAAAAATAGCAGATGTTGGCAAGGTTGCAGAGAAAAAGGAATGCTTATACATTGTTGGTGGGAGTATAAATTAGTTCAACCATTGTGAAAAGCAGTACGTTGATTCCTTAAAGAGCTAAAAACAGAACTACTATTTGACCCAGCGATCCCATTACTGGATATACCCAAAGGAATATAAATTGTTCTACCATAAAGACACATGCACACATACGCTCATTGCAGCACTATTCATAATAGCAAAGACATGGAATCAACCTAAATGCCCGTCACTGGTGGACTGGATAAAGAAAATGTACATATACACCATGGGATACTATGCAGCCATAAAAAAGAATAAGATCATATCCTTTGCAAGAACATGGATGGAACTGAAGGCTATTATCCTTAGCAAACTAACACAGGAACAGATAATCAAATACCACATGTTCTCACCCACAAGTGGGAGCTAAATGATGAGAACACATGGACACAAAGAGGAAAACAAGAGACACTGGGGCCTACCTTAGGGTGGAGGGTGGGAGGAGGGAGAGGAAGAGAAAAAAATAATTATTATGTACTACACTTAGTACTTAGGTGATGAAATAATCTGTACAATCAATCCCCATGACAAGAGTTTCCCTATGTAACAAACCTGCACATGTACCTATGAACCTAAAATAAAAGTTTGAAAAAGAGAAAGAAAGCACTTTCCCTCATATTTATAGGTGTTGCTAAAGAGAGTTCTCTATCTCAGTGGACTGCTTGGTAATGGCTATGAACAGGAATAAGTGAGAGCAGAGCCCACTCAGGCAGACAGGCCCTTCTGCGTGAGATAAAAACACATCCTGTTCTTGATAGTGCACATGAAAATTTAAAGTTCCTCAAAGGCTTGAGAAAACCACTGTAGCCTGATTCACAAGAATTGGTCCATATGAAGTGTCGTTTTTGGGCAGGGGTAGGACCACGTCTTCTTCCTCCTTTTCTCCTCCCAACTACATATGCTTTTCTTATCTGATGAAGTTTTGCAGAAAATGTTCTTACAGGGGTTGTTTACGTAAATGGTGTGGCCTTTTGGCTCTTTTAAGCCTTGCATAGTTCATAGCCAGCTCATCCTCTCCTTCACTTTCTAAATGCCCAAGGGCAAATGAGTAGATCCTGCAGCAAGAAGGCACAGAGCATTACACAGAAATGCAAACAAAGGCAGACTCTGGCCAGGCATAGTGGCTCACGCCAATAATCCTAGCACTTTAGGAAATTGAGGCAGGAGGATTGCTCGATTGGAGACTGGCCTAGGCAACAAAGCAAGACCCTATCTCTACAAAAAATTTAAAATTAGCCAAGCACGGTGGCCGCACAGCTGTAGTCCCAGCTACTTGGAAGGCTGAGGTGGGAGAATTGCTTGAGCCTGGGAAGTCAAGGCTGCAATGAGCCATGATCATGCCACTGCACTCCAGACTGGGTGATAGAGTGAGTCCTTGTCTGAAAACCAAAACCAAAACCAAAAAAGCTCCCAGAAAGACACGTTCACAGATGTCAGCTGTGTTGGGTACCCTGGGAAAAGGCTGCACTCCCAGCCACAAGCTCCTCTCCTGCCCACCCTCTCCCTCAGGGATCTGTCACCCTGGCCAGGTGATGGGGGCTGGTTGCATAGAAAGGGTTCCCTGCCAGCTCATGCACCCCATCCCCTCCCTGCTTCACAGACTCTAGGTGGGCATCCAGGCTCAGGGAGCCGTGGAGACTAGGATGAGAAAGAAGCCAGGCTTGGCTCAAAAAAAGGAGAGAGTGTATGGGAGGGAGAAGGGCAAGGAGTAGGGAAAGACGAAAGGGGAGGAGGGCAAGGGGAGATCCACCTGAGAGTGTCTTGGCTGAAGAACATTAACTCCCTGACCAGAGAGGAGCTCCCTGACCAAGGCAGCCATTAAGGTCCCCTCAGCTTGGCTTAACTGTACATGGGTTTCTTCCAGACTACAGGCCCCTGACCTACCTTTTTTTGTGTCCTACAGTAAATTTACTTTAGAAAACTTGTAATCGTACATTTTTCCTCTATCTTCTTTGAAATATATATAAATCTTCTTAAGAGTCTCTTGCCGGCCTTAAGACCCAGGAAATGTCTTTCTGAAGGAACTAGGGCATCTCTTATAAACGTAACCACCAAAGAAGACAGCACCCCATCTCAGTTTCTTTGAGAGGGTAGGAGTCTGACTTTAGTGGATGCCTTACTCCAAATTCTAAAATTACCTCCTGTCATGAAGATAGGAGAGAGTTTACTTTTCCTTTTGGTAAAGCCAATTAGCAAATACAGATAGGCTACAGTCTCCCTATGCCCACCTGACTCTTAAAAACTCTTCAGTCCTTTGTTTCAGTGAAGCTGAGTTCACACTCTCTCCTATTATAATAGTTTTGTTTAAAAAGTCTTCCTTGCCTGTTTAATTCTGTCCAGTGCAATTTACACTTTGACATCTCCTAACCTAAAAACAAATGGGATTTTTCTTTTTTTGCAAAAAGATTAAAGTGAGTTTTGTTTGTTTTTGATGACAAATAGAGGTCAGGCTGGGAAGGGATTTGCCCTGTATGCCCTCAACACTAAGGGAGTATGTTTATACCAGAGTCCATTAAGTAAGTGATTTACTTAAATACAAAAATAAGGCTTTAGATAATGGTGGGCCATCTGATTGGGAGCAAACTTCCTGTTGAAACACCTTAAAATGCTGGATTTTACAAAAAAAAAAAAAGCTTTGAAGAGTCAAGATCCTAACTATTATCAAGCCAAAATTTAATCAAAAGCAAAATCCAGATTTAATAGGTGAAGAATTCAAAAGCACTTTGTTACCGAAGAATTTCCCCTGACTCGTTGACGGTCCTATAGTCCAAGATCAGTATAAATGTTCAAATCCTTGGGTGAAGGAATTTTCCTGCCATCATTTCCGTTTTGTGCAGCTATTTCTCTTTACGCATTTTACTAACTATCCATGCGTGAAGATGGAGGAACAAAAGATGGGTAACAGTTAGCTAAGCAGCTGCTGCTGAAAATAAATAAAGCCCAGATCATCTTAGTGTGATCTTGAAAATTATCTCATGAAGTCAGCTGACCTCTTGCTCCCAGAGGGAAAGTTGCTGGTAACCAAATGTTCCCAGTTGAAAGGTCTAAACCTAAGCTAATATCCTAGCTCACACACTAAGTACCTCCCTAAACACTTCTTGGTAAAGTTATTAGATTTTTAAAATAATAAAAAATTGTATGATTCTTAATCACAAACCAACTGAATTAACTTACAAAGGTTGGAGAAAGGGAATATTGGAGCCACACTTGTAAGTAGTGTGGGAAAATTGTATATTCACATGCAAAAGAATACAGTTTGATCCTTACCTTACATCATCTACAAAAAATAACTCATAACAAATCAAAGACCTAAACCTAAAAGCAAAGACTATCAAAGTATTGGAAGACATAGGGGAAAATCTTCATGACATTGGGTTTGGCAACGATTTCTTGCATATGACACCAAAAGCACAGGCAACAAGAGAAAATAGATACACAGGACTTCATCAAAATTAAAAACTTTGGTGCATCAAGGATTCTATCAAGAAAATGGAAAGACAACAGAATGGGAGAAAATATTTGCAAATTATGTATCTGATAAGAGCTTAATTTCTATAATATATTAAAATCTCCTACAGCTAAACAATCCAATTCAAAAATGGGGAAACGACTTGAATAGACATTTCTCAAAAGCATATATACAAATAAATGGTCAATGAGCACATGGAAAGATCCTCAACATCAGTAGTCATTAGGGAAGCGCAAATCAAAACCACAGTAAAATAACACTTCACACCTATTAAGGTGGCTATTATAAAAATAATAATAACAGAAAATAGCAAGTGTTCATTAAGATATGGAGAAATTGAAAGCATTGTGCATTGGTGGGAACGTAAAATAGTGCAGCTTCTGTGTAAAACAATATGGTCATTCCTCAAAAAGTTAGACATAGAATTATCATGTTATCCATCAATTTCACTTCTAGGTATATAGCCAAAAGAATTAAAAGCAGGGATTCAAACAGGTACTTGCACAAAGTGTTCATAGCAGCATTATCCACAATAGCCAAGAGTTAGAAGCAATCTGAATGTCCATCAGCAGATGAATGGATGAAATGTGGTACAAAAATACAATGAGATATGATTCAGTCTTAAAAAGGAATGAAATTCCTACACATGCTACAACATGGATGAAACTTCAAGACGTTATGCTTGGTGAAATAAGCCAGACACAAAAGGTGAAATTTTATATGTTTATATGATTCTACTTATATGGAGTACTTAGACTAGTCAAATTCATAGAGACAGAAAAAGTAGAATAATAGAAGTTATCGGGGCTAGGGGAAGGGGGTAAAGAAGAGTTACTGTTTAATGGGTGCAAAGTTTCTGTTTGGGATGATGAAATGGTTTTTGAAATAACGGTGATAAGTAATAGTTGCATAACTTTGTGAATGACACTTAATGCCACTAAATAGTATATTTTAAAATGATTAAAATGGGAAATTTTATGTAATGTCTTTTACCACAATAAGATATATAACTGATATTATAACATGTTAAAATTAAACAGTGACTAGGGACAGAAAAATACACCAAGGGAAAGTGAGCATATATAATCTACATACGCAGCCTGGTAAGTGATGAATGCCATGGCAGGTCATTGGGAAAAGAATGGACCATTCCGTAACCGATGCTGGAACAGCTGGTTAGCACTATGGAAAAAAATACAGATCTCCATCTTCCACTACTCACAAAAATACATCCCAGATACGCTAAAGGTCTAAATAGGAAAAGCAAAACTTTAAAAATTCAAAAGAAAACATTGGTGACATCTTAACATCAGGATAAAGGAACAATTTCTTCAAAAATGGTGAAAAAACACAAACCATGAAGGAAAATACTAATTAATCTGACTTCATTAAAACTTCTGTGCATTAAAACAGCAAGATAAATTTTAAAAGCAAGCCACATACTTCTAGAATATATCTTTTTTTTTTTTTTTGAGATGGAATCTTGCTCTGTCGCCCAGGCTGGAGTGCAGTGGCGCGATCTGGGCCCACGGAAAGCTCTGCCTGCCGGGTTCACGCCATTGTCCTGCCTCAGCCTCCCGAGTAGCTGGCACTACAGGTGCCCGCCACCATGCCCGGCTAATTTTCTGTATTTTTAGTACAGATAAGGTTTCACTATGTTAGCCAGGATGGTCTCGATCTCCTGACCTCGTGATCCGCCCACCTCGGCCTCCCAAAGTGCTGGGATTACAGGCGTGAGCCACCGCACCCGGCCTAGAATATATCTTTACTGTATATAATGTATATAATGTGAAAATGGAGAAAGGTTTTCTACCCAGACTATGTAAAAAACTCCTAGAAATTACTAAAAAAAAATAGAAACATGAGCAAAATATATCAACAAAAGATATGAATGGGTAATTTAGAGAAGGAGAAAAGCCAGGTGGATCATAATTATATGAGAACATGCACAAACTCAGTGAAGCTCAAACTAAAAATTAAAGACGAGGACAATGCCAAAGATTGGCAAGACCACGGTGAGGTAGAAACCGGCAGAGTACACATAAGAGTATAAACGGATACAACCATTGTAGAGAGAGCAAGTTTAGGCTGTGCATGCCCCACAGTTCAGTACCTCCACTGTAAGCTATAGCTTTAAAAAACTCATACATGTATGCAAGAAGTTACGAACAAAGATATGCATTTCAGCCGTGCTTGTAACAGTGAAGAAGTGGGAAAACCTAAATATTCATCAACAGAGAAACAGTTAAATAAAACCCACATAAAATCATATAGTGAAATACTGTAGAGACATTAAAAGGAGTGACTATCAATAAATAGATAGAAAGACAGATCAATAGATCTCAAAAACCTAAGAGTGATGTGAAAATGATAGACATATGTACTCTATTGAGTCATTTTTGTAAATGTTTAAAAAGCCCTACAATTTCATATTTTGCTTATGGATAGATAGATATAAATAAAATTTCAGGCCTAAAAAACAGATGAAAATCATGCACAACACATTCATATTAGTACTTGCAGGGGTTGGGGGCAGAAGGAAGGAGCTGGACATAATAAAAGTGATTTTTGCTTTGCTTTATCTCCAGTGATTTATTTCTTTGGAAAAAAAAAAAGCATTTGGGAGGCCAAGGCAGGCAGATCACAAGGTCAGGAGATCGAGACCATCCTGGCCAACATGGTGAAACCCCGGCTCTACTAAAAATACAGAAATTAGCTGGATGTGGTGGTGTATGCCTGTAATCCTAGCTACTCGGGAGGCTGAGGCAGGAGAATCACTTGAACTGGGGAGTCAGAGGTTGCAGTGAGCCAGGATGGCGCCACTGTACTCCAGCCTGGCAACAGAGCGAGACTCCGTCTCAAAAAAAAAAAAAAAAGCAAAGAAAAAATTCTGAAAGCAAATATAACAAAATGTTAAAAGTTGTTTATTCTTAATGGTGAGAATATGAGTGTTTGTTGAATTCCATGTACACACTTACACACATCACATAGGCTCACTGCCATCCACCAGTGACAGTCCCAACTGCTAGAACACTTTTAAGCAGCAGGTAAATTACATATGAACTTCCTATTTCAATTTATTGTTTCTCTGGCCATTTAGGACTCAGGCCACTGATTTCATCCTCTCGGTGCCTGTCTCACAGGATTTCGAGGGCAAGAGTCTGGAATGAAAGAGGAGGACTGGCTAAGCAAGCCAGGACTTTTAGAATATGCTGGAGTTCGGTTATTGTAACTGTAGTGGGGCAGCTGCAATACGTAAAGGGACAGCAAACTGAAATAGGCTGGGCACGGTGGCTCACACCTGTAATCCCAGCACTTTGGGAGGCCAAAGCAGGTGGATCACTTGAGGTCAGGAGTTCGAGACCAGCCTGGCCAACATGGTGCAACCCCATCTCTACTAAAAATACAAAAAAAAAATTAGCTGAGCGTGGTGGCAGGTGCCTGTAATCCCAGCTACTCAGAGGCCCAGAGGCTGAGGCAGGAGAATCACTTGAATCCGGGAGGCGGAGACTCAAAAAAAAGAAAACAAACCCCAAAATATTGAAACAAAGTTACTCACCCCCTTAGGCTGGGGAGACCACTTTTGACTAGAAAACTGTCTTTTAAGGCTAATATCCTGAATGTTGCCACTCGGCACAAACGGTCCCAATCCCAGATTGCAGCCCCTGGAATGAGAGGACCTCCCCAGCCCGCCTTGTAAAATCCTGGCAGTTGAGGGCTCCATGCTGTCCCTCCCCTCCACACCGTGCTTCTGGGACAGGCTGCCAGGCTTGCCGTCCCTACACTCACTCACTCACCAGTCAGAGTGGATTGGGGCCCACTCTAACGGCCTCGGTTGAACTTAATCACCTCTTTAAAGGCCCTATTTCCAGAGTCACTGGGGGTTAGTGGTTCACTGTATGAATTTGGAAGGGGACACAATCAGGTGCCTCTTGATGCCTCAGCAGTTGAGGAGTTCACTATTAACCAAGATGCTCCCCATTGGCGTCCGGTGCCTTTTTATTTTCTTGAGACAGAGTCTCGCTCTGTCACCCAGGCTGGAGTGCAATGGCGTGATCTCGGCTCACTGCAACCTCCACCTCCCAGGTTCAAGCAATTCTCTTGCCTCAGCCCCCCGAGTAGCTGGGACTACAGGTGCACACCACCATGCCTGGCTAATTTTTGTAGATTTAGTAGAGACGGGGTTTGGCCATGTTGGCCAGGCTGGTCTCAAACTCCTGGCCTCATGTGATCTGCCTGCCTCGGGCCCCCAAAGTGCTGGGATTACAGGCGTGAGCCACTGCACCCAGCCTCAGGTGATTTTTGAGAGGACACCTGACGCGAAGAGTAAGAAACTTTCCTCTCCAGCCCCCATGACCCCAGGCACACTCACCATCTCCTTGTCTCCTCTCAGATGACCTACTGGGTACCTGCAGGATAGCCTTAGTGCTCACCTGATTGCACTTCCTAAGGTAAAGCTTGTCCTACCTGTCTTTGGCGTCCTGGTTACCATCGCAGTTCCCCAAACACTAAGCAATTGATTGCAGAGGCACCGTGGTGCAGGCCAAGAGCTGCCTGAAAGTGATGAAAACCTGGGAGTGGGGGAAAACCAGGACAGGGATCCAAGAGGGAGTGAGAGAGTAACAGGAAATAATCTACCTTCCCCTCAGCTTCCTAGTGACCTCCTCCTACGCAAGTGTGCACTTCCAAGTCATAGCAAGATGCAAGACAATTTCCGATTTGAAAATGCACATGGAAAACAACAGAAATGCCTGATTTTTTTATGATTCTTTCACATTTATTTGGAATTCATAATTCTTAAAATGTAGTATCAGTATGTTTGACCAAAAAAACAAGCAGGGGGTGGAGGAGATTGGAACACAGCACTCTCACATTCCAGGGAAAGCCAGGAGTGAACTTGCTCTGGTGCTACCTCAGGACACAGAGTTGTCCACATCAACTCTTTACAAGTAAATCTTGTAGAAAGCTCTAAGAGGAGTTAAATCTGCTAAATAGGCCATGGTGGTTGTCTAAGGCGTGAGGCCTGATGTGAACTAATGAAGAGGAATGAAGGAGGACAGAGGGGTTGGCTGGTAAACTCTCTGAACTGAAATTCGCCCTTCCTAGTCAAAACTGGCCATTGTTATGTCAGGGAATTTGTCTTCAGTCTTCTCTAACTGTACTTTTCCTTTTGCTTTAAGCATACTCTTCCCAGTCTCTTCTCTTTTTTTTAGAGAGAGAGACAGGGTCTTGCTCTGTCACCCAGGCTGGAGTGCAATGGCACAATCATAGCTCACTGTATCCTTGAACTCCTGAGCTCAAGCGATCCTCCCACCTCGACCTTCCAAAGTCATTGGATTACAGGCATGAGCCACTCCACCCAGCTCCCAGTCTCGTCTTTAAAGACTTTTTGGGGGATTGAATTGTGTCCTTCAAAAAGATATGTTGACATCCTGACCCCTAGTACCTGTGAATGTGACTTTATTTGAAAATAGGGTCTCTGCCAATGTATTCAAGTCGAGATGTTTAGGGTTGGCCCTAATCTAATAAGAATGGTGTCCTTAAAAGAAGAGGAAAATGCAGGCTGGGCACAGTGGCTCACGCCTGTCATCCCAGCACTTTGGGAGGCCGAGGCAGGTGGAACACCTGAGGTCAGGAGTTCAAGACCAGCCTGAGCAGGATGGTGAAACCTGTGAATCTACTAAAAATACAAAAATTAGCCAAGTGTGATGGCACATGCCTGTAATCCCAGCTACTCAGGAGGCTGAGGCAGGAGAATCACTTGAACCCAGGAGGCAGTGGTTGCAGTGAGCCGAGGTGGCGCGATTGCACTCCAGCCTGGGAGACAGAGTGAGACTCGGTCTCAAAAAAACAAACTAACATACAAACAAAAGAATATGCCAGGTGAAGACAGAGACACAAAGTGGAGAATGCCAAATGATGACAGCAACAGATATTAGACTGATGGGTCTACAAGCCAAGAAGGAAAGATCGGCGGGGACCACCAGAGCTAGGAAAAGGCAAGGTAGGTTTCTGTCCAGAGTCTCAGAGGGAGAATGAACCTCTGACACCTTAATCTTGAACTTCTAGTTTCAGACCTGTGAGAGAACACATCTATGATGGTTTAAGCCAGCAGTTTGTGGAAGCCCTAGGAAAGTGAGAGAAAGACAAACCTCCTGGAAGCAGTGTCTATACCAGCGACTCTACTTCATTGACTCCCATTCACTCCTCAACTCAGTAGAAACTGGCTGCCACAACTCCATAGAGACCACTTTGCCAAGGTCACCAATATCCTGGTTGTCAACAGATCTAGTGGATTCTTCATAGACTCTCTCGTTACCTCCTGGCAGCATCCTCTTCCTCTGCCCTTCTCTAACATGTCACTGTCCATCAGTCAGAGTTCTGTCTTGGTTTCTTTCTCTTCTAATGTTAAGCACTCAGTGGGAGAGCCTATCTATAATTCAACACACAGGTGATAACCATAACCATGAGAGTGGCCCTGACAGTATATGCCCAAAACCCAACTCACCCAAACCTCTTCCACCTTACATTTCCTGTATCTCAAGAAAAGGCTTCACAACCTATCCTCTTGTTCTAGCCAGAAACCTAAGTACCACCCTTCAGCTTACCCTCCACATCCAATTGATAAACGATTTCCTCCTAAATATTTTCCTATCTACCATCTCTGCCAAAAGGCTACGGCAAGCCACTAGCTTGCATTTCTCAGCTGCATTGGTGCAAGAGCCTCCCAGCTCTAGCTATGCCCTACTCCACCATGTTATTTCTTTCTAAAACACAAATATGATGTGTCACTCTGCTTAAAAACACTACTGTCAACTGGGTGCAGTGGCTCATGTCTGTAATCCCAGCACTTTGGGAGGCCAAGGTGGGCAAACCACCTGAGGTCAGGAGTTTGAGACCAGCCTGGCCAACATGGTGAAACCCCATCTCTACTAAAAATACAAAAAAATTTAGCCAGGCATGGTGGCAGGCACCTGTAATCCCAGCTACTCAGGAGGCTGAGGTGGGAGAATCGCTTGAACCTGGGAGGCAGAGGTTGCAGTGAGACAAGATCACACCACTGCACTCCAGCCTGGGCAACAGAGAGAGACTCCACCTCAAAAAATAAAATTAAATAAAATCCCTTAATTGAGTAGCTAATATGCAACAGAAATTTGTTTCTCACAGTTCTGAAGGCTAAGAAGCCCATCAAGATCCCAGCAGTCAGTGTCTTGGGAGGGCTTACTTTCTTGTTCAGAGATGGTGCCTTCTCACTGTGTCCTCATGTGGTGAAACGGGAGAGGGGTCTCTCTGGGGCCTCTTTTATGAGGGCATTAGTCCCATTCATGAGGGCTCTATCCCCATGACCTAAACACCTCCCAAAGGCCCCACGTCCTAATACCATCATCTGGGGGATTAGCATTTCAACATGTGAATGTGGGCGGGGGTGGGGGAGGGCACCCAAAAACATTCAGACCATTTTCTTTTCTTCCCCCTTGGCGGACCAGGTGTCTGCCTGGTCCGTGTGTGTGTGTGTGTGTGTGTGTGTGTGTGTGTGTGTGTGTGTGTGTGTGGTGAGAAAGCTTAAGATCTATCCTCAGCAGATTTCAACTATATAATATTGTATTGTTAACTACAGTCATCAGATGTATATTAGATCTCCAGAATTTATTCATTTGCATAACCAAAACTTGGACCCCTTGACCAATATCTCCCCATTTTCCCCTCCCCTGAGCACCTGGCAGCCAGCATTCTACTGTCTGCTTCTATGAGTTTTGACTATTTTAGATCCCACATATAAGTGAGATCATGCAGTGTTTGTTTTTCTGTGTCTGACTTATTTCACTTAGTATAATGTCCTCCAGATTCATCCATGTTGTCGCAAAGGACAAGCTTACCTTCTTTGTTAAGACTAAATAATATTTCATTGTATATATTGTTAAGCAGAAATGCTGTGCACTGGTGTTAATTCCTAGGAGAAGAACACTGTGCACCAGTTATCAATCCCAGAGGAGGACTCTAAACACCTTGCCAGTTTCTGCTAAAGTTCCTAGTCTGGCAGGAGGTTTTGCACAAACCCAGCTGCCAGAGTTCTGTAAGGGTTCTTGACTCTGGCAGGGGCTCAGAGCAGATCTAGCTGCCATAGCAGTCATACCTGTACAATTTGCATTCTTAGATCTAGTCGACGAGACAGACACTCGCATAACAAGTCAGGCAAAGAAAATGTATTACCCACAGATAGACAGCAAGAATCAACAGAAGCCTAGAATCCATGGCAAGCCAGTCTCCCAAGGATCAGGAGAGCTGCATGGAGTGAATGGAGTCTCATCTGCCTGTACCTCACTTCACACTGTAGCTGAGAGACCCCAAAAGCACTCCACTCTGGGTTCTGTATCCCAGGGGCATTTGGGATCACTGAGTACAAGCATTGCAGGACCTCCTGTTCTGGGAGGGACAAGGACAAAGCCCAGGCTATTCTGAACAGTTCCTTCTTATCTCACGGCTCTGCATTCTCAGCACATTCTATTCTTATGAGAACTGTAAGTGGGAAGGAGAAGTGCTATGTCTGCCAAGACCATTCAGGGTCCTGTCCTCCTGCAATGCATTCCCCCAAACCAGGTACCCCCTTAGCAAGGCCAGTCCACCTCACACACCCAGCGACCTCCTTGGATCCAGAGGCAGAGGTTTGTCTCTTAAGATAGATGTATAGATGTAGCACGTTGACTGACACGATCTCAGGGCAACATCATTGAACTTTCACCAGAATACACTTCACTAGGCCCAGGAGGACGACTACCACAAGCAGGACATCCAGGCTGGCCTGAAGCAGAGTCTAGTCCAGGATCCCAGCAGTCAAGGCAAGAAGTTGCTAAAGAATCAAAGAAGGATCCTCAGGTGGCTCTGCTGTCTGCAGCCAGCGACCCTGCTTCTGGGCCTCTTCCGCTTGTGTCCCTATAAGCCTGAGGTGTTTATCCAGGTACAGCAGGAGCCATTGGCAGTAACCCAAATGACACCCTGTTCTACCCCCAGATAATCAAGGGCTATATCCAGTTATCCATCGCCATCTTGGCTAGTGAGCCCAGTGACCCTGTTGGCCCCAAATAGCTCCAGCTGTAGTGTGAGCTATCTCTACCACAATCAAAGACAGTCATGTACTATTCTTTTTTCCAGAGCATGTACACCTATGCTGGGTATGAGGACATGGTCAGCAGAGTGGAACCAGCTGTCTGTTTGTCTTCCTACTAGGGTGTCTCAAGCAACCCTGCAACATGTCAAGAGTGTGGGGCCTTTCCAGTTTAGAGGGTCACCTTTCACAAACAGTTGAAAACCCAAAATTCCAAAACAGCAGGCCCCATTTGAGGGTGACAGGTACTCTGCAGCCCAGGAGACCCCTCAAAGGAACATATAACCCAGGGAACCACATGTCACTCTGGTCAGAGAGCAGTTGATATAAAAGTCTCTGATCCCATTGTACACAGCCTGTGACTGGTTTAGCCATGAGTTAAGTAGCAGGATAAATTTGCAGAATCTGTGGACCTTGCCATACCATTGCTGATGTTTAAAGTCTGTCTCTGACTTTATGTCCGTATTCCAGACAACCCACATTTAAGGTGTCTTTCCCTGATTAGAACCATTGATGGCTATTGGGACGTCCATCAGATTGGCAATAGGCCACACATGGACTATTGGCATTTGGGAGGAAATGCTCCAAATATCTGGGTGGCAGATCCTGCAAAGCGTCCAGTCACCACCTGCTGCCACTGCTGTGCCAATATTCACCAATGTGTTGTCAGTCCAGGGCCCACTGGGTATTCTAAAGGAACCCGAAGGGGAGAGGCTAGTTTCCCCAACCCTTGCCTGCTTCCTGCACTTCCTGTAGTCGGAGATGTTCTTGTCTATCACTTGGGGTGCTGGCTGTCCAGGTATTGTAACCCAGTCTGTTTGTCCAGTCCTGAGGTTACTACCTCTGCAGCTCCTGCTGCCCTGCTTCTTAACCTAGACCTTCCTCCATCAGCCTTCCAGTCTAGGAAGGGGGGTCACATCCTGTACTTGACAAGGCACCGGACTAGATCCAGGTACTCCTTGGTTCCATTCCCCGCCCCTGTGCACCCAGGAAAAGCAGCACCAGGGAAAGCATGGCTTCCAGATTAGAGTCGGGGGCTCTGCCTGGGGTACTACAATGGCCTGAACTGCAGAGCACCTCCAGGATGTGCACTCTAAAGGAAGAAAGGAAAAAGAATGGTTGGGAACACCAAGATTGGGATGCCATAGGCAGGCAGAGGCCGATCAGGCGTCTGTCTTGTCCTTGAAGAATCTAGTCACTCAGTTGGCATTCTCCTGACCAAATGCCTAGGCTGTTGGCAACAGCCTGTGAAACCGTGAAAATGTAGCAAGAGGTGATGTCAGGGGTGGCCTGCACAGCCATAACCACTGCAGGTAGTGTAACCCATTGGGTGGAAATGTCCACGTCCAGTCTCAGTCAAAAGATGGTCAACCCAGTGGACTCTGCCTGCATTCAGTTTCAGAGCTGTCAGTAAACCAAGCTATACCATTGGTAGGTATGTCTCTGTATCTTGGACCCCTGCCCACAGAAGGAGGGGAGGTCAAGACCAAGGGGATTCCTCTTGGCATCAAGCAGTGGTTAGAGTGATGCAGATAAAATGCTCCAATGCTTTTCTATGCAACCATCTTCAGTTTTTGTGCTCCAGTGGGATGCTACAGGTTCTTAATTATACTCTGGAGCACTCTCAGAACTATTTTCCTTGGTAGATAAATTGCCGTTTTTGCAGGACAAGAGCTGGTGCCTCCTCATCCACCATCTTGCTGAAGTCATTTCTCTTCAATTCTCAATCACATCTTTTGAGTTGTTTTTATTTCTTGACCCAGGATCTAATCAAGGATCAAACAGCTAGCCTTCTTTAATCTGGAACAAATAGTTCCTCCATATTTCTAAAAAAATCTTCATGACATTGACCTTTTTTAAGGCTTATTTTATAAAACTCTTCTGATAATTTAATTGAAAACACGTATCTCCAGAAGTTTTCAAAAATGCTTTAAGCAGGTGTGGAGAGAGGACACACAAAATACTTTAATGATTAACAAATTATCACACTTACAATAAAACATTATTACATAAAGCAAATAGCATGGATTGAAATGTGGTGTTTCACGATCATTCTCATGTCTATTTTTATTCTTATTTCTAGACATTTTTGAAGAGTTCAGACCCATCGATTTAAAGAATGTCCCTTATTTAGGTTTGTCTCTTTGCTTCCTCAAATTAAATTTGGCAAAAATGTTACATAGGACAGAATGCCCTCCTCAATGAATCACATCAGGGGTTATAAAATATCAGTGTGTCATTTTATTGATGATAAATTGATCATCTAATTAAAATAGTGTTTTCCAAATTTCTTCATTGTAAATGGTATTTTTCCATTTGTAATTAACAAAGAATCTGTGGCTGGGCATGCGGGCTTATGCCTGTAATCCCAGCACTTTGGGAGACAGAGGTGGGCCGATTGCTTCAGCCCAGGAGTTCAAGACCAGCCTGAGCAACAGAGAGAAACCACATTGCTACAAAAAATTAGCTGGGCATGGTGGCACACACCTGTAGTCCCAGCTACTCAGGAGGCTAAGGTAGGAGGATTGCTTGAGCCTGGGAGATCAAGGCCACAATGAGCCATGATCATGCCACTGCAGGCCAATTTGGGTAACAGAGTGAGACCCTGTCTCAAGAAAAAAAAGAAAATCTGTTATTTTCAGAAATTCTGATTACCATACACAACTTGGTATCCCACAGAACCTATTAACAGATTTGAAAAAAGAATTTCTTTGGTGACCTTGAGTAGCCAAATGGCTGGGAACATTGAGTTAGCATGCGGGCTTTGAGGTAAGAATTCTGGGAGATTTGTACCCTTTGGATACTGTGGCTGGATTTTATGCTGCTGCATAATTTTCTTTCCTGACATTTGTTTTTGAGCCAAGTACAGCCTTTCCCCCAGTTTAGCCTCTGCTGAAAGGCACTTTAAAATGTGTTTGAACACTGAACTATTCAAGTCAAAAAGACATGCTGTTCTATAGAAATCTGTTATATGCTTTTGCTCTAAAAGTATTTGAGGCTTAAAAATCAGCAAAACTACAATAGTATCATTCAGTTTGCTTTCAAATGGGAAAAACTTGTAAAACTTGACACACGAGAACAGATTCACTAATTGTTTTCCCTTTATAGAGTATTGACCATGACATTACAGAGAAATACAATAAATTGTGAAGGAAGCCTCACAATTTAGAAGCGCCAATGTGAGGAGCTCAAAATCAATGAGACATGTAAAGCAATTCTACTTTTTCTTCCTTCCTTTCTTTCCCCACTCTGCCTAGACACTTTGGGCATCTGTGTATATTTGCTGGTAGGTGTTTTATTTGTGAGATAGGATGGGGATCAGGACTCTAATTCACTTATGATCATTTGCCTCCCTGCGTATATCCATAGTAGATTGTGAGCAACTTGAAGGTAGGAGCAGCTTAAACAGATTCTGAAACATATTACTTTTTGCAGAAGTGAAACTGAGAAGGTAAAATGGAATGTTAGCCATGCAGTAAAAAATAGTTTTGGACTAATACAGAATAGCAACTGAATTATTTATATATACAATTCGCAGCTTAGCAAACAATTTCATGGTTAACTGCATTCTGTGCTATACTTTTCACTCATATTCTCACAGAAAGTATAGATTACTTTGCTTGAAAATTCATAAAAAATCTACAATATATTCCTCGAATTATTTATATATTTTTATATATATAAAATATAGGTTTTTTTATACTTATTTATATATGTAATATATACAATATTTATTTTTTTATAATTATTCATATATATACATACTGGTGGAGCTGCCCTCCACCAGCAGATAAATAAAATATATATATATATATATATATATATATTTTTTTTTTTTTTTTTTTTTTTTTTGAGACAGAGTCTCGCTCTGTTGCTCAGGCTGGAGTGCAGTGACACGATCTCGGCTCACTGCAAGCTCCGTCTCCTTAGGTTCACGCCATTCTCCTGCCTCAGCCTCCCGAGTAGCTGGGGCTACAGGTGCCCGCCACCCACCACGCCAGGCTAATGTTTTGTATTTTTAGCAGAGACGGGGTTCCACCCTGTTAGCCAGGATGGTCTCGATCTCCTGACCTCGTGATTCGCCCGTCTCGGCCTCCCAAAGTGCTGGGATTACGGGCGTGAGCCACCGCGCCCGGCCGCCTCAAATTATATTCTAATCAGTCTCCCTCAGTTTAGCCTCTGCATAAAGGCACTTTAAAAGTCTTCGAACACTGAACTCTCAAGTGAAAAAGACATGTTGTTGTATAAAAATCTGTTTTATGCTTTTTGCTCTAGAAGTCTCTAAGGCTTAAAAATCAGCAGGGCATATTCTGCTATCAAAACTACAACAGTATAATTTAGTTGTCTTCAAAGTAAAAAGATTTGTAAGACTTGACATATGAGAACAGATTATCTAATTGTTTCCCCTTTATTGAGTATTGGCCATGATGTTACAGAGACGAACATTCAGTTTTGAGTCACTTCTACTCGCAGATGTTTCAACGTTTCCTGGTCCATAATGACTGCACAATACGAGTATCTCTGCCTTTTAAAGCTGTTCTGGCTTAAAACAATGCCTCACCTTACATTTTCTATGAGTGAAAATAACGTAGATTGAATGCTAAGCATACACACTGTGCAGGCCACAAAGGATAAATCTGTGGACTCCTGCAGAAGGCAGGCGATCCAAAGCAAATGTCCTTAGCTGCCCTCCACCAGTAGAGGGCAGCCCTCTCCCTACAAACTGTCTACCTAGTGAGCTCCAAAGTGCGCTGCAGGAAATTATTTTAGAACTTGTAGGTATTGTTATCATTTTATTGATTGATTGATTGATTGACTATTAAGACAGGATTTCACTCAGCCACCCCAAGCTGTAGTGAAGTGGCACAAACACGGTTCATTGCAGCCTCAACTTCCCAGGATCAAGCCATTCTCCCACCTCAGCCTCCCAAGCAGCTGGGACAACAGGCGCACACCACCATGCCCGGCTAATTTTTTCAAATTATTTTTTGTACAGATGGGATCTCACTATGCTGCCCACGCTGGTCTCGAACTAATGGGCTCAAGCTATCTGACCGCCTCGGCCTCCAAAAGTGCTGGAGTTACAGGCATGAGCCATCATCCCCGACCAAGGTATTATTTTTATTTTAGCTTTTTAAAATTTCTATTTGGTGTGCTCTTTGTAATAATACATAAATATATATATGAGCATGCATTACATTTTTATAACTTATAAATAAATACATATACATATACATTTGAAGTGCATTTTTTTTAAAAAAAGTTGTTACTTGGCTGGGCACAGTGGCTCACGCCTGTAATCCCAGCACTTTGGGAGGCCGAGGTGGGCGGATCACGAGGTCAAGAGATCGAGACTATCCTGGCCAACATGGTGAAACCCCGTCTCTACTAAAAATACAAAAAATTAGCCTGGCGTGGTGGCAGGCGCCTGTTATCACAGCTACTTGGGAGGCTGAGGCAGGAGAATCGCTTGAACCCGGGAGGCGGAGGTTGCAGTGAGCCGAGATCGTGCCACTGCACTCCAGCCTGGGCAAAACGAGCGAAACCCTGTCTCAAAAAAAAGTTGTTACTTAAAGTAATGCATTGTCAACAGAAGTGTAGAGGCCATGATTCTAAACTTGTGTTCTCTACGCCTAACTACGAACCTTGTGCCTTTCCAAAACCAAAGGTCACACTTCTGGAAAGTTCCTTCCTCCCTCACATTCAATATCTATTTAGAGAACACACACTATGTCCTAGCTTCTGCTAGGTTCTGAAAATACAGTAAGAGGCAAAAGAGCCATAGCCCCTCCCACCCCGTGCCCTTATGAAACTTGCAGTCTACATAAACATAGATATGAAACAAACACAAAATGTATGTTTTAACCCTAAAATGCGATAGGGAAGCCAGTCAGACGATTTACTCGGGAGTAAGAATTCAGGTCATTCACCAAGGCGCCCATGTCAAAGCTTCATCACCCGCCTCGCGGCCCTAAAACGTGTCAGAGTCATGATACACACAACGCAGAGGAAAAGTTCAAAAACAGATCTTAAAAAGAGAAGTGAAAGCAAGCGATCAAAACATTTCTGGAAATCTGACACATCTGGAGTGCCGTGTGGAGACGCCAGGGCGCGTGGAGCTTTGAGCAGTTAAAAACCCAGACCGGGAGGCCAGTGCGTGTGTAAGACCGCGTTTCTCTGCAAGGCTGTCCCGCGGCAGGAACGCGCTCGTTGGGCCGCAGAGCAAGAGCGGGACGCGCCGGGGGGCGTCTGCGTGGCACGTGGGCCCCGCAGCCAGTCGCGCTACCGACTGGCAGTCAGCGGAGACGCTTCGGAGCAGGTCTGTTAGGGCGCGCGCACACACATGCACGTGCACGAGCGCACGTACACGCGCACACCGCCAGCGCGGACCCTGACGGGGCCGAGCCTCGGAATTGGGCCTCCTCGGCCGCCGTCGTCTTCTCAGCTCTCACAGGGCCCGCAGCGGCGCTATACCTTCGGCCACAGGTAGCGCGTTCCTTCGCTGTGCTGACCGTCGATCCCGGGGGCGCTAGAGCGCCGGCTCCGGGGAGGGCAGGGAAGCGTCAGGGACCTTTCTTCTTCTTTTTTTTTTTTTCTTTTTTTGAGACGGAGTCTCGTTCTGTCGCCCAGGCTGGAGTGTAGTGGCGCGATCTCGGCTCACTGCAATTTCCGCCTCCCAGGTTCACGCCATTCTCCTGCCTCAGCCTCCCGAGTAGCTGGGACTACAGGCGCCCGCCACCACGCCCGGCTAATTTTGTGTATTTTTAGTAGAGACGGGGTTTCACCGTGTTAGCCAGGATGGTCTCGATCTCCTGACTTCGTGATCCACCCACCTCGGCCTCCCAAAGTGCTGAGATTACAGGCATGAGCCACCGCGCCCGGCAAGCGTCAGGGACCTTTCTAGAGCCTTGCTTGGCCTGAGGTCCGGGACTGGGGCTGTCCCCGCTTCCTGTTTCTGCCATCAGTGGGGCCACAGGCCTGAAGACGGCTTGTACCGCCACCTTGGGCGCCTCTGCTCCTGGCTGCGACGTGGGGCGTCCTAGCCTTCGGACCGGGAACCTGATAGGAGACGAATAGAAAGGGGGAAAGCCCTGGAAAATTAAGCCGGCACAAGAAGGGGGAAACGTTTGGAGGTCAGGCAAGGCTGATGGCCTTGGGGATCGCGGAGCAGGAGGCTTACTGGGATGTCCAGTGTGAGAATGTCAGCCCGTGAGCTCTGGTGTGCAAGAAAAATGCCTCTTTTCTGGATTTCAGGTGAATTTCTGACTCCTCTGGGCTACATACGACCACCCTTCCCTGGCCCCCTCTGGTGAACTGGTTATAAAAGAAAAATTACCCTAGTTCTTCCTGCGGTCCCCTCCCCAGGGATTAGGCCAAGTTCTGGAAGCTTATTGGGTGACTTAGTGGGTATGTTAATGGTTAAGTAACGTACCCAAGGTCTTATTGCCAATCAGTGGCAAAGTCAGGATTCAAATGCAGATCTCTTGGACTCCAGAGGCTGGAGTTTATTAAATGTTTAGCCCCAGCTCTATTTGATTTTGGGGGTTTTTTAAGACAGTCTCTATCTGTTGCCCAGGATGGAGTGCAGTGGTGCAATCTTAGCTCACTGCAGCCTTGAACTGTTGGGCTTAAGCAGTCCTCCTGCCTCAGCCTCCCAACTAGCTGGGACTACAGGCGTGTGCCACCACACCTGGTTCCTAGCTCTATTTGAGACCACAGTGGCCTGAAGTGTAAAGCACACTGGACACTAGGTGTCAAAAAATAGAACTAGAAGTCAACAAGTGATCTAAAACAAGATTCTGTAGGTGTCTGGGCATCAGTTTCATCATCTGGGTGAAATGGACTTGAACCTGTTAATATCCAAGGTCCCTTCAGCCCTAATAGTCTAGGAATTCTAGAGAGTGTAACTGCTCATTTGCAGGCTGCCATCCAGACCATCACAACTGTCTTGTGGCTCATGGAGACTTTCAGATTGATGCAGTGGCTCCAAGGCGAAGTGACCTCAATTGCTGATGCAAAACTAGATTCTATAAGTGTAAACTGGTGGTTCACAAGGACAGGTGAGAAGTGCTGATGGTGGCAAGGGAGGCAATTATAACAATATCCCTCCCCTTCTACCCCATCCTCCACCCCACTTGTGACAGACATAGACAAGGACTTAATTGTGGCACAGAGGAAGGGCAACTGACTCTTGAGACCAGTGAATCTGTAGTCAAAACGCACTGATCACTGTTGAATAACTACTGGAATTATCAAGAGTCTGGCTGAATTTACATTTTACTTTCCAAAACAAATATAACCAAAAATTCCAGTCACTGCATAAGCCAGAAGCAGGTGACACACAGAAGTGAAGACTGAGGGGAGTTTAGGTGAAAGCTGCAGCTGTTCTCTCCCTTTTAGTGGGGGCTTTAGTTGGACAAGTCAAAAGAGCTTTTTTTTTTTTTTTTTTTTTTTTTTTTTTGAGATGAAGTCTCACTCTGTTGCCAGGCTGGAGTGGCATGATCTCGGCTCACTGCAACCTCTGCCTCTTCAGTTCAAGCACTTATCCTGCCTCAGCCTCCCAAGTAGCTGGGACTACAGGCACATGCCACCATGCCCGGTTAATTTTTGTATTTTTAGTAGAGATGAGGTTTCAACATGTTGGCCAGGATGGTCTCAATCTCTTGACCTCGTGATCTGCCCACCTTGGCCTCCCAAAGTGATGGGATTACAAGCATGAGCCACTGCGCCCGGCTCAGAACAGATTTCTGAAGAGGTTGTATGCAAACTGATTATTGTAGACTCAAAGGCTTACACTCCCATGAAGTAAGAGGGAGCTTTCTTAAATGTAAGATAGAATCAAAATATTCCTAGTAGCCAGGGATGGTGGCTAACGCCCGTAATCCCAGCACTTTGGGAGGCCGAGGCAGGTGGATCACCTGAGGTCAGGAGTTTGAGACCAGCCTGGCCAACATGGTGAAACTATGTCTCTACTAAAATACAAAAATTAGCTGGGTGTGGTGGCGGGCACCTGTAGTCCCAGCTACTGGGAAGGCTGAGGCAGGAGAATCGCTTGAACCCGGGAGGCGGAGGTTGCAGTGAGCCAAGGTCATGCCACTGCACTGCAGCCTGGGCGACAGAGCCAGACTCCATCTCAAAAAAAACGCTTCCTATTGTAATAGATCGTTGGATGAAAATATGCCACCTTGCCTCAATTACTCTAAATCAAATAACAGGCTTAGTGTGAGTTGGAATAAACCTATCAATGGCTACATTTTTTGTTTATGTATATCTGTGTTCATACGAAATTTCATATTTCATGCCAAGGAGGAAATGGAAAACTCCTAAAACTTTCAGAAGGGAAACTATTCTCATTTAAAGGCAGTTTGCCCCAATCTTAAGGAAACTCTGCCTGTTTTTGCTTCAGGCTTCCTTTTACAGAATCCAGAGGGGTAGAAAGTGATTTAGCTTCATCCTCAGCACATTGGATGATGAAACTTCAGACTGAGTTTGAGACAGGTAGCATTCATCCACTCTCATTTTTAAGCTCCTTGGAGATAGAGATTTCACAGTCTGCTTAATAAACCACTTCCATGTTTGTTTATTTATTTACACTCTCTGCTCAATTTTGCTGTAACCACTTCTGTGTTTAATAACCCTTACTGTTGGAATTGTTTTCCTGACTCTAATCCAATCACTACTCTGACAGTTTAGCATTTTGGATTCTTAGATCTGGAAAATATGGAAAATAGCCTTAAAGATCACTGTATTCATTTTCCACAAATTTGATGGATTAAAACACACAGATTAATTTTCTTACAGTTCTGTGCATTAGAAATCCAACACAGGTCTCACGGGGCTAAAATCAAGGTGTTGGCAGGACTGTGACCCTTAATGGAGGGTGCAGAGGTAAATCTTTTCCTTGCCCTTTCTACCCTTTAGAAACCGATCGAATGTGGTTTGTGGCCCTCTTCCTCCGTCTTCAAAGCCAGCAATGTTGCATCTCTGACCATTCTTCACATTTTCCTCTGACTCAACTCAGCAGGGAAAGGTTCTCTGAGGACACGTGAATAGATTGGGCCCGCCCTGATAATCCAGGATCATCTCCCTATTTTAAGATTTTTAATTTAATCACATCTACAAGATCTTTTTCCATATAAGGCAACATATTTATAGATTCTAGATATTAGGATGTAAACATCTTCAGAGGGTGAGGTGGGGGCATCGTTTTTCTACCTATCATAGTTATCTCTTCCAACTCACTTCTCAAAGCTGGAATCCCTCCTATGTGACTTCTGACAGATGCTTACCTAACTCAGTACTTCCACTGATGTGGAGGTTGCTGATTCATGAAGCTGCCAAGGAGAATGTTGGCCAACCCTAAATGTGAGGAAATTCTTCTGTTCAGTTACGATTCACATACATGGGTTCTTACCTTAAGCACAGGAGAAAACCTCACCTTGTATCCCCATAACACACCCAACACATGAAATTTTAAAAATATTTCAAGACAGCAAATGTTCTATTCATCAATTGAACATTTGAACACCTATGATATGTGGGTGCTATTCTAGGCTCCAGCAATAAAATGATTAATCAGCCAGACAAGGTTTACTACTGTTAATGTGACCTAATTCATCATTGTTTGCCACCTCTCTTCCTCAAAGGATGCAATGGCCAGTGGATTCATGGGTTCATCATCATCAGTATCAACATTGTGATCTTTTTGGTCATTTAGCATGAAACAAAAATCTATAAATCCAAAGGTGCTGAGTCATATGAAATGTCGGAATAGAGTGACCATCCATAAATTAGTTCTGAGAATACAGAATCATCATCCAGCTCCAGTGTTCAGTAGGCCAAGTCTCATTAAAGGATGCCATAAAATGAGAACATTAAACACTAATAAATAGGTGATATTCCATGGAACAGCCTTTCCATTTAGAAAAAAAGACATTTTAAGTTGGAGGGCAGGAGTGGTTTAATCGATTGTTCAATACACAATGTTGAGATAATTGGCCATCTGTTTAGAAGGAAAAAAATGGCTAAGGGACATTCTTATCTCCAACCATTCATAAAAGCTAATTCCAATGGATTAAATATATCTAAATGCATTCATTCATTCAACAAATAGTTATTAAGCCACTATCCTGTTCAAGTTGCTGTGGATAAAAAAATCACACAAAAATCTCCTTTCTTGTGGAGCCTACATTCTAGTGCAGAGTGGCGGTCAATTAATAAATAAGCAGTTAGCTTATTTATTTGATATGGTTTGGCTCTATGTCCCCAAATCTCATCTCAAATTGTAATCCCCACATGTCAAGGGAGGGGACCTGGTGGGAGGTGATTGGATCATGGGGGCAGTTTCCCTCATGCTGTTTTCATGATAGTGAATGAGTTCTCACAAGATCTGATGGTTTAAAAGTGCTTGGCAGTTCTCTCCTCACTCTCTTTCTCCCGCTGCCTTGTGAAGAAGGCGCTTGCTTCCCTGTCACTTTCCACCATGACTGTGAGTTTCCTGAGGCCTCCCCAGCCATGCAGAACTCAGTCAAATAAACCTCTTTATAAATCACTCAGTCTCAGGTAGTTATTTATAGAAGTGTAAAAATGGACTAATACAGTTGGTGATATGTGTTATGGAGGAATAAAAGCAGGGAAGAGAAGTAGGGAACAGGAGTTTACAATTTCGTACAGATTATTTAGGGAAAGCATTGCTATAAAGATGACATTTGAGTAAAGACTTAAATGAGGTGAAGAAGTTGGCCATGCAGTAATGGAGGGAGGATTTTCTAGGCAGAGGTAATGTGTAATAAAGGGCCCTATAATGGGAGCATGTTTTTTGAGAAATATTTAGCCTAAATGGCTGAAGTTAAGTGAGCAGAGGAACAATCATAGGAAACAAGATCAGAGAGATAGCCGGGGATGAGATCATGTAGAAGTTTGATAGTCATTTTAAGAATTTTGGCTTTTTCAAGTAAGATAGGAAGTTGCATTATATGATTTACATTTTAATGGAATCACTCTTATTTTTATATTGAAAATGGGCAAAGGCAGAAGCAGGGAGACCAGTTAGGAGGCCACCACAATAATCCAGTGGAAAGAGAACAATGGCTAGGAACAGAGTGGTAGTAGTGATGGTGGTTAGAAGTAGTTGTTTCTGAATATATTGAAGGCAAAGCCAATAGAATTTGCTCATGGATTGGTTGTGTAGGCAAAAGAAAAAGAGGAGTCAAGGATGATGTGGCTGGAGAGTCTACGATGGCCCCCAATTATCCCTGCCATCTGGTATTCATGCCCTTGTGTAATAGTCTTCCCTTGAGGGTAGGCTGGACTCAGTGGCCTGCTTCTAATTAGAAGAATATTACAAAGGTGGTGGGATATCACTTTCATGATTAGATTATGTGATATTTTTACATCTGTCATACTAGCAGACTCTATTGCCTTCTTAGTTTGCATGCTTTGATGAAACAGGCTGCCATTTTGGAAAGGCCCATGTGGCAAGGAACTTAGGGTGGCCACTGGCCAACAACCAGCTAGGAACAGAGGCCCTCAATCCAACAGCCCTCAAGGAGCTGAATCCTGCCAAAAACAGGTGAGCTCTGAAGTAGGTCTTTCTCAGTCGAGCCTTCAGATGAGACCCCAGCCTTGGCTGATATCTTGTTTTCAGCCTTGTGAGAGACCCTGAAACAGAGAACCTAGCTAAGACATGCTCAGACTCCTGACGCACAGAAACTGTAATATAATAAACGTGGTATATTGTAAGCTGCTAAGTTTGCAGTAATTTGTTACACAGCAATAGATAACTAATAAAAAGACATCTTTTTGGCCTGAGTGACTGGTATGGATTTACCATTTACTGAAATGGGGAAAACTGGGTTAGGGGAACCAGTTTGAGCTGTGGCGAGATCAAGAGATCAGGCAGACATACTAAGTTTGGGTGCCTATTATACACCCAAGATAAGATACCAGTAAGCAGTTGGATATACAAGTTTTACATTTGGGGGAGATGTCTATGGATATAACTTTGGGAGGAATCAGCTTATAAAAGGTTTCTAAAGCCATGAAAGTTAATGAAATAATTAAGGCAGTTAGTGTACAAGAACAGAGCCTGGAAAAATTCATCATTAAGAGGTTAAAAAAAAAATGAGGAGCCAGGAGATTGAGAAGAGGTCAGTAATACGGAAGGAAAGCCAGGAGACTGGTATCTTGGAAGCTATGGAAAGAGGATGAGGGAGTTAGCAACTGAAATCATGATGGTAGGTCAATTAAGATGAGGACTGATAATTAGCCAAAGGATTTAGAAACCTGGTAGACATTGGTGACTTTGATAAGAAAAACTTAAGTAGACTGGTGGGGTCTAAAGCCTGACTGGAATGTGTTCTAGCAAGACCTGGGGGAGAGAGAAGTTGGAAATATGGAATGTAGACAACTCTTCCAAGGAGTTTTGCAGTGAAGGAAAGTGGAGAGAGGGTAAGGTAGTTGGAAGGGTAAGTAAAATCAAGAGAGAGTTTTTAAAATACCCTTGCATACTGAAGGAATGATCCAGTACAAGAATAAAAACTGTTGATGCAGGAGACAGTAGATATTTGTCAAAGCAGTTTTGCTGGATGGTTGAAGAATGGTTGATTGAACAAATGGAAGGGTTGATCTTAATTTGAAGCACAGACAATATGTGAGAAAAGAGCATGCATGGGCAGAGAAGAAGGTGAGTGGTAGATGTAGTAGCACAAGCTTGTAGATGTTCTTGTGTAATTATTTCTATTTTCTTAGTGAAATAGAGAGTAGATTATTATCTAGAATAAGAACGGAACAGAAAGTAATGGAATTTTAAATAATAAGATATAAAATAGTTACCTAGGATGATGGCACAAATGCACTAAGGAAATACAATATTACTGCTCGGAAGCAATAAGATTCCACATGAGATTGGTAATAATGAATTTAAATGAGACTAGTCGATATAGATGAGAACGGTCAATATACACAGATGGGTATTTTTCTCAAGCCATATTCAGGTGCTAGAGAGTGTGAGCATCAAATTAAATTTTAACAGTGGTTATGGTTTAGCCAAGTGAGTACAAAAAAGCAGGGGAGAGGCAAGAGAGTTGAGGGTTTAAGCAAGAGACTGGTAAGAAAGATTAACAAATACAAGGATAATATCTAACTCAGGTCCACTGTAGCCATTCTATCCCATCAAAAGGGAGGAGAAGAAAAACTGAAGAACACTTGTGAAGTTTACAGTCCAGAGGCATAGGCTCGCTAAAAGACTAATACCTAATAATAGGACAATGTAATGCTTCACCTCACCCTATACCTTATCATCACATCACTAAAGGCCTGTTTACTGCAGTTCCTTTTTACCCAGTTCATCATGTCCAGGTATCAAGAAAAAATTGCAAGACCTACTAAAATATTTGAAGATATAATGGCTGTATTAGTCAGGGTTCTCTAGAGGGACAGAACTAACAGGATATATATATATGAGTTTATTAAGTATTAACTCACATGATCACAAGGTCCCACAATAATAGGCCATCTGCAAGCTGAGGAGCAAGGAGAGCCAGTCCAAGTCCCAAAACTGAAGAACTTGGAGTCTGATGTTCAAGGGCAGGAAGGGTCCAGCACTGGAGAAAGATGTAGCCTGGGAGGCTAGGCCAGTCTTGTCTTTTCACGTTTTTCTCCCTGCTTTATAGGCTAGCGGTGCTGGCAGCTGATTAGAAGGTGCCCACCCAGATTAAGGGTGGGTCTGCCTTTCCCAGCCCGTGGACTCAAATGTTAATCTCCTTTGGCGATACCCTCACAGATGTACCTAGGATCAATGCTTTGCATCCTTCAATCCAATCAAGATGACACTCAGTTATTAACCATCACAATGGCCAAAAAACAGTATTTGAAGACAGAGCTGGCTTAAACCCAGATATAGCAGAAATACTAGAAGAAATATCATCAGTCTGGGGATTTAAAACAACTATGATTAATGGATAAAGTAGACAGCATGGAAGAACAGATGGGCAATGTAAGCAGGGATGGAAATCCTAAGAATCAAAATGAAATGCTAGAGATCAAAAATACTAACACAAATCAAGGCTGCCTTTGGGGGGCGGCTTATTAGTAGACTGGACGCAGCTAAGGAAAGAATTCTGAGTTTTAGGGTATCTTAACAGAAACCAAAGCTGAAAAGCAAAGAGGACAAAGACAAAAAAAACCAGAATATTCAAGGACTATGAGACAATTATGAAGGTGTAACACACATATAATAGGAATTCCAGAAGAAGAAAAAGAGAAAGGAAAGAAAAGAAATATTTGAAACAATAAAGACTAGGATTATCCCCAAATTAATGTCAGATACCAAACCACAGCTCCTGGAATCTCAGAGAACACCAAGCAGGATAAATGCCAAACACAAACAAATTACACCTGGGCATATCATTTTCAAACTACAGAAAATCAAAGACAAATTAAAAATCCTGAAAGAAGTCAAAAGGCTAAGTAACTTGCCTAAGATAACACAATTAGTAAATAGCAGTTATAATTCGAAACAAGTATATCTGTCTCCAGAGCTAGTGGTCCTAACCCCTATATCATCATGGGGTGATAAGCCTCAACACCTCCCTTCTTACACACCCACACCCACACACACATACATACAATTTTACACAAGACTGCATATTTTGGTAACTTCTCTCAAGATGACCTTATTATTCATTTGACCCTGATTTTCAACCAGACATTATACATGATTTATTCATCAGCATCGTAATGAGATAAACCCAAGGTCTAATGGAAAAATTTCAAACAGACTGACATACATATAGTAGGAGACCCAAAAGAAAAACAGAAATAGACTGAGGTGTAAAAAACACTTGAAGATAAAATGGCCAAAATTTTCTAAAATTTTATCAAAACTTACAGATCCCAAAAGTTTACTAAATCACAAACAAAATACATTCAAATAAAACTATAGCTTGGGACATCACAGTCAAGCTGTAGAAAACTGAAGATAAAATCTCTTATAAACAACAAGAGAAAAAAGTTATCACAAACATACACTGCTTCTCATCACAAACAATGGAGGCCAGAAGTCAAAAGTATAAAATCATTAAAATGCTGAAAGGGAAAAAAAATGTCAACCCAGAATGCTATATCCAACAACAACAAAAACTCTTTCAAAAATGAAGAAGAAATAAAACATTTTCAGGCCGGGTGTGGTGGCTCATGCCTGTAATCCCAGCACTTTGGGAGGCCGAGGTGGGTGGATCATCTGAGGTTAGGAGTTTCTGACCAGCCTGGCCAACATGGTGAAACCGAGTCTCTACTAAAAATACAAAAAATTAGCCAGTAATCCCAACTACTTGGGAGGCTGAAGCAGGAGAATTGCTTGAACCTGGGAGACGGAGGTTGCCGTGAGCAGAGACCGTGCCACTGCCCTCTAGCCTGGGTGACAGAGTGAGACTCTTTCTCCAAAAAATAAATAAATAAATAAATAAATAAAACATTTTCAGATAACAAAAAGCTGGGAGAATCTGCCACTAGTAGTTCTGCACTACACTGTCCTTTAAGCTGAAGGGAAAGTATACAGATAGAGATGCAAATCTGTAGAAAAGAAAGCAAGCCACCAGAAATGTTAAGTAGGTAGGTAAATATACAAGGCTGCATCCCTCTTCCTGAAATTTCCTTAAATGAAAACTGATTGTGAAAACAAAAACTAGCATTATAAGGTGAGTGTATAATGTAGGTATAGAAATCAAAGATATGATAACACAAATGATGAATGGAAGAATGGAATTATATTGCTTTGAAGTTTTTATATATATGAAGTGAGAAGTTTGAAATGGAAAGTTAAATATGGGAAGTGGGAAATGGGACATGGGAAGAGTGATAAGTTAAGGATGCTGAGAACTGCAGAAACTCTCAGCATGAATGACTACATCCAAACCCCTGCACTAAGAGATTTGGCCAAACTCTAACATGACTTCTGGCAGGCAAAGGCCCCATGCTCCTGGGATGATCCAGCACACTCTTGAGATCCTGCCTAGAAAAACTCAAGGCTGCCAAAGAATTTACCATTTGTTCCAGCCAACACCTGGGGAAAGGTCCCTGACCTCCCTTTCCTAGAGTATTTACCTTAAAAAGCTTACAACTACAAATCTTTTCTCTGCCCATTTGGGATATACATGTATCTCCTACAACTCAGGAGTGTCTTTCCCAAGGACCTAAAAGCCATTCCTTTGAAATGTAATCATTAGAAAGCATAGGGCCTCTATCTCTCAGTCTCTGTGGAGGTAGAAGTCTAACTTTATAAATGGCAGTAAACAAACACAGATGGCCTAATTATATTTACATTGGCCAACCCTTGTACCCATTTTTTGAAATTTTGTCACTTTCCTGACACTGCTCAAGCCCTCTACTTGCTCTCCCTCCCTACTCCTTCTCATGGGTCTTTTAAAACACCCAGTTACCTGTGTAGGAATCAGAATGGAATTCAGCTCTTTTCTCTACTGCAATAGTTACTGAATAAGATCCATTTTCACTTGTTTAATTAATGTCCAACTTTATCTCTGAAAATACATTAGGCTGGGTGCAGTGGCTCACACCTGTAATCCCAGCACTTTGGGAGGCCGAGGTGGGCAGATCATAAGGTCAGGAGACTGAGACCATCCTGGCTAACATGGTGAAACCCCGTCTGTTCTCTGATCATATGGGAATTGAATTCAAAATCAATAGCAATAAGGTTTTCAGGAAGCCCCCGTAACATCTTGGAAGTAAAACAAATCCTAAATAACTTGTAGGTGAAAGAGGAAATCATAAGATAATTAGAAAATGTTTTGAATTGAATAAAATTAAAAATATAAAATATCAAAATTTGTGGATGTGTATATATACATACATACATACATATGTATATATGTGAGAATATGTATGTGTGTGTAGTACGAAAGTATATGTGTGTGTGTGTGTATATATATATATATACACACACATATATATATGAGAGAGAAATATTCATTTTAAGGAATTGGCCCATATGATTGTGAAGTTTGGTATAGCCAAAATTTGCAGTGTAGGCCAGCAGGATAGAGACCCAGGAAAGAATTACAGTTGTAGTTCAAGGGCAGTCTGCTGGCAAAATTCCTTCTTGCTCAGAAGAGGTCAGTGTTGGTTCTACCATCAACTGATTGGATGAGGCCTGCCCACATTATGGAAAGGAATCTGCTTTACTCAAAATCCACTGATTGAAATGCTAATCTCATCCAAAAAACACCTTCCCAGAAACATCCAGAATAATATCTGACCAAATAGCTGGGCACTATGGCCCAGCCAAGTTGTCATATAAACTAACCATCACAGCATCTATGAAAACCCTAGAGCTAACATACTTAATAGTGAAAGACTGAATGCTTTCCACTAACAGCAGAAACAAGGCAATGATGTCCACTCTCACCACTTCTACTTAACACTGTAATGAAGGTCCTAGATAGTGTTAAAAAGTTAAAAAAAACCATATATATTGAAAAGGAAAAAGCAAAAGTATCTTGATTTGCATATAGCATTCAGTACATAGAATATAATACGAAATACTTTTAAAAGCTATTAAATAAGTAAATTTAGCAAGGTCAGAGAATATAAGCTCAAAATACAAAAATCAATTGTACAGGTATAGGTAAATAATAAATGGTTGGAAATTGAAAGTGTGAAAAAATAACATTTACAATAACTTCAGACAACTTGAAATGCTTAGGCATAAATTTAACAAGATGTACAAAACACACTTAAAAATACAAATCACTGCTTAGAGAAATTTAAAAAGACCTAAATAAATGGAGATATATACCATATTGATAGGTTAGAAGATTCAATATTGTTAAGATATCAGTTCACCAAAGTGATCTATAGATTCAGTGCAATCCCACTCAAAATCCCAATGTTCTTTTACATAGACATTAACAAGCTGAGTTTTAAATGTATATGAAAATGCAAAGGACCTAGGGCAGTCAAAATAGTGTAGAATGACATAAGAATGACAATAGAACAGACTAGGAAGCCTAGAAATAGACCCACACATATATGTTCAACTAATTTTCACTGAAGAAATTCAGTGAAGAGGATAGTCTTTTAACATATGCTGCTGGTACAAATGGATATCCATATGCAGACAAACAAAATTTACCTGGATTCTTGCCTCTTGCCACACTAAAAATGATCTCAAAATGGATCATAGATATAAATGTAAAAGCTAAAAAACTAAATGAAAACAACAACAATAAAAACTGAAGAAAGTCTTTGTGATTTTTGGGATAGCCAAAGATTCTTAGGTACCACACAAAAAGCATGGACCAAAAAAGAAAAACATTGATAATCTGGACTTCATCAAGATTAAAAACTATTTTTTCTTCAAAGATACTATTAAGAAAATAAAAATTCAGAGACTGAGAGGATAAAACATATATCTACAGACATATATTTGTATATGTATGTAGATATAAATTACAAATGAATAATACTCCTAATACATAAAGAATTATTGCAACTCAATAGTAATACAATAAACCAATGGGGTAAAATGGGCAAGGACACCTATAGAGAGAGAGACAGATGAAGATACATTAAAAAATAAGTACAGAAAAAGATAACTCTTATGGGTTAAATGTTTGTGTGTCTCCAAAATTCATATGTTGAAATCCTAACCCACAATGTGATAGTATTAGGAAGTGGGGCCTTTGGGAGTTTATTAGGCCATGAAGGTGGAGCCCCCATGAATTTGGGATTAATGCCCTTATAAAAGAGATCCCAGCGAGCTCTCACCCCTTCCACCCTGTGGAAGAAGCCACTTATGAAGAAGCCAGAAGCTTATGAAGACAGCCATCTATGAACCAGAAAGTAAGCCCTCACCAGACACCAAATATGCCCATGCCTTAATCTTGCACTTCCCGACCTCCAGAACTGTAAGAAATAAATATTTGCTGTTTGTAAGATACCCAGTCTATGGTATTCTGTTATAGCAGCCTAAACAGACCAAGGCAATACCTGACATCATCAATCATTATGGACATTCAAATTAAAACCATAACATTTCATATCCATACAAATAGCTAAAATCAAAAAGCCTGACAATATTGATTGCTAGGGAGAATGTAGAACAATTGGAATTCTCATCCCAGGCTTGGCTTCACAGGTGCCATGCTCAGATGAGCCCCACACTTGGTTTAATATTCTGCTGTCACTGTTTGAAATTCTTTTTTTTTTTTTTTTTTTTTGAGGCGGAGTTTTGCTCTTGTTGTCCAGTCTGGAGTGCAATGGCACAATCTAGGCTCACTGCAACCTCCACCTCCCAGGTTCAAGCAATTCTCCTGCCTCAGCCATGTAGCTGGGATTACAGGTGCCCACCACCACACCAGCTAATTTTTTGTATTTTTAGTAGAGACAAGTTTCACCATGTTGGCCAGGCTGGTCTTGAACTCTTGACCTCAAGTGATCCACCTGCCTTGGCCTCCCAAAATGCTGGGATTACAGGCGTGAGCCACCATGCCTGGCCTGAAATTCTTAATAATTTTACCTTTGAACTAGTGTTTTGTAAGCAAAGTCCAATAGGGCAATGGAGGATAGTGTGAGCAGAGGAGATACTCACAATATGTGTGCTGTTTCTTGCTGCCCCATTCAGATACAGTGTTTGCAGTGACCTGTGAGCATGAATTCTGATGGGCATAATGCATGGGAGTTCAGCAAGACTCAAAGTAAGTAAAAAGTAATCATGTTATTTTTCAAAAAATTAAAAATAGAATTACCATATGATTCAGCAATTCTGTTTCTGAGTATATGCCCAAATAATTAAAAGCAGAGACTCTGGCATTGCATAACATAAAGATGAAACAGCAGTAAAATTCATGCTGATAATTAATAGCATGAATAGCAAATAAAAAACACCATGACAAGTCAAGACTGCAGAAGAAAAAAGCTTTATATTTCCCATTTTTTTAACAATGGACCCCACATTTTATTTTGCACTGAGTCCAGCAAATTATGTAGCCAACTGTCTTATACATCACTACTAAGAACCTAAAATGGTCCAACCATTTTGGAAAACAGTTTGGTGATTTCTCGTAAAGCTAGCAACACACTTACCACATGACCCATGGGAGCCAGAAGCTGTTTGAACTAATTTGGTTACATTTGTACACTAGTGAAGACTATGAAACAGATTTGATGATTGGCAGCCCCACAAAAACCAGGTGGAATGGAGGAGGGGTAATTCTTTCAAATGAATGGAGTAAAGGAAGCTGAGCAAGCAACAATAACGGAGGCAGAAGATAAATGGTGGGGGATGTTGGGGGAGGGGAGGAAGGAGGTAAGAAAGGTGAGAATATTCCATTTGCAGATGGCAGAGCTCAAATTTAAGATTCCTGCCAGCCTCAATAAAGCACTTGTTTGATTCAATTCTACATTAGGACACTATCTAGAGGAATGGCTTATTTAAGCAAAGAACTGCTTGTCAATTCCTGAGACAACTGAGCATGGATTAAATGCATACAACTGCATATGGGACTCTGATCCTGGGAGTATAAAATTATTAATGATTTTGCTCAAGAGTAGCATAATTAAGAGGCAGACATGGGCTCAGATTCCTAAAATAATAACTTATGGTTAAATGAGGCCCATTACATGCCATTACGTTACAACCCAAAAGTTTGGTTTCATCCTTTGAGAGCCAGTTGACTGATACTCAGTGTCCCAGCTGTGGATCTGCTTGGAAGCTGCAAGGACTAACTTCTTATTCATTATGGGGACCACAAAAAGAGGCTACTTATGAAGGTGTGTGGTTCTAGACCCCAGGATAATGGAAGAAAGAGCGGTTTGTGCCACTAGGCCCTTATTCTGAGAGCGGAGCCCTATCCTACCATACTTGGCAGTCTGGCCAAAATGAAGCTAACAGCGGTAAACTTGGAGAACCGAGGCCTGTTTCAGGTGCTGCAGTGGCCTCTCAGATGACTTGGGCAAATGATCCATCTCTCTATTTCTGTTTCTTCCAAAATAAGCACAAGTAATTCTCACCAACCTACTCTTGAGTTGGTTTGAATATCAGATGAGACAATGAGCATGGAATCTCTTCAGATAAAATGAAATGTGATACAAAATTAAGATGATGTGCCAGTTATTATTCTTAGCATTTCCAAGGGGGTGCTGCCACCCTCCCCTTCCCTTTCAGATTATTGGCAATAGGAGAGGATCAAATTAAGATCATAATTAGATGATTTGAGAAATTCACATTACTCTTTAAAATACTGAAGAATTCATTAAACAAAGATCAAAAAGTTTTGTGGCTATGCCAGGTTCCTGAAATCCTAAGAACCACTATGAATCCAGAAGAAGCATTAACTGTTAAAGCTCAGAGAGGAAATATTTTAGCAATGACACAAGGCAGCTTCTTATCTCTTGCTTCACAGCATCACTAAAAATAAATTTAAAAAAAATACAAAACAAAATGAAAATAAAACTTTTAACTGATCCCCAGAAGAACAGACTCTTCAGAAAAGCTGACAGACAGAGGGTCAATGATCAAGAATAAAAATAGTATGGTACATTTAGAAAGGAAAAACAAACACCCATATCACATGGGCAGCTACTTACTGTGAACAAACCATGAACAAAAGTACCTCAAGGCTAAGGCAAATGGGCCACAAACTGGATATGAGTCAGCAACAAAAGTCCTTTTATTAATTAAGCTCAAGACTGGATACAATGTTAATAATATTTTATGCTGATGTTTATGAAGCCCTTAACACATGCCAAGGACTTTTAGTGTATACCTGTATCATCTTACTTAACCCCACTAGGTAAGTGTGATTGTTATTTATATTTTACAAATGGAAAAACAGACGACCAGAAAATTAAGGTACTTGCATAAGGCCTCCAAACCATTATGTGGCAATTTGGGCCATGAGCTGACATCTGTCACCAAAGTCTGTGTACCTAATCCCTGTTGTAAATTACCTCTCGAGAGCATCCTGTTCATACTGAGTGCAGGTTGGGGTTCTCGGCTTTGACAAAGAGGCTTGGCAGACCTTAAGAGGATTCAGAGGAGAGCAGTGGAGAAGGGTTATTTAACCTGGAGAAGGGAAAACTAAGATGTGATCCCTAGCAGTGTTAGCTTCTCTGATGGCAATTGGGATCAAGAAATAGATAATAGATTGCAGGTGGTTTGGGAGAGCAAAGGAGGATTCGGGCTAAGCCAGAACCAAATTGTGATTGTTTCTAAATGTGCTAAGGATGTTAAATATTTGTGGTAGTCATGGAGGTGCACCACTTAAGAGAACCTGCTGTGAGAAGCACGACTGACTGAGAGCCTCCAGTTGTCACACCTTTGGGTGTGACACAGTGCTCAGGCCCAGGCCATGCTTCCCCCAGGCAGCTCCTAGCAGTGACTACGCATAAAGGCAATATTAGAACTGGGCCATTTCTGTCCAGTGGTGGCTCCTCTATGATCCTGGAGAGCTCTCTTAGAACTACAATGCAGGCTGGGCGCAGTGGCTCACGCCTGTAATCCCAGCACTTTGGGAGGCCCAGGCGGGCAGATCACGAGCTCAGGAGATCGAGACCATCCTGGCTAACACAGTGAAACCTCATCTCTACTAAAAATACAAAAAAATTAGCCGGGCATGGAGGCAGGTGCCTGTAGTCCCAGCTACTGAGGCAGGAGAATGGCGTGAACCCGGGAGGCGGAGCTTGCAGTGAGCCCAGATCGCGCCACTGCACTCCAGCCTGGGCGACAGAGCGAGACTCGGTCTCAAACAAACAAACAAACAAACAAAAACTGCAATGCAGTCTGAGGCTTTTCCTGCTCCAGCCTCCTTCCTTCCCTTTCTTCTCTGGAAGGTGTCAGACCCACAATGCAGCCTGGAGGTTCTCCTCACCTACTCCCGCTCCCTCCGCCTTTATCGTCAACAAGTGTTTCCCCAATAAATTTCCTGTATGTATAATTCTGTCTTGGTGTTCACTTCTCGGAGACCCAAACTGACAAAATATTGAGTGTGTAGAAAAGAGAAATAAGGCCGGGCGCAATGGCTCAGGCCTGTAATCCCAGCACTTTGGAAGGCCGAGGCGGGTGGATCAACTGAGGTCAGGAGTTCGAGACCAGACTGACCAACATGGTGAAACCCCATCTTTACTAAAAATACAAAAAATTAGCCGGGCATGGTGGCGGGCGCCTGTAATCCCAGCTACTCGGGAGGCTGAGGCAGGAGAATCTCTTGAAACTGGGAGGTGGAGATTGCAGTGAGCCGAGATTGCACCACTGCACTTTAGCCTGGGCAACAGAGCGAGACTCCACCTCAAAAAAAAAAAAAAAAAAAGAAAGAAAGAAAGAAAAAGAAAAAAGAAAAGGGAAACAATAACTCCTTTGGTCTTTAAAAGCAGGCTTGGCAATTAACTGAGAAATTTTAAGTGCAGGTCCTCGAGAGCCCAAAAAGGATGTGTTTAGAAGACGTCCATCTTCTCCTAGGCCTGAGATTCTATAAGTCTGTACTCATCACCTAAATATAACACATTAAATGTTCCTAGTTTATTTCCATGTAAGAAGGGCCTAAGAAATATGACTATTCATCTAATTAAAAATGAGAAATGCCTGGCATGGTATTCATCTAATTGAGAGGTATTCAATTCTAATTGAAGTAGTTATTCTAATTGAAAATGAGAAATGCCTGACATGGCATCTTCACTGAATCTGCCGCTCTCTCTGATCTGAAACCTGCTTGACTCTCACAGATGCTATTAAAATTATTGCAAGGTGAACAGAGACCATACTCTGCAGACCATAAGCTGCAGAGCTGAAGCCTGGGCCCTCCAAAGCGGCTTGGGAAGTGCACTCAGAGTCCCTGGAGCAACGTGATAAATTGGCCCAAACTTCCCCAAAGTCCTACCAAGCCAGATAGACCATGGCTCATCATTTTGTCCTGAATAGGTTAGAAGAGGTATTTCTCTGTATTGAGCTTCAGTTATTAGCCTTATAACACCAACAATTAGACATCTTCTGACAATAAGTACATGGAGTACTTGGAGTACAATAAGTACATGGAGTCAGAACTTTACAAAAGTCTTTGTAGTTAATAAAGACATTAAAAAATACAAGACTATTTTGCCTTGTTTCTAACCAGCCACATGACCTTGAATAAATTATTTAAGCTCTCCAGATAACCTAAGAAATTCTGAGAGTTGAGGCTCAATGTTATAAAATCACTGAAGTTGTAATCCTCACCCTGTTAAGGGGTCATTGTTTCTCAATAGGACTGGACTAGTTCAGAAAATGCCTTTCCATGGGATATATATCCATTTTCCTCAGGTGGGTGTGGTAATTGTTCCTCTCTCAGCATACTCCGTGGTCAAGATAGTGAAACCTTGCTTTTCACCTGAACAAACTGTTTAAAGAGTTTCATGTAATATATTGAATAGGAAGGTGTTTACTAACATCAGTTGCCAAGACACAAACAACTCTACTATCAACCACACAGGATAAACCCTCTTTAAGATTAAACCTAAATCCTTTCTCTTTGTTAAGAAATAAAATAAAAAGGCCGGGTACAGTGGCTTACGCCTGTAATCCCAGCACTTTCAGAGGCCAAGGCAGGAGGATCGCTTGAGTCCAGGAGTTTGAGACCAGCCTGTCACATGTCGAAACCCTGTCTCTACAAAAAATACAAAATTTAGCTGAGTGTGGTGGCACATGCCTGTAATCCCAGCTACTCAGGAGGTGAGGTGAGAGGATCACCTGAGCCCAGGAGGTTGAGGCTACAGTGAGCTGTGATCATGTGCCACTGCACTCCAGCCTGAGAGACAGAGTAACCCTGTCTCAAAAAATTTTAAAAAAATCTGAACACAGTTCAGCATTGAGCTTAATGCAGCATTAAAGTGTGAAGGGTTAACCTGCTCTACCATGCTTCTCTCCTGATTTGCTCTGCCCACAGTCAGAATAGCCACAGCCTGCCAGCCAGCCCTTTGACTGGGGAACCCTTCCCATCCGCCTCCCCCCCACCACCCTCCCCACTGCCCCCCGTCCCTGCTGGTTGGGGAGGGGAGCCAGCAGAGGAAGTAGATGGATGCAGTGAGAGACAAGACAAAGAGCACACAGCCCAAGCCACCATCTGCCTGGCAGGGTGGCACGAGACAGAGTTTGGGACCCTGGTGTAGCCACTGTGGTTAAGCAGACAGTGTCTGCAGCAGGCTGTCGAATTTGAAATTTGAGAAAGGCAGGCTTCACAGAGTGTCAAACACTTGGGTTCAAGGTAAACTTGAACTGTTGAAGAACTCTTGCTCTGTTTTGTTAACTTTCAGGACCATTGGATTTTTCTGCTTTTGGCTGCACTTGAATAGTATTTCAGAAACATTGTGGGTTATATGGGTTATATACATTTTCTTGGACTCGCCTGGGAGCCTTTCCTCTCTTGCCTCAAACCACAAACATCTGATATTATTTCTATGGGAAATGTGTTTGAGTTTCAAAGAAAATCTTACAAACAAGCTTTTAATGTAGAAGCTATTTGTAAGCCAGGCTGTAACTATATACTGAAACTTCTATGCATTTGCTTATTACATATATATTGAGGGACCTACTATGTACCAGGTATCATGCTAGGTGCTGAGGATAACCAAGGGGTTCACAGTCCTTTGAAGAAGCACATAGATGGGGAACTGAGCAGGTCCACATTATGACTCTCATGGGCCCTCGACACTTTTCCCTTCATGGGCCCCTTCCTCCTTAAAAAAAAAAAATTAAAAATTTTATTTTACAATTGTGTTGGTATAAATACAATCCAGGTTGGATTATATTCTCTCTTGGTATGTGACTGGTTTTAAAAGAAATTAAAACATTTTCATGGGACCTTGAAAGTATCCTAGACCCTCAGTAGGCATTGGGCCTACTGAGCCTAATGGATAGGTTGGCCCTGGAGAGGAGGAGGGCAAGATGAGGACTTGCAGGAGTGACACCTGAGGTGACAGTTAAAGGACAAGCAGGAATTAACCAGAGAGGCCAGAGGGGAAAGGCCATTTTAGGAAGAGAGAACAGCATGGGCAAAAAAAAAAAAGTATGAAAGGCAAGATGAGATACCCTGCGAGGGATCCTAAATGGTAAAAATGAGATTGGAAAAGATAGGCAGAAGCCAAAATATGAAGAATCTTGTGTGCTATTCTAAGAACAGTAGGAAATTAACAGGGACAGCTGAGGAGTGACAAGTCGAAATGAGGCTTGTAGAAAAATTACACTGGAATAATTGGAAACAGAATATGAGACTACTTGAGAGATGATGGCAAGAATCTATGTGAGAAATAGTGACAACCCTAAGACAATAAAAATGAAAATAACAAGTATTCCAAAGGATGCAGGTTGATTCATTGGGTAGGAGGAATGAGGAAGAAGTCTGGGTTCCTATTTGTTCCCTTCTTAGCCCTCAAACACACACCACCTCAAAGCAGCCGGCCATCTCAGATATGGGAAACTGCTGGTCTGACTTTTTGGCCTCATCTCCAAGCCCTCCTATTCTGACAACATCCTAAACTGAGTTCTCAACCTATAAGGCTTATCAGTGTCTTGGTCACAGTTTCATATGTGACCCTTGACTACACCAGTGCCGTGAATATGGGGCACTCCTGCTACCCATTCTGGCCCCTTGGACCCATGCCAGCTAAGGCAGTCCCACCTGGCCCCCACACGGATGCAGAGCAGACTTTTCTGCCTTGCTTGAACTGGTGCATGGTAGAGGCATTGGCTGTGCTAGGAAAAAGATGATGAGAAGCCATTGTGGGGAAGATGATTACTTCCAGTCCAAATATGCTGAATTTGAGGTTCCAAAGGGACAACCTAGTAGACATTAACTAAGGCAATCACAAATGTGGTCCTAGAATTTAGGAGAATGTGCTGGAATGGAGAAGAAGATTTAGGTGTGTGCAGAAAAGAATTTACATGGTAGGCCTCAGGCTGGCCCTAGAAAGGCTTGTTTGCAAGGTTGGCTCTTAGCTGGCAGCCTGGAACTGGACTGGGGGAATACTCTATTCCCTGAGAAGGGTGGACCACTGTGCCTAAACTGTTTGTGCAAACAATATAGTTTACGCTGAACACTTGCTTTCCTCCTGGGAGTCTGAAATTTTGGTATGTGCTAGGCAGAGGGTGCCTGTATGACCAGCCCCCAGTAAAATTTTGGGCACTGAGTCTGTCACGAGCTTTTCTGGTAGACAACACTTCTCTCATGTAGCCACAGTTTGATGCTGGAGGAATTAAGTGTGTCTTGTGTAACTGCTGGAACAGGACTCTTGGAAGCTTACCTGGATTTCTCTAGACTTTGTCCCATGCACCTTTCTCCTCTGCTGACTGTGCTAATATCTTTTCCCTGTAATAAATCTTAGCTGTGAACATAACTCTATGCAGATTCCTATGAGATCTTTTAGTGAATCACTAAATTTGGATGTGGTCTTGGAGACCCCCAACACAGAGATTTATCAGGAACACCTAGTCATTCAGTGCTGGGAATAAAACCTAAGTGGACCCCTCCCAAGTTACATGGTTGCAATGGACTGGTCACATAATCTGATCCCAATTGGTTGGAGTAAAGAAGGTCATGCTGCTCGATCCTACAGACAAAAATGAAGATGCCTTCTATCGTACAATGCACTGGTCTGAAATGCAATGAAAGGACAAGGGTGACATTCAAGGGAAGATTAAAGAAAGACTCCTAACTATTCCAGAGGCAAACTCTATGTGGCTAAGAGTTAGAGTCATAGAAAGATCCTCTTGACAAAATGCTAAAAAAGAACAAACCAACAAAAGACCTAAAGGTTGTGAGGACCATGGCTATTCCTTTAGCAAATTGAGAACAAGACAAGATTTCTGGCATTGGATACAAGATCCTAAATACAATTGTTAAGAAACTAGTTACAGTTTTAAGGAAAGTGTATTGTCAAAAAGTCCCTAGCCTGCTGTATAGAGACCTGTGACTGTCCGGCATTATGGTAGACCCTGAACCAAGCCCCAACATTGAAATGCCAAGATCAAAGCCATTCACCAGCATCTCCTCAAACACCTGCCTGCCATCACCACCACAAGCACCAGTAGGAAATCCTCCCTTGGTGCCTTTTCTGAAGGTGGTTCCAACAATTTATTCTACATCCAGAGAAGTGAGGCAACAAAGAGAATGCTCATGAGACCCATTGTTTCTATCATTCATCCTGCTAAGCTTGCTCAGCGAGATATGCTATTATATAATCTGTACCAGTAATCAATGTATGGCACTTCTTTCCCTGTTTTTGTTTGATTTTTATTCCATTTCACTGTATCGGGTAGGCAGGAGAAGCTACTTTTATCATTTATCCCATAATCTGCAGAATGGTGAGAAGTCACAAACCTGATCAGATCCAAGCTAATGGAGGAATTGACACTACCTAGAAAACCTGAACTCAGAGGGGCTAAATTGTGTCACTTCACAGTACAGAAGCTGCATGTGATTTTGGATTGTTACCCACTGGGGAGAAGGTGAGCACATTTGGAATTGCACAGCACATTTGGAATTGCACAGAAGGTGGCTGGATTAGGATTAAGTAGGAGCATTTTTACAATTAAATGTGTGAGAAGATGTGAGATATATATATATATACTGGGCAGCCAAGAAGTTACTCCATCTTCAAATGAGACATTAACACAATAGAGGAAAAATATGTCTGAAAGTCATTATTTTCCAGAAGAAATGTGAAGTTATTTTTAAAAAGGAATAAAAAATATATAGGGGCCAACTCAGAGTCTTCAGAGATTTAATACTCAAACAAAACTTGCTGAAATGATGGATCTCCAATGATCAAAAGGGCAAATATATTCAGGGACTAACACACTCATACTCACTGAAAATAACTCGCAATCTGTCTCTAGAGACTAAAGAAAAAATCACCACTGACAGCCATCATCATCTTTTGAAACGTGGGATGATGTTCTCAACGATAGATGAATCTGGCTTCCTGGGAAATCATCTCCTAATACAGATACGCCAGCTCTCTGATTTCCAGTGTTGCACAGGACTGAATGAGAGACCCCAAGTGAGCCACCTACTACTGCAAAGTGAATTAACACCCTGGCTTTCATGTAAAGTGCTGTTTCTAGTTTCTCCTCCCCTGGCCACAGATTATTCCAATGGAGAGATGCAGGAAGATTAAAAGTTCATTAGATGTTCTTGTCTGGGAGTAATATACATGAAAATGCCTCAGACTGAGCTTGTCAACTCTGGCCCTTAATGCAGCATCTTCAGATGCCTCATTCATCTCTTTCCTGGATTCATCTTTATAATACAGATTCTGTTATATCTTTTAGGGGCAACTCTTCTCCTCCATTCATGAGACAGAAGGATGTATTTGCCTATGGAAATTAGGGTAATCAGACATATGATAGAACAAAGTTGTAAAATTAGAAAAATATCTTTAGGAGGAATTAAATTAGACTGAAAACTTCCCAAGGCATTTCCACTTCTCCAGAATGCAGCATAGCAGGAAAAGCAGGAGCTTTGGAGGCAAATAGCCACGTGATTGACTCCCTAAACTCTGCCAATTACTAAGTTAGGTAGCAAAAATACTTCAAGGAGAGCTTCAGAGGTTTAAATTATGAATTCATGTTAAATATTGAAAGGAAAATAACCTCGTAAGAGTGATAATTAAGTAAGGGTCATAATGCTGGCTGAAACTAAAAAAATCTAGGAAAAGAGAAAACAGGGTAAAAGGCTGTAACTATGTGAGAGGGCAGCTGGAAGCTGGCAATCTAGAAATAGAAGTTTGCCAGACAGCCACACTATAAAGAACAAGCTCTACGGACCTGACATGGAACATAATATTCAAATGAAGAATTTCTAACTATTTGTTCTTCTCTATATTGGAACCACAAAGGGTATAATCATTGCTAAATAGAAGCTATAAATAGATTAATGGGCCTTTGTATTTGTCATCAGCCTTGTTTATTGGGAAATGAATGAAAATATTAAAGAATATCCTTTTTTATTCCCAACTGGGTTATCAATTTATGAAATTCATTAAGCTGTACTGCTGCCTTCAGGGAATTTTCCATACAAAACACAATCTACTTCTGTTTCAAATGCCTATATGGGATTTCTTTCCATGCTAGTAACATTATCATGTCTTGCAAAGGACTAAGTCAAAGAATCAATATGCCTTTATTTTTTCTGTATCCTTACTTTTTTCATTCCCCTCTTCCTTTGTCCTCCTAATTTTCCTATTGCATCAGGCCCAGGGAGGTAGAACTTCCTGAGGAATATCCCATATAAGAAATAAACGGGCCAGGCATGGTGGCTCATGCCTATAATCCCAGCACTTTGGGAGGCCAAGGTGGGCGGATCATGAGGTGAGGAGTTCCAGACTAGCCTGGCCAACATGGTGAAACCCTGTCTCTACTAAAAATACAGAAAATTCGCCGGGCGTGGTGGCGCATGTCTGTAATCCCTGCTACTCCGGAGGCTGAGGCAGGAGAATTGCTTGAACCTGTGAGGCGGAGGTTGCAGCGAGCCGAGATAGTGCCACTGCACTCAAGCCTGGGCAACAGAGTGAGACTCTGTCTCAATAAAAATAAAAATAAAAATAAAAATGCTGGATTTAGTCTCTCCTCATACTGGGGGCAAATTTTAACACTAAAATAAGTGAGATGTATGAATTAAGCTATGTTCAAGATGTTTAAATTGGCATACCTTGTAACTAATTTGTGCTACCTCTCCCTCCTCCACCTAGGTGATTCTCTCTTCCACCTCTTCATACTGAACTAGAGACCAAACAACGTCTTTTTTTAAAAACCAACATTTTTACACCCTTCTCTTTCCTTTCAGTTTCATTGCCACCATTCTAGGGTAGATAAGTGATGACAACTGGTAATAAAAATAATGATGTCTTTTATCACAATAGTTCTCTTATTGGTTTCTTTGCTTCCCATCTCTCTCCATTCCATTGTGTTCTATATGCTGTAGTAGACCCATCCTCCTGGGCCATGAAAAATGATCCTACCCTATGCCACTAAAATCAAGAGACATCTAACATCTCTATAAGGTAAGATAAAAAGTCCTTAGTTTGCTATGAAAAGCCTTCAAATCTGATTGAAATCAACCTTCCCAGTCTTAGATCCTCAAACTGACCTACATAAATAATTTACTCCAAACAAAGTCACAACTTTTATGAAAACCTTTTACTCCATGTAAATGCACTCCTTAACATTCCTGGGCATGCATCTAACCTAATGAATTGAACATAGTCACCAGTCAGAAAGGAAAATTAAATGTGGAGATATTTCTAAATCTCACAGAATCTGGCCTAAGTACTGTTCTTGTGATTTTGCCCAAACAGTATCACCACAAGAAAATCCTGTCATATATTAATAAGCAAATATGAAAGTAAGAATAATAATTCACTTTATCAATTGATATTCAGTTTCTAAGAGCAAATATGTCTTTTCCATGAAGCCAGGGACTTTTGTCTGTCGTCTGGGAAATACTCTATCCCATAACACTGCCTGGCATCTAGTATGAAATATTAGTGGAGGGTGAATAAACCACAGTGGAACAACAGAAAAACATAGTTCACATACAGTCTTTGTTTTAATGTTTATTGGTAGAAACAGATCTTCAATGCATACTTTGTGTTTATATAAACTCTACATTCTCTTAAAGGTTTTCGTTTTGTTTTCACTGGAGATTTTTAGCCTCCAAGTGAACTTAACATATTGCCTATGCATCTGATTCTTTATAGACTTTTAGATTTTAAAACTAAATTTGAGAAACCATGCATACTGTATACCTTATTTAATAATCCAAAGAATTGTTTGCACTTTCAAAAAAGTTACAAAAAGGCTGAACACAAGTTAAATAACCTATATGATGTAAATTTTCCATTTCTGAATACTTTTTCAGTATTATATATTGCTTGCTGTCTAATAAGTTAGATTGTCAGAGACGCTTCAGTAAATTATCTCTACTTTAAAATTATATCTGAATCCCCTTTCTCTGAGATGAACTTGCCAATATTAAACATTGTGCCATATGCAGTATTAGCCCAAAAGCTTAAATAAGAACCAAACTTGTAGACTGAATATTTTAACCTTAAAATTATATACCTATATATACACCTATGGTATGCTGCATATTAAATTTAACATTTCAAGTAACATATATATAGCAAACATTCAGCCAAATACTCTTTCATGAAAAGATACTGTCCTTAAAATAAAAAGTTAATGAAAAGCTTATTTAGACACAAATGTCTAGATATAAGTACTAAGCCTATGAAACTTGAAGCTAAAGTCTGCTGTACTATTAAGAAAAAGAAGATTGATTCTTAACCTACTGAATTGTGCAGATACAAAAGTGCTTAGCATGACAAAATTACCAAAATAAAAACATTTTAGAGGTTATTTGGTTCTAGCAATATTAACTATTCTGTATTTCTGGATAATTTAACATTTGTATTTTAAATTTTATATAAATTTCTTTTTAACAAGTTTAAAAAAGCACACGAAAAATAGTTCAAACTATATATAATCTGTTATTTTTCATCCTGGTTAGCTAATCACAAATAACTCAGCAAAACAATGCTTGAACATTCAGTTCTACTAAAAAACAGTATTTGAGTAGATCCCATCACCTTACCCATTGTTTGCTATGTTAGACCCTAAAACAGGCTGCCGACAGATCGGACAAGTGCAATTCTCTGAGAGCCATCGGTCAATACAATGAATGTGAAATTCATGCATGCAAGGTAATTGCCTGAGCTTGTTTCCAGTTACATAGTCACTAATACAAACACTACAGATTTTACCTAGTTCACTATCAATACTGTTATGCTCATAGTGCCTGGTGGAAAGATTGTCAATCTGCTCTTTGGTTAAACCACGTATTCGATCATCATCATCACTTTCATTTAGTAAAAAAAAGTGAGCAAGGCGAAGAATGGGTAGTGTTCCAGTTTCAACTAAATTGTTTGGATTTCGCAACTGCCTGCCACCCCTACTGTCACTGTTTCGAGTATGAGGCTGGGTGGTCTCGTTTTCACCATGCATTTCAGTGCTGTCTCCTTGGGCCTGCCTGTCTTGAGAGGAACCTTCCCTGTGCTGGCTCCTGTTGTTATCTGTACCTAAGTTACTCAGTTCTGAGTGCATGTCTGGTAAATGCTGGCCATTTCTTTGAAGTTCTGACTCAGAATCGGCCTCCATTAGAGAACTCAGTTCTCCAAACCCAGTCATGATCTGCCTTAAAATTGACCGAAGAGCCACTGATGATGGCTCAACAAGCTCATTCTCAGAAATCCTACGAAGAGGAACTGTTATGGTACTAACATAGGTTCGAATACCTGACCGCTCTAAACGAGAAATGGTTCGGCGAAAGCCCCCACTATTGCTTTCAATAGTGACTGTATTTTCTGCTAGCCCTACTCTGGATCGAGTTCTATTTGCAATACTATCCCGATCTCTATTTTCTCCAGGACGGATCCTTCTCACTTGAAGGTCCAGTGTGATTGTTGGATGTCGTCGTACAGCAGTTGAGGATCTGCTGGATTCTTCTCCTTCTTCTACTGTTATTCTTGACACAAGCCTTGAATTAGAGAATGGGGTATATGCAGTACCTCTGCGTTCTCGTTCTCTATCTTGCTCTAAAAAGACTCGAGTTCTACCTCTCCTCCTAACAGATCTTCTAGTGGTTTGCTGTACTGGTCTACTTTCCCTTTGGGAATTATGATAAACAGTGCCACTCTGTCTCTGAATTGGTGAACGGCTTCGACTATTGGAAGTAGATCGTAATCTTATTGGCTCTAATCTTTGGTTTGTATTCCTCACTGTAACATTACTTCTAGCCCCATTTTCCCAAACATGTGCTGCTCCAAACCGTTGCCCCTCCCTTTGCCTGAGTTCACTACCACCTGATTGGTTTGTGTGACTACTGAAATTAGTGCGTGAAGCGTTAGCTCGAGGAATGCCAGCTGCTCCCCCAATTCCATTTCTTAACCTTCCCAATGTTGAGAAAGATCCTTCAGCTGGATTTTGCCCCCTTGAAGCAAGCCTAGTCCTTGGAATGTTGGAACTACTACCATTGAAATTCACTGAGGTTTGGCTTCTTGTTCGCCTAGCCACAGGACTAGTTGACCTTTGTTGCCTATTTGCAGTATGATCTCTGTTACTATCTGAAAGTGGAATGTCTGTATAATCTTCTCCATGAATTTCAAATCCTCTATTTTCATGATTTACGTGGATTTCCAAACTAAACCGAAACTCTCCATTGTTCGGGTTTGTTCGACTCACAGCTCTCCAAGTTTGGTTCCCATTTTGTCCACTTCGAGTTGCATTTCCTGTGCGCCGAAAGGTGTTCAACCATTCTAGAAGAGAATCTTCATGTGAACTTTCTCTAGGGACTTCTGAGTCTAGAAAGCAAAGCAAATCAACTTAAGATCAATTCCTAAGACACACCTTACAGCTTTATTGAAAACTTGTAAGAAAAACAAAGTTTGTAATAAATTAAAGAACATCTGTGGATTTTAATGAATGAAAGATGGCAAAAAGACAACTTTCTAAAAGAAAAGTATATCTACTATAAGCATATTATAAAAATTAAATTACTATTTACATAGTTACAAAGCTTTAAATACTATTTATGCAACGCTATGGAGAAATCCTCATTCTTACTTTCTATCTGCCCATTACTAGCAAAATACTAAGGCAAATGAGAAACATGTCCACTACCAAAAGTTTACATTTAAATTGCTTTATCAATATAGTAATATCAATAAAATACAAAGACAAACTTTATGTAAAATTTGTCCTGTATTTGTGGAATCTTTCTGGAAAAGCCAACTCAGTCATTTTTGCAACTAGGTATTTCTGTAATCTTAGAAATTTTTCCTATTTCTCAGGTGCTGCCAAAAATGTACACATCAAGAAATGTGAGTTTCTGAATATAACATTAAAACCACATTACTGTATTTGTCTTTGTGTGAAGCTGAGAAACCAGGCAAGTTACTTAAGGTCTCTATGGCTGATCCTTGTCTATAAACTGGAGTTAATAATAGAATCAATCTCATAGGGTTATCCTGAGGATAAAATAAGACGCTATATATAACATAATTAGCATAATATCTGGCACATAAAAAGCCACCCCATAAATGTTAGCTGTTATACATAATAAAATACATTTTCTATTCATTTAGAACGTAAGCTCCAGGAAAACAAAGATTTTTGTAGTTTTAGTCACTGTTACATCTCCAGCCTCTACAGCAGTATCTAGTATAAATCAGACTTTCAATTAATATTGCTCAATTAATCAATTTAGAAATGTGTCACCCATAAACTTTTTTGACTAAGATACTGCCACTGTGCCAAGCTTAAATTTTCCATTTATAACCAGTAGATATTATATAAAGTACAAAACTTAATAAAAAGCATCAACACATTAACTACACAAACTTCAACTTTAAAGTTTGTTCTACTCAAAAATAGCTATTATAGGCCGGGCGCGGTGGCTCACACCTGTAATCCCAGCACTTTGGGAGGCCAAGGCAGGCAGATCATGAAGTCAGGAGTTCGAGACCAGCCTGACTGACATGGTAAAAACCTGTCTCTCCTAAAAATACAAAGAAATTAGCCAGGCATGGTGGCGTGCGCCTGTAATCCCAGCTACTCAGGAGGCTGAGGCAGGAGAATTGCTTGAACCCGGGAGGCAGAGGTTGCAGTGAGCCAAGATTGTGCCACTGTACTACAGCCTGGGTGACAGAACAGGACTCTGTCTCAAAAAATAAATAAACAAATAAATAAAATAGCTATTATATGACATCATTCTGATTTCATTTCATTCCTGCAATCTCTCTCGTAAGACTTTTTTAAATGCTGAAGTTGAAGCTATTAATCAGCTGTTGATGCCAATAAAATAAACAGCAACTGAGCCATATTCCAGAGATGATGAGCTATTTTATATTTGATGAGTACATTTTCCACTGAAACATATTCAAAAGATCAGTATTAATTATTGCATCTATATAGTACAACTTACATATCTAAACACAAATAATAAAATGTGTTAATGTCCACTTCCCATTTGTTTGGAAAAAGAATGAGTAAAAGGCAGGTGAACATGAATTATTTTAAATGCTACTTCCTTCTTTGATTAACATTTGATTAAGTGTAGTGATGATGGTGCATGTGAAAGAGTTTGCCAAGTACCTACTCAAAGCTACCCTACTCTTCTTCCATTGTAAAAGCATCGGAAATTGGCTCGTGGACAGCCTGGCAGTTAGGTGTGACCATGAGACTAAGTTCTCATGAATGGAATGGGAGAGTAAGCGATACATCCTACTCTCACGCTAGTGCGTGGACCTCCTTCCTACCAGCTAGAACCTAGATATGGTTGCGACTTACCTTGATCATACAAATGGTACCCTGGAGCAGTGATGCCCCATAAATCTTTCTGAAGTAATGAGTATGTTCTGTATTTGTGCTGTCCAATACAGAAGCCACTAGCCAAATGTGACTATTAAGCACCTGAATGTGGCTAGTATGAATGAGCTAAATTTTAAATTTAATTTGATTTTAATTAATTTCCATTTAAATAGTCACATGTGGCTAGCAGCTACTGTACTGAACAGCACAGTTGTAGAATCATTCTGTTAGCTGAGTGGGTTCCAAGAGGATTTCCTTCCCTGGACTGTTAACGTAAGTAAGAAACTTCTAGCTTATTGAGCCATTGCATTTTGGGGTTTTTACATAGACTTCATGGTAACTAATACAATGATTTTGATATAATATGTGAAACTACTAATAAATACCTCTGAGGAGGGAAGTAGAACTGGTTAAGAGGAACACAAAAGTGGCTTTTCCTTTTAACTCTACATACTTCATTTAGTTTGAAGTTCTTTTATAGTACTTTCCTTATAAGAACTTTTTATATGTAAACCATCAAACAGAACAAAGAAACAAAAACAGGTTTCCTAACTCAGTCTTTCTACACGGTTCTGTATATAAATTTTTAGAAGCTAAGTAATATCACTTTAGAAAAAGTAATGTGTACATTCCAAGATTAAAAAGAAGCATGCTGGGAATTAACTTAATTGTATATTATTACATAAAGCTCTCTGAAGGCAATCTGTGTGTTTAAGACATCTTTGCATTCATTCCTCTGTCCTATACTGCTTAACCATACTGCTTTACTACTCATATATATATTATCTGAATGAGTATCACATTAAAACTGGAAAAAATTGAAGACAAACATACTATACAAGGTCTAAGAATTTCATTTCTGCAAGTGCTCCAATCAAGCCTGTTCCTTATGGAAAGGACTCCATAGTACCTCTGTAATTCGTTCCATCTCTCAAGTCAGGCTGAGATGCTAGTTGTTCCTTGACGCCATCTAACCGCTGTTGCAGTTCTTCTGATGTTATTTCTCCTAAAACAATGAAAAACTGCTCATTTAAGAATTCTGAATTAAGTTTTATGAGACCTCATGAAGGGTAAGACTAATCTTTAGTAACCTATAGAAGACAAATGTCTTATTACTTTCATATGTTCTGTAAATTGAAGACAGTTAAAAATATTCAACTGGTACAAATGTGCATCAATTCGGTTGTGCTTCATTTATTAATCTTTTATTAAAAATTATTAAAATAAGATTTAATTTGAATAGTTGGTAAAGTGCTGCCAGTTGATACACTTAGGAATCTATAAGCTATAACTGTGGATTTTTGTCAGTTAAAAAGAAATTAAGGGAGCATTTATAGAGAAAACTTCAAATATTTACTTGAATTTTATCCCAAATACTTCATTATATGGGTCATCAATATACAAACACACAATATATAAACATACAAATTTCCATTAGTTCATTTGTAAAAACTTTATGGAACACATTGGGCTTTGGGGGGAGCTATTAATTCAGCTGAATAAATAAATTATAATACCCCAAATGAGTTCAAATTGGGTTTTAAGTCATATTTTATTTGTATAAAAATTACAAATAGGACCATATATGTAAATACTTAACACCATTATGTACATTAACCTGTTTCTTAGTTTGGCATTTGTATAATAGTGCTCCATGTCCCCTATTTTCACCTTATAAAATACAGAAGCCAGTGATTTTCTACTTTATTATACTAAAAAGTTCTTAAACTCACAAAAACAATATACTATATTTTCATAAAGAGAAGCAAGGAAAAAGAATACCAATTCTCCTTATCTTGAAATCCTTCCATCTAAATGATGAAAAAAGGGTGTTTCCTCTTTTACCCATCTCTTACCAGGGGTGCCTAAAAGATTATGGTCTCTCATAAGCCGATAATCTTCATCATTGAGTTCATTAATAAACTGATAATAGGCCTCTTCTCTGTGGAGACGCTCTTGCTGCCATCTTCTCTCATTTTCATGATGATTATGGTCTTGAGGTAAGGTTTCTTCACTGCCACCATCTGATCTCGATCTAGACTGATTCATCCTGAGATTCCTGGCTTTCTGTTCAAACAATATAAACAACATTCAAGGTGTTAAGTCATGGACCACATTTGGCTTTGTATTTTTAACTTGCAGTTTTTCTTAATTTTTAAATGTTGTCCCCTACCCAAATACTGTATTTGCCAAATCTTGCAGTGAGAAGCTTACATATAAAATGAAAAACAGCTTCTAGGAAATACAACACAATTGGCACTTACTTCTTTGCCTAAAGCCATTAAGTCAGACTGGATTTGGGTTTACCACACAATGCTCATGCCTGAATACCATAGTGATTATCTCATTTTTGACCATGTTGACGATCTGGAAAAGTTGATCCAGAAGTCCTCATTTATGTTTCAGGATCTGGGTACTTCACATTAATTACAAATTTTAGGCTTGAATTATGCACATTCTTCACTTAATGAGCAAAGGGATACTGGGATGATATAATTTACATTTGTTTTCAGCAAGGTATTCTTTCCAAAATAAGGCTCATGAATGTAATATTATCCCCCACTGCACTTTGATGAGGTGAAAATCATTTAGCCTAATTAATATCTACTGAACAAACTGGAAGGTGGTCTCTTATTAAAGCTTACCAGGAAGACTTTGAAACCCAACAGGAAACAAGACATCATGTATGGCTCAAGGATTGTGAAAGTGCATCAGAGCACTTTGTATCACCCCATATCAAGCCTCATCCTTAAGCCTGGAATGGTTAGTCCCAGGAGTTTCAGAATGCCAGTGAAACTTCCTGACTTTGCCTAAGAAACCACTATTTTTGGATTATATTTAAGTGTCACTCCTGAGAAGCTCACTTTTAAATTACATGGAAATCAAGAGAGAAAGATGTTTGTTTCACAAATATTTTAGAATTTCTTAAATACATCTATTCAGTAAGTCACACTAAAGCAATGGTTCTCAAACTCACTTAAGGGTATTTTTAAAAATCTAGATGCCCAAATCTCATCCCCAATCCTTGATTAGAGTTTTCCAGGGTAGGACCAGGTCTGCTGTTAAGAGCTAATTTGGGTGTTCTGCAGATGAAATAAACTATTCCTCGACAATTTCTGGCATGTCACTAAAGGGTATGAGTAATACAGCACCTGACTCAGTAGAGGCTGGAGGCTCAAATGGCTAGGCTACCAGTGAAGCAACTGTGCAACTCTGCCTCTCGAAATACACTAGGTATTTAATAAGCAAGCTGCTTTAAATATAAGGTGAAATTAGCCTACAAGTCTAAAATACTGTTGGAGTAAGCAACTATTCAATTTCACCTGTAACACTAAATTACAAATTCAAGGATTTTTTTCACTGTGGTTATTTTATTATGTCATTTTGAACAAATGACCTAGTAACATTATCCACTCAAATATGAATTAACACTACTAAAAACTCAAGATCTCTATCTTCAGATTAAGACCATAATTAGCAAAGAGCATATTTCGTAGGTACAGCAATAATAGGATTTTTGTAATAAATAATTTTACAAGTTGAAGCCTATCATAAAATCAAGTTACCCTAATATTATTTAAAACTTGAGCTTCTCCTTAAAGGTAATTTTCTTATACAGTTAATCACAATGAAAACAAAGCGAATACCTTATTTTCCTTTCAACACGCTTTTAACATATGCCATGGTATCCATCCTTCAATTGTTTGTGCCTTTTTTGAGAGCTGCCCATCTGAAGCAATAAAAGAGAGTTGAATAATTCAATAAACTGTTTCTTTAAAGGCCAGGAACGGGTGGTAGTCTCCCCACTCTGCTGCAAAGCCAAAGCAAATTCTCCAGTGGATTTTGTTAGACACATCTAGAAAATTAGATCCCCATACAATTAGGTCACGAAAACCTCCCGCAAGGCCCCTACCTTCCGCAACAAACTTAGGCCTTTCGTCCTACACTGTCACTGTTCCTGGGTTTACGCCTCCTCTCTCAAAGGCCTTCCTTCCTATCCCGTTCCCATTCGGATGTTACCAGGGTTAGGCGTCTCCGGCTTACTTCTAAACCTTGACTTTCTTGCCACCCCCGCCCTCCGTCCCGCTACTGGTTTCTTTCCCGGCCGTTGCGACGGAAGCTCGCGCCGGGGGACGATCCCCACTACGATAAATAAAGTGGGCTCAAGAGGCCCAACCAACCTCTTCCCAACCGAGCCTCAAGTAACGCTTCCCTTAGAGACCTAGATTCTCACAAGGAAGCAGGTGATAGACGGTGCATCCCAACCAATCACCAGCCAGCGGAGCGCAATAAGAAGGCAGTTAACCAATCGGAGAAGAGATGGGTGGCTCGAAGGATGGCCTGCTTTCCCCGGCGTCTCCAGGAAGTAGTGGTGGGACCCAGATCTTTCCCTCGAGCCCACCTCTCCAGGTCTTGGGCCTTCGCCCTCCTGTCCGGAGAACGTGTGCTGTGGGCGGCCGTTCTCTCGGGTGCTGGAGGCTGTGGTTGGGAGGCGGGATAGGCTTGCCGCCGCGCCTCCGGAGCCCGCTGTGCCCTCGAATTGGCCACTGAGGAGAGAAGCCGGAAGCCCGTGCTGCAGCGTGGGGTCGTCCAGCTGGAGGGGATACTCGGGAGGAAGAACGGCAGGCCCCAGCCCTTCTTTCCCGACAGCCACGCCGCCCACTTGGCGGCGGGGAGTCGCTCCGCAGCCGGCCCGGAGCTCGCCCGTGCAACTGAAAACTGCGTCCGTCGGGAGCTAGGGTGCCTGGCGTCCCGCGTTCCGCCCTCTTGCGCCGCCCTTACAGTGCCTCCTCCTCGAGGCCAAATGCCCGGCCGCTCAGCGCTCGTGGCAGCCGCGTAGTTGCAGAGACACGGTCTGCTTTCCAGGCTTGGGAAGTCCCAGCACTTAACTCTGCGCGTCGGTGTCGCTCGTTTGCCAGCCAGACTATAAAGTGCACCCAACGGTGTATGCGTCTCTTTACTTCCGGGTGTAACGTACTACCCAGCCAGGCCCTTTCCCTTGCTGTGCTTTGGAACCTGGAAATTACAAACCCTAATAAATTCTGAAGTCTGTCTGTCTGTCTATCTCTATTTGAGACAAGGTCTCATCCTGTCGCCCAGGCTAGAGCGATCGTAGCTCACTGCAGCCTCCAGCGATCCTCCCTCCTCATCCCAGTAGCTGGAACTACAGGCGCTTGCCATTAATTTCACATTTTTTCTTTTGTAGAGACGGGGGTCTCGCTATGTTGCCCAGGCTGGTTTCGTACTCGGCCTCAAGCAATCCTCTCACCTCAGCAAAATGGGATTACAGGCATGAGGCACCGCACCCCACTATATTTTGTGTTTTTTCACCTTCCCGCTAGGAAAGCAGTTTGAAACTCCCAACATTCCTCCCTCTGATTTTATTTCTGAGATGTGAGGCTTACTAAACTTACCTCACCGTTAGTTAAGATGCTGAGTAGGTCTCTGTCTAACCTGGTATAGTCCCCTTTCCTGACATCCCTACCATCTGATGACTTCATCACTGGAGAGTGCTCACAATGCCGTTACTTGTTATTCTTCCGTTTGTTCTTTCATTTCTGCATTAACTTTTGAGGAACTACCATATCCCCATTATTATGCTGGGCACCTGGATAACAAGCTACATGCAGTCCTTAGCATCAATGAGCTACCAGTGTAGTAAGGATCTATGGACAAGTGTTTAAAATAAGCATATGGATATGGATACTAAAATGGAAATATATAAAACAGCCTAGAAAGCCCTTCCAGATCTTTCTTCTGCTTACATTTACAGGCTGTTGTCTTGGCACTCCGAAACTGCTTGAAGTTCCGCCACAAGATATGGGAACTCCTAAGCAACCCCCAACTCCACTTTTACCTAATTTCCTCTGTCTCCCAAAACTCAGCTCAGTTCTCATCTTTAAGGAATTTTTCCTGATACCTCTGAAATAACACCCTTACCTCACCCTCCAGCCCGATATTTACACATAAAACTAAGCAAATGTCCCTTTTGGGGGCTCCCATACTCCCTCTATATATAAAACCCTATTTTAGCATGTATTCATGTATTTAACAAATAGTGAGTGTGACTATGTATTAGGTGCTGGTGATGACAGCCGTGAATCAGACAGTCATGTCCTCATAGAATGAAGTCCTTGCCCTCTTTTCCCATGGAAAAAGAGCCATTGAGCAAATACTTAAGATGATTTTCTGTTTTTAGGTCTTTACTACCTAGAGTCTGAACTGCTTAAGTGTGATCAAATGGTCTAATTCATTTTTGTAATCCCAGAACTTAGCACAGCACTTGGCAGAACATTCTCCTCAGCCTACTGCATAGATGAGCAGAGAAAAATGCAATCTTTTGGCAAACGGGATTAATGCACACAGTACAACGACTTCAGATATTGTGAACACACATCATAGAAAATAACAAGTAGAAATCATTTTTAATATCTGTGAATTTTGGAGAGTGCAATCAAATGCAATAATCCAAGTGCAAATACTTTTTACATGTTGAGTGGAAAAGACATATGTGTCTCTTCCTATTTTTCCTATTTCCTATTATATACCCTAAGAATAAAAAAAAAACTATTATAAAAATGTCTAAATAAAAATCCAATCAAGTGATTTACCAGGTAGGAAGTTGCAGGTTTTTGTGAGTAGAGAATCAGGTAATGTATGTAACTTGAATCCAACACCTTGCTTCAGTTTTTGTAGTCCAAGACAAAATGACTACAAAGAGGGGCTTAGATACAACAGCTGGAACAGACAGATGAATCATTCTGGATATCTACTCCAGGTCTCAGAACCTGCCAAGGTCTCTGGTCTAATTAATTTCTGTTTATTGGATTGGTACCTGGCCTTTGTAGTGTGTATGCCTCATGTAACTCCTGGACTTTTTACAATTAGGAATACAAAGATCTAAAATAATTAAAACCATAACATTAAAAGGATTCTCTGTATATCTGGTAAATTATGTACTTGTCATGTTTAAAAGATTTTGGCTTCATAAAACGACAGCCTTAATTACAATTTAAAACAAAATGGAGCACTCGATTTCAAGTTTTAAGTTGAAGTTGAAATCTTGCTAAGTTTATGGATGGCATCAGAGCAGCAAAGAGAAATATAGGCTCCCCATATTGTTTTATTATTAGTTTAAAAATTATTATATAAGATTTAAAGACGAAATTACATGTAACATTTGAAGTACTTGTGAATGAGATAAAATATTAAATGTATAAATACAGTTTAAAATGTTGGTTTGAAGATATTAAATATGTATATGAATGAGATTGAAAGTTAGTGAAGGGCTAATTCCAAATGACTGTTAAGATTTACTATACTTGACCAGGCACAGCTGCTCACACCTGTAATCCCAGCACTTTGGGAGGCCAAGGCGGGCAGATCATGAGGTCAAGAGATTGAGACCATCCTGGCCAACATGGTGAAACCCCATCTCTACTAAAATTACAAAAATTAGCTGGGTGTGGTGGCGCACACCTGTAGTCCCAGCTACTTGGGAGGCTGAGGCAGGAGAATCGCTTGAACTTGGGAGGCGGAGGTTGCAGTGAGCTGAGATTGTGCCACTGCACTCCAGCCTGGTAACAGAGCGAGACTCCATCTCAAAAAAAACAAAAACAGAAAGATTTACTATGCTTACCACTAGAATAATAAGAGCTGTAAACCAAACGTAAAAACCTAAGTTGTAACTAGGACATTGAATTTGGAACTAATAAGTTGAATATTAACTGTTTAAGACAAAGATTTTTTAAATAATATGTTCTTTATTTCCTTATAGCTCTTTTAACAGCCTTATTGAGATATAATTCACATACCATAAAATTTGCCCATTTAAGGTATACAATCCAGTGGTTTTTAGTATAATCAGACTTGCGCAGCATTCACCACAATCTAATTGTAAAACAGGTTCATCTCCCCAGAGGAAACCCTATACCTATTAACAATTACTCTCATTCCTACTCCACCCTATTCCCAGCCCCTGGCAATTACTAATGTACTTTCTGTCTCTGGATTTGCCTATTCTGAGCATTTCAAACAAATGGTATTCTACGTCATGTGGTCTTTTGTGTCTGGTTTCTTTCACTTAGCATAATGTTTTCAAGGGTCATCATGTTGTAGCATGTCTCAGTATTTCATTCCTCAAGAGAAACTTCGGAATAGTCCTTTTCTGCATATAAAAACAACCCTCAAGGATACTCCTGATAACCAGGGTCTTAATTAGGCCAGAGATGGTCTTGGATCAGGTTATCTAGAAACGAAGCCTGAGACAAGGATTGTTATTGAAGTGTTTTATTAGGACGGTGCACTCTGGAGAAGGGGATAGAGGAAGCAGGATTGGCCAGGAGGACAAGGAAACAAGAATGAGCCTCCACTGATCCCGTGAAATTCACCACCAAGTGGCCTTGTTGGCCAGCTCTTTGTACGTACATGCCTGTCCCTCATTGGGTGAGATCTTCAGGGGCAGGATTGCAGCAGAACCTCATGCGTGAGGTGGCTCCTGTTTTAGCCAAGGGAAATTCTCTAGAGAAGAAGGCAGCTGAAATTGTTATCCAATACTCCCAGCAGCTGGAGTACAGATGCATGAGCTTATAGAGTGGATTTGGGCAGGAAACAAAAAACGTTCACTATGGTCCACGCTTTGTATTGCTGAGATCTTTTGCTTCTCATGTGAAATTTCTCCATCTGAGCAGTTTCTAATCCCAATTTCTGGGAAATTTTTAAAAGACAAGGGTATTGGGACAAACTACAGCCCCTGTTGCTGCAGCTGGTTCCAAGGCCATAACTGATACTCATTATCTCCCTCCTGCACTACCCTTTCTAGATTCCCCTCCACCTCAGCTAGCACTTCTGCTGGTGCAGGTGGCTTGACTGATGGATTGAACCAGGCACTCATCCCTGAGGGGTTCAGACCCTGATTATCATGCTTTTACCAGGCTACGGTGGCTGTACTTATTCATTTACAGTTACAACTAGGCACAGGAATACCAAGAAATGCCCCCATTGGATCTCCTGAGTACCCAGTGCATTCCTCTCTGGTCTAATTATGTAGCATCAGCCTCCACCTTGTTCTGATGGTTTGCTTGCAGGTCTTCCAACATTAAGAGCCCACAGTGATCAGAGAGCAGCCATAGCTTTCAGTTTAGTGGGACTCTTACTGTGTCCTATGATGAAAGCATCCCACCTCTGAGTATAGGACCTGATTATCCCTTGATCACTGGATCCATGTATTCTATCTACTGTGGACACAGCACCATATACCAGCCATTGGTTTAAGGTGTATATTTGCATTATCCTGAAGGATAATGCTCCAGCCTCACAAGGGGTTATTTCCAAGGTGGAATTTCAGCTATGCCTTCCATAGGCCATTGCTCCACTCTATCAATTTGATAGCTTCCAAGTGGTATGGTATGTGGTATGACCAGTGGATCCTCTGGTCAGGTGCCCAACACTGTATCTTCTTGCTGGAAAGTGAGACCCTTGGTCTGAGGCAGTGTTATGTGAGATCCTGTGTCAGACTGTCTGACATTCTGTAAGTCCTTCAGTAGTGGTACTGGCTGAAGCACTGCAGGCAGGAAAAGCAAACCTGTACTGGGAATATATGTCAAACCCAGTCATGATGAAATGGGACTCTTTCCAGGCTGGAAGGATCCATTGTAATCAACTTGCCACCCGGTAGCTGTTTGGCATTCTTGAGCACTCAGTGTTGGTCTCTGCTGCAAACAGGTCAGACATTCAATAGCAGAAGTAGTTTTATCAGCTTTGGAGAGAGTCCAAGCTGTTGGGCCCATGCATAGCCTCCACCTCTGCTACCATGGCTACTCCCTCTATGGGCCCCTTGTGCGAGAACTGGGGTGGCCATAGACAGAGGCTGCCTGATATCTGCTGGCCTAGACATCCTGTCTACACAGTTGGTTGATGCCTCTTCTGCAGTGGAAACTTTCTAATGGGCATTATGTACTAAAAGGTCCTTACACTATGTGCCCTCTCCCATAAGTGTATTTACCTGCCTATTCTCCAGCCTTTCCCAATCTTCCTTCTTCCAGGCCCTTGACCAACAAGCGAAGCTAACATTTGTATATGGGCAACATACTTCTATGTCCAAAGTCGATGACTAAATGCACTGCTTGAAGCTCTGCCAAATGTTATGCTTCCCCTTTCATCTCTTTCAGAACCACCCCTGAGTGGGGCAGCAGTGCTGCAGCAGGTATTTCCAGCTTGCATCCACACCCAGCTGACCATCTAAGATCCAAGCTTGGATTTTTTTCTTTCATTGTCAACTGTTCATGGGGAACTCCCCTGCGGCCATAGCTATGAGTTTAGGGAGAGGCGTTGGTACAACAGTAGCAGTTGACATGGGGGTCTCAGCCACCTATTTGTGCAGCTCACTCATGCTCTCTGGATTTGCTTGGATCTAATTGCAGACCTACTGGATTCCTTACAGGGGATTGCTGCTGCACCCAGCTGACCTTATGACACAGAGAGTCTGACAGAATCCAACTTATGTTCACTCTGTGTCTCATGGTCACTTAGTGTCCCATGGTCAGATGCTCAGTTTCTACCAGGGCCCAGGATCATGACAGAGCTGTTTTTCAAATGGAGTATAGTTCTCTGCAGCAGATGGCATGGCCTTGCTCCAGGATCCTGGGGTCTGTGCTGTGACTCGCCTATTGGGGCTTGCCAGAAGTACCACGTGGCATCTTTCTTTACAACAGACACCTCTAGTACCATGGGATCTGCTGGCTCACAGAGTCCAAGTGGCAGGTCTGCTTGTACCAAAGAATGTACCTACTATACAGCCCTTTATCACCTGAGCTTCACTAACAGCTAGCAGCTTTCCAAGTCACCTGATAAATATATTGCCAAGTACAGTGAATATGCTGCCTTCAAAACCCAGAGGCCTACCAAGTATTCTGCTTTTCTTCTTGGTGGTAGGAATTCAGGCTACAAGAACTTGTCTTGTACTTTGGAGGGGATGTTCCAGCTTACCCCAGACCACTGGATCTTTAAAAACTTCACTGATGAGGCAGGCCTCTGAATCTTGTTAGCCTCTATCCTCTACCTTGTAGAGAACATATTTCTTCCCCCCACCATTTAAATCATTCTTTTTATTTGAGTCAATATGTCCAAAAAAATTTTTAACATTCAATTATCATGAAGAAATACTAAGGAGATACTTTGCACCCTTTTTTGGGACTAAGCCTCTGAAGTCCGTGTGTCTACAACACTCATGAAACGTGACAAGGACCTGCTGCTTCTCAAGCACCCAACACCACACATGGCCACCACGGTACATGGCTGGGTTCAGTGTCCGGCTGCCCTGCGGAAAGGCTGGGGCCTCTGGCCCAAAGCTTGTGACCCCTCATCTTTTCCACTGTGGTGCCTCTGGCCAGGCTTTACCCTACCCAGGGAACGACTCTACACCACCTCTGTGAGCCCAGTGCTATCTGTCCAGACCCAGGGCCAAGGGCCCCCTCCTAGGGCCCTTCCCTGAGACTCATGGGAAACAGCCCAGCCCCCCTCAAAGCAGGGGGACAGGAGGAGTTGCTATGTACCCACGGGCGCCCATCCCTCCGGAAGCTCTCAGGGAGGCGGCCAGCAGGGATTCACCCTCCCCTCCCCTAGCACCCCAGCACCTAGCAGGAGGGTAGCTCTCTGGGGGCCACATGTCCAGCAGTCACATGTTTCAAGGGTCTTGGAGGCAGGCCCAGGCTCCCTGGGGTTGGGCGGAGGCAGAGGAGGTATCTGGGTTGGACTACATGTTGATTTTGGTCCGAGACACATAGTTGCCAACGGTGCCTTGCCCCTGCATGGGGACCCCCTGCGAGGTGGGTCCCGTGTGGCTGTAGCCGGGCCCTGTGATGCTCATGGAGGTTGTGGGCAGCCTGCTCTGCTGCATGGACACGTGGCTCAGATCTGGCCCTGCATGAGGGAGGAGGGCAGCAGGCTTGTGCTGATGGCGCCACTCAGGCTGCCCTGAAAGTGAAGGGATCTGACGCCCAGGTTCATGTTCTGCCTGAGCTGAGCGGGGAGCAGGGACTGCATGTGGAGAACATATTTCTTACCAAGGCATATGGAGTACTTGCCATTTCTTGCTTCTAATATCTAATTAACATGGTGTCATAAATATTGGAGACCAGTGCGATGTTCTGCAGGATGCCCAGGTTGTCCAAGTCCCTTTGGACTATATTATATGACAGAAAGCAGGATAATTAACATTGCCCTGGCAAATGAATATCACGTCCATACCACGTGGATAAAAACTGCTTCTGATCTTTCTTCCTGGTGGATATAGAAAAGAACACATTTACAGATGGATAGCGATTAGGATAGTGCAAAAGTAAAAGTAATGGCAAAAACTGCAATTACAAGTAATGGCAAAAACCGCAATTACTTTTGCACCAGCCTAATACATACATGTACCAAGGCTGTAGTAATATGTTCTAGTAAAGATACCAGATCTTACAAACCAGCTGCAATGGGGCCAATATTTGGCTAAGTTCTTGGTAGTCCACTGTCGTACACTGTGATCTAACCAGTGTTTCTGAGGTCATACTGGCTAATTAAATAGGGTTATGACAAAGAGCACCATCTCTGCATTCTTGAAGTCTTTGAGGATGGCGCTTATGTCTGCCATTCTCCGGGCCTGCAATACTCTTCTTGGTGGGAGAGGGTCTGTTTCAAGGATTACTATTGGAGTTCCTACTAAAATAGCTCTAGTTCCACAGCTCAAGGAACCAATGTGAGGATTCTGCCGAGTGCTAGGTATTTCCATTCCCCGTGAAGGAACCAGAGAAATAGCCACTGGTGGAATCCACAGACTCAGTGAATCTGTTTTAGATGGACCTGGGCCAGACCTTCAGTTATCACCTGACTCTCAGTCAGTCTTTCCTCATAATAATGCAGCCTCTCTTTCAGTCAATTGGTTCCGAGTCTGAGAAATGGCTCAGGTCTGGAAACTGGACAAGAGATCATGACTTTCCACTGGGGTGCCTGACCTCAGCCTCCTGCTAACCTATTATTAATTGCAGGTTATCTTCTATTTATATGCCTTTAGCACTATTTTTTTCTGTTGCACTATTCTCCTACCCATCTTTCTTGTTCCTAGGAACACTATATTCGATTAGTCCTCTCCATAGGCCCCCAAAGGTTAGTCCCCCGGCTGACATCCTGACCTGGCTGCCCATTACAGTAATTAAGTGGTTTTAATGGTTAAGTGCTTCTGATGGCTAAGTGGTGTCACCTGGCCTCTGCTATTCTGGAACGCTCTAATCTCCTTTGCTACCAGGAAGTCTAGCTCTGTAACAGCAATGCTTATCATCAGCCTCAGCTGCAGAGGGCAGCTTCGCAATGATGCCAGTATCCCTTTCACCACTGAGTTTCTTCCTCCATTAGTTTCCTTGGAACCTCCCGAGGAAAGTAATCACTGGTAGACTTCCTGGTGTTAGACGGTAGATCTGTTTCAGCATGCCCACTTCCCTGAGCCTTTTGACCTCTTCCTCCACAGCCTGCCGTGGCAGTTCTGGCCTCTCCACTTCATTTAACGTAGGCCGCTTTTCCCCCAAGCTTCCAAGAGTCATCCAGCAGCATAACAGAACCATCCCTGAGGCAATTTCCAGGGAATTATTATTATTATTATCATTATTATTTACCCTCATGTTCTCTGTGACGGTAACTTTCCAGGGAATGAAATCCTGTCTTGTGGGCCCCATACCCCATACAAATTCTCCCTTCCCCTGCTTGATATCCTATGCCCCTTGGTCCAGCACCTCGTAGTCCCCTCCCAGGCATTCTCCCTCTTTTGCTGGTATACATTATCCATGTCCAGTAACACTTTGGCTTGTAGCCCCTTTCCACTCAGCACAGCAAGCATTACCCCAATTGAGTCATGATGAAGCGTGACCCCAGTTTTGGTCTGGTGTCCAAAAGTGAAAGGTGGAAGGAGGGAAAACATTGTCATATAAGGGTCCGTTTCATTCGAAACTTCTGCATAGCAAGGAAAGGAGGGCATTCTCTTTTAGCAATGGGAGCGGATCACTTCTGCAGGCACATTGGTTTGGTGGACTCTGGAGGTCAAATGCTGCATCTATCTACCCAGCAATGAGATATAGCCTTATTGCACAGTTCAGAGTCCCACCCTACCCTTGCAGGGCTCTGCCTTTAATGAAGGAGATCTGCTTTGACTGAACATTAAGCCTTCACTGTAGTTCTTTGTTACAGAAAAATGTTGGGCTGTCCTGCAGCTGCAGGTGATGAGAGTCTCTTGCAATGCTGTCTAGCAGGCCCTCTGTCTCTCACACTGCACTTTTCATTCATGATTAGCTGACCTGAGCCTGTCATTTCCTCTCTTAAGCACATAATCGGTGACCAGCAGCAGCCATCCAATTCTACGGTCCCTTCAATTACTATTTTCCAATATCTCCACAATGCCAGGGACATAGCACCAGCCACTGCATTCCCTTTCACCCGCATCATATTCCAGCCCACCACAGGTGAAAGGCAGCCTGGGCAGGTAGGCTGGGAACTGATGATACTCCACCAAGGTCTAATGATCCATTGTCTAGTAGATGATCCAACTCCAGAAGTCCATCCTGCTTCCTGAAACTCCTCTGGCACTAACTATCTTAGTTGGGACTACCTGGAAACTGGGCCTGAGTCAGTGATTTATCATGAAGTACTCTTCAGGAGAGACCTTTCAGTAGGGAGGGAGGAAGAACAGGGAAGGGGAAAGAGCTGAACAAGAATTTGCCAAAGACTAGCCTGAGCTTAGGCCTTTTATTTGGAAAAACCTACCCAATCTCCCTTTGCCTGGCTAACTCTTTTAGGAGTCATAGCTCTTATAGCTCCTTTTGGACAAGATTCGCTGACCTCATCGGCCTTGGCTAGGTTTTCTGTCTATGTGATCTTACAGTAACCTGCAGTAACCTGTATCTTTCATTTATCAGATGGTATTATAATTTCCTTTCTACTTTCTACTTGTTTAAGGAAAGGAATTTTCCAAAATACATACAGTACTCCCCTCTCTAAGGATCTCAGTATGCCTTAGGGTGAGGGGAGGGATAGGAAAGGATACATATGTACTCACACATACATACACAAATATACACTTTTAACTTCCCAGGTGATTATATTATATTTGCAGCCCTACCCTAAACCCTTTAATATTTACTAGCCCAGTGGTTTTCAATGTTGGCTACATATTAGGATCCTCTAAGGAGCTGTTAAAACTACTGATGCATGGGCCTGATTCCCAAAACATGCAGAATTGATTGGTCAGGTATGGGGCCTGGGCATCAGTGATTTTTAAATTTTTATTTATTTTTTGAAATGGGGTTTTGCTTTTGTTGCCCAGGCTGGGTGCAATGGTGTGATCTTGGCTCACTGCAACCTCCACCTCCCAGGTTCAAGCGATTCTCCTGCCTCAGCCTCCCAAGTAGCTGGGATTACAGGCGCCTGCCACCATACCCGGTTAATTTTTGTATTTTTAGTAGAGATGGGGTTTCATCATGTCGCCCAGGCTGGTCTCAAACTCTTGACCTCAGGTGATCCACCCACCTTGGCCTCTCAAAGTGCTGGGATTACAGGCATAAGCCACTGTGCCCGGCCATCAGTGATTTTTTTTAAAAAAAGCTCCCAGATTATTCTAATATGCAGTTGAGATTGAGAACCACTGGACAAGACTATGATGTCCATGGTGGTAGATTTTTCGTCTTACTCCTCTAGATATTTCCAGGGCCTGCCTCAGTATTTGTAGTAGGCAGATAATAAATATGGAATAAATGAATAAGTGATTGTAAAAGGTAGAGAGATAAGTGCATTTTTCCCTCATGATGTCATAAGCTGACATTTAATATCAAGTCATATTTATAAATATAATTGACCTGAGCTAATTTTTCACTTTAGTGATCACAAACATCCCTGAGAGTATGACCCACAGGGAACACTCCCGTGGTCTCAAATAGCTTCAGGTAAGATCCCAGACACTCCTCAACTTTCCTGGCTTTCAGCTTTCAAAAGTAATTATCTCTGCCTTGTGTACATTAAATGGAGGTCAAAAGTTACCAAACTAGGAGCCGGGCAGGGTGGCTCATGCCTGTAATCCCAGCACTTTTGGAGGCCGAGGTGGGCGCATCACCTGAGGCTAGGAGTTCAAGACCAGCCTGGCCAACATGGTGAAACCCTGTCTCTACTAAAAATACAAAAAAATAGCCATAGCCAGGCATGGTTGTGGGTGCCTGTAATCCCAGCTACTTGGGAAACTGAGGCAGGAGAATTGCTTGAACTCGGTAGGCAGAGGTTGCAGTGAGCTGAGATTGTGCCACTGCACTCCAGCCTGGGCGACAAAAACGAAACTCTGTCTCAAAAAAAAAAAAAAAAAAGTTACCAAACCAGGACTAGGAGCAGTGGCTCACAGCTGTAATCCTAGTACTTTGGGAGGCCGAGGCGAGAGGATTACTTCAGCCCAGAAGTTCAAGACCAGCCTGGGCAACATAGTGAGACCCCCATCTCTATTTATTTTTAAAAAAAAAAGTTACCAAACTAGTTTTAGCTTCTCTTTTGGTGCACAAGCCCTGCAGAGCTGGCCGTGCTACCTCCCGAGGCAGTGTGGGGCCACAGTGCAGAACTTCTGTGGTGTCCCCACCTGTATGCGGAAGAGCACATGGTCCAACTTGGTCTTCTTCAGGTTCCCACAGGATCCATCCAGATGCGCAAAGTAGGTGGAGAAATGTCGGAGAGCAGACCTATTAGATAAAACATCTAATTAATTAAATACACATTCTCAATTAGGTGCCAACCATTTCTGAGTCCTCTACCATCTGTAGAGCTAGTCTTAATAGAAAATCTTTGAGATAATGCAATCCCAGCAATATTTGATCTTTTTTTTGAGACAGAGTGTTGCTCAGTCACTCAGGCTGGAATGCAGTGGCATGATCTTGGCTTACTGCAACCTCCACCTCCCGGGTTCAAGCGATTCTCCTGCCTCAGCCTCCTGAATAGCTTGGATTACAGGAGCATGCCACCAGGCCCAGCTAATTTTTGTATTTTTAGTAGAGACAGGGTCAGGCTGGTCTCGAACTCCTGACCTCATTGTCCACCTGCCTCAGCCTCCCAAAGTGCTGGGATTACAGGCGTGAGCCACTGTGCCTGGCCCAGTATTTGATCTTACCACTCATTTGAACAATCCACATAGTAGACACAGAAAATGAATAAAAGAATTGAAGAAAGATGAAATTAGAACACTGAAACAGAAAAAAGTTGATGAAACTTCTGAACAGGAATGAAAACATAAAGAAACCAACAACAGCAGAGTTCAGAACCCCAGGGCAGTAGAAGCCAGCCAAGGGAAGGATGTGGACATTTTGCCTCTAACCCCTAAAGAGAAAGAAAATAAAGAACACCTAAAATCTCCATTTGAAATGTTGATTTTGTTGGAAAAACAAAATATACCTCTGGATAGATGTGAGACTGATGAAATGCCAGAAGGTCTCTTTACTCCCGGTAACATCGAAGTACTGCTGGAGTACAGATAAATTCTGGTGAAGAGGATTTTGTTTGTTTGTTTATTTGAGACGGAGTCTCGCTCTATTGCCCAGGCTGGAGGGCAATGGCCCGATCTCGGCTCACTGCAAGCTCCGCCTCCCGGGTTTGCGCCATTCTCCTGCCTCAGCCTCCCGAGTAGCTGGGACTACAGGCACCCGCCACCACGCCCGACTAATTTTGTTTTCGTATTTTTAGTAGAGACGGGGTTTCACCATGTTAGCCAGGATGGTCTCGATCTCTTGACCTCATGATCCGCCCGCCTCGGCCTCCCAAAGTGCTGGGATTACAGGCGTGAGCCACAGTGCCCGGCCAAGGTGAAGAGGTCTTGAGAAAGTGTTTTGAGACGACAGCCATGAGCACTTTTTTTTTTCTGAAATACAACCAAATCAGATGCTAGAGTCTGTGAGATTCTAGAGGCTGCTAGAGATCTGTGGGAGCTGCATTTGGGAAGAAACCCTCAGGGACTTGAGAGACTCACACTTCTTTTCCATTATCACTGACATAGCCGGGGAAGATCACCTACAGTGTTGGTGAGGTTTGTTGATGAATCTCATGACCTGGGAGTGGAATCTGTGGGCTTCCCACCTTATGAGGCAGATGCAGAAATTTTGGCTGCGAAATTTCACACTGAAAGTTACAAGTGGGCACTAAATATGGAATATTGTTATGGCCAGATTTACATTATGTCTGGTGGATTTTCTTCTAAAATGGAAGTTGTTTGCTTCTAGACTTTTGAAGAAAACCCCTCAAGCTATCTACATACTCTGCTCTTCCTGTGCCTTAAGTATGTGGTTGGCAAAATCAGTGCCTGTTATGGGAGCAATTGAGGAACAAATGCTATAACTTTTCCTATAACAATTGTTATAGGAAAAGTTGAGGAAGTTTGTTCTTTTTTCCATTGTTGGCTGCAACTGCTTTTAGAATTTGGCAATGTAATTTCTGTTCTTTTTCAGAACAGTGAAGAAAAGGGTAAAGGACTGAACGAAATTTGCCATTCTCAGTGGACAGGCAGGCATGATGCTTTTGAATTGTAGTGGACCTCCTGTAAGCACTTGTTTTAGATGGTATAAATAGTGACCCAAATACTAGATGGAATAACTGTATAGCTGGCCAAGCATTTGTACTCTGTAGTATAGTAGCAGATTTTGATTTCACTGTTATCATTATTGTTCTTTAAAGTCTCCTATCTTTTACAAGAGCCTCTGGGGAAAATTTCTGAGGGCAAACCTCTGATTTCTTCTTTGCAGCTAATAGCTTGACTGCTGTACTGCATGCACTCAATGAAATGATGGAAAATATTGAAGTTCATCATGAGTTTTGGTTTGAGGAAGCCACAAATTTGGCAACCAAACCTGATATTCAAATGAAACTCCCTGGGAAATTCCACAGAGCTCAGCAAGGCAACTTGGAATCTCAACTAACCTCAGAGTTACTGTAAAGAAACCCCAAGTGCTCCAACAGTGCAACACGTTCTTCAGGAGCTGAAAGGTATATTCTCAGAACAGCACCTCAGAGCTCTTAAATGCATATCTCTGGTACCATCAGTCATGGGATAACTCAAACTCAATATGTCAGAGGAACACCATGTACAGAAGTGACTTACTGGATCCCGACATGCTCTCAGCTGAGCTTCATTGTTGCAGAGTCAAATGGAAACACAGAGCAGAAGGTATAAAGCTTCCATCCCCATTTATGAAGCCCTCAATCTGCCTGACATCAGGCAGATGTGTAGGCATTGATGTGTATGCATCGATGAAGGTCTCATGTAGTCTTCCTGTGATAAAGGTTGAGAATGAGTGCTATAAAAATGGACAAAAGCATTTCAAAGTGTATTTGATGAACACGTTGACTGACTAAAGATCGAGTAACTTGGCTTTGCATAACATAAATTTTAATATAAAACATGATCTGGATTTAATGGTAAACACATATATCAACTCTATACAACTAAGTCAGAGCTTCCTACAGATAATTCAGAAACTAGTTAAAATACCCAAGAGACTTTAAAAATAGGGCTTCTCTTATAGTTGATATTTGAAAGAAAAGCTGTAAGGTGTATGTAGGCCACTTAATCACTGAGTATCTTTGTCTATAGGCCTCCCATTGAATACTTTAGCCATTGATAATCTGCCAATTTGAAAGGGCCCTGTTTGAACTCTCCTGTTTTGGGGACCTATCTGTTCTTCCAGAAAGTGACACTGAAGTTGCCAGGTTTCACTATACATGAGCTCTGCTAGTAGCATTCTTGAATTGTTTTAATTGTCATTTTAGACATGGTATTTATTATCACCATGGATCCAATTGTCGAGTATTGAGCTATCAATTCTTCCAAGAAATAAATGTTGAAGAGGTGTGGGAGGAAGGAATAAATTTTATAAAATGTTACAATGAAGCTCATGATTGATCTGTGACTAGTAGGAATTTTAAGTGTATAGCTAAAAATCCATAATGGAAAGTAAAGGGAACTACCAGACAGAGAAACGTGTGAGTTTGCCAAACAAGAATTTCAGTGTAGATTTTGTTTTTACCAAATGAACTTAAAGGAACAAGTTATAGTGAAAGTTTGAATGGAAGAGCCCACCATTGTTGTTCCACATTTGGTTGTGGCTGTCTGCATTCCTTTGTTGAGGCTACATCTTCATAAGCTTTTTATCAGGTGCATGTTCAACACTTGTGTTTCATGGTCAAGACAGAATCAGAGGCCATGGATACTGACAACTGACATGTCTGTTTTCTTCTGTCTTTTTCAATGAGTATATCTACAGCCTTGTCTTGATTTTTTTTTTTTTTTTTTTTTTGAGTGATAGGGCCTTGGTCTATTACCCAGGCTGGAGTGCAGTGGCGTGATCGAGGCTTACTGCATCCTTGACCTTGTGGGCTCAAGTGACCCTCCCTCCACAGCCTTCCAAGTAGCTGAGATAACACGCATATGCTGCCATGTCTGGATAATTTTTTTTTTTTTTGTAGAGATGAGGTCTCACTATGTTGCCCAGGATGATCTCAAACTCCTGGGGTCAACCAATCCTTCTGCCTCAGCCTCCCAAAGTGTTGGGAGTATAGTCATGAGCCACCATGCCCAGCCCTCATCTTGGTTTATAAGCAAAACCTGAAAAATCTACAAAAAATAAGTATATGGTGGTTTGCCTAGAAATAATGCAGAAAATATTGCTATTATTTTCAGTGAAGAAAGTCAATATTGTATTGTTTATTTCACTGTAAATAAAATACAAATTTTCTCTTTAAAAAAGTTACCAAATTTTGCTTAGACTTATAAAACACAGCCCTGGCAAAAGAGTTTAAGATTAAAGCATATCCATTTTACTAAAAGAGACATTAGAACAGGGATGTACAATTTTGTATGAAGGTCAATGTTAGTGAAAACAGAATAAACATTTATAAGGACCCATCATGTTCCAGACAGCGTACCAGCTATTGCATAACAGCCAGTGAGGCACAGTATACAAAAGGAACTCAGCAAGTATCATGGGATAGTCATCTATCTAATGGAGTAGGCATCGAGCAGAAGGCAGGTGGGAATAGGAATACCTCCTGTGCAAGTAGTGCACATGTGCCTTGTTAAACCATCTTTTAAAATATGAAAGATAGGCCAGGCGCACTGGCTTGCACCTGTAATCCCAGCACTTTGGGAGGCCGAGGCAGGAGGATCACTTGAGGTCAGCAGTTTGAGACCACCCTGGCCAACATGGTGAAACCCTGTCTCTACTAAAAATACAAAAATTAGCCAGGTATGGTGGCACGTGCCTGTAGTCCCAGCTACTTGAGAGGCTGAGGGAGGAGAATCGCTTGAACCCGAGAGGTGGAAGTTGCAGTGAGCCAAGACTGTGCCACTGCACTCCAGTCTGGGTGACACAGCGAGTCTCCATCTCAAAAAACAAAAAAAAAACAACAAAAAAAAGAACACCAGGCACGGTGGCTCATGCCTGTAATCCCAGCACTTTGGAAGGCCAAGGCGAATGGATCACATGATGTCAGGAGTTTGAGACCACCCTGGCCAACATGGTGAAACCCTGTCTCTACTAAAAATACAAAAATTAGCCAGGTATGGTGGCGTGTGCCTGTCGTCCCAGCAACTTGGGAGGCTGAGGCAGGAGAATCACTTGAACCCAGGAGGTGGAGGTTGCAGTGAGCTGAGATTGTGGCACTACACTCCAGGCTTGGTGACAGAGCAAGATCCTATCTTAAAAAAAAATTAAATATGAAACATAACATATCTGGAAGAGATGCAACCGAACTGGCTGGGAATGGGGAGAATAGGTGCAAGAACATAAAGCTGGAGGCACAAGTTTGGCATGTGTGAGAATAAAGAGAAAAAGAACAAAAAATGAGGCATGAAGCATAGTTCAGAAAGCTCAGTTTGTAACTGGCATCCATCTGTGTCATTTTTTATTAATGCTTATTGTTTATTTCAAGAGAAGTCACGGATTTCAAAGGCATTAGGCTAGACTGGCCAAAACTCTTCCAGGGAAGAATTATTATCATTATTATTAGATACAATTTGCTGAATGTCTACTATATGCCAGGCCCTGCACTGAACCCTTTAAATACAATCTCTCTAACCTGTACAACAATCCTACAATCTTGGCAATATTCCTAGTTAACAAATATGAAAACTAAAGCCAAGTGAGGTTATATATCTTGCACAGGATCCCACAAATTATAAATGGAAAAGCTGCTGCATTACTAAATTTCTGAGAGGGAGACAGATGATTTGAATAATAAAAATATTTTGATCCACTTTTCTTCCCCTCCCTTTGGGTCACTATATATATAAGTAGATCAGACGACTGTAAAATTCAAACATAAAATTTAAGAAGATGTATGAGTTTATAATGTTATTAAAGTAATGGTATTATGTAAACATTCTCAGTTTATAAATAGTACATTTTGTAAATTCATTCCAAAATGCATTGTTTGTAATTTAGAATGCCTGTTCTAGAGACAAAGCAAGCATGGTAGTTTCCAGGCTAGCCTAAATACGGGCATTTAATATGTACTAGATCTAAGTTTTATTTTGTTTTGAGACAGAGTCTTGCTCTGTCGCCCAGGCTGGAGTGCAGTGGCACGATCTCGGCTCACTGCAACCTCCTCCTCCCGGGCTCAAGTGATTCTCCTTCCTCAGCCCCCTGAGTAGCAGGGATTACAGGCATGTGCCACCACATCTGGCTAATTTTTGTATTTTTAGTAGAGACAGAGTTTCACCATGTTGGCCAGGCTGGTCTCAAACTCCTGACCTCAAGTGATCTGCCTGCCTCGGCCTCCCAAAGTTCTGGGATTACAGGCATGAGCCACCACGCCCAGCCTAGATCTAAATTATTAATTGTCCAAATATAGGTTTTACTTCCTGGGATCAGGGGTACATACTATTAAGAAACTATTAAGGGAGGAGTGAGGAAGAAGGAGGAAAGTAGAAGAAGAAGAAGATTTTCTGGCGGTAAACTAGAAATGAAGTTTCTAAACTACAAACTGTCATGTTTCAAAAGTTTGTAAATTGTTTATTGAAACTCAAAAGTTATTTTGTCAAAAAAAAGTACACATGGTGGTTCAGTTTCTAACCAGCCTATAAAGCTTATTAAAGTGGTCATCTGATTGACATTTATTAATTTTTTATTTGATTTGAGCTTCTACTGTCCTTGTTTTTCCTTTTCCTTTTTTCAGCTGTTCTTTTATTATCTGCGTGACCTTCAGCAAATTACCTAACCTCTATAAGCCTCAGTTTCCCCATGTGTAAAATGATGATAACTGTAGTACCTATTGAATTCTGAGGATGAAATTAGTTAATGCCTTGCACATAGAAAATATTCAATAAATAATAGCCACTATTACTATTACTCTTATTATATTACTATCATCTGTCTTAGGTTGGCTACCTGCCCCCACTCCCCCTATAGGCAGAACCTTCAACAATAATTTATGTAAAAATGATTTATTTAGGAAGTGTTCCCCGGGAAAACCAGTAAGGTAGTGGGGAATGGAACTGAGAAGGAAATGAGCCTAAATGAGGTATAATCTAAACTGACTCAAGCCCAGAGGCGACACAGGAGACAGTAGGTCACCCCAGTTGTGTCCCAACCAGGGGCCAGGAGAGCTGGGGTACTCATAGTCATTAAGTTAAGGTGGGAGTGGCTTAATTCCCAAACGCTTCAGCTTTGTCTGTAAAAAGTAGAGTCCAGGTTGGGTGCAGTGGCTCAAGCCTGAAATCCCAGCACTTTGGGAGGCCAAGGTGGGTGGATCACTTGAGATCAGGAGTTCAAAACCAGCCTGGCAAACATGGTGAAACCCCATCTCTACTAAAAATACAAAAATTAGCCAGGTGTGGTCGTGCACACCTGTAGTCCCAGCTATTCAGGAGGCTGAGTCATGAGAATCGATTAAACCCAGGAAGCGGAGGTTGCAGTGAACCGAGATGGCACCACTGCACTTCAGCCTGGGCCACCGAGCGAGACTCTGTCTCAAAAAAAAAGTAGAGTCTGTTCCAGTTGCCTCAGGGCAGCCCCGTTAAGAAATAAGGAAATTTGGCCAGGGGTGGTGGCTCATGCCTATAATCCCAGCACTTTGGGAGGCTGAGGTGGGTGGATCATGAGGTCAAGAGATCAAGTCCATCCTGGCCAACTTAGTGAAATCCTGTCTGTACTAAAAACACAAAAATTAGCTGGGCTTGGTGGCACATGGCTGTATTCCTAGGAGGCCTAGGCAGGAGAAACTCTTGAACCTAGGAGGTGGAGGTTGCAATGAGCAGAGATCGTGCCACTACACTCCAGCCTGGAGACAGAACGAGACTCCGTCTCAAAAAAAAAAAAAAAAAAAAAAAGAGAGAAATAAGGAAATTTAAGAGGCTAGGTCACAGCACTGAATGGGCATCTGCTATATCATCATCACCGTCATTGTCATCATTATCATCATCACCTCCCGTAAAACACACAAATGGCACATAGTGTGAAAGGCATTGTGTTAGGTTCTAGGGATTTTTTAAAAGTTGTAAAATATCGTCCCTTTCCTTCTACACCTTGAAATCCTTTTGAAGAGTCAGGAAGAACACACGAAAGTAAAATAAGTATATGCTAAGAGCCAAATAAATGTGAACAAGGTATATGCTATGGGAACTAATTGGCACTGGGTGGTAAAGAAAGATCCCATAGTACTCTTTGAGTTGGATCTATGAGTTTGGGTCACTATATGACACTTTGAATTGAGATCTGTGACCTATCCTTTTGGCCACTTTGAGTTGGATCTCAAAGAATGGGTAGGGGTTAGACAAACAAAGAAGAAAATAGTAATATTAATGGGGAAAGCAGTGAATGCTGTAGGGAGAATTAATAAACTTCTAATGTAGTGCTTCTAAGCTCTGAATTCATGTTAAAATCACCAAGAGCCTTTACAAATCCCAGTGCCCACCTGTAACCAGTTCAATTACATCAGGATTGCTGTTTTCAGATCTTATAAAGTCTCTAATCCATTTCAAGTTAACTTTTGTATGTGGTATAAAACACAAGTCCGACTTCACTCTTTTGCCTGTGGATATCCAGTTTTCCCAACACCATTTATCAAAGAGATTTTTCTTTCTTCATTGTGTATTCTTCACACCCTTGTCAAAGATTAGTTGACCATATATGTGTAAGCTTATTTCTGGGATTCCTATTGTGTTTCATTGACTTATGTGTACGGTTTTATGTCAATACCATACTGTTTTGATTACCATAGCTTTGCAATATAGTTTGAAATCAGAGACTTTGATGCCTTTAGCTTTATTTTTCTTTGTTAAGATTGCTTTGGCTATCTGGCATCTTTTGTGGTTCCATATAAATTTTAGGATAAAAAGTATTTCTGTGAAAAATGCCATTGGAATTTTGATAGGGATTCCATTGAATCTGTAGATTGCTTTGGGTAGTGGGGACCCTTTACTGATATTAATTCTTCCAACCCATGGACATGGATATCTTTCCATTTATTTGTGTCTTCAGTTTCCTCCATCAGTGTTTTATAGTTTTTAGTGTATAGATCTTTCATCTCCTTTCTTAAATTTATTCTTAAGTATTTTATTCTTTTTGATGTTATTGTAATTTGGAATTGTTTTTCTTGATGCCTTTTTTGGATAGTTCATCATTAGTGTATAGAAACACAACCGACTTTTGTATGTTGGTTTTGGCGATGGAACGAGACTCCATCTCAAAAAAAAAAAAAACAAAAAAAACAAAGATGAACAAGTTCTGAGGATCTAAGGTACACCATGGGTGGTGACGGATGCATTAATTAATTTGACCATGATAATCTTTATACAACATATACATATATGAAATAATCATGTTACATACCTTGAATATATATAATCTTTGTCAATTAAATATATTAAAATTTTAAGAATGGGGGAAAAGGGATTGCTGGGGGGATTCCCTAGGTAATTCCCAGGGACAACCAAGGTTGAGAACCACTGTTTCATTGTATAGGAAGCAGCCTATGAGAAACTGTTCAGCAGCTATATTGGAAATATAGAAGAGCTCAGATTGTGGAAACCTTAGCTACGTGGAACTAACTAATCTAATTCTAACATGTCTACTGAAATTATAAAACTCCTAGAAGAAAATATAGGAAATAAAACTCCTTGACATTGGTTTTGTCAGTAATTTTTTGGCTATGCCCCAAAAGCACAGTTAACAAGGGCAAAAATAGACAGATGGAATTTTATCAAACCGAAAAGCTTTTGCCCAGCAAAGGAAACAATCAACAAAATGAAAAAGCAACCTATAGAATGGAAGAAAATATTTGCAGGCCATATATCTGATAAGGGCTTAATATCCAAAATATATGAGGAATTCACACAACCCAAAAGCACAAAAACAATCGGATTAAAAGATGGGCACAGGACCTGAATAGACATTTTCCTAAAGAAGACATACAAATGGCCAACAGGTATGTGAAAAGATGCTCAACATCACTAATTCTCAGGGAAAGGCAAACTCACACTAAGAGATACTGCATCACACCTGTTAGGACAGCTATTATCAAAAAGATAAGAGATGACAAGTGTTGTCAAGGGTGTAGAGAAAAAGAATCCTTGAACACTGTTGGTGGGAATGTAAATTGGTACAGCTATTATGGAAAACAGTATGGCAGTTCCTCAAAAAATTAAAAATAGAACTACCATATGATCCATCTATCCCATTTCTGGGCATATACCCAAAGGAAATGAAATCGGTATCTCAAGGAGATATCTGTATTCCATGTTTATTGCATGATTATTCACAATAGCCAAGATAATGAAGATAACCTAAATGTCCATCAATGGATGAATGGATAAAGAAAAAGTGATGTGTGTATGTAAAAGTGGTGTGTATACACACACACATAGAGGAATATTATTCAGCTATGAAAAAGAAGGGAAGGCTGGGTGTGGTAGCTCATGCCTGTAATCTCAGCACTTTGGGAGGCTGAGGCAGGCGGATCACCTGAGGTCAGGAGTTTGAGACCAGCCTGGCCAACATGGTGAAACTCTGTCTCTACCAAAAATACAAAAATTAGCTGGGTGTGGTTGTGGGCACCTGTAATCCCAGCTACTCAGGAGGCCGAGGCAGGAGAATCACTTGAACCCCGGAGGCGGAAGTTGCAGTGAGCCAAGATCGCACCACTGCACTCCAGCTTGGGTGACAAGAGCAAAACTCCCTCTCAAAAAAAAAAAAAAAAAAAAAAAAGGAAAGAAAGAAAAAGAAGGAAATTCTGCCATTTGCAACAACATGGATGGAACTGGAGGCTATTATGTTAAGGGAAATAAGCCAAGAATCAAAAGACAATTACTGTATGATCTCATATTTATGTATAATCTAAAATAGTCCAATTCATAGAAACAGAGTAGAATGGTGGCTGTCAGGGGTTGGTGGTGTGAGGGAAATGGGGAGATCTTGGTCAAAGGATACAAACTTTCAGTTATAAGATGAACAAGTTCTGGCCGGGCACAGTGGCTCATGCCTGTAATACCAGCATTTTGGGAGGCTGAGGCAGGCGGATCACATGAGGTCAGGAGTTTGAGACCAGCCTGACCAGAGATGGTGAGACCCCATCTCTGCTAAAAATACAAAAATTAGCCAGGCGTGGTGGTGCGCACCTGTAATACCAGCTACTCCAGAGGCTGAGGCAGGAGAATTGCTTGAACCCAGGAGGCGGAGATTGCAGTGAGCAGAGATCACGCCACTGCCCTCCAGCCTGGGCGACGGAGCGAGACTCCATCTCAAAAAAAAAAAAAAAAAAAAGATGAACAAGTTCTGAGGATCTAAGGTACACCATGGGTGGTGACAGATGCATTAATTAATTTGACCATGATAATCATTATACAGCGTATACATATGTGAAATAATCATGTTACATGCCTTGAATATATATAATCTTTGTCAATTAAATATATTAAAATTTTGCTGGGCGCGGTGGCTCACGCCTGTAATCCCAGCATTTTGGGAGGCTGAGGCGGGTGGATCACGAGGTCAGGAGATCGAGACCATTCTGGCTAACACGGTGAAACCTCGTCTCTACTAAAAATTACAAAAAATTAGCTGGGCGTGGTGGCAGGCCCCTGTAGTCCCAGCTACTCGGGAGGCTGAGGCAGGAGAATGGCGTGAACCCGGGAGGCAGAGCTTGCAGTGAGCCAAGATCGCGCCACTGCACTCCAGCCTGGGCGACAGAGGGAGACTCCGTCTCCAAAATAAATAAATAAATAAATAAATAAAATAAAAATAAAATTTTAAGAATGGGGGAAAAGGGATTGCTGGGGGGATTCCCTAAGTAATTCCAATGGACAACCATTGGGTTCTCCAAAGGTTGAGAACCAGTTTCATTGAATAGGAAGCAGCCTATGAGAAACTGTTCTGCAGCTATACTGGAAACATAGAAGAGCTCAGATTGTGGGAAACTTAGCTACGTGGAGCTAACTAATTTAATTCTAGTATTTCTATTGTAAGCTGCCTTAAAGTATTTTCATAAGCCAGGCTAAAGTAAATACAGGACCTGAAATATTAGATGAAGGAGTTTAAATTAAGCTATAGGCAATGGAAAATCACGTAGGGTCTTTAAAGATTTTTAAGCAGAGGAATGATGTAAATAGAACATTAAGAAATTTAAACAGGATGTAGGCTTTCAGGGCAGGAAGGATGATATCTGATGGAACCTGACCTTGGGTGGTGGAGGCGGGGCAGGGAAAAGGCTACTAACGGAGAAAGAGTCCCAGAGGTTCTGGGCATGGAGTTGCGTGGAAACAAATAGCCCTGGGTATCAAATATCAGGTGGTTGCAGAGGTGACCTAGCCATGTTTATGTGTGATAGAAAAAGCTATGTAGCTCACAGGAGAGATACATGTTTGTGCCGGAACCAGCCAGAAAAGACTTGGCTTTCCTGGCAATTGGGCCTGAGTAACACAGTCCAGCTAAATGGAGGGTGAAACATACTGAAACAAGAAGTCAGAGTAATACATTAAGCCTTGAAAAACTGAACACAAAACTAAACTGTGTTCCTATAGGTTAGTTGCTACACTCTTGTGTAGCAAAATATTATTTTGAACTGAAGAATATAAAGTGATATGCTTATTTCTAAAAAGGTGTCCACTAGCGAAAAAAAGGACAAAATTACAGTACTAAATATCATTTTAAAGAGGTAACTTCTCCTTAATACTTACAGAATGTGAGGATGGAATTCACCAACAACAAATTTGAGAGATTTCAGTCAGGGATGCCCTTAACAGTCAAAGTAATAGGAATCTACTAGTCAGGAAAAGGAGAAATCATTTTAAACCTATCACTCACATTATTATTTCAGCTGTCTTAGTATGTATCTGATGAAAGTGTATTGCTACCAATCTTAAGGAAGCAAGGAATGAGGTTATGTTTTTTTTTTAATTATCTTGCAAAACGGTAAAAATTTTCAAGCTAGTATTACAAGGTAAAATGGGAAATCCTGTCCCCATTTCATTCTCTACTCAACTTAAATGTCATGGTGTTCTGTCATTTTAACTACTCTCCTGCCAGTGATCCTAACCTCCCTCGCCTGATTTTCTTTTCATCATATCCAGCTGGCAAGGTCCCAACCCTGGATGAATCCAACATCTGTCTTTGCCCAGCCTCCACCTGAGCTGTTGAGTACTAGTGATGAAAATCACACAACAAGGCAAATGGATATTGATATAAATGCATGGCTGCACCTGCAAATGGGCCCCATACATTGGCTAGAAGTCCTCTGATGATATCCTGCCAGCTATCTCTCCCATTTTGCTCAAGCACTATTTTAAACCTGCGGTCTTTTCAGATATGCAATCATTGCTTTCTCTCTTTTCACTCCTTCCCCTGCTTCACAGCAGATGAGTTTTTCTTCTACTTTACAGGGAAAACCAAAGCCATTTGAAAAGCAACTGCTTCAACATTTACCAGATCTACAGATTTATATGCATCCATGCTTGGGAGAGAGAGAAAAACATGGCCACAATATTTTGCACTTCTTACTATCAAGAAGTGGAGTCTATTTGCCCATTCCTTGAATCTGGGCTGGTCTTGTGACTTGCTTTAACCAAGATGTGGTGGAAGTGATATGTGAGTTCCAGAGCACAGAACTCAAGAGACCTTATGGCTTTTATCTTTACCATTTTAAAGCATGTCAGTACCAGATAAGAAAGTTTGAGCTTGACTACTGAATGAGGAAAAACCACGTGCAGAGAGAGGCCCAGCTGAGAGCCAGAACCAAGGCCACAGACGTGCATATGAGGTCATCTTAGACCCTCCAGCCCCAGTCTAGCAACTACTTACAGCCATGTGAGTAACGTCAGATGAGACCAGCAGAAACACTTGGCTGAGTCCAGCCAACCTACTGAATCATGAGAAATAATAAATCCTTGTTGTTTTATGTCACTGTCTTTGGGAGTTGTTTGTAGGGCAGAAATAGATATGTGATAAGGATTGCTATCCTTTTCTTCTTCCTGCTTGTTAACCATGGAAGAGATGTGTCTTTTCCTGATGAAGAGCAATGCTTTCACCTATGCCCTGGGACCATTCCCTCTCCCTATTTTAGAGATACAGAACTATTGTTTTCAGTATCTTCTTGCAAGTGGCTCCATTTAATCAGCAGTGAAATACCTCCAGTCTCTCTTGACTAATGTTTCCTTCTACTTCATGTTCACCTCCTGTGACAATCCCCTTTTTGATAAGGAACTATATACAGCAGGTCCTATCTTTTATCTCCATTGTACAGCTACTATCATCATTCCGAAGAATAACTGCTAACTTAGAACATACACCATGTATTAATACCAGGCACAATTCTAAATACTTTACATATATTGCTATTAACTCTCTTAACCCTTCCAACAACTTTATGAGGTAGTTACTATTATTCCACTTTTACAGATGAAGAAGGAAACTGAGACACAAATAAAGCAGCTTGCCTTGTTAGTCAGGGGCAGGTTTGAGAGCAGAGGCCAGATTGCTGAGGCAGTTCTTGCAACCATTCTGCTATAAATGACCTACATGTCTGGTTCCATTTCGTTACTTCAAACTCACTCTTCAGTCCAATGCAGATTGGCTTCGACCCCTGCTTCACTGCTGCAACTACTGTTGTTAGTGTCCAAAATCATTTATGTATCAATGAATCATGCATTCTCAGTGGGACAATATCGCTTACTAAGGGGCAAAATCTGATTCTGAAGGGCTCAAAAAAAAAAAAAAAAAAGATACTAAAATGGTGTGTGGTCCTCCAATGTGCTACAGTACACAAATAGATACACTATATCCGTAAAATTAACATTTCATGGGGGTAGACAGAAAAAAAAATCTAAACATGCTCCTTAGCGGGGAAACCATTTTAAAACAGGTTGAGAAACTATGATACGTTTAACACTATGATCTTTATCTTGCTTGACTTCTTGGCAGCATTCAGTGCTATTGCCCATCCCTCCTTTTCAAAACATGTTCTTCCCTTGGCTTTTGTGATTTCATATTTCCTGATTTTCAAATAACCCTCTGGCCTCCTCTCCTATACTCAACCTTTGAATGTTGGAGGTCCTCAGGGATTTGTTCTTTCTCACTGTAACGTATTTACTTTGTAGGCAATCTAACCAACTGTTATGGTTGGTGATTTCCAAATTCTTATCTCCAGCCCTGCTCTTTGCTTTGAGCTTCAGACTCCCACATCCACCTGCCCACCAGATATGTTCACTTAGATTTCTGAGGCATTGCATGTTTGACATGTCCAAAATGGAACTTACTTTTTTCACCTAAACTTGTTACTCTCAGTCTTCCCCATCTCAGTAAGTGGCAACATCCTCAGGAGTCATCTTAATTACTTCTTTTTCTTTACTTTCCATCCAACTGATCAGCAAGTTCCATAAATCTCTGTCTCCATACTATCTATCTATTATCTATATATCTATCATCTATCTATCTGTCTCCCTCCCTCCCTATCCATTCATCCATCCATCCATTTACCCATCTATCATTCATCCATCCATCCATCCACCCATCTATCTATCCATCCATTCATTCATCCATCTATCATCTATTCACCCATCTATATATCCATTATCCATCTGTTCATTCATCTATTCACCCATCTATCTATCCATTCATTCATCTAACTATTCATCTATCTATCTATCTATCTATCTATCTATCTATCTATCTATCTATCTGTCTAATCTGTCTACCTATTTGTCCATCCATCCATTCATTCCTCTATCTTCTATCTATCCATCAATTCACTCATCTATCTATCCATTCATTTATCTATCTATCTATCTAGCTATCTATCTATCTATCTATGTCACCATCCATCCATCCATCCATCTTGCCTCCTACAATTAATTCTTCACATAGCACCAGGATATTCTTTTTAAAGCATAAATCACATCTGGTCACTCCCCTCCTTATAACCTTCTGAAAGGTTGCCTGCAAATAAAACCCAAACGCCTTGCTATGGTCAAAAAGGCCATATATAATCTGGTCCCTGTCTACCTCTCTGTCTTCACCTCACACAATTTCACCTCTTACTCATTATATTCTTGTCATCTTTCTGTTCCTTCATTCCCAGCTTTGCCTTTTGCACTTGCTGTCTGTTTAATCTGCCTGGACTACTCTGCTCCCTCATCCACAGCAGATTTTGTTTCTCAACCTTCAGGTCTCTGCTTAAGCATTGTCTCCTTAGAGAAACCTTGACCGTCTACCAATCTAAAGGAATTTCCTCCTGGTCTCACTTTCTATCACATTGTCCTGTTTTATTTCCTTTATAATACTTAGGGCATTCTTCCTCCTGTGAGCTCCCTACCCCCATCTCCCTCATGCCCCCTAATAAAGGAGCTCTCATATTCTTGCATGGTCCTGTCCCTGTGGCTACACTTAGTTGGCCTAGGACGGGCCTGACTCAGCCATACCAGAGCCCTTCTTGGGATTTTTAGAACCAGAATTGAGAAACAGTCAATTCTTCGCTAATGAAAGCCATTGTCTGACGTAAAATTCAGCAACTATTGGTGGTCATGTTTCCCGTTGTGTGGAGGAAATGAGTCCACAAAGGCAAATGATACCCACATGGTGAAGGGGAGAAGAGTAAGATATTTTTGAAAGTATTTTTTATATTCTGGTTATTTCTAAGGTCTAAATTATATTCTGGATGCTTGCAGAGTTAGTAAGGATACTTTTTGCATCTATAGTTTCTTTGAAAATTTTTTAAAAATCAGGCCAGAAAGACAGAGTGAAAAAAATGAAATATTAAAAAAAAGCTCTTGGATTGATTAATCTAACTTGTTCTTCCTTGTGTCGAACACTGTGCTCACATGTAGATGGTTAATATGTGCGGGATGAACGTGCCACCTGTAGAATGAGAGGTTACATGCTTTCCACTGAAAGCATGCCTTAATACTGAGTGAGAAAGTGGAAGTCAAAGTTGTAGAGACTGCAGTGATTAACTATGAGAAGAGCCACTTGGGCTTTTACATTAATATATCATGAAGCACTCAGTCCTTTTGCAGCTATAAAAAGCCCTTTTTAGAGGCAAGACTGAGGCAAGATACTAAATGTTTTACAATGACTGTCCTCTGACAGGTGGAGACCTTTATTATTATTAATGTCCATTTCAACATTTATTGAAATCAATCCAATGAAACACATTCTAATGAAATATAATTACGCAAACAATATGTGCTTGGAACTGTAGGGGATATATAGATGATTAAGGCAGGAACTCAGTCACTAAATTTATTAAGGGGCAGATTTTTTTAATCGCATAAAATAAATGATTAAAATACAAGGTAGCTATAATGAGTTACAAATAAAGTGCAATGGTGCCAGGGCTGGGGTAGAGGTTCATGATAAAGAAAGGTCATATCTAGTTGCAAGAACTGGGAAAGACTTCATGACCAAATTAAGCACTTGGGGGATGGGTAGGACTGTAAAGGTCAGAGATGGTATGAGGAAGCATCTTAGCCCTTAAGAACCTTAAGAACACACAAAAGGAGACACTTAAAACTAAATATTAGATGCTGCTGTTCCTAGCATTAGCCATGCTCTCCTATAAGGGGCCCTTAGTGGCTATCTCTTTCTCAGCTCCCCATCCTGATACCATTTTACAGGGTCAGCTTACCTCCTACCACCATATTCCTCCAACCTAGTGTCTAGGCCTCTAACTCTCACCCTGGCTTCAAAGAGAAAAGCAGATCTTGCTCTTCCCTAGTCCAAGGTTAGCTTCTTTTCCTGCCCCCAGGAAAAGACTGACAGTCAGGACTGACATTCAGGATACTCAGTTGACAGTGAGGACACTCAATTCCTTCAGGGAGAGTTCACCTTCACCCAGAGTGAAGCCAGCCAAAACAGTGTATAAAAGTACATTTTTAAAAGTCTGAGGCCAGGTATGTGGCTCATGCCTGTAATCCCAGCACTTTGGGAGGTTGAGACAGGAGGATCACTTGAACCCAGGAGTTAAAGACCAGCCTGGGCAACAGAGCGAGACTCCGTCTCTCAAAAAAAAAAAAAAAAAAAAAACTTAGCTGGGTGTAGTGGCACATGCCTGTAGTCCCAGCTACTCAGGAGGCTGGGGAGGAGAATTGTTTGAGCCCAGGAGTTCAAGGTTGTAGTAAGCTGTGATCGCATCACTGCACTCCAGCCTGGGTGACATAGCCAGACCCTGTCTCAAAATAAAAACACAAAAAGACAAACAAAAAAGGTCTGAGACCTTCAGTGTTCCAGAATAGTGTGTATAATTGGTACAGGAGGTGGGGAAGGGGGACCCGATACAGTGTAGGGGCAAGCTGAGTCCCATGCCTCTTCACAACTTTTCCTCCAGTGTGGTAGTTTGATTTCTCAAGATCCATGAGTAAATATGTGCACAAAAGACACATCCCTCAAAAAATACAAAATACATTGTCTAAGGAAGAATCTTTTAAATCCATATTCAGAAAATGATGTAATTCTTTAAGGATGCAAATGAGCAGTTCTGCTAGAGAGTTACCCAATTTTCATCACTGAATGGAAACAAATAATATGCCATTAATGAAAGCCTACATTTGTTTTGTGCTTTGCACTTTGCAAAGAAAAAATTCTAGGCTCCAAGAACACATTAGTAAATGACAATGCAGGATTCAAACCCAGTATAGTAAAATACTCAATACTTATATAGTATGCTAGGTAAAAACAATTTAATTTTACACAGTGGTGAAGTCACTAATTTTCTCCAAGGAAAATTATATAAGAGAAAGCCCTTTGGAGGCTTTTTCACAAGATGATATCATCATCATCATCATTGGTATATGGATCTTTTTGAGATAAACATGTTTATTCATTCATTAATTTAACAAGTGTTTACTGTGCATCATTATCAAGGCATGACACTAGGTTTTACAGAAGATGCAAATATGACTTCCTATAACAACTTAGGATCTAGCAAGGTAGAGGAAATAAAAGATGAAAGGAATTTGATAAATATCACAGGAAAGGTGGGAAAAAAAGTGTTAAAAAGTTCACATTAAAACTGCAAAGTTCATATTCCCTTTGGGAAGTGGGGAGCTTTAGTGGAAATGGTAACAATTGGAAAACCAAAAATTAAAAATAGACAAGGGGGGTAAGATAAAATGATAGATTAGTATCAAGATACCAGGACTCCTGAAGCAGGACATATTGCTACCTTAAGATTATTAACAAACTAGTTCCCATGGATTTAGATCCTTTCTGTAATCATAGCTAGAAACTGGTGTTCTTATAGGTAGTATCGCAGAAGGCTGTACTGTACTCAATACTTCCTGTATATGGATAGGAAAGGTTTGGATGGTCATCTGTCACAAGAGTAACAATGTTTAGGAGTAGCTTGGACACTGGTCATTGATTCACTTTTATTGGTGCTTGTAATGTCAGTATGTTGACATCATTGTGCAGCCCTTATCAGATTGTGAACACCAAGAGTACCCCAACTGCTGGCCCGCGAGCTGTTTACAAATATCATACCGGCTTTTATCGATGATAGTGGCCTTTAAAATCTGGAGTTCAGAGTGGCACAAAATGTGTTTCTAATGCAAACGACTCTCCTTCCCACGTGCACCTCTTTGATCAAGTTTGTGGCTGAAATCAGACTCTAGTTAGATCGCTGTAAAAATAAAAATAAATTTTCCCCAAATGATTGAAACGAATTTCACCCTAGACTACGAGTCCCATCATGCAACGCTCCCATATTCCCACCGTGTGGGGCGGAGTCGTAGAAGGGGCGGCAGCGGCGGCGGCCTGTGCATTCTGGGTATTGTAGTCTGGGGCCCGGCCACCGCTGGGGCTGGTTCCACGTGGTGCATTTGGCGGCAGCTTTGGGCAGTGGCTCCCCTGCTCCCTCCACACGGTCCTCAGGGTGCCAGCGCCAGCAGGGGCGGCCAGCCACCGCGGGAGCGGGCTAGAGTGTGGCCCGGAGGCAGCCCGAGGCTTCGCGACGTTTTTGCGACAGCCGCGGCCGTGTTCCGCGAGTGCCCTCCCTCCTCCTCTCTTTGAGGAGGTACCGGCTGTTGTGCGGCTCTGCCCTTCTGTTTGAGTGTATGGGAGAGTGAGTGAGTGAGTGAGTGTGAGCGTGTGTGTGAGAGCGTGAGGCGTGAGTGCGCGTGTGAGAGGACGAGAGCCCGCCTGGCCGCCCCGCCGCTCCCGCCGCAGCAGGAGCAGAACGCGCGGCCGGAGAGAGCGGCGGAGCCGGCGCCCAGGGAGCCCGCGGGGACAAGGGCAGAGACACCGCTCCCCACCCCCAGCCCTCGTCCCTCGGCTCTCCTTCGCCGGGGGATCCTCCCCGTTCCTCCACCCCCGGCCGGCCTCTGCCCCGCCGTCCCCCTGGATGTCCCTGGCGCTTTCGCGGGGCCTCCTCCTGCTCTTGCCGCATCAGTCGGGCTGGTGCTGCGGCCGGCGGGCGTAGAGCGGGCGGGTTCCCGGGGGCTGCGGCTGCCCGTGCTTCCCCGGTCCCCACCCCTGCCCCCCGGCCCCCCGACCCAGCTCTCCGGCCTCAGAGGCTGTGACAATGGACTATGACTTTAAAGTGAAGCTGAGCAGCGAGCGGGAGCGGGTCGAGGACCTGTTTGAATACGAGGGCTGCAAAGTTGGCCGAGGCACTTATGGTCACGTCTACAAAGCCAAGAGGAAAGATGGGTGAGTGTGTGTGTCTGGGCCGGTGTCCGCGCTGGGCGGCGCTCCCGCAGGCCGAGGCAGGTAGCCCGGAGGGAGAGCGGGCCGCCGGGGTGCCGGGCTCTGACTTCCTCGACGCCGGCCTCTGGCTCCGCCAGCCAGGTTTGGGGAGGAAGTGGTGTACGAGGGATCCAAACCCACGAGAAATCCTGCGTGCCGCGTCTGTGTTCTGCTCTGGTGGTAAGAGGCAAGATGAGCCTCTGCACCGTGGGCTGTATACTTTTCAAGGATTTCAAAGCTGATTCATGAAAAAATTCGTTCTAAAACGCCGGGTTAAATGTTTTTTGTTTTTTTTTTTCCTTGGTCGATTTATTATGGTAACCTTCTGGGGATTTCCTCACCCGCCTCTGGAGTGTCATCCATCGGTCTAGAAGGAAGGCTGTGATCCTTTCCCCCACCAGTTTGTGATCGATTTTTTATCAAATTTGTATTTTATTTGAGGAAAGGAAGGCAGCGAGTGAATGTGGTTCTGGAGAGAGTTCCCCATAGTGATCATCTGCAACATAAATGTTGCAATTGCTATTTAGATATTATTAGCTGTGAATTTTTACATAGAACAATGGGGGTTTGGTGCAGGGTGGGTGGTGGGGAAGAAGGCAAGTGACATAGGGACTATCTCGTTCAGGCGGTTTCCCCCAAATTTAGCGGCTGGCAGTGAACTTTAAATAATCCCTTTGCTTTAAATATTCTTCCCTAGTAACAACTTAATTAAACCTATGACTGGTAATGCTTCCAATTTAGTTTCTTAACAGGCAAGTGAATTGTTCATTTTTTCTCTTTGTCAGTAGATGAATGTCTTGTAATATTGACAAAAGAGAAGGCAATTCTTAGTTGGGGGGAAAATATATTTTATTAACTCCATGTTTTCTTGTAAAATGGATGTTGTCTCTGTTGCCTTTGACAGAATAGAAAATTATTGAAAAGTCAAAGCTTATTATATAATCCTTGGATTTTATTAGAAACGAAGTAGCTTTACTTGAGCATCCCAGTTTAGTCACCTGCTGTATGATGTTTAATCACTTAAAATTTCCAATTAGGTAGGAGAGTATGTTCAGACTACATTAGCACGAAAAAAAAATTCATAAAGCTGAAGTTCCCTACTGTGGGGTAGGGGGGCGCATATTTACAAATACTTTAGTATTCTGGATGTTGGAAAGGAAAGTGTATATTTATTGGACATTTTTCTTAGATTTACTGAAATGTCTTTCTAAAAGTATTTACAATGGACTCTACGAGGAAGATAGGAGTTCTAATTAATTTAGAATGTGTATTTTAGTGCTTTTATGCAACAGTAAAGTGGAACAGATCGGCAGAAGGTAGGGATTTGGATTTGAAAACTTGATATTCTGGGCGCCGCACGTATTTAAAAGTACTTTTTAGCGGAATGGATAGTCTGGTGACACTGGAGAAATCAGCGTCTGGAGATATTGCTGACTCTGTTGTTGTCTAATTAGACTTATTGTTGAAGTTTTACTCTGTAATGACATATATTTTTAAAATTATGTTTGTTAACTCACCATACAATATTTCTCAAAAGCTTTAAACCATCTCCCCTTCCCCCAGTATTATGTAATTTTGGGCATATTCATAAAATCCCCAATCCCATGAGATTAGACATTACAGTACATTTGACCAAACTGACATGTTATATAAAATTCTAGCGCCTTTGCATTATTTTTAATCTGTGTGAGAGAAGCCGGTTCTGTTTTCATAAATTACCAATTTAAGCTAATAAAATATGCATATTTGTTTTAACGTTGTACATTTTATTAGAAAACTAATACTGTGTATTGGCAGGGGGTACTTAAGCACATTTTATATCTCTATGGTCAGGTTTTAATTTAGGCCGTTAAGAATAATTTGAAAGAATAATTTCAATATCTTTGAATTTAAAGATAGTTGAAGGTATAATGTATGGACATTCTTAGTCATCTGTGACAGCTGAAAAGTAACATTGCATTTTGGAAAAAAGAACTTATTATTTGTAATCCTTGGAGTTTGTTTTCCATCAGTCTTTAATGATTCTCTTTATGTGATGAACTTCTATTTTTAATGGATCAAATGTCAAGAGAGTTTTAAAATTACTATCTTTTAGAGATAGTTTTAGAGAGTTTTAAAATTACAGGGATTTTTTTCGGTTTGACTTCTCTTTGTAACCTCACTCTGGTAAAGTATCGCATAGTATTTATGAGGTTCTTTTGATCTTATGTCAGTGAAATGTAATTTAATGCATTTTAGTCCTGGTAAAATAAAATTTGTGGCTGTTTAATCTTTCATAATAAGATGATGATCAAATAATTTGTTTCTAGTATTGATTTACTTTCAAATTACATTATATATTCTGCAGCTGAGATTTGTTCTCTAGGAACTCAGACAGTAACACCTTTAAGGAGAACCTGAGATTTTCTATAAAAGGAAGTAACGCAAATAAGCTTGGTTTAGACATATTTGACTATTGAAATGAATGTATGTAAACGTTGTATCCTTTCAGTTGCCCAGTGAGCATAGAACATGAATAATTGGTAAAATAATTTAGACCAGAGAAGTTAGCTGCTTAAATTATTAAGTTTTAGGAAATAAAATAGCTTCAAAGATTCATTTCTTTGACTTACTTGAGGCATGATTGCATAGTAGGGAAAAGGGACCTTTTATAACTTTGTTAATTTCACATTATAATAGAGTTTAAAGAAATGCACAATAAATCTTGGGATTAATTTGTTCTCACTCGTGTCGCCGTAAATGAGATAGTGTCCTTTGTGTCTGAACACTTAAAGAGTACTCAGTGGGAAGCAGGGGGGTTCATTTTCTTTCTGAGTTGATTGTATCTCCTCTTTGCAGAGTTTAGGCAACCAAACTAATTTTGTTTTAAAGAGTAAGAGAGCGTTAGAAGACAGAAAACAATTTGTGTTTTTAAATTCTAGACTTCAATATTTGCACTGAATGTTTGGATAATTTAAAATATCAATTTGGGATAAGAGGTTTTTCTTCAAAAAAGAAAAACAAAAGGCATTTTCTTAGCAGGGTTTTTAATCTGTTATAATCTATGTTCCAAAGAATAGATAATTATGAGTGAGGAATGAGTGTGTGTTTGTGTGTGTGTGTGTGTGTGTGTGTGTGAGAGAGAGAGAGATACTGCCAACTTTCTTTGGGGCACATTTGTTGAGAGCCCAGAGATTAGTAAGTAGGCAGTGATAATGGCAATAATAGCTAAATTACTGAGTAATTAAGTTTCAGGTCCTGGGCAAAGCACTTTACATTCATCATCTAGTTAGTCCTCACAAGAAGTATATCAAGTCAATTCTGTTATTTTTCAGTTTTCCAGTTGAGGAAACTGAGGCTTAGAAAGGTTAAGCAAATTTACCCATGAGTACACAGCTAATTAAATGTCAGCTAAGATTAGAGGATTAGGCGCAGGTTTTTCACTCCAGAGCCCATGCTCTTAACCATTATGCTTCCTATAATTAATATATTGAATAAGTAAAAAAATAGTTATGGAGTTTGATTTCTAGTGGGTTATTCAAAAACATAAATACCTTGTAGAACTATTAATATTTGCTTCAATAAACTGGTGTACTTTCTGGGTATATTGCTGAAGCACCCTTTTTTTCAAGTGCTATAAAACTGTTTATGTAGATATATGGGTGTGTCTGTACGTATATACACAAACATACTTGTGTATCTAGAGGGGTGTGTGTGTGTGTGTGTGTGTAGGACTAAACTCTAATGAAAGCCATGTGGAAGCACTTCATCTAGTGGAAAGAACTCTAGATGAGCGATCCTGGAAACCTGAATTTGAATTCAGACTGTGCTTCTGATAGCAGTATGACCTTGGGCAAGTCATTTGCCCTTATAGCTCTTAGTAGGGGGGTTTCAGCATATAATTTTTAGGGTCTTTTCTAGTATTATGATTTGAGGAAGTAAAAATTATGAACATAAAATGTAATATTTTTTGCAAGATTAGGCAAACAACCACTAAAAAATTTTACTTTAGATGATGGTGCATTTCCATATTTTTTAGTCTCATGCTTTAACGTTGGTTCTCATCAACTGCCAAAAAGCTTGGTAACTCCCAAAGACCTATCAGTTACTTAACCCAACATGTCTTACGCTACCTTGCCATTCCTCTGTATTTATCTCTTAAGATATTGAGGATTTATGGACTAGTGCCTGTTCCCACTCCCTTGAACCATTCAGTTGGTGGGCAGCACAAAGGAACTCTTCTGATTCAACCTGCATTGGAGCATCCCATTACCTTTTTCCCCTTCTGAATATGGCTGAATGCTGTATCTAAGTTCATTTTGATTTAAATATTTCTTTAGATGTCAGAAATGCCAAATACAATATGTAATTTCTATCACTGGAATAGTCATGTATACAATAAAGAGTATTCCTTATAACCTTCTAAAAATGTGACAGAAGAGGACAGTTAGTCCCCTGTGTCTGCAGGTCCTGCATCTGTAGATTCAAGCAACTGTGGTTCAAAAATTTTCGAGGGGGTAGGGGGAAGGATAGTTGCATCTCTACTGAGCATGTACAGATTTTTTTTCTTGTCATTATTTCCTTAAAAAATAGAGTATAACAACTGTTTACATAGCATTTACATTTTATTAGGTATTATAAGTAATCTAGAGATGATTTAAAGTGTGTGGGAGGATATGCGTAGGTTATATGCAAATAGGACACCATTTTATATTAGAAACTTGAGCATCTGTGGATTTTGGGGGACGGTCCTGGAACGCACCCCTTGTGGATACTGAGGGATGACTGTATTTGCTGTGTACTTCTTATTTCCATGTGGTTGAAGTTACCTACCTTAGATATCAGTGCATTCAGATCCGCTATTTAGGCCACGTTGAGATTTCATGCTTAAATTTCATTTTTTTAGTAGCAATACTGGAAAATCAATTCATTTGGGATTTGTTCATGTGAGTTATTACTTTTACTGTGTCTTTGAACATTTGAAGAAGTCAATTACTCATTCATTCAACAAGTATTTATTGGACCCTTCTATGTGCCAAGCACTGTCCAAGGTATTGGGAATGCAAAGACGAATGAAGTATTCCATTATTTGGGGAGATAACTACTGGGGAAACAAACATGTAAATGTTGCAATTCAATAAGCACTATAATAATTAATGCAAGGTATATGGCAACACAGAGAAGGAAGTCCCCAACTGGTTAAGGTTTTTAGGAAAAGCTTCAAAGTTTACAGTATTTGATTTGGATCATAGAAGACAGGGAAGGTCTCATCAGAAAAGACATTCCAACAGGAATAGGACAAAGGGATTTTTTTTAAAATTGTATTTTCTGCAGACCCCAGCAAATTTTGTGGGTTTTAATTTTTCCTTGCCATGCCTTTCTTTTCCCCTTGTTTTCCCTGGCCAGCATTTTTTGAGTTCTTGCTGTACGTGTAGTAGTATATATATGCACTACAAATGTTCCATTGTACCCGTTGGACATGGTGAGGTACTCATTATTTAACAGTGGAGATAAATTTATCAGCGTTTGCACCGAACACCATAATTGTGTGTGTGTCAGTTTTCAATCATGAGAACATTGGCCATTCAAGAAAAGCAGCCTCTGAAATCCAGGGGTCTGATTTAAGACTCTCTCATGTGTAAAACTGCCATGGCAGAACTCTGTTTTGCCTGGGGCTCTGGTTGGCAAATGATTCTGCTTTGGCCTCACCTCCATGAGGTGTAAGGAGTCAGAATTTCATATGCTGCTGAGGTGATGGATGGTAACAAATTGGAAGGGGAAAGAAGTTCTTTTGCTACTTAGAGTTTAGGAAGTAATGGAATTTCTCTTGTTGGGGCTCTGATGTGTGGAAAGATGAAAGGTAGGGACAGGGCTTCTGGCATGCTGAATTTCAGCTAGGAAAACAGAAATAATGAAAAATTATAATTATTATAGGCCATTTGCAAACGTAACTACTTTGACAATTAATTCTCTGGGCAAATGTGTTCTAATTCTGATTTATAAACATTTGAAATGTGATTCATTTGTTAGATGGGAACTATGTATGGCAAATCAGTGTTGATAAATACATTTGATTCCCTGTGACTGGTGTTAATCTTTCTTGTAGTGCCTTTCACTATTGAATCCAATCCTCATTGTCTCTTGACTCTTTTTCTGTTCTTAGCTGCTGCTAGAAAATAAAACTCCTACTATCCTTTCCTCCTTCAGAACACTTTGTGAATTTTTTCCTTCACACCAGATTACGTAGCCTTGGTCATGTTACTTAGAAATTATCTTTTCTCTTTAGCAATCTTTTATCACCTCAAGGCAGCTCTTGATGTCACTAAAAGGTGGCTTTTACCTGTTGTTTTGACCTTAGTACTTAAAGACTGTTGGTATCATGATTCTGAATATTCTTTAATATAGTTATTGTCAAAGTCCCAAAACCAGTCCTTGCTGTAGTAAGCTGCCTTTACTGATGGAGTTATGTTCTTCAGATGTATTGTAGCAGAAAAAATGCTGAGAGCTCCTTTTTAAAAATTGAGATATAAGTCACATACCATAAAATTCACCCTTTTAAAAGTATGTGATCAGTATAGTGTTTTTTAGTAGATCGACGAGGCTGTGCAACCACCATCACTGTCTAATCCTAGGACATTTTCATGACCCCAAAAAGAAACCCATTAAGCAGTCAGTCCCATTCCCCTCTCTCCCCAGCCGTTGACAAGCACTAATCTACTTTCTGTCTCAGTGGATTTGCCTGTTCTGGACATTTCATATAAATGGACTAATTCAACATGTGGCCTTTTGTGTTTGTGTTTCTTTATTTAATGTAATGTTTTCAAGGTTCATCCATGTGGTACATGTATCAGTACTTCATACCTTTCTATGGCTGGATCATATTGCATTGTATAGATATACCACATTTTGTTTATATATTCATCAATTGGGCGTTTGGGTTGTTTCCACTTTTTGGCTAAAATGAATAATGCTTCGATAAGCAATTATGTGTGACTTGTTAGGTGGATGTATGTTTTCAGTATATACCTGGGAGTGGAATTTCTGGATCATATCCAAAGCAGCTGAGAACCAATTTTGAGTGACTTTACATTGACTTTGGTTTAGGACCAAGTTCTTTGTTCTTTGTGTACAAGACCTGACTAGTCTATTTTATTCCAGGACAGTGCTCACACCATAATCTATTGCAGTAATTCTGAAACAGAGATTCATACAGCTGCTCTCCTCCATCAACTTAGACCACTCTGACCTTTTCCTCAGGCAGCACCTTGTGCTGGAATTTTTTTTGTCTCAGGCAGCACCTTGTGCTGGAAATGCTTTTTTCTCAGTTGAAATGTACTGACAGCCTCAGAAAAAAATCCTAACTACGTATCTTAACATACAACTCCAATAAGTCCCACTTTACCCGTCACCCTGCAAAACATAGTCATTCACTGATATATTATGTAACTACTTCAGTGTATATGTGGTTAATGCTTATGTGTCCTTTGGGTCTTTCAGGTGAATGTTTATGGGTTAAAATTATAGATTTCCTTTAGGGCAATGATTGTGTTCTCCCCAGCTCTTGGCATATTGCCAAATTTTGACAGGTATTTTGTACTTTTGTGTATGTGTGTGTGTGTGTATCTGAAATTCATGTTTGAAAATCTTTTTTCTAAACTTGCTAACATTAAAAGCTTGAGGCATATTACGGGAAGAGTAGAAAAGTAATACCTGTGAAAATACCAGGAGAAGCAAAATTTGATGGGTTTCCTATGTTTTTACCCAGAATGGCACTGAACAATACCAAAATCAATCCAAAGGCAAGAGCAAGCTCGGTAGTTGGCTGAATCGAAATGGAAGGCCAAGGTATTTGAAAATTGAGCCACTAGAAATAATATTTTTTTGAAATATACTTTGAAAATGAACCCTTTAAAATGTGGATCAAATCTGTATTTCTAAAATTAAGGAAAACGTAATTAGTTTCTGAATCACAGTTGGCATTTAATTTTGCCTAAAATCACTGGTCTGTATAGCATGATCGTTTTATTTGAAATTTACCTTTTGTTACATGAGTAAAAAATTATTTAGACTAACTTCTATTCAAGGTAACTCAGTTACTCATCTCACTAGACAAGTTCTTTAAAGTCTATAACTTTATTGTAATCCATGAATTCTAACAAATAATCATCCTACAGAGAGGAATTTTTACATCATGATGAAGGGCCTACTCTGGGTGTTTCTAGACATTTGAATCTATAGGTTGTTTAGAGGACTAAAGGGATTGAATAAAAAGAAAACTTGTCAAGTCGTGCTAATGTAGTTTATATTAAACAAGTCATATTTTTGAGGAAAGAAGGAGTAGGTTTTTTTTGTTTTTCGGTTTTTTTTTTGAGACGGAGTCTCGCTCTGTTGCCCAGGCTGGAGTGCAATGGCGCGATCTCCGCTCACTGCTAGCTCCGCTTCCCGGGTTCACGCCATTCTCCTGCCTCAGCCTCCCGAGTAGCTGGGACTACAGGCGCCCGCCACCACACCCGGCTAGTTTTTTATATTTTTAGTAGAGACAGGGTTTCACCGTGTTAGCCAAGATGGTCTCGATCTCCTGGCCTCGTGATCCGCCTGCCTCAGCCTCCCAAGTGCTGGGATTACAGGCGTGAGCCACCGCGCCCGGCCGGGAGTAGGTATTACCTTTTTTTTTGAGCCAGAGTTTTGCTCTTGTTGCCCACGCTAGGGTGCGATGGCACGATCTTGGCTCACTGTAACCTCCGCCTCCTTGGTTCAAGAGATTCTCCTGCCTCAGCCTGCCGAGTAGCTGAGATTACAGGCATGTGCCACCAGCCTGGCAGATTTTGTATTTTTAGTAGAGATGGGGTTTCACCATGTTGGTCAGGCTGGCCACAAACTTCTGACCTTAGGGATCCGCCTGCCTCGGCCTCCCAAAGTGCTGGGATTACAGGCGTGAGCCACCGCGCCCGGCTAAAAGACTCCCTTTTTTTTTTTTTTCGAGACGGAGTCTCGCTATGTCACCCAGCCTGGAGTGCAGTGGCACGATCTCGGCTCACTGCTAGCTCCGTCTCCTGGGTTCACGCCATTCTCCTGCCTCAGCCTCCCGAGTAGCTGGGACTACAGGCGCCCGCCACTACGCCCGGCTAATTTTTTTGTACTTTTAGTAGAGACGGGGTTTCATCGTGTTAGCCAGGATGGTCTTGATCTCCTGACCTCGTGATCCGCCCACCTGGGCCCCCCAAAGTGCTGGGATTACTGGCGTGAGCCACCGCTCCCAGCCAAGACTCCCTTTAAGTAAATGAGTCTCCTAATGTTTTATTATGTGACTTTCTTTGCAAAAATTAAGTTTATACCTAATTTCCAAGAAAATGTCAGACAGAAAGCAAGACATACTTGTAATTTATTTTTTAATGCTGACTTAATGTTGATTTTTTAAAGTGTAAAATTAAATTATTTAAATATTTGGCATTTCATTATGGTTTGCCTTTAGCTGCCGTTCTTTTTTTTCTTAAAATTAATTAATTAATTAATTTTATTGAGACAGGGTCTCACTCTGTTCCCTGGGCTGGAGTGCTGTGGTGCAATCATGGCTCACTTCAGCCTTGAATTCCTGGGCTCAACTGATCCTCCCACCTTAGCCTCCCAAGTGGGTGGGACTAGCACGTCACCCCTCCCAGTAGCTGCAGTTCTTTTTGTAAATTTGTGTGCTTATAATTTATTTGGTAACTATTTACTGAATGTCTCTTATATGATTGGTTCTTGTACAAATTTATGGGGCACACGAGAAATTTTCTTAGATGTATATATGCATAGTGGTGAAGTCAGGGTACTTAGGAAGTTCATCACCAGACTGCAGTGCATTTTTGTTTAGTACTCCTACTCTACTATCAAACATTGAATTTATTTCTATTACGTTAATCTATATCTGCACCCTTTAACTCACTTCTCCTCCTCTCCTCCCTCCCCACTCACCCTTCCTAGTCCCCTTTATCTATTTTTCACTGTCTACATCCTTGTGTTCATTTTTTTGTAGCTCCCATGTATGAATGAGAACATATGATATTTGTCTTTTTGTGCCTGGCTTATTTCACTTAACATAAGGATCTCAAGTTCCATTCACGTTGCTGCAAATGATATGATTTCCTTCTTTTTTGTGGCTGAATAGTATTCCATTGTGAATATATGCCACATTTTCTTTATCCATTAATCTGCTGATGGACACTTAGATTGATGCCATACCTTTGCTGTTGTAAATAGTGTTGCCATAAACATGCGAGTGTAGGTATCCCCTTGATATACTGATTTCTTTTCCTTGGGGTAGAGATACCCAGTATCTCTTTGATTGCTGGATTGAATGGTAATTCTATTTTTAGTTTTTTGAGAAATCTTCGTACTGTTTTTTATAGTGGCTGTACTAGTTTACATTCCCACCAACTATGCTAGGTTCTGTGCCAGATGTAGGTGATTCAGCAGTGAACAGCCCATGGTCTAATAACTCTTTAGGGAACTTACAGACTTTTGAGGGGCATAGGCAGGTAAACAATTGTAATATAGTAGGATAAGGGCTGCAGTAGGGAAAATTGTAGGTTGCCATGGAAGTACCTAATCTGCCCTTGGGGAGCTCAAGTATATTTCACTTGTGACTTGAAAGATAATTAGAAATTGTGAATGGGCAATAAATAAGAGTTAGTGGGGGCTTGAGGAGTTATAGTGCAGGTGAGAGAGGTAATATCACTCGTGGCTCCAGAATTACTTTATAAGGAAGACGGTGCTGTCTAGATGAAGAGGCAGTGCAGTAATGTGTAGTAAGCAAGTTGCAACTGAAATTGTTTATTTGAGGTAATTTTGGGAGCTTGTGTATTATGGGGGGAAGCTATCCTTTGCAGCTGCCACTGAGTAGCATGCACAAAGACATGAAGGAAAGATGGTATGTACGGTGAGACAATTGAAAGAATTTCCATGCCAGATCTTGGAGGGGTGGAGGGAGAGGTATAAATAATCAAATTGGGGAAGTAAGCAGATTGTTGTAAATCAAGTCATGGATTTTGTACTTTCTTCCGAAGTCAGTGGGAACCATGCTTAGGGTCTTAAGCAGATAGTAATAAGTTCCGATTTCTCATTTAAAAAGATTGCTTGGTAACACGATCAGAATGGCCATAGGAAGCTGTGGTTAGGAGAATGTAATAGTAATCCAGGTGAGAGATGCTAGTGACTTGAATTAGGGAAGTGAGAGAGGGGATGAGGAGGGAGAAATGATAGGACTTGTTGATTTATTGGATATGATAGATGAACAAGTGAGAACCAAGGATGATGCCCAGGTTTCTGGCTTGGGCAGCTGGATATTGCCATTCACATAGCCAAAACAGAAAGAGGAGCAAGCTTGAGGTGGAAGATGATGATTGAGCTTTGATATGTTGACTTTCAGGTACCTGTTAAACATCTGAGAAGAAATGTGCATTAGGCAGATATGTAAATTTAATGCTCAAGAGAGGAGTCTGGCTAGAGTTAGACTATGTACTTAAAGTACTTAAAGTGGTAGCTTTCAGTGGTGATGAAATTGCCTAGGGAGAGTGTATAGAGCAAGACAAGGGCCTTGTATAAAGTGCGAAGAAAGAGATGTCTACCTAGGAGGCCAAAAATTGAGTCTAGAAAGGAGAAAACCCAAGGTTGCCATATTGTATAACAGGAACCGTGGAGTGTACAGCTTACTGGCTGTACAGGGCAGCTTGGAGAAATACTAGGACCTTGTAGGTAGAATAACAGCCAGGAAGAGTCTTTCCAGGAGTCAGAGATAGGAAGTGTCACATGTGGCTCAGAGGGCAAGGGAGATAAAGAAGTGTCTGGGTTAAATAAAATAAACGAAATAAAACTTCAGCTAAAGATTTTTGGATACCAAAGCTTAAGTCATAACACACTTTGTAGGTTTTATTCAGTGTTTTTGGTACTTTGATGGTTAGCCTTATTCAGAGCAAAGCAATGAAAAGCATCACTGCCATTCCTGTTTCTCTGCTGGCTGTGTTACTGAAGTGAAACCTGTAGATGCCATTTATTTATTTTGTACTCCATGCTATTCAGGATATTTCTCATTTTTTAATAAAAAGAAAATGGCTTTTTCTTTTTCTGATTATAAAAATAATGACTCTTCATTGTGATGAATTCAAGTAGTCCAGAAATGTATTCTTAAAACCCTAACTCTATAATTAGGAGACAATTAATATTTTCCTTGTCTTTCCAGATGACTTTGAATATATGTATACATTAATAACATCTATGATCTTACATTTTTTCATTCAAAAATATTATGCATCTTTCCATGTTGGTAAACGTAGCTCTAAATCAGCATTTTTAATTATTGCTGAATATCAGATGATACATATGCATATATTAATAAATATGTAGTCAACCAGTTTTTAGGGATAGATGTTGAAGTAATCTCCAAATTACAGCCATTGCAGTTAGCAAGGGATGTCAGTAAATATGCGTGCAGTTCTCCAGTGTCATATGAAGTCCTTGAAGTAGAATTTCAGGTCAAAGGTCATATACTTTCAACAACTATATTTCATTATGAAATAAGATGGGACTATGAAATTAATATAGTCTCATGATAAAACATTTAAATTGTACATAAGAGTACCCAGGAAAATCTAAGTCCCCCTTTTACCTCAGATTGAGCTTCCACTTTTTAGGGATAATTATTACCAGTGGCTCCTTGTGTATCTGCATATAGAAGCAAATATATGTATGGGTAGACTTCAAAATTTACTTTAGTACTTTATTCTTTTTGAGCAGATAATGCATGACCGTGGAAAAAAATTTAAATATGTGTTATTCTGTGCTTTGCTTTTTTCAGTTCATATGTTTTGGAGATCTATATCAGCACCTGTAACTCAATTCATTTTATCAGTTCATCGTTTTGTTTTATGTGTATAATATACTGGTCCAGTGCAAGGACATTTAGGTTGTTTTCATTGAAACAGAACTGCAATAAATGTCCTTTGCGTCTGTCTTTGTATACAACATGCTGTCAGATGGAGGTAGAACTTCCCAGGCTCCCAAAGTTCTCCATGGAGACATTTGCCATGGATGATACACTGGCAGAAAGTGAGGTTTCCATCAAGCAAGAGAAGCTCCCTTTGCTAAATCCACAGGGAGTTTTATCCCTCCTGGCTTCCTTCAATGGTTCTAGAAACTCTGATCACCATGCTCAAGTACAAGTAACTGGTAACAACCCTAGCAGATCACTGCAAGCAGGTCAGTTTCCTAGGAATATCTCTTCCCAGGCCTGGGCCAGACTCTTTTGAGGTCTAATCTTTGTCCTCTAAAAATGTTGCACCAATTACACTCACATCAAAACTCCAAAAACAAAACTTTTTGGAAAGAAGAAATGGGAGTAAATATAGTAATGACATGTTTGAATCATGGGGTTAAATACATTGTAAAGTCAGAATTGTTGAGATTTTTTTTTGAAAGTTTTGCTCCCCCCTCCCCCAACACACACACACACACACACACACACACACACACACACACACACACACACACAGTCCTGTGTATGTTATTTTATTTTGAGACAAGGTCTTGTTCTGTCACCCAGGCTGGAGTGCAGTAGTGCAGTCATGGCTCACTGCAGCCTTGAACTCTTGGGCTTAACCCATTCTCCCACCTCAGCCTCCTGAATGGCTGGGATTACAGGCATGTGTCACCACATCTGGCTAATTATTGTATTTTTTGTAGAGATGTAGTTTTGCCATGTTGCCCAGGCTGGTCTAGAACTCCTGAGCTCAAGTGTTCCTCCTGCCTCAGCCTCCTGAGTAGCTAGGACTACAGGCACAGGCTATAGGACTATGCCACCATACTTAGCTAATCCTGTGTATTTTAGATTACTGGTGGGGATTAAAAAAAACTCGAGAGCCATATAGGTATTTAAAATTACAGTTATTTCATTATTTTTACATCTTATTTTATGTTTACTTTCATCAGATTTCTCTATTCCAACTTGATAATGTTGCTACAATTTGTGACAAATGATTGATGCTCTTGGTATTCTACCTCCATGCAGTTTATTTAGCACTGACCTGTAGTTCTCTTACTCTTGCTTAGATCATCTTTCTTTCCATTTCTTGTTGGTTGGCCTTGGTCATCCTCTCATTTCCTACCCAGCACTGACATTCCTACTCCTGATTTTTTTCCTTTCTCCTCACTTTTTGGCTTGCTTTTTCTGTTTCATACTGATGTTGGCTTTGACATTGTTTATTGTTGCCTTTCTCAGTTGCGTTCACTTATGGACTTGCCTCCATAGAATGAGAGGCTGGAGCCCTTTCTGTTGCCAGTAGAATTGCTTGACTTCATGTTTAACAGAAGTACTCATTCATGTTAGGTAAGCAGCCAGGTGATTGTAAGACAGCTCTGATGTATTTTGTTAATTCTGAAGAAACTTTTAAGTACTGCTAAACATAATTCTTGATAGTATGGATACAATGACTGCTTAATAGACTTTGGAAAGTACTCCTTATAGATAGGAAGCTGAAATACACATATATTTTTATCTTTTTATCTAAAAACCTATTTTAGTACAAATGAGTCCAGCTGTGCTTGAGAATTTAAACCAGATATCCTGGAGCTGAAAGTCGATATTGTCAGTGTTTTAGCCAAGACTAGCTGACCTCTGCAGATCCCCTTTAAGTTTGTGGCATAAGCTAAATTCGGAAGTAAGTAAAAAACTTAAGGAAATCGATCAAAGTAGCACATACCTCTCTTACTTGATCTATTTCTCTTTAGATTGTTTTTTTTTTTATGGGATCATTCTATTCTAAAAGGTGATTCAGTCTGATGTTCCTAAGTACATGAAAATTTCAATGCAAGCAAAAAATACTGAGTACATGTCACTTTAAAACAATCTTGCTTTGACTTTGATCATGTAGTGTCTTTTCTGTATTTCTATTGCACTTTGAGTAACTGGACTCACTGAATTTAAAATGTGCTTGGTGGTTTTCAAATGAGAATGTAGTGCAATTAGGTTTTTTTCTTAGTAAAATTCTGTACTATATTCTTGAAAAGTTTTGGAATAGAAGATAGCATTTGCTACTAGTTACTTATTATTTATTTATTTATTTATTTTTTAGAGCAGGAGAACTTGATAGTTAAGTGTTTAAGAAGTAATTTTGATTTAGTTGCAGTGTGCAAAGTAGGGATATTAAATCCCAATTGTCTTCATGGAAAAATATTAGTAATACCTTCCAAAAAGTTATATACATTTGTGGTTCATAAAGTTTTTCTTAATATGGCTTTTTTGAGATATAATTCATATACCATACAATTCATCTATTTAAAATATACAGTTTAGCTAGGTGTGGTGGCTCACTCTTGTAATCCCAGCACTTTGGGAGGCCGAGGCAGGTAGATCACCTGAGGTCAGGAGTTTGAGACCAGCCTAATCAACATGTGAAACCCTATCTCTACTAAAAATACGAAAATTAGCTGGGTGTGGTGGCAGGTGCCTGTAATCCTAGCTACTCAAGAGGCTGAGGCAGGAGAATCATTTGAACCCAGGAGGTGGAGGTTGCGGTGAGCCAAGATCACGCCATTGCACTCCAGCCTGGGCAACAAGAGCGAAACTCTGTCTCAAAAAAAAAAAAAAATACACACACACACACATACACAGTTTAGTGCTTTTTGATATATTCACAGGGTTGTGCAGCTATTACCGCAATCTGATTTTAGAATATTTTTGGTCCCTCTAAAAGAAACCCCGTACCCATTAGCAATCACTCCTTGTTTCCTCTAATCCTCAGTCCTAGACATCCAGGAATCTCCTTTCTGTCCCTGCATTTGCCTGTTTTGGACATTTCATATAAATGACGAAATCATACAATATGTGCTCTTTTGTGACTGACTTCCTTCACTTAATGAAACGTTTTCAAGGCTCATCCATGTTGTAGCATATATCACATTTTGTTCATTCCTGGGCTGGTGAATATTTGGGTTCTTTCTACTTTTTGGTTGTTATGAATAATGCTGCTATGAACATGGGTATACAACTATCTGAGTCTCTGCTTTCAATTCCTAGGTATTCATTATAACCAAGAGTGGAATTACCGGCTCATGTTTAACTTTTTGAGTAGCCTCCAAACTGTTTTCCACAGCTGCTACACCATTTTGCGTTCCCACCAGCAGTGCACCAGGGTTGCAATTTCTCCACGTTCTTGCCAACACTTGTTTTCTGCCTTTTTGATAATAGACATCCTTAAGGGTATTAAATGGTATCTTATTGTGGTTTTGATTTGTATTTCCCTAATAACTAATGATGTTGAGTATCTTTTTATGTGCTTATTGACCATTCATGTATCTTTGTGGGAAAATATATTCAAATGCTTTGCTGTTTAAAATTAGGTTGTCTTTTTAGTAGTTAGTTGTAGGAGTTCTTTGTATATTCTGGATACTGAACCCTTATCAGATATATGATTTGCAAATACAGTTGTGTGTTGCTTAATGACAGGGATACTTTCTGAGAAATGCAGCATTAGGCAAGTTTATGATTGTGTGAACATCATAGAGCATACTCAGACACCTAGATGGTATAGCCTACAACACACCTAGGCTATATGGTGTAGCCTATTGCTTAGTCTACAAGCCTGTACAGTATGTTATTGTATTGACTATTATAGGCACTTGTAACACAGTGGTTAGTATTTGTGTATCTAAACACATTTTAATATAGAAAAGGTATAGTAAAAATATGGCATAAAAGGTAAAAAATGAGCTGGGTACAGTGACTCATGGTTGCAATTCCAGCATTTTGGGAGTCTGAGGTGGGAGGACTGCTTGAGGACATAGGAGTTTGAGACCAGCCTGGGCAGTATACTTGATACCCCATCTTTACAAAAAAGTTAAAAAATTAACTGGGCTTGGTGGTATTTGCCTGTAGTCCCAGCTACTCAGGAGACCGAGGCGGTAGGATTGCTTGAGTCCAGGAGCTTGAGGCGGTGGTGAGCTCTAATTGTACCACTGTAGAGGGCCTGGGGGACAGAGTGAGACCCTGTCTTTTTTTTTTTTTTTTTTTTTTTTTTTTTTTTTTTTAAGAGAGAGACATAAAAATTGGTATACCTGTGTAGGGTACTTACCATGAATGGAACTTACAGGTCTAGAAGTTGCTCTGGGTGAGTCAGTGGTAAGTGCATGTGAAGGCCTAGGACATTGCTTTACACCACTGTAGACTTTATAAACACTGTACACTTAGGCTACCCTAAATTTATTTAAATTTTTTTCTTCAATAATAAATTAACCTTAGCCTCCTGTAATTGAGTACTTTAAACTTTTCAGTTTTTTAAAACTTTCTGATTCTTGTATAATAACTTAGATTAAAACACAAACATTGTATAGGTGTATAAAAACATTTTCTTTATATCCTTATTCTGTAAGCTTTTTTCTATTTTTAAAAGTTTTTGGCTGGGCGTAGTGGGTCACACCTGTAATCCCAACACTTCGGGAGGCTTGAGATGGGAGGATTGCTTGAGGCAGGAGTTCAAGACCAAACTTTTTTTTTTAAAGAAAAAGAAAAAAAAGTTTTTATTTTTTGCTTTTTAAACGTGTTTGTTATGTTAGCCTAGGCCTACACAGGGTCAGGATCATCAGTATCACTGTCTTCCACTTCCACATCTTGTCCCCCTGGAAGGTCTGAGGGGTAGTGCAGACATGGAGCTGTCATCTCCTATGATGATAATGCCTTGATGTGGAATACCTCCTGAAGGACCTGCCTGAGGCAGTTTTACAGTTAATTTTAAAAAGAATAAGTCAAACTGGAGTACACTCTTTACTTTTTATTGACCTCTTGGGGATGAAGAAAGAAGTACACTCTTAATGATAAAAACCATAGTATAGCATATACATACACCAGTAACATGGTCATTTATTATCAAGTATTATGTAGTGTACATAACGGTATGTGCTATACATGACGGGCAGTGCAGTAGGTTTCTTCACACCAGCATCACCACAAACGTGCCTGTAATGCTTTGCACTATGAAGTTACAATGGCTACAGTGTCACTAGGTGAGAAGAATTTTTCAGCTCTATTTTAATCTTATGGGACAACCTCCCTATGTGCTGTTGTCTTCAAGTGAAACATCATTACATGGTGCATGACTGTATTTGGCTTGTCTTTTTACTTTCTTGTTGGTATTGTTTGTAGCACAAAAGTTTTTAATTTTGGTGTAGTCCAGTGTATCTATTTTTGCTTTTGTGGCTGTGTTTTTGATATTATATGTTAAAGAAACATTGCTTAACCCAAGGCCACAAAAACTTCTATGTTTTTTCCTAAGAGTTTTATAGTTGTAACTCCTAGATTTAGGTCTCTAAGGGGTTGAACTTCTTTCTTTTGGTGATGGATATACAGTTGTCCCAGCCTCTGAATTGTTTGGGCATACTTTGTTAAAAATCAGTTGGCCATAAATATAGGATATTTTTCTGGTCTCTCAATATGTCTGTCCTTAAGCTGGTACTACACTGTCTTCATTGCTGTAGCTTTGTAGTTAGTTTTGAAACTTGGAAGTGTACTTTCTTTTTTGCCAAGATTGTTTTGACTTTTTTGTAGTTCATGAAGTTTAAACACTACATCTGGTATTATTTTTCACTTTTCTAATAGATTATAATGTTGGATATGTTAGAAATGTATGTCTAGTTCCAGGTAATTAAAGTTTTCTGGGTAGCTGATTCACTTTTTATTCACTAAATCTTTATTTTAATCACTGTGGATGAAAGTCATTTATTTGGTATTATATAATAAAAATTATACATACACATATATGATATACTTGGAACACAGTTTAACTTTTTCTGTGCAGTTCAGACTAACTATTGTAAAACATTAGCCATCATATGTTATTTCCAGGTGCTTTAAAAAATATATATATATATAGTACTATTGGCTTTTGTACTAAATAGCTAGGTCTTCGGAGTTCATCTACCTATGGTGTTTTCCTTTATTCTTCTCCTTATTGTCAGCTGTTACTTAAAAAAAAAGTTTTATACTTTTAAATTACAGAATAACTATCAATTGTAGAAAATACAAGTAAAGTCTAAGAAGAAAATAAAATTTACCCTAATTTGGCCACACAGACTTTTTTAAGGCATGTTTTAAAATTAGATTATATTGTGCACATTGTTTTGAAACCTGCATAGACTGTGTATATTCCATGTCACTAATCATCTTTCTAAATCTTTCTGTTGTTTTAATGTCTGTATTTATTGTATTATATGATTGTACTTTAAAAAACATTTAGCATAGTTTCACTTTTTCATTACATTTAAAATTTTGTTGCTGCATCTTTGTAGACACTCATGATTTTATCCTTAGGAAAGATTTTTAGAAGTGGGTTTGCTGGATCCATTTTTAAGGTTTTTGATATATGAAGCTAGATTTTCTCCTAGAAGGTTTGAACTAATTTGTAATGTCTTTCATAATGACAAAAGTAATGTTTGCCTCCTCCTTGATCAATAGTTTTATTATTGTTTTCTTTGATCTTTGCAAATTTGATAGGCAACCTATGGAATTTTGGTTTTATTTACATTTGTTTAACATTTAAATTTTTAATTTCATATTTATTCATCATTTAATTTCTTTTCGGAATTACCCAATCATATTTTGCGTGTTTTCTGTTATGTTTTCTTTCTTTCTTTTTTTTTTTTGAGATGGAGTCTTGCTCTGTTGCCCAGGCTGGAGTGCAGTGGCACGACCTCCACTCACTGCAAGCTCTGCCTCTTGGGTTCATGCCATTCTCCTGCCTCAGCCTCCCGAGTAGCTGGGACTACAGGCGCCCGCCACCACGCCTGGCTAATTTTTTGTATTTTTAGTAGAGATGGGGTTTCACGATGTTAGCCAGGATGGTCTCATTCTCCTGACCTCGTGATCCGCCCGGCTCATCCTCCCAAAATGCTGGGATTACAAGTGTGAGCCACCGCGTCTGGCCTACATTTTCTTAAATATTTCTTTTTGTTAAGTGCTTTGTTTATTGGGATATTCATTTTTTTATTCATGTTGTAAGAATTTCCAATTCTTTGTTTTTATATTTATGACTTCTTAAATGTGTAATCAAATGTATCAGTCTTTTATTGCTTCTGAGTTTTCTCCATTATATGCCTTTTACTTACATTTTCACCTAATGTTTTTATGGGTTTCAAAATTACAGTTAAAATTTTATTTAATCTTAAAATGATTTGTTAAAACTTGTTAGGTAGGGTTCTAACTTTAATTTTTCTACTCCTTTTAATGCTGTTGAATAATTCTTTCTCAATTGATTCGAAATGCTGCTTTTATCATTACCCTACATTCCCAACTTGGAATTTATTTCTGGACTTTCTGTGTTAGTCCATTGATCTGTCTATTCCTGTGTTACTCCCTTTGTTGTTTTACGTCTTTTATAATAAAGATCTACAATATCTGGGGTAAGACTGGAACCTTGATGTTAGTCTTTGAAAAATAAATTACAGTTTTTCTTATCCATTTATTCCAGGTAAGCTCTAAAATCAACAACTCAAGGTCTAAAAAGTATTTTGAGATTTGGGTTGAATTGTATTAAATGTATAGATAGATGAATTACTCTCCATACTCAGCAATATGGTTATGTTTTTTATTCAGATTTTATCTTAAGAACCTTAATAAAGCCTTGTAGTGTTTTTCATATGGGTCCTACATATTGCCTACTACAAGGTATTCTATTTAAGTAGTGTTGTGCACAAGTTTGTGCACCTGTACGTCTCATGTAATATTTGTGACATATGAAAATTTTTTTTATGTTTATCTGAAATGCAGATTTATCTGGACATCTTGTATTTCATTTGCTAAATCTAGTAACCCTGTGCATATTTTTTAACTATTACAGAATTTAAAAAATGTACTCCAAAGTAGAGACGGTTCAATAAATCCTCATTAACCCACCATGTATCTCAAATAGTCGTAAACTTTCTGCATTTCTTATAAAGGTAGTTTAAATTTTTTATTGCTGATTTTTTAGCTTGCTGTCTTAGATATTCATGTTATATATATTAAGAGTTTTATTCTTTTCTAGTACTTCCACTTGAGGAAACTTTGGTGTTATTGCATTGGCTCTAACTTTTTTTTTTGAGACAGTCTCACTCTGTCGCCAGGCTGGAGTGCCGTGGCACAATCTTGGCTCACTGCAACCTCTGCCTCCCAGGTTCAAGCAATTCTTCTGCCTCAGCCTCCCGAGTAGCTGGGACTACAGGTGCATGCCACTACGGCCAGCTAATTTTTGTATTTTTAGTATAGATGGGGTTTCACCATGTTGGCTAGGATGGTCTCGATCTCTTGACCTCGTGATCTGCCTGCCTCGGCCTCCCAAAGTGCTGGGATTACAGGCGTGAGTAACCGGCTGTACCTTTTAAATAACTTTTTAATAACTTTACATTCTTACTGGCAGTGTTGGAGATATTTTTGTCTTTTGATTTTTAAATGGAAATATTTCTAGTGTTTCTGTGTTAGGTAAGTAAGAGTTCTTACTAAATTTTGTTTTCCTAATATTATTAGATTTGGGATTGACATACATGATTTACAAGCTCTGTTTCTGTCTTCCTAATATTATTAGATTTGGGATTGACATCTTATATGTGATTTATGAGCTCTTGAGCTTGAGCAGTTCATTCAGTCTCTCTGAGCACTTCTGATTTTTCATCTGTCAAATGAATTCATCCCACAGAGATCTTTTTGTAACATAAGGCAATGGATGCAAAACAAGTTTTCCAGCTATCATAAGGGCATATAAGTTACATGTACTTTAATATATTTTTTTAATTAATCTCTCTTGTTCATTCATTTATGATTACCTATTTCTCCAGTGCCCAATTATCCTGATTTATATTTTTTAAGAAGAATTTAAGATGCTTAGTGGTAGACGATTATCCTAAATATGTCTGTTTACAGATAGCAACCTATGGTTGTTTCTGCTGTAATATCATGTTTGTTTTTCTGCCAAATCTCTTATTATGAAAAATCTCTTATGAAAACAGAAGTTTCATTGGAGAAAGAGGACTGGAGAGTTTCTGTAGGACTGACATAAGTATTTATGTAGCTTTACTCTAAAAATAATAAATATGCTGACTAAATTCAATAAAAACAACCAAATTTTTCCTCCTTCACCCTTGAGTCCATCCACATTCTCAGAAGGTTCTTAGCTTCTCCTATCACATTTGTCCTTGACCATGCAGTTTTACTTGCAGAACTGTTCACAACTGCCAGTGGTAAACAAAAGAATAAAAGAATGCTTGAGTAAACAAAACAATTCTATTTCAGAAGAACACACAAACAATGCAGCTCTGTGTGCCTATTCTTTGATGCAACTATTATTTTTCCTATTTACGTTGTGCTAATTCCTGTTGGTGTTGTAGTAATAATGCTTTAGTGTACTGAGTTTTCCCCCAATTGATGATGTTATATCTACATTATGTTATAAAAGCTCATGCTGTAAGAGACTTGCCTATATTTGCTAGTACAGGGTAAATAGTAAGTATTGTATTAATAAATACTTGTTGATTGCAAATGGCCAGATGACTTATTTCAAATATTGAGGCTCATTGAGGTTCACTGTTATTGCCCTGGCTAGGTATTCAAGCCTGGCTCAGTAAACTGTACTTATTGGATACTGGTTCAAAACAAAGTAAAAAATGTAATCCTACTATTGTGCAAAGTCATAGTACCTTTTTACTTTTGGCAAGTGTTGTTACATTATAGGAAGATAAGAACTAGAGCAGGTTTGGAGAAAGGCACACAAAATGACAAGGAGAAAGGTACCATAGTATATAAACTAAAAGGGTTTGGGTGTTTCAACTTGGAAGTTAAAGGGATGAATTTGAAGTATAGAAGACTGTGATCATATAGGTAAGTTGAACTTGTTTTTAAATCTCAGCCTGATGAACTGTTGTTTATTTTTACCCCCAGTGTTGAAATAAGACAGTTGGATAGAAGCACTTTATTTTGAAACTGAAAATGTAATTAATTCTCTAAAAGTTTAGGTATATTTATGAATGATAGATTCGTATTTAGTTACTAAATGGAATTAAGCTATTTTAAGCCTTCTGAGGTATAAATCAAGGGGGCAGCATAAGCATATTCTCCCATATGGGTACTAGTTCAAATATTTGCTTTACTGTTACGTAGAATAGGGACACAACTGTTTTGTGACCCCCAAGTGTAGAACTGTGACCAATGACTTTGGCACTAAACATAGGGAGGAACTTTGTAACAAAGTACTCCAGATTATGGAATGGAAAAAGGGGAATTTGTTCTTTCTACAAATGGTTTCAACATGTCCTAAATGACAATTTGGTGGAGTTGTTGTGGAAGAAATTCAAGTAGTGGATTGATGTTTGAATTGGGTGACTTGTATGGTCCTGCCAGTTCTGAGATTTTATGATAAAGTGTCAGGAATCACTATTTCTTAGAGAACATCAGCCTGAATGGGCAATAAATCCAGAAAAAGTACAAGAAATTTTGCTAAAATGTGGAGATGGCTGTTTTGCCTTTAAAAGTTGATGAACCATAGCCTCATTTTACATTTTTAAAATAATGCTCTTTAAAAATGAAATGGTCATGAAAGAAATATAGACAGTGTAGAAGGGCATGAGCTAGAAAGTAATAGTGCTCTAATCCTCCGACCACCGTTTCCCTTTCCATCTAGTAGTGAGGGAAAGGGTGGTGTTGAGAATTAGTCTTTGTTTTTTGGCTTGAATAATTGACTCCACAGTGGCAGTGCCATTAACTGAGAGATGGGATAAAACTTGCAAGAACAGGAAGCTATGCGGAGCAAGCTTCCTGAACTGTCTTACATTGTTTGTCTGATTGAATTATTTAGGCCTTGAATTCTGTTTGTGCTCTAGTGACATTTTGTCTTCAAAGATGTTAAATTATTCCAAAAGTAATAGACACTGACTTGGAGAGGTTTTTATTGGCCAGATTTGGGATAATTTGAACATTAGACAGAATATACAGTTGACCCTGTGTATCTGTGGGTTCCATATATGCAGGTTAAGCCAACCACAGATTGAAAGTGTTCTGTAGTTGTGTCCGTACTGAACAGTTACAGACTTTTTTCTTTTCATTTTCCCCTAAACAACATAACAATTATTTACATAGTATTTACATTGTATTAGGTATCATAAGTAATCAAAAGACGATTTAAAGTATATGAGATGGTGTGTGTAGGTTTCATGCAGATACCACGTCATTTTATGTAAGGGACTTGAGCATCTGTGCATTTTGGTATCTGCTGGGAGGTCCTGGAGCCAGTGTGTCCCATAGATATTGAAGAGGGCTGTGTATTATAATTTGTCCTATAACGAACCCGTGAATCCATCTCGATAGTAAAAAAGGTAGGGTGGGGGTGGTTCTTTACAGAAGGATGCCAGTTGATAAAATGTAGAAGGAATGATGGAATCAGAAAAACCATTTTGTAACTCTCAGTGTAAAAATTGATTCAGGCAAAAATCATTGATGGTGAAAATTTGTTGGGAAATTAAATATTCATTGGTTTAAAAGTATCACCTCACAAATTATTTACTAATTGCAAAAAAGAAAATGTACCTTTGTAATTGAGAGTCTGGCAATCATCAGCTTAACAAAATGATCAATCTTAGCATCATGAACGGTGGGACAGCCCATTGTTTTTGCCTTTCATGGGGTGCAGTAAGAAAAAAAAAAATCACCGGTATAGTTGTCCCACCAAAAATATTTAATTTAAACCTAATCATGATGGAATAATCAGACAGATCTAGAATTTGTGCTGTTTTAAATGACCACTGGCCTAGTCTCTTCAAGAAAGTATCATGAAAAGCTTTGTGGTAGTGGCGTAGGGATTCAATTAAAAAAAGACTAAGGAGACTTACCAACCAAATTCAGTGGATTAATAAAAATTAAGTTCAGTAAATTTGGATTTAATAAAAACTCATACAAAAGACATTTTTGGAACAATTTGTAACATTTGAGTATGAATTATAAAACAGATGAGTTTATGAAAATGTTATTTTGGGGGTGTTATATAAATGATATTTTGATTATATAGGAAAATGTCCTTATTCTCAGAAGAGGTATTTCAGAATGAAGTGGCATGATGTCTAGAAATTACTTTTGTTTTCTTCTGACATCACCACATTGATCGTATGCTAAAAATTACTTTCAAGTGGTTCAGAAGAAAATTGTGTGTGTGTGTGTGTGTGTATGTGTGTGTAAAGATACGGTAAAATGTTAACAATATAGATGAAGGATATATAGATGTTTATTATACATCCTTCAATTTCTTATTAGGTTTAAACATTTTAAAATATTACATTTTTCAAAACATGATTTTTAATGACTACATTGTAATTCCACATGGCTGTGTATGACAATTTGTTAAATAATTACGTGTAAAATTTTCAGCGAGAATACTTAGGGGCTATTTTATAAATGGTGGCTAAGAAACTTAAATAAACTTTCAAATATTCATTTAAACCTATACTGTAACTGAAATAGCACGAAAAGTAACCTTGTGTGACTTTATAACCTTATTAAACATTTTGCCCATTTGCCTCTGGAGTCAAGATCTTAATCTCATTCAGAAGACTGAGTGGACAAGGATTTGGTATGCATAGATGGAGGCACTGGCAACCGGAGAGGTCCCAGGGCTGCATAACACTAAGTAGCTCATAGTGACTCAACATTGGAACTTGGTATAACTTGTCTATGATTAAAGCCATTCCAGTGATACCACAGTGATATAGTGGTACCACAAAGTAGTTTTAGTTTTGTTTCACTGAAAAATAATGAATGTCAGCATCTTTTCATATGATTAATGAACAGAGTATCTTCTTTTGTGAAATACCTGTTCAAGTGTTTTGCCTGTTTTTCTACTGTGTTGTCTACCTTTTCCTTATTGATATGCGAGATTTCCTGTCTTGTTGAATATAAAATGTATACACAGCTTTCTTCCTCCTTCTCTGTCCACGTAGTCATGCCCGATTCCTCTTTGCCTTCTGGCATGATTGTTCAAGATGGTGGATAGGAGACAGGGCTGACCTGCAGCTCTTAACTTGGATGGACAGAACAGCATGTGGAGACTCACACTGTGGACTTCTTGCTCCAGGAACCACCACAGGAGTGTACTAGAAAAACTGAAAGAATTCACAGATGCTTTGAAAGAAGCAGCAGGCTGCTGCAAATTCTGTGAGACCGGCAGAAATCTCTGGTGCTCTCTCAAAACTGCCACCTTCTGGCTGGAGGCCAACCACAATATTACAGCAACTCATGACAGAATAGCCCTGCTTCAAGGTAGGAGAAAACAATAGCTAATTCCACTGCCTGCAACATCCTGGGCAACCAGTGGTCCTGAGTCTCTCCATGTGACAACACTGCTAGCATAACCAGCATCTGAGAAAGCCAGCACACTAAACATATCTACATCCAAGGACTCTCACAGAGTCTACTTCACTCCCTTACCATCTCCACCAGAACAGGTGCTGGTATCCACAGCTGGGAGACCTGAAGACAGATTGTATCACAGGACTCTATGCAGACATTTGCAAGTACCAGCTCAGAGTCTGGTAGCCCCACGGGGTGGTTAGGCCCAGTAGAGCAATAACAATCACTGCAGTGTGGCTTGCTGGAAGCCCCATCCCTAACGGGGAGTGCATCACATCAAGGGACCACCAACGTGGTACAAAAGAATCTGAACAACAGCCCTTGAGTTCCAGATTTTTCCACTGAAATAGTCTACCCAAATGAGAAGGAATCAGAAAAGTAATTCTGGTAATATGACAAGGTAATAAAACAAGGTTCTATAACATCCCCAAAAGACCACACTAGCTCCCCAGCAATGGGTCCAAATCAAGAAGAAGTCTCTGAATTGCGAAATAAATAACTCAGAAGGTTGATTATTAAGCTACTCAGGGAGATACCAGGGAAAGGTGAAAACCAACTTAAAGAAATTAAAAAAAAATACAAGATATGGATGAAAAATGCTCCAGAAGATATTTACTCCAGAGAAGTAAATATCGTAGAGATAATGTTTATTCTAGAGAATAAATAAATATTGTATTCCAGAGAAATAAATATCATAAAGAAAAAAAGAATCACAACTTCTGGAAATGAAAAACACACTTAGAGAAATGCAGTATGCACTGGAATTCCCACAATAGACTAGAACAAATAGAAGAAAGAACTTCAGAGCTCAAAGATAAGGCTTACAAATTAACCCAATCAGACAAAGACAGAGCAAAAAGAATAAAAAAAAAGAACAAAGCCTCCACAAAGTTTGGGATTATGTTAAATGGCCAAACCTAACTATAATTGGTGGTCCTGAGGAAGATGAGAAATATAAAAGTTTGGAAAACATATTTCAGGGAATAATTGAGGAAAACTTCCTCGGCTTCACAAGAGATCTAGGTATCCAAATACAAGAAGCTAAAGGAACACCTGGGAAATTCATCACAAAAAGATCATCACCCACACACATAGTTATCAGGTTATCTAAAGGCAAAACAAAGGAAAGAATCTTAAGAGCTATCAGGCAAAAGCATCAGGTAACCTATAAAGGAAAACCTATCAGATTAACAGCAGATTTCTCAGCAGAACCCCTACAAGCCAGAAGGGATTTGGATCCTATCTTTAGCCTCTACAAACAAAATAATTGCCAGCCAAGAATTTCATATTGAGCAAAATGAACCTTCATAAATGGAAAGATAAAGTCTTTCTCAGACAAACAAATGCTGAGAGGATTCACCATCACCACACCAGCACTACAAGAAATGCTAAAAGGAGTTCTAAATGTTGAAGCAAAACCTTGAAATACACCAAAATAGAACCTTCTCAAAGCGTAAATCTGATGACCTACACAACAGTAACACAATGGAAGCAAAAAGGTATTCAGGCAACAAATAGCACGATGAATAAAACAGTACCTCACATCTCAATACCAACATTGAATGTAAATGGCCTAAATGCTCCTCTTAAAATACATATAATGGCAGAATGGATACAAGTCCACCAACTAAGTATCTGCTGTCTTCAAGAGACTCACCTAACACATAAGGACTCACATAAACTTAAGGTAAAAGGGTGGAAAAAGATATTTCATGCAAATGGAAGCCAAAAGCAAGCAGGAATAGCTATTCTTATATCAGACAAACTTTAAAGCAACAACAGTTAAAAAAGACAAAGAAGGACATTATATAATAATAAAAGAATCCAGCAGGAAAATATCACAGTCCTAAATATATATGGACCTAACATTGGAGTTCCAAATTTATAAAACAATTACTACTAGACTTAAGAAATGGGATAGATGGCAACACAATAATAGTGGGGGATTCTAATACTCCATTGACAGCACAGGTCATCAAGACAGAAAGTCAACAAAGAATGGACTTAAACTATACCATAGAACAAATGGACTTAACAGATATTTACAGAATATTCCACCCAACAACTGCAGAATATACATTCTTGTCAGCACATGGAACATTCTCTAAGATAGACCATATGATAGGTCATGAAACAGGTCTCAATAAATGCAACAAAATTGGCTGGGCACGGTGGCTCATGCCTGTAATTCCACCACTTTGGGAGGCCGAGGCGGGCGGATCACAAGGTTAGGAGATCGAGACCTTCCTGGCTAACACGGTGAAACTCCGTCTCTACTAAAAATAAAAAAATTAGCTGGGCGTGGTGGCACGTGCCTGTAGTCCCAGCTACTCTGGAGACTGAGGGAGGAGAATTGCTTGAACCTGGGAGGCAGGGGTTGCAGTGAGCCAAGATCGTGCCACTGCACCCCAGCCTGGGCAACAGAATGAGACTCCGTCTCAAAAAAAGTAGACTGGGCACAGTGGCTTATGCCTATAATCCCAGCACTTTGGGAGGCTGAGGCGGGCGGATCACAAGGTCAGGAGTTTGAGACCAGCCTGGCCAATTTGGTGAAACCCCTTCTCTACTAAAATACAAAAAATTAGCCAGCCGTGGTGGCGTGCGCCTATAGTCCCAGCTACTCGGGAGGCTGAGGCAGGGGAATCACTTGAACCCTGGAGGTGGAGGTTGCAGTGAGCCGAGATCATGCCACTGCACTGCAGCCTGGCGACAGAGCAAGACTCCATCTCAAAAAAAAAAAAAAAAGTAACAAAATCAAAATTATATCAGGTACCTTCTCAGACCACAGTGGAATAAAATTGGAAATCAACTCCAAAAGGAACCATCAAAACTGTACAAATACATGGAAATTAAATAATCTGCTTCTGAGTGATCTTTGGCTTAACAATGAAATCAAGGTGGAAATTAAAAAATTCTTGCAACTGAACAGTAATAGTGACACAACTTACCAAACTTCTGGAATATAGCAAATGTGGTGCTGAGAAGAAAGGTCATAGCATTAAATGCCTGCATCAAAAAGTCTGAAAGAGCACAAAATCTAAGGTTACACCTCAAGGAACTAAAGAAACGAAGAACAAACCAAACCCAAACCCAAACGCAGCAGAAGAAAATAAATAACAAAGATTAGAGCAGAACTAAACAAAATTGAAACAGATAAACAAAAACAAAAGATAAATGCAAGAAAAAGCTGTTTATTTGAAAAGATAAACAACATTGAAAGACCATTAGTAAGATTAACCAAGAAGAGAGATGTAAATAAGCTCAATTAGAAATGAAATGGGAAATACTACAACTGATACCACAGAAATATAAAAGATTATTCAAGTTTACTGTGAGCACAAACTAGAAAATCTAGAGATGGATAAATTCCTGGAAATATACTACCCTACTAGATTAAATTGGAAGAAATAGAAACTCTGAACAGACCAGTAACAAGTAGCAAGATTGAAACAGTAATGAAAAAACTGCCAACAAAAAAAATTCCAGGACTGGATGGATTCACAGCTAGATTCTATCAGGCATTCAGAGAAGAATTGGTATCAGTTTTACTAAAACTATTCCACAAGATAGAGAAGGAGGGTACCCTCCCCAAATAAGTCTTTGAAGCCAGTATCACCCTAATACCAAAATCAGGAAAGGTTATAATAACAACAACAAAAACAAAAAGAAGGAAAGAAGGAAGGAGGCAGCAAGTGGGGGAGGGAGATTGGGGAGGGAGGAAGGAAAAGAAAACCACATACCAATATCCCTGATGAACATAAATGCAAAAATCCTCAAAAAAAAAAAAAAGTCTGGGTACAGTGGCTCATGCCTGTAATCCCAGCAATTTGAAAGGCTGATGTGGGTGGATCACCTGAGATCAGGAGTTTGAGACCAACCTGGCCAACATGTTGAAACCCTGTCTCTACTAAAAATACAAAAGTTAGCCGGGCGTGGTGGCACACGCCTGTAATTCCAGCTACTCAGGAGGCTGAGGCAGGAGAATCGCTTGAACCCGAGAGGTCGAGTGAGCTGAGATCATGCCACTGCACCCCAGTCTGGGCAACAAGAGCGAAACTCCGTCTCAAAAAAACAAAACAAAACAAAACAAAACAAAAACTAGCTAACCAAATTCAATAGCTTATCAAAAAGATAATACACCATAATCAAGTGGGTTTCATAACAGGGATGTAGTGATGAATTAACACATGGAAGTCAATAAATGTGATCCATCACATAAACAGAATTAAAAACAAAAATCAAAGATCGTATCAATAGTTGCAGAAAAAGCATTTAACAATATGATTAAAACCCTTAGCAAAATCAGTATAGAAGGGAGATACCTCGAAGTAATAAAAGCCGTCTGTGACAAACCCACAGCCAACATTATACTGAATGAGGAAAAGTTGAAAACATTTCCCCTGAGAACTGGAACAAGACAAGGATGCTCACTTTCACCACTTCCATTCGACATTGTACTAGAAGTCCCAGCCAGAGCAGTCAGACAAGAGAAGGAAATAAAGCGGATCCACATTGGTAAAGACAAAGTCAAACTGTCACTGTTCACCAATGATATGATCATATACCTAGAAAACCCTAAAGACCCAGAAAGCTCCTTGATCTCATGAATGAATTTAGTAAAGTTTCAGGATACAAAATCAGCGTACACAAATCAGAAGCATTGCTAAACACCAACAATAACAAAGCCGAGAATCAAATCAAGGACTAAAACCCCTTTACAACAGCTGCAATAAATAAATAAACAAACAAACAAATAAATAAAATACTTACGAATATACCTAATCAAGGAGGTGAAACATCTCTGCAAGGAAAACTGCAAAACATTGCTGAAAGAAATCATAGATGACTCAAACAAATGGAAACACATGCCAAGCTCTTGGATGGGTAGAATCAATATTGTGAAAATGACCATACTGCCAAAAGCAATCTACAGATTCAATGCAATTCCCATCAAAATACCATCGTCATTCCTCACAGAACTAGAAAAAACAATCCTGAAGTTCATATGGAACCAAGAAAGAGCCCACATAGCCAAAGCAAGACTAAGCAAAAAGAACAAATCTGGAGGCATCACATTATCTGACTTCAAGCTATATACTACAAGGCTATAGTTACCAAAACAGTATGGTACTGGTATAAAAATAGGCATGTAGACCAATGGAACAGATGAGAGAACCCAGAAATAAAGCCAAATACTTACAGCCAACTGATCTTTGACAAAGCAAACAAAAACATTAAATGGGGAAAGGACATCCCATTCAATAAATGGTGCTGGGATAATTGGCAAGCCACATGTAGAAGAATGAAACTGGATCCTCATCTCTCACCTTATACAAAAATCAACTCAAGATGGAGTAAAGACTTAAATCTAAGATCTGAAATTATAAAAATTCTAGAAGATAACATCGGAAAAACCCTTCTGGGCATTGGCTCAGATAAGGACTTCATGACCAAGAATCCAAAAACAAATGCAGCAAAAACGAAGATAAGTAGATTATTAAACGAAAAAGCTTCTGCACAGTAAAAGAAATAATCAGCAGAGTAAACAGACAACCCACAGAGTGGGAAAAACAATATTCTCAACTGTGCATCTGACAAAGGACTAATACCCAGAATCTACAAGGAACTCAAATCAGCAAGATAAAAAACAATCCCATCAAAAAGTGGGCAAGGGACATGAATAGACAGTTCTCAAAAGAAAATATACAAATGGCCAACAGACATATGAAAAAATGCTCAATATCACTAATTATCAGGGAAATGCAAATCAAAACCATAAGGAGATACCACCTTACTCCTGGAAGAATGGCCGTAATTTAAAAAATCAAGAAACAACAGATGTTGGTGTAGATGTGGTAAAAAGGGAACACTTTTACACTGCTGGTGGGAAAGTAAACCACTATGGAAAACAGTATGGAGATTCCTTAAAGAACTAAAATAGAACTACCATTTGATCCAGCAATCCCAGTACTGGGTATCTACTCAGAGGAAAAGAAGTCATTATTTGAAAAAGACACTTGCACACACATTTATAGCAGCACACTTCACAGTTGCAAAAAAATGGAGCCCACTTAAATGCCCATCAACAAACAAGTGGATAAAGAAAATGTAGTGTCTATATGTATATATACAGCTCTGTCGCCCAGGCTGGAGTGCAGTGGTGCGATCTCGGCTCACTGCAACCTCCAACACACATACACACCATGGAATACTGTTCACCCATAAAAAGGAATGAAATAATGGCATTCGCAGCAACCTGGATGGAGTCGGAGACCATTTTTCTAAGTTCAGTAACTCAGGAATGGAAAACCAAACATCATATGTTTTCACTTATAAGCGGGAGCTAAGCTATGAGGATGCAAAGGCATAAGAGTGATATAATGGATTTTTGGGGACTTGGAGGAGAAAGGTGGGGAGGGGCTAGGGATAAAAGACTACATATTGGGTACAGTGTACACTGCTCAGGTGATGGGTGCATCAAAATCTCAGAAATCGCCATTAAAGAACTTTTCCATGCAACCACACACCGCCTGTTCCCTCAAAGCTATTGAAGTAAAAATATAAATAAATAGATCAAATAATTCTAAAAAAAAGTAAATGATTGAAAGAAGTCAAAAGTAATAATACCATATGACATGTAAAATAATAGGAAATCCCAATTTTAAGACTATAAAGTGCTAGGAGAAAATCTACACACATGTATGTATCAGATATTTTCTACTATCCTGTGACTTGTGTTTTTACCCCTGTAGTGTTGTCTTTTAATGAGCAGAAGTTCTTAATTTTAGTGCAACTTATTTTATTTTATTTTTTTAGATGGAGTCTCACTCTATCGCCCAGGCTGGAGTGCAGGGGTGTGATCTCGGCTCACTGCAACCTCTCCCTCTCCGGCTCAAGCAGTTCTCCTGCCTCAGCCTCCCGAGTAGCTGGGACTATAGGCACGTGCCACCATGCCCGGCTAATTTTTTGTATTTTTAGTAGAGACAGGGTTTCACCATGCTGGCCAGGCTGATCTTGAATTCCTGACCTCGTGATCCGCCTGCCTCGACCTCCTAAAGTGCTGGGGTTACAGGCGTGAGCCACTGCGCCCGGCCTAGTGCAACTTAATTTATCACTTTATGAGCAGTGAGCTTTTTGTACTATTTAGGAAATTGTTACCTACTGTAAGGTTACAGTTTTTTACATTTAGAGTTTTTTACATTTAGAGTTACTGTACATTTGGTATTGATTTTTGCATGTTGGTTTTAGGGGTCAAGATTTATTTTACATTTTGTCTTAATTACTATAGCCTTGTAATAATTCTAATTCATAATAAATATAATAGGTAATATAAATCTTCCAATTTGTTATTTAAAATCACCCTAGTCATTTATTTCTTATTTTTTTTTTTAGAATTTGCTTATAAATTTCTACCCCACCCCACCCCCCACAAACACACACATAAACACACTACTAGGATTTTGCTTGGGGTTGCTTTGAATCTGTTGATAATTTGGGGAGAATTAACATCTTTCCAATACTGAAACCTACCAACCCATGAACATGGTATAACCCCCATTTATTTAGGACTTTCATTTCTCCAAGCTTCTGTAAGTTTTTTGGGTTGATTTTAGACAGAATCTCACTCTGTCACCCAGGCTGGAGTGCAGTGGCGTGATCTCGGCTCACTGCAACCTCTGCCTCCTGGGTTCATCTGATTCTCCTGCCTCAGCCTCCTGGGACTATAGGCACGTGCCACTGCACCTGGCTAATTTTGTACTTAAGGTAGAGATGGGGTTTCACTATGGTCTCGAATTCCTGACCTCAGATGATCCTCCCACCTCAGCTTCCCAAAGTGCTGGGTTTACAGGCGTGAGCTGCTGCATCCAGACTAAGCTTCTGTAGTTTTTTTTTTTTTTTTTTTTTTTTGAGACAGTCTTGCTCTGTGGCCAGGCCGGAATGCAGTGGTGTGATCTCGGCTTACTGCAACCTCTGCCTTCCGGGTTCAAGCAGTTCTTCTGCCTCAGCCTTCCAAGTAGCTGGGACTACAGGCGCATGCCACCATGCCCAGCTAATTTTTGTATTTTTAGTAGAGATGGAGTTTCACCATGTTGGCCAGGATGGTCTCAATCTCCTGACCTCGTGAACCGCCTGCCTTGGCCTCCCAAAGTGCTGGGATTACAGGCATGAGCCACTGCGCCCGGCCAGCTTCAGTAGTTTTTAAGTGTAGAGTTCTTACACATCTTTTATTACATTTATACGTAGGTATTTGATGTTTGTTTTGATATCCTACTGTAAATTTATATTGTTTGTTACTTTAATTTTCTATGTGTTTGTTGCTAGTATTTGAAGGATACAGTTGGTTTTTGTACATAGATCTTATATCTAGCCATCTTGAAATTTGCTTGTTTGTTTGTTTTTTGAGACTGAGTCTCGCTCTGTGGCCCAGGCTGCAGTGCAGTGGCGGGATCTCGGCTCACTGCAAGCTCCGCCTCCCGGGTTCACGCCATTCTCCTGCCTCAGCCTCCCGAGTAGCTGGGACTAAAGGCACCTGCCACCATGCACAGCTAATTTTTTGTATTTTTAGTAGAGATGGGGTTTCACTGTGTTAGCCAGGACAGTCTCGATCTCCTGAGCTCATGATCTGCCCGCCTCAGCCTCCCAAAGTGCTGGGATTACAGGCGTGAGCCACGGTGCCCGGCCGAAATTTGCTTCTTAATTATTTTTTAAGGATTCATCTAATTCTTCTTGGTTTTATTTCTGACCTAAGATCTTTCTACTGTGATTCAATGCACCAAACATTTTTTGTAAAACTGATTAGATTTTCTTGAGTACTCTTTTGCATTTAGATCAGAAGTCACAAATATTTGATGTAAAAATAACATTATAAATTTTGACTTTATCATGTATAGGTAGTAGTCCAAATGTTGTATTAAATGTGATTTCTTACAGCAAAATTAAACTAGATCCAGGAAGTTGCTAATTCTTAGCATGAGCATTCTTCTAGAAATAACTATAGAGTATATTTATTTCTAGAAGAAATATAGAGTATAACTGTATTAAAAAGTGTTGAAGTTGTTTTAAAAGCTATAATTCTGATTTGCGAAAATCATGCTAATTCACTTTTCAGAAATACACTTAATTTTCTTTCATTTATTATTAATTTATCAAGCATTTATAAAGTGCCTGTCATGCCAGGAATTTAAGTACTCAAAGGTTTTAGTTTTCAACAAGTGAAAGAGTGGGGATTGGAAAACAGATATGTAGTTGTAATAGAGTGAAACTCACCTGATTATAGTATGCTTTGTATGTTATAGGAGCTAAGAAAACGGTCATCACACCCAGACTGGAGGAAGACCTTATGATATATATTAAAAGAGCAATTGGAGTGTGGTTGCTGAATACTTCACACACACACCCCTTTCAAACCCCACACCCCTTTTCTCCTGGGTTCCTATGAATAGATTTCTTGAAGGTTACTTTAAATCTCTTTTTGCTTTCTTTTCACTGATTAGTTGACGTTGAAGTGAGTTGAGATACTTCATCATTATATTGGTATTTGGGTTTCTAAAGAAAAAACATTTTTTAAAGAAGACATTTATTTAGTGTCATGATCAGGCAATCAAAATTTAGCAATCAAAAGCATGGTTTGCAAAAAACAAACAAACAAACAAAAAAACAAATTCTGGGCCAGGCGCGGTGGCTCACACCTGTAATCCCAGCACTTTGGGAGGCCGAGGCAGGTGGATCATGAGGTCAAGAGTTTGAGACCAGCCTGGCCAACATGGTGAAACCCTGTCTGTACTAAAAAAAAATATAAAAATTAGCTGGGCATGGTGGCGCCTGCTTGTAGTCCCAGCTATTCGGGTGGTTGAGGCAGGAGGATTGCTTGAACCCAGGAGGCAGAGGTTGCAGTGAGCCAGGACTGTGCCACTGCACTCCAGCCTGGGTGACAGAGTGAGCCTCCATCTCAAAAAAAAAAAAAAAATTCTGCATGTTTAGGTACACAAATACTGTGTTACAGTTGTGTATAGTGTTCAGTAACATGGTGTACAGGTTTGTAGCCTAGGAACAATGAGCTATATCATATAGCCTAGGTGTACAGTAGGCTATACCATCTAGATTTGTGTAAGTACACTCTGTGATGTTTGCACAACAGTGAAATTGTCTAATGATACATTTCTCAGAACATATACCCATTGCTAAGCAATGCATGACTATACATAGATGTATGTATATACATATAGAAAGAGTTGTTAACGCTGGTCTTTTGGTAGAATTCTGAAATTGGGAGCCATATGAATGAGAATTTGAATAGGAACAATAAAATGCCAACTGTTCAGAATTTTTAAAAATCAATATATGTTCAGATTTTTAAAAGTAGAATTGCACTGTAAAGTTTACAACAAAAAACAGCAACTCTGGGCCCAATTCTCCCTACCTCATGATTTTTGATTACAAGAAGCAAGGACTTTCAGATCTTGGATATTTTTTCTCTCTAATTTCAGCGTAATGGTATTATTTCTCCTATTTTTAAATTTAGAGTAATCTGTTGCAATTTGCTATCATGGTACATGAATGATTTGGTTCTGTTACATAGTTTTCCCCATCCTCACGTATATGCAAACTTTCTTTCCCCATCTTCATAGGAACTCTTAGAACTTCCATATACCTTCATCCTGGATATTCCCATTACCTCTCTCTTGTGTTGGAGTTTGATTCCTAGGTCTCCATCATCTTTCTGGGTTTACTCCCTTATTTTGCTGGCATACTTCCCTGAGTAGCTTTTTGAAAGGGAGTGAATGGAAGGCACATTTTTCGAGTCTTTGCATGTTTAAAAAAATGTCTATTCAATTTTATATTAATTCTTAACTTTATATTTCACACATCAGATTCATACATTATGTTCATAGAATGTATATAAACAAAGCAAAGAAAATTGGGGTATTTCAAAAGTTTTAGAGAAAGATAGTTATTTCATGTATTTAAATTTAAAAAGTCAACTTGGGAAATAAAGTGTGTGTATGTGTATATCAGTGGCTTAAACAATGAAGACATTTTTTCCAGTCATCCAGGGGTGCAGGTGCCTTTTACCTTATTCTTACACCGTTTTCTACTCTCAGGCCTCACTACTCAGAGTGCGATTCCCAGAAAGAGCAGCAGCATCACTTGGGAGCTTATTAGAAATGCAGAATCTCAGGACCAGCCCAGACCTACTGGATCCAAGTGATTGATTTGTTTGTTAAGAACTGCCTTAGGGTTTATCATTATTTTTGTGCTGTAAGATGGCTTACCATCACCCAGTATTCTTATTCCAACTAATAAGAAGGGAGAGAGAGTGGAGGGTCTGCAGATTTGTTTTAAGGGCATGAACTAAAATCTGCTCACATCACTTTTTCTCATATCTGATTGGTCAAGTTTGCCATATAGCTAAGCCCATTAAAAGTCACACAGGAAGCAGGAAAATGTGATATTTAGTTAGGTTGTTATGTGCTCAGCTCTAGCTAGGAGGGATTTGTTACTAAAAGGAGGAAGAGAAGAATGCATATTGGGGCAAACTAGCAGTGATACTTTGGCTGGATATGGAATTCTAGGTTGGAAATCCTTTTTAAAATCCCAGAATTTTGAATATATTGTTATATTCTCTTATAACTTCAGTGTTGTTGAAAACTCCAGTGTGATTCAGATTTCTGATCCCTGTGTATAACTTGTTTGTCTTCTAGAAAGCTTAAGAACTCTTATGTTTCTTCACTTTAAATTTCCATTTTTCTGAACTTTTATGATTATGTGCATTTGTGGATTTTATTTTATTTATTATTCTCAGTCCTGAGATGTAGGACTGGGTGCTTTCAGTTAGAAAGTATTTGTCCTGTGTGATTCCATGGTGTAATGGCAAGCACTCTGGACCCTGAATCAAGAAAGTACTTGTCCTTCAATTTTGGGAAATGCTATTATTTGATAATTTCTCTTTTTGTATTTTCTTTGTTTCTCTAGATTCTTAGTTTTCAATTTTGTCTTTCAAACCTTGTATTTAATTTTTATTTCTGCTTTCATATGTATATATAATTTGTCATCTGAATGTTCTTTTTCATAACCTTACTTATATTTCATGGATGCAGTAGCTTACCTCTTTGTGATAATAGTTTTAATTGACAAATAAAAATTGTGTATATTGGCTGGGCATGGTGGCTCACGCCTGTAATCGGAGCACTTTGGGCGGCCAAGGCGGGTGGATTGCCTGAGCTCAGGAGTTCATGACCAGCCTGGGCAACACAGTGAAACCCCATCTCTACTAAAATACAAAAAAAATTAGCTGGCCATGGCGGTGTGCACCTGTAGTCTCAGCTACTCGGGAGGCTGAGGCAGGAGAATTGCTTGAACCTGGGAGGCAGAGGTTGCAGTGAGCCGAGATTGCATCACTGACTCCAGCCTGGGCAACATAGTGAGACTGTCTCAAAAAAAAAAAAAAAAAAAAAAATTTGTATATATTTATGGTGTCAACATGGTTTTGAAATATGTGGAACAAATTTTTGTGATATACAGTTTTAATTGATAAATATTGTATATATTTATGGTATCAACATGTTTTGAAATATGTATACATTATGGACTAGCTATGTTGAGCTAATTAACCATAAGCATTAACTCACACATATCTACTCTGCAATTTTCAAGTATACGTTTACTGTAGTCCATTTGTTCTATAATATATATTTTGACCTTATTTTTCCTGCTTAATTGAAATTTGGTATACTTTTGCAAACCTCTCCCCAATCACTCCCCTCCTCCTCCAGCCCCTGGTAACCACCATTCTACTCTCTACTTTTATAAGTTCCACATTTTTAAATTCTACATATAAGTGAGATCATGTGGTATTTATCTTTCTGGCTTATTTCACATAACAACATAATGCCCTCTGGTTTCATCCATGTTGTTGCAAATGACCAGATTTCCTTGTTTTTAAAGGCTAAATAATATTCTGCACCTTTTTTTTTTTTCTTCAGAGGTGGGATCTTGCTTGGTTGCCCAGGCTGGAATACAGTGGCAGGATCATAGCTCACTGCAGCCTCAGACTCCTGCGCTCAAGCAGTCTCCCGCCTCAGCCTCCTCAGTAGTTGGGATTATAGGCATGAGCCACCATGCCCTGCTCTACACACTATATTTTCTTTATCCGTTCATCTGTCGATGATTCTTATGTGATTCTGTATCTTGGCTATTGTGAATAATGCTGCAGTGAACATGGGAGTGCAGGTATCTCTTCAACATACTGAATTCATATCCTATATAGCCAGTAGTAGGATGGTTGGATCATATGGTAGTTCTGTTTTCAATTTTTTGAGAAACCTCCATACTGTTTTTTAAATGGCTGTGCTAATTTCTATTCTCAGCAGTGTGCAAGGATTCCCTTTGCTCCACATCCTCACGAACACTTGTCTTTTTGGTATTAGCCACTCTAACAGATAGGAAGTGATATTTCATTGTGGCATTAATTTGCATTTCCCTGATGATTAGTGATGCTCAGCATTTTTTCGTATGTCTGTTGGCTATTTGAAAGTCTTTCAGAAAATGTATATTGAGGTTCTTTGTTCATGATAGTTTCTTTTTTGTTTTGTTTTGTTTTTTGAGAGGAGTCTTGCTCCGTCGCCAGGCTGGAGTGCTGTGGTATGATCTTGGCTCACTGCAACCTCCGCCTCCTGGGTTCAAGCGATTACCCCGCCTCAGCCTCCTTAGTAGCTGGGACTACATGTGTGCACCACCATGCCCTGCTAATTTTTGTATTTTCAGTAGAGATGGGGTTTCACCATGTTGGCCAGGATGATCTCGATCCCTTGACCTCGTGATCTGCCCCTCGGCCTCCCAAAGTGCTGGGATTACAGATGTGAACTACCGCACCCAGCCCATGATAGTGTTTTAATGTTCTTCTTTGTGCATTGTCTCTGTTTCTTCCAAGCTATTTTGGTCTTTTCTTATTAAAGGTTTTTCTTAAATATGGTGACTCTAGGAAATGTATTAATACTTAAGAGTAAAGTACCAAAACATTGACTGTATGATCTGTCTGTATTGGCAGATCTTTGCTTATAGGGAGATCAGGTAGGGAACAGGCTCTTTTTTTGGGATCCCTTAGACTTTGGTATGTGTAGATTTTTTCTCTTGGGCTTCCCTGTTGACCAAAATACCTTATTAATAAAGGAAAGCCTGGTTTATTTCCTATTATAATAAGGGAGTCTCCTGCCTTTACAGAATCTTAGTAGTGTCTCAGAGGGGAAGGCAAAAGAGTGATATTTATGAGGCTTTTGGGTTTGGTTTAATGCAGATCTTTTCACTGCAAAGGCCTGATTGGAATATGGCTGGGTAATGACAATCAGCAAGGGTTTTAAATGAGTCTTGCAGAGTAAAGAGTCTTTGAAGAACTTTGTTGAATGAGTTATTGTCCTGGGCAGGGGTAATGAGTAGTCTGTTTTTCAGATAAATATATTTGGGAGACGTTCCTGAATCCAACTAGACTATTTAAAACTTCATCTTTCTGGGCAGGAGTTCCTGGAATAGTAAAGTCATTTTAAGTTGAAGAGTAAAACCATGTAAATATAGATAGTATGTGATTGTTAATGGTTTTGGTTCTCAGCCTCCTTTCCCCAAGCATTAACATCTGAGAATATGATCAATCCAGTTATTTATGACTGTATGAGGTCTCAATGGTCAGGTAACAGGCTGGGGGTGGGGAGAAGATGGAGATGATCATTTCAATCTTCGTAAGCATTAGAGATTCTTCTCCTTTTGTATCATGGTCGTTTGTTGGATCATTTGACTGGACAGTGGCTGTACAGCAGCATTCAATACTCTGGCTACACCCCTGAGCACTGCACCACAGACGGATACTAAAAAAAGGATTATGATTAGAGTCTGCACTCTACTTTTTAGCCAGGAGCCAAGAGTGCCAAAATTAAGCCATGAAAATTGATTCTATCCCATCCGAAGAGCTCACAAAAACAAATGTAGCGTTATTGTCAACATCGCCTAATTTTATGATTATTTTGCTTGCTTCTGTAATCTTTTTAGTAATGGTAAGGATATCAGAGAGGATCGAAAGGTTATAAGCACATCTTCCCCTAAGACAGACAAATGTTGTATTTAAAGTGACTCTTCTGAACTACCACCTATCTGGTTTCACAAACCTTTTGGACAAAGGGCTCTTTGGTTATCTTTGGGTTACCTAATTTACTTGCTATTCTCTAAGCTTTAGCATGTAGAAATCTTCCTCCTTTCTAGACCTTTTGTAGAGCTGGAAGTAAAGAAGGTTGATGTGAAAAGGAAGCAATTCAGAATCCTCTTAAGTGGTTGGGGAATCAGATTCTCAGATTGTTTCCAAGAGCAGGAACTGATGGGCCAAAATGGGCTCTGGGTGATATCAGGTACTGTCCTGAAGGGAGGCATCAGTTTACTAAGATAACGAATCCCTGATTAGTTTGCAAGTAGTAGCTAGTAGACTTCTGTGTCATGAAGTTAACATTAATCTATTGAGGTAAAATACCCCTATTGGTGTTGTCAAAGAGCATTTATAACTTATCAAGGATGATCCAGTGCCAGGTAATCAAATTTGTAGCGCCAGTATCATTAGGTAGCTCTAAAGCACAAGAGCATGGGGTTTAATTTGTCTGTCTTTACTGTTAGGTCTATGAAACTGAGACCGCCTCCAAATACACACCTTTTATTAATAAAAGGACCTCTTATTACTAAAAGGACCCAACATTAAGTCCTCTTCTAAGGACTGGAAGACTAGAGGTCCTTGTAGTAATAAAGGACTAACCTGTAGTATTAAAGGACTAACCAAGGACTAGGACCTCTAGTCCTCTTCTAAGATCCGTTAGTAATGTTTCATTGGAGATAAGAACCTCCTTTCCTCTGAATGACACAATAGATGGCCTATCATTAGGGTTGCCATTTAAAAAGTTACTAAACAGTTAAGTCATTTACCCAGGAAACAAATTGATTAGTTACAAGGAACAATTACCAAGGAAAGCAGGGTGGCTCCCAAAGGAAAATGTTTATAAACCCAACAGTCACTCTGATTGTATGCTTTGGTCAAATTATGAATAAATTTTAATCAGGCATTGGGCTCATACAAATGGAATGGAAAAGCCAATATTAAGAATAGGGGCCTTTAAAGTAATATAACTAAAAAGGTAACCTTAATAGCAAAAGAGGAAAGAAGATAGCTAGGAAGATAAAGAACAGAATAATACAGATTAAAGCATGACAGTCACTAACCTTGTTCTATGGATCTTGGTCAAGATCTTTGATTGAAGCTCCCTCCTTCCAAAGACCTTCTACTTCTAGAAGGTTGCTGAGAATCGTCAACTTCAGATTTCTAAATGGGATAGTCTTCCAGTGATTCAAGGCTGACTTAGGCTTTTTTAAATTGAGAGACGTGAGTATAAGGAGTCTTACTGCCATACTGGTTATTAACAGTACCTGATAAGTTCCTTTCTCTCAAGTTCAAGGACTGTCTTTCTCTGTTTTCCAAAAGGCCATGTCTCCAGGTTTCAGATCATACAGGGGTCATTTAGGAGGATGTTAAGGAAACGCTACTTATACCTGTTGGTAGTAATACTGGATATATTGCATGTGTCTTACTTAGTTTGGGCTGCTAAAACAAAATATCATAGAGTGGCTTATAAACAACACAAATTATTTCTCACACTTTTGAAAGCTGAAAGAGATCAGGGTGCCAGCATGATTGGGTTCTGGTGAGATTCTCCCTCAGGGTTATAGGGTGCTGTCCTCTCGCTATATCCTCACTTGGTGGAAAGAGGCGGGAGAGCTCTCTGGAGTCTCTTTTATAGGGGCAATATCCCATTGCCCCTATTAAAGCCTCCTCCACCCTCATGACTAATTATTAAAACTGCGATTTTATATTGGTACCAATCTAATACTTCCCCGAAGCCCCATCTCCTCCTTGTGCCATCACATTGGAGTTTAGGATTTCAGCACATTAATTTTGCAGGGATACAAATATTTGGTCTGTAACATTATGAGTTCTTGGCAAGCAGTGCATATATGGCCATGTCTGCCTACAGTAGTGTGGAGTCTATAATCAGAGGTAATATTTCTAGGTATGTGGGCAAGCCTGTACTAAGTAATTATTGGGGAATGGTTGAGCCCCAGAAAAAATTGATCTCATTGTTATTAAAGCCAGTGGCAATATCTTAGGCCACAGAAGTTCAAGAGACTCTACCTTTGCTCATATTAGTCTCAGAATTCCCTTTGTTCTTTCTACCTTTCTTGAGGTGAGGTGGACAGTGAAACTTCCGAGTAAGTGGAAAGACTTTGCAAAGCTCTTTAATAACAGCTCTAGCAAAGTGGATGCCCCTCAAAGAAAGGTTGAAATTCCTCAGGTTGAACACACAAAATTCAGTTTTTTCCTAGTGTTTGAGCTGTAGATTTCCAACAAGGAAAGGCTTAAGTCTAATGCAAGAACAAGCAAATGATGACCAGGATATAGTCAAAACCCACAGCAGGGGATTAGTTGTGCGAAAACCATTTGTGGCACTCAGAGAGACCTTGAGGTCTCTACTCCTGTCTGTGTTCCACCTTTACTGTCAAAAATTATGCTGGTGAGAAAGGAGACATAGACCACGGCACCCTTGGCAATTTTAGTGACGCTTTTCCGGTAGTGTTAATAGACTTGACTGACCAATTTGTCCTTACCAGGGTATACAGTTTTATGCAAAAAATTTCCGAGGTTCCATTCAGGATCTCTGATGCCACCAAGAAACCCTGTCCTAAGAGCACCAGTGGTTAACTGTGGTAATTTGCCCCTGGATTTCATCCAATATGCTTTTCTAATGCTAGAGCCAGTTGTTGGCATTCTCTTTGAACCTCTTAAAAGATTTGGCCTTTTGAACTACCATAAAGGCTAAGATCTTAGTAAAGGGTGCTTCTTGTCTGACATAATGATCAGTCAGGGCATATTCTTAATTGTTCATGTTATTTCTCTTTTTTTGTGGGCATGTCTTTAGAATTGTTACTTCCTTAGGAAGGATTAATGCTAAAGTCAGGAACCATCGTTATTTTCAAAGCATCCCCAAATCATGACTACTCTTAAAACTGATCCATTCTCAGTTTTATATATACAGTTACTTGTGAGTTAACCATGGAGATATAGCCTGAGAAATGCATTGTTAGGTGATTTTGTCATTGTGCAAACATTATAGAGTAGTGTACTTAAACCTAGATGGGATAGCCTACTACACACCTAGGCTATATTGTATAGCCTAGTGCTCCTAGGCTACAAACCTGTACTGTGTACATGGTGCTGTCCTGAATCTTGTAGGCAGTTGTGATGCCACTGTCGTATATGTGGTTCTTTGTGACAGAAACATCAATATGCAGTATGTGACTGTATTATCCTTTCATCACTAGCTACACAGTTCACTGGCAAGCTCTGCTGAATGCAGTGATTTCAGTCATCTTGGCATATCTTGCCTCTAGCATGGGGTTTCATTCCGGGTGTGAGTTGAGATCTGTTCCATCAAAGTCGGCCTCATATTTTCTTGTTTCATCTGAAGACATGACCCATCAACAACCAAGATTGAATCTGAATTTTCTAGAGGAGTTTCTGGTAAGTCTATTTAGGACATAGTTTACTGACAGTAGTTTCCTGCTTTTTAAGGAATAGAGGAGTAGCAAGGGTCAACAAACCCTTTTCTGTAAAGGGCCAGATAGTAAATGTTTTAGGCTTGCTGGGCCATGTATAGTCTCTGTTACTAATTTTTTAAAACAATTCTTTAAAAATATAAAAACTATTCTTAGCTCATGGTCAGTGCAGAAATGAGCCATGGGCTGAACTTGGTTAAATTCTTTAATAATTATATAATTACAGAAAAATGGGGACCTACTACCTTCAGTAGTCAATGAGATAAAGGAATCTTCATGATTTTCTTTGTTGCATACCTCAGAAAGGTTTGAACGGTGTGTAATCTGCCCAGAGTAAGAGGCATACCTCCTTAGGATAAATCATGCACTAGGTAACGCGGTAGTCCCTCTCTGTCCCCAGGAGAGATACCTTTCAAGACCCCCAGTGGATGCCTGAAACCATGAACTTCATATAAACTATTAATATATTTTTTTAATCTGATAACCAAGACAGCTACTAAGTGACTAATGGGTGAGTAGAGTATGCAGCGTGGGTGGGCTGGACGAAGGGATGAGTCACATTCTGGTGAGGGATGGAGGTGGGGGGCATGAGATTTTATGCTAACTCAGAATGGCACACCATTTAAAACTTATGAATTGTTTATTTCTAGAAGTTTCCATTTAATATTTTCAGACTGAGGTTGACCATAGGTAACTGATACTGCGGAAAGCCAACCATGGATTGGGCGGGGGATTACTGTATACTTGAATAAGACTATAATTTCTCTTTGCCTATGTCCTGTCTGAGTTAAAGTAGAAAAATGTAATCAGTCTTGGAACTTACTTATTTTTCAGACCAACAAAAGGTCGTCCAGATATTAGATTAGAGTAGATACAGGGAAATTTAAGATCCTTGAGGTACTAGTTGAGGACTTGTTGAAAAATTGGAGAGTGTCTCAGTAAACTCTAGGGCATAACTGTCCAGATATATTATTGATTTTTCCAAAGCAAACAGGTATTGATTATCCCGCTCTAAAAAGACATTAAATTAAGACACAGGTTTGTAAGTGTGAAATATGTAGCTTCAAGAAATGGTAAAGATAAAATAATATTTGAGTTTGGTACTGTAGGAAAGTGGGGGTGAGGAGAGAGATGAATAGTCTATTTATAGCCCTGGGATCCTGAACAAAGCTGTATCCTTTCCATTGTGGTGATTTTGTTTTTTGTTTTTGATCAGGAAGACAGGAGTATTGCAAAGATAAATATGAGGTAATGAGTCCTTTCTGTATTAGGTCTTCAACTGTTGGTTTTAGTCCTTTTCACTTCTGCAGCTAGAGAGTATTGTTCAAATTTGGGTAGATGTTTGCTTCGGGTTAGTCAATCTGAGCCTTGAATGGGGTTCAGCTTCAATAAATCTGCCATTATCAGTAGACTTTTTTTTTTTTTTTTTTTTTTGCCTACAGAAAGTCAAACTTCCTAGAGATGTTCAATGTGGGCTTGATGTAAATTAAGAAACACCAGTAATCAATGTCCAAATTAGCTATGGCCTCATTGTTGAATAGAGGAGAACTTGGGGATTTCAAGGAAAGGGCCATTAGGCAAAATTTAATGTGGTAATTAATTTCTTTTGTACAATAATTAATTCCTCCCTGTTAAATTACCTGGTATGGTATCACAGGAAGAAAGAATGTTCCTCTGTTAGAGGCCTAAGGGTGAGACTTAAGAGTGGTATGTGGGGGATGTCTGAGCATTATGAGAGATGCCATCATCTGAGTAGTTTGTTGGCTCCATTGGAGAGGTTCTGTAACATTGGTAGAGTTTAAAGTTGACGTTAGAGCATTAGTATCAATGTAGATTCTGCAAGGTTGTCCTTTAATATTTAAAGAAATTTCTCCCTGTGAGTTTAAGGATAGGATGGGACATTCCCCATAATGTCACCTTTGATTACCTTCTTATCTAACAGTAGAACTAATTTTATTCCAATTCCCTTCCTTGATGATGGTATTTAAGAGCGTCTTCATCAAGAGACTCCTTGCTCTGGAAATTAATGACTGGAATGTGGGCACCTAGTTTTTAAAATGTGTAACGCCATCATTGTATTCTGAGTCTTATCCTGCTTTTGTTCAGTGAGAAGTTGGTAGTCAGTCTGTGGGGCTATTTCCCACTCTGGTTTTTGCTTGCATATTACATTCTCTATTTCTGACTTAAAATGGTTCACAGAAAGTGAGGCAAGAGTGCGGACCCATCTGTGTCAGAATCTCCTGAATGCTGTCTGCAGGTGTTAATGAGCCTGGCCAACACAGCAAGCAAGATCCCAGCTCTAAAAAACACAAAACAATAAACCTGATAAACTTCTGGATTAATCAAGGACTATGCTATTTAAAGTACCCATAAAACACCCCAATAGAATTCTGCAATGGATGCCTTCTTTATTTGCTTATGAACTGAATTAAAGACTTCAGTCGATTTCCAAAAGAGAAATTGTGAATTCTTCCAAAACTTATAACATCTATAGTATTTCTAAAACTCGTTGGTTTCTTATACAATTCAAGGTTTCACCCAAAGGGTCTTCCCAATTTTTTTGCATTTGAGTTTCCTATATATGAACCAATTGATATGGATCTGGGAGCCTGGGATTATATGTTTCTAAAAGTGTTCGCGATTCATTTGGAAGGGTCTTTTCATGGGACAGATAGGGCAGCTAAGGAAATTGGGACCCAGAGGACTAAGTTTCTGTTCTTGGTATTTTACAGTCACTCTAACCCTTTCCTGTAGCTGCTTTTTTGCAGCTTTGTCTTTCATCATGTGTGATTGTCTTATCTTTGTCTTTTAGAAAGGTCCCTCTGGCTCGAATGGAGAGTAGATTAGATGGACAAGTCTGGAGACAAGAAATAAGATAGATCATTGTTATAGTTTAGGGGAGAGATATTGATGGGGGAGAGTATCCCCAAGAGACATCCCTAATCCAGGTTACAAGTTTGAAGTCCATCTGCACATATTGTAACTGTTAACTTAAAATTCTATTGGGGTGTTTTATGGGTACTTTAAATTGCATAGTCCTTGATTAATCCAGAAGTTTATCAGATTTATAGTTTTGTTTTGTTTAGAGCTGGGATCTTGCTTACTATGTTGCCCAGGCTGGCTTTGAACTCCTGGGCTCAAGCGATCCTCTTGAGTAGCTAGAATTACTGGCATGAGCCACTGTGCCTGGCTGGTTTGTTGGATTTTTAATGAGTCAGTGTTTGGAATTGTTGGTCCTTTTTATTTTATATTTCTTTTCTATTTTATGTATGCAGGCATATTGTGTTTCCTTTCTGTTTTATGTATGCATGTATATCTTTGGCTGTTATATTTTTTTCTTTTTTATCTCCTTTTAGTTTAATTTTTTTCTCTTTACTAACTATAGCTTTAGTTGCTTTCCATACATTTTTATTTGCAGTAATTTCATTATCATTTTTTCCACATTTTTTTCTAATTTCCATTCTGATATCTTTTATTATTGGTACTTGGATTATCTATAAATATATTTCTTTTTTTTTTGAGACAGGTCTTGCTCTGTCACCCAGGCTGGAGTGCAGTGGCACGATCTCGGTTTGTTGCAACCTCCGCCTCCTGGGTTCAAGCAATTCTTCTGCCTCTGTCTCCCAAGTAGCTGGGATTATAGGTGCCTGCCAGTACGCCTGGCTAATTTTTGTATTTTTTGGTAAAGACGGGGTTTTACCATGTTGGGCAGGCTGGTCATGAACTCCTGACCTCAGGTGGTGTGAGCCACCACGCCTGGCCTAGAAATACATTTCTTAATTTCCCTTCTTAATTACTGATTTTTAACTTAATTTCACTTTTGCCAGCCAGAGAACATACATGAACATTTATGATCTTACATAGAAAACATTTATGATTTCAGTTCCATGAAATTTGTTAAAACTTCCTTTTATGATCCAGGATATGGCCAATTTTTATAAATGTTTTGTGTGTTTAAAAATCATGTGTACTCTGCAGTTACTGAGTAATTTTTTATAGGTATCAGGGCAAATTTAGTTAAAATGTTATCATCATAAACTTCACAATTCAGTAATGCCTTTTGCCTTAAATATTACTTTGTCTGTTATTAACCCAGCTACACTCGATTTCTGTTGGTTTGATGTTTGCCATGGTGTACTATTTCCCCTCCTTTTACTTTAACTCTTTTGAAATCCTTTTATTGGCCAGGCTCGGTGGCTCACACTTGGAATCCCAGCACTTCAGGGAGGCCGAGGCGGGTGGATCATGAGTTTGGGAGTTCAAGACCAGCCTGGCCACGATGGTGAAACCCCATCTCTACTAAAAATACAAAAAATTAGCCAGGTGTGGTGGTAGGCGCCTGTAATTCCAGCTACTCGGGAGGCTGAGGCAGTGAATTGCTTGAACCCAGGAGGCAGAGGTTGCAGTGAGCCGAGATTGCGCCGCTACACTCCAGCCTGAGCAACAGAGCCAGACTCTGTCTCAAAAAAAAAAAGAAAAAAAAGAAATCCTTTTATTTTCATCTCTTTTATGCAATATGTAAGTTCAATTTTAAAAATCAAGCCTAACAAACATTATATTTATTTTACCTAGTATTTCATTTAAATCTTTCATGCTTTCTATTTATCTCTCCAGCTTTATGTTTTGTCTTCTACTTTTTATATTATTGTGTATTATTCTATCTTCCTCCTCCTATTAACTTGGATGCTTTATATTCTTGCTACTCCTTTAGTGGTTTTTCTAGAGATTAAAACATGCATTTTTTTTAAACTTACCTGTGACTAATACCCTTTTTCCAAACTTCAACTCCATTTACTCCCCCAGCCCTGACTTGATATGACAATTATGTTTTATTTTATTTTATTATTATTTTTAGTGACAGTGTTTCCCTCTTTTGCCCAGGCTGGAATGCAGTGGTGTGATCAGAGTTCACTGTAAACTTGAAATCCTGGGCTCAAGGGGTTCTCCTGCCTCAGCCTCCCAAGTAGCTGGGACTACAGGTGCACACTACCATACCCAGCTAATTTAAATTTTTTTTTAATTTTAAAATTTTAAATTATTATTATTTTATAGAGATGAGGGTCTCACTATGTAGCCCAGGCCAATCTTGAACTTCTGGCCTCAATGATCCCCCTGCCTCAGCCTCCCAAACTGCTAGGATTACAGGTGTGAGCCACTGTGCTTGGCCTGACGATTATATTTTAATTCTGTATGCCTGTAGCTTACAAGATATTATCATTGTTGTATACAGTCAGTTTTCATTTAGAATTACTTTCACTTTTACAGTTTATTTCTTCCTGCATTATCATGCTTCCTTTTTGGAATTATTTTTTCTGACTGAAGAACACCCTTTAGTGTTTTGTTTAGTGTGGTACTGTCAACAAATTCTATTTTAGTTTGTCTGAAAATGTCTTTATTTCACCTTTAATCTTGAAGGATATTTCTCTTGGTATAGAATTCTAGGTTAGCAATTGTTTTCTTTCAGAATTTTAAAGATATTCTTATCCTTCTGATTTCTGTTGTTTTTATTAATAAATCAACTGTCAATCAGTTGAAACTGTTTCTTTTCAGGTGATGTACTTTTTCTCCGGGCTGCTTTTAACATTTTCTCTTTGTTTTTTAAAATAATTTTTCTAAGAAGTACTTAAGTGTGGTTTTCTTATGCTGCTGTCATTCATAATGCTTCTGAATCTGTAATTCGACGTCATTAGTTTTAGAAAATTCTTAGTCACTGTCTCTTTAAATATTGCTTATACCCCCTTTCTCTTTCTTGTCCCTCTCTCTTTTTGGGATTCAAAATGTATATTCGCCCTTCTTATTTGTATTGTTTATTGTTTCTTATCCTCTGCTTCATGGTTTTCATCATTTTGTCATTCCAATATTTTTAATATTTTCCTCTAGTATCTCTTCCAGTTGATTAATCATTTCTTCTGCTGTACAGCATTTGCTTTTAAACCTGTCAGTTGTGTTATTAAATACAGTTGCTATATTTTACAGTTTTAGAATTTTTTTTCTCCTCAAAAATCTGTGTTCTATCTTGAGGTACTCTGTTGGAATTCTCAGTCTTTATCACATTGAATATTGTGCAATAAATATATAATATGCAATAAAGACAGCTCCTCTATTTGGAGCCCTTACGAGTCTCTTTATTGCTTGTGGGTTTTGCTAGTTGTCTTCTCTCTTCATGTGCCTGGTTATTTTTTTTTATACTGTATTTGGAATTTTTCTTGAAAAATAACTTGATACTTAGGAGATAGTATCTTCTAGCAATAAGCACATTTATTTGGTGCCTGAAAGAGTTAGCAGTCTAGGACTACATTAGTCTGTTTTCAGTCTTTGATATTTGAAGCTGAACTGCAGTCCCTACCAGAGTCAGTATACTTCTTGTTCATATTACTGTTAGAGGACTGCTCTTCAGGGTCTCAACCAAAAGTCCATGGGCATTTCCTTGCATCCTTTCCTGTATCTTCCCTGGCATTAGTGGTTTCTGGACTGTAAATTTTTATCTGCTGAGCCCTACAAGACTATCAGAAGCATCATTGAGCTTCTTAATAGTCTCTTTTGTGGGAATGAACATATTTCTTTGACTATCATTAAATTCTGAGTTAGCTTGTTATTTACTTCTTGTAGCATATAGATTAATTTTATTTAATTATAGTTTTGCTTATAGTCTAATGCTAGTGATATTCTACTTTTTCATTTATTTAAAATAATATGAATCCTTTTTCTTTCTTTTTAAAAGAAATGTTTTGTAAAAGGCAATGAAAAGAGAATCTGTTCAGATTGAAGCAAGGCCAAGGCCTTGATTCTTCCCTACTTCCCTCCCTTTGCCCCTTATTGCTCTTTTTTTTTTTTTTTTTTTTCCTTGAGATGGAGTCTCATTCTGTCGCCCAGGCTGGAGTGCAGTGGCATTATCTCAGCTTACTGTAGCCTCCGCCTCCTGGGTTCAAGCGATTCTCCTGCCTCAGCTTCCCGAGTAGCTGGGACTACAGGCACCCACCACCACACCTGGCTAATTTTTGTATTTTTAGTAGAGACAGGGTTTCACCATGTTGGCCAGGCTGGTCTTGAACTTCTGACCTCAAGTGATCTGCCTGCCTCGGCCTCCCAAAGTGCTGGGATTACAGGCTGAGCCACAATGCCCAGCCTCCCTTATTATTCTTGAGTGATCTTACTGAAATTTTAGGACTCTATGAAAGTTTTGAAAAGTTGTCTTAGGAGAGAAACTCATATTAAAAGCTTTTAAACATTTGGGGCATATACAAAGACATACTAAGAACATAATGAGCACCTTTATCCTCTACTTGAAGAATAAAACATTAGAAAAGTTATAGCTCCTTAAATACATTTCTGTGGTACAGGAGATAAGACACCCCACCACCCCCAACCATGTTCTAATCCCTGAAGTTTTTGAATGTGGCAAGGGGATATTAAAGTTCCAGATGGAATTATGGTTTCTAATCAGCTGATTTCAGAAGAGGAAGATTATTCTGGATTATGTAGATTGGCTCTACATAATCACCAGGGTGCCTAAAAGTAGAAGAGGGAGATAGAAAAGTCAGAGAAGGAGGTATGACAACAGAAGCAAGGTCAGTGTGATATTATGTGAGAACTTGACCCACTGTTTCTTGCTTTGAAGATGGAGGAAGAGATTCATGAGCAAAAGAAGTGTGGTGGCCACCTTTAAAGTTGGAAAAGACAGGACAATTGATTATCCCCTAGGGACTCCAGAGAAGAATGCAGTCCTGCTGGTACCATGATTTTAGCTCAGTGAGACCTATGCTGCACTTCCTACCCATAAATCTGTAAGAATATAAATCTGTGTTTCTTTAAGACAAGTTTGTGGTCATTTGTTATAGCAGCAGTAGAAAACTAATACACCTTCCCTGATCAGTGTAGACCTCTCACCCTAGAAATAACCAACATGCTTGTGTTATATTTTGTATGAATGCCTTTATACTTCTATACCATGTATAGATGTATGTATCCCTAAAAGACATGCATTGCTGTGCATGTTTAAACTTCATAAGAACGGTACCTAATAATGCTTATTCTGCAACTTAAAAAAAAGTGTTAGCACTTGCTAACTAACAGCATTGTTTTTTGTTAAATACATGTTGATACATGTAGCTGTACCTTACTCATTTTATTGCTATCAATTCCATTGTAACTTGTAAGCTTATTTTCCTTTTGATGGATGTTTGGATTGTTTGATAAGCAGATACACAGTTGTTGTTGTTTTTAAAGAAACCAGTATTTTAAAATTAGATTTCCCATTAAAATCTTTATTTCTGACTTATCCTTAAACAGTTGGTACATTCGTAAACAATTTTCTAGAATTGTGCTGTGCAGTGCAGTAGCCACTAACTACATGTGTCTGTTTAAATAAAATGAAATAAGATGTAAAGTTCAGTCCCTCAGTCACACGAGCCTTATATCCGGTGCTTCATACTGCCATGAGGCTGGTGACTACTGTATTGGACAGAGCAGGCATAGGACATTTCCATCTCTCAGAATGCAGTGTTGGACAGTACCAACCATAGTTGGAGGTATAGGTAGACACCAAAGTCCTCTTACCACATGTGCATCTTTGACCCTTTCTCTAATAGAGGGAACTCTGGACAGGTTTAAATCCCAGCTAGCTCTGTGACCTTGGCCAAATGCCAGACCCCTCTTTACATCAGTTTTCTCATCTGCAAAATGGGCCACTTGGCTGTTACCAGCATTACATATGTTAATAGATAAGATATGCCTTCAGAAGTAACTGGCATATTATAAATGTACATAAGTTTTGGTCCCTGTTAGTATTACATAAATTACCTTCCTGATCTTGGTAGATATTTGAGTTTGCTATTCTACCTCTAGTAACAAGTTTAACAACTGAAGTTTTTCTGGGCACTGAATCTTCTTCAAGTTACCACGCTTTCACCTTTTCTTACAGGCGTATCTTTTAGAAGAGTTGTTTGTTCATACTGCTTCTAGTTCCTCACTTTCCATTTCCTCTTCAGCCCACTCCAATTTGGCTTCTGCCTCCCTCATTCCACTTAACTGTACTTGCTAATGTCACTGTAAACCCATTGAACACTTACAGAGACAGTATCACATAATGGCTACAAATTCAGGTTCTGGAAGCTGCCTGGTTTGCTAGCTGTGTGACTTTGAACAAGTTACTTACCTTCTCTAGACCTTAACTTGTTAAACTATAAAGTGGGGACAAATAAAGAAGCTTTCTTATAGGATTGTTATGAGAAATAAATGAATCAGCATTTTCCTGTACTTACGACAGTGCTAGGAACATAGTATTTAGTAAACACCTCCTGTCATTATCATCATCATTATATCTATATATGTATGTATATAGATTTTTTTTTTTTTTTTGAGACGGAGTCTTGCTCTTTCACCCAGGCTGGAGTGCGGTGGCGCGATCTCAGCTCACTGCAAGCTCCGCCTCCCAGGTTCACGCCATTCTCCTGCCTCAGCCTCCCGAGTAGCTGGGACTATAGGCGCCTGCCACCATGCCCAGCTAATTTTTTATGTTTTTAGTAGAGACGGGGTTTCACCGTGTTAGCTAGGATGGTCTCGATCTCCTGACCTTGTGATCCACCTGCCTCGGCCTCCCAAAGTGCTGGGATTACAGGCATGAGCCATCACACCTGGCCATCATTTTATATTTTACCAATTTTCTCCTGAAATATTTTCTTCTTTTAGCTTTTGAATTATTATACTTTAGTGATTTTCATTTCATATGTATGGCTTTTTCTTCTCATTCTTCTATGAGAATTCCTTCTTCTACCACAAAGTTCCTCATAGCTGGATCACAATATGCCTGGATTCCAGACCCTCTTTTTCTCTCCCTACATTCTCTCCCTAGGTGTTTTCCCCCAATTCTAGGCTCGAGATACCCTTAATGTGCTGAGTACTGTCACATTTACATCCCAGCCCAGATATCTGTTCTGTGTTCAAGACCATAATGTAAAATTTACCATCTTACCATCTTTTTATTTTTTATTTTATTTATTGATTTTTGAGACAGAGTCTCGCTCTGTCGCCCAGGCTGAGTGCAGTGGTGTGATCTTGGCTCACTGTACCCTCAGCCTCCCAGGTAACTGGGATTACAGGCACACGCCACCATGTCTGGCTAATTTTTTGTATTTTTAGTAGAGATGGGGTTTCACCATGTTGGCCAGGCTGGTCTCGAACTTCTGACCTCAGGTGATCCACCTGCCTCGGCCTCCGAAAGTGCTAGAATTACAGGCATGAGCCACTGTGCCCAGCCTTACCATCTTTTTTAATATATAGCTTAGAGGTATTAAGTACATTCACATCATTGTGCAGCTATCACCACCATCTATCTCCAGCTTTCTTCATCCTGCAAAACTGAAACTATCTACCCAGTAACTACTAACTCACCTTTCTCTTCTCTCCTTGGCCTCTGGCCACCACCATCTGCTCTCTGTGTGTGCATTTGACTACTCTAAGTACCTCATGTGAATGAAATTGTACAGTGTTGGTGAGCCGTTAAGTTTTTAACTTGTTCCCTCTATGTCTGTGGTCCCCAACCATTTTGGCACCAGGGACTGGTTTTGTGGAAAACAATTTTTCCATGGACCAATGGGGGCGAGGGGTGGTTTTGGATGATTCTAGTGCATTACATTTATTGTGGACTTAGCCCTGAGCTTGTTTTCCTGCAACTAGATGGTTCCATCTGGGAGTGATGGGGGACGGTGACAGATCATTAGGCATTAGAGTTTTCATAAGGAGTGTGCAACCTAGATCCCTCGCATACAGTTCACAATAGGGTCCGTTCTCCTATGAGAATCTAATGTCGCTACTGATATGACAGGAGGCAGAGCTTAGGTGGTAACATGAGCTATAGGGAGTGGCTATAAATACAGATGAAGCCTCTCTTGCCTGCTGCTCACCTCGTGCTGTGCAGCCCAGTTCCTAACAGGCCATGGACCCTTATTGGTCTGAGGCCCTGGGGGTTGTGGACCTCTGCTCTACATTGTATTTCCCTCAGTTTCAATTTTTTCTTCACATAGCAGCTGGTTGTGGTCTTCTCAAAGTTACTTTGTTCAAATCTCTCCATTGGCTTTGCATTGCATTTTATGATTACTCAAAAATCTTTGACATGCCCGTAAATCCTGGGTGACTTGTGCTTTGCCCTCCTCCCTACCCACCCACAACATCACTTCTCATCATTTTTTCCTGTTCGCTATGCTTCAGCTTGATTTTCAGTTCCACTTAAGCAAGCACCAATCTCTTTTTTTTTTTTTTTTTGCCTTAGGAAGCTGGTGTCTTATAGACTGCAGATTTTTAACATGTATAACAAAATCTTGAAAATGGTAGCTGTGCATTAAAAATGTTTGAATAAATGGACTCACTGTATATTTTACTGAAAAAAAATGGGGCCACCTAGCAGTGATTTTTCTCATCCTGCCTTCTTTCACCTTAATTCTTTGTAACATACCTTGTAAAAGATCTCACATTTTCTTTCCTTTACCGTATATTTTTGTTCTTCTCCACTTACTCTTCCCCTACTTCTTTCTCTTTTCTTTCTTCCTTCTCTTCCCCAAATAAATAAAAAATATTTATTAAGTTCTTGTTTGTCTGTTAGAATGCGTTTGGTCGCAAATAATAGGAAATTCTGACTCAGAGTGATTTAAACCGTAAGGAGATTCTAATATCTCACAAAACCATTAAGTCATGATTTCAGGCAACTTCTAGTTACATTACTCTAGCCACAGTACCTCATTGATGTCACTAAGATTCCAGATTATTTTCCTCTCCGTATTTGTTATCCTTAGCATGAACTTAATCCAGAGAACAAGTCTTTCTCATGGATACAAAATAGTTACCACAGGCAGCGGGGCCATGTGATTCCTGAGGAAGTAAGCCTCCCGCTTCATCTCCCTCTCTTCCTCACCCTCCTGCTCTCCCTCTCATTCTCTTTTATGGTAATAAAAGCTTCCCCAGTAGTCTTTATCTCATTATCATTGGCCAGAATTGGTTCATAGCCTATTTCTGAACCAATCACAGGCAAAAGAAGTAAGATTATCTTTGGATCAGTCTGACCCATTGTCTTTTGTGGCACATAGTTACATTAGGTAAAAGTAGATAAACCTGGACAAAATCAGCATTCTATAAAGAATCAGGAAGAATAGACATTGGGTGGTAAACCAGTAGCATCTGATGCTAAGCTCTGTAACAGCAAATACTTGTCACTGCCTTGTGAAGGTGAGAGGTGAAGCCAGCTGGACTTCCTGGGTCGAGTGGGGACTTGGAGAACTTTTCTGTCTAGCTAAAGGATTGTAAATGCACCAATCAGCACTCTTGTGTCTAGCTACGGGATTGTAAATGCACCAATCAGCACTCTGTGAAAACGCAACAATCAGCGCTCTGTGTCTAGCTAAAGGATTGTAAACGCACCAATCAGCACCCTGTAAAATGGACCAATCAGCAGAATGTGGGTGGGGACAAATAAGTTAATAAAAGCTGGCCACTTCAGCCAGCAGTGGCAACCCACTTGAGTCCCCTTCCACACTGTGGAAGCTTTGTTCTTTTGTTCTTCACGATAAATCTTGCTGCTGCTCACTCTTTGGGTCTGTACTACCTTTATGAGCTGTAACACTCACCGTGAGGGTCTGCGGCTTCATTCCTGAAGTCAGCGAGACCATGAACCCACCAGGAGGAACAAACAACTCCAGATGCACCACCTTTAAGAGCTGTAACACTCACTGCGAAGGTCTGCGGCTTCACTCCTGAAGTCAGCAAGACCACGAACCCTCCGGAAGGAAGAAACTCCAGACACATCTGAACATCTGAAGGAACAAACTCCAGACACACCATCTTTAAGAACTGTAACACTCACCTCTAGGGTCCGCGGCTTCATTCTTGAAGTCAGCGAGACCAAGAACCCACCAGAAGGAACCAATTCCGGGCACAGAGGGGTGTCTCCTTTCTAAGGTCTGCTCCTCCTTGTGTGCCCTCTTGCTTCTGTGCCTATCTCGTTTTGATTCTTTATGTTTCCGGAGTGTGTGCATAGTACTGTATTGATACTCAGCACTGTGTATATTTAATAAATTTCCTTAGAAATTTCCCTTGTTTAATAGCTTCAGATGTCACTCATGTACAGTGGATTCCTGTGTCTGCAATTTGCATCTTGGTCTCTAGTCTTCATTTCTCTACTTCTTCACTGGATATTTCTATGTAAATGCTGTTATATCAAGCTCATTTTCTCCTGAAATCAATTACTTGCCTGTTTTTGACACATTATTTTCACCTTCCATCCAGTTAACTCCCAGGTCAGATTGGTTATTGTTTCACCTGGAACATGTTTGTACCTTCTATTATTTTTATTTCATTCTCTTCACTTAGATTGTGACTGCCTTAAAGGCAAGGGCTTGGTAGAGTTTTTTCTTGATATCTCCATCACTAGTCATAGTACTTAGCACATTATAGATGTGTATATGTACTTAGTACTATGTGCTAAGTACTAAGAATGAAAAAGAGGCCTACTACATGTGATAATCTCAAGAAGGGTGGCAAAAACGAGATGGAAAAGAGATGAAGAATTGATAATTTTTTGACTCAGACCAATTCTTAAGAAATGGATAAAAAGTTTCTTAACTTTCATGTCGAGTTGAATGTGAAATAGGGGCTATCATTAACATAAATAGAGAAGTAGGGAAGACGTGTTTGGGTTTTAGACATAACTTTGAGGTGCAGGTGGGACAGTAAATAGTGTCTAGTAGTTTAATTGGGATACGGGACTAAAATCCATTCTCCTTTACACATTTCAGGGAATTTGGTATGTAGCCAGCTATGCTTGGGAGATTTACATGTGTTACCATATTTAATCTCCAAAGTGTATGTTAATAGTATCACTTTTCAGATGAGTAAATGAACTTCAGAGAGATTGAGTGATGTCATGAAGCTGTTGATTTGAGGCGAGTGACTTGATGTAATTGTTGTGAGTGAATTGAAGTAAGGTGGAATTGGGGATAAGGAGGCCTGTTAAATATTTACTCCTTTAACTCAGAAAGGAGGTGGTGTGGACAAGAGGTGACAACAGGTCGGAGAACAGGGATTTGATAGAACTGAATAGATAGATGGAATAAAGGAGAAAAAGAAAATGATGTCCAGGTTGGGTAAATGGTGAACCACAGAGTTTGGCAAGTTTTGAGGGTCTAACAACCAGGTGACTGGATTGAGGGGATAGGAGAAAGGTTTAGAATTTCTAAGCATGGAAGCAGATCCCTCTGGACTCTTCTGTTACTTTCACTCCAACCGCTTTGCTAATCCAGAGTTTTAAGGCTGAGGAAAAGATCTCTGAGAGCTGTTGCAGGTGTTAATTTTCTATCATGCCGTGGATGGCCATCATTTTAACCTCTTATTCACAAGATATTTTTGACTTTATTTAATTTTTTTTCTTTTCCCAGATTTTATTTTGGTGATAAGTCTTACGAAATAATTTTGTCTAAATTGTCCTACATATAACTTTCAGAATAGGTCTCTTCTGAGAAATAACAGTTACTAAGAACATTTCTAAGTTTCTGTTAACATCATCAATCTAAATTCTTTGCTTTTAGCTCAATTTAAAGAAAGAAATCAAACATTAAAATACAAGTTAACTGTAGCTATGGCTAATACATTTTGGAAAATTAGGTTACTGGGATGAAATAGTTTTGATGTTTGTAGTTCTTTATAGGTCTGTTTCATATCTAAATCACTTAAATTCAAACAGATATGTAATTGCAGAGTTGACATTCATGCAGGTGTTTTCATTCTTAGAATTAGGTGTATATGTATGTTTTCATCTTGAGATTGTAATAATAGGGATGAAGACAAAAGTTATCCATGGAGTCACCATGCTAGACTTGCAAGTCCAGAGGCGTGTAATATGGGAAAATTTGGCATTGTAGTAGCCCATGCTTTACCTGCTTTGTAGTCTTAAAAATATACTCATTTTATTCGGATAACTGTCTTCTGGCAATTGATCTTTTCTCCATATGTTTATACAGGACAAATTTTATAGGTGCTTAATTACAAATATTGTATTAGTAATATATGATACAGATTATATCTGTATGGTCTTTTATACAATATTTGTCATTTAGAAGTATTTAGTTCTTTAAAGGTATAAAAAATCAATTTAATATTGCTAGCAAAGCTCATCAAACATGTAGGAGATATTAATGTCTTTTTTTTCAGTAGAGAATCTAAATTGATTTATCCCTGTTTTTATGAGCTAGTTGGAAATTAATTTTTCCCACTACCTTTACATTCTGGGATTAGTCTAATTCTGATAATCACTGATATTTCTCTGCTTTTCTATAGTCTGTTGTGCTTTTTCTTTTGGCTTGAAAGCACTCAAAGTGTATAATTTGTTAAATCATAGTTTCTATACACAATTCAAATTTTTCACCTCTAATTTTTTAGTTTTATATAAAGATCATAGATATGTGAATGATACAAATGAAACTTGAAACTTTAGGTAGTGTTTTGTAAGGTCTGTCATCCTTTGTGTTGTTCATAGAATATATAACAACAGCTTTAAGTGAAAGGCTTCTGACAGCTTATGTCTCTGTTCATTGCCAGATCAGTTAGATGAGCACTGACAAGAGCAGGGAGGAGGATCAATCAGTGTGTGTGTGAGTGTGTTGTGTATGTGTGTATACACATGTATTAATGATAAGCAAAAATAGTCTATTAGCTCATGTAGCTAGGGGAGGGGATGTTCCTTCATTACTTTATCCATTTATGGCTATAATGAAGCTACCTAAGACAATTGTAAATGATAGCAATTTGTGAAAGAGTTGATAGTCACATTTCTTTCCTCTCTGTGGAACCAATTTAGCATTGTGGTTGAGGATGTTTTCTGGAATCTGACTGCCTGGGTTTGAAGTTGAGGCTTGCTTTCTAGCCATGTTACTTTGAATTCTTTAAGTCTCTGTTTTCTCATATAAAATGGGAGTAACAATACATTGTTGTGAGGTCATTATTACTAAAAAAATGCCATTTAAAGGACAATCAGGATTCTGGGAAGATGGCAGAGTAGGAAGCACCAGGAACTTGTCTCTTTCTATGAAACCAGTTGCACTGGCGGAATCTGTCCTGTGTAACATATATTTTGGAACCCTGGAGTCTGTTGAAGGCTTGTAAGTTCCAGGGGAAGATTTGGAAGTAAGTTGCAGTTAGTTTCAGTCAATTTCACTCTTAGCACATTAGTTCCTCCAGATATTGGGAATCTGTGCTCTGATCACTGATTGTTACTTCTGATCAAAGAGGTATAGGCAGCCAGGCACGTTGGATCATGCCTGCAATCCCAGCACTTTGGGAGGCCAGGGCTAGAGAGTCAGTTGAGTCCAGGAGTTCTAGACCAGCCTGGGCAACATGGCAAAAGCCTGTCTCTACAGAAAATGTAGAAACTTAGCTGGGCATGGTTGCACATACCTGTAGTCCCAGCTACTTGGGAGACTGAGGTGGGAGGATCACCTGAGCCCAGGAGGTCAAGGCTGCAGTGAGCCATGATTGCACCACTGCACTCCAGTCTGAGTGACAGAGTGAGACCCTGTCGCAACAACAACAACAGTAAAAAGAGAGATATAGGCAAGGAGATGGGTAGTTATCATTTTTCCTCCTCCCATTGTTGCAAACCCCTTTCCCTCCATCTAGAGTCACTTCTGGCAGATTTTAAAAGCTGCCACCTCTATCCTTTTTTAGAAAAGGGCATTCAAGTCTAGGATATTCAAAAACAACTGCATATATGGGAAGTATTAGAAAGTGACTGCTCATGCCCAGGGAAAGGTAAAGGCTCAGAAAAAACCTGAGAAGACTAAGTTTACACCTCAGGCTCATCCTTGGTACAAAGGCAGTCTCTAGCAAAAACCTACACACAGACACGCAATAACGAAAAGTAGCAAACACCAGGGAAGAAGAAGAATCTGATTTCTAGAGTTACTACATTATTAGATCCAAATGTCCAGTTTTCAACAAAAATCACAAGACATACAAAGAAACAGGAAAATGTGGCCCATTCAAAAAATAAATAAATTAACTCATATTCCTTGAAAAAGACCTGATGGCAGGTCAACTAGATAAAGACTTTTAAACAACAGCTATCTTAAACATGCTTAAAAAATTAAAGGAAGATGTGGAGAAAGTAAAAACAAACCAAAAACAACAAAAAAGATCTAGAAACAAAATGGAAATGTCAATTAAGAGATAGAAAACCTAAAAACCTAAAGGACAATGGAAATGGTATCAAGTATGAGGAACAGAAAGAGAAAGGGTTGAAGAAAAGTGAACAAGGTTTAAGCGACCTGTGTGACTCCATCAAGAGGACCAACGTACGCATTGTGGGAGTTCCAGAGAAGAAGCAGAGAGAGAGCATATTTGAAGAACTGATGCCTGAAATCTTCCCAAATTAAATCAAGAGACAAAGAAGGAGATTATATATTAGTACAGAATTCACAACAGCAAGAAGATAAAACAATGATAAGCATTTATGTACCTAATGACAGACCATCAAAATGCATGAAAGGAAAAAACTGATAGGGAGAGATAGACAGTTCTGTGATAATGAAGTTGGAGACTTATACCGCCTCTCAATGATGGATAGAAGATAAGTAAGGAAACAGAGGACTTAATAAACTAACTAGATCTAAAAGATATATTTAAGAATATTCTACCCAACAAAAGTGTACACATTCTTCTCAAGTACACATGGGACATTTTCCAGGATAGGCAATATGTTAGACCACAGATTGAGTCTCAATAGTTTTTTAAAGATAGATATCATACAAAGTGTATTCTCCAGCCACAATGGGGTAAAGTTAGAAATGAGAGACAGAAGTAAAACTGGACAATTCACAAAATTGTGGAAATTACACAACACACTCTTTAAACTTCTATTGGTTCAAAGAAGAAATTACAAGATAAGTTAGAAAATACCTAGAGACAAATGAAAATGAAAACATAACATACCAAAACTTATGGGACACAGCAAAAGCAGTAGTAAGGGGGAAGTTTATAGCTATAAACGCCTACCTTAAAAAACAAGAAAGATCTTAAACCAGCAACCTAAGGAGCTAGAAAAAGAAGAACAAACTAAACCCAAAGCTGGCAAAAGGAAGGAAATAAAAGAGTAGGGGACAGAGATACACAAAATAGAGAATAAAATATATAGCGAAAATAATAAACCCAAGAGTTTGGTTCTTTGAAAAGATCAACAAAGTTGGCAAACCTTTAGCTAGGTGGACTAAGAAAAAAAAAAGAGCAGACTTAAGTTGATAAAATTAGAAAAGAAAGTAGGGATATTACTACTGATTCTACAGAAACAAAAAGTAGTACTTTTATTTATAAGAGTACTATGAACATAGTTGTATGCCAATAAATCAGATAACCTAGATGAACTGGACCAATTCCTACAAACAAAACCTACAAAGATTAAATCATGAAGAAATAGAAAATCTGACTAGACATACAACTAAGGAGATTGAATCAGTAATCAAAAAGCTCTTGATTTAAAAAAAAAAGACCAGGACCTGATGGCTTTGCTGGTTAATTCTACCAAACAATTTAAGAACTGATACCACTCCCTCTAAAACTTTCAAAAAAATTGAAGTGGAGGAAACACTTCCTAACTCATTCTGTATGAGGCCAGCATTACCCCGGTACCAAAGCCAGACAAACACTATAAGAAAAACTACAGACCAATATCTCTTGTGATCATTGTGCAAAAATTATCCAGAAAATACTAGCACCCCAAATTCAACAGCGTGTTAATGGGATTATATTCTATGACCAAGTTATTTTATTTATTTACCATGTTTATTATTACCTTTTATTCCTGAAATGCAAGCGTGGTTCAACATGTGAAAATAAATTGTTGTAATATACCACATTAACAGAATGAAGAGAAAAATACATGTTCATCTCAATTGACGCAGAAAAAATCCTGACAAAATTGATCACCCTTTCATCATAAAAACAAAAATGGAAACAAATTATAAATGAAAGGAAACTACCTCAACATGATATGAGCTATACCTGAAAAACTCACAGTAAACATTATAGTCAATGGTGAAAGACTGAGCACTTTTCCTCTAGTACCAGGAACAAGGCAAGGATGCCAGCTTTTACCACTTCTGTGCATTATAGTACTGGAAGGTCTAGTCAGAGCAATTAAGCAAGTAAAATATTTAAAAGGCAGATTATATAATCTTATATATAGAAAACCTTAAAGATTACACACACACAAACAAGTAATAAATGAATTGAGCAAAGTAGCAGGATAAAAGTGAGTATACAAAAATCAGTTGCATTTCCGTACACTAATAGAAAACAGTGTGAAAAGATTATGAAGAAATTCTATTTATAATAGCATCAAAAAGAATAAAACAGGCTGGGTGTGGTGGCTTATGCCTGTAATCCCAGCACTTTGGAAGGCCGAGGTGGGTGGATCACCTGAGATCTGGAATTCGAGACCAGCCTGGCCAACATAGTGAAACCCTGTCTCTACTAAAAATACAAAAAAACAGCTGGGCGTGGTGGCGGATGCCTGTAATTCCAGCTACTCAGGAGGCTGAGGCAGGAGAATTGCTTGAACTCGGGAGGCGGAGGTTGCAGTGAGCCAAGATCATGCCATTGCACTCCACCCTGGGCAACAAAAGTGAAACTCCACTTAAAAAAAAAAAAAAGAATAAAATACTTAGGAATTAACCAAGAGGTAAAAGTCTTGTTCAGTGAAAGCTGTAACACATTGCTGAAAGAAACTGAAGACATAAGTCGATGGAAACATATCCTATGTTCATGAATTGGAAGATTTAATTTGGTTAAAATGTCAACAGGACCCAAATTGATTACAGATTTAGTGCAACAACTATCAAAATCCAAATGGCTTTTTTTTTTTTTTTGCATAAAAAGAAAAAACCCATCCTGAAATTAATATAGAATGTCTGGGGACTCCACATATTCACAACAGTCTTGAAAAAGGAGAACAAAACTGTAGGACTCACACTTCCCAATTTCAAAATTTATTACAAAGCTACAGTAATCAAAATAATACGGTACTGGCATAAAGTCAGAAATGTGGATCAGTGGAGTAGAATAGAGAGCCTAGAAATGAACTCTTGCATATATGGTCAAATGATTTTTTTACAAGGATGCTAAGGCCATTTAATGGGGAAAGGACAGCCCTTTCAACAAACGGTACTGATAAAACTGTATATCGACATTCAAAAGAATGAAGTTGGACCCTGCCTAACACCATATACAAAAATTACCTTAAAATGGATTAAAGATGTAGATGTGAAACCTAAGACAATAAAACTCTAGCCAGATGTAGTGGCTCATGCTTGTAATCCCAGCACTTTGGGAGGCTGAGGAGGGAAGATCGCTTGAGCCCAGGTGTTTGAGACCAGCCTGGGCAAAATGGCGAGACCTTGTCTCTACAAAAAAATTTAAAAAAGAAAAAAAAAAGGCTGTGTGTGGTAGTACACACCTGTAGTTCCAGCTACTCAGGAGGCTGGGTCGGGAGGATCGCTTGAGCACAGTAATTCAGCGCAGCAGTGAGCTATGATTGTGCCATTGCCTTCTAGCCTGGGCAACAAAGCAAGTCCCCATCTCTTAAAAATTAAAAAAAAAGAAACAAAAAAACAATGAAACTCTTAGAAGATAACATAGGGCAAAAGTTTTGATTTCTTGGATATGGCACAGGCAATAAAAGAAAAACATAGACAAATTGAACTTCATGAAAATTTTAAGTTTTCTTGGATCAAAAGACACTATCAACACAGTAAAAAGGCAACTAACAGAATGGGAGAAAATATTTCCAAATTACATATCTGATAAGGGATTAATAACCAGAATAAATAGAGAGCTCCTGGAACTCAACAACTAAAAAACAACTTGATTCAAAAATTGGCAAAGGACTTGAATAAACATTCCTCCAAAGAAGATATACAAATGGCTAAGAAGTACATACAAAGGTACTCAACACCACTATTAGGAAAATACAAATCAAAACTACAGTGAGGTACACCTCACACTCATTAGAATGGCTACTATAAAAAACAAAAACAAAATGACAGTTGTTGGCAAGAATGTGGAGAAATTGGAACTCTTGTGCACTGTTGGTGGTGATGTTAAATAATATAGCCACTGTGGAAAACAGCATAGCAGTGTCTTAAAAATACAATTACTGTATTATTCAGCAATTCCACTTCTGGGTATATACCCAAAAGAATTCAAAGGAGGCCTTCAAAGAGGAATATAAATCCCTGTTTGCATATATCATGCAAATATATAAATACTGCATGATAATAGTAGTATTATTCACAATAGCTAAAACAGGGAAGCATCCTAAGTGCCCACTGAAGGATGAATAGATGAGCAAATGTGTAAGGAACATTAGTAAGCCTTAAAAAGGTAGGAAATTCTGACATACGATACAACCTGGATGAATCAGGACATTTTGCTTAAGTGAAATAAGCCAGTCACAAAAAGAAAAATACTGTATATTTCCACTTACATGAAGTACTTAGAGTAATTAAGATCATAGAGACAGAAAGTGGAATGATAGTTGCTAGGAGCTAGGGGCATGGGGAAGGGGGAGTTAGTGTGTAGTGGTTATGGTTTCTTTACACAAGGTGAAAAGTGTTCTGGAGATGGATGGTGGTGATGGTTGTACACATTATAAAGGTATTTAATACCTTTGAACTGTACACTTAAAAATGGTTAAGGTAAATTTTATGTTAATCATATTTTACCACAATTAAAAAATGGAAAAAAAGTGACAATGTGTGTAATAAGCTATGTAAACTATATAACTATGATATTTTTTCTTTATGAAACTCCTGTAAAATTGTTCTAATGGCCTTATAAGTTAAAAACAGTACTGTGGGCAGTCAGTGAGCTAAGTATAAGAAGAAATTATCTCATCTTCCTCTTTTCTCTTTCTCTTCTATATATACATGTATATCTTTATGTAGCTTTATGTCTGTCTATATGCAGATATGTAAATGTATATATTATATATGTTCATATTTATGCTATTTATTTTTATATATTTACATGTGCATACATATATGTATAGAAAGACCATATATGAATACCCTATTATACATACTTAGAGACATGTAAAATAGATATTTTATATAAATAATTGCAGAGCGCATGTGGTGCTGACTTCAACATGTATCTTAAATGCCTAGTATCTTGACATACAGAAAATTCGGGATAAATGTTATCATCATCATATAGAAATCCTATTCCTGGTCTTCCTGCCAGGAAGTCCCACTGATTGAATATTTGCTTACAGAGAAATGGGCCTTTTGGTGTTCCGGAAAGTTAGTGGCAATGATGTTTTTCCAACTATTGGGAAATGACATGGTTTCCTCCCTTCAAATAACACTGAATTTGGTTCAAGAATTAGGAGAACTTAGGGCTTATAAATTTATTAGAGTAATTTTTTTAAAGAATGGTATGAAATTCTCAAATAGAAAAGGTTAATATTAACATTGCTACAAGACTTAAGTTTGATGACCCTAAATGACCCTGCCTTGTGAGATTCGCTGGCTGCTGATGCTCCCATTCATTCACCTCCATCCACTGTGACATATACTGATCTTTTCTCACTCTGTGTGGTTATTTCACTTTTGGTAGGGTGTTACATATTTACCTAATTACAGTGAGTCCTTAATCCACTTCTATCTTATGTGTAATTGGGGGTGGGGTGGTGAGTGGGAGGAGACAGGGAAAAAGGGGCAGGTTTCTTCTTGCCAGTTTTTAATTCACGAGAAACACTCTACCTGTATCTGGGACTACTATTAGGCAGCCAAGGTGAGTTTATCACTTCCTGTTTACACTCGTGCTAAATTGTATATTGAAAATAGCAAAATTTATAGTTTTGGTACTTATCTGACTCGAGTTATTGACAGTCACTTCTTTAGTAGTCTTCTTCCCTCCAGTCTTGATCCCTTCCAATGTGTACTGCTTGTTGCATGGTTTTTCTGAAAGTCTGATCAGGTCTTGTTAATTTTATTGTGTTTAACACTGTCAAATATCTATGTAATTCAACTGAAATTTTGTCGATTTTATATATCTTTGGCATTTGCCAAATTTGGCTCTCCTCTCACGATAATTTTTTTTCTACAGAATTTTGGGAATCCCTAATTTTGTATTTAGATAGCGGTAGTTCCATTTAACTGGATGGTTGATTCTTGTTTGTTTTTTGGGCAATAGGTACATAGAATTGAGTTGAAAATACTGCTCGATGCATGGCATATTGTCATTGTCAGTCTGTACAAGGTCCTACTTTGTTCTTCATTTTTCATTCCTTCATCTCTGTCTTAGTCTGTTTGGGCTACATCTACATAGAGTGGGTGGCTTAAACAGCACACATTTAACTTCTCCCAGTTCTGGAAGTTGTAAAATCCAAGATCAAGATTCCTGGTGAGGGCTATCTTCCTGGCTTCCTTTCTTCCTGGCTGTCTTCTCACTGTGTCCTCACATGTGAGAGAGAGAGAGAGAGAGAGAGAGAGAGGGAGAGAGAGAGGGAGAGGGAGAGGGAGAGGGAGAGGGAGAGGGAGAGGGAACAAGCAAGCGCTCTGGTTTCTCTTCTTATAATGGCACTAATCTCATCTTGAAGACCCCACCTTCATGAACTCATCGAAACCTAATTACCTCCCCAAGGCCCATATCCAAATACCATCACATTGTGGGTTAGTGCTTCATCATATGAAATTTGGGGGGAGACAGTTCAGTCCAGAGCACTGTCCTCTTCTCCCTTTATATTAGGCCCTCGTTCTCATTTGTTCAGTGTATGTTCTTCCAGCCCACTTTCCAACCCAGATATCTTTATTTCCATGCTTGTGTCCATGAAAATATAGTTTTGAGTGTGGTTTTAAATTTTTATATAAGGAATTCTGTAGTGTAAATCTCATTCCTTTAAATAAAATTTTTCTACTCACGTATATGCACGTTCAGCTTGTGACTTTTGACCATGTATTCTCTTTAAATGTGTCTTTAAGTGCATATACCACAGGTTATCTATTTCCAGTGTTTGCCTCTGCAAAGATGGTACTTTTTGCAGCTATATGAAACCTTTCCTGTGGTGTATAATCAGCAGAGGCATTGGCTGTCATAGGAAATACACATGCTGTACTTAATCACTATGCCAGACTGGTCCCTAACATGTTTGTACCAGTTTGTACTCTTAGTAGCAAGGCCTGTGGAATAGTAACCATTCCTCCATATCCTTACCAATTTAAATGAGAACCATTAAGTAATGTTAAATATTAGTGTTTAAAGGATCCTAGAAATAATTGATACAGAGTGCAAGAGTGAGAAGGTATATTAATTTCTTTAAATAGAAAAGTTTGTGGTCAGATATTTTTGTTTATAAACTCAGGCATTTGTTTATAACCTCAAACATTGTGTTGCTAATGGTGCAATAAAGACTCTCCATGTGAGGCAGAGTTGTAATGATTTTAGATCTCATCTTATTTTTTCAACAACTAGCATTCATAAAATATTTACAGTTAGTATTGTTGACGGGGTAGAAAGTAGCTTTGATTTGGTGACTATATTACTAAAAAGATAGAAATGTTAGAAAGTCGATTAAGGAGACAAAGACATTTTTAGGATGTCTTATTAGCACATCACTCTTGAGTACTTATTTATAGTAACACTTGGAGTATAACATGAACACTTCAGAAATGTTCAGGTGCATTCACATGCCTGAATGTAATAGTACTTTTAAGAAAAATATGTTTCAGGCCAAGTAGAAATAAATTAGGCAGATCTATGAAATAGCAGGAAATACTAACCATTTGAGTGCAAAAGTATTCGTGTACATTAATTTCTGTTTTTAGGGTTGCCCATATCTTCTAGCATGAGTGTTAAGGAGAAAAGAATGATTATAAATGATCAATGTCAAAATATGATTCTTGAAGATCCAATAAGTTTAAATTTTTTTTTCTTAATAGAGTTGTTAAGGCAAATGACTTTGGGAAGATAATTTAAGAAAGACTGATTGGTAAGTAATTTAATGGAAAACCTCCACATTCTAGTTCTGATAATGTACTGTAATTTTATAACTGAAACAGACAAGAAAAGACCAAGTGTTTCTTTCAGCCTCCAAGACAAATATTTTTTTAAGCTCTGCTGTTTCTCCAAACAAGGTAAAGATGAATTTGAAGTATAAACCTGGCTTGAATTTCATGAGATAATGCAGAGGAGAGGTATTCATTGCTAGGTTTACAAGAAGGCTTGCAACTTCTTGGAGCTTGGCATCTGGAGCTGCCAGGAAACTTGAAAGTAATTCCTGTTGAATCTGTCTTGTTCAGTGCCATATCTCAGAGATTATAACAGTGCCAAGCACAGGAACTTCCCCCAAATTGCTAGGAAATTCCCACAAATCTAGAATTAATAGTTCTAATAATCTTTTGAATAAACTTACATCATTAACTAAAAAGTTACCTAGTATATTTCATTTGTCAGAATGATCAAAAAAGCAGTATGTGTTAATATGGCAAGGGACCTTAAACAAAATGTAGCATAACTAGCTAGAAAGTGCTCTTTCAGGTTTTACCTCATTTAAAAGAAAGTGTTGTTTAATTTGCTTTGATGCATTGTAATCTTGTGTAAGATTATTGGGCATGATAAATGATAAATGCCACCAGGAGTGCACCTGTAGCCAAAACTTATTAGCCTGCTCTAGCAAGCGAGAGCTCACGCCAGATGAAGTATGAGGTATCTCGGTAAGAAAAGAGCAAGTTCTTTATAGGGATTTGGCTTGGGCTGAATGATTCTAAGGAAAGACTAGGGGAAGTAGAACAGATCTGGATTGGATATTGTCATGAAGGGAGGTCAGTTTGGGAATTAGGTGCTTCAGTATTCCGTTTGGGAGGAGTGAAGCAGGGCTGGGTTCTCTTGGTACTGGCCGTGCTACCGATCTGTTAGGGAAATAATAATATGATTATCAGTGGGGTTCATTTCACTTTCTCATTCCCTCCTTTTGGCCAGATTCAGGGTATTCAGATCATTGTTCAATGAAATACAGATCTTTACCATTGTTAGGAGATAGGAGATTATTAAGACAACCTCATCTGTTGTTGGACTGAAGTCAGTTCTTCATGTATACCTTTTGTTATTGTTTTAAGGTTAGCTGTTGAGTCATCTGAACGAAAAATGGCTGTACACATTTAAGGTTCTGGAGGTCACATTTGAGTAATTTAACACTGACAAATGCTGAGAGATTATTAACAGAGTTTGTATTCTACTTCTAAGCCAAGAGCCTTTGTCCCTAAGTGTGGTTTTGGTGTTGACAAAAACTTTCCTAAGTATGACATCATAGGGGTATCTGTCCTGTTTACTATTTTTAGTTTACTATTTAAAGAGTTGCTTAGTAGTTAAATGTAATTGCCCAGGAACTAGAGTAAGCTGAGTTGCACCCAAAAGAAAGTGGCTACAATCTCAACCATTGGTTTGATTGCATATTTTAGTTAAATCACGAGCAAATTGTACCCTGACAATAGACTCATACAGACAGTGACTAGGGATGCACAAAGCAATATTATGGGTAAGGTCTTATAGGTATCGTTGTTGGAGTTAACAAGTGCCTGTTAACAATTCAGAAATTTAAACCAAAGGAAAGACAATAGCTTGGACACAAAATAAGAGCATACAAATTAAAGCATGATAATTTATGGTTCTGGCCATCTAGATCTTTGTTCCATGGGTCCTGAGTAGAAGCTGTCTCTTTCGTTCCTTTTGATCCAGAAGTCTTGGGTAGAAGCTATATCTGTCTCTAAGATCATCTTCTTCTGGAAGATTCTTAAGAATCTTTAGTTTGAGGTCTCTGGCTGGGACAGACCTTTAGTAATTTGAGGATCTGTTGCGATGCTATAATTCAGAGCCAATGTGTTTTACTGCTGCATTAGTTGTTAACAGAATCTGGCAAAGTCATTGGAGTGTGTTCAAGTGCAGTCTCTGTCTAATGATGCTTCAAAAATAGCCAGACACCTAATCTACGGCCATATACAGCTGATAGTTGTTTCCATCAATGATAAGATTCAGCAGCCCTGGAAAGTTATTATCTTAACTAGAATTAATAGAATGGAAAAGAATGGATCATCTAGTGGCATACAATACACAGATTCAGTCAGTAATTATGCAGGGGATTAGACATATTATGAATAGTGAGGAATCTGACAAATCTACGTGGCCCTTTAGTTTCTATCATCAAGTGTACCTTGATTGTCCATGATTAATAAGGATACTGAAATCTAGAAACAAAAATCAATTTGAAGTAGTTATTGTACCAGTTTTTGTATATGAGCATGAGTTTGCCTTTTTTCAACTTAAAGTACATAACCATTGAGGATATATTCATTAATATTTTATTTGCATATAATTGATTTATACAGCCCAAATTTCTCTTGTGATTTACCAAATAAATTAATTTATCAATAAGAATTTTTATAATTTTGAATTAAATAACATTGTAGGAATGTTGACCAAATCTAATTATTTCTATTATCCTTCCTTTTTTAAGGTAAAGGAATAAATCTTTATGTTACCTCCTGGCCATTCCAGAAAATTTAAGGATGTTTTAGGCGTAAAATACGTTTTATTAGCTTTGTTATTCTGAATTTGGGACCTAAGTCTAGAAGGGTTTTAAATGATACAATTGTTAACCTGAGTCATGATACCCAAGGTAAGAAATAGTTCTAGGCAGTTTTTGAAAATAAAGCAAGAACAACCAGGTGCGGTGGCTCATGCCTGTAATCCCGGAACTTTGGGAGGCTGAGGCAGGTGGATCACCTGAGGTCAGGAGTTCGAGACCAGCCTGGACAACATGGTTAAACCCTGTCTCTACTACAGATACAAAAATTAGCTGGGTGTGGTGGTGGGTGCTTGTAATCCCAGCTACTCAGGAGGCAGAGGCAGGAGAATCGCTTGAACCCGGGAGGTGGAGGTTACAGTGAGCCGAGATTGCGCCACTGCACTCCAGCCTGGGTGACAGAGCCAGACTTTGTCTCAAACAAAAATAAAAAGAAAGAAAATAATGCAAGAACAATAATTGTTAGGACCTTTAATTGTTTTAAATAATGAAATTTTATTAAAAATGATTTAAAATATGGCTAAGGCCCAAGAACATATATTTAAGAGCTGTCTTTTTTTTTTTTTTTAACTTTTGCTTTCTTTCCCTAGTTGGAAATACTGTGGTCACTAAAAATACCAAAGATACCACACCAAAGCAACTTAGGCTGTTCATTTAACATCTCTAAAGCATTCGGACCAAACTGGTTTATTATCTTGCACAGCCACTAAGATTTTATGTCATAGTCCAGCATTCTCACTGACCTTTCCCCCTTAATAATCATCATACCTCAGCATGCAATGGCAGTTGTTTATGATCTTACACATTATCACATATTTAAGATAATTAAATCTTAGACCTACACATTAGCCTTTAGGTAATTCACAGTTCTTACTATATAACTAAACACAGTGATTATGATTATTTCAGCTGTTTTGTTTTCCTTAAAGCATGTCTTTTTCCATGAAAGAAGTAGTGTACTGCTTTACAATCTGGTGCAAGCTCCTTGATCTGGTTGACTGTTCCAGAATATTTTCCTATCTTTGCAACTGAAAATTTAATTCTCCAGAACAGGCTCCTAAACCCTAAACCACAGAGCTTAAACCCTAAACCACATCTGTTGACAATGTAATCAGTATATAACAATTTTATACAATGCAGAGCTAGTCTAGAACTTCTAGCTTGCAAAACTCATTTTGAGAGGACCAAAGGTCTCCTGATTACTGATCCCTTTCTAAGTGATTTGTTACCCATCCCCACTGGAAGCTTGTAAAATGTAAAATGTACTGTTTGTCTCCACTTTTCTGAAATATGTAGATATTGTGTCTTGGGATAGGCCTATTTTCATTTATTTGGGATGGGAATTTGGTAGACCCTTCCAGTTTTGGAAATTATGTCTTTCAATTTGGAAGTTTTCTTGAATTGCTTGAATTGCTCCTCCAATTTTCCTATTTTTCTTTTGCCCCTCTCTCACTTTGTCTCCTGCTATTCTGTTCTAGGATATCTCCTCCACTTTGTCTTCCATTCAGCCATTTCTACTTCTAGCATATTTTATAGTCTCAATTCTCTGCCATTGCATGATTTTGCTGTGTAAGTCTAATTGGTTCTTGGCTTTCTTCACTGTCAACTTCTGATTTTGTTTTCTTGGATCCTCTTAATCAGCTATTTTTTGTCCATTTGCTTTCTAGTTTCCACATTTTTATGCTATCTTCAGTCTCAGTTTTTATACTTATCGTCCTTATGTCTTTTAAAAATTCCCTTTACCATAGTTTAAATAGAGTTTTAGGAAGCAGTGTAGTTTGATTTGTGTGCTCCATACTCTCTTTTACCAAAACACTGCTCAGTTTTTTAACCAATCCTTTGCGGCCATTTTATATTTTCATCTTACTCCTCCCATCTCTTAAAGGTGAATTTTCATCATGGTCCCATCCTCTTATTTTTGGTTTTCTTACACAACACATTTTCCCTCAGCTTTATTTTTTTAATATAATATTTTCTTCTTAACTTATTTTGGACACTCTACATACCTCTTTTGAGACAGGTGCCATAAAATACCCCCATCTTACCTTGCCTATTTCTGTTTTTTTTTTTTTGTTTTTTTTTTGTTTGTTTTGTTTTGTTTTTGTTTTTGAGACAGAATTTTGCACTTGTCGCCCAGGCTGGAGTGCAGTGGCAGGATCTTGGCTCACTGCAACCTCCGCCTCCCGGGTTCAAGTGATTCTCCTGCCTCAGCCTCCCAAGTAGCTGGGATTACAGGCACCCACCACCATGCCTGGCTAAATTTTTGTATTTTTTGTACAGACGGGGTTTTGCCACGTTGGGCAGGCTGGTCTCAAACTCCTGACCTCAGGTGATCCGCCCACCTCGGCCTCCCAAAGTGCTGGGATTACAAGCCTGAGCCACTGCACCCGGCCGCCTATTTCTAAAATCTCATCTGTCCTCAGGGCTGTCACCGGTAGCCATTTATTTTGTGGTATGTTTAGTGATATTAAACTACTTGCTGCTAGTCTTTACTATTCTCTGAGCATGGCAGACCCTTTCCATGCTTCTGTAGTTTTGTATATACTGTTTCCACTTCCTGGGGTGTCTCATGTAACTACTGATTTATTTCCCCAGGGCCTCCCTCTCTTCCTGACAAACTTCTTAAGTCTTTTTGTGTGTGTGCGTGCCCAAATTTATGAGTTACATGAGAACATTTGTTACATGTATATAATACATAGTGATCAAATCAGGGAATTCTGGATGTCTATCATCCGACTACAGTACTTTTTTGTTAACTGTAGTCATCCCACTCTGCTGTCAAATGTTGAATTTATTTCATTTATTTATTTTTTTTATGAGACAGAGTCTCTGTCGCCTAGGCTGGAGTGCAGTGGCACAATCTCAGCTTGCTGCAACCTCCGTCTCCTGGGTTCGAGTGATCCTCCTGCTTCGGCCTCCCTAGTAGCTGGGACTACAGCTGTGCACCACCATGCCTGACTAATTTTGTGTTTTTAGTGGAGGCAGGGTTTCACCATGTTGGCCAGGCTGGCCTCAAACTCCTGACCTCAAGTGATCTGCCCGCCTTTCCCTCCCCAAGTGCTGGGATTACAGGCGTGAGCTACCACGCCCGGCTGAATTTATTCCTTTTATCTTACTGTATGTTTATACCCTTTAACCACTTTTCATTCACCCTTTTGCCTCCCACTTAACCTTCCCAGTCTCTCTGTTATCTGTTTTTCCACTCTTCCTTCACGTGTTCACATTTTTTTTTTTAGCTCCCACAGGTTAAGTGAGAACGTGCAATATTTGTCTTTTCGCGTCTGGCTTATTTTGCTTAAGCTATTTCCACCATGTTGACCTCCAGTTTCGTCCATGTTGCTGCAAATGACATGATTTCCTTCTTTGTGTGTGTGTGGTTGAATAGTATTCTATAGTGTATATATACCACATTTTCTTTATCCATTCATCTGTTGATGGACACTTAGGTTTATGTCTGTCTTTGGTATTGTGAATAGTGCTGCCATAAGCATGTGAGTGCAGGTATCATTTTGATACATTTGTTTCTTTTTGTTTTAGTGGATACCCAGTAGTGGGATTGCTGGATTGAATGGTATTTCGATTTTTAGCTTTTTGAGAAATTGCCATGCCATTTTCTATAGTGGCTGTACTAGTTTACATTCCCAGCCACCATGTGTAAGAGGAGTTCCCTTTTCTCTGTGTCCACACCAACATCTGTTATCTTTTGTCTTTTTAATGAATGCCATCCTCACCGGGGTAAGATGGTATCTCATTGTGGTTTTTATTTGCATTTCTCTGATGATTAGTGATATTGAGCATTTTTTTCATATACCTGTTGGATCTTTGTATGTCTTCTTTTGAAATGTATCTATTCATGTCCTTTGCCCACTTTTCAATGAGATTATTTGGTTTTCTCCTGTTGGGCTGTTTGAGTTCCTTTTATATTGTGGATATTAGTCCCCTCAGATGAATAGTTTGCAAATATTTTCTTCCATTCAACAGGCTGTCTCTTCACTATGTTATTTCTTTTGCTGTGCAGAAGCTTTTTTGTGTAATAAAGTCTCATTGTCTGTTTTTGGTTTTGTTGCCTGTGCTTTTGAGGTCTTAGTTATAAATTCTTTGCCTAGATCTTCTGCATGTGGCTATCTAGTTTTCCCAGCATCATTTATTAAAGAGGGTGTCCTTTTCCCTGATACAAGTTTTTGTCAGCTTTGTCAAAGATAAGTTGGCTATAAATATGTAGCTTTATTGCTGAGTTCTTCATTCTGCTCCATTGGGTTACTTATCTGTTTTTCTACCAATACCATGCTGTTTTGGTTATAGCCTTGTAATGTGTTTTGAAGTCAGGTAATGTGATGCCTCCAGCTATGTTCTTTTTGTTCAGGATTGCTTTTGACTATTGGGGCTCTTTTTTGGTTCCATACAAATTTTAGGATTATTTTTTCTGACTCCGTGAAGAATGGCATTGGTATTTTGACTGGGATTGTATTGAATCTGTAGATTGCTTTGGGTAGTATGGTCCTTTTAACAATATTGATTCTTCTGATCCATGGGCCTGGGATGTTTTTCCTTTTGTTTATGTCATCTTTAATTTCTTTTAACAGTGTTTTGTAGTCCTTCTCGTAGAGATTTCCATCTCCCTAGTTAGATTTACTCCTGGGTATTTTAATTTTGTTCTAGCTTTTTAAGTGAGATTGACTTCTTGATTTCTTTCTTGGTTGGATCATTTTTGATACATAGAAACAATACTTTTATACGTTGATTTTGTAACCTGCAACTTTACTGAATTTATTTGCCAAATCTAAGAGTTGTTTTTGGTGGAGTCTTTAGGTTTTTTTTAATACAAGATCATTTGGGAGGCTGAGGTGGGTGGATCACTTGAGGTCAGGAGTTTGAGACCAGCCTGACCAACAAGTGAAACCCTATCTCTACTAAAAATACAAAAATTAGCCAGGCATGGTGGTGCGTGCCTGTAATCACAGCTACTCGGGAGGCTGAGACAGGACAATCACTTGAACCCAGGAGGCGGAGGCTGCAGTGAGCTGAGATCATGCCACTGCACTCCAGCCTGGGCAACAGAGCAAGACTCCATATAATACATATATATATATATAAAATCATATCATCAGCAAAGAGAGACAGTTTGACTAACTCCTTTTGAATTTTGAGGACTTTTATTTCTTTCTCCTGTCTGATCGCTCTACCTAGGACTTCCAGTGCTATGTTGAATAAGAGTGGTGAAAGTGAGCATCCTTGTCTTCTTCCAGTTCTTGAAGGAAAGATTTTCAGCTTTTCCTCATTCGTATGATGTTAGCTGTCGGTTTGTTATATATGGCCTGTATTACTTTGAGCTATATTCCTTCTATGCCTAGTTTGTTAAGTATTTTTATCAAATTTCTTAAGTCTTCAGATTCTAATTTAAATAGACTTTCTGAAGGCTTGTCTTATCCAGCTTCATACCTTGAACATACATTGCGTTGTCTCCTCTTTCTCTAGTGCTTAGAACACTATTTGAGCACCTCTCATCCAAAAGTCAGAAATCCAAAATGCTACACAATCTGAAACTTTTTGATGCCTGATGCCACAAGTGGAAAATTCCACATCTGATTTCATGTGACAGGCCGTAGTCACATGCAGGTGCATAACACACCGTTGATTCTGCGTCCTCAAGGGAGAAAAGGTATTCTGGTGATGCTACTGTGCTGCTTAGGACTACCCTGAACACATTTTTTCACAATATTAATTATATACCTTCTTTTTTTTTTTTGAGACTCAGTCTCGCTCTCATCCCCCAGGCTGGAGTGCAATGGCGCAATCCTGGCTCACTGCAACCTCTACCTCCTGGGTTCAAGCAATTCTTCTACCTCAGCTTCCTGAGTAGCTGGGATTGCAGGTGTCCACTACCACGCCCGGCTAAGTTTCGTATTTTTAGTACAGATGGGGTTTCACTATGCTGTCTAGGCTGGCCTTGAACTCCGGACCTCAGGTGATCTGCCTGCCTTGGCCTCCCAAAGTGCTGGGATTACAGGTGTGAGCCACCACACCCGGCTGATATGCTGTATTTTTTTACTGTTAAGTACTTAAGTGTAAGAAAATAATTAGTTATTAGTAGCATATAAATTCAGAGTCATGAATGATGGTGATGCCAAACAACCACAGGTGATTCACAGGAGTGGCAGAGATAGTGACACTTTTGCTTTCTGATGGTTCATTGTACACAAACTTTGTTTTATGCACATAATTATTTAAATATTATATAAAATTACCTTCAGGCAATGTGTATATGGTGTATATGAAACATAAAATGAATCCTGTGTTTAAATTGGATCTCATCCCCAAGATATCTCATTATATATGGGCAAATATTCCACAATATCCTGAAAAATCAGAATTTCAAAACACCTCTCATCCCATGCATTTCAGATAAGGGATACTCGGTCTGTATTGTAACCATTCATTTAATCTGACTACTTCCCTTGGATCATTACTGACACTAGTGAACAACTCTTTTTCATCTCCTTTGTATCTTTTACTAAAAAAATGTGTGGATGGAGAGATAAATTTGCCATGTAAACCACATAGCACTATTATATTATGTTGTAATTATATTAGGTGATTTTCAAGAGGAGGTTGCCTTTTTTATAATCAGATGTCATTTATAATTTATTTGGTATTATTTTTCTCCATTGCACATTTCTTTCTAATAATCTACTTTTATAAAGTAAAAAACATATATTACTTGGAGTAGGGGAGAAGACTGATTGAATATTAGAATTTTTTTAGTTCACAGAGAAGAAATTGTCATATACCACCTTGGGCATTTTTAAATAAGAGAAAGTGGTGGATATTAAGGAGGTGAATGGGTAAATCTTTAGTTTAAATTATTTTCTTTCCCACCACTCTCTTTCTTAGTAGGGGGTTCAATTCTAGGATGTAATTCTTAAACAGTAGATATAATAGAATGTGTTATACCCTTGGATTGACCATCTGGTTAAATCAATAACCCTGCCCATGAAAGTGTCTAATAGACTATTCTGATTCCAATTTTGTTTTATTTTTATGTCCTTAACTTCGTCTTTCTTTCAGAAACCATTCAGACAGTGAATATTAAGTACAGATCCTCTTAATGTCTTTTTCATATAATGAGTACTCATGGTGCTTTACTAGATATATGCTGTAAAACTGATTGTTACAAAACAAATTTTTTTCCAGAAAAATAATGTTGTAATTGTGATTTCTTTTCCCAAGTAAGGATTTGGCATAAAATATGTTGTAAAAACAAAGATAAAGCAATGTTACGTTTTAGTAATAATTTAAAATAATAAAGTATTAAATTGACTTAAATTAATTGATTTTATAAAGGCTTATTAATTTGTTCACTTAAACTGTCTTACTACCGAAGTCTCCAGTGCTATCACGTCTGCCCTTCCTTTTAGTATATGACCTCATTGCCACTTTCAGAAAAAAAATGAACATATCAAAATCGGAACTCCCCCAGCTTTTTGCCTCTGAACCAACTTCTTTCCATCTGTATTCGTTCCTTTATCTGTCCTTTCTTCCTATTACGATGGAATAGACGTTTCTCCTTCAAGCCAGAGAGCAAAGACCCTGAAAGCTTGTTCTCTGGATTTTTTTCTCCTCTCCTATATTGTTAGCTCTTTTTCTCTGGGTCCTTTCTGTCAGTGCTTATCATAATCAAGTCTCTTCCATCTTAAGAAATAATAACTCTAACCTCGTGTATTACTCCAGCACCTGCCTTATTTTTCGCCTTCAAAGAATTGCTTACATATGTTGTCTTAGTTTACGTATGTCTCATTCACCCCTCAGCCTTCTGCAATATAGACCCTGCCACCACATCGCTGCAACCATTTTTGCCTACTCCACTATCCATTGTTGACTTAATCATTGCTAAATTCAGTAGATACTTTACAATTCTTACCTCACTAGACCTCTCTGCAGATTTTTGTACTATTTGCTATTCTGCCCTTTTTGAAAATCTTTTTCTTGGCAGTCCTTCTCTTTGCTCTCGTTGAACCTACTCTTGTGGCTTCGATCACTGTGTCATGCTGATTCCGGTAAATCTGTGTCTTCAGCTTGCTCTTGAGCTTTAGTGTTTATTCTGCTTGCCAGCAGCTATGCCCACTTAGATGTCTCACTGGTCCCCAAAACTCAGCCTACACAGAATGGAGCTATCACCTACCTGTTCCCTCAAAACTTTTCCTCCTACCTGGTTTTTAATTTCAGTGAATAATGCTGTCATTACTTTGTAGCCTGTGGCAGAAATCATTGTCTTTAACTTCTTCTTCCTTACCCACAGTAGTCAATCATGAAGGACCCTACTTCTTATCTGTCTGTTCTCTATAGTAACCACCATTCTGCAATAGCCATCATCATCTCTCACTGAATAATTTTAATACTAATTACTTGTAACTGTTCTGTCTGCCTCCTTTCCTTATTTACTCCCACTAAGCATTCACAAGGCAGCCAAAGATACATTTTCCAGATAAAATATAATTGATATTCTCTTGCTTAACAACAACAACAACAACAACAACAACAACAACAGACCTTTAAAGGTGCCCTTCTTGTTGTTCTTGGCATGAAAAGACTTGTGTTGTGGTTCTTGATTTTATCCCCAGCCTCATCTCTAGTTGTATACAGTATCCAGTCTCCCTCAAATGCTTTTTCTCTTTCCTCGTGTGACTGCACCTCTCTTAACTAATACACAAACATACACACACACACACACACACATACACACATACACACACACAATCAAGTGATCAGAGTGTGATCCTGGAACCCCCTGGGTGTCTACAAGATCCTTTCAGAGGGTCTGTAAGGTCAACACTATTTTTGTAATAATACTATGATATTGTTTGCTTTTTCATTCTCATTCTAATGAGTGCCTAGTGGATTTCTTTCAGAGATGATCCAACATGTGATGATGCTATTCCGTTGCTCTGGTGGCTAGTGGATATAAACTTCTGTAGTTTTAAAAGTTCCCATTTTAAAATTTGTATAGGATATAATATTGATAGATATAATAAACCAAAGCTTGTCAGGGTCCACAGTAATTTTCAAGAGAATAAAGGGGTTCTGGGACCAAAAGGTTTGAGAACAGCCATTTAGGCCTCAGATGGCATTTTCTCTGAGGAGTCTTTTTTTTTTTTTTTTTTTTTGAGACGGAGTCTCGCTCTGTCGCCCAGGCTGGACTGCAGTGGCGTGATCTCGGCTCACTGCAAGCTCCACCTCCTGGGTTCACGCCATTCTCCTGCCTCAGCCTCCCGAGTAGCTGGGACTACAGGCGCCCGCCACCACACCCGGCTAATTGTTTTGTATTTTTAGTAGAGACAGGGTTTCGCCATGTTAGCCAGGATGGTCTCGATCTCCTGACCTCGTGATCTGCCTGCCTTGGCCTCCCAAAGTGCTGGGATTACAGGCGTGAGCCACCGCGCCCGGCCTCTGAGGAGTCTTTGCTTGGGTCCTCCACCAAGTCCCCTTTGAGTAACCTTTTCTGTTGCACTTGCCATATCATAGCACTTATCATATTGTATTATGGTGTGTTACTTATCTTTTTAAGCCGGTAGACACAGAAAACTCTCTAAAAGAAGGAACTTGTTGTATCCTCAGTACCTAGCACAGTTCTGGGTACATAGTAAGTGTTCAGTAAACACATGTTGCGTGAGTGTCTTTGAAAGTCTTTGGAGATGACCTAAATTATTTATTATCAAATTATGATTACTATAACATGTTTTAAATTATAACCATTTTGTGTCTTAGGGACACATTCATTTCTTAACTTTTCTGACCCACTAATATCTGAATAGGTTTGAGAAAGCAGGTTTTATTTTATATGTGTGTGTTATGTTCATATATTAGAGCAGAAGGAATCTATTACTGGAAGTCAGAAGCTCTGTATCTCAATCTGTGTCTTCCACAAGTAACTGTGGAACCTTGGAAAAGTCTTTTTATTCCTTTGAAGCTAACTTCCCTCATCAAATAATGGGACTGGACTAGGTTGTCTGAAAAGTTTTTCCTTGTACGACATTGTATGATTATATTGAATAATGTCAAATGTGTATTAAACGTGATTTATATTTATTTATATTTTACTTTATAAAAATGCACATAAATATAGATTTATCTATATATTAAAATAACTTTGTTTTTACAGGAAGGATGATAAAGACTATGCTTTAAAACAAATAGAAGGAACTGGGATCTCTATGTCGGCATGTAGAGAAATAGCAGTAAGTGAAGTTCTTTTTATCATCGTTATTATCAACTGACTTATGAGTACCAACTATATAAGGCTCTGTATTGTATTTGTCATATTAATTGAAAGTTAGTGAATATTTTTATATCAACTATATGTAGAAAAATATTATTTATTAAGGAGAAGTAAAGGGGTCATGTAGTTCTGTCTATATAAACTCTTTATTTGGGGTAAAGTAAATTTCAGTTGTTTATATAAATACATGTTTTCCCAATACCTGTCACTAATAGTAGAGGATCCAGTTATTTCATTGAGAGCAGTAAAAGTGGCATGTTAGTCCATAGAAAATTAATATTTTTATTTTAATAGAATGAGACTAATGTCATTAGTTATGTCAAATTAAAATGAGGTTGTATTATTTGATTTTCATTGCTTGTATCTGTTCATTTGAGTATGTAAACATTTATGCCCTTTTATTTTGGAAGCATAGTTTTCCATATTGTGATTAGAATCTCATTTTGATTCCAAAGGGAAGTAGTCTTTGGGTTAATGCATTAATAGTTATCCATACATTTAAACTGAGTGTTACTTTTTGAGATTTTTCTTCAGTTTTTACTGTTATAAAACTGTGGGTCCAAATGTGTCTTTTCTGGCTTTACACAGAATATTCTAGGATATATATTATAATCTTTGCTTTTGTTGCTCTCAGCCCTTCTATTATATTTACCCATAATAGTCTATTATGACCTGGAAATGTTAAACAATTTTGCAAGTTTACTAAGATTCTGTACCAATGAGTCTTCAACTCAAGTAGATAAAAATAATTTACACTATGTTGAGGAAAAAGACTCATAAATCTAAGAGTAGCATGTCAAGCACTGTGATAGAAGTATATGGGAATGGAGAAGGGTGTACATCTAAACTAAAGTAGAAAATCAAGGAAAGTTCCAGGTTTGGGAACGAATGTAAGAATTACTTTCATGAGGGAAGAATAGGGGTGAGATGGAGGATATTGTTAACCAAAGGTAGACCATGCTGAAAGATGTAGTTCATTTAATTGATACTTTTTTAATACTTTTCAATCTTGAGACCAGGTGTCTGTATGTTAACTGTCAGTTATTCAACATCTATTCTGTATATACTCGTCAGTTTTAAAGAGTTAAAAGCCATTAAACTATGGTCAGTGGTGTTAGAAGTCAGGATGTTGATTACCCTTGGAGGGAATACAGAGCTTCAGGGTGCTAGTAATGTTCTCTGATCTTGCACTGGGTCTAGTAACACGGGTTATATATGTGAAAATTCATTGAGCTGTGTACTTATTGTTCACATGCTTTTCTCTTGTTTATTAGTCTTTAACAAACTGTTTTTTATTAGAAAAAAACTCAGTTCAGAAACAGCTATTATCTTTGCATATATCGTGATAACTATAAATGCACTTAAATACAGAAAGAAGTATGAAAGCCTACTTTTAATGTACTTGATCATGGCTCTTCAATCTAAGATGAACAGAAATGTTTAATTTTTATGAAGTCTTACTAATTTTTCCTCTTATGGCTATTTTCTGTATGTGGCTGAAGAAATCTGTACCCACTGATTGTGAAAATATTTCCCAATATTTTCTTCTAAATGCTTTATAATTTTTTTATTTCTAGTCTATGATATACTCAATTAATTTTTGTTTGTGGTATGATACAGAGTTTGAATTCCCCCTCCCATGTGAATGTACAGTTGTAGCATCATTTTTGGAAAACATCCTTTGCCATAGAATTCCTTTGGCACCTTTGCAAAAAAAGAAAGTATACATTTGGACTGTATTTCATTCCATTGTTCTCTCTGTCTAGCCTTATACCAATAGATTACTCTACCTTTCTAGCAAGACTTGAAGCCAGGTGGTGTAACGCCACCAGCTTTATTCTTTGTCAGAATTGTTTGGGGTATTTTAGGTTCTTTAGCATTATCATATAAATTTTTACATCAGCTAATTAGTTTTTTTTTTTTTTAAAAAGCTTGTTGAGATTATAATTTGGATCAATTCGAAGAATAATAGTATTGAGACTTTCAAGCCAGCGGAAAGATATACTTTCCATTTTATTTATTTATTTATTTATTTATTTATTTATTTTATTTATATAATTACTTAAAAAAAAAATATATATATATATATAGTGTAGTATATATCCTGAGATATTTCTGAACTCACTGGTAGGTTTTTGGTGATTGCTTGGGATTTTTTCTACATAATTATGTCATTTATGAATAGGGATACTTTTACTTTTTTCCATATTTCTGCTTTTATTTCCTTTTTTTCTTTACCGAGCTGGTTAGGCCATCTCACACAATGTTGAATAGTGGTGAGAGCAGTTATCTTTGATTTATTCCCAACTGTGAGGAAAATATTTCCGCTTTCACTGTTCAGTATAATGATAGCTGTGTGTTTTTCATAGGTGCTATTAATCAAGTTTAGGAAGTTATATTCCTAGATTCTAAGAATTCTTTTCATAAATGATATTGAATTTTATCAAATGCTTTTTTCTGCATAGATAAAAGCAACCATATAATTCTTTTCTTATTCTGTTAATTTAGTACAAAATATTTTCAGTTTTCTTTGTGAAATTTTTCCTTTTATCTATGAGTTATTTCGAATTATATTGCTTAATTTTTAAACGTGAGGTATTTCTAGATAACTTACTGTTACTGATTACTAATTTATTTTCATTGTGGGTCAGAGAAAAGAGACCTTGTATTTTAGAGATACATACTGAAATATTTATAGGTGAAATGATACAATAACTGGAATTTACTTCAGCATAATCCAGGGTTGGCTGGGAGGAGTGGATATTAGTATAAATAAATTAAGTTTGTCTGTGAGTGGCTAATGGTACGTAGGGGTTTTTTTTAATATTCTTTTTTATTTAGTTTGGAAATTTGTATAACAAAAAGTTAAGAATGAAATAATTCCCATGTTTTCTGGCAAGTTTTTATCAGGCCTTCCTCCTTTACATTTCTTAATTCTTCCTCGAAGAAGTTGTGCGTCCCCAGCATTCACCTCCATTAACTCTCTATGATTACACCCAGTTTGTTTCTTTAATATAACACTCATTACAAATGTAATTACGAGGGGGTTCTTTTTATCTGTGTGCCTGGTTACTTACTTTGTTATCTGTTCCCCCAACCCTCTAGACTGTAATGCGTTTCTTCCCCAGTTTGTGCTAGGTGTGGTGTATAGTCCTTGCTCTGTAAGTAAGTGTAGAAGGGAGGGAGGGAGGAAGGAACTCTGAAAATTTCTTCTAAAAGCAAAGAGCATTGCATATCTTCATCTTCATTTTTTTGTAAGTGATTTGTCTTATACATTGTCAAAATTTCCTGTGAGCTGTAATTCCTAGTGTAGACATTTTTCAAACTGCACATGGGTGAATCATCAGTATTCCACAAGGCTGCCTTATAGTTGTGATGGGGGAGCAGAGGTAAAGCTCTGGACTTGACTTTTCTACTCACCTCTACTTCAACCTAAGCATACCTCAGTTTTTTTCTTTTTTGTGACAGAGTCTTGCTCTGTTGCCCAGGCTGGAGTGCAATGGCACGATCTCGGCTCACTGCAATCTCTGCCTCCCGGGTTCAAGTGATTCTCCTGCCTCAGCCTCCTGAGTAGTTAGGATTACAGGTGCGCGCCACCACACCCAGCTAATGTTTATATTTTTAGTAGAGATGGGGTTTCACCATGTTGGTCAGGCTGGTCTCAAACTCCTAACCTTGTGATCCACCCACTTTGGCCTCCCAAAGTTCTGGGATTACAGGCATGAGCCATCGTGCCCGGCCAAGCATACCTCAGTTTTTATCAATTTGCAAGAATTTGGTTGAAAAAGGTTTCACAGGTTTAAATATATTGAAATAATTTTGAAATTGTTTTCCTTATTTTTTTACAGTGATTTCAAGTCAACTGTCACCATACTCATGTTATAAATTAAGAATTTATTTTTTATCTTTGCTATATTATGAAGTTTTAATGTTAGAATGCAATATAGTTTTGTGAATATTAGGCTTTTTAAGCCCATTTTCTCACCATTATGATATTTATTGAGAAGACACAGTTTGAAGTATTAATTTATTTTTTATATATTTGTACTATAGAAGTTCAAATTAAATGTGATACTGTATGTAACAGCTGGAATAAATTAAATTTACAGTAAATTACATAGTCAAAACAGTAATCTTAGAACTCAGAAAATAAGATTTTTTTTTTTCTTTTAGCAGAATTGGGAAAACAGGTGGTTTCTGTAATGGAAACTATTATATGAGTATCTTTAAACCTTCTGTTTTCAATTTTTTTTTTTGAGACGAAGTCTCGCTCTTTCCCCAGGCTGGAGTACAGTGGCGCAATCTCGGCTCACTGCAACCTCCGCCTCCCGTGTTCAAGCGATTCTTCTGCCTCACCCTCCCAAGTAGCTGGGACTACAGGCACATGCCACCATACCCAGCTAATTTTTGTATTTTTAGTAGAGATGGAGTTTCACCATGTTGGCCAGGATGGTCTCTTGACCTCGTGATCCGCCCACCTCAGCCTCCCAAAGTGCTGGGATTACAGGCGGCAGCCACCGCACCCAGCTGTTTTCAAAATATTTTAACACAAAATCTTCGAAAAGGCAAAAAGTAACTTCTACAGTATTAAAAACTAGGATCTACATGCTCTGGCCTCCAAATAGTGTCATGTAGTGCTGAAGTTCTTTTCGTCACCAAGGAAAGCCTGCATACTCTCTCAGCATCACAGCGTCAAACACACAGGAATGCATGAGGGGTGACAACCTTGCCAGACTCTTTGGGCTCTTACCCTGGCTCTGCCACTTTACTAGCTTGTAGGACCCAAAACAAGTTATTTGATTTCTTTGTGTTTCAGTTTTCCCATTTGTAAAATGGGACAGTGCCTGGCGTGTAGTAGGCATTTAGTAAATGTTAGCCCTGCTAAGTGCAGCACAGCTCCCAGGTCTTTTGGAGTTTCTTCAATGTAAATATTTACTTCAAGGTAATTGTCCACTGAGACAGTTCCATCACCAATCCTCAGTGGCCATTCTCTTTTAATCCCAAAGTGACCTGTCTGTCTCCTAATATGTCTCCCTAAAAACAACAACAACAAAACACCACCACCAACAAAGGTGTTTTACTTATTCAGTAGTAATAGTTACTTACTCTACTGGTTTGCTTTAGTTGCCCTAACAAAATACTACAGGCTGGGTGGCTTAAACAGCAGAAGTTTGTTTTCTTATAGTTGTGGAGGCTAGAAGCCTTATAGCAAGATGTTGTCAGGGTTAGTTTCCTCTGAGGCCTCTTTCTTTGGCTTGCAGATAGCCTCCTTCTTCCTGTCTCATCAGATGGTCATTTCAGAGACACTCCTGGTGTCTCTCTGTATGTCCTCATCATCTCTTCTTGGGAGGACGCCAGCCAGATTAGATTAGGGCCCACTCTAAAGACCTCATTTTAACCTAATTACTTCTTAAAAGGCCTTATCTCCAAATACAGTCATGCATCACTTAATTAGCGGGATATGCTCTGAAAAAATGCATTATTAGGCGATCTCATTGTTCTGCCATCGCAGAGTGTACTTACACTAACCCAGATGGTAGAACCTAAACACACCAGGCTGTTTGTAGCCTATTCCTTCTAGGCTACAAACCTATACAGCATGTTGCTATACCGAATACTATAGGCAACTGTAACACAATGCTAAATATTTGTATATCTGAGCATATTAAATAGAAAAGGCATGGTAAATATGTGGAATAAACATAGAAAAGGTACAGTAAAAATACGGAATAAATGATTAAAAAAATGGCTGTTCTGCCTATGGAGTAGCCATTCTTTATTCCTTTACTCTCTTAATAAACTTGCTTTCCCTTTTGTCTATGGATTCGCCCCAAATTCTTTCTTGTTCAAGGTCCCCCCAAAACAAAGATAAAAAATGGTACACCTGTATGTATAGGGCTGTTAGCATGAATGGGGCTTGCAGGTCTGAACGTTGCTCAGGGTATCAGTGAGTAGTGAATGAATGTGAAGGCCTAGGACATTAATGTACACTACTGTAGACTATAAGCACTGTACACTTAGGCCACATTCAGGCTACATTCAGTTTATAAAACATATTTTACTTTCTTCAATTAACCTTAGTTTACTGTAACTTTTTTACATTATAAACTTTTTTTCACTATTGTAATAACACTTAAAATACACATTGTACACCTGTACAAAAAATTTGTATTCTTATTCTATAAGTTTTTTTCTATTTAAAAAATTTTTTTTTTACTTTTTCAACTTTTAGGTTCAGGGGGCACATGTGTAGGTTTGTTACATGGGTAAATTGCATGTCACTGAGGTTTGGTGTGGGAATGATCTCATCACCCAGATAAGGAGCATAGTTACCAACAGTTTTTCACCCCTTCCCCCAACCTCACCCTCCCTCCTCTGGTAGTTCCCAGTATCTATTGTTGCTATCTTTATGTCCATGTTTATCCAATGTTTAGCCCCTACTTTTAAGTGAGAACATGTGGTATTTGGTTTTCTGTTCCTGTGTTATTTTATTTAGGGTTATGGCCTCCAGCTGCATCTATGTTGCTGCAAAAGACATGATTTTATTCTTTTTTATGGCTGTATATCATTCCGTGGTGTATATGTACCACATTTTCTCTTGTCCAGTCCACTGTTGCTGGGCATCTAGGTTGATTCCATGCTACTGTGAATAGTGCTGCAATGAACATACAAATGCATGTTTCTTTTCGTAAGCTAAGGTACATATACATTAGCCTAGGCCTACACAGGGTCAGGATCATGAATATCATTGTCTTCCACCTCCACATTTTATCCCACTAGAAAGTCTTCAGGGAGGCCAGGCATGGTGGCTTATGCCTGTAATCACAACAGTTTTGGGAGGCCGAGGTGGACAGATAGATCACTGGAGGCCAGGAGTTCGAGACCAGCCTGGCCAACATGGCGAAACCTTGTCTCTACCAAAAAAATACAAAAATTAGCTGGGTGTGGTGGTGCATGCCTGTGGAGGCTAAGACATGAGAATTGCTTGAATCTGGGAGATGGAGGTTGCAGTGAGCCAAGATCATGCCACTTCACTTCAGCCTGGGCAATATGAGACTGTCTCAAAAAAAAAAAAAATTCTTTGGGGCAATAACTCACATAGAGCTGCCTCTCCTAGGATAACAGTACCTTTCAGACTACCTCCTGAAGGACCTGCCTGAGGATATTTTACAGTTAACTTAAAAAAAAAATAAGTCGAAGGGGTACACTCTACAATAGTGATAAAAAGTGTAATGTAATGAAAACATAGCCAGTATTAGAGGCATTTATTATCATCAAATATTGTGTGCTGTATATAATGATATTTGCTAGACTTGTATGAGACTGGCAGCGTGATACATGTATGTATACCAGCATCACCACACACACGAGTAATGCACGTTGTGCTACAATATTATGAAGGTTGTGTGTCACTAGGTGATAGGAGTTTTTCAACTCCATTATAATCTTATATATGCTGTCTGTTATTGACTGTGACATCATCATGCAGCATGTGACTGTACGGTCACATTCCAAGGTACTGGGGGTAGGGCTTCAGCATAGGAATTTTAGGGGAACACAGTTCAGTCCATAACACTATTACTCACTACTCTGGCAGTAGTTACTTACCCAGAATGAAGTCTTTACTCTCAGAGATTTGTTGTCTGGTTAATCAGATAGATGAATTTTTTTTAATTGATATTTAATGAAGTAGATTGGTTTTTGTTTTTTTGTATTGAGATGGAGCCTCACTCTGTCACCCAGGCTAGAGTGCCTTGGTGTGATCTCAGCTCACTGCAACCTCCACCTCCCAGGCTCAAGCGATTCTCCTGCCTCACCCTCCCAAGTAGCTGGGATTACAGGTGTGTGCCACCACGCCCAACAAATTTTTTGTATTTTTAGTAGAGATGGGGTTTCACCATGTTGGCCAGGCTGGTCTTGAATTCCTGAACCTCAATGATCTGCCTGCCTCGGCCTCCCAAAGTGTTGGGATTACAGGCGTGAGCCACTGTGCCTGGCCGCTAATTTTTATATTTTTAGTAAATTTTAGTAAAACACAGTAGATTGGTTTTATAAAGAAAGAAGTGATCTTAGTTCATAGATCAGAAGCCAGAGTAGGTTGTGTGTCCTTCTTTAGTTTAGTTGTGCATTTTGTTAATTTACACAATCATTTATTCGTGTGTTTACCAAATAGTTAATAAAGGCCTCTGCAGTACCAGGCATTATGCTAGGAGCTGGCCATGCAGCCATGAGAATGAATACATTAGTGCCTGCCGTTGTCAAGTTTGCCACCTGGTATATATTTAAGACATTTATGTCTCTGGATTGTAAAGACACATAATCCAGACATAATCCATTCCTCTAGGATGTTAGCTCTTGGGAGGTATTGGTATTAGACCATAGTAGTTACAAGTACTGGCTTTGTGTTTTAAAAGTTAATTTATTAATTGCTGGTTCTACCACTTCCTAGGAATGTAACCTTGAGCAAATTATTTAAACCCCTTAAACCCCTGTTTTCTCGTTTGTAAAATAGGGGTTATATAAATATTTCATGGGGCTAATTCATGATTAAATGAGATAATACATGTCACATGCCTAGTACCATACTTGGCATCTGGGAGAAGAGCTTAATCAAATTGTTGCTGCAGTGTTTTTGAATACAGGAGTGAAGTGAAACCTTTCATTGGAGGTAAAATTCAGGAGACACTAAGAATAACTTTAAATGTAGGTTTCTAATAATTGTGGAGCTCTTTTGCCAATGCTTTGGAATTTGTTGTTTTTTTATAATTTACACCCTGCCAATTACTAGAAAGAATTTGAAATAGCTGTCTAGCTTAGGAGTGTGTTCCAATTTTGAGATAATAGAAAAACACTGAACTAGAATTAAGACTACCTTAGCACGAGCTTTGGCTCTTTGAGCCAGCTGGGAGATCCAGGATTACCACAAAGTCTAGACTTTCCCTGTCAGGTTATTTGTGTTGTTTATTAATTAGGGAATGGTCAATTTTAGATATTAGCGTTTAGGTTTCTGAGGATTGGTATATAATTGCTAAAGTCTTATAAGTTTGAAAATTATATTCTAAAAGCAGAAATAATATAACCTGAACTTAATCTTGCTTCTGAATAAAATAATTATCACACCAGAGAATAATCTTTAATATGTGACTGAATATTTAATTGATTTATAGTCTTTGCTGAAGTTTACTTCAAAGCCCCCAATATAGTGTTAACTTTACATTGATTCTTATTTTTGTGGCAGTGTTCTTACAAAAAGCACTGAAGTTACAAGTTTTAAGATCTTGGTTTTCTCACCTGGCTGTCCAGTATTTGAAGCACATTTGGAAGGCACTGTTGAAACCTGTTTTAACTGATAAAGACATAGTACTGGGCTTCATGAGAGGCTTTTTCTTGTTGTTGCAGTTGTTTTTGTTTTTGCTTGGCAGGGTTAGGGGTGCTTTTTTACTGGATGGATTGTTAGGCCACTTTGGTTATCATAAGATAAGGAGACAAAATATTTTAAATAAAATAACATCCTTTTATGAGATGAGAAAGCACAAACCCATGAAAATATGCTCTCCTGGATGCTTCTCTCTACGTTCTTTGTTATTTTATGAAAAGTTACAAAATTTTAATCAACTTTACTATGTAATTTAAATGCCTGAAATTAGGTGCTGTATCTCACAGGGTTGCTGAACTTAATTTTCATATGATAATTGATGTTAATGAATGTTGCATCTTCTAATGTTGCAAATATTCTTTGATATTTTCTAAAAAGGATTACAAACTACAGATTTGTTTCAAGTTCAATTGTTATGTGATGTCAAAGCCTAGACAACTTGCAGAATGGGAGAAAGTTTTATAAATCATATATTTGATAAGGGATTAGTATCTAGACTATGTAAAGAACTCCTGCAACTCAGCAGCAACAACAAAACAACCTGATTCAAAAATGGGCAAAAGACATACTAAATAGACATTTCTCCAAAGACGATCTACAAATGGTCAGTAAGCACATGAAAAGATGTTCGACACCATTATTGACTAGGCAAATGCAAACCAAAACCATAGTGAGATACTACTTCATACTCATTAGGATATATGTTAATTTTTAAGGGAAAAAAGGGAGAAATAACCAGTGTTGGTGAGGATATGAAGAAATTGGAACCTTCATACATTGCAGATGGGAATGTAAAATGGTACAGCTGCAAGTTTGGTGGTTTCTCAGAAAGTTAAACACAGAGCAATCATTTGATCCAGGATTTCCACTTTTAGGTTTATGCTCAAAGCATTGAAAGCAGGGACTTTCATCAGATAGTGTATACCACTGTTCATAGCAGCATTAATCACAATAACCAGAGGTGAAAACAATCCATGAACATCAACAGATGAATGGATAAACAAAATGTGATATCTATATATATATCTATATAGATATATATATAGATATGCATAGAGTGGAGTATATTTATCCATAAAGAATGAAATAGGCTAAGTGAAATAAGCCTGGCATGAAAGGATACATATTGTATGGTTCCACTTACATGAAATATCTAGATTAGGAAGATTCTTAGGGACAGATAGTAGAGTAGAGGTTACCAGAGCCTTGGGGAAAAAGGCGGTGGGATTATTGTGTAACGCAGGGGTCCCTGCGTCAGCACCGGTACGTTAGGAATTGGGCCGTACAGCAGGAGGTGAGCCACAGGCAAGCGAGCATTACCACCTGAGCTCTGCCTCCTGTCAGATTAGCAGTGGCATTAGATTCTCATAGGAGCTTGAACACTATTGTGAACTGCGCATGTGAAGGATCTAGGTTGCATGCTCCTTATGAGAATCTAATGCCTAATGAATGATCTGAGGTGAAACGGTTTCATCTTGAAACCATCCACCATCTGCCCCTTCCCCCAGCCCCCGCCCTGCACCTCCACCCCATTATCCGTGGAAAATTTGTCTTCCTCAAAAATGGTTTCTGATGCCAAAAAGGTTGGGAACCGCTGGTTTAATGGATTCAGAGTTTCTGTTTGGGATGACAAAAAAAATTCTAAAATGGATAGTGGTGGTGATCGCAGAACATTGTGAATATACTTATAGGATGCCACTGAATTGTACACTTAAAAATGATTAAAATGGTCTTTTTATGTTAGATATATTTTACCACAATCAAAAAATTAAAATAACCAACCAAACAACAACAAAATAGATTTACTCAGATAATACCTGTTCAGTGTCTTTTCCTCACAGATATCTTCTCATTTGTTACTGAAGTATCCGTCTCAGAATTGTGTGGGTGCTTATTAGATGTTTAAGATTGTTTACCTGTGGGTTTGTATTGCCTTTGAATTACAAATGGTGTGGGGTTTTTTACATTATTTTTGTGACAGAAATAGTTAATGCATCTCCTTTGTTTTGCAGTTACTTCGAGAGCTTAAGCATCCAAACGTCATTTCTCTTCAAAAGGTGTTTCTGTCTCATGCTGATAGGAAGGTGTGGCTTCTGTTTGACTATGCTGAACATGACCTCTGGGTAAGGTGAATTGCTGGCAGACATGAGCAAACAGTCAGGGATTGTTAAGAGTAACTAAAAACAGTTAGGTGTTCTGCTTATTATGAGACTTATGTTTTTAAAATAAAAGTAACCTCATAGAGTGTGGTTGGTGGCATGACGAAGGCTAGAGTATTTGACTTTGTATTATTACTTTTCAATATTGTCACTTTGATCTTTTAACAGATACTAAAGAAAACAATAGAATCTAAAGAGTGTTCAACAACTATTCAATATTGCTTCATATAGTTTTTTGATAAAATAAAAAGTAACTAATATATATAAAATTTTGCTCTAAAATAGAAAAGTAGCATATTTCCTTTTATTTCGTTGTATAAAGGGAACATAAAATGAGAAGGTGGTATCCTCATGTAGGAGGACGAATATGCTATCTTTGGAGAGATCTAATAGTTCTACCATTATTTGTCGTATAGCATTAAGCAAGTCTTTTAATGGCTTTGAAGCTGTAGTTTACCCCATCTGTAAAATGTAATACTTTCTTGCCTTTTTTAACAACGTTTTTCTGAGGAACAATCTTGTATTTGAAAAGTTTTATAAATATACAAATGTAGGAAACTGTTATTAATTATTAACTATTCACAATTGAATTTAATATCCTAATTCTTATTTTCAGTGGCAGTAGTTCAATACAGTATAGTCATGCGCCATATAATGTTATTGTCAACTAGGGACTGCATATATGATAGTGGTCTCCTAAGATTATAGTACCATATTGTTACTGTACCTTTTCTATGTTTACATATGTTTAGATAACACACTTATTTACTATTGTGTCACAATTGCCTTCCTTATTCAGTACAGTAACATGTACAGGTTTGTAGCCTAGGAGCAGGAGGCTATAACATATAGCCTAGGTTTGTAGTAGAGTCTATCATCTAGGTTTGTGTAAGTACAGTCTGTGATGTTTACACAACTGCAAAATTGCCTAACGACACATTTTTCAGAATGTATCCCTTCATTAAGTGATGCATGACTGTATTGTACTTACTTGAATTGGGCATAATCTTGCATTGGAGGAATTTTTTGTGGATGAGAGCTCTATTACAAAATAAGATTCGTGTGAAAATAAATTTTAATATCTCTTGGGACTTTTAGTTCTTTGTTTTCTGACCTATGATAAGAATAGTTTTAGGCCAAGTGTAGTGGGTCACACCTGTAGTCCCAACACTTTGGGAGGCCAAGACAGGAAGATCACTTGAGCCAAAGTGTTTGAGACAAGCCTGGGTCACATGGCAAGACCCTGTCTCTGCAAAAAATAAAAAAAATTAGCTGGGCTCAGTGGCACATGCTGTGGTCCCAGCTGTTCATGGGGCTGAAGCTCAGGAAGTCGAGGCTGCAGTGGGTCCTGTTTGCACTGTTGCACTCCAGCCCGGCTAATTTTTGTATTTTTAGTAGAGACAGGGTTTCACCATGTTGGCCAGGCTGGTCTCTTAACTCCTGATGTCAGGTGATCTGCCCACCTCGGCCTCCCAAAGTGCTGAGATTACAGGCCTGAGCCACTGAGCCCAGCCAGTTTATTAGTTTATCTAATGCATTGCAGAAAATGATGCTATATTGAAAAAAATTACTGTAAAATAAGAACTTAATTTTATCTTGTCTGAGTAGCTGAAATACAAACACCAGCCTCAGTATTTTGCAGTTTACTAAGCAGATTATTTTTTAAATTGGTATTTGAGGAACTCTAAGGTAACTATAAAATTTGCTCTTTTATTAAATATAACATTTATATATTTTTTAAAAATCTGAAACGTTACCTTGCAGATAAAACTTTGAGATATATATATAGAAAATCTATAATAGGATAGCCAAAGTAATTTTGAAACATAGTAACAAAATTGACATTCTTATCAATCTGTATAGAGAACATCTGTTAATACAGATTATAGTTTAAGAAACAAGTAAACTAAACATCTAACATTACCTTGTGTTAATTCATTAAGAATTACTATACTCCTGTGAACTGCTTTTTAAATGATATTTAATAATGTCTTTAAACATTGTATTGATTTGCATACTAATCTATATTTACTAAATTAGCATGGCTATGCTTTTTATTATGTATACATGAAATTTTCTCTCTTTTATGAAACTCTTTCCAAAGTTCATGCTGGTTATTAATTTCTTCTTTTTTTTTAAATCTTTGGTTCTTCTGTTCTTCTATTTTAAAAGAAATCTAATCAGATCAACCCTGTTAAATCAGCGTGGCCAGTATTAAATTGAACACTCACTATGCTGAGCCTCATAAGAAATAAAGTCATATAATTTAAACTTAAGGCATTTTCCAGGCTGGTTTATAAACAAGATTTGTGATAAACCACAGTAGAGCATAGAAGATAGTATAATATTTCACTCAATGTGATTTCTAGCTGCTAGTTTGTAATATTTAATTTTACATGTAGGTACAATGATTATACTTCAGCAAATTTTATTGTGGGTAATATTGTACAGTGCATATAACTAGTTCATTAGCTTTATCATCATCTTAATAATATTTAAGCCAAATAAATATTTTTAATGTTCATTTTCATAAAAAACAAATGATAATTTAGCCTACTAAAACCCACTCCTTTATCTATTTTAATTGGAATGTTGAAGTGAATTGGTAGGGGTTAGGCAGCAGAGGGTAACAAGGCAGTCGCAATAAAAATAGTTATTTTTAAAAATCACTTAGGCGTTGGTGAGATTTCATGGTATGTATATTTTGCATTTGTTATGTAGCCCTGGAATATAAAGAAAATGACAGTAGGATTTGTCATTTTAAAACATTGGTAAAAAAAGTCACTTGTAATACTCTAATGAAAGTGTACATGAAGAAATATATATGAAATTGATTAATTACCTTACCTCTCCTACATATTTGTTCCTTTGATTCTTACTGCGGCAGAGTTTTAATTTTTTTTTTTTCAAAAAATTAACCTATTTTATTTTTATTTATATTTATTTTACCTGTTTTTATTAAGCTTGGAGAGAGCCAAAGAATCTTCTTCTTGTTTTTTTTGTTTGTTTGTTTTTGAGATGGAGTCTCGCTCTGTCGCCCAGGCTGGAGAGCGGTGGCAGGATCTCCACTCACTGCAAGCTCCGCCTTCCAGGTTCACGCCATTCTCCTACCTCAGCCTCCCGAGTAGCTGGGACTACAGGTGCCTGCCACCACTCCCGGCTAATTTTTTGTATTTTTTAGTAGAGACGGGGTTTCACCGTGTTAGCCAGGATGGTCTTGATCTCCTGACCTCGTGATCCACCCGCCTCAGCCTCCCAAAGTTCTGGGATTACAGGCGTGAGCCACCATGCCCGGCCCAAGAATCTTCTTCTTAAGGAGAACAGACTTGATTGTCACATCATATTTTAGGACAGGTGACAAAACAGCCTAGATTATTAAATTGTTGTAGCTCTGTTTTGTTTGCCTGCTATTAAATACTTTGAAAAAAAGACTGAGAAGAAAATTAAAGTAGATTAATGCTGCTAATTTAGATTAGTCATACTACATATGTGCAAACTGCTACACTTTACCTTCTCGTAGATATTTGCTATATATTTTTACCTTGGAGAGTAAAGCTCCTTTATTCATTAATCATTAGTTATTCCTTACTTGTGTCATATTCTGTATATCATAAGAAAATAGCAAGTGAAAATGTTAACTTATAATGTTAAATATCTCTTATTTTTATTATGTCTACTAATTTCAAGAACATGCTTAATATTTACTTACATGTATTGGCCAAGGGTCTGCTCTGTGCAATATTAGGTTCAGGGATATGTACAGTGGTGTGCAAGGCATAGTTTACTGCAGCCGAGTTATAGATTTTCCTGCAATTTAAGAGTGATCTAATTAAGAAAATGAGTCCTATCAAGAGCATTTGAAACTTTTCAAGAAAAAACTTGTAAGGCACATTTATTCATAAAGTAATTTTTCTATGTATAAAGTTGTGCTTTGTTTTACTGGATGTCTAACAACATTATACATAGAAAGCTTTGATGGATGGTACAAGGCAGTTTTTATTTTCCTCAGAATCTTTCCCATTTTTACATTTTTCCATTGTGAACTGGTATATCATTTCTTTGTGCTTGTGTGTATTTTATTGAAGCATCTCCCCACTTGCTTTCTTTATAACCTGTGTCATAAATAGGTTCTAATTCTATGCTATGTCAACCAGCCAGAAGTATCTCTTGAATTTTGTTCTTTTTTTTTTTTCATTTTATCTACCAGATAAACAGGAATCAAGTATACTCTGAAAGTAATTGATTTTTAATTATGCTTTAAAAATAAAAGCACAATATTTTCTGATTCCCTATTGTGATAATTTATCTCCTGAAATGCTGTCATATGGGTAGGAAATGGAATTTTAGCCCCAGTTATTAGGGAATTTTAAAGTTGTTTATGTTATTCAGCAGAGTACGAAATTATATTTTCAATATCTATGGGAATCCCTGAGTGTTTCTTTTTCTGTTAGGAAAATATTATACATCAAATTATCTTTTCCTTTTTTTAAGCTTCTGTTGATATTTTTTTCTTTCTTTCAGCATATAATCAAGTTTCACAGAGCTTCTAAAGCAAACAAGAAGCCAGTTCAGTTACCTCGGGGAATGGTGAAGTCACTATTATATCAGATCCTAGATGGTATTCACTACCTGCATGCTAACTGGGTGTTGCACAGAGATTTGGTAAGTTGACCTGTAATTGGTTTAAACTAGAAAGATGCATTACAGTTGGATACTTTTCTAGTCGTCTGTAGATACCAGTGCTATATGTAGGCCTGCAAACCTTATAGAAGTAGTGAGAATGCTACCTTCTCAAAACATGGCCTAGTAGTGTTTTTATATAATGCCTCCTGCTTCTCTGACATACACTAGATGGTATTTATTTCAAAGTGAAAGAAGAGACATTTGTGTTCCTAAGCTTCTGTTTCCTTTTAAGTTCATAAATAAAGCATTGGCTTGCTTTAAATTGATTATTAGATACAAGGCCAACTGTAGAAATTTATATATTTATAATAACTTGAAAATAAAATTTTGGGAGCCTACTGCATACTAATTTACATATTAGAAAAGGAAAATGTTAATTCAATATGCTTATATTTTAAGCCCCTCTATATTAGCAGTCTGTTGGCCAATCACCTTTATTAATCATAATTGAAGTATATTATTAGAAGCCTTGCTGTGTTCAGGTGCATTGAACTTTTGAGAATTTAAAAACTTAAGAAACTGACTTTTTAATTTTACGTTGCAAAGTCATTTATGCCTTTTTTCACCCATCTTGCACAGGGGTCCCCAACCCCCAGGCCACAGACCAGTCCATGGCTCATTAGGGACCAGGCCACACAGCAGGAGGTGAGCGGTGGGTGAGCATTACCACCTGAGCTCCGCCTCCTGTCAGATCAGTGGCAGCATTAGATTCTCATAGGAGCCAGAACCCTATTGTGAACTGCACATGCGGGGGATCTAGATTGCACGCTCCTTATGAGAATCTAGCTAATGCCTTATGATCTGAGGTGGTACAGTTTCATACTGAAACCATCCCCTCCCACCCCGCTCCGTGGAAAAACTTCTTCCATGAAACTGGTCCCTGATGCCAAAAAGGTTGGGGACTGCTGGTCTAGCATATTATTATTCATTAAATTTTCATGGATTTAAATTACCTAAACTTCAAATTGCCCTTTCTTACTACATAATTACATTGCTTTTATAGTTCTTTTCTTTGTAAAGATAGTAACTATATAATAAGGTTTATAAAGGCACCTTCATTTCAAACAAATATAAACACAATGCTAAAAGTGATTATTTTGTCTCTAATCACCTGTATACAAAGGAAATATCCTGTAGGCTATGAGGCGGAGCCCATCTGGTCTCTCGCAAAGATGTTCTTCACAAATTTAGTGGATTTAGTCTCTGGCCTTCAATGTGCTGTTCCAGTGGCACAGTTTATACTTCTTTCTTCTAGCTTTAGGGAATTGCCTTGTAGTACATTTGATGTTAGTTACTTTATCTCCAGTTCTCATACCTACAAAGCATTTAGACTAGGACCAGTAACAGCAGAAATTTGGTTGAACTTGTTTCTTTATGCAAACTTTTATTTTTAATACAGTTAGAATATTTCACTTATAAAAATAGATTTACAGGCCAGGCACAGTGGTTCATGCCTATAATCCCAGCACTTTGGGAGGCCAAGGCGGGTGGATCACGAGGTCAGGAGTTCAAGATCAGGCTGGCCAAGATGGTGAAACCCCGTCTCTACTAAAAATACAAAAAATTAGCTGGGTGTGGTGGTGGGCACCTGTAATCCCAGCTACTCGGGAGGCTGAGGCAGAGAATTACTTGAACGCAGGAAGCTGAGGTTGCAGTGAGCCAAGATCGCGCCACTTCACTCCAGCCTGGGCGACAGAGCGAAACTCCATCTCTAAAAAATAAAAGAAAACAAAAAATAGATTTACATAACAGAAATAAGACAAATCCTTTGGCATTTTGTGAAGCTCAAAATAAATTTTGGCCATTGGGGTGGAGTCAAGTTAGGGAAAAACATTTCTACTTTTGAGCTACCAGTCCTTTTTATGATCTCTAAAAGAAAAAACTGTGGCTTAAGGACATTTTTTTCCCCGTAGAGTCAGTTATGCTAAGATAGCTCTACATTTTCTTTTTCTTGTAAATTTTTTTTTCACTTGAAATACATATGTATATTAGGTAAATACAGACTGGTTTTTAAAACCAATATTTAAATTTCATGTAATAATATAAATATACTTAAGCCACTTAGATTAGTATTAAGTATGGTAGTGAAAATTATGATACCGAGTTTCTTTTATCTCTCTTATGGTAAAGCTCTTCCTGCTAATGCATCTTAAGTAGATTCTCTTTGACATAGGGGTAGTATAGAACAGATCATTTCAGAAGGCTCTGTCTGTTAGTGGTGTACTAAGTGGTGGAAAGTGGAAGGATTGGTGCCCCCTAATATAGGCAACAAGGGATGCATTATCTGTAGATGATTTAAAAATAATAATAAAGCACATTAAAAGTTAGTTGCTTTTTATTGTCACTATATGCTGGCAATTCTGAACAATTTCAGTAATAAAATATTTCTCTACGGTGAGGCAAATCACTCTTACTCCTCCATCCCTCTTGCCATTATTTAAAGTTTATTAATCCAAAAAGTTCTGCAGTGTCTGCTGCTATCTTCTTTGATTTCCATATTTGAGTGAGATTTCCCATATTTTCTGTGCATGACTTAGTGTTCTTTATAAACGTCTGACCCTTCTGTGTGTCTCACGCACGCAGAAGTCCACTGAACCATTGTTTCATGAAAATGATAGCCTTTGCCTCTAATCTAGATCCTACTGGTTCAGATGCCCACCTTTCAAATTCTTCAATTTCTGAAGAAAAATCTCATTTACCATATATGTACATTTTAAAATGTGAACACCTTCCTGCCAACTGAAAAAGTTTTAAAGTTTTAATGTTTATAGTGTTTGAACAATAGCTACATATGATTCTAATGTATGTAGTAATATGATATTAACTCTCAAGAACATTGTTCAGAAGCTGTATCACATAACTTTTTTAACATTTTTTCTCAAATATTTGTTGTTACTTGCATATGAAATATTTACCCTATCAAAACAAAAATTAATAGTTCATTATATTCTTTACCCCTGTTTAGTCAGATTTAGATCAAATGTGATAATGCTGACCTTAACTCTCTTCATAGATTTCTAATGCTATGAATTGGACCAGTTGGCTGACATGCCACAAGAAACTTCATATTAAGGTGGATAATTGGCACAGACACCCTAAAAACACCATTTTAATAATACTCTGGAATGTTATTGATGTCTTTGTTTAATAAAATTGGCTTTATTAATTAATAGAAATACTGGTTTGAGATGGTAGAGTTATGAATTTCTTTGATATGTATAGTTGAGCTTTTAAAATTAACAGTCCTATTTAATAAATAATGATTTATTTGGTTGCTATTAATTATCACATAGAAGCAGATCAGTAGCTGAAATCCGGCATCCTTGGTGGGAAAATAGAGATTTATTAATTCTGGAAATCTTTTTGAGCTGAGAGTCGTAATCAGTGTAAATGTATGGGTGTTTTAAGAAATATGGACCAGAAAAGAAACATAAGCAGTATTTATTTTGTGAAGTAATTCATTGATCCAAACCAAACTTTTTAGTTTTAGAACATTAAAATATGTATATGTAAGTTGTTGCTTATACACTTGTCTGTGTCCACTAGAGGTAAATAAGAACAAAGTTATGTCTGTTAAGTTAGCTTTGCTCCTTCCCTTGATGACTCTCTTCCCTTTTCTTTGTTTATTCTCTTTCTCTCCTTGGGAAGGGAAAATAGTTTGACTACCAGTCTACTATAGTCCTGGTTCTGGTATTACCATCTATACTGCTTAGGGTTCTCCAGAGATGCAGAACCAACAAGGTGTTTATACATAGATGGAGAGTGATTTATTTAAGGAATTGGCACATGCAGTTGTGGAGGCTTGGTAAATCCAAAATCTGCAGAGCAGGCTACAGGCTGGAGACCCAGGAAAAAGTTTTAGCTCTAGTCCAAAGACAGTCTGCTGGCAGAATTCCTTCTTGCTCAGGGGAGGTCAGTCTTGTTCTATGAAGGCATTCAACTGATTCGATGAGGCATATCCATGTTAAGGATAGTCCTTATGTGTTTTACTCAAAGTCCACTGATTTAAATGTTAATCTCATCCAACAAAACATTCACGGAAACATTCAGAATAATGTTTGACCAAACATCTGGGCACTATGGTCCAGCCAAATTTACACATCAAATTATTCATCCTTGGCTGGGCATGGTGGCTCACGCCTGTAATCCCAGCACTTTGGGAGGCGGGCAGATCATGAGGTCAGGAGATTGAGACCATCCTGGCTAACATGGTGAAACCCTATCTCTACTAAAAAAAATACAAAAAAATTAGCTGGGCATGGTGGCGGGTGCCTGTAGTCCCAGCTACTTGGGAGGTTGAGGCAGGAGAATGGTGTGAACCCAGGAGGCAGAGCTTGCAGTGAGCTGGGATCGCGCCACTGCACTCCAGCCTGGGCAACAGAGCAAGACTCCGTCTCAAAAAAAAATAAAAAATAAAAAAGTCATCCTATACAAGTGAATAAACAAGAAGCACAAGTTAAAATAATGTGAGGTAAGTTATTTGCCCTGTCTCTTCCCCCTCTCTCCCTGCTGTTACTAAAATAGGAGTATTGAGTTAAGGCATTCTAAGAATTTTTACCTCGTATTATAAAGAAGGGACTAAGTGGGAAATACTGTGAAAACAAGTAAAGATACATTTAACTTTCTAACACCGTTGTCAGGAATGTAAAATAATACAGCTGCTGTGGAAAACACTGTGGCAGTTTTTAAAAAAATTAAAAATAAGATTACCATATGATCCAGCAGTTCCACTTCTTGGTATATACCCAAAATAATTCAAAGCAGGGTCTCAAAGAGGTATTTGTATATGCATGTTCATAGCAGCATTATTCACAGTAGCTTGCCAAAAGGTAGAAGCAACCCAAGTGTCCATCAGTGGATAAATGGGTAAACAAAATGGGGTATGTACATACAATAGAATATTATTCAACCTTAAAAAGGAAGGAACTTCTCAGCCTGGGCAACATAGTGAAACCTCATATCCACAAAAGCAAAAATTAGCTGGGTGTGGTAGCATGCACCTGTGGTCCCAGCTACTTGGGAGGCTGAGGTGGGAGGGTCACTTGAGTCCAGGAGTTTGAGGCTGCAGTGAGCTGTGATTGTGCCACTGCACTTCAGCCTGGGCAACAGAGTAAGACTCTGTCTGTAAAATAAAAATTACAAAATTTCTTTTGGGTAAGAAAATTGACATATGTACAAGGATGAACCTTGAGGACATTATACTAAGTGAAATAAGCTAGTCACAAAAGGATAAGTACCATATGATTCCACTTTCATGAGGTACCTGAGTAGTCAGATTCATAGAGACAAAGTAGAATGGTGGTTGCCAGGGCTGAGGGGAGGAGCAGTTACGGGACGTTACTGTTTAATGGATGCAGAGTATGAAAAGAGTTTGGAGATGTACGGTGGTTGCACAGCATTATGAATGTGCATTTAATACTGAACTGTACACTTAAAATGGTTGATAAATTTTATGTTACGTGTATTTTACCACAATAAAAGACATCGGGAGAAAATATGTTTAAGTGATTCATAATAAGGAAAAGTTTGAAGTCTGCTAGCCTGATTGGATTCAGTTTGGTAATTTTTCTTAGCACAGTCAAATAACAAGACATGATGCATCAAAGTTGTATTGATACTGTTTGTGTAGAAGCCCAGTTTTGATTTGGCAATGGTATCTGAACTGTTTCTGAAAAAGTGGTCCTCCTTTCTAGATAGAGTTAAAACACATGGGCAAGGGCATGAGCGGTTTTTCACTACTGAAGCCTGTGTTGTGACCATTTTGAGAGCATCTAGACAACTTCACTAACTGCAGCTATGTGGCCTCATTTTTTTCTTCTTTTCTTTTTTTTGAGATGGAGTCATCACTCTGTTGCCCAGGCTTGAGTGCAATGGCATGATCACAGCTCACTTGAACCTCTGCCTCCCAGGTTCAAGTGATTCTCCTGCCTTAGCCTCCCAAGTAGCTGGGATTACAGGCGTGTACCACCACATCCGGCCAATTTTTGTATTTTTAGTAGAGACAGAGTTTTGCCATGTTGGCCAGGCTGGTCTCGAACTCCTGACCTCAAGAGATCTGCCCACCTCGACCTCCCAAAGTGCTGGGATTACAGACATAAGCCATTGCACCTGGCCTGGCCTCTTTCAGTAGAACTGATTTCAGTAGAACTTCAAACTATTTTTTATAAAACTTAAAAAAGGAATGCTTTTCTCATTCAGTTTGTGAAATAAATTTCAAAGTCAGTTAATATTTCTTTTACTGGGAAGAATTCTGTGATAAATTAAAAATTTGAGGCAAAGCATGATGGCTTATGCCTGTAATCCCAGCACTTTAGGAGGCCAAAGTAGGAGGATTGTTTGAGGCCAGAAGTTAGAGACCAGCCTGGGCAATATAGTGAGACTCTGTCTCTACAAAAAGAAAATTGAAACACATTGTCAAATATGCTGGTATTTGTGAATCTAAGTGAAGACTGATATGTAGTCCAGCTCCAATCTTCTTTTCTTTCCCTATCTTACTCCTTAAGCTAATTTTCCAGCCAACTCAGAGGTTGCCCTGCCTGCTTGAATCCCCTCATCCCTTCATCTTCATAGCTCGAAATTAAACTCTCTCTAGTCACCCTAGCTGAAAATGAGAATGTTTATATCTAAAATCCTATTACAGCTACTTTGAACCACCCATGGGCCACTTACTAGTTTTGGTAATATGGTAATCTATTTGATTATAAACTCCTGAGGGCAAAGACTGTGTCTTACTCTGTGTTTGTATGCCTCCCACTGCCTACCAAAATACACAATTTGTGTATACAATATTGCATGTTTGTTGAATGAATGAACTAGCTTACTTGTAACAGAAACAAAGTGGCTTCCAAGGTTATTTCTGATTTTACCTAATGCTTATGCATATCTACAGACACATGCATATCCTTTTGCATTTCTTTTTACTACCCTTTTACCTCTACTATGATTTACTGCAGTGAAGTGGTGCACAAAAGCTTCCCCCCATCCGTCTGCATTTTAAATCCTTTCAGCTGCTTCCCTCTTACTACTCAGAAGAACTCAGCTCTTACTAGTCAGTTCAAAGACCATTCAACTAATGATATTGACCTATTGATCTCTTTTATTGCTCTCTTCTTATACGCAATATTTTTGTTTCACTCAGTGAAACCTATTTGCTGACCCTTTTCCTATGTGTTCTGATGTTCTCTTTATGTCACTTATTTTTCTCAAATTTTTTCTTTAATCTTAAGGTTGGAACATTACTATCATAGTTAATATACATCCCTCACTTTATTCAAAAACATCTTAAGGTTCCTTCTGAGTAAATTCTTTAATTGCAAATAAGATGGCAATGCCTACCTTCTTCTAAACATACCAACTGTTCTGAACTTGGAACTCTTCTATTTCACTTTTACATTGCATTTAACTGACCAGTCTATTACTTGTCATAATATATTTATGGATGCTCCTTGACTTACAGTGGGGTTCCATCTTGATAAACCCCTCATAAGTTGAAAATATTGTAAGTCTAAAATGCATTTAATACACCTAAACTACCAAACATCAGAGATGAGTTCAGTGTGTTTTAAACATGCTCAGAACACTTCAGTCAACCTACAATTGGGCAAAATCATCTAACACAAAGCCTATTTTATAATAAATTTGTTGAGCATCTCATGTGATTTATTGAATACTACACTCAAAATGAAAAACAATGGTTGTATGGGTACTGGAAGTACAGTTTTTACTGAATGCATATTACTCTCACATCATCTTAAAAGCCAAAAAATTATAAGTCACGCCATTGTAAGTTGGAGATCATCTCTAATTTCTAGCTTATAGTTGCTCATTTTGGGACTGCTTTCATTTTTTAAGTAATTTTCTTTTTGTCTTTCTTTTCTTTTCCCTTTTTTTTTTTTTTTTTTTTTTTTTTTTTGAGACAGGGTGTCACTGTGTTGCCCAGGCTAGTCTTGAACTCCTGGGCTCAAGAGATCGTCCTGCCTCAGCCTTCCAAAGTGCCGGGATTACAGGCCTGAGCCACCACACACAGCCATTTTGTAAATTAATTTTCTAATGCACTTATTATTGGCTGTGTTTTATGCTTTTTGTTGAAAGTATTCATAAAGCTGTATCAGACCATAGGAATGATTTATACTAAATCAACATCTAAGTATTAAAGACTTGGTTTTGATGTATTTTCTAAGAAAATTAATTGAAAGTAGAGTAGTAGTTATATGACTGGCCTAGTAGCCATTAATTTTTGTAAAGTACATGTATTAGAGTTCTCCAGAGAAACAGAGTCAATAGGATAGATAGGTAGATGTATGTGTGGATGATAGATGATAGATGGATGGATGGATGGATGGATGGATGGATGGATGGATGGATGGATAGATAGATGAATGACAGAGCATTTGCTAGAGGAATCGGCTTATGCAATTATGGAGGCTGAGAAGTCCCATGATATGCCAACTGCCAGCTGAAGAAACAGGGAAGCTGGTTGCATGGTTCAGTCTAAATCCAGATGACCTGAGAATGAGGGAGCTGATGGCATAACTCTCAGTCAGAGGCCAAAGGTTTGAGAAGCTGGGGAGCTACTGTACAAGTCCCAGAGTCCAAAGGCCAGAGAATGGAGAGTTCTGATTTCCAAGAGCAGGAGAAGAAAGGTATCCCAGCTCCAGAGGAAAGAGAAGTTGCCTTTCCTCTGCCTTTTTGTTCCATCTGGGCCCTCACCTAATAAGATGGTGTCCATCTATGTACGTTACTTGGAGGTGGATCTTTCCACTTTAGTCTACTGTTTCAAATGCCAGTCTCTTCTGGAAACACCTTCACCGAAATACCCAGAAATAATGCTTTGCCAGCTATCTGGGTATTCTTTAGTCAAGTTGACACCTTAAATCAACCGTCACAGTCTATATCAAATTTTCATATGGTCATTAATGTTTTCCTTGTTTTAAAATATGTGATATCCAAAATTTCATTTTAATAGTTACCTTAATGATTTTATCATAGTAGTAGTTAACTTGGAACTAGCAGGCACACAGTGTGTATTGTAGTCCTGTTTTACTAAATGGCATATAATGTTGAGTGAGATATACTATAACTTTTCATTGTAGTTTTTTTTTTTTTTTAATTTTCAAGTTCAATTACAAGATTGTATAGAAATTTGGAGTATTTCTCACGCCTGTAATCCCAGCACTTTGGGAGGCTGAGGTGAGTGGATCACGAGGTCAAGAGATCGAGACCATCCTGGCTAACACGGTGAAACCCCATCTCTGCTAAAAAAAAAAAAATGGAAAAATTAGCCAGGTGCGGTGACAGGAGCCTGTAGTCCCAGCTACTTGGGAGGCTGAGGCAGGAGAATGGCGTGAACCTGGGAGGTGGAGCTGGCAGTGAGCCGAGATCGCACCACTGCACTCCAGCCTGGGTGACAGAGCAAGACTCCATCTCAAAAAAAAAAAAAAGAAATTTGGAGTATTTCAACTATTGCAGCCATCGTCGGTTGGCCACTCCTGCTCTTAACTAATTCAAAATAGTGATTTTTAATGTCATAGTAAAACTTTCTAGAAAATCTCTAGATTTGGGGAGTGTTTCAGTAGAGGTATGCTACTCACTTCAAAGCTTATTTTGGAAAAAATAAGCTTTTTTTTGTTTGTTTGTTTTTGGTAGAGATGAGGTCTTGCTGTGTTGCCCAGGCTGGTCTCAAACTCTTGGGCTCTTGGGCTCAAGCAGTTCTTCTGCCTTGGCCTCCCAAAGTGCTGGGATTACAGGCACAAACAACCTTGCCCAGCCTGATTTATTATTACTTTTTAAATCTGATAGTGTTGCTGTCCTGCAGTTTATTTTAATTATACTGGGTAATTTGGAATCACTAAGTGGGACTTCATGTGTCCTTGGTGAAGGATATGTTGGTTTCCTAGCAACTGTTAAATAAGATTAAAATCTTGGAGGGAGCCATTGACTCAAACTCAGTTTCATAGGGCACACTTTATCAAGGCATCTTATTGTGTATTGATAGCATGATGAATTATTAAGGCATTTTGGGTCTGATTCTTTTTATTTGAGTGACAAAGTGAAAAAACACCTAATGTGTTTTACTTACCAATACTAATGTTTGCTCATGGTTATATGACATTTTTGTTTTTGTTTGAGGTGTATTTTCTTATTGTCTGCTCAACTCTACTACTAGTAAGTGGAAAAATTGAGAAGCAAAGAGGCTAAATGACTTCATTATGGTTATTCAGAGAACTGTAGCAAAGCTGGACTACCGAATTTAGGATTTTTCCTCTAGTTCAGTGATTTTTAAATTGCAGATTATAAGCCATAAACGAATCAGGAAAACACACGACACAATCAGTTTTTTTGTTGTTGTTTTTAATGAATTAGAATAAATATGAGAGTGCATCATATATGTTAAGGGTAATTACTGTTTCATGAAACTTTTGATTCAGTTATGTATATTTGTCATTATTGTCATGTAATATTAAATGTGTCACATAATATTAAATTTTACTGTGGGTTGTGTTGAAAAAGTTTTGGAAGCCCTTGCACTAGAAAATTCTTAGGCCCAAATTATAGAAACTTAATGTTTTTTGCAAGCTTTTTGACATTGGTAATAAAATCATTTTGAATAGCGGTTAGGAGGGATTATATAATCAGTAGAATTTAAGGAAAGTTTCAGTTTCTTCCTTCTATACCTTTCAAATTGTTGGAATAGTTTGTAGTTAACATACCTTATTGTTACAATCAGAGGGAAAAAAGTGTTTTAATCTGGATCATAAAACTGAAGAAAATGTTTATTTAATGTGTTATTAAAGCTCACATGTAATGTTCATTGTGGTTTAGTATATTTTATGTTGGTAAAGGGCGATTGTTATTTTTAAAATAGCCATATATACACTTTCTTTCTTTCTAAAAAGAGGCATTAGTAAATTCTTCAGAAAAGAAAAAGCAAGCGGAAAGGACCCTGAAATTACCCATAGACTAAAAGAGGGGCAGAGCAGTAGTCATGGAACAGTGGGAAAGAGAGGAGTCTGCATTCTAGACATCTGTTGCCACTATTTTTCCTTATCTGTGCTGTAGTAGCTTCCTTGAAATGAGAGTTGGGAACCTGTTAAGCGTGTTTAAAACAGAGCTTTTTGAAGGAAAAATGCTTTTAGTTGTCAGGTTTAATTATTACTCATGACTTGAGATTTGCTTCGTTTGTTGGGAACTCCAAGGATTTACTCTAATTGTACCTTGTTTAATTGGGTAGCTAATAAAACACATAAGATTGCAACCATAAAATTTAGGCTTGCAGATAAAACATGGGTTTGGTAACAACTGATTAAGGCAAATTTAAATGAGATTTGCATTAATTTCAGTTAACATTGTGACTATTGTGCTTATTCTAAAGTATTCTTACTTAAATGACCAGCTGGACAGTTTTCCTTCTGTAAACTGATTATAAACAACCCATTTGGCTTTTGGGTACATGCCACATTTGCTTAATTATTATACTGAGCATGCACAATGTACTGTTTTATTATTTATCAATAAAAAAGTGGCCCACTTCATTTTATTAAATGTCACAATTGCAAATAGCATATATGTTTATATGGGTAGGTTACAAGTTGATAAAAATATTATGTCGTTTGGTTTGCATATTACTTAGACATCTCACCAATCAAGAATGGTTATTCTAAATTATCTCATCAAGATTTTGTTTTAAATGGAGTTTCTTTAAGATGTTTTTGTGTGACCATGGAAGTTGACTTGAAGTAGAGGGTTATCTGAGTTTTTCTCCATTCATAACGTAATTGATGTAATACATCATTATGTATTTTACATAACTCCTCCCATTTTTATAAACAAAATATACTATCATCCACAGCAGTGTGTTTCCAAAAACCTGGACAGATAGGGAGACAAGAATTTTTCATATCTCTGCCTGCGTCTTATATAAGCTATTACTTGATTTAATACGATATTAATGGTGACCCCTCAGTTTTTCTCTTTTGACCTTTGGACTTTCACATTAGCAAAACAAATATATCACAATACCAAGAAACTCTCTCTTTCCAAAGAGAGTTTCAGAATACTCTGAATTATACTGTGAAAAAAAACCATAAAAATTAATATCTCAGTCTAACTTTCTAGTAATAGAGTCAGGTTTTAGAGTTATTTTCCAGACTTCTGAAGATTTGCAAAAGTACCTGAATCTTTAAAGATGGACTATATTAGATAAGATTTTCTTTTATCTCAGCTAAAGCTGTTATCTAAACCTATTTTAAGTTATTGGTGCCATTGGCCACATAAAGCTTTCATTAAATCTTTTTCAGTTTGACGACCATATCTCTTTACTGGATACAAGCAAATGATAAATGGTCAAATAACAGAACAAAAGTAAGTCTTCCTACAGAAACAAGCACAAGCAGAGAGCCATATTTCAAAATCAGTTCAACCCAGAAGTTCAAGTTCTTGTGTACATTTTTATAAATTTTGTTTGAATCAACATACAATATTTTTTTTAAGATTTAATACAATGAGAAGTTTCCTCAATATAATTAGATGTAAAATCAGTAACCGTTACTGAATTAACTATTGAAAGAAATGTTCGTTTATTAAAGTCTCCTACTCCCCCAATACAACTGGATTTTACCTTCCCTTTTAATAGTGATCACTTTGTTATATGACCTATATCTATTTTTTATTATTTAATTTTTATAACTTGCCTCCAGATTTTTATCTTACTAAAAGTATAATACTCTAAGTAGGTATGTGTTCTGAAGATTCCTCTCTGTTCCCAAATAGATGTGTGAATTTCTAAAATCAATTTCTATTCTAATTTCCAGTCTTTTCAGATCACAGACAGGCTTGTAATTCAGGTCAGTGTAGTTTAAGATGCCTATTTAATAAAAACATAGAAGTTGGGAAGATAGATTGCTAATTTTTAAAAATTCATTTAACATCTGTTTATGTAAACATCTTGAACCATTTGAAATAAGATCATTTTTTGTTTTCCCTAATTTCACAGACTAATAGGCCTTAAAGTTGGAAGGCATCTTAGCAGCAACAGACTATTCCAGTCTCTTAGCTGCCATAGTAATTCTTGGTAATATGCGGGGCAGACAACCCTGCTGACACTGGTCGAACATTTCCATCATGGCTAACTTTCTGTCTTATTAGAGTAAACTTGTTGTTACACAGCTATAATCCTTGAAGGTAGAGTCAGAAATTTGGAATTCCTAATACTCATCCTTTGGGCCCTCTCTTCCTTGATTGGTCTTCTCTTTTTTCCCCCCTTCTGGTTAACACTAGATGGTAAAATCAAATGTCTGAAAAACAAACAAACAAAAAACAAAAACAAATGTCTGAACCTTGATGCTGAAGAGGGGCTAAGGGAGATCCAAAAATAAAAGGCAGAGCAAAATAAAGAACAACAAAAGGAGAAATTAAGAAGAAAAATAAGAAAGGGTTGCACATGGTAGGAAGCGATAGAAAATCTTGGGTTATCTATCCTTGAATAATTTTTTTTTTTTAATCAGCATGGGCCAAAGAGGAAAAATTAAGCCCCTGTTATAGTGGACCTGAGATTTGTTTGAATCTTTGTTCTACCACTTAATTGTGTTACCATGGGAAGCATTAACCTGTCTGTCACTTTTCTCAGCTATAAAATGGGGCCAGACCTATTTGTTTTTTCCTTTGGGTAGAGATTGATGTGAAGACTGGCACATAATAAATGTTCATTAAGTACATTTCACTTTTCAAGTTGCCCTGTGAATATTAAGTACATGAGGATTAAGAGCTTTATCCGTTTTGTTTACTGCTATATCATCACTATCCAGAATGTTACACGGTGCATATTGGATGCCTATAAATAGCTTACTGAATGAATAAGTAGATTTTTTTGTTAGCTCTTCCTTCAAAACATCTCAGATCCAGCTATAGTGAGACCTTATTGGAATTCAAATTCGAATAAAGCACAATTGGCAATTGGTCCTTATCATCTGCCTGGTATCTTTTTCTCAAAGAAGAGTCAACTGTAGTGCTTATTTTCAAGGAGAGGAATCCATGAAAGGAAGGGCAGATTTGGCAGGGATTCTGGACTTATTAGCCCAGTGTCCCTGGATCAATCCAATAAATCATTTGCCATCTTACAAGGAGATTTCAGAATTTTCTGCTGCTGGGAAATGGATTTGGATTGCCCAGATGGTCATTGGGATTGCTAGTTGTAGAGGTTCACCTTGTCCATTTCATTAATATCTGTTTACCCTACCCCTAGCTAGACCCCACATTTTACACAGTCGAATTTTTCGGACTCCAATAATTGCCTCATGGTCTTGCTGCTCACCGTTTCTGTCACCACTACTCTAATTCAGGCCACTTGGATTACTGCAGAAACTCCCCAGTGATCTTCCTCTCTTGTTGTCTTGTGTTTGTTTGATCTAATAACTACAAACAAAATGATCTCTCTAAAAACCAAATCACATCGTGTCATTCCCCTATTTAAAATTCCTCAATATCTTCCCACCTGGGAGACTGATATATTCAAAATCTTTCCTAAACACATTGTACAGTATAATGTCTTTTTACCGTGGTGAAAGCTGCACCATTATTTTATGTACCACTAAGAAAGAAAACATGCTGCCAATTTACTATCACACCACGGAGGCTGAGACACATCTTGCTTTCAGAAATTCTAAGATTTAAAAAGAAAAGTAAAAATTGGAATCCATGAAATGCATTTTCTTCTTGTCATATAGTAATGGTTAGGACTTATTCACTAATACAGTGGCAAATATAATAGAAGTGACTTATTTCTGTCTTTAAGGAGAATTCTTAAGTTTCACTATTAGATATGATATTTACTTTGGGGTTTTAGTTAAAGGTAAAAGATGTTCCCTTCTGTGCCTGGTTAAGTTGTTTGTTTCTAAATCAATAATATTGCTTTTTCTGCGTCTTCTGGGATGATCATATGGTTATTTCCTTTAATCCATTAATGTGGTAAATTACATTTATATTGTTTTCTTTTGTTTTTAATGTTGAACCCTCCTTGCAGTGGAACCAACACACTGTCATGATGTTTTTTTTTCATTCACTAGTAGATTCCGCTTGCTAATACTTTGTTTTGTCTATTTTCACAAGTAAGTTTGGTCAGTAATCTTCTGTTCGTATATTACCTTTATCCTGTTTTGTTATCATGATTTTATTAGCCTCAGAAGACGCTTTTAGTCTCTGGAATAGTTTGTATAATATAGGAATTATTTGTTCCTTGAAAGTTAGTAAAAGTCAGCCAGGGGCGGCAGCTCATGGCTGTAATCCCAGCACTTTGGGAGGCTGAGGTGGGAGGATTGCTTGGAAGGATTGCTTGAGCCCAGGAGTTCAAGACCAGCCTGGACAGCATGGTGAAATGCCATCTCTACAAAAAAAAAAATGCAGAAATTCGCCAGGTGTGGTGATGCATGCCTGTGGTCTCAGCTACTCAGGAGGCTGAAGTGGGAGGATCGTTGATCCCAGGAGGCTGAAGTTGTGGTGAGCCAAGATCGCACCACTGCACTCCAGCCGGGGTGACAGAGTGAGACCCTGTCTCAAAAAAAAAAAAAAAAAAAAAAAGTAAAAGTCCATCTGTAAAACTCTTATTGTGGTGCACTGAACTGAGGTTGGACGATTTTTTTTTTTTTTTTTTTTTTGAGACAGTCTCGCTCTGTCACCCAGGCTGGAGTGCAGTAGCGTGATCTCCGCTCACTGCAAGCTCCGCTTCCTGGGTTCATGCCATTCTCCTACCTCAGCCTCCCGAGTAGCTGGGACTACAGGTGCCTGCCACCATGCCCGGCTAATTTTTCTTTCTTTCTTTTTTTTTTTTTTTTTTTTGTATTTTTAGTAGATAGGGTGTTTCACCATGTTAGCCAGGATGGTCTCGATCTCCTGACCTCCTGATCCACCCAGCTCGGCCTCCCAAAGTGCTGGGATTACAGGCATGAGCCACCATGCTCAGCCGGTTGGACGATTTTTGACTATCATTTCAATTTCTTTAGTAATTGTTATGCTATTTAGATGCTCTATAGAACACTGAATTAAGTGAACATTTTAAAATAAAGTACAAATTACCACAACTGGCCCTAGAAAAGGTCAATAAGTAGATCAATAACTATGGAAGAAAGACATTTGTCACAGGACTACCCCTAAGAAATGTACAAAATGCAGATAGTTTCACTGTTGCTTCAAACCTTCAAACAAATAATCCTACATTATATAAATTGTTCTAGAGTTGTGTAAAAGAAAGAACATTTCCTTAATAACTTTATAGGAAGAAAGCATAACACTGACATAGAACCTGATAAAGATAATGCCTACAACCCTAAACCATTATCACCTGTAAATACTTAAGCATATGTCTTAAATAAAATATTAGCAAATAAGATCCGGGTGAACTTAAGGTCTAAGTCAGTGAAGTGCATTTTAAGAATGTGCAGATGATTCCATATTTGGAAACCTCTTAACAAAATTCATCTTATTAATAGTGCAGAGTGGATAACCCTATGATTATCTTAGTAGTCATAAATATAACACAAAATTCAATATCTGGTGAAACAGTGTTCATTTCTGGTTGAAATTCTTAATAAAATAAGAAAAGGAAACTTCCAAGCATCAAAAGTATGTATCCCCTGTTTCATCTTATATCCCAAATCAGCAGCTTTTATATACTTCCAATATTCTAGCACCACTGTTACTTAACAGTGTTCTGAAAGAGTTCTGGCTCAGAAATAAACAGTCACGATACAGGATTGATTAAAACAGGACAAATGCAGTAGTGCTATCCAACTGCTAAACCAGTTTCTATATGTATACAGAGAGAGAGGCCAAGAGATTTACTCACTGTTGAGTAACCAGAAACAGGAATTAAAAGAGCCTTGATAAGATATTTATATTACATGTAAAAAATACAGATTTAGAGAAATCTGGAACTGTGTCCAACAAAATGTTTATAATGATCTAACTTCGTGAGGTAGGATTTCAGTTAAATTTCACTTTCTGTATGCTTTCTGTGTTTTGATTTTCTATAAGAAATGTTTATTTTTGTTTAATTTTTTTTTTAAATGTTGCTAATAGTTTTTTAGGCATAGACTAGAAGCTAGAAAGTGATCATAGGCAATTAGGGGCATCTCATGGGTGGTATAGAAAGTCCCGCAAGATGAACTTCTTGCGGGCCTTATCCAATCATGCATGAGTCCCATCCCCTGAACCCCCAGCCCCAGAAGTTTTTACTTAAGAGTCACTGTGGTAGTGAATCATTGTTAACAGATTATAGTGTGAGCTGCCATCTTAATTATCATTATAATGTATTTAGGACTTTTATATATCAAGAATCTTGCTAAAGCCTTTCATATAAGTCACATTTAGTCTGTCTGACAACATTTTATAGATGAAGAAATGGAGGCTAAGTTTACATAACTAATAGCTAATGACATTCCTGATTTTTTCAGCTTTATTCTTAATCACCTAACTGTATTTCCTCATCTTCTGAAGAAGTTCATCATATTCCTCAATATTTAGGGGGAGAAGAAAGTTGGAGAACTATCAGTCTGAAGTCTCCTGTGTCTCTTGGAATATGGAAGTTATCGTCATACTATCAGATATAGTTTATTTCAAAAAACTGAAACATATTGTAGCAGAAGGATTAAAGTAGTGAAAATACAGCAGAGAACTAATGGTCTGTTCAGTTTGCCAATTGTACAAAAAGAAATAGAAACACGTGTACCTTGACTTTTTTTTTGGAGACGGAGTCTCCCCCTGTCGCCCATGCTGGAGTGCAATGGCGTGATCTTGGCTCACTGCAACCTCCGCCTCCCGGGTTCAAGTGATTCTCCTGCCTCAGCCTCTTGAGCAGCTGGGATTACAGGCGTGCACCACCATGCCCAGCTAATTTTTTTGTATTTTTAGTAGAGATGGGGTTTCACCATGTTGGTCAGGCTGGTCTCGAAATCCTGACCTCAAGTTATCCGCCCGCCTCAGCCTCCCAAAGTGCTGAGATTACGAGCATGAGCTACCGTGCCTGGCCATAACTTGACATTTTCTATCAGATTATGACAAAATTTTAAAAATAAAGAATGAGCAAAAATTATAGATTACAGCCATGTAATTTAATAGGTTACGTGGCATTTAGGGATATATAAGAGAGTATACTTTTCAAATAAATAACCACTCAAAAATGTGTGTGTCTAGGAAAGTTCAGTGTGTACTAGAAATAAAGATATGCATGGTAAGTATTGACAAAGACACAAGTCTGCATTAATCTCTCAGAACACAGTAATAGAAAACTAAAAATAAAATTTTATTTTCCTGTTAGCATAAGTTGAAAACTGTGCTATTTAATACAGAGTTTGAAAGTAGAGACTCTTGAGTGAAATATATACATTCATTGCAAATTGAAACACCTCAATATTAAAATAATGGGGAATTGTACAAATAGGCAGAAACATATTGCTTTAAACCAGTTGTTTGAAAGGCACATTAAAACAGAAAAACTTTTTGAACGTATTAGAAAAAGAAATAATAATAGATGATAAAAGCCATTTGGAAAAACACCAAGACTAACCAAAAGTCAGACCACAAATGATGTAGTTAATTTAATATACACTTACATAGTTTGTGTGTATAAACATGTATTTTTTAAAAGTTCAATTTTATTAGTAAAGTTGTACATTGAAATGTAGGAGATGCCATTTCTCCTATTAAATGGTAGTGCTCAGTTGTTGACAGTGCACTGACAGTATAATGCAGTAGTTAAGAGGGTGGATTCTGGACCCATACTCCCTGTATTTGAACCCCAGCTCTGCTACTGATGAGCCAGTATGAACTGCTAATATAAAGTCTCAGTTCAGCTGAGGCCTTTCTGGCCTTAGTCATCTCATCTGTAAAATTAACCTGTGTAGAGGACTTGGCACATAACTAACATTCATGTTGCTGTTGTCAAACCATCACTCTCTTCTTTAAACTCTTCAGTGAAATTTCCTTTTAAAGATAAAAGGAGCATTTTTTCTGCAACTAGACCCTGCAGTGCCTGGCCCCCACTTGTCTTTGCAACCACATTTCCTGCCAGTGTACCCCTGTGAATTATGCCATACCCACAAATGCCTTCTTGAATAAACCCAGGTATTTACCACTTCAGAGCCTTCTTGTTTTAACTTCTGTTTGAAAAGTTCTTCTGTCCACACCTGCTTAGGTACCACATACGTAAGTAACCCTTTCCTCTGGCTAGTTCCTTCTCATCCTTCAATCCTTAAACGTCACCTCAGAGAGACCTTCCCTCACCATCCTGTACATACTAGTGCCCCCATTATTCTAATTCTCTTTTTCTTTCATTGTACTAATCATAATTGGTAGGGTTTTTTTTACATATATTTGTTTGCATTTTCTAATGTCTGTCTTCCTTATGTGATAGATACAGTGTCTGTTTTGTTACCCACTATGACATGCCAAGAATGGTACCTGATAGATAATTGGCCTTTGCTGTGCTGTATGAATGAAGGAACACTAACTGCTGGACATAATTACAGCCTTTCTAGAAAGCAAGAATTATCAAGAATAAAAAAAAAATCATTCCTTTTGATATAACAATCTTTTAACAAATTTTCTTAAAGATATTATAAAGAATGGTGCAAGGGCCATCACAGAATTGATGGTACTAATTACAAATTATAAAATATTTACATGTCTAACAACTAGAGAATAGTTTCACTGAATTATGACACATAGAAAAGGTCAACTGTTATGTAGTCATTAAAAATTTTGATAAGTTTAAATAATGTTTCAGTGTTACAGACAAAAGCAGACTATAAAATACTGGAAATAAAATACAGTGTAAATATATCAACAAAAAAATTTATCAAAAACAGTAGTTAAATTTGAGTAGCTAATTGTATTTCCTTAATTGTATTTGAAAATTAACTTTCCTGCAAAAGCATATGTTATGTTCTAGAGGGGAAAAGAGATAGTGTGTGTTTTTTTAAGTATCAGAAGTGTTAAAAAATTTCATGAATGGAACAGGCGCAGTGGCTCACGCCTGTAATCCCAGCACTTTGGGAGGCCGAGGTGAGTGAATCACGAGGTCAGGAGATTGAGACCATCCTGGCTAACATGGTGAAACCCCTTCTCTACTAAAAAAAAAAAAAAAAAAAACAAAAAACAAAAAATTAGCTGGGCGTGGTGGTGGGTGCCTGTAGTCCCAGCTGCTCGAGAGGCTGAGGCAGGAGAATGGCGTGAACCTGGGAGGCGGAGCTTGCAGTGATCGGAGATCACGCGACTGCACTCCAGCCTGGACAACAGAGCGAGACTCCATCTCAAAAAAAAATTCATGAATAGATTCATGCGATTATGAGAACTTATAAGAATCCAGAAGCTATTTCACAATAAAGAAGGGCCTTGCTCATTATCGTCAGTAAGTAGGGAGAAGAATTTTCTTGCTTTAATTAAATTTTTGTTATTATTACTTGTATATTAAACTATTGTCTAGCCCATGTGGATCACAGTATATTAAATGTATATAAGAAAATTAGCATATTTAGTCCAGCTACAGCAGGTGGTAAATTCCTATTTAAGAACTGACAAATATCACTAAAGATATGATAAATAGGCTGAATATAAAAGCTCTATAAAAACACTCTTATAGTATATGAAATGTAAATACAAGATTTAATAGCAAGAGAAAAGCAATATATTAGGAAAATGGCAAAAATAATTTAATATACCTTTACTATCTAGAATATAATCAACATGAATATATTAGCTTAATAAAAGTCTTGTCAATAAAACAAAACTACAGAGTAAGTCATATGATTACCAATGAAAGGTATGCAAATTAAAATATGTTACATTATATATCAAGCTAATAAAATTATATGATGTAGATATGAGATATACATTGCTTTTGGTTTTACAGATTGATTTTATTATACTTGATGGTGTTATTTCTAGAAATGATAATGTTGAATTCGCAAAATCTGTTAATACGTATCAAGAAACCTTAAAAATGTTTATATTCTTTACCCAGCAATTTTAGGAATTTTTGATAGATGCATGCAGAAATGTTTTCAAGGCATTTTTTTTAAATTTAAGGACCTAGGAACAACCTTAATGTTTAATAGGAAATGAGCTATATAAATTATGGTAAATTCATATCAGAAAAGTAATTTTGTAAAGATTCTATCAGAAGAGTAATTTCCAGATTAAAAATTTTAATGATATAATACTAAATGAGAAGGATGCAAACAATATATTTAGTTTGATGCCTTTTAAATTTTATAAGGAGAAAAAAACCAAAAAGATTACTCCAGAACGTTTAAAGTGATCATTGTTAGTTCAGAGATCATAGATGATTTTGTTTTCATTGTGCTTTTCTTCATTTTATGAATTTTATCCATTGAGCGTGTATTACCTTTGAAGCTTAGAAAACAAAACACGAAAATCTCTTGAAAACCCAAGGTGTACTGTGTTTTGGAGTTGATGAAGAGGAGGATGTTGCCCAGCTTCACTGCCTGCTCACTGTCCAGGCTTGCCAAAAGATAGCCTATCACTCTTAAGATACAGACACCCTTTTATATTGCAAATGGAAATGCAAAATGATTCAACACCTGGAGAAGTAAATTTGATGATACATAACAAATCTACCTATGCATATATCTTTCCACACAGTAAATTCTGCTTTTAGCAGTTTGTCCTAAAAATATACCACAACAGTGTAAACATATATGCACAAAGTTCATTGCAGCATTGTTTCTTAATTACAAGATATTGGAAACCACTTAAGCAGGCAAGCATATGACACTGAGTAAACTATGACATAAAATATGCACACAATGGAGCATCTATGGCTGTAGAACAGAATGAAGATGTCTGTAAACTGATAAAATATGATTTATAGGAGATACTATTACATTTAAAAAGTTTTTAAAAGTCCAGTTTTAGAACAATAAATCTGTTAGCATGATTTGATCTGATAATTCTACTTTTGAGATTTTATCCCAAGGAAATTATATGGTGCATGTATCAGGGCTTTGGGGGATGGGCGAGGAGCATAATTTTACACTGGCAATGGGAACATCGTTAGGGTTACTGCCAAAAAAGTAGGGGGTGGGAGTGGCATAACCAAGTGTCTGTTAATAGAAGAATACAGTATAGTTAGTAAAAGTAATACACAAACATCTAGATTTGTCAAGGAAGTAATACTTGGGAAGATAGTAGACAAAGCAAAGTTAGTTTTGTTATACCACCAAATCTATAAATTAACATCGTTTAGAATAATAATTGGAATTAGAGTGATTTTCAGATTTCAATGTAAGCTAGGTTCGCTTTTTTAATACATCAAGTTAAATTAATAATAATGAAAGAAAGGAACTATTTTGAAAGCTAAAAGTTTTCGATACTGTCTCTGTGCCTTGATACTTCTCCTTTAAGATGCATTTGGTCTCCTTGATGTTATTCAGCCTTCTAGTCTTCAGCTTAGTTATCTCTTCTTTCTTACTTGACTCATTAGAATTTGTTTAAACTGTTATAAAATTTTACAGCTTTTCAAAAATGCAATTAATCAGATTTGAAAAAAATCCATTTCCATCTATTAAAAAATATATACACATGTTAATATGTGTACACATTCTTTATTAGAAGTAAGTTGTATCTGTGCCCAGCAATTGAAAAGTGTGTTTTCTCTTGCCATGCAGTTTTTGTACTGTACATCCATGTTGCATTTTTAAGGAAGTAATATTGCCTGTGCTAGGCTCTGCTACAGGAAGTAAATGATCTTTGTGTCAGTGAAAATAGAAGGTTCTATCCCATATTGATCTCTTAGCACTTAAACTAGTGTGCTATGCCTCAGTTGCCTAAAATAGGCAGCTTAAGAATTTTGTAATTTAAAAACTCAAAACCCCATAGTATCTGCAGAAAAAAAAGAAAAAACCCTTGGGTTTTAAGGATACTAATTTAAAGCTAATCTGAACAATGTTTATTATTTTAAATATGTTTGATGATAGACCATTGACGAAAGACCATTTTAGTTTAACTTGGTATTAATAGAAATAGACGAAAGCAAAAGGTAGGGTTAGTAGAATGGATTAGAGAAAAATAAGAGGGAATTATAAAAAGAAAATGTCATCTTTTATTAGCACTATTACTCTTGTGAAGTTAGTCCTTGTTTTATAAAATATTTTGATTTGCATTGAAGATGACAGTCAAATAACTTTCATTCCCCCTGAAAGGGGACTTCTTAAGTAAGTCAGAAACTAGTTAATATCCCTATGATTTTTGAGTACTGCCAGTGTGTGGCACATTCTGAGTGCTCCCTTTATCCCCCAACAGGGGGTGCAGCCCCAGCTCTGTGGCTTTTGCATGCAGGATCTCAGTGAGTCCTGAAGGCACTCTGTTCCTCAGATGCCAGGCAGCCACATCTGTGAAGCTCTCCCATTCCTGAATTTATCTCACCCATTTAGCCTAGACTATGACCTCTTAGAGGGCAGGAACTGTTTGTTTGTGTCTCTGTTGATCCTCAGTGCCTCTTAATTCAGTGAACATAAGAATGAATGTATAGTACTTGAACTGTTTACTATAGAGAATGAAGTTAGGTGTTTATAAGTAACATACATGTTGTTTTTATCAGGAAACAGAATTGGTTAAGAATTCTATGCTTTTTTTTCAAATTTAAACAGAGGAAGGCAAGAAACAACTTTACTAGAAGTGGGTAATTTCTCCTTGAGCTTAAGGTGTTCAGCAGTACTAGTGGAGTAAACTTCAGTATTAGAGGTAAAAAATTCATACCCCTGAAAAAAAGAGGAAAAACTGTATTATAAAGATTTCATCACTGGATTTCCAGGTTTATCTCTATCACTTAACTCTTTAGAAGATTACAGTAAAACAGTTTGTAAAACTTACTGAGTATGTGTCTATTTAAGACTTTGCTGCCTGCTTTTGAATCTCATAGGACTTTTGAAATGTGAGATATGTGTCAGTCCCTTCAGTGTGTATTATACAAAATAATCATAGAGTAACTAGAAAGTTTACCACCAGGCTGTGTTATTTACACATTTGTGGAAGTTTAATTCTGGACAAATGACAGAGAAAAGCACTGACAATATAGTTTCTTATGGATCATTGTCTTCTTTTAATAGAGAGATCCATCAAGAATCAACTTTTCCTGTTGACTCAAAATCTCCAATTTGCCTTGATACATTAGTAAATATCTGAAGACTTCATTTCACCCCTGGAATAAAGTTATTGCCGTTAACTTGGCAGATGTGCCACCATTCTCCACTTCCTATGTCGGATAGCTCTGATAAATGCTGCATTTTCTTCATCAACCCAGTTCTTGTCTTTTTCAAGATAGAGCTTTTTGAATTCTTTATTTTTCCATCAGAGTTGGCTCCTAAAACGAAACCAATTTGCTATCCTTGGTGTATGCCAAAATCATTGGTGCACTCTCCTCCAGCATGACATGCTGGAGAACAGAAAGCTTCTGCCAGAATGGTTGTCTCTGCAATACAAACATCTGCTTTAGGAAATATCAATGAGTTTTTTGGGAGTGCAGCAGCAAAAAGAAGAAGAAAAGCCTGGGAGAAATAAAACAACAATTAGATAAGGGAACCCATTGCTTCAAACAGTAGTATCTCATAGATTTATATCATTTTTCAGATGGCAATCAAGGATGATCTATCATTATTTCTGTGCATGGCTTTGCTATACTTGAAGATGTTGCCATGATATTATAATTTAAGTCATGTAGGATTTCTGATCTCCATGGCAACAAATACAGTTTAATGGAGTATATGCCTCATCAGAATGTCACCAGCAAAGTTCTATATGTTCTTTTAAGGTGATTATGTTTGATAGCATATAAAAGATCAGAGATTATTTACCAAAGTTACCTCTAATCACTTCATGTAAAGTTTTGGTGCTAGAGCTTAAAAACTGCTACCAAATTCTGCTACTGATAGACGAGGAAGAAAAGGAAAGAAGTATATATCAAGAAATTAGTTTTTTGGGCGAGTAGAATATTGTTTCAACATTGCATTAAGTACTAAAACAAAAATTATTCATCAAGTCTTTTGAAGTCTTCCTTAATACTGATTAAACAACAAAACAGAACCCATGACAAGAGTAGTCATCATTAGGGCCTTTCCTGTGTTTTTCTCTTAAGATTCCCATTAGATTACATTCAGAAAAGAAGAAATTTAGAGTTTGATTTGTCTACTAAATCATACTGTCTTTCCCTGGGGCATATGTAGTGTTAATGGAAAGTAACATGAGGAGGGACCCATCATTTCTAAATAGTGCTATTACAACAGCACTTAAGACCATTGTCTTTTGTTTCTGGCTGTAGCATGCCCAAACGGAATCTGAATTCACTAAAGAGAGAGTGTTGGGATAAAAGTGAGATGCTGGTAAGGTGGAATCTGCTTCAGATGGTGCAGTAGGCAGTGAGTTACCTAGCAAAGTAATTTTTTAATTATTAACTGGAGCTTGGGCCCCAAACTCTAATACTAGGTCGGACCTTGACAAAGATACTATTTATCCCCCCACCAGTGGTCAAACTTAGATTTAGAACTCGACCAGTTCAGTAAGTCTAGAATAAAAGAAACCTGAAATGAAAAGCAAGAGAGGGATTTTCCCCTTCTTCAAGTGCCAAGCCAATACCATCCATCCCAGGGCTTTTCAGATCTGTGTCCCAGCTGCTGAATGAGTAAGAAAGTGTGTTTAAAAAGAGGGAAGGAGAAAAAAAGATGGTGTGAGAGTGAGATCTTTTCCACTCCATCTCAGATAGACAGAGGAGAGACATGTGCATGTATTCGTTGTGCTTTTGCCAGATACGGAGAGAATCTTTTAGGATTGAACACTCCGGTGTTAGAAAAATCAGTCACAGCAATCTAACTAATCAACTTGTACCTCTGGAGAAGGTAGTGGGATTTGGGGTAGGGTAAAGGAGGGATGGGTGGTAAAAGGGACTTTTAACTGTGTGCAGCTTTATAGTTCGAATTGTTTAATTGAGAAAATGTTTGTGTATTACTTCTGTCATTAAGGGAGAGGGGGAAAATCCAATTTTAGATCAGAAGAAAGGTCAGGGACAGAAAATGGCATAGCGATGACATAGTTGTGAAAGGTTGCAGTCTATTCAAAGAATGGCGAAAACATGAAAACATGCATGCAGCAGGAGCAGTGGGATGCAGGGGAAGGCAGGGCTGCGGGTGATGGGAAGCAGCCTGCCAGGCGCCTTGCATCCCATCACAAGGACTGGACCTTATGTAGGAGTGGGGGAGGACCAATCAAAGTTAAAGTAGAAGTAGGTGTTCTTTTTTTATAGACTGAGTCTCACTCTGTCACACAGGCTGGAGTGCAATGTCCTGATTTCAGGTCACTGCAACCTCCGCCTCCCAGGTTCAAGTGATTCTCCTGCCTCAGCCTCCTGAGTAGCTGGGATTACAGGCACGCACCACCACGCCCAGCTAATTTTTGTATTTTTTAGTAGAGATAGGGTTTTATCATGTTGTTCAGGCTAGTCTCGAACCCCTGACCTCAGGCGACCCGCCCACCTTGGCTTCTTGAAGTGCTGGGATTACAGGTATGAGCCCCCGTGCCCGGCCTTTTTTTGTATTTGTTTTTTTGAGATAGGGTCTCACTCTGTTGCCCAGGCTGGAGTGCAGTGGCATGATCATGGCTCACTGCGGTCTCCACCTCCCAGGCTCAAGCAATCCTCTCACCTTAGCAGGAACTACAGGCGTGTGTCACCACGCCTGGCTGATTTAAAAAAAAAAAATTTTTTTTGTTGAGGTGGGGTTCTACTGTGTTGCCCAGGCTGGCCTTGAGCTCCTGGACTCTGGCAGCCCTGCTGCCTCATCCTCCCAAAGTGCTGGCATTACAGGCGTGAGCTACTGCACCCAACCAAAATAACATTTTGATAATAGTCATAAAACATAGCGAAAGCCAAGACCCTTTTGAAAAGGTTCATTTATACCTCTATCGCTCTACAGTTTTATTCTTCTAGTCCTTATTCACAGGAACTTTTTTTTAACCTAGTTCTAATCACAATCTATATATCATTTTGTGTTCTGCTGTTTTTACCTAGTCTTCTTGGAATAATTTTCCGTGTGGAAGGTTCTAAGCAAGAGAGTAACATAATCAGATTTGTCTTTTATGAAAATGACCCTGGCAGCAGGACTGAAGATGAATTTGATGGGAAGAGATTCAAAATGGGGTTAAAGAATAGGGAGTGTATTCAACAGGTGTTTAGGGAGTCCTGCTCTGAAGAACCATGAGAGGAGAGTTCTAGCATAAACATGGAAGTTTCTTCCTGAGCCCACATTTTGAATTGGGAGCAATCCTTTAGCAAATAGAAATGCTGCCTAATTCCATTTGGAAAGCCTTTCTCTGCCTTCAGCATTTTGCACTATCTCAGAAATCTGGCTTCTCTCTGAAGTAGGCCGGGCCCTAAGAGACCACAGAGACTAACCAGTCTTGATTGATTACCGTGGTGCATGAAAACAATTTTATTTGTCCTGGGTAGCACCTGTGTGTAGCTCCCAGGGAATACTGTTAGTGTTGTGGTTAGAAGTGCGTGTGTGTGTGGTAGTGATAGAGGTTCTGAGATTTTTTTGTGAATAAAACATCAGTATTATTATTATTATTACAGCAGTGCATATTAATTCCAAAAACTGCTGCATAAAATTACTTTCAGGATGATAAATTAGGAAGGGAGCCCCAGACTATTCAAAGACAGGGTAGACTCTGCTGCTACCCAGTCTTGCTGATTATATTTAGGGCAAGTCATTTAACCTCTCTGGTGCCTAGTGGACTCAACTTTAAAAATTGTAGGAGTTTTTAACCTCTGAGATGTTAGTGCTGCCATTTCAGCAATACCTTTTTTTTTTTGGCTGGGAATAACTATCTTTGGTAGGTGATAGGCTAGTATACTACACATTAAACGTTGGCAGTAATAGCTTAGGGGCCATCACTACATATGGTTAGAGAAGCCTGTGAAATGGTTACCACTATAAACAGGCTTCACTACAATCTTTGATTTTAAAGTGATTTATGTCAGTATCCGAAGAGGTGTTCAATCTAGTTTCACTTTTATTTAGCAGACTGGTAGAATTCAAGTCAAATCAAGTAGATAGCAGGATAGTACAGTGAGTAAGGAGTAAACCAGTTGCCTTTTTCTTCCCCTCTCTGCTTTCTCTCCCCTCATCCCCTCCTTACTCCTTCTGCTCTTCCTTCGCTTTCCTAAAGAAAGGGCAGCCTTTATTCATTAGTGTAGTAGATACCACCATAAAAGACTATAGGTGACAATCAGTATATATTTTAAAGATTTAAAAACTGAAAGCTTTGTAAACTCTTTCTTTAAATTTTAGCTTACTTTTTCACTTAAAAATGAAAATCTTAAAACTGTTCCTGTCATGAAAAATTCCTATTACTTGACTAACTTGTTTCTAAAGTACTTTATTAAATTTCTCAATAATTCGTTTATTTAAATGTAGGTGCATACTTTGTCATTTCCAAAAAAGGATTTCTGGTGATTCCTTGCCTATAATTAATTTGCTACTTGGTATTAAATCATCTTTCTCGATTCATTTTTCCTTTAAAGTCAGAGCAAGACATTTTATGTACTTGAAAGAGTGAGAAGGAACCACAACATGACTTTGTGAGATGCTTGCCAGTAGTGAAAACAGACTGATAAGAGGGCCAAGAAAAGCCTCAGCCTTCTGTGGAGAAAAGCACTGCCATATCTGGGCCTTCATGAAATTTGCATACCGCTTTGCATATATACATGCACAGTTTCTTTGGTGACTTCCTGTATTTGGTTTTAATTTTTGAATAAATGAGATTTTTTAAAAGGTGGATTTGTGTTATATTGGCATATTGTCTATTTAAAAGAAACCACTACTGTCTACTGAAAAAAAACACTATTTTGTTTCCACAGAAACCTGCTAATATTTTAGTTATGGGTGAAGGTCCTGAGCGAGGAAGAGTAAAAATTGGTATGTTATATCTTTGCTAAGTCACAGTGTAGCACTTTTTTAAAACTTTTGCAGGCAGCTATATCACTTCTAATTTTTGCTATAATATGCATATATTCATGTAGTTCCATATGATCGAAGCCATTTCTAAAGAGTATGCATAAAAGTGAAAAATGTTTCACACTCTTGAAAGGTGTCAGACACTCCTAAAGACTGAAGCATTCTAATTATGAAACCGTGCAAGTTTCCCAGAAACCTCTGCTTTCATTAAAAATGGCCTATAGAGGTGAGGGGCTTCTATCTCTGTTAGAGGCCAGCCTCACCTTTAGTCACAAGGGCATACATACAGCATGCTAATAATTCTACTATCAGTTGTGTTCGCTTGAGTCAGATTAGATGAGCACATATGCCTCTGTTGACCTCGTCTAGATTAGGAGTTGTTAATACAAACTCTAGGGAAAACCATGAGGCTGGATAGATACAGAACCTTAAGTTCTAACAAGACTGTCTCGTAGTAGGCCTTTCCCTGATGGGAAAAAATAATGGGCATTCTGTACATATTTTCTGATAGCTCTATTTTCTTACATATCAAAGCAAAATTTTACCCACTTCTGGTCTGATAATCTGTAAGGATAAAACTAAGTTTATTTAATCTGATTTTTTTTCATTGTCATTTCCAAGTTGTGTTTGTCACATATATTTAGTTTGTTTTGTGTATTTGTAGAAGAAATGTTTAAATTGTATTAATTTAAAGACATCAGGATTGTAACAAAGTTAATAGCAACTTCTGATCACAAGATTTAATATAAATTGGAAGTAACAGCTGATTTGTATCACTTCACCAACAAAGAAACACATGTGTGTTCTTAATCCTAATATTCTTCCTTATAAATCCCCCCAGATCTCACTTTCCACTTCTAATTAGACTCTTAAAATACTCTGTTTTTGATAAAACTTTGCAAATGTTTAGTTATGAGGAAATTTGATGTGCCTTAACATACTCCAAGTTTGGCTTTCCTTGAGAAGCAGAACCTGTCGGCACTCACCCTAGTGCCTTCCAAAATGCCTGTTAAGTCTTTACATGTGCTTTTAAAGGAGTCTCTCCAGTCCATTTTTGCGGCATCAAATTCAAATGTAAGTTCAAAGCATGCAAAATAGAAAAGAGCCAGCCAAACAGTAATTACAAAAGTGTTCTTTACTGTATAATTTAGGGAAAATTTATGTAATACACTAAAACAATCTAGTTTGGAATTATAGTTCTATGTAATATATGTGATGTTGGCAGGTTTGGGGAACGCTACGTCTTAAAGCATTCACATTTAAGAAGAAATACTAGTTCTGTAAATCAGTATTTAGTAATCTTATTCATAGTTTTAATTATTTGCCAACTTTTGGGTTTTTTTTTTTACCTTTGTAATTAAGGTGATTATAGTAAGGCCTACTTCATTAAAAAATGTGTATTAGGAAAATAGAACTAAACTTATCAAATGGTGGGTGAATTTTGAAATTTTTGAATAGGTGGTATGAATAGTGATCATTCAACATGTATTAGGCAAAAGCTATGTGTAATGACAACTGTACATGATACTATTAGGGATAGATATGAAAGAGACGCAATTTTTGCCTTTAAAAGATGATGGTATAGCAGGATAAACAGCCATGCCCGAATAACTACACTACATGTTAAACTGTGTTAAATGCCATGATGAACTGTATCTAATCTCAGTTCTAGCTCTGAGGTATGAGTATGTACCTTTGTCAAATCACCTAACTTCTTGAACCATATTCATCTGGAGAAGGAGGTGATTTAATCAGATGACTTTTAAAGTCTTACCTAGCTTTTAAAAAAAATACTGTGATTCCTTAAAATTAAGTTAGTGAAATTCATCCCAAGTAATAGGGGAAATAATGGTGTTAAAATATTGCATAGTCAGCTTCTGATTAATTATACCAGTGAACAGGCTTGTTGATGGAAATAATGGAAAGCCTTACTCTAACTGATCCCATTTCCTGGTGCTTGTGACCAGTACTAAGAATGGAAATGCAGCTCAACAACCCTGTCCCTAACGGTGGGGTGACACATGGAAAGAAAAATCTGCCCAGAGAAGCAAGGTCACCCCTGACCTCAGGCAGCAGAGCTTGACTATAACCCCATTGAAGAACTGGGTAACAGTAATTTGAAGAGAATGGAGCTTTCAAACTTGCTTTATGTAAGACTTCTAAAATGGATGTTTTGTGGGTTTCTTCCCCTAGAATTGAGCACATTTTTCATCTTACTGAATAAGATGGTAAATTAGACTAATTGGTTAGATTTGTAAAAATCATTTACTTAGCATGATTTTTTTTTTATTATTTTACAGCTGACATGGGCTTTGCCCGATTATTTAATTCACCTTTGAAGCCTTTAGCAGATTTGGATCCAGTGGTTGTTACATTCTGGTACCGAGCCCCTGAACTACTTCTTGGAGCAAGGCATTATACCAAAGCTATTGGTGAGTAGAACTAATTAAAATTCCATGAGTTTTTAAAAGTTTCTTTAAAAGACACACATTCCTATATATTTTTAAATTAAGTAGTATAGCAAATTATAAAAGTAAGAGCAGACTGAGTGTGATGGCTCATGCCTGTAATCCAAGCACTTTGGGAGGCGGAGGCAGCTGGATCACTTGAGTCCAGTAGTTTTGAGACCAGCCTGGGCAAAATAGTGAGACGTTGTCTCTACAAAAATTTTTAAAAATTAGCCGGGCATGGTGGTGTGCACCTGTAGTCCCAGCTACTCGGGAGGCTGAGCTGGGAGGATCGCTTGAGCCTGGTAGGCAAAGGTTGCAATGAGTCATGATCGCACCACTCTACTCCAGCCTAGGCGACGGGGAGACACTGTCTCAAAAAATATAAATAAATAAAAAATAAAAGTAAGAGCAAGGCCTAACCCAACATTCTACTACCTAGAAATACTATCAGTAGCAATAGGGGTATATCATTCCACATACTTCTCTCTGCATAGAAAGATATCAAAAATCTTTGTAATTAAATGGGATCATATTATGCATTCTATTTAAAATTTTATATTTAATTTATAAAACTACAATTTTGAAGTCCTTTAACTTAAGACAAATGTTTCTTTTACCAAAAGAAATACTAACTTCTAAAAGAGCCCCCTAAAATTAAAGGAAAGACATTATGAAAAACAATTTAGCACTTTAGGACATTTTAATCCACTTTTCTGTTTTTGATAATATCAGTTACCTCCCTATTATAAAGAATGAGGAAATTAGTGCTCTTACACTTCTTCCCCTACCAACCTCTCAATCTATAAGCAGAATTAGTAATATCTTCATCACTTTGTCAATGTTGACATTGTTTTGTTTGCTAACCATAGTTCCCACAGTTGTTTATACTTAAGTTGTGCATTTAATGCTCAGCTGCTAGGCCTTTCACCATCGCTTGTCCATTACTCAAACCTGATTCTGCTTCATTCTCTTTGGTTGCATTATCATCAAGTAGTTTTTTTGTGTGTGCTTTACCTTTCTTCTTTTCTTTATTTTGTGTCTTTATGGTTTCCTTAACTTGTTCTGTATCCTCCAGGATGGTATTAAACCCACTTTTCCTTTACTGGGTAACTGCATCCTGAGGTTTTCTATTTTGGATTGGTTGGTCTCCAGGCATATTCTACCACTTCATCCTGCCTTTTCCCTTTTTTATTCCTCTGGGTTAGATCTATTGCTTTCTGGATTTCATGATTTCATTTCTTATTTTGCTACAGTATGTTCTCATGTAAATTCCTTTGGAACTGTATCTTAGAGGTAAATTTTCTAGTTCTTGTATTTCTGAAAAATGCTGGTCGGTATCATACTTGCTAGCTTGCCAGGGTTTACAATTCTAGGTACAAAAGAATTTTCCTCTCAGAACTTGGATGACACCCCTCCATTGCCTTCTAGTGTCAATATTGCTAATGAAGTCTCCTGCCTGTCTTGTTCCCAGTCATTGGTAGATCACCTGGGTTTTTTCTTTCTAGAAACAAAAAGGATTTCTCATCCTTGTATTTCACAGTGATATGCTGACCACTTGGTGGGCACACTCAATCTGAAGTTCATATCTTGTATCTGTGGGAAATTCTCTTGTGTAGTCCTTTGATTTCCTCCTCAATGTTTTCTGTTTCTCTCTTTCCTCAACTCAGTGTCGTCAGATGTTAAATTTCTTGGATTAATCCTTTATACTACTTTTTTCTCATGTTTTTCTGCCTTTGTCATATCCATTTCTAAAAACCTCTTCTTGTTCTCTGATTACTTTTTCATAGTATCTTGTATTTTTTAATAGAAAGAAAAGCCTACTATCTGTGAAGACAATGATAACATTGCTGATTTGTTTGTATTTTGCAGTATTCCCAGAATAATTATCTGTGTTTTCTTTACAGTCACTCTTTTCATTGTATGTTTTGATCTCTCCCTTCCATGTAGCAAGCATTCTTCAACTGTTTGGTGACCCTTGAGTGTCTCTTTGTATTTAAAAATCAGGTTACTAAAACTGCTTGAGAACTTTGTATAAATCATGGGGCTTATAGAGTGAGAACTTTAGGGTGATACAGCAGAGAGCCACCGTTGCCTGGGGTAACCTCTAAATGCCAGAAGGCGCAGGTCTTTCCTCTGAAGCCAAAGTCTTCAGGGAAGAGTCCTCCAACTTTTGGCCCATGCTGTATGTACCTGGCAGCCCCAGGGTGATGATAGAGAGTAGGGAGGAGGATCAGCTCCTCCTGTTCAAATACAGACTTTGTAGCTGGTATTCCCAAGAACAAAATCTTCGCAGCATTGTAGGGGAAAAGTCTGCTTCCCACTCAACAACAGCACTGTGTCCTGAGACCTTCTCTGAACTGTCTTGTCTGCCTTCCATCTTCTAGGTCTCCACATGGCCAGTTTCTTCTTCTCATTCAGACCTTAGTGAAAATAGTACCTTTTCAGAGAGAACTTCCCGGATTACATAGTCTAAAATAGCACCCTACCTCCGCCTTCACACCTTCTTTTACCTTATTGTCTTCATTGACTCAAAGGGTATCTAAACTCCACTAAAACAGGTGTACCTCACCTCACTGTTCACCGTTGTAAACCAGTGCCTACATAGTATGTAGTGAGAACTCAGTTTTCTTTGTTGGATACTTGAATGAATCTTGTCTCTGACAGTCTCCTCCTGTTCTTGTTACTGTGCAGTTACACTTGTATGACTTTGCTGTCAATTAAATGTAGATTCAAGAAGGGAAAAGGAGCAATGTTTGTGATCTTCCCCCATATTAATCTTCAATCCAATATATCATTTCCAAAAATCTTTATGTTCTAATCTTCACACATGCTTTAAGATCACATTTTATTTTACAGAAAAATAAGTCAGTTAGATATGGGAATTCTCTATACTATCTTTGTAACTTTTCTATAAATATAAAATTATTAATACAATATTTAGTTAAGTCAGTTAAAAGGAAAAATAAGGATGATTTATTCTAGTCCTATTTTGGAATACATGTTATTACCTAAATACATATCTGGGTATCTTCTTTGCAAGTGTACTCTAAAGGCATTTAAGGACATATATAAACTAATGTGATACACAGAGATTTTTTTCCACTCAGAAAATGAATGTTTAAAAGCAGTGTTACTTTTGGTAAAGCATATTAACAAACTATACAAATAAGAAAGTGATTGCCTAATCTTATTTCCTATTCACTGAACACCTGAGACTTGAATTTATTTAAATTGAGTAAAAAATATACTATCACAGAAACTTGTGACTCTGGCTCACTGTTTATTATCTTGTTATTTTTCCTGAGAAGCTTATGTCTTATTGGAAACATTAAGATTTATATAACCTTTTACTCACTAGGATATTCTACAGTCTAGCAGTTCTAATGCAGGGAGTGTGCCACAAATCTAAACTACCAGCACTTAGGGAGCTAGATTCTCTTGTCCCAATGGCTGTATGATTTGGGAGAGAGGCCTTTCTTCATATTTTCCTCCCTCCTCCTCCTCACCAACATAAGCATTTATTGGGTAACTACTATGTTAGGAGGACCAAATATGAATTCAAATGATGGGCCTTACCCTGAAGAGATTTACAGTCCAGTTGAGAAGACAGTATGAATATATGCATACAATAATTTAGTCATCTTTGAACAACGGAAGTAACAAAGACTACCAGCCGAAGTTGTAGTCTTACTTCTATCACTCTGGGGTGTGTTTACGCATTTAGTGCTTTAGCCTCAGTTTCTGAAAATGAGAATTTAGCCTGAGTCGTCTCTTTGATCTCTCTAAATTCAAAAGTTCTGTGCTTTTATTTATTTATTTAGAGACAGAGTCTCGCTCTGTCACCCAGGCTGGAGTGCAGTGGTGCAATCTTGGCTCACTGCAACCTCCGCTTCCCAGGTTCAGGCAATTCTGCTTCAGCCTCCCGAGTAGCTGGGGTTACAGGCTTGTGCCACCACACCCAGCTAATTTTTTTATTTTTAGTAGAGACAGGGTTTTGCCATGTTGCCCAGGCTGGTCTCGAACTCCTGACCTCAAGTGATCCGCCTGCCTCGGCCTCCCAAAGTGCTGGGATTACAGGTGTGAGCCACGACACCCAGCCAAAAAGTTTTAAGCTTTTAAATAAAAACAGCTGCCTTCTGAGGCCGGGAAGTTACAGAGGGAACTGACTTGGGTGCAAAGGATTGAAACCAAGGTAAGTGCCATTTTCTCAGCAGTGGTGATTCCAACCCACACCGTCGTCTGGTGTACACCTGCTTGCCCAAGATCAGTCTTGGGGAACACTTTCTTCTATTGAAACATTGATTCAAAATTTATAATATACACAAACCACTTTCAATTTAAGTTTCTAAAAATAAGGTCAGGCACGGTGGCTCACACCTGTAATCCCAGCACTTTGGGAGGCCAAGGTGGGCAGATCACTTGAGGTCAGGGGTTCGAGACCACCCTCACCAACATGGTGAAACTCCGTCTCTACTAAAAATACAAAAATTAGCCAGGCATGGTGGCGGGCACCTGTAATCCCAGCTGCTCAGGAAGCTGAGGCAGGAGAATTGCTTGAACCTGAGAGGCGGAGGTTGCAGTGAGCAGAGATCACGCTACTGCACTTCAGCCTGGGTGGCAGAGCTAGGCTCTGACTCATAAAAAGTAAAAATAAAATAAAAATAAGAAGGAATTACAAAATGGAACCTTTTCTTTAATACCAGCCTCTACCACACAATCCCATTCCTCCTGTCTCCTGCAGAGGTAGCCTAAAGATTAAAATACTCAACAAATTTCTCACACCACCATTAAAGCTGCTTACCAAGAACTTCCCCAGCATTTTGACTTCCTTGTTTGATAGCTGAATTGTGAGCAGGTGATAGAAGAGCCTTTCTAGTTGAACATACAGATAATTTGCTGAATACATTCCATTTAATGAAGGGGTTACATCTGTTACGAAGCTACTAAGAAGGAGCAAAAGCATAGGGAAAAAAATCTGATCAGAACGCATCAAACTCACATATGCCCCATCTACTACAAACAGATTGTAGTGCTGTGCTGGTTTATTCCGTTGTGCAGAACTGCAAGCTGAGTCACTAAACCAAAGAGAGGAAATAATAGGTTAGTAAACATTGTAATCCCAGGAACTAAGTTTAATTCACTTTTGAGTGTTTTGTTTTTTATTTTTGTTTGTCTGATTTACTTTGGGGAAAAGGCTAAAAAAAGGGATATCAATCTCTAATTCAGTGCCACTAAAGTAGTCCTAAAAGTCTTACTGAAGTATGGACTTTTAAGCTCAGGTGTTTGTCCTCAAATAGCTGCATGGCCACTAAATGTGAGGCATTCTGCTAAGTGGGAAATACACATTAAAATAGAGAAAATGAGAATTTCTTCCCTTTTATCAAAACAAGAAGCTTGCTATTACTACACTTGTTGATTCAAATATTATTGAGCAAAGTCTTTTCTCCTCCCAAATTTGGTCTGTATAGCATGCCAATTCCTACTATTTCCTTTGCCTGGTTAGCTCAGTAGCTACCTATAAGCATCACACATTTTGAGAAGTAGATGAAACTTATATGTTTTTAATTTGGAAAGCCATTTTATAAGGAGTTTGGCAGGCAGGTGAACACTAAAGAGACTTTCCATGAATTGGGCACAATCTAAAAAAAAAAAAAAAACAAGGTAGGAAAAAGAAACTTATTTACAATAATTAGAAATTTATCTGCAATAATAGCCTGATCAGCTGACTCAGAGTTAATGATTAATGTATGGGTCAGGATTTTGAAGAAAGGAAGAATGGTAAAATTGACAAAGGTGAGAGAGAATAGCAGTTATAAAGACAGAAGAGTTACTAGATGGGAGGGAGTTAAGCAAGGTTCAATAAGTTATTTTTCCTGTTGACTGGACTTTTTCTTTAAAAAGCAGTGTAGCTTTGCATACATTTTTTCTGTGAAATAGGGTCTTGCTATGTTGTCAAGGCTGGATTCAAACTCCTGGGCTCAAGCGATCCTCCCGCCTCAGCCTCCTGAGTAGCTGGGACTACAGGCATATGCCAGTATGCTCAGCTAAGAGCAGTGTAGCTTTAATTATAGCTAAACTACTTACCTTTCATCTTCCTTTACATATTTTATTTTCTTCTTTGGAATTTTTAATAACTAACCAGATGAATTGTTACAGTGTTTATTGGGTGTGCTGTAAGTAGAATTTTAAACATGCAAAGCCATCCATCATCCCTTTTTGTGATCCTACTTAGCTGCCTATGTGGCCATTGATTATCAAAGGTTAGATTTATAGGGTATACCCATATAAAAAGAATAATCACAAAATAATTAATTTTCCCATATACCTTTCGATGACAAAAACAAAATAGGTTGGCCTATGTTTCTTGATGAGACTTTTCCATATGATGGTATTGGCTAGGCTTGGTTCTCTGATATGTAAATACGATGTCATTTTTTAAAATCACTTGCTGCAGTCAGTGTGAATCTTTAAGTAAATAGGTGATTAACTTGTTACTTTGAAATGTAAATATGTGAAATTTTAGATTAAATTAAATATCTCTATTCCAGTTTTGGAATTTAGGAATTCTCATTTTAGGTTTTTTCTTATTTCCTGTTTAAGTGACAGTTATTAACATATCTGAACAATCAGCTTTGATAAAATAGTAATTTTGATTTGTTCCCTTTGGTTATTTATATTTGTCACAGGTATTGGTTAAGTCAGTCAAAAACCATGTGTTGAGGGTCTGCTATATGCACACCATTGTACTTAGTTTAGGATTTGTTAAGAGTAGAAATGAAATATTTTCAGCTTTAAATTCTAAATTGGCAAATAGATCTTACCTCTACTAATAGTTCTTTTGAGTACAAATTTAATTTGAATGAAAGTAAATCTGTATCTTGTGAATGAAAGGAATTTACTTTGTTGTGTACAGAGAAACCCATTTGCCTGGCTTTTGTCAATAATTCATTTGAATTTATAACCCTTTTTTTTTTTTTTTTTTTTTGAGACGGAGTCTTGCTCTGTCGCCCAGGCAAGAGTGCAGTGGCGCGATCTCGGCTCACTGCAGCCTCTGCCTCCCGGGTTCAAGCAATTCTCCTGCCTCAGCCTCCTGAGTAGCTGGGACTATAGCCGCGTGCCGCCATGCCCAGCTAATTTTTGTATTTTTAGTAGAGACAGGATTTAACTATGTTGGCCAGGCTGGTCTTGATTTCCTGACCTCGTGATCCGTCCTCCTCAGCCTCCCAACATGCTGGGATTATAGGCATGAGCCACCACACCCGGCCGAATTTATAATCCATGTTAACAGTAATATTTTGCTTTTGCTTCCTGTCCTTTGCATTAAATACTTAAATTTGCAAAATCTGATACTGCTTATGGCATCAAGAACCACTTTGGAAAAAAAACTTTGTTAAAGTAGAAATGCTGTTAATTCTTAGGCGTTTTGAGGTCGGACATTGTCTCTTGGTGGAATACCACCTTACTGATTAGTGCTAACATGAGAGGGTAATTATTAGACCTTGCAAATTAGCAAGTAAATAAAATAAAAAATATTTTATCACAAAAATTTACACTGATTATGTTAGGCGAGTGCCCAATTTCAAATACTGTTTGGGTTTTCCGTTTGTTTTTGTTTAGTTTTCTTTGGTTGTAGTTCCCATGCTCCATATGCAGCTTTACTGTAGTTCACAGAAAAGGTATCACCTGGACATTGAAAACTCACCAAAATCCAGCCAGTACATTTAATTGGGCTTAGAGTGAAACCATTTGGGTGGTATGGAGGTATACAGAATGAAAAATCGGGGTGGAGGGCATGGGAATATATACTTATAATAATGTTTCATGGTATTTAGTAATTATAATTGCTTAGGAATTAATATGAGTTATTAGGGAAAGAAAGAAAAAAACACTCCCCAAGAAAATAAAATTGCATTTTCTTTTGGAAAGAACCACTTTATTTTGCACCTTTCTTTTTCTTTTTTCCTTGCCTATTTTTCTTTCTTTTTTTTTTTCTTTTTGTTTTAAAGATATTTGGGCTATAGGGTGTATATTTGCAGAACTACTAACGTCAGAACCAATATTTCACTGTCGACAAGAGGACATCAAAACTAGTAATCCTTATCACCATGACCAGCTGGACAGAATATTCAATGTAATGGGATTTCCTGCAGGTACACATTATTCGTTTTTGTTTTTGTTTTTAAATCACTGTTGTTTGAACTTAGATGTCTTCGTTGGAGAGGTATATATTTTTAGCTGATGGAAGCTACTTTTACTTGAGTCTTTGTTTTTTGACTTGCATTTATCAAAGATCCGTAGAAACAGCAAAATTTGTAGAGTTTACATATTGGCATGGAAATATTTATGGGTTTCCTGAATTTCAGGACTGTATTTTTGTTTCATCTTGTTTTACTTTTTTGTTTTGTTATTTGGTATTTGAAATGATAAAATATGTTCAATATCTGTATTAAAAAGGTACCTTTAGCTCTTACCAGTAGAAACTATAAATGAATTCAGTAGTAGGAATTTTTTTCTGGCAGCACATATAATACTGCCACTATTTGGCATTCAAATATAAATTTTGAACCTTATTTCTATTTAGGGCACTATACAGAATCACATTATATTGAATAATAGCATTTAAGTCTTCTCTTAGAACAGTCACAATGTGGGTGAGAGTCATAGTACCCTATGGTGAGTTAGCCTGCTGTTTTGCAACAGAGAGATGGTTTACATGTATCCTATCCCTGGTATTAGATCTCTCCAACTGTATCTCAATCCCTAGTTATATTACAGAACGGTAATCACCAAAAACTGCTCAGAGGTCCAGAATAATGAGAATTTGTTTAAAACACCTAAATTTTGGCTAGTCAAGTACTTAGTAGAAAGTGTTTCTTATTAGGAATATTTCTCAGGTCACTATAAACTCAAGACTAATAGAGATAATACCTGGGACTTTTAATTCTACATTCCCTTGTAAGGGTGTTAATTATCAGTAAATGCAGAATAACTACACAGATACTGCCTTTCTCCAAAATTGGTCACCAGTGTGGAGAAGACTTCTGTTGTGATGGGAATTTTATTTATTCAGTAAATATTTATTGAGTACCTGCCATGTGCCAGGCACTGTCTTAAGTAAAAAGTTATTGATGATGTAACAGACATGATTTTTGCCCCCTTGGAGTTTGCATTGTACTGCTATATGTAGAATGTTTAAAAAGTAGGTATGGTTTTGAGTAGAGACAGAAGAATTCTGTTTTCTTCCTGCTTCTGAATGTGTCCACCATTTCTGAGCCCACGGGAAAGGCATAGCTTCTGTGAGGGAGTAGATGTGGTGAAGATGTCTATCAGTGACTCTTAATATGTGGTTCAGAGGTTAGGGTGGTTTATAAGGAAGCTTGGAAAGCAGGCAGCAGAGGTTAGATTTGATAGCTAAAGAATGAGAATCCATCAGTTCTTGAGTACTAGAGACATGCTTTATGTTGCATTTTAGAAAGATTTAGTAAGATGGTGGTAGGTAAAAATCTGTTAAAAAGAGCTAACTGAAATCAGAAACCAGCTGTAGCAGTGCTGCAGACAGAAAGTAGAGTGAAGATAAGGATGGAGAAAAAAGGGCAGATGGAAATGTTTTATAGGAAGTGTATAAGCAAGGGAAAACTAAAGATTATCTTAAAATTTCTAGCATGAGAAATTGATAAAACACAGAAATTGGAGCAAGGAAAATAGTTAAGGAGAAAATTCCATTTAGGAGTGTAGTGTATGTTTAGTTTACAATATGTGATGTCTTTGGAGGATAGTTACCAAATATTTTTACAAGTAAGTTCAAAGAAAAGCAAGCCTCTAAAGGCCATTTAAAAGCTAAAGGTTTTGCGAGGCCGCGGTGGGCGGATCACCTGAGGTTGGGAGTTTGAGACCAGCCTGAACAACATGGAGAAACCCCGTCTCTACCAAAAATACAAAATTAGCTGGGCATGGTGGCTACATGCCTGTAATGTATTACAGGCATGGGATTACATGCCTGTAATCCCAGCTACTCTGGAGGCTGAGGCAGGGGAATCACTTGAACCTGGGAGGCAGAGGTTGGGGTGAGCCGAGATCGCACCATTGCACTCCGGCCTGGGCTGTTAACAAGAGCGAAACTCCGTCTCAAAAAAAAAAAAAAAAGAGCTAAAGGTGCTGTTAAGCTGCCTGTGACAGTCCTTTGCACCTAGTAGACTCTCAGGAAAACCCATTGGCAGATATTGGAGAGAACACATTATGTAGCATGTATTGTTTGAGCAACTTGGATGCCAGCAAAAGTAGCTGAAACGTTTTGTACTTAACGTATTTAGGAGCTGGGGTTGTTTTGGGTAATGTTAACCAGACTAGCCAAGGTACCAGCCCACTTATTAATATACTAATTATATCCTACCCTATTGTGCAAATAGTTATTACCCCTTCTTCCATTGATTGCTTATGTAAAGAAATATATTTAACAAGGTGAAAGGAGGGCTGTATCATAAAAAGAAGTATAGTTTAAAGCCACTGAGGGGAAGATCTTAGATTTCTCATTGAAGAAATTGATTGCTGACTTAACCAAGAAATTTGGTAGAAAAGGGGAAATAAGCAGTTTTACTAATAGAAAGAGGACATTTAATAAGATAAATAGAAATATGTATAACTTATTCTTCTCTAGTGACAGAAATTGAGGCAGCTTATAGTAAAACATACAGAAAGTTTGCAGTTTAAAATTTAAAATATAAACAGATATATAAAGTTATATAAGGGATAAGGAATTATGTTTACACTTCAAGATATTTACTGTTGCTGAACATTTATTTGAAGACAGCTTTTTTGTGTGGAGGTTGAACGGATAGGAAATGTAATGAACGTGGTAATAACCTTTTTAAAAATTCTCAAGAATAGGAACTTAGGCAACATAAAAATTTATCAATGTATTTCACAGATAAAGATTGGGAAGATATAAAAAAGATGCCTGAACATTCAACATTAATGAAAGATTTCAGAAGAAATACGTAAGTTGGAAAAAAAGAGACTCCTTGTTGATTTTTGCTTTACCAGAATACTCAGTGTAAGACTGAATATTCAACATAATAAAATACTCAATATAAGATTACTCTAATAAATAATTTTACTTATTTACTCTAATAAATATTTTTCATGATGACAGTCTTTATTTCTTAAGATGCTTAAATGATTATATACAAAAGTGACTAATATTAGCAGCTGATTTGGATATAAAACAAATTCATGTCTTTCCATATTGACTACTTTTTGGAAGCTAGACATTAGTGAGAAGTATCACAGCTGAATAAATAAGAATCTAAATAAATAAACTTTGGTAATAGCCACTTGCTCACCAATCTAGGTTACAGTAATTTTAAGCAGGTTTTAACAGAGAAGAATGGATATTTCACCTGTTTACAATGCAAAGCCAGGGATTGGGAGAGTTTAGTTTGTATACCTATGACAAAAGTATTTTACACTTATTGGTAAGGCTGAATTAAACTTTTGACCCAGATGTTATTTAAAATAATTGTTAAAATATAATTCATGTGAAAAAAAAAGCTGTTTAGTGTCTGTTATTCATGAAATTGTCTTACATTTAATCATCGGTATCCTTTCAAAAGTGACCATTGTGGATATTGAATGAAATAGAAAACTGATTTAATTCTACTCATTTTATGCTCATAGTGTTTTCAATATATATTTTATATCGGTTATGATCAAAATAATTCTCATCAGAAGGACTTTAGCCAATGTACAATTAACCTCAAGTCTAATATAGCTATTTCATAGTATTTCTCTTTCAGGTATACCAACTGCAGCCTTATCAAGTATATGGAAAAACATAAAGTTAAACCAGATAGTAAAGCATTCCACTTGGTAAGCATTGGTTAACAGTATTAATGAAATGCATTTTTTCCTTAATTGACTAGCCCAACTGAGGCTTTTTTGGATCAATTTATGTGGTTACTTAGCTAGCACTCAGAGTGCTTTCATGGTAAATGCAGAGATCTTGTTAGTGCATACCAATAAAGACAATAAACTATTTGCTCTTCCAGACTCATATCATGGTTTGACAGACTAATGTTTGGTCACATTAGATTTTCTAAAGATAGCGATGGTAACAAATCTGTCAAAACATTTATAAAATTACATGTATTGTTTTTCGTCTGTTTAAGATTTTAAAAGTTCCAGAGAAGTATCAAGAAGAAAGTACTTCTCACCATTGATAAATAGATTGTTTTGTATTTCAGCTCTTTGAAAGACTGTTTACAAAGTTCTTAATTTCCAAAATACCTCTTATAACCTTAAATGTTAACAGTCATTCAGCGATTATATGTGCTATTTGATTTTTCTGGAAGAATGTGATAGATGCCATATTTATCAGTGTGTAATGGAAAAATGATTTAACCTAGAATCTAATTGAATCCGTGCACTAACAAGGTAATTTGTGATGAAATTATATACAGCCATTACCAACTTTGTTTACAATAAAATTTCCATTGTTACAGCGTAATAATTAATAATGTTTTTTGTTTTAGAAAAAGGTTTATAACACATAGAAGGGGAGTTTGGGGAAGCAGGTTGTATTTTGCTTGGCTTGAAATTCTTTTAATCCTTATTCCTAAGTTCTTAAATGAGAATTCTTTCACCTTGAAGAGGTTAACCTTTCCTTTATTGCAACCAGGCCATTTGGCAAACATTTCTTCTGTTCTTCCTTTGTTTCTCCTTTTTCTTCGCTTTCTACTGCTTCTCCTTCTGTATTTTCTACTTACTATTATATCAGTTCACATTTTATATCATGTATTTCATATCTTAACAGCAATTTAAAAAGTCATTCTTAACCTGTCATATTACCACACAATATATTATCCAGATAATGGTTTATTATAATGTACTTACAGTAGGACCCAAATTAGAGGTCTAAGTTAGATCCTTCGAAATTATGGACTTACTGATTCTAATAAAATAATGATAGTGGCAGAAGATTAGAAGTCATGACTTAGGGGAATTATTATTCTCCTTGATTCCCTGCTACTCATTATAGTCTAGGATGACTCTGCCTACCATCACCACTAAAACTCTAGAGATATACCTTCCTTGTAGCTTATGTGCTTGTTTTTACCAGGGTGACCCATCTTAATTGGAGGTAATCTTGAGTAGTCTCTTAGGAAAGCCCTATTATAATTCCATTAAAACTGTTGGGTATTTTCAATAGCAAATTCAGGCCTTTCCTTTCAACCCTAAAAATAAAATTGTGCTTTCTCTGAAATATCAGATCATTAAAATTAAATTTTAATCTCACCATTCTAGCGTTTTATTTGCATCTTAAAATATGTCGTGTCGGCCTGGCGTGGTAGCTCACGCCTGTGATCCCAGCACTTTGGGAGGCCGAGGCGGGCGGATCACAAGGTCAGGAGATTGAGACCATCCTGGCCAATGTGGTGAAACTCCTAAAAATACAAAAAGTAGCTGAGTGTGGTGGTACATGCCTGTAGTCCCAGCTACTCGGGAGGTTGAGGCAGGAGAATCGCTTGAACCCAGGAGGTGGAGGTTGCAGTGAGCCTAGATCGTGCCACTGCACTCTAGCCTGGCAACAAAGCAAGACTCTATCTCAAAAAAAAAAAAAAATGTCTTTTTATCCTGTAAAATTTGTCATCTTTCTTTAAGTCTTTTTTGTTGGAGACACAGTTTCATTGTGTCACCAGGCTAGAGTGCAGTGGTGTGATCTTGGCTCACTGCAACCTCTGCCTCCCAGGTTCAAGCCATTCTCATGCCTCAGCCTCCCGAGTACCTGGGATTACAGGCGCCTGCCACCACACCCAGCTAATTTTTGTATTATTAGTAGAGATGGGGTTTCACCATGTTGACCAGGCTGGTCTCGAACTCCTGACCTCAGGTGATCCATCCACCTTGGCCTCCCAAAGTGCTGGGATTACAGGTGTGAGCCACCACACCTGGCCTCTCTTTTAAGTCTTAATGTGTCTGTTAGTTCATTGGTTTTCAAAATGCAGTCTCAGTCCAGCAGCATGGTATCATGTAGGGCCATGTTGGAAATGCAGGCTTTTGGCTCCTACTCACATCTACCAATCAGAAACTCTGTGAGGAGGGCCCAGCAGTCTGTTTTAAGAAGTTCTCCAGGTGATTCTCATGCATCCTAAAGTCCGAAAGCCACTGCATTAGATCAGAGTATAAACTAAGAGACCACATATTAGAATCCAATTGAATGAACTATGTCTTAACTAAAAAATACTGAATCTTCACATTAGTGTGGCATTTATAGTAATAATAACAATAAGAGCAAGCACTTACATAGTACTTTCTTTATGCTAGGCACCATTATAATTGCTCTCCATATATTAACTCATTTAATCCTGAAAACAACCTGTGATAATAGTCACCATTTTTAATCTCCATTTGACAAATGAGGTAACAAAAATATTAAGGTAACTTATCCAATGTCACGCAGCTAATAAATGTTGAGTCAGGATTTGAATGGAGCAGTCGACTTTCAGAGTCTCTGCTCATCACACAGCTCTGTACTTTGTAAGTTGTGTATCACCATTTTTATTTAGACTAGAACAGCACTGCACAGTACCACTTTCTGTGATGATCTGCACAGTGCAGTAGCGTAGCCACTAGCCACATTTGGCTCTTGAAATGTGCCTGGTGTAATGGGGAGATTGACTTTTTTATTTAATTCAGTTTTGATTAACTTGGATCTAAATATGAATCACTGCATGTGTTAGTGTATTATATGTGTAACAACAGCTTTTTTATCTTAATAGAAAAAGAATAGAAAATACACAAATTTTGGTCCTGTTCTAAATTGGATAAAGCCATTTAGATAATGGGGGTGGGGATCCATTTGTTTAGTCAGAGAACATAAGCAAGAGTAAAACAAGTGAGATTATGAAACTGGAATGACTAAAGTGTGAATTACTACATTAAATTTAACAACTAGGAGTTTTGTTGTTAATTTGGGGGAATAAATATTTTCCAAATTGTGATGTTATTCACCAAAAAATATATATCGTCTTCACATATGTGCTGAAAGATAACTGTGAGAAGCAATACCGTCATGTTTGTATGATTTGTGATTTCAGCTTCAGAAGCTGCTTACCATGGACCCAATAAAGCGAATTACCTCAGAACAGGCTATGCAGGACCCCTATTTCTTAGAAGACCCACTTCCTACATCAGAGTAAGTGGCCTAGTTGGTTAACTCATCAGCATGATGGAAGTTTTGGAGTATGCTTTCTTCTGCTTGTCAGCTCTTAAGTTGCTCCTCCTCTTATATGGGAACCCAAGGAAATCCTTTATGACAAGCAAAAATGAGCTTTGCTGATTAAAGTGTCATTTAGGGGCTTTCCAGTTAAGAGGCATTCCTGTTCATCTCTTGCTTTATGAAATGCTGATCACATTAGTTTCAGTAGTGATCCAGCTATTCAGTGACAGGTTGGTTATGCGTGCTGTAGCTCCTTACTGTCTGCAGTTACAGTTTCATGTTCCAAAATTGCAAATATTCCCAAATGTGTTCCCTATACCATCTTTTGTTTTGTTAATAAATGTAGTAGGAAGGGTAAAACAAAAATTACCTTTGAATGGTGACACATACTTCAGCTAGAATCTATATTTGGTCTGTATTAATAGAAGAGTAATGCTGGGATAAAAGAAGAAAGCTGAATCATACTCGATGATTATTGATCATTTGTATACAGCTCAAGCCCTCAAGTAGCCTGCTGTAATATTACTAGTTACAAAGAAAAGATTCGTTTTGTCACAGTTACATGAAAGGTGCTTATATTTGCAAATATGGAGACAAAGTTCATCTTAAAAGATTAAAATGAGAATCTCCTAAATGAAGCATTTGGAATATTGATTAGTATACCAGAAATGGTTTTTCTTTTTCTTATGATCAGCGTTTTTGCCGGTTGTCAAATCCCTTACCCAAAACGAGAATTTTTAACGGAAGAAGAACCTGATGACAAAGGAGACAAAGTAAGTATTAAAGTACTGTTAGCAGCTTCTTGTTTCGTGAATGCCTCCATAACATTTTCCATTGTGGGTATATTTTGTTCTCCCTCTGAGCTGAACTTTTTCTGTTTAACCAATTGAGAAGAACCAGCAGCAGCAGCAGGGCAATAACCACACTAATGGAACTGGCCACCCAGGGAATCAAGACAGCAGTCACACACAGGGACCCCCGTTGAAGAAAGTGAGAGTTGTTCCTCCTACCACTACCTCAGGTGGACTTATCATGACCTCAGACTATCAGGTATTCCAAGTTTATTTTGTATTGACTGCATGTCAGTGTTTACATATGGGTTTATGATCGTGGGAAAATGTGATTTAATTGAGAAATACTGACGTCTGTATACCCAGGGAAATACATTAACATGAAATGTTACTGGCATGGAAAAGTACTGACAGTGGTATGGTAGCAAGGGTTTAGACTTTTGAACCAGACTTGGAATGATCAAATACAAATTATGCCATTTATTAACTGTGTGACCTTGGACAAGTAGGATAATATCTCCTGGCGTTTTTTCATCTGTAAAATGAAACTAGTAAAACCTAACTTGCAGCTGTTGTCAGATTAGACATGAAGTGGCTTGACACCTAGCTTATGGTAGGAGCTTGATAGCTATTGTTTTGGAACAATGTTTCACAGTGATTAAGAACATAGGCTTTCAGATCCCAGTCTGGCCACTTACTTCTCTGTATCCTTGAGTAAGTGATTCAGATGTTCTCAGTTTCCATTTGTAGACTGGATAATGATCAATGTGAAGCTGTAGTAAGGATTAAATGAGATAACTCTGGGAGGTTAAGTGTTGCAGCCATTTCAGGAAACTGAGGCTTGTAGAGGTTAAATAACTTTCACATGGATCCCCAGCAAGCTGTAGATGCAGGACTCATATTTGATCTGACCACAAAGGCTGTTATGTTGCCTGCTTAGGGATCCTATCATGGCATTGTCAGTTACGTTGTGGAAAGACCCTCTTTGAAAATTGTATACCACCTCCTTTTCTCTTCTGCTTATTCTAACCATATTCCCAACTACACAAGGGTTCAGTGTGGGAAGGATACTGAAAATCTGACCAATTAGAATTATTTACACACAAAAAAAAAGAGAGAGAGAAAGAGATGTTATTAAACTGATAAGGTCCCGAGTGCTCGTTACTGTACTTTCAGAATTAGGTATTAACTCTTTCTTTTGGTTAGGGGAGAAGTCCAGCCCATCACACCATGGAAATCACTGTTGTGTGAGTAGTAATTCTCTTCCAGTTAGCTAAACAAGGACACCAAGGGCAGACAGCTGTGGGAGTTGTTGGTTCCAGTATCTTTTTCTTCCTTTCCGGATGGGAAGAGTGCATCTCTCTTGGCCCACAAATGTGTTTGCACACTAAGGTGATGGCATCCTTAGAAGGAAGCAGAGCAGTGCTCTGACCTTCGCTTCTGGAACCGAGAAAATGATGCCATGCTGCTTTGTTGGTGTGATTGTTGTTGGTTTTTTGTGGATGAATTTTAAAATAGTATTTGTGACTATCATTTCATGTGTCCACTCTTTTTAAAAATGTTACCTTTTCTAGGATTGGCAGAATTTGGAATTATATGTCTTATTAAATATGCTTTGAAAGACAGAAGTAATAAGTTCTGGTTAATCTTTTATAGTGTTTGTCTTGGGAGCAAATAGTATGAGAGAGAGGTGTGAGAATGGGAATAATAATCTAACATATCAAAATTAGAGAACCCCAAACCATCACATTCTTTCTCTTTGTGCCATTTTAGAATTGAGAATACCGTCCTTCTTACTGTGGTTATATTTTTACTTTTGTATATAAACTTGTAGCAGAAAATAAGATTCAGTAGCTTAAAGGGGCCAGGCACTGTGGCTCATGCCCGTAATCCCAGTGGTTTAGAAGGCTGAGGGGAAGGATCACTTGAGGCCTGGAGTTTGAAATCAACCTGGGCAACATAGCAAGACTCTGTTCCTTCAAAAAAAATTTTTAAAAATTAGCTGAGCATGGAGGTGCATGCCTATAATCCTAGCAATGATTATACCATTACACTCCAGCCTGGATGATAGAGTGACACCCTGTCTCAAAAGAAAAAAAAAATAGTTTAAAGGGCATAAAAATGTATTAATGCCAAAGAAATGGATTCTGTGATACCTTCTCCTATCATACTCACTTTTACTCTTCAGTCATGTGTGTGGGGGTGAGTTTTCTACTGAAGAAAGCATGTAAATAAGCTTTGAATTTTTTATGTATACATCATTAAGTTTCTGGGTAAACATCTCAAGCAAATTTACCAAGTAGATACAAAACAGCATAAAAAGGGGTTACTCCTGTAGAAAAAAATGTATTTGCACAGCATAGTAATAAGCCTAGGCTTAATATTATTTACTAGCAATATTTCTGACCTTCCTCAAGAGAAGAGGATGTTAAAATATTTGGGGTTTTTGTCTTTAATTATAAAGTTAGTACATAGCACAAAACCTATACATCCTTTCTTCCTTGAAACATAATGACACTTCAGTCACATATTGGGATTGAGCTTCCCCTAGAAGCACCTGAATCACACTTTTCCCTCATCTCCTTTCCAGCGTTCCAATCCACATGCTGCCTATCCCAACCCTGGACCAAGCACATCACAGCCGCAGAGCAGCATGGGATACTCAGCTACCTCCCAGCAGCCTCCACAGTACTCACATCAGACACATCGGTACTGAGCTGCATCGGAATCTTGTCCATGCACTGTTGCGAATGCTGCAGGGCTGACTGTGCAGCTCTCTGCGGGAACCTGGTATGGGCCATGAGAATGTACTGTACAACCACATCTTCAAAATGTCCAGTAGCCAAGTTCCACCACTTTTCACAGATTGGGGTAGTGGCTTCCAAGTTGTACCTATTTTGGAGTTAGACTTGAAAAGAAAGTGCTAGCACAGTTTGTGTTGTGGATTTGCTACTTCCATAGTTTACTTGACATGGTTCAGACTGACCAATGCATTTTTTTCAGTGACAGTCTGTAGCAGTTGAAGCTGTGAATGTGCTAGGGGCAAGCATTTGTCTTTGTATGTGGTGAATTTTTTCAGTGTAACAACATTATCTGACCAATAGTACACACACAGACACAAAGTTTAACTGGTACTTGAAACATACAGTATATGTTAACGAAATAACCAAGACTCGAAATGAGATTATTTTGGTACACCTTTCTTTTTAGTGTCTTATCAGTGGGCTGATTCATTTTCTACATTAATCAGTGTTTTCTGACCAAGAATATTGCTTGGATTTTTTTGAAAGTACAAAAAGCCACATAGTTTTTCCAGAAAGGTTTCAAAACTCCCAAAGATTAACTTCCAACTTATAAGTTTGTTTTTATTTTCAATCTATGACTTGACTGGTATTAAAGCTGCTATTTGATAGTAATTAAATATGTTGTCATTGATATAAACCTGTTTGGTTCAGCAAACAAACTAAAATGATTGTCATAGACAGTGTTTTATTTTTCCTGTTGGTGTTGCTGATTTGTGAGCATGCTTTAAGATGAAAAAAGCATGAATGATAACTTCCTTAAAAAGGTGCGGCATCCAATTCAAATATTTTCGTCCTGATTTTAAAGCTGGTTGGTGTAGTGCTATTAAAATTTCGTTCAGTTAATTTTCCTTTTGAAAACTTGTTCGCACGTTGTTTAGGGTGCCCTTACTTCAGCAAAGGAGAAGGAGTAGGAGAGCCTTAGAATTTTTGAGGAAAAAAAAACCTATAACATACAATGTACTGTATCAAACTATTTTACATGAATGACACAAGTATTCTGAATAAAAAATAATTGAACATTGTTAAAAACAAGGTGTTATGTAATAAATTTATTTTTCATAAATCAAAACATGGAGTCAGCTGTCTTTTTTATATGTACAAAGGGTTTTTGTTTTAATTTTAAAATATGCCTTAATAAGTAGCCTCTGAAGAAATCTCTTCACTTTTCATGAAGAATATCTATGTGTCTGTCTCCATAATAGAGTACTGACTTGAGTCTTAGATATGGATCCTTTTTTCCTGCTATACTCGGTACCATAATGTAAGATATGAAACACAGACACCTATCTAATTGGAAGATATTGGTGAGCCTTCAATCGCTGGAATCATTCCTAATTTATTCTGTGTTGTACTGAGAAGGATTTGACTGTTGTATCCCTAATAATTAATTTTCCTCCTCCAGAAAATACAGAAGATTAGGAAAAAAAACTAACTTTTTTCTTAAAAACCCAACTCAATGATATAAAAACATTCTAAAACAAAATCACTGAGGAATCTCTGTCCTTATAGGCCCGACAGTACAGTAATGGTAATTTCTAGGAGCTGAATTCATGTTTCCATTTTAAGTCCTCCTGCCCCAACGCATTCTCAGGATGTGTGGACCTGGTTATGAGTTCCCCTCCTGAGCCCTCAGGAGCTCCCTGCCTTCCATAGTTTGGTCTGGGTTTTTTTTCTTTCTTTCTTTCTTTCTTTCTTTTTTGAGACAGTCTCACTCTGTCACCAGGCTGGAGTGCAGTGGCGCGATATCCACTCACTGCATTCTCGGCCTCCCAGGTTCGAGAGATTCTCCTGCTTCAGCCTCCCAAGTAACTGGGATTACAGGTGCCCGCCAGCACACCCGGCTAATTTTTGTATTTTTAGTAGAGACAGGGTTTCACCATGTTGGCCAGACTGGTCTCGAACGCCTGACCTCAAGTGATCTGCCCGCCTTGGCCTCCCAAAGTGCTAGGATTACAGGCATGAGCCACTGCACCGAGCTGATTTCTGTCAATTTTACCTCTTACTGTGCCTTCTTATTTCCTGTCCATTCTCATTGTTTTCTAATATTGCTCCCTACCGTTAAAGCTGAGGTTTTTCAAGCTTAGTGGATATGAGAATCCTCTGGAGTATTTTTCTGCCCTTCAGGGAGGGCTACTCTACTGACATGAGTTTCCTATGTGAATTTCCAAAAGCGAAACCCATTCTAGAGTGGACCGTTCCACTCTAACGGTACAAGAGCCTGAAGGCTCAATTCTCAGGTTTTTGTTTCTCTGTCTGTCCTCATTCCCTGAGTGATCCTGCGCCATCTCCTCTCCTGTCATTAAACATGGAGGTGACCATTGAGTGTACATCCAGCTAGCTTTCTCCCTGAGCGCCAGGTTCCTGCGTTTACTTGCATCTGTGATAAGTACCATCCACATCCACATGCCTGCCAGCATTTTCTATTCCCTCCCCCGGCTTTATTTTTCTACATAACACTTAGACCTGACTGATGACATCTGTTTGCCAATTTTCTGTTTCTTCCCAGTAGAATGGAAGCTCCCTGAGAGCATGGGTCCTGTTCCATCTCAGACCTGGCTTCTTGATCTACACTTATGCCCTGGGTGCTGCCATCCAGGCTCGTGACTTTAATAGGCTGATAATTCTCAGACTTCTAGTCCAGACCTCCCTGTCCTGTCTGACTCATTCCTACATATTATCTAGACTGAATCTGTCCATGTCCAGAAAGGTGACTCCAGCCTCCAGCCACCGCCTCCTACAGACTCAACCAGCTAGAGGAGGCGGAAGGAGCGCTTGAGCCTAGGGGGTTGGCACCCTCCCCCCTTCTGGCTGTCCAGGCCAGGCAGCAGCCCTGGCACCATCTCTCACACAGGACATCTGTTCCATATGCAAATCCTGCCAACTGTCCCTTGAAAACATATCCTGAGTCGCTCTGTCCTTACCACCCGCACTGTACCACCCTCTACCAAGGCACAGCCTTCTTTCCAAGACTGTTCCAGTAACCTCCGCCCTTCTCCTAGTCTTCACACAGCATCCTGAGTAAGCCTTGGGCATGGAGGTCACGTCACTCCCTTGCTGTACCCAGAAGCCCCTAGTGTCCTGGCTTCCCTTCCCTGGTTGGTCCCAGCCTCTGTCCCTCTCCTCCCGGTGGCTGCACTCCCACTCCACCACTCTCCTTGCTGACCCTCAAGCATGCCAAGCACGTTTGGTCTTAAGGCCTTCATGCTTGCTGCTGTCTGCATCTGTCTCCAGTGCTCTCCCCAGCAAGCTTCTTGGTGACATTTTGGGGTCTGCTCAAGTCTTATCTTCAGAGAGGCTCTCCCTCTCTGCTTTAAAAATCACAGCCTGAGGCCGGGCATGGTGGTTCATGCCTGTAATCCCAGCAATTTGGGAGGCTGAGGCGGGTGGATCACTTGAGGTCAGGAGTTCAAGACCAGCCTGGCTGACATGGTGAAACCCCGTCTCTACTAAAAATATAAAAATTAGCCAGGCATGGTGGCACATGCCTGTAATCCCAGCTACTCAGGAGGCTGAGGCAGGAGAATTGCCTGAACCCGGGAGGTGGAGGTTGCAGTGAGCCAAGATTGTGCCACTGTACTCCAGCCTGGGCGACAGAGGGAGACTCCACCTAAAAAAATAAAAAAATCACAGCCCGCCTGCCTCCCCACCCCAGCGTTCTCCCTCTCTTGTACCTGCTTGGTTTTCCAGCACAGCACTGAGCATCGATGAGATGTCTACTTGTTTACTGCTTTTTCTCTCCCGCTAGAAAAGAAACTGCAGGATGGAATTATTTATTTGCAATAGTCCCAGCAACTAGAAGAAGAGTGCCTTACAGCAGCGCTCATCAGTATGTGCTGAATGAATGGATGACTTTCTATTGGATGTCAAATAGTATCTCGAACTGAACACATCCAAAAGAGAACTCTTTATTTTTTTCTTTTTAATGTTGGGTTTTTTGTTGTTGTTGTTTTTTGTTTTTTGTTGAGACAGGGTCTCACTCTGTTTCCCAGACTGGAGTGCAGGGGCACGATCTCGGCTCACTGCAACCTCCACCTCCCAGGCTCAAGCGGTTCTCCTGCCTCAGCCTCCTGAGTAGCTGGTATTACAGGTGCGCACCAATATGCCCTGCTAATTTTTGTATTTTTAGTAGAGACTGGGTTTCACCATTTTGGCCAGGCTGGTATCAAACTCCTGACTTCAAATGATCCACCTGCCTCTGCCTCCCAAAGTGCTGGGATTACAGGTGTAAGCCACCAAGCCTGGCCTAGAAAGTGTTTTTTCTCCACATCTAAGTTCAAGAACAGGAGCAATCGATGGTAGAATACTTTTTAAATATGGAAATTAGTTATGTTGACATTTTCCAAAATACTTGCAATCTGGTAATAGCCCCTACTTTATACTGACCTCCTCCACATTTATCAGTGCTACTGTTTGTATTTCTGCCTACATATATGTTCTTCTACCTTTTTTTGTCTTTCAGCTTTCAAAAAAATTCCCAATGGCCAGGCACCACGGCTCATGCCTGTAATCCCAGCACCTTGGGAAGCTGAGGTGGGAGGATCACTTGAGCCCAGGAGTTCAAGACCAGCCTGGGCAACAGAGTGAGACCCTGTCTCAAACACACACACACACACACACACACACACACACACCCCTCCAAGCACAGAGGCCATTTTCAGTGTCCTTCCCTAAAAAGCAAAAAATCTTGAAAATCATGATGCCAACCATAATCCAGATTTATTGCTTAACAAATTCCTGATTCTCATTGGCCTTGGGAAACACAAAAATTACTCTGACTTAAATAATGAGCATTTCAATATTAGTTGGTCTTTGCAGCAGAAAAAGAGATATTTGAGGTCTACTTTGTTTCTCAAACCCAGATACATCCCCCTTTTAAAATGACAACACATAGGCCTCCCTCTTTTTTAACTTGCTGTAAAGAACTAAATGCATGCAATGGGTTAGAATATATACTTTTTTTTGAAAGACTATGAATAAAATAATTACAGTTAACATTGTACAAAAATAGGACTCATTGATAAAAATTTAGGGCAATCAAAATACAAGACATGCTTATTATTGTTAGTAGTAGTAGTAGTATTTAGAGACAGGGTCTCACTCTGTCACCCAGGCTGGAGTGCAATGGTGCAATCGTAGTTTACTTTAACCTCGAACTTGTGGGTTCAAGTGATCCTCTTGCCTCAGGTTCCTGAGTAGCTAGGACTACAGGTGCACACCACCACGCCTAGCTGATTTTTTTTTAATTATTTTTTGTAGAGATGGGGGTCTCACTGTGTTGCCCAGGCTGGTCTCAAACTCCTGGCCTCAAGCAGTACACCTGCCACAGCCTTCCAAAGGGCTGGGATTACAAGCATGAGCCACCCCACCCAGCAAGACGTGCTAGTAATACCTTGGCAACGTGAAATGATGAGTGAAAAACGCTATGGTCAAGCTTATAACCTCTAATTGACAAGAGATTTGTGTAACAAATACCTACTGAGGCTGAACAAAGTGATGGCCACGTCATGCATCGAGGCATAATTTCCAAAAGATGCGTCATGCTCTGGCTTGGTCACTTATTGAATTCCATATGTGAATTAATGTATGTCATCATCGGTACAGAGAGGGCCTGTCTAATGGGTAGACGTGCCATGAGAATCCAAATGGTACCTGGAAATCAAGTGGGGGTGAGAGAGCTCTGTGTATATTATTTGGGTCATTATATTCACCAGAGGTTGACGTTTCAGAGATCAAACACTATCCATGATTGATATAGGAGGTTTTCAGGACACTCTCTAGCCTTAGAAAGGACTGAAGTTATTCATTCTTTCATTCCATTTATTGCATACCTACAATATGCTAAACACTGCCCTGGACGCTGTGGCTGCAACAGAGGACAGCGAGGGCTCGTTTCCTGTACGCATGCAGAGTGTATTTTAGTGATAGAAGATAAACAGTTAAGCAGTAGATAAGAATAACAATAATGTCACATTTTGATTAAAATCTTTGTAAAAAAGGAGGTGAGGTGAATGACAATGTCTTTGAGGGCCCGTTTTAAGTAGCATAATCAGAAGTTTCCAAAGAAGTGATATTAAGTTGGTGCAAAAGTAATTGCAGTTTTTGTCATTGAAAGTAATGGCAAAACCGCAATTACTTTGGCACCAACCTCATATTTGCGATGAGAAATATGAACAGGAATAGGAAATATTTGAAATACATGAAATTTGCACATAGGAGCTTTGCACGCAAGAGCAACCAATGTAAAGACCTGCGGCAGTGACGGGTGTGGGGTATTGGTGGAAACGGGAGCTCTGTGCCAGAAGAGAGTGGCTCCAAAGGTGTGGGTGAGGGAGGAGTTAGATAAATAGGCAGGAGAGTATCCTGCGTTGTGGGTCCATCGGCATGTGGGGGAGGTGGCCACTCACCAGCAGCACCAGGACCTGTGGACGCTCCAGGTGCTTGACTCCTGCTGTTGAATATGGCACGATGCTTGAAGCCACAGCCTGCACACCTTCATCAGCCGTGGAACCAAATTCACCAGCTGGCCCAGCCACTTCCAAGCGGGAGAGATTTTCTAATCTCTGCTCCCTGGCCTCCACCCTTCCTCAGTATGATCTAGCTTCCTACCTGGCCTCCCTGCCTCCCTACACATGCCATTCTGTAGTCTCTCTTCCACACACACTAATGAACCTTTATAAGAATGTCTTCATAAAAAAAAAAAAAAAAAAGCTAGTAAAAAGAAATTTCAGGAGATAAAATTTTTTTAAAAAATAAAAATGTCTTAAGAGACCTCCATCACACTTAGAATAAAGTCGGAATTTCTCAGCACTGCCTAAAACATTCCAGTTTGGCAGCTCTCCCCATTCGCGTTTCCCACCACTCCCCTGCCCGATGACTGCACTTGTTACCACCGCATCCTGGCTCTTCCTCCAAAACGTCAGGCGCATGCCTGTCTCCAGGCTTTTGCTTGCTGTGCCTTCTGCCTGGAATTCCCTCACCCTGGATTCTGTCTGGCTTGCTCAGTTCATTTAGCTCTGCTCAAATGGCACCTCCTCAGAGAGCCCTCCCTCCCCACCCTTCCCTTAGCCACAGTGTGTCTGCTTTTCCTACTTCACTTTTCCTCAGAGCAATGCACGACCTAGCGTTTTTATGCTTGTGTATTTTTTTGTTTGGGTATTTGTTTACTATCTGTCTCTGGGAAGAGAACAGCATGATGGGAAAGTTTTCTTGGGGGAGGTGGGGTTTGGAATCAGAATCCTAGGGCGTGGCCCTATCTGTTACTGTAAGACCTTAGTCAAGTCATTCAACTTTTCCAAGTATCTGTCAATGATAAGGATCATAACTGACTTTCACACTGAGTTACAGAAATGCTGAAAGGTACTTTGTAAAATAAACTATAAATCAGTATTCAAAGTTTCATAATTAACTTTTTTATCTCAGATAAACCCAAAGTAACTGTGCCAAGCATTTTACATATATTATTCACAAAAACTTTTTGAGTCAGTTATTATCTTCCCCATTTTTCAGATGAGGAAAATAAAGTTCAGAGAGGCTTTTCCCTGCTCAAATTCAGCTACTGGTAAATCCAGATTTGAACCCAGGTCCTCAGCTTCCAGGCCCCAGAGAAAGTAATAAGCTGTGATGGTCATACTGGGTAAAGTGGCCACAGTTTCCAGATTGCAAAATGTATCCTAGACAGCAACAGTCAAGGATGAAATTAGTAAGCTTGGAGGCTGCCAGAGAGAGCTGTCTTATTTATGACATTTATGACAAGAGCTGTCCTACATATGACAAGTAAGGTGAATTCTTAAATGTGTTTTTCCATTTATACTACAAAGTTTATAAATTTGTGTTTTGCTTGTTACTGACTATAGCTGTTAAAGCACACTTCAACAGTTCTAATGGATTTTAAAATGGATGCTAATTCAGTAGGCCCCAAAATCAGCTTGACGAATACGCAGTAATTATTTTGCCAGTTGAGTTTCTTCATTGGCAGAAAATATGCTAAAATAGACAACTAGCAATTTTCTCTGATTTAGTATTAATCAAAGGTTTTCACTGTGCCAAGTTCTACTGGATTCCTCTCATGCACCCCTCCAAGTGCCCCTTTTCCTTCAGCTACTGCTACAGTGACTAGTCCTACACAGGCTTCCACCAGGTTTGTGCAGGTGCTTTGCTTTGGGCCCACATCAAGTATGTGTCCCTTCCTGCCATAGAGCTTCTCTGATGATTCAGTGTGGAATGTCCATAGGAATCAACTTTGAACCCAGGAATGCACAATCAGGATATGACAGGGAGCTATAAAGGCCATATGGTTACCCTTGACCAATGGATTAAAGGAGTCAGTGGGCAGATGCTTCCTCCTTTGATTCCCAGAGCAGAACTGTTTAGAGATGCATTTCATAAGGCTTTTCAGAAGGTCCCGGCAGAATGGAGCACCCACTGTTCATTGGGCTGGCCAACTGAATAAAGCATCCTTGTACTGGTTTCCTTTCTTCCTTGTTCTCTTCCTTATCTCATACTACCGCTCGCTAAGATCACATTTGCAAGTAAACCACCTGCATACAATCCTTTATTTCATGTTCTGCTTAGAGGGTGGAATCCAGGCTAAGAAAATTTGTATTGAAGTGAGTCCTCAAAAATAGCAATAAAGAACTTGTTGCTGGTGGGAAGTGAGATCACAATTACCAGAGTTTTCCCTGTGTTCGTTTGGGATGAGGTACAGGTGGAAGGGGAAACATGATACAGATGCTGGAAGCTTGAGCAGTATGAAAACAATGATATTTAAAAGACTATGGAGTTGGCTGGCTTTTGTTAACTTCTTCAAACGACTTGAAAAAAAATATGACAAGCCTAGGTAAGCCAATTATCAACCTGAGGCATGCTTGAAAGTCAGAGGGCCAGAATGGATGGTAGACCAATGCAAACAGTGTAAACCGAACCAAGTAATAGCTCCAATTACAGCTGCTGTGCCAGATGTGTTATCTTTACTAAAACAGATCAACACAGCCCCTAGCACTTTGTATGTGGCTTTTGATGTGGCAAACGCATTATTCCCTTCTATAAGGAAAATCAAAAACATGTTTACATAGGAAGGACAATAGTACAGCCTCTCTTTTACCCCAAGGCTATATTAACTCTCCTGCTCTTTGTTATAATATAGTCTGCAGGGTAGTGCTGCTGGAAAGATGGCAGAATTGGAAGCTATCAGGAATCTATCTGTCCACCTGGACAACAATTGTACTGGCAGAAACAGTCTCAAGTAACCATTTTGGAACTCAGTTTATTTGAATACTTGAAACTTCCAGGGACCAGCTTAGCTGGTAAATTTCAGTTGATATCAGCTATCAGTGTGGTGGCAGGCAGCTGGGGAATGGCAGCCCATATCTCTGGCACATCTTGCTGGAGCCATGACAGGCAATAATGACCTTGTCCTTCAAATAGTGGGGTTCCGTGTTCTCACGGGATTGCTGTTTGATCACTGATTAGTGAGTAAAGAGTTTGGATGTCATTGTATGAATTCCTCCCAGCTGAAGCAGCTTCCAGGAGATTTAAAGGAACTATACCTGTTTGTTTGTTTGTCTGTCTGTCTTTGGACATTCAAAAACAAGCATGTATATGGGGAAATTTAGAATGCCACTTTGCATGCCTAGGGAAAGACACAGGCTCAGAAAAGACATGAGAAGACATTAAGCTTTCACCTCAAGCTGATCCCTGGCACAAATACACCATACAACAATCAAAAGACAGCAAACACTGGGTAAGAGGGAGAATCTGTTTTCCAGAGTTTCCACGTCATAAGATTCGAACATCCAGTTTTCAGAATGAACAAACAAAAAGGCATACAAAGAAATAGAAAACTATGGCCCATTCAAGGGAACAAAATAAGTTGACACAAAATGTACATGAAGCTCAGACATTAGACTTACTAGACAAAGACTTTAAAACAACTGTCTTTTAGCTGGGCATGGTGGTGCACACCTGTAGTCCCAGCTACTTGGGAGGCTGAGGTAGGAGAATCACTTGAACCCAGGAGACGGAGGTTGCAGTGAGCTGAGATCACGACACTGCACTTCAGCCTGGCACAGAGAGAGATTCCGTCTCAAACAAAAACAAAAACAAAAACAAAAACAAAACGAAAAAAAATGTCTTAAGGATTCAAAGAACTCAAGGAAGACATAGACAAAGATATGCAGAAATGATATATGAACAAAATAAGAGTATCAATAGAAATTTTAAAAGAGAAGCAAAAAGAAATCTTGAAGCTGAAAAGTATGATAATTGAAAGAAAATATGTACTAGAAAGTTTCAAAAACGGATTTGAGCAAGCAGAAGAATCAGTGAACTTAAAAGTTAAATTTTTATAAACTTAATTAGATTGTTACAACTCTAAGATGTTAAATGTAATTCCCATGATGACCACAAAGAAAATAGCTATAGAGTATACACAAAAGGAAATTAGAGGGGAATAAAAGTTTCACTCCAAGAAATCATTTTTTTACTAAACACCTAAGAAGGCAATATTACAGGAAATGAGGTAGCTAAAAGTCATAAGGTATGTAGAAAACAAATAGCAAAATATCAGAAGGAAGTCCTCCTTATATTACTTTAAACACAAATGGATTCAATTCTCCAATCAAAAAACAAGGATTGGCAGACTGGATTTTTAAAATATAATCCAACTATATGTTGTCTATGACACTAACTTTAGACTCAGTGACACAAATAGGTTAAAAGTAAAACGATGGAAAAGGACAGTAATGCAAATAGCCATCAAAAGAGAGCTGGAGTAGCTATACTAATATCTGATAAAATAGACTTTACATTTTAAAAAATTATAAGAGAAAAATATATACATTACATATTAATAAACATTGATACTGCAAGATACATAGCAGTTATAAACATTTACACATCTAATAACAGACCTTCAAAACATCCTCTGTGCTCCATTGATTCATGCCTCCTTACCCTAAGGGTGGCTCAAAATAAAACTATAAATGTAATACATCAGATTAATATAACAAAAGGGAAAAACCACATGATCAAGTCAATTGATGCAGAAAAGGCATTTGACAAAATCCTATACCCTTCCATAATTAAAAAAAAAAAACAACTCTCAGAAAACTAGTATTATAGGGAAAATTCCTCAACATGATAAAATACCTAAACATGATAAAAACACATCCAATATTGTACTCAAGGGTGAAAGACTGAAAGCTTTCCCTTAAAATCAGAACAAGACAAGGGTGCCTGCTTTCACCACTTCTACTCAACATTGTGCTAGAAGTTCTAGTCAGAGTTAATAGATAAGAAAAAGAAATTTTAAAAATTGAAAAGGATGAGAGGAAACTACCTCTAATCACAAATGACATGATATTGTATATAGAAAATTCTAAAAAATCCGCAAGAAATCTATTAGGGTGAATAAACAAATGCAGCAAGGTCTTGTGGCCTCACAAAGTCAACACACAAAAATCAGTTGTATTTCTGTACACCAGCAGTGAAAAATCCAAAAAAAAGTTAGGAAAGCAAGTTGAATCTCATCAGCATCTAAAAGAATTAAATGGGGCAAGGTGCGGTGGCTCATGCCTATAATCCCAACACTTTGGGAGGCTGAGGCAGGCGGATCACCTGAGGCCAGGAGTTTGAGACTAGCCTGGCCAACATGGTGAAACCCCATCTCTACTAAAAATACAAAAGTTAGCTGGGTATGGTGGTGCGCACCTGTAGTCCCAGCTACTTGGGTGGCTGAGGCATAAGAATTGCTTGAACTCAGGAGGTGGGGGTTACAAAGCGTAGAGATCGTGCCACTGCACTCTAGCCTGGGTGACACAGTGAGACTTTGTCTCAAAAAAAAAAAAAAAAGAATTAAATACTTAGGAATAAATCTAACCAAGGAATTGAAAGGCTTATACACAGAAAACTACAAAACATTGTCGAAAGAAATTATAAAACATACTGAAAATAAATATTAAAAATAAATAAATAGAACACCAGTGAGTTGTGGGATAATATGAAGGGGTCTAAAGGATTAATATTCATTTTTCTTTTGTCCAAAGAACTTCCTTTAACATTTCTCTTTTTTAAGTCTTTTTCAAAATAGGGTCTGACTCCATCACCCAGGCTGGAGCACAGTGGCAGGATCATGGCTCACTGCATCCTCAGTCTCCTGGGCTCAAGCAATTCTCCCTCCTCACTCTCCCCAACAGCTGGGACTACAGGTGCATGCTACCACACGTGGCTAACTTTTTTAATTTTATAGAGACATGCTCAGGCTGGTCTTGAACTCCTGGCCTCAAGCAATCCTTCCTCCTTGACCATTATCTTTATTATTATTATTATTATTATTATTATTATTGTTGTTGTTGTTGTTTTGGAGATGGAGTTTCACTCTTATCACCCATGCTGGAGTGCAGTGGCACGATTTCTGTTTTTCTTTTTTTTTTTTTTTTTGAGACAGAGTCTCGCTCTGTTTCCCAGGCCAGGTTCACGCCATTCTCCTGCCTCAGCCTCCCAAGTAGCTGGGACTACAGGTGCCTGCCACCACGCCCAGCTAATTTTTTTGTATTTTTAGTAGAGATGGTGTTTCACCGTGTTAGCCAGGATGGTCTCCATCTCCTGAACTCGTGATCCGCCCGCCTCGGCCTCCCAAAGTGCTGGGATTACAGGTATGAGCCACTGCTCCTGGCCACAATTTCTACTCATTGCAACATTCGCCTCCTGAGTTCAAGCAATTCTTGTGCCTCAGCCTCCTGAGTAGCTGGGATTACAGGTGTGCACCACCACGTCTGGCTAATTTTTGTATTTTTAGCAGAGACAGGGTTTCGCCATGTTGGCCAGGCTGGTCTTGAATTCCCGACCTCAGGTGATCCACCCGCCTCAGCCTCCCAAAGTGCTGGGATTACAGGCGTGAGCCACTGCACCTGGCCATTATTTTTTCTAATGTTCTTCTGTCCCCTGCTTCTTGTGGAACTCCACTTGCATGTACCTTAGGCCCCTTGATATTATCCCACAACTCACTGTTGTTCTATTTAATATTTCTTTTTAGTGTGTTTTACTTCGGATAGTTTCTACTGTATGCCATCAAATTCCCTGTGGGTCTCCCTCTCCCTCTTTCTATCTCTCTTGTCTCTGCTCCCCATGCCCGTGCTTACCTCCACCTTCTTGAATACAGGCACACTTTGCTTTATTGCCCTTTGCTTTATTGCACCTTGCCAGTGTTACGTTTTTCACACATTGAAGGTTTGTGGCAACCATGTGTGGAGCAAGTCTATCAGTGCCATTTTCCCAACAGCATGTTCTCAGTTTGTGTCACATATTGATAATTCTCATAATACGTCACACTCTTCATTATTATTATATCTGTTATGGTTCTTTGTGATCAGTGATCTTTGATGCTACTATTGTAATTGTTCTGGGGCCCAGCCTGGGCGACAGAGCGAGACTCTGTCTCAAAACAAACAAACAAAAAACGAATTTAATCTATAAATGTTGTGTGTGTTCTGACTGCTTCATCAACTGGCCATTTCCTTGTCTCTCTCCCTATCCTCTCTATTCTCCCTGTTCCCTGATATGACAATTTTGAAATTGGGCCAATTAATAACTTTATAATGGCCTCTAAGTGTCTGAGTGAAAGGAAGAGTTGCATGTCTCTTACTTTAAATCAACAGCTAGAAACAATTAAGCTTACTGAGGAAGGCATGTCAAAAGGCATGATAGGCTGACAGCTTGGTCTCTTGCACCAAACAGTTAGCCAAGTTGTGAATGCAAAGGAGAGCTCTTAAAGGAAATTAAAATTGTCACTCCAGTGAACACACAAATGATAAGAAAGTAAAACAGCAGACTTATTGCTGATACGGGGAAAGTTTGAGCGGTCTGGATAGAAGATCAAACCAGCCACAGCATTCCCTAAGCCAAAGTCTAATCCAGAGCAAGACCCTAACTCTCTTCAATTCTGTGAAGGCTGAGAGAGGTGAGGAAGCTACAGAAGAAAAGTTTGAAGCTAGCAGAGGTGGGTTTATGAAATTTAAGGAAAGAAGCCATCCTCAGAACATAACAGTGCAAGCAGCAAGTTCTGATTAAGAAGCTGCAGCAAGTTATCCAGAAGGTCTAGATAACATCATTGATGGAATGCTTCAAAGGACGGAAGCTCTGAAAGCTTCAAAGGATGGAAGCTCTGAAAGCTTCAAAGGACAGGCTGACTATCACTGGGAGATAATGCACTGGTGACTTTAAGTTGACTCCAATGCTCGTTGACCATTCCTAAGATCCTATAGTCCTTAAGAATTGTACTGAATCTCCTCTGCCTGTGCTCTAGAAATAGAAAAACAAAGCCTCAATGACAGCACATGTGTTTTCAGCATGGTTCACTGAGTATTTTAAGCCTACCATTGAGACCTATTGCTCAGAAAAAAAAAGATTTCTTTCAAAATATTACTGCTCATTGACAATGCCCCTGGTCACCTAGGAACCCTGATAGGGGTATACAGGAGACGAATATTGTTTCCCTGCCTGCTAACTTAACATTTATTCTGCAGCCCATAGATCAAGGGGTAACTTTGACTTTCAAGTCTTATTATTTAAGAAACATACTTCATAAGGCCGCAGGTGCCATAGGTAGTGATTACTTTGATGGATCTGGAAAAGATAAATTGAAAGCCTTCTGGCAAGGATTTACCATTCAAGATGTCATTAGCATTAGTCATTCATAGGAGAAGGTCAAAATATCAATATTAACAGGAGTTTGGAAGAAGTTGATTCCAACACTCATGAAGGAGTTTGAGGGGTTCAAGACTTCAGTGGAGGAGATCACTGTGGATGTGGTGGAAACAGCAGGAGAACTAGAATTAGAAGTAGAGCCTGAAGATGCGACTGAATTGCTTCAATCTCATGATAAAACTTTAATGGATGAGGAGTTGCTTCTTATAAATGAGCAAAGGAAGTGGTTTCTTGACATGGAATCTACTCCTGAAAAAGATGCTGTGAACATTGTTGAAATAACGACAAAGTATTTAGAATATTATATAAACTTAGTTGATAAAGCAGCAGCAGGGTTTGAGAGGATTGTGTCTAATTTTGAAAGAAGTTCTACTATGGGTAAAATATTTTTAATTTTTTTTTTTTTGAGATGGAGTCTCGCCCTGTCACCCAAGCGGAGTGCAGTGGCGTGATCTCGGCTCACTGCAACCTCCGCCTCCCGGGTTCAAGCGATTCTTCTGCTTCAGCTTCCCAAGTAGCTGGGATTACAGGCACCCACCACCATGCCCAGCTAATTTTTGTATTTTTAGTAGAGATGGGGTTTCACCATGTTGGCCAGGCTGGTCTCGAACTCCTGACCTCAGGTGATCCACCTGCCTTGGCCTCCCAAAGTGCTGGAATTACAGGTGTGAGCCACCATGCCCAGATATCTTGTTAAAATATTATCAAACAGTATTGAATGCTACAGAGAAATATTTCATGACAAGGAAGAGTTGAACTTCATTTTTGTCTTATTTTAAGAAATTTCCTCAACTACCCCAGTCTTCAGCAACCACCATCCCAATCAGTCAGCAGCCATTAATATCAAGGCAAGATTCTCCATCAGCAAAAAGATTCTGACTTGCTGAAGACTCAGATGAATGTTAGCATTTTTTAAACAATAAAGTCTTTTTAAATTAAGGTAGATACATTGCTTTTTTAGGCATAATGCTATTAAACACTTAATAGACTACAGTATAGTGTAAGCATAATTTCTTTTTTTTAGAGATGGGGTCTCACTGTGTTGCCTAGGCTGGAGTGCAGTGGTGCGATCATAGCCCACTGCAACCTGGAACTCCTGGGCTCAAGCAGTCCTCTCACCTCAGCCTCATAAGTAGCTAGGACTACAGGTGTGTGCCACCATGCCCAGCTATTCTTTTTTTCTTAGAGATGGGGTCTCACTATGTTGCCTGGGCTGGTCTAGAACTCCCGGCCTCCAACAATCCTCCTGCCTCGGCCTGTAAGCCTAACTTGTATATGCATTGGGAAACCAAGCAATTCATGTGACTGACTTTATTGTGTTATTTGCTTTATTGCAGTTGTCTGGAACCAAACCCACAATATCTCCAAGGTGTATCTGAATATGGAGCAGTGGCTTTTCAAACATCCTTATCTCCAACTTCTAGTATCTCTGTTATTTTTGGATCCAGGTTTATTGATTGATTTTTCTTCCATTTAGGAGTCATATTTTTCTTCTTCTTTGTATGCCTGGTAATTTTTTATTGGATGCTGAGCATCATTAATTTGCTGTGTTGGTTGCTGTATCTTGTTATGTTTGTTTAGTGCTGGATTTTGTTATGGCACACTGTTAAATCACTTGGAGTCAGCTGTATCCTTTTGATGCTTGCTCTTAAGCCTAATGTGTCAGGTCCAGAATAACTTTTAGTCCAGGGCTAATGAAGCCCCACTGCTACAGAAACATTCTTCTGAGAATTCTGGCAGATGCCCCAGCTACAACTCTTCACTGGTAGAAACACGGACTATTCTCAGCCTTGTTTGAACTCTAGGAATTGTTCTGCCTACTCTTTTTCAGGATTCTTTGTCTGACCTCAGATAGTTTCTTGTCACGCATACACAGATCAGTACTCAAAGGCTGGACAGAACCCGCTGTGTGTTTCCAGAGCCATGTCCACTTCCCTGCCGTAGCTCCCTCTTTCCCAACACACCTTTTCTTAAATTCCAGCCACCTTAGCTTTGATCTGTTCAACACACAAAGACCACTGGGTTTTATTTGGATTTTCCTCTCTGCACTGCAGCCTGCCAGCTGCTTTTAAGTGGTAAGCTCAGGCAATAATAAAACACACATTGCTTCTCAGGAATCACAATACTGTGCTGCCTTTTGTTTGGTGTCTGAAAAACGTTTTTAAATACATTTTGTCCAATTTTCTAATTGTTTAAGGGGGTAGGGTAAATCAGGTCCCATTACTCCCTCTTGGCTGGCAGTAGGAGTTACAGCTGGTGACCATTTGTTAAATGGGTGCAAACTTGAAGCTGGCTCACAAATTTCTTAGCATTGAGGTACACCTGAGTTTGATCCTGATAAGACAATCAATGCATTGTCCTGAAATTTATGAACATGATATCCATAATTGCCCAATATTTTGTCCGAATATTTTTGGACCATGCTCAAACCACTAAGCAGTCTGGTATATAATGTGAGCCTTTGCTTTCCCAATGAGGAGATTGATAAAAGAAAGAAGAAAAAAATACATCTCCTTTAAGGGCTGGAGACAGAATGCTTAAATATCTACATTGCAGTGTTCAAGTAAGTTACAAATATATAAAATTACACACTAGATCAACTAATACATTATTTTAAAGGATTGCCTTTTCCCACTCTTGCTGAATCACTGAAATGATTCTATTTAAATTCTCATATGCATTTTTGACTTTAATAATTTATTTTTCATTGCTATCATCTGAGTTATCTAAAACATCATCTTTGTGCCATCGAAGTTGCTTGAGCTTCAGCACTATCTGACTTTCTATGTATGTTGCTGGACATTTTACCCAGGCGGCAAGTGTGCATTCACGTTTCAGGAAACAGCTAGTTGTGTCGTTTTTTTTTTTTTTTTTTTCCATTTGGCAGTCACCATATGCAAGACATTTACTGTGTGGCTTGGTAAGTAATTTTTTTTTTTTTTTTTTTTTTTTGAGACGGAGTCTTGCTCTGTCACCCAGGCTGGAGTGCAGTGGCGCGATCTTGGCTCACGGCCACCTCTGCCTTCCAGGTTCAAGCAATTCTCTGCCTCAGCCTCCTGAGTAGCTGGGATTACAGGTGCCCGCCACCATGCCTGGCTAATTTTTTTTTGTATTTTTAGTAGAGATGGGGTTTCACCATCTTGGCCAGGCTGGTCTTGAACTCCTGACCTCGTGATCCACCCGCCTTGGCCTCCCAAAGTGCTGGGATTACAGGCATGAACCACCGCGCCCGGCCTTGTAAGTGATTTTAATAAGGCTTGTTTCCAATACAATACATCCAACAAATTGTAATTGAGTGTATTCCACCCCCAAGAATAATTCCTGAATACTAAACCTGTTCAATGTCTTGTTCTCTTTTTCAAACCATCTGTTCCATCAGATGACCACTATATTCATCCAAAACTAGCATTTCAAGGTTAGTTTAGACTAGGGTTGCATGATAATATCCAGGGAGCCTGGTTAAATTTGAATTTTAGATAAACAACAAAAATGTTTTGGTATAATTACGTCCCAAATATTGCACAGAACATACCTATACTACAAAAAAAGGTAGTTTATCCGAAATTTAAATTTAACTAAGCAACCTGTGTTTTTATTTGCTAAAACTGGTAACCATATTTTTTTAAATCACTGTGTCTTCCTCAACTAACCAATTTGTAACCTATTCATAACCAATCCATTTATAAGATATTGCTTGTCACTGATTTCCCCTATTTTGAATAATAATGAGAGAAAAAATTTACTTTTTATTTAGGGATATATAGTAATTTTTACTGTCACTTTCTTGCAAAGGATGTAATACCATAAGCACTCTTGAATATATTTGGAAGTATTTTTCCTGAGAGGTAGCAATTAATTCAGGGAACGAAATATTAGAAGATTGGTTTTACCAGTTCTCTATGCTATGAAAGCACACATTACGAATTAAAACATGGTATTCATTAACACAAGTTTGAACTAGGTAAGTATGTTCATTTCTCTTTCCACATTTTCAGAATTATGCCTCCGATTCTTTTGGCATACCAGCGTGTTTCAAAGGCAAATGTCATCTTTATCACGACCACCCTGCCTACACAGATTGTGGGTTTCCTAGGCCACACGTACCAGGAAAGTCATTTAAATGGCACATTGTAGTATCTAGGAAGAAATGTTCCTTTCCCTTTGGTTGAATTGACTGTTAAGCGGGGGGAAAATACCCAGAAATCTCAAGGACTGAATTTCTTCATAAAACTAAACATGTCTCCATTTATTCTTAGGCATGGTGACTCTAATACTTTCATTTTCCCCTTCTGTATTATTTAGAAAGAGTAATTCAATTTCCCCAATACTTCAGAATCCTGATGGAGTGTCAGATCTTCAATAACTTAACTTGTTCTGTCATTTTATTAAATTAGGGAAAAAAATAACCATTTGCTACTTTTGATTGCATTTTAGAATCTATAAGAAAGTGCTAAGTTTCTCTGTGGCTCCTGCGTGTCCTCAGTTAATATCAAATTGTCCCCAGCTTGAATCATTTCCCATGATTCAGAAAATCATTTTTCTTCTGCCCCTAAGGATACAAATTGGAAATAAAGTGATAAAACTTGGAAGAAATGCAATAAAACATCCCTAGGAAGCTTGAGAATCTTAGATGAAGCAGTTGGTGAGTTTAAGATCTTGCCCAGATGTGCTGAAAATATCCTTTCCACACAGTAAAAATATTCACTGCCTTCTTAAATTCAGTGACGTTTTTCTTTTTCTTTCTTTCTTTTTTTTTCTTTTTCTTTTCCTTTTTTTTTTTTTTTTTTTTGACAGAAAGGCAGCTGCTGTTCTTGCTGGCAGATGATAGCACTGGTTCCAAGGAAATCAGAATGCTTGCTGCCTTTGAGGCTGATGCAATGGGGAGGTCTAGCAACTTCTTTATACCCTGGCTTAAAAGGACTTTCTCCCAACACATTCCTATCCCTAAAGAACATCCCTGCTTTCCTTTCCAGGGCATTTCTTTCTCTCCAAGCCAGCCAGACGGTTCTCTGCCAGGGCCCATAGCCCTGCACTGACATTAACCAGAGCTGAGTCCGCCCTGCAGTCCTGCTCCTCTCTCACATTCAGTACTCGTTTTTACAGGAAAGAAAAGCTCATGTGTGCTAAGTCAAGCATTTTTAAAAAGAAAAAGGAGTTTGAAAGATTCATTTCACAAATGCTATTTCCTTTGCACTTGTTCCACCCGCCCCCCGCCCACAATTCTTAAGGGCAGGTGCACCAGAAACCATGATGTTTATGGCATTCTCTCTCATCCAGTAACTCCCAAACCAAACTGAAAAGATGCCAGACAGTCTTCCCTGTATACCATGGTTTCTTTCAGGGTTTTTGATACTGAATGAGAAAATGATGATGTGTGGGTTAGAGTCAGACTGAAACTGGGCCATCGGCTCCTTGTCTGAGGAAATGTCGTGTCCTGGCGGAGGGAGCGTGGAACCGCTTTCTGGCCTGAGCTGGGCTCTTGGGACAGAGTTGGCAAATGGCTTCACTTCTCTGGGTCTCAGATTTTCCCTCATGAAGTAGGAGGAATGGGGAGCACTAGATGGAAGCAGGCAGATAACTTCTGGAGCTGAGGCTGGCGTCCGCCTAGGGCCCCGGGCCCCACCCGCACGGGTAAGCTGAGCCTCTGAGGGGGTCTGCGATGGGACTCACATGAGCCACACAACACCCCCGTTCTCCTGCCGATATCCGCCCACACTCTGGGAGCTCCTGGGGGCAGGAACAGCCTTATATCTCCCCCCACCCCCAACAGCACCAGGCACATCTCTGTTGTCTATAAGGTGTCGATCTAACATATCCACAGCCTAGCCCCTGTTGTAGGAGTAAGGATATCAGGGGTAGGATACCTACCACACTGTGTCCTAGCAGCCTGGTTGCTCATCTGTCTTTCCAATTACTCTCATCTCCAGAAGCTAGCATGGTGCCTAGCTCTGGGTGCCATTCAGTAAGTTCCACAAAGACCAAGAATGAGCTCCTATACTTAGGAAGTTTCTGCTGCGTACCAGCCACCATCTCACCATTTCATTTAATGCAACAATCCTAGGACATCAACTCTATGATTGTTCCCACTTTCCAGATGAGAAGCCCGGTGCTTAAGAGGTTCACATTGTGCCTATGATGCACAGCTTTTGAGCAGAGCCAGGATGCAAATCAGGCCCATCAGCCTCTAGAATGTGCACCTTCACCCCCACAGTGAGGGAATGAAGCTGCCTTGTTCCATTAAGGTGATGGAGGGAGGATGGAGGAGCAGAGAGACCGCAAGAAGCCAGGGGCCTGACAGGCACCTATGCCCTGGAAGCCTGATTCACCTCTGGACTTTCAAGTTACACAAGCAGGTAAATGTCTTTATCCTTTAAGCCATTTTTGACTGACTTTTGACTGTTTGCAACAAAAGCACCAGCAAGCTGGATATGAGATTCCTCATCCACCACTACCTCCTCTGCTTACAGATTATTTATAGATGTGCTTCTTTTCTGGAGAAAAATATTCTTTAATGAAATTTTCATTGATATTTATCTTACACTACTCGGAAATCAAACCATATCAGTAGATTACTTTAATCATCAGTAGATGATTAAAAAGGCACTCACATGCCTTTTTGTTTTTGTGATTTTTTTTCATCTTTTAACTTCTGTGTTTATTTCATGCTCCTAAGAGTTTATGAAAGTCTCCCACTCCACATCAACACAGAGGTAACATTTATTTCTCAGTGGTGCATTCCAAGAATAGTCTGTGTTTGCAAAGCCCTCTTACGCTCATTTCTGAGCTCATTTATTTATTTAAGAGCTGCACAATCCCAGCCTTGTCCTGTAGTGGAAAGAGATTCTACCACGTTCAGATAGCAATGACTGGTTTAGAAATGATTTGTCTTAGTCCAAGCCAAAGTCTCTTCTGCATCCTTGATTATGTCTAAATGATGCTCTTATCCTTAAACAGAACCCACTTTCTTAGTCCACCAGGAAGCACTTGATTTATTTACCAGCTCCAGGGAAGGGAGGAAGCAGCCGTCCAAAGGGTAATCACACAGCCAGGTGAGCTGCCACTGAGCTGTGGCCCGGGAGAAAATGGTTTTAAGTGCTGAACGGGTTTGGTGTCGTGCCAGCCTGCTTGCTAAGGAACTCGCTCAGTCCTGCCTGGGAAATTAGATGGGCAGGCAAGTAAGTATTCAGAACGCTTCCAAAGGGGGACACAGGCAGCTGTCATTGTCCTGGCCACGGGAGACAGTCACAAGGGGACAGTGCTCACAGCACATGTGACCTGGAGAAGAGAGACCCAGGAGAGTGCAGTTGTTCACAGCAATCCAGCCCTCAAGGGTAGAGAGCCTGAGGCTCCTCCTGGATCCATAAAGAACTGGTTTCCCTAATGAGTGGCTTGGATGATTCATTTAAGGGACAAGTACAGCCAGTGAACAAGATGGAAGCACCAGATGTCTTAAGGCAGACAGATATCTTGATTGAGTCTCCATAGGACAGATGACCACCCTGGCCCATCAGGTCCTGAGATGCCACACCCCAGCTATGTGGATTAAGGGGGCACTTTCCCTGAGAGTTGGCCAGAGCTCTAAAAAGAATTCCAGGTACAGATGCAAGATTACAAATTAATAGGACAGCTCTTAAAACTTCATTCATTCACTGAAGCCTGCTATGCACCAGACAACATGTTGGGTTCCAGGGACGCAATGAGAGAGAGAGAGTTGGGCAAGTTGGGGAGAGTGTGTGTGTTGCAAGCCTAATGACAATTTAAGTATGCTAACCTAGCTCCTTATTCAAAGGCATGTTATAATTCCTCTCCTAAAATGAAAATGTTCTGATTTAAAGCTATCCCTCTATTTAATACTTAAACACTGGAGGGTTCAAGAAATAGGCTGACCTGAGGGTTTAGGAAGCCTCAGAGTAGCTGGATTCAGCTTTTGAGACTCCCTGAATGGGATTCTACAGATGCAGGACCAGGGCCCACACCATCCCCTGAGTGACAGGGCAGCCACAAGCATCCTCCACTTCCCTAGCTCCAACACCACTTCCTGACTTGCTCCATGTGAATCTCTACCACTCACTGTGACATGTCCTGCAAAGTCCATTTGCGGCCACAGGGTCCACCCACTTCTCTGTGGATGAAAGAGGGTGGGGATTCCTGGAGGAATTAGGGTATCAGGCCTCTCCAGAGCTGCAGCTTGCAAACAAGAAGCAAAATAGACGAGAGATCAGGTAGCAGAGGGAGTGAAGGAAGTGACATGAATGGCTGGAATCATTCCTAGTCTCCACTCCAAAGATCTGCATTCTCTGGTGGGTCCAAGAGTCTGTATTTTTAACTCCTGGGTGATTCTGATGCAGCAAGTCTTGGGATCCTCAGGCCTGAATGTCCCACAAGCCAGAAAATTAGCCCCTGAATCCCAGTTGCTTTTACATAAAGTAAGAAAGTATGTGGATGGCCACTGGGACAGAAAGGTAGAAAGAGTTTCTGTGGGGCCCCAGGATCACTGAGTTCTAGTCCTGGCTCTACCCATACTGATAATATCGACCCAGTTGTCAACACCTCTGACTTCAGTTTTCTTACCTTTGAAGTAAGAAAATTGGGTAAAATAATCTCTAATCAAACTGAGAAAAAAGACACTAATTAGTTACACAAAAACCTATGAAAGTGTAAAACTCATGGATAAAATTAAGCACAGAGCATGGTGGCATGTACCTGTAGTCCTACCTATTCAGGAGGCTAAGGATTGCTTCAAGCCAGGGGGTCAAGACCAGACTGGATAATGTAGTGAGACACCATCTCTAAGGAAGAAAGAAAAGAAAAGAAAAGAGAAAGGAAAGGAAAAGAAAAAGAAAAAGAAGCACACAGTCACATTCAGAATACCTTAGTACTGTAATGGTAGTATATAAATCATTTATATCTTTAGCATCAAGGTTAAAAGACAAAACTATTAAAAATAAAATAGCTGCAATAATTTGTTAAGGGATACACAATATAAAAAGATGCAAATTGTGACATTAAAAACACAAAATGTAAAGGAGTTGGAGTAAAAGTGTAGAATTATTTTATGCAATCAAAGTAAAGTTGTTATCAGCTTAAAATAGCCTGTAATAACTATGAAATGTTTTATGTAAATCTTATGGTAACTACAAAGCAAAAAATCTATAGTAGATACACAAAATATAAAGTGTAAGGTATCAAAGCATACTACTAGAAAAAAAAATCATCTAATCACAAAAGAAGACAGCAAGAGAGGAAGAAAGGAACAAAAGATCTACAAAACAATTAGAAAAAATGGCAAATTATCTGTAGTAAGTCATTACCTATCAATAATTATCTTGAATGTAAATTGATTAAATTCTCTAATAAAAAGATATAGAGTGGCCAAATGGATTTTTAAAAAAGACCCAACTATGTGCTTCCCATAAAAGACTCATTTAACCTTTAAGGACATACATAGATTGAATATTAAAAAATGGAAAAATGTATTCCATCCACATGGAAACCAAAAGAGAGCAAGGGTAGCTATATTTGTATCAGATAAAATAGACTTGAAGTCAAAAGCTGTAAAACAAGACCAAAAAAGTCATTATATAATGATAAAGGAATCAGTTCAACAAGAAGATATAACAATTATAAATATATATGCATCAAATATCAGAGCACCTAAATATATCAAGCAAATGTTAAGAGATCTGAAGAGGGAGACAGCAATATATAGTAGGTGATTTAATATCCCACTTTCAACAATGGACAGATCATCTGGACAGAAAAGCAATAAGAAAACATTGGACTTGAACTACACTTTAGACTAAATGGACTTAACAGACATATACAGACCACTGTATCCAACAGAAGAAGAATACATATTCCTCTCCAGAGCACATGGAGCATTCTGCAGAATAGATAATAGTTAGGCCACAAAACAAGCCTCAACAAATTTAAGAAGAATAAAATCATATCAAATATTTTGTTTCAGCCACAATAGTATTAACCTAGAAATCAATAATAGGAGGAATTTTAGAAAATTTGCAAATATGTGGAAATTAAACAACATGGTCCTAAACAACCAATGGGTCAAATAAGAAATTAAAATAGAAATTTAAAAGTATCTTGGGACAAACAAAAATGTAAACTCAACATGCCAAAACACATGGGATGCAGCAAAGGTGGTTGTAAAAGGAAAGTTTATGGCAATAAATGCCTATATCAAAAGAGACTAAAAGTCCTAAATAAACAAGCTAATGTTATACCTCAAGGACCAAAAAAAAAAAAACAAAAAAAAAAAACAAAAAAAAGAAAAGAAAAACTAAGCCTTGAGTTAGTAGAAGGAAGGAAATAAAGATAACAGCAGAAATAAATGAAATAGAGACTAGAAAAACAGTAGAAAAGATCAATGGAAGTAAGAGTTGTTTTTTGACAAGGTAAAAATATTGACAAAACTTTAGCTAGACTAAAAAAGAAAGAGAGTAGTCTCAAAATAAAAATAAAAGAGGAGACATTATATGTGATACCACAGAAATACAAAGGACCATAAGAGACTATTATGAACAATTACATGCCAACAAATTGCATAATCTGGAAGAAATTAATAAATTCCTAGACACATCCAATATACCAAGACTAAACCACGAAGAAATAGAAAATATGAACAGACCAATAATGAACAAGAAGATTGAATCAAATATAAGCAGTCTCCCAAAAAATAAAAGCCCAGAACCTGATGGCTTCACTGCTGAATTCTACCAAACATTTAAAGAGGAACTAATACCAATCTGTTTCAAACTCTTCCAAAGAAATTGAAGAGGAGAGAAAACTGACAAACTTATTTTACAAGGCCAGCATTACCCTGATACCAAAGCCAGACAAGGACACGACAAGAAAAGAAAATTACAGGCCAGTATCCCTGATGAATATAGATGCAAAAATCCTCAACAAAATACTGGTAAACTGAATTCAATAGCACATTAAAAGAATTGTTCACCATTAGTAACATAGTACTGGAAGTCCTAGCCAGAGCAATTAGGCAAGAGAAAGAAACAAAAGGTACCCAAATCAGAAATTAAGATATTAAATAGTCTCTGTTTGTAGGCAACATTGTTTTATATTTAGAAAGCCCTAAATACTCTATCAAAAAACGGTTCAAAGTAATAAACAGACCCCACAGAAATACAAAAAAATCCTCAGGGATTATTATGAATACCTCTGTGCACACAAACTAGAAAACCTAGAAGAAATGGATACATTCCTGGAAACAAGCAGTCTCCCAAGATTGAACCAGGAAGAAATTGAAATTCTAAAGAGACCAATAATGAGTTCTGAAATTGAATTCAGCAATAAAAAGCATACCAACCAAAAAAAGCACCGGACCAGATGGATTCACAGCTGAATTCTACCAGATGTACAAAGAAAAGCTAGTACCAATCCTACTGAAATGATTCCAAAAAATCAAGGAGGAGGGAGTCCTCCTCAACTCATTCTATGAAGCCAACATCATTCTGATACCAAAGCCTGGTAGGGACACAACAGAGAAAGAAAACTTCAGACCAATATCTCTGATGAATATAGATGCAGAAATTCTCAACAAAATACTAGCAAACTGAATCCAGCAGTGAATCAAAAAGTTAATTCACTATGATAAAGTAAGCTTTATTCCTGGGTTGCCAGTTTGGTTTAACATATGCAAATCAATAAATGTGATTCACCACATACACAAAATTAACCATAAAACCCAAATTATTATCTCAATAGTTGCTGAAAAGGCTTTTGATAAAATTCAACATCGCTTTATGTTAGAAGCCCTCAACAAAGTAGGCATGAAAGGAACATACCTCAAAATAATAACAGCCTCAAAATAATAAGTTGCTGGCTGTGACAAACCCACAGCCAACATCATACTGAATGGGCAAAAGCTGGAAGCATTCATCTTGAGAACTGGAACAAGACAAAGATGGCCACTCTTACCACTCCTGTTCACCATAGTACTGGGGCAGATACCCTGGAGCTGTGGCCAATTCTGCTCTTTCTGTGGTGGTATCTGCTTTTCTGTGGCCTTAAAATGATTGTTCTTTTAAGTTTGTATCTTATCTGGTGGAAATAAGAAAAAAATCTAGCTTGCATAAATCTAGTATTGTTTACTTCTAATTCTGCGTGGGGGCCTGGATATATTCATAAGCAAAAATTTGTAGATAATCACCAACTTAGGAGTTGACAAGGCCCCGGGTGCCCAGGCCTCTCTGGAGCTGCAGCTCGCAAACACTAAACAAAACAGACCAGAGATCAGGTAGCAGAAGGAGTGAGAAAAGACACATGATTGGTTGGAATCATTCCTAGTCTCCCCCTCAAAGATCTAGAGTCTCTGGTGGGCCCAGAAGTCTATATTTTTAACTCCCGGGTGGTTCTGATGCAGCAAGGCTTGGGAGCCTGTGGCCTGAATGACCCACAAGCCTGCATCCCAGTTGGGTTTACATAAAGTAAGAAAGTCTGTGGATGGCCTCTGGGACAGAAAGGTGGAAAGAACCCCTGTGGGAACCCAAGATCACTATGTTCCACTCCTGGCTCTGCCCATACTGACAATACTGACGCAGTTGTTAACTCCTGTGACCTCAGTTTTCTTACCTTTGAAGTAAGAGAACTGGGCAAAATAATCTCTAATCCTTTCCGTTATGAATTTCTCTGACTTTTGAGAGTTGAATTCCTTATTGCAGGGTAAGCATATTTATAAAGGAATTGGGATCAGTCCCCAGAGAGGAGTTGTGATATTTTTAGCATTGCCTCCTGATTCTGTTAAGGAATTGGCACCCAGCTCTCTCATCTTCCTTCCCTCCATTAGGTCAGTGATCTGTGACCCAGGGGCTGATCTCTCCTTCCCCAATTCTAAGAAATCTCTCTTCTTACTCTCTGCTCTTCCTGCCACTGGAAGCCTCAGAATCACCGTTTTCAAATCTGGCTGTATAATACAGTCTCCAGGGAGCTTTTATACATACTAATACCCCAGACAATTGAATCAAAATCTTGGGGGCAAGCCTTCAGCATCTGCATTTTTAAAGCTTGCTGCTTGCTGGTGATGCCCAAGAAGGTTCAAGCCACTGAGCTAGGATATCCCAGAGCTGGTCTGAATTCAGCACGGGTGACTGAGTCTCTAGATGCCTCTTTCCCCAAGTAAAGGCAGTGAGAGTGTAGGGTTAGATTTGCTGCATCACCAGGTCTTCTCTGCTTAGTCCTACATGCCAGCATTTTAGATACACCAGATCAATACTTTCAGGAGCAAGCATCACATATATGTAGAAGTAAAATGAAAAAGCCAGGACAAGTGGCACCACCACATACGCCTTGTTGACCTAGGTCAAGTCTCTTAAGATTCCATTTTCTCATTTGCAACATGAAGCTGGCATTTCCCTTTGACCTTACAGGGTTGTTAGGTGGATCAAATAGGATAATGTTTGTGAATTTGCTCTATAAACTTTAAATACAATGAGCTTAAACACCTTGTATGTAGACGTTCACAAATTCAACAAATATGATGTCTATCATACCCAAACTAATGTATAGGTTCAAGCAAAACTAATACCAATCAGAATCCCAGCAAGCTTTTTTTTGTAGAAAGTGACAAGTTGATTCTAAAATTTGCATGAAAATGTGAAGACCCTTAAATAGTAAAAACAGTTCTGAAAAAGCTGCGCAAACTTGAAAAACTCACATTACCTGATTATGAAGCAACAGTGCTCAAGATAGTGTAGTATCAGTGTAAATATAGGTATATAGTTCAATGAAATAGAATAGTGAATCCCAAAATAGACTCACGTATATATGATCATTTGATCTTTGACAAGGTTGTCAAGGCAATTTAATCCAGAAAGGACAGTCTTTTCAGAAATGGAACATAAACATAAATGAAAGAACTCCAGTAGTTTTATACATAAACTACTAGAAGAAAACATAGGAGAAAAATCCTAGTGACCTTGGCCTAAGCAATTATTTATTAAATAAGACACAAAAAGCAAGAATTGATAAATTAGAGTTCAACAAAATTTAAAACTTCTGTTCTTCCAAAAACAGTGCTAAAAAAATTAAAAAGCAAGACATAGGCTGGCAGAAATTATTTCCAAAACATGTATCTGACAAAGGACTTGTATCCACAATATATGAAGAATACACACAACTAAATAAAAAGAAGACAAAAGCTCCAACTTAAAAAAATGGGCAAAATATTTAAACATATACTTTACTAACAAAGATATATGTATAACAAATGAATACATGAAAAGATGCTCGCCATCATTAATGTTAGATACTGCTGCACACCTACTAGAATAGCTAAGATTAAAGATACTGTAGCAAGGATATGAAATGACTGGAACTCCCATGCATTGATGATCAGAATGAAAAGTGTTATGATAACTTGGTAGGGCAGTTTGGCCACTTTCCTAAAGTTCAGCATACACGTACCATATGATCCAGAAATTCCACTCTTACCGTATGTCCACTATGACTCACTTGAAAACTTCCTTATTAGCTCTCTTCATAACAGCCAAAAAGTAGAAATAACTTAAATGTTAATCAACTGGTGAACCTATAAACATAGTATGGTATATCCATACAATGGAATATTCAAAGAAAACTCAAAGAGAAAGTAATGGGCTAGCAATATGTGCATCAGCGTGAATGTACTGCCAAAACAATATACTAAAGGAAAGAAGTCAGACACAAAGACTGCATACTATTTGATTTCATTTATATGAAATTCTGCAAAAGGCAAAACTACACTAACAGAAAGCAGATCAGAAGTTGTCAAGGGCCAGGGGGTGGGAGGAGGGGACTGAATGCAGAGGAAACTGGGGGAAATCTTTGGAGTGATGAAAATATTCTGTCATGACTGTAGTGATAGCACAGAACTATATGCATTTGTCAAAACCCACTGAATTGTTTAATCAAGATTGGTGAATTATGTATATAAATTATTAAAATTCAAGAAAAATGACAAAAGTTATTGAAGGTTTTTTTGTGCCAGGCACTGGGCTGGGAATATCAAGAGAAATCGGACATGGCTCCTTCCCGTAAGAGCTTGCAAAAACAAAAAAGTGCAATAAAGCATTGCAAGTGTTGTGACAGAGATCTGTATACAAGATAGAGAAGTTGATTCTAACCAGGGGCAGCACAGCAGGCTAGGTGGTGTTTGTGCCAAGTCTTAAAAGATAGGTAGCTATTTGCCAATCAACAAAGGAGAGAAAAACGATTCTAGGCAGCAAGAGCAGAACAAAGCCTTGCAAGCTCGAAATAGCTTAATATATTCCAGGAAATGCAAATAGTTGGTTGAAGCATAAGGTTCCAGGAAGAGTGTGTCCAGAGATGAACATGTGGATGGTGGCAGAGTTTGAAGGATTGCATACCATGTACTAAGATGTTAAGGTGTTATCCTATAGATAAACTAAAAAATTAAGTGGTTTTATATATATTCAATTGGGGGTCTTATGAATATTACTCTGGAAGCAAAAAGGAAGGAAGATTAAAGAGTGGTGCTAGCTAGATTGAAAGCTGGGAGACGAGTTAGAAGACTATTGCAGTCATTCAGATAAGATAAATCATGATTTTGTTATTTGGAGTAGAATGATATAGAGGGGAGATTTTTGAGAGCTGTTAAAACAATAGATCCGGACAGAAGGGCTTGAGGGTGCTGCATGAGAATGTTGAAGAGTCTAAGATGGCTCCTTGGATTCTGGCATGGGTGACTGGGTGGCTGGAGGTGACATTTGTCAAGATCGAGAATGCAAAGGAAGAGCATATTTGGGAGGGAAACATGAGTTCAGTTGGAGGCATGTTGAGTTTTCTATGGTCCGTTCTAGTGGAATATTTAAAGGGAGATAAAATACCCAATAATAAAATTCAGAAGAGAGATCTAGACTATATGTGTAGTTCAAAGTGATCCATGCATAGATAGCATCAAAGCCAAGGAATGCATGAGATTTCCCAAGGCAATCACACAGAGTAGCAAGGAGGGCATGTATTATGAAAGGGATAAGCAGAGAATGGGAAACCTTAAAAGAAGTTGAGAAATAAGAGGAGTGATGTCAGCAAGAGGACTAGCTAGAGGTTCCTTGGGCTCACCCCTAACAAGAAAGGACAAAGGTAATAACAATTAAGATTCAACTGGACTGTCAAAGGGAGAGTGGTGGAGTGCTGCAGGGGAGTGGAGAGGTGCCTATGGGCATTTGGAAGCCCCGAAGGGCAGTGTAGAAAAGGGAGTGAGGCACCCTGACTCTACTGCTTCATCTCCTTTGCCTGGATTGGCCCAAAGTAAGGAGGCACTTCCCCTTGCAGGGAAAAGGTAAGCAGAAGAACCCCACCAGCCTCCACTGTCACCACAAACACCTGTAGTCCTCACTACAGAAGAATCCTATAGCCCTTGTAAGCCCTAAGCCCAGCTTGGGGAATTGCTAGGAATTCACACAGCTGTACTTCTCTAGATTAGGAGCACAGGGTGTGTACTCCCAACTCTCACCCACCCACTGTGAGCCAAGCTGCTACAGCACAGCACTATCTTGATACCAGAGCTACTTCTGGAGTGTGCCTACTCTAAGGCCAGGAGCTGCTGTACCTCCTGAGCCCTAGGGCTCCTTTTTCATTCCACCAAGCCCACCACATGGCTGACTGCAATGCTTCTACCCAAGCTGCATGAAACATAGGCCAAGGATTATCTGTGACTCTAGTCCTGTACAGCAGGAAAACCAACTCCCATCACCGGCACTACTAATCAGAGGAACAGTCTAGTGGACCTATCCAGGACAGTTCCACCCTTTAGCCAGCCAAACTGCCACATGCCCTCGGCCAAGTAGGAGAGGCCTTCATGCCACTGAGGAGCTGATATGCTCACACGTTGGCTAAGTGGTTGCATGTCTGTGTCCAGAGCCTGAGGAACAGCCTAGTGGGCCCCCCCATGGTGGATGTGCCCCTAGCATCTCTGTTCCCATGCCTGGGGCCTGAGAAACCACCTGGTGAACATGTCCCTGGCAGATAGGCTCCAGGCCAACTGAGCAGCCTTGTGCCCTGCCCCTGGTCAGAGAAACAGCCCAGTGATAGCACCCTGGCAGACGTGTCCCTGAGCCTGCTAAGATCTGCACACTTGTGCACCTAGCCAGAGTAACCTCACCATAGCCCCCAAACCAGCAAGTCAAACCCCAAGTTGTTAACCTACAATGTGCATGCACATAACCGCAGCCTAAGAAACAGACCAGTGAGCCCACCCCACTCCTGGTAAAGCTTTGCCACCACTGCCCCCAAACTCTTGTAGTCTAGACCACTGAGATACCCACAGACATCACTAGCATGGATTACAGCTGAAGAAACTACATGGAAATTACACTATTGCATCCACCTAGAACCAAAGTCAATGCACTCTACCCAACCAACACCCTAAGATCCATATATAGGAATAAGTCTTTCCCTATGAAACCTACTCCATAAAATTTGAAGAGGCAACTGTTCCATCAAGTGCATAGAAATCAGCAGAAGAACACATCAAACATGGAAAATAAAGGCAACATGACACTTCCAAAAGAACACAGGGATTCTCCAATAATTGACAACAATCATAAGGAAATAGGCAAAATGTCATAAAACATTTCAAAATAATAATCTTAAGGAAAGTCAGTGAGATACAAGGAAGTACCGATAGGCAATTCAATGAATCAGAGAAACAATTTATAATTTAAATGAGAAATTTAACGAAGAGGTAGATATTAAAAACAAAACAAAATGGAACCCTTAGAGCTAAAGACTTTAATGACTAAAATAAAAATACAGTTGAGAGCTTCAACAAGAGTAGACCAAACAGAAAAAAAGCATTTCTAAACTTGAAGTCTTGTGAAATAACTCAGGCAGAGAAAAAAGGGACAGAGAAAGAAAGGAAAAAAAGAATAAAGCCCATGGGATTCATGGGACACCATTAAATGAATAAATATTTGCATTGTGGGAGTTCCAGAAGGAGGAGAGTAGGGAAACAGTGTAGAAAAATCAATGTAATACCATAATAGCTGAACACTTCTAAAATCTTTGAAGAGAGATGGAATATCCTGATTCAGGAAGCTCAAAGATCTCCCAAATATATTCACCCCAAACAGGTCCTCTCCAAGGCACATTATAACCAAATTGTCAAAAGCTGAAGACAAAGAAAGAATTCTAAAAGCGGCAAAAGAAAAACATCAAGTCACATACAAGAGAATCTGCATTAGACTAACAGCAGATTTCTTAACAGAAACCTTCCAGGCCAGGAGAGAGTGGAATGATACATTCAAACTACTGAACAAAAAACCTGCCAACCAAGAATACTATACTCGGCAAAGCTATTTCTTAAATGAAGAAGAAATAAGCTCTATCAGACAAGCAAAAACTGAAGGAATTTATGACCACGAGTTCAGCCTTACAAGAAATTCTTAAGGGAGACCTACCTCTGGAAGCAAAAAAGGTAATAACTATCATAATGAAAACAGATGAAATTATAAAACTCATTGGTACACAACAGAATGAAGGACAAAAACCATATGACCATTTCAAAATATGCAGAGAAAGCATTTGATAAAATTCAAAATCTGTCCTGACATCTCTGTCAACATCTCTTCATGACAAAAATTCTCAATAAATTAAGTATAGAAGAAAAGTACCTCAACACAATAAAGGCCATGTATGCCAAACCCATAGCCAACATCACACTGAATGGGGAAAAGCTGACGGCTTTTCCTCTAAAAACTGGAAGAAGACAAGGATGCTCATTCTCACCACTCTTATTCAGCATAGCACTGAAAGTCCTAGCCAGAGCAATTAGGCAAGCAAAAAATAATAATAGCAATAAAGGACATTCAAATTGGAAAGGAGGAAATCAAATTGTCTCTGTGTGCAGAGGATATGATATTATACATAGAAAAACCTAAAGTCTGCACAAAAAAAAAACCTCTTAGAACTGATAAAGTTGCAGGATACAAAATCAAGACACAGCAAGTAGCATTTCTATATGCAACAGCAATCAATCTGAAAAGGAAATCAAGAAAGCATTTTCATTTACAATAGTCCCAAAAAAATCAAATACTTAGGAATAAATTTAACCAAGGAGGTGAAAGATCTCTACAAGGAAAACTATAAAATACTGATGAAAGAAATTAAAGAAGTCACACACAAAAAATGGAAAGACATCCCATGTTAATGGACTAGAAAAATTAGTATTTTTTAAATGACCATACTCCTCAAAGTAATCTACAGATACAATGCAATCCTGACCAAAATACCAATGACATTCTTCACAGAAAAAGAAAAAATATCCTAAAATTTGTATGGAAATGCAAAAGACCCCAAATAGCAAAAGCAATCCTGAGCAAAAAGAACAAAGCTGGAGGCATCACACTACCCAATTTCAGAATATACTACAAAGCTATAGTAACCAAAACAGCATGGTACTGGCATAAAAACAGACACATAGACCAATGGAACCAAATAGAGACCTCAGAAACAAATCCACACTTTTACAGCCAATTGATTTTTGACAAAGGTGCCAAGAACACACACTAGGGAAAGGGTTTCTTCAATAAGTGATGCTGGAAAAACTGGATATCCATATGTAAAAGAATAAAACTAGATCCCCATCTCTCATCCTATAAAAAAATTAACTCAAAATGGATTAAAGACATAAATTTAAGACCCAAAACTATAAAACTACTAGAAGAAAACATAGAGAAAATGCTTCAGGACATTGGTCTGGGAAAAGATTTTATGAATAAAACCTCAAAAGCACAGGCAACCAAAGCAAAAATAAATAAATGGGATTGTATCAAACTAAAAAGCTTCTATGGAGCAAAGGGAACAATAGAGTAAAAAGACAACCTATATAATAGGAGAGAATATTTGGAAACTATTCAATTAACAGGGAATTAATATCCAGAATACACAAAGAATTCAAACATCTCAACAGCAAAAAAAAAAAAAAAAAAAATTCAATTTAAAAATGGGCAAATGATGTGAACAGACGTTTCCCAAAAGACATACAAATGTCCAATAAATATATGAAAACAATGCTCATCATCACTAATCATGAGGGAAATGCAAATCTAAACCACAAGGGGATATCATCTCACCCCAGTTAGAATGGCTATCACTGGCCAGGTCAGGTGTGGTGGCTCATGCCTGTAATCCCAACACTTTGGGAGGCTGAGGTGGATGGATCACATGAGGCCAGGAGTTTGAGTGGCCAACACTGCGAAACCCTGTCTCTACTAAAGATACAAAAATTAGCCTGGTGTGGTGGCACACGCCTGTAATCCCAGCTACTCAGGAGGCTGAGGCACTAGAATCACTTGGACCTGGGAGGCAGAGGTTGCAGTGAACAAGATCCTGCCACTGCACTCCAGCCTGGGTGACAGAGCAAGACTCTGTAACAGAACAAATGTTGGTAAGGATGCATAGAAAAGGGAATTCTGAGGAACTGTTGTGAGAATGTAAACTAGTACAGTCATTATGTAGAACAGAACGGAGGCTCCTCCAAAAACTACAAATAGAACTACCATATGATCCAGCAATCCTACTACTTGGCATTTATCCAAAAAAAGGAAGTCAATATGTCAAAGAGATATCTTCACTCCATGTTTATTACAGCACTATTCGCATTAGCCATGATACAGAATCAACCCAAGTGTTCAACAACTGATGAACAGATAAAGAAAATGTGGCATGTATACACAATGGAATACTATTCAACCATAAAAAAGACTGAAATCTTGTCATTTGCAGTAACATGGATGAGTCTGAAGGACATTATGTTAAGTGAAATGTCAGGAACAGAAAGTTAAACACTGCATGTTCTTATTCATATGTAGAAACTAAAAAAGCTGATCTCATGGAAGGCTAGTAAGGCAAAGTATCTAGAGTCTGGGATGGGTTGAGGGAAGAAAGGATGGGAAAGATTTGTTAGAGGATACAAAATTATAGCTAGATAGGAAGAATAAGTTCTAGTGTCTTATAGCACTGTAGGGTGACTATAGTTCACAATAATATAGTATATATTTTCAAATACCTAGAAGAGAGGATGTTGAATGTTCCCAACACAAATACATGATAAATATTTGAGATGATGAATATCCTAATTACCCTGATTGATCACTACACATTGTATGTATTGAAACATCACTATGTACTCCATAAATATGTACAATTATTATGTGTCAATTAAAAATCAGTTTAAAAAATTTTGAGGTGAGAGTACTGGTCAAAGAGGCAGAGATGAACCAGGGAGTGCAGTGTTATCAGAGAAGCCAAAGAAAAAGGGAGCTTTTAGGAAAGGAATGGTCACCACCATCAAATGCCACCTGAAGGTCAAACATGACAAGAAAGAGTCCATTGGAATTGCCCAGTGGAAGATCGTTGGTGTTATGTCCCAGAGTGGTTGCTATGAGGTTGCAGCAGCAGTCTGATGACAGAAGGCCAAGGAATGAGTGAGCTGGCGGGGAGTGGAGATAGTGGGCAGGCAGTTTGGCTGTGGAGTGAAAAAGAGAGAAAGGGAGTGAGTGGGTAGGGAGAGATGTAGGATCAAAGTATTTGTTTCTAAAACATTGAAGAGACTTAAATTTTATCCGTTGTTGAGGAAAAGCCAGTGGAGTGGAATAAGTTGAAACTATACGAGAGTAGCCCAGGGAATAAGTCTTAGTCATGAAGGAGACAGGAAGGGTAGAAATAGGAAGAGGACTCCTTTTCCTCTGGGAAGGCAGAAGGAAGCAGAGGGCAGGTACAGATATGGGTAATTTTGAAGGTTTGGAGGTAGAAGCTGAGGGAGTTCACAGCTGAAGACTAATTTCTCAATGAGGAAATAAGTGAAAGTTGGCATGACTGTTGCAAGGTATTGGAAAGGAAGCTAATTTGTGAATTGACAAGGGCACTGAAGGTTGGACTCCATATATCTGCCCTCTGTTTAGAAGGGTTTTGTGACTTTTCTGGATCAGGATTGAGCTGCCTATGTGTGGCATCCAGGAAAATAGATCACTGGATTGATCCGATGTTTGGATGAAATAGGAGGATGTGGTACAACAGCAAGGTGATGAGGACACTTGCGGATTTATTAACACAGTGGAGAAAAATGGGGAACTCCAGGAGGAACCGGGCTGGATGAAGAGAAGGTACAACCATGGTGATAGAATTGATGGGAGAGAGACAGAGATCAGAGGCAGAGGGGTCTCTGAGAGCATGATAAGCTGATGTATTGACAGAGCAGGCTGATATAAGGTTATGATCAAGAGTAGGATGCTCAAGTATAAGATTTAAAAGGGAAGAGGTTCTAGGCAATGCCAAGATCTAAACTATGGGCATGGGACTGGGAGAGTGAGGTGAAGGAGAGTGAAAGTCATGGTATCTAGGACAGGATAGTGCATGAGTCTTCCCATAAATGTTAAAGTCCCCAAGATGATGTGGGTAAAGAGGAGTATTGGCCGGGTGTAGTGGCTCATCCCTGTAATCCCAGCACTTTGGGAGGCCAAGGTGGGCGGATCACGAGGTCAAGAGATCGAGATCGTCCTGGCCAACATGATGAAACCCCATCTCTACTAAAAATACAAAAATTAGCTGGGCATGGTGGCACGTACCTGTAGTTCCAGCTACTCGGGAGGCTGAGGCAGGAAAATCGCTTGAACTCGGGAGGCGGAGGTTGCAGTGAGCCGAGATTGCACCACTGGACTCCAGCCTGGTGACAGAGTGAGACTCCGTCAAAAAAAAAAAAAAAAAAGAGTATTGTGAGCAAGGTATCAAAGTCCTCAATAAATGGGAAAGGGAAGACAGGAAGGTCACAAGACATCAGCCATATGTATGACGACTGTGGCCTGGACTTCAAAGGAAAGGCTTGTGCAAAAGAGTAGCAGAGTAATGGTCTGAAAAAAGCAACAGGGAGCAAGTAAGCTGCCAGCAACCGAGGGTTCAAAGATGTTTGAGGCATAAAGGAAAATGAGGTGCTCACTTGAAAAACAGGGTGGGAGATGTTCTTGGGGCTTGGCCAGGTTTCCAGCAGGAGTAGGAGGTGAAAGAGTTTAAAGATGATGGCACAATTGATCTGGATTATAACAAGGTACAGATTGGGAGGGAGGGAGGGTGCTGCTTCTGGGAAACTGGGGAGAAGGAAGCATGGCATGGTCTGGGGACATGAGGATACTGTGAGGCCCACATCTTGGCTGGCAACTTAAGATGGCAGGGCTGAGGTACAGGTGGAGTTTGTTGGCCTCAGGCAACTAAATGTGGAGGCCTAGGAGTCTTAGATGCAAATAGAGTGTGATGAGTTTTGCTGATGCCTTGGAGGAGGAAGAACCAGAGACTCTATACACAGATCATGCCTGGAAAAGACTCCTGCCTGGGAGGCTGAAGAGCAATGTCTTAGGACATTTGCCACTTGGTGGAATTAGCAGTTGCTTATGATTAGTTGGAGGACAAAGATTTTGCCTGCGGATTTTCTTTAAAGGGCAAACATTATTCCAATAGGTCTCCGAATAGATATTTATTCAACTGAATTGAGATAAAGAGTTGAGCACATCAGTTACTTGTGGAATAATAGAACTTCAGAGCAAAAGGACCTATGGGAAGGAGTCCACTCCTCATACGCATTTAGTGATCTCCATGCTCAGGCCCTTGTCTCTTGTCCCAGCTCATCCTGGCCCCCTCCTGCCACTGTCACAAGGGTTGCCCTTCAGCAATCTCCTGTGAACATACTTCCCTAGACCTGTCTGGCTCTTTTGTACCTTTCTGCACATGCTATCTCTTTTTTTGGAAGGAATCTTCCCCACTTCTGTCTGGCTAACTCCTACTCATTTTTCAAGTGTCAGGCAAAGCCAAATGTTTCTTCCTCCTTAAGCTCTTTTTGGCTCTCCCAGGCCTACTTAGGGACTCCTTCTGCTACATTCCTACTATGCTGTCTCATACTTTCTTTAAAGCAATGATCTTATCCCAGTAGAATTCCTTGCCTGTCTCTTCACTAGACTGTAAACTCTTGAAGTTAAGAACTGAGCCTGTTCACATTATAGCCTAGCTCCTAGAACAGTGACAAGAACGTTATAGGGTCTCAATTACTAGTTGAACCATGAATGAATGAATGAATGAATGAATGAATGAATGGAATATATAAATAAATAAAAAGGAACAAGCAAATGAACAAACAAGGGAATGAGTAGTGGAGAGACACTTTGGGGTCAAACAGAGCCTGGGACTCCTATCTTTATTCTGTAATTCATTGTTTTATGACTTAGAGCAAGTTATGCAATTTATTATCTACACAAAGGTCATAATAATACATTCCTTAATTGGAAAAAAAAATCTATAAACTGCCTGCCGCAGAGATGGCACAGGACACATTGTAGCCATTGTGTTACTTCCAAAGTTCCCAGAGTCTGGTAATGTGAAAGGAGTGTCTGGAGGGGGAAAATACTAGCTCTTCCTGGAAAGAACTGCCTCATTCCTTACCTTTCCTCCCCGGATGCACCATCATCCTTCCAGCTCTGTTAATCTTTTATTCAGACACTGCCTGTAAATTGTCTCTCAGATTCTACCTTTTCCATTATTTCTGTCTTTACTACCCTTATTTGGGTTTGGATTGTGTCAAAAAGTCTCCTAATGGCTTGCTTGACTCTGATCTCTCTACTGAGCAGTATGTAACAGCCCTCTGCTCAATCACTTGCCATGGGTCCATGTTGCCTTTTTTTTTTTCTTTTCTTTTTAGACATGGTCTCGGTCTGTCACCCAGGCTGTAGTGCAATGGCACAATCTCAGCTCACTACAGCCTCTGCCTCCTGGGTTCAAGCAATTCTCCTGCCTCAGCCTCCCGAGTAGCTGGGATTACAGGTGTGCACCACCACACTTGGCTAATTTTTGTATTGTTAGTAGAGGGAGGGTTTCACCGCTGGTCAGGCTGGTCTCAAACTCCTGGCCTCAAGTGATCCATCCACCTCAGCCTCCCAAAATGCTGCGATTACAGGCGTGAGCCACCACGCCCTGCCCCTGTTGCCTTTTGATTAAAATCTAAATTATTTACCTTCATGGTCAAGGCTTTCTATGAATGAGCTCCACAGTAGCTGGTCAGTTTCCCCTTTCACTGCTCACTGTCCTACAACTGGTTATTCTGTTTCTTTCTCCACTTCTGTCATTGCTAATCTCTCTCATTAGAATATTCTTTCCACTCTTCTTAAGCAGTTGACATCTGATCCTTCTAAGTTTAGCTAAAAACTGGTCTTCTCCTTTAAACGTTCTTTGACTGTTCCCACTGTACATCATGGCCTTTCTTTCTTGCACTGATTCCCTTCTACACTTTTGAATTAAGTCTGGACTTAATTTCTACCACCTTATTTGTAGATTGCTACAGAATTTTTCTGGAGCTATTTTATGTCTTCATCTCATATTCAAACTTTCAAATACAAGGGCTGTATCCCTTGTTTCTGTTGTGTAACCCCAAACACCTGGCACACTGCTGGGCTTTGTATAAGTACTTAAGTGCATGCCTATTTCAGATTCTCGACCTTCTTATCCCAGGAGCAGCAGGGCATATATAATATCCCTGTAGCAGACTGAATGATGGCCCCCAAAGCTATCAGGCCCTAACCCCCAGAGCCTGTAAACGTCACTTTGCATGGAAAAAAAGGTCTTTGCAGATGCGATACACTTTAGGCTGTTGGGATGAGGAGATTATCCTGAATTATCTGGGTGGTCCCTGAATGCCGTTACTAGTGTCCTTATAAGAGAGAGGTGGAAGGAGCTTAGATACACACACACAATAAGAGAAGACAATGTTATCACAGAGGCCAAGGTTGGAGTAATGGGGCCACAAGCCAAGGCATACTCTTTCTACTTAAGGCACAACTTTCCTCTAGAATCTTGGAGGGAGCTTGGCCCAGCTGACGCATTGATCTCAGCCCAGTGAAACTGAGTTAATACTTCTGGCCTCCGGAACCATCAGTCAGTAAATCTGTGTTGTTTAAAGTCACCAAGTTTGTGGTACTTTGTTATACATGCCACAGGAAACTAAGATAATCATCATATTCATATTTATAGATTAAATTGGAGAAATACTTAAATGGGATGATTTACCTGCAAAAGAGAAGTAAAAGGTTGTGGAAAAAAATTAGACTCTCTTGAAAGGACTTAGGAAGAGATCCTCCTTCCTTCAGGTCGATCCCGGGTATTTGCAGTAGTGCCCTCACTTCAAATCTCTGGGGACTGCTGGAAGGACCCAGCGTCATAGGAGCAGGCACCCTACATGTGCTGTTTTACTTAATCCTCTTAATAACCTTTGAGTTAGATACTATTAGTTATGCTTACTTTACATACAAGGAAACCAAGGTTCAGAAAAAATAAGGGCTTGTCCCAAGCTGCACAGAACCTCATTTGCTGAAGGGGGCTCCAAACTCTGGTGTGTGAAGGTCTCTTTCTTCTACTGTATGTCTCTGCATCCAGCTCTTTTAAGCCTCAGCCACTTCCACTGTCTCAGTCAGTGATTAAACGAGTATGTTTTGCAGCCAGATAAACCCTCGACTCAAATCCCTGCTCCGCCACTTACTATTGCTAAAGATGCTTAACTTCTTTAAGCCTCAAGTTCCTCATTTATAAAATGGAGATGGGGGTGGTGGTGGTGGTGGTGGTGTAAATGGTGCTGTTCTGAAGTTGAAATGAGATAATGTATACAAAGCTCTTCCCACAGTGCCCAGCACACAGTGAAGTCTCAGTATAGCTTAACGATCACTTTTATTGCTGTGCTGTTTTTTAAATAGGTTCAGAAATTCTCTTATAATCTCAATCTGTTCAAATTCTGGTGATCCGATTCATACCACTTTATAAACCAGAATACCAAATTATTAGTTCACAGTAAGTGTGCCAAGCCAACCAGATACTATGTTACTCTCCGTACGTCTTCCCTTGGGACAGTGCCTCGGACACACTGAGAAATTCTCATTACCTACCTTGCATTATTATAGCTTCTGATGAGATGATTACTTCTCTCTTTCTAATGTCATTTGAGTTTCTTTTCATGGCATATCACATTTCCAAGTTAATTTTCTTTGAGCTATAGCAGTGAAATTCTCCTTAATTGAAACCTTCAATCAGAAAAGGATAACCCTTCTCTGACCTTGAGTCCAAGATCCTGGGCTCTGTCTTGCTTTGGGGACTGTAATCTCTCCCCCTGTTCATTGATGATACTGTTTATCCTTAAAGGAAAGAAAGGCAGGTTTTTATTTTGGGGGAAGATTAGGTATTATATAGAGTTCCAAAGAATTTCCTGCTGGAAATCTCAGCAGCAGAGGAGCAAGTGTGTTAGTCAAAGACCCTATTGATGGAAAGGGAATGGCAGCAAGTGTCCTCAGCTGCCCTTAGATGTCTTTCCTGAGATGTTTATCTGGGAGTAGGTCTTACATTTCTTACATTTACAAAGGAGGCTGAGGGACTGCTGTCTTAAGTATAGGAACCAGTGGGAGCTCCCTCCGAGAGCAGCCCTGAAAAGATGTGAAATTCCTTTGTGTCCAATGGCAAGACCTGAGTGGGTAATCACAGAATGCTCCTAAATCAAACCTGGATCCTGGCCCCAGAGTTAGTCAAACATATTCTCTGCTGTCCTTGTTTCTGTCCATTCCTCTCTTTTCCTTTTTTCTTTTTCTCCTACTCTTCCTTGTATTTTCTTTTCTTGTGTGTGTGTGTGTACCTCCACAGATACTCTAATTAAAGCAACAATTTGGATAAAGCATTTAATTTGGAATTAAATGAGCTTTTATTGTAACTCCTTTTAAAATTATATAAAAATCCTGAAAGGCTAACATAGGAGTATCAGGAAAGAGCAAATCTCAAATATCTTATTTGATAAAGTAAGCTCTAAATATGGTTTTAGAGTTATAGTCTCCCCAGAATCAAGCTTCAAATCTTAGCCTCCCATTCAGCTGCTTGTGTGTATGTCTAGCCGGACTGTTCATTTTCTCCTACATTAGGAAATAGAGTGTGTTATATTTAGGGGTCTCATTTGCTCACATTCCTAATGTGCCCTCTTGTCCTGTCTTCATTTTGGATGATTGAGCTTTTCTCCTGGTTGATGGACTGGGTGGTTTTAGTAATATCGTGAGTCATCACCCCAAGCCTTGACATTGGCTGTAATGAAATTTCTAAGGCATTAAGCACGACAACCCAAAGAAATATCATACTGTAATGAAGGTTTGGTTTTCTGGCTACACTGAAAATCACTTTTCCTCCTCTTAGAAGAAAACATGGGCAAAAAGCTTCTTGTAGACATTGAACTGAACAATGATTTCTTGGATATGATATAAAAAATAAAGGCAACATAAGCCAAAATAGACAACTGGGATGGCTTAAAACTAAAAAGCATCTCCACAACAAAGGAAGCAGTTGACAAGATGAGAGGGCAACCTAGAGAATGGCAGAAAATATTCACAGACCATATAGCTGATAAGGAATTAATATCACAAACATATAAGGAACTCCTAAAACTCAGTAGCAGGAAGAAACCTGATTTTAAAATGGAGAAAAGTCCAAAGATGACATATGAATGGCCAATATGTATATGAAAAGGTGCTTGATATTACTAATCATAAGGGAAATGCAAATTAAAACCACAACAAGGTAACAACCCACAAACATTAGGATGGCTATGATGTGAAAAACAAAGGACAACAAGAGGTAGCGAGGATGTAGAGAAAAGGGAATCCTTGTACACTGTTGATGGAAATGTAAATTGGTACAGCCACTATAGAAATTAACTTGGAGCTTCTGCAAAAGCTTAAAAATAGAGGTCTCTAGATGAAGGCAGACCAAGATGGTGGAATAGAAGCCTAGTGATCATCCCCTCTGCACAGGAACACCAAATTAAACAACTATCCATGCAAAAAAGCACCTTCATGAGAACCAGAAATCAGGTGAGTGATCACAGTACGTGGTTTCAACACTGAAGAGGTCAGGAAAGACAATCTTGAATTGCCTACACCAACCTTCTTCTGTTTCCTGGCAGCCCATGGATGATGCAGAGAGAGAGTTTGTGTTCTTGAGAGAGAGAGACAGAGAGCAAGGTGATTACGGGGCTTTGCATTGGAAATCGGTGCTGCCCAGTCACAGTGCAAAGCAACACTGGGCAGAACCCAGCTGATGTCCATGGAGGGAGCATTTAGACCAGTCCTAGCCAGAGGGGAATTGTCCATTCCAGCAGTCAGAAAATGAGTTCAGCAAGCCCCATCACTATGGACTAAAGTGCTCTGGGGTCCTAAATAAACTTGAAAGGCAGAATAGGCCACAAGGACTGCAACTCCTGGACAAGTCCTTGCACTGTGCTGGGCTCAGAGCCAGTGGACTTGAGATGCATATGACCTAGAGAGGCGCCAGCTCTGCTGGCCAAGAGAGTGCTTACATCACCCCTCCCCCAGTTCCAGGCAGTGCAGCTCACAGCTGCAGGAGAGACTCTTTCCCTCTGCTTGAGGAAAGGAGAAGGGCGAGTAAAGGAGGATTTGTCTTGCAACTTGGATGCCAACTTAACCACAGTAGAATAGGGCACTGGGCAGAGTCCTGAGGCCCCTATTCTAGGTCATACCTACAGGACATCTCTAGACTCACCCTGGGTCAGAAGAGAACCTGCTGGCTTGAAGGGAAGGACCCAGTCATGTCAGGATTCATTATCTGCTGACCAAAGGGTCCTTAGGCCCTGAATAATCAGCAGTGGTAACCAAGCAGTATTCACCATGGACCTTGGGTGACATTCAGAGCCATGTTGGCCTCAGGTGTGACCCAGCACATTCCTAGCTGTGGTGGCTATGGGGAGAGACTCCTTCTGTTTGAAGAAAGGAAAGGAAAGCATAAAGGGGACTTTATCTTGCAGCTTGGGTACCAGTTTGGCCACAGTGGGGTACAGCACCAAGCAGGCTACTAGGGTCCCCATTTCTAGGCCTTGGCTCCTGGATGGCCATTCTGGATCTGCCCTAGGCTAGAGGGGAGCTCACTTATCTGAAAGGAGAGATCGAGGCACGACAACATTCACCACAAGGTGACTGAAGGACCCTTGGGCCTTGAGTGAACATCGGTGGTAGCCAGGCAGTTCTTGCTGTGGGCCTGGGGCAGTGGTGGCCATAGAGAGAGAATCCTCTGCTTGAGGAAAGGGGAAGAAAGAGTAGGAAGAACTTTATCTTGGAGCTTGGGTGCTAGCTCAGCCACAGTAGAATACAGCAGCAGGTAGATTCCTAAGTTTCCTGACTCCAGGCAGGCCCTGGATCTTGAATATCATCTGTGGACCCATCTGGGGCTGGGAGGAGCTTGCCATCCTGAAGGGAAGGACACAAGCCTGGCTGAGCTTGCCACCTACTGACTGTAGAGCCCTTTCGCCTTGAGTGAGCATAGGTAGTAGCCAGGAAGTGGTCACTGTGGGCCTTGGGCAAGACCCAGTACTGTGCTGGCTTCAGGTCTGACTCAGTGCAGTCCCATTGCTGATGGCCACAGAGATGCTTGTGTCACCCCTCCCCCAGATCCAGGCAGCTCAGTACAGGGACAGAGAACCCATCTGAGAGAAAGTAAGGGAAGAGAACAAGAGTCTCTGCCTGGTAATCTAGACAATTCTCACACATCTCACCAAAGACCACCAACGTGGTGCCTCTGTGAGTCTGCAAGAGCCACAGAATTATTGGGCTTAGGTTTCCCCCTAATGCAGACATAGCTGCATTGACCAAAGACATATCAAAACACCCAAGTCCCTTCAAATACTTGGAAAGTCTTCCCTAGAAAGACAGGTTCAAACAAGCCCAGACTGTAAAGACTACAATAAATACCTAACTCTTCAAAGCCCAGACACTGACAAATATCCACAAGCATCAAGGCCATCCAGGAACACATGATGTCACCAAATGAACTAAATAAGGCACAGTGATCAGTCCCAAAGAGAGTGCAATGTGGGACCTTTCAGACAGAGATTTCAAAATAGCTGTTTTGAGAAGGATCAATAAAATCCAAGATAATATGGAGAAAGTATTCAGAATCCTATCAGATAAAGTTAACAAAGAAATTAAAATAATTTAAAACAAGCAGAAATTCTAGAGCTGATAAATGTAAATGACATATTGAGGAATGCATCAGAGTCTCTTAATAGCAGAACTGATCAAACAGAAGAGCTTGAAGACAGGCTATTTGAAAATACACGGTCAGAGGCAACAAAAGAATAAAGAATAAAAAAGAATGAAGCATGCCTACAAGATCTAGAAAATAGCCTCAAAAGGGCAAATTTAAGAGTTATTGGCCTTAAAGACGAGGCAGAGAGAGAAACAGGGATAGCAAATTTATTCAAAGGGATAATAACAGAGAACTTCCCAAACCTAGAGAAAGATATCTACATTCAAATAGAAGAGAGTTACAGAGCACCAAGCAGATTTAACTCAAATAATATTACTTCAAGACATTTAATAATCAAAATCCCAAAGATTAAAGATAAAGAAAGAATCTAAAAGTAGCAAGGGAAAAGAAACAAAAAACATATAAAGGAGCTCCAATGCATCTTGAAGCAGACTTCTCAGTGGAGTGTCTCAGAGTGGCATGACATATTTAAAGTGCTGAAGGAATAAAACTTTTTTTATCCTAGAATAGTATATCCAGCAAAAATATTCTTCAAACATGAAGGAGAAATAAATACTTTTCCAGACAAACTAAAGCTGAGTGATTTCATCAACACCAGGCTTGTCCTACAAGAAATGCTAAATGGAGTTCTTCTATGTGAAAGAAAAGAACATTAATGAGCAATAAGAAATCGTCTGAAGGTTCAAAACTCAACGATAATATTAAATACACAGAAAAAATACAAAATATTATAACACCGTAATGGTGGTGTGTAAACTATTCATATACTGAGTAGTCGAAAAGATGAACCTTTCAAAAATAATAACTACAACAACTTTTCAAGACATAAATAGCATAATAAAATATAAATAGAAATAAAAAGTTAAAAAGTAGAGGGCCGAGTTAAAGTGTCGTTTTTATTAGTTCTATCTTTACTTATTTGTTTGTTTATGCAGTCAGCATTAAGTCTTCCTTAACTTAAAGTAACAGGTTATATTATTTGCAATCTTCATGGCAACCTCAAATTTAAAAGCATACAACAGATACACAAAAAATAAAAAGCAAGAAATTAGAACACACTACCAGAGGAAATAACCTTCACTAAAAGGAAGACAAGAAGGAGGGAAAAAAGGAAAAGGAGACCACAAAACAACCAGAAAACAAATAACAAAATAGCAGGAATAAGTCCTTACTTATCAATAATGACATTGAATGTAAATGGACTAAATTCTGTAAACAAAAGACATAGAGTGAGCAGCTGAATGGATTTTTTCAAAAGACCCATTGATCTATTGACTACAAGAAACACACTTCCCCTATAAAGACACACACAGACTGAAAATAAGGGACAGAAAAAGATATTTCATGCAAATGGAAAGCAAAAAAGTAGAAGTAGCTATACTTATACCAGACAAAATCAATTTCAAGACAAAAATAATAAAAAGAGACAAAGAAGGACTTATTCCTGCTATATGATGATAAATAGGTAAATGCAGCAAGAGGATATAACAATTGTAAATATATATGCACCCAACACTGAAGCACTCAGATATATAAAGCAAATAGTTTTAGAGCTAAAGAGAGAGCTAGACCCCAATACAATAATAACTGGAGACTTCAGCACCCTACTTTCAGCATTGGACAAATTATCCAGACAGAAAATCAACAAATCAAAAAAAAAATTTGCTACACCAAATGGACCTAATAGATATTTACAGAACATTTCATCTAGCAGCTGCAGAATACACATTCTTCTCCTCAGCACATAGATTATTCTCAAGGATAGACCATACAACAATCTTAAAAGCTTGAAATTATATCAAGTATCTTCTCTGAAAACAATGGTAGACCTAGAAATCAATAAGAGGAGGAATTTTGGAAAGTATACAAACACATGGAAATTAAACAATATGCTCCTGAATGACCAGTGGGTCAATGAAGAAATTAAGAAGAAAAGTAAAAAATATGTTGAAGCACCATGGCACACGTGTACCTACATAGCAAACCTGCACGTTCTGCACATGTATCCTGGAACTTAAAGTAAAATAAAGTAAAATAAAAATTTCTTGAAGCAAAGGAAAATGGAAACACAATATACTAAAACCTATGGGATACAGTGAAAGCAGTACAAAGAAAAAAGTTTATAGTAATAAATGCCTACATAAAAAAGTAAAAAAATACTTTAAATTAGCAACCTAATGATACATCTTAAAGGACTAGAAAAGCAAAATTAGTAGAAGAAAAAAAAAATAAAGACCAGAGCACAAAGGAAAATAGATCATTGTACTGAAATGACACATGCACTCATATGTTCATCCCTGTGCTATTCACAATAGCTAAGACATAGAATAAGCCTAGGTGCCCATCACTGGTGGGCTGGATAAAGAAAATGTGGTACATATATACCATGGAATACTATGCAGCCATAAAAATGAATTAAATTATGTTTTACAGCAACATGAATGGAGCTGGAGGGCATAATCCTGAACAAATTAATGCAGGAGCAGAAAATCAAATACTGCATGTTCTCACTTATAAGTGACAGCAAAACACTGAGTCTCACGAACAAAATGAAAGTTAGTTTTTTAAAAAGATAAACAAAATTGACAAACCTTTAGCCAAACTACGAAGAAAAGGGAGTAGAGACAGATAGTCAGGGATGAAAAAGGAGACTTTACAGCCAATACTGCAGAAATTCAAAGGCTCATTAGAGGCTACTATGAGCAACTATGTCAATGAATTGGAAAACCTAGAAGAAATGGATACATTTCTAGACATGTACAACCTACCAAGATTGAACAGTGAAGAAATCCAAAACCTAAACAGACCAATAACAAGTAATGAGATTTGAAGCCATTCAAATCTCCCAGTGAAGAAAAGCTCAGGACTTGATGGCTTCACTGATGAATTTTTCCAAACATTTAAAGAAGAACTAATACCAATCCTACCCAAACTATTCTGAGAAATAGAGGAGGAGGGAATACTTCCAAACTCATTCTATGAGGCCAGTATTACCCTGATACCAAAACCAGACAAGACATATCAAAAAAAGAAAACCACAGGCCATTATTCCTGATGAACAGTTATGCAAAAACCCTCAACAAAATATTAGCAAACCAAATTCAACAACTCATTAAAAAGATCATTCATCATGACCAAATGGGATTTATCCCAGGGATACATAGATGGTTCAACATATGCATATCAATTAATGTGAGACATTATATTAACAGAATGAAGGACAAAAACCATAAGATCATTTCAATTGATACTGAAAAAGCATTTGATAAAATTCAACATCCCTTCATGATAAAAAAAAACTCTTGAAAAACTAAGCATAAAAGGAACATACCTCAACACAATAAAAGTCACATATGAAAGACACATATACACAATGGAATATACACAATGGTATATATAGCTAGCATCAAATTGAATGGGGAAAAACTGAAAGCCTTTCCTCTAAGATCTGTAAAAAGACAAGGATGCCCACTTTCATTCCTGTTATTTAACATAGTACTGGAAGTCCTAGCTAGAACAATCAAACAAGAGAAAGATATAAAGGGCATCCAAACTGAAAAGGAAGAAATCAAATTATCCTTATTTGCAGATTATATGATCTTCTATTTGGGAAAACCTAAAGACTCCACCAAAAAACTACTAGAACTGATAAGCACATTCAGTAAAGTTGCAGGATACAAAATCAGCATACAAAAATCAGTAGCATTTTCACATGTCAACAGTGAACGATCTGAAAAAGAAATCGAGAAAGTAATCCCATTTAAATTGCCACAAATAAAATAAAATACATAAGAATTAACTTAACCAAAGGAGTGAACGGTCTCTACAATGAACACTATAAAACACTGATGCAAGAAATTGAAGAAGACACAAAAGAAGACACAAAAGATATTCCATGTTCATTTCCATGTTCATGGATTGGAAGAAACAATATTGTTTAAATGTCTGTATTACTAGAAGCAATCTACAGATTCAATGCAGTCTCTGTTGAAATACCAATGGCATGATTCACAGAAATGGAAAAAATAATCCTAAAATGTATGTGGAACCACAAGAGACCCAGAATACCCAAGGACATTCTGAAAAAAAAAAAAAGAAGAAAACTGGAGAAATCACATTACTTTACTTCAAATTATACTTCAGAGTGTAACCAAAACAGCATGGTACTGGCATAAAAACAGACACATAGACCAATGGAACAAAATAGAGAACCGAGAAATAAATCCATACATCTACAATGCACTCATTTTTGACAAAGGTGCTAAGAACATGCATTAGAGAAGGAATAATCTCTTCAATAAATGGTGCTGTGAGAACTGAATATCCATATGCAGAAGAATGAAACTAGACCCCTGTCTCTCACCATATACAAAAATTAAACCAAAATGGATTAAAGACTTAAATCTAAGATCTCAAACTGTGAAACTAGTGCAAGGAAACATTGGCAAAACTTTCCAGGACATTGGACTAGGCAAAGATTTCTTGAGTAATACCTTGGAAGCACAGGCAACCAAAGCAAAAATGGACAAATGAGATCACATAAAGTTAAAAAGCTTCTGAACAGCAAAGGAAACAGTCAACATAGTGAAGAGACAACCCACAGAATGGGAGAAAATATTTGCAAACTATGCATCTGACAAGAGATTAATAATCAGAATATATAAGGAATTCAAACAACTCTATAAGAAAAAGTCTAATAATCCAATCAAAAAATGGGTAAAAGATTTGAATAAACATTTCCAAAAGAAGACATACAAATGGCATGAAAAGGTGCTCAACATCATTGATCATGAGAGAAATGCAAATCAAAACTACAGTGAGTTACCATCTTACCCCACTTGAAATGGCTTATATCCAAAAGCCAGGCAACAACAAACGCTGGTGAGGATGTGGAGAAAAGAGAACCCTTGTACACTGTAGTGAGAATGTAAATTAGTACAACCACTACGGAGAACAGTTTGGAGGTTCCTCAAAAACTAAAAATAGAACTACCATATGATCCAACAATCTCGAAGTATATGCTAAGTACATACCCCAAAGAAAGGAAAGAGCATACCCCAAAAAAGGAAATCACTATATCAAAGAGATATCTGTGCTCCCATGTTTATTGCTGCACTATTCACAATAGCCAAGATTTGGAAGCAACTGAAGTGTCTATCAACAGATGAATGGATAAAGAAAATGTGGTATATACACAATGGAATACCATTTAGCCATAAAAAGAATGAGATCCTGTTATTTGTAACAACATGGGTGGACTGGAGGATATGGTATTAAATGAAAGAAGCCAGGCACAGAAAGACAAACTTCACAGGTTCTCATTTATTTGTGGGAGCCAAAAATTAAAACAATTGAGCTCATGGAGATAGAGAGTAGAATGATAGTTACCAGAGGGTGGGAAGGGTAGAGGAGGGAAGGGGTGGGGAGTGAGATGGTTAATGGATACAACATATAGTTTGAATAAAATCTAGTATTTTGATAGCACAATAGCATGACTAGAGTCAACAATAATTTAGTTTACATTTTAAAATAACCAAAAGAGTATAATTGGATTATTTGTAACACAAAGAAAGGATAAATGCTTGAGGTGATGGATACTCCAATTACCTTGATGTAATTATTATGCATTGTATGCCTGTATCAAAATATCCCATATACCCCGTAAATATGTACACTTACTATGCATCAACAGAATTAAAAATGTAAAATAGGATTACTATTCGATCTAGCAGTCCCACTTCTTGATATATATCTAAAGGATATAAAATCAAAATGTTGAAGAGCCATCTGCATTCCCATGTTCATTGCAGCACTATTCACAATAGCCAAGACATGGAATCAATGTAAATGTCCATTGACAGATGAATGGATAAAGAAAATGTGGTGTATGTATATACACAGACACTCACAAACACAATGGAATATTATTTGGCCTTTAAAAAGAAAGGCCTGCCATTCGGGACAACATGGATGAGCCTGGAAGACCTGATGCTAAGTGAAATAAGCCAGATATAGAAAGACAAATACTGCATGATCTCATTTATATGTGGAATCTAAATCGACAAACACATAGGAGCAGAGAGTAGAATGGTGGTTGTCAGGGGCTGGGAGGAGAGAGGAATGGGAGGTGTTGGTCAAAGGATAAAAAGTTTCAGTTATGCAAAATAAATAAGATATGGAGATCTACTTTATGGGGTCTATGATTAGCAATACTGTGTCGTATACTTAACATTTTTCTAAGAGGGTAGATCTCATATTAGGTGCTCTTACCAAAAAAGTTGAAAAAAGAAAAACAAAGAGGATGGGAGGAAACTTTTTTCGTTGAGGGATATGTTTATGGTATCCATAGTGATGAAGGTTTGATGGTTTCATGGTGTATAATTATCTCCAAACACAGCAAGTTGTATACATTGAATATCTACAGCTTTTTGTATGCCAATCATACCTCAATAAAGTGGTTAAAAATTTATTTTTTTTCCCACAAAATTTTCATTAGTTCTGACCTGATTTCTTTCTATTGCTAAGATGTGGAGTTGTTGTTCAATTGAGTCAAGTGGGTTAGGAGGTTTAATAACTCCATCACACGAGTACATGCAATGATGCTTTCCACATCCTACCCTCACAATCACTCGTGCTCCCCAACCTCAGTATCCCCACCTGGCACAGTGACACCTGGGACTTTCTAAACCTTGGAACTGTTTCCCTTCCCCTCTCCCAACCTCATCCACCTTTCAGTCCCTCTCTGTCCATGGTATTCATCCACCCAGCCTAGAAACAGTGGTGTACTGGTAAGTGTGTAACAACTGGCTGGGCATGGGTTGGGGCGGGGAGGGGGGCGGGTGGCTGCTTTGTAGCATTTGCCAATTTCTGCAGTGCAAACACTCCAATCATGGGACTATTTCAAGCCAGTTTAACAAGTAGCTCACAGAATTCCTGGAAATTTCATAATCAGTTTTCCCAAAGGTAGGAAGCTTCTAGCACATCACTGACTGAAACCTTCTCTTTACTTAGCACTTGCTTGAGTTATCTTTCCCTTCTTTGTTGTGCAACTTCTTTAAGAGCAATCTACAATCATTGCTTATACTTCCTAACCTTGCAATCTCCCCTGAGACATTTACAATCTGGTTTTGACCTCTTTAAGGTCATTAGTAATCTTGTCACTGTTATTATAAAAAGAATCCATGCAAAACCCCAAAGCAAAAACAAATCTTTCATGGACAAAAATGAATAAGAATGTAAGTCTTGAATTGCAGAACTACACCCTTGCTTCTCCTTTTCTCTAACCTGTCTGCATTGTTGGTCCCTAAGCCACCTCTTCCTTCTGCCAGGAGCTCCTCCTTCTTTGGCTTTCACAACACTGTGTTCTCCAGTCTTCCTGGCTCTCTCATTACAGCTTCCTTGTCCCCTCCTCTCCCACTTCCTCCTCCACCCCCATGATGTCCATGTCCCAGAGCTCTGTCCTCAGCCCTCTCACTTCTCTTCTTCATCTCTCCATTGACCTTGATGACTCACAAGCCTTTCTGCCTGGGATCTCTCCTCTAAGCTCCAGTTAGATTCTCAGTTGCCTGCAGGCAATTTCTTCTCAGAAGTCTGAGTAACCCAGAATAGAATCTGCCAGCATGACCTTCATTATCATCTTTGTCAACTGTATTTTCCCTGTTTCTATCTATGGGGGCCACCATCCTTCCCGTCACTAAGGCTACACGTAGCAAAGAACTCTCTATACTCTCACCCGCACATCCTGCTTGGTGCCTCTCCCAGCTACCTTTTGTTCCATCTTCATCACCATAGTGTATACCATCATTACCTACTGTCCCACTTTCTGGACTCTAGAATTGCTCAGAATTCTTCAGTAGACAAGAAACCAGCTATAAGATGTGTATTTATAAAGTATCGCTTGACTGTTCTCATCTTCCTGCTGAAACCACCTTGCTTACACTTGAAGTTCCACCTTAGCCTGGCATGATCTCTCATCACCTCCCAGCATTACCTGTCACTCCACATCTCCTGTTTCTACATATCCAGATCTGCTCATATTCAAAGCCAAGTTCAAGTGCCACCTCTTCTGTGAACTCTTTCCTGAGCCCCCGCCCCCGCTCCGCTGTAAATAATTGCACCTCCATTCTTTAAACTCTCAGAACGCTGATGTGTATTGTGACACATCAGCTTCTTCCTTGCATCGCAGTCATCTGTGCAAGAAAGGAGGGGAATGAACATTTATTAGGTCCATTATTGCACTAGGACTTTTTATTAGCAACTTCAGTGTTTACATGACCCAATGAGGTGCATAATATTACCCCTTATAACAGAAGAGGAAATGTTAGCACAGAGTGGCACCATAAAATTGGATTCTGATGGTAGCCTGTCTGACTCCACAGCTGTGCTCTTACCTCTCCAATGTGTGCGTGTGTGTGCATGTGTGTGCGCGCGCATGCGCACACCTTAGCTTCCCTCTGGATGGTAACCTCCTTGAGAGTAAGAATCTTGTTTTTCATCTTCCCACGCCTCAAATTCTCAGTGCAGGGCTTGGCACATGGCTGGCAGTCAGTGAGCACTGTGGACTGAATGAAGGATGGATTGACGGATGGACCTGCCCCTGATTCCATTTCCCAGTTGCGCCGAGGATTGCAGCTGTGCATTCCAGAGTTACGCTGGCTGTAAATATCTCATTGCCCATTCATATTTTGATGTTTTTTCCTGCTCTCTGTGTCCTACTTCTGTGTTTCTCTTAGATTGGCAAGCTTTGGGGAGGCAGAGATTAAATCTGTGGTATGCTTTTGTCCAGATCCTGAGCCTAACAATCAGCAAATGATTTCTGGTGATGAGAACAAGTTGTTTTTCAGGATGATTTTGTTCTGCTTTTTGGACCAATTCTGCTTGCATTTTCTTCACCTCATTTTAAAAGATAGAAACTTCAAGTAGAGTTGACTTTGGCATTACCCATTATGAAAATTATTTATTGTGGAGACCTGCAGGCTATTTTGACCAATTCCACACTCCCCTGCCCCCCAGCTAGTTGCCAGTGCCCTTGTTCTGTGTGGGCACAAGGCTTCCCTGCAAGCCACACTCTGGTCTGGACTCCCTCCTCTCAAAGTTGAATTGTCCTCTGCCTCTGCTAGACCTGCTTAACTAATCTTATAAATGAACCAGGACTAGACAACTGTTCATGGAATTCCTTAGTCCTTCCAGTTGATCCATAGCTTTACAGAGTAATTTAATTGAAAAAAAATAAAAGTAAGTAGTAGTGGGAACTCAGGCACCATGGTCCCCTGTTGGGAAAGATATTTTAGGGGCAGGGACTTTTCTGAGGATCTTCCTGTTGTACCGTGTGGGTGGCCGAAGGCAGCAACAGGATGGCTGGCCCAGTCCACACCCATCTCCCCACATCCCTGACACTCCCCACTTAATGTGCCATAAGAAGTGCCACACTCTCATTGCTCATCCTGTTAACCATCTGATATGAAATATGACTCACAGGCAGGACTGATAAAACTGGTGACAAATATAAACCTAATTTCCCTGAAGAGAAAGGGTGATATACCCTGTGTGGGGCTAGGCACTGCCCTGGGCTGAGGGAGTGGCTGTCAAAGCCAGCCAAGGAGCCTCAAAGACAAGCTGGGCCAGGGATTCTACTCTTCTGACTCCTCTTCTATTAGTGATGCCTTTGACAGAACGTCATACTGATCCATCCCATGACACACCACACCTTTGGTGGAAGCAGGGAGAGAAGAGAATGTAATCTTGTCTGCTGACAAGGAGGCCCCTGGGACCACAGAGCCCTTGGCAGGGTGTTCACTGTCCTGCAGATGGCGGACCGGCAGGACCCTACACGTGTTTTTGCTTTTTCACAAACACCAGAGAGTCTCTGACTCACTTGGTGTGTTCCTTTGATATTAGAAAATCCTTGTTTGGCCTCCAAATTCATGCAGAAATCCTCCCAAGGCCCTGGATTTATCATGGATGGATTTCATGGACATCAATGGTTCTAAGCAGCTGCTGTGGTATTTCAGACCTCTGAATGTACATTCATTCCCACGAAGTGCTCCAGGGACATCTAAGCTCTTGGATGCTTCCTCCTCTGTCTGTCCTCTTTGTGTCCCAACTTGTAGGTTATTGCAGCTATTGCTGCAACTGCTTTGCGCTCGTTCAGTAAAAGGCTGTCCTTTTTAATCCAGCACTAATAAAATGTGTTCTAGTTTATTTGCGTACGTTTATTTGTATCTCATCAGTGTAGCATGAGATGAAATGTAACATTTGAAACTAAAATTGCTCTACTGTGACTATGGCTAATGCTAATTATTATTAGCCACTTTCTGGATGTGGGAAACATTTCCTTTGCCTCAAGGTGATATATTGAAAGAGAGAGTGCGCACCCATGATAGAGGGGTTAGGAATTGCCAGATAAATGTCAGGCATTGCAGATAGACAGACAGGTGGGTAGACAGATAATATATGTATACACACACTTACGTACATTATATTATATATGTACATAATATAATGTAATATATTACGTACATATATATTATGTACGTACACATATATGTACACATTATAATTTTAAATATGTAAGATATTTACATATTACATCTATAAATATGGAGAGATGCTAATCTCAAGTACTCAATAATGGGAATTCAAAACCTTTTCTGAGAAGAAAATCAAGGCCAAACACTGAGAGAGAGCAGAACAGGCCGAGTTCCCAAAGGAAATTAAGTCTGGTCTCCTGCACAATCACAGTCCTTTAGTCATGTGCTGGCTTCTAGCCTAACACCATGGGTTCACCTCGGACCTCACCAGGTCACAAAGGAAGACAGATGCTCACAGCTGTTCCCAGGCATCTGCAGAGGCAGGCAATAGCCCACGGTGCGTCACAAGGCAAGACCATGCCAGTGCCCCCAGGGAATTCACCCTGAAATGCTCTGGGAACTCAGCTTTAGAAAGAACTGGCTTGTGCATTTGACCTTCCAGCTGGAGCAGGAAGTAGTCCCTAGCAGCAACTGCATCCCAGAATCCGAGGAACAGTGCGATCCTGACTTGGTGTTGAGGAATGAGGAGCTTTGAAACTTAGCCTTTTAAACTCTGTAATATTTTGAACAGTTTCTCGACCCTTAGACTCATCATAATGAAAAGCACAAATGTGATCTTCACAGTGGATCTGAGATGCCAGTCTCAGGACCAACTGCATCCGATAATCTGGTAACCTTGCTAAGCATATAGATTCCTACCCTCCATTCTGAATTCTCACATAAATAGGTGTATTAGTCTGTTTTCATGCTGCTGATAAAGATATATCTGGGACTGGGCAATTTATAAAAGAAAGAGGTTTATCCCAGCACTTTGGGAGGCCGAGGCAGGGGACCACGAGGTCAGGAGATCGAGACCATCCTGGCTAACACAGTGAAACCCCGTCTCTACTAAAAATACAAAAAATTATCCGGGAGTGGTGGCGGGCGCCTGTAGTCCCAGCTACTCGGGAGGCTGAGGTGGGAGAATGGCGTGAACCCACAGGAGGCAGAGCTTGCAGTAAGCCGAGATCCCACCACTGCACTCCAGCATGGGTGACAGAGTGAGACTCTGTCTCAAAAAAAAAAAAAAAAAAGAAAAGAAAAGAAAGAAAGAGGTTTAATGGACTTACAGTTCCACGTGGTTGGGGAGGCCTCACAATCATAATGGAAGGCAAGGAGGAACAAGTCATTTCTTAAATGGATGGCAGGAGGCAAAGACAGAGAGCTTGTGCAAGGAAACTCCTGTTTTTAAAACTATCAGATCTCATGAGACTTATTCACTATCACGAGAACAGCATGGAAAAGACCTGCCCCCACGATTCAATTATCTCCCACCAGGTACCTCCCACAAATTATGAGAGAGTTACAAGATGAGATTAGGGTGCGGACACGGAGCCAAACCATATCAGGAGGTCTGGAGTGGGCCCAGACCAGTGGATGTTAAACAAGCTGATGTAACATCCAGATTTGGGGACACTGTCCTGGTCCAACTCCCTACAAGCATAGAATCCCTTCCACAATATTCCTGAGCCAAGATGTCTTAACATTAATTGTTTCTCTTACTGCGCTGAAAATTGCCACAAAGCAATGTTTACCCATCTGCCCTGGTTTACCCACTGGCACAATAGATCCAAGCCCTCTGGATTTGAGAGGTTAGGAGGACAGCCCAGGGCAGGGGAATCAGTGTGTTTGTGCATGCATGTGTGTGCATGTACGTTTCATGCATGCTCACATGTGTTGAGGCACTGGCTGGAGCAAGTATAAGGCAGAAGGGAAATGGACATTTAGAGATCAAATGAAAGCTGACATATTTCGTCCAGTAGCCATCAAGAACCAAGGGAAGCAGAGATTGGGGCAGATGGAAAAGGGCAGATGTGCAGAAACAGAGCACCCTTGATGCATGGCCAACTTGTCCAAGGGACTCCATCAGTGTTGTGACTGATGAAGGAGGCACAGAGCCGCATCCTCAGAGATGGGGGACTGGAAGGGAGGGGCAAGAAGCCAGCATCAGGCACCAGTTGATATCAGGGAAATTTTGAAATACCCAAGAGACTTGAGCAAAAGGAAGCCAACCAGTCCTTCTTATAGAAGGAAGAAAGGGAGTTGCTGACCACAGTGCCAGAGTATGGCATGAGACCCTTACCACAGAGCTATGAAAACTTTCTAGATCTAGTTTGTGGGGCAAACGCTGTCATCAGCACAGGCTCCTCAGTTCTGGGGAGGAGCAAGGGAATGGCAGAGAGACAGATCTCATTTGATGCTTCTCCCGTGCTGCCAGATGGAGCCGGACGGCCCCCGATAGTTGGGGCTTCAATTGCTTCACCATTTTCGTGGTCTCTGGACTTTTTGCCACCCAGGTGGAGTGCTTTCAGTTTGTAAAGACTCCAGAAGTAGTCTAATCAGTGCAGAATAGAGTGGGACTAACACAGGATGAATACCTTCTTTGTTCTGGCCATCACACTATTATAGCAGCCCTAAGGTGGCTCCTTCACCTTTTAGCAGTCCTTTCATAAGATTGGGTTATGTTGAACTTGCAGACATCTAAATCCTCTAGAACCCTTTCCAGAACTTCTCCAAAAATCATATCAGAATGTAAGTGATGACTTTACACTTTTCCTTAACAAATGTTATCTTTTAATGTTGACATACCTTTTCCAGGTTTCAGAGTTTTTCCTGCATCCTGATGCATGGCCAATGTATTAGTTATCCTCATAAGTTGACATCACTGGCAAATTTGATCAACATGACTTTGATATCTTCATCTAAGTCTTGAAAAGGGTTTGCACAACATAGAACTGATATAAAACTTCATGGTGAGGGAGTAGAGACTTTCTTCCATCTTGATGTTGAATAATTAATGTTCTTCAACCAGCTACAAAGTCACCTGGTTGTCTCGCCACATAGCACTTTCTAAATGACTCAATTACAGCATTTATCAAAGTGTATCATAACTTTTTTATATAGCTGTCTCACTCACCAGGCTGAGGTTCTCTAAGGCAAGAGCCATGTTTTATTCATATTTGTGATTCCAATGTCTAGCCAAACACAGTCGGCGTGCAGCAAGTTTGTGACGTATGTGATACATTTCCGCAACTTGGCTACAGTGGCAAATATCTAGAAGACTGAAATCTTCTTGCCAAAATTAAGGTACTCTCTTTTATGCTGCATTTTAGTCTATCAAGAAATGTTATGAGGTGTGAGGTCAATTGAATACAAGTTAACTTCCCGGAATCATTCATTCCTTTCCTTATGCATGAACCATCATATTAATATTTGATAATACACCATGGTTTGGTTAAACTAACCTGGACTTTTGTAAGGATTCAAGGTCACTTTCATTGCTCCGTGGTTTTTGGTATCCTCCTTCTTCTCTGCTCCTTCTCCCTTTGAATATCCACAGTACTTTTGCCTCAAACCATTCCCTGGGATTTCTCATGGACCCCCTTGCCATGCCCCTGTGCCTCCAGCAAGCCTCTTGGCAGCACAGGAGGTCCGGCGTGGACCCGCCTGTCTGAACTGATGGAGAGCTCCCAGGCTGCTCCCTGTTTCCTCCTCCTTCTTGAACCACACCTTCCAGTTATCCAGGACTCAAGATCGGCCTCTCTGGCCAGGGCTGGAAGAGGGTGAGAGGTTTGCCTGGGGAGCCCCAGGCTGCCTCATGGCTGGCCTGGGTCAAGACAAGGAGACACTGCAAGTGGCCTGCAGGGCACTGCTATTCACGACCCTCCAGGGACTCTAGAATGATGGCTGTGGGGAAGAGGCCTTTCCCAAATCATGGAGATTGGCTTTCCTGCTAACCCTCAAAGAAAGGGCAAAAGGGGGCTTGATGGGATTGTGAAAAACCGAAGAATGTGGCTTGTTTTCCCCCATGAGCGTGTCAGAACTAGTTCATACCATTACTGAGGTCTTGCTCCACTTCTGATTTTAGAGTCATTTTCACTGAGAGAGAAGACAAATGGAGCAGACCAGGACTGGGTGGTTCTGTTTTCACGAAGGTCTCTCCATCATCAGGCCACCTGCCCAACACAGCTTCCCTGCTTCTGCTTCTGGGCTGCATGCTTCCTGAATCTAGCCTGAAAATTTGCATGACTCTGACCGTATGTCCTCAGCTAGATGTCACTGCTTCCATTGTATGCATTCATTCAACACACAGTTATTGAGTACCTGCTGTGTACCGGACACTGGGTTGACTGGGGGTACAGCACTGAACAATACGGAAAACACAAACCCTGGCCCCTGGAGTGGATACCCTACCAGGAAACAGACAGCAAACAAGATAAATAAGTCAAATAACTTCTGCCTTGGAGGGGGAGAACTGCTGTGCAGGGGAACAGAGCGGAGAAGGGGATCAGGTGCTGGAGAGCGAGGGACAGGGGAGTGGAGATGTTAAATTATGTGGTCTGGGAAGGTCCCGCTGAGAGGCATCTGAGTCATCTCAAAGGCCAGGGAAGTGAGGGGCCAGGCCATGGAGGTGCCTGGGAGTTGTGTCCCAGACAGAGGGAACCATCAGCTTGAGGTACAGCCTACCTGCTTGTTTAAAAAGGCCAGAGCAACCACAACAGGGAATTGGAACATGTCCAGTTAAAATCTGGATTCCCCAGAGAACCGGCTAGTTTCTCTTTTTCTGTGTCAGAATAGACAGTTCTGGACACTGCTGCAGCATGGCTTTCAGGAGCCATGGGAATAAGTGGCCAGGGCTCTTTGTCCTACCCTAGGTGGCCCCAGATGGCCACGCTTTCTGAGTACTTGGTATGAGGCCGTGAGCTGTCAGTTAGTTCATGTATTATACACATTATTACTGAGCACCCATTATACAGCCATGAACGAAGCATTTACACTCTTGCCTTCTTGGGCTTGGGGATGCCACGAACACAAGCACTTGTTTTGACTGAGGACATGAGCCACCAAGAGGCACACAGAGAGACCCAGGGTGCTTCTAGTGGGAAATGATGCCCAAGCACACCCTGAAGAATGGACAGGGAGCTTTCTAGGCAGCATGCCCAGGGTATCCGAGATCCGCACATATTCGAGATACTCCTGGGATGGTTCTGGATGCCCACAGAGGGGTGAGGGTATGGGGTTGCCAGGAGGGATGCAGGGGAAGGATAGCAGGGAGGTGAGAGGGGTGAGGTCGGCAGGGGCCCGGCATGCCGGGTCGCGTCCGTGAGTCATGCAGGACTACATTCTAAATCGGGTGGAGGTCACTGGGCAGTTTGAGCCAGGAAGTGACGTGGTCCCAAGTGCTTTCCCTGGGGACTTGAAGAGAACACATTGGAGAGAGCACAGCAGGAAGCAGCAGGAGTCACAGGAAAGCAGGGTGGCCGACCGCAGCTGCTGTCCATGGGATGGAGACCAGTGGGCCAACTCAAGACGAGGAGCTGGCTGGTGGCCTCTGGGGTGGATGTGCTGTCTAGTGTGAGGACAGGCCGGATCACTCAGCAGCTGACATGGAAACAGTGGGTGGTGGTGCACTCTGATAATGATGCATGGACATGTCTCCTCCAAGCCCTCTGCTCCAGCTCAGGCTTCCTAGAAGCAGAGCCTGAGATGAGGATTTGGATGCCCATGATTGATTGAGGTCATGTTCTCAGGAGAAAGACCAAGCAGAGGAAACCTCAGCAAGGGTGCATCTCAGCTGGGGGTGGGCAGCACCTGGAGCTGGGGAGCATGAATTGCATCCAGAGTTGGCTCCCTTTGGAGCCAGGCAGCCAAGCTTTTGTGGCCTGTGTAAGTCAGTCCCTGGCTGTGGGCTTCCCTGGGGTGGGGATGGGGCTGCTTGTATCCTTTGGGCAAATTGGATTTTGTTCTGCCAAGGACAATTCTCCTGAGAAGGGGGCACTTCTGAGTGTTTAACAGCCAATATTCCAAGGTGCAAGGGGACAAGGGACAGGTGCACAGGCCCCCATAGAAGGGGGCTGGGAGAGGCATCCATTTTGCTCACAGGATCTTCTTACCTTCTATTGGCCAGGAAAGCAGATGCATTAGTGAGGGTTCTTTGGAGAAATAGAACAAATAGGAGATACATGTGTGAGAGAGAGATTTATTATGAGAGATTGGCTCATGTGATCACAATCTGCCATCTGCAAGCTGGAGACCCAGGAAAGCTATGGTGTCATCCAGTCTGAGCTAAAGGCCTGAGAACCAGGGGAGCCAATGGTGTGAACCCCAGTTTGAGAACAAAGAAGATGAGATGAGATGTCCCAGCTCGGGCAGTCAGGCAGAAAAGCAGGAGTGATTTCCCCCTTCCTCCACCTTTTCTTTGACTCAGGCGCTCAATGGATTGGGTGACGCCCACTGATATGGTTTGGCTGTGTCCCCACCCAAATCTCATCTTGAATTGTAGCTCCCATAATTCCCACATGGTGTGGGAGGACCCTGGCGGGAGGTGATTGAATCATGGGCGTGGGTTTTTCCTGTGCTGTTCTCATGACAGTGAATAAGTCTCACGAGATCTGATGGTTTTATAAATGGGAGTTCCTCTGCATATGCTGTCTTGCCTGCTGCCATGTAAGACGTCCCTTTGCTCTTCCTTTGCCTCCCACCATGATTGTGAGGCCTCCTTAACCATGTGGAACTGTGAGTCCATTAAATCTCTTTTCTTTATAAATTACCCCATCTCGGGTATGTCTTTTTTAGCAACATGAGAACAGGCTAACACACCCACCCACATTGGAGAGGACAATCTGCTCTACTGAGTCCACCAAGTCAACTGCCAATCCCATCCAGAAACACACTCTTTCACAGACACACAGAAATAATGTTTCACAAGATATCTGTGCATCCCCTGGCCCAGTCAAGTTGATACGTAAAATTAACTATCACACCAGGTAACCAAACTGACTTGGAGGGTGTACCAGAGAAGAGCAAATTGCTCTGACAGCCTGATTCACTTGTCAGTGAGTAATTTTTTTATTTTAACTTTAAAATGTATTTTATTTTTTCCAGATCCATTGACATAAAATTGGCAAATAAAAATTGTATGTTTTTAAGGTGTACAATATGATGATTTCATATGTGTCTACAGTGAGAAATAATTACCGACTGGGCACGATGGTTAACGCCTGTAATCCCATCACTTTGGGAGGCCAAGGCACACAAATCACTTGACGTCAGGAGTTTGAGACCAGAATGACCAACATGATGAAACCCTGTCTCCACTAAAAAATACAAAAAATTAGACAGGCATGGTGGTGGGTCCCTGTAATCCCAGCTACAAGGGAGGCTAAGGCAGGAGAATCACTTGAATCTGGGAGGTGGAGGTTGCTGTAAGCCGAGATCGAGCCACTGTATGCCAGCTTGGGCAGCAGAGTGAGACTCCATCTCAAAAAAATAAATAAATAAATAGACAAATAATTACCACAATCAAATTAATTAACACATTCATCAACTCACAAAGTTACTTCAAAAAAAAAAAAAAGCACACACACACACACAGAAAATCTGTCTCTCTGCTTCCCATCTAGCTCTTACTTGTATTCTACATTGTTGAGGTTACTGAAAAAAAGTGAGTTCTGGATACCATGGGGTGTTGTTTGGGCCCCAAATAGATTATTCTAGTTTTCATGCAGAGAGTGATTGGAGGGAGTCAGGGCCACATCAGTGCAGACTGCAGAAGTGGCCTTCTCATTGCAGCCTATGAAACCACCCTCAGGAGATCAGGGGTATCCCCTGCACAGCCCTGCACAGAGGCCTCGGATGTTCTGAACTCACCACTAAAAAAATGCACACCAATATTGCTCTTGATTATTTCCTGGTGTTCCCATTGTTTCTGGCTGAAGGGCAGTGTGGCTGGCAGGGCAGATGGTGATCACACAGATCCCTGCAGGAGACCCGTGCCTGCTAGGCTTCCTACCCATGGATGTCCACCTTGTGACCATAACCTCACCCCTAGCTGGAATGTGGCTCTCTCACAACATTGCTGGGATGCATCCAGGTTGCTGTGTGAATATTCAGGGGCTGTACTGTCAAAACCAAATCCCTTGGATTGCTGCAAAAATAAACAAGATCTACAGGGACAAGTCCCTGTTTGGATGGCCCCTAAGACAAAGGGACAAAGGGTCTGGAAGAGACGGTGTCCTGTTGTGTGCCTGTTGCCAGGAGAACGTGCCCCTCCCTCATTCAAGGAGGCTCTGCTCACACAGGGAGGTAGGAGAAGGAGTGAAGGGTCTTGGGGAGAGAAGGGCTTTGGAATCAGGAAGACGAGATTCAAATCCAGGCTTCTGATCCAGCAATTGCTCTACTGGGTGTACAGTAGACCCAAAGCAAAGGAAAATCAGTTTGTCAAAAAGCTGTCTGCACTTCCATGCTCATTGCAGCGGCATTCACCACAGCCGTGATAGGAAATCAACCTAAGTGTCCATCTGCAGATGCATGGATAAATAAAAGGTCGTGTATATACACAATGGAATACTATTTAGTTTTTTGTTTTTTTTTTAAGACAGAGTTTTGCTGTCTTAAACAAATAATCTATTTGTTGCCCAGGCTGGAGTGCAATGACACAATCCCAGCTCACTGCAGCCTATGCTTCTTGGGTTCAAGTAATTCTCCTGCCTCAGCCTCCTGAGTAGCTGGGATTACAGGTGTGCACCACCACACCTGGCTAATTTTGCCTTTTTAGTAGAGACGGGGTTTCACCATGTTGGTCAGGCTGGTCTCGAACTCCTGACCTCAAGTGATCCACCTGCCTCAGCCTCCCAAAGTGCTGGGATTACAGGCGTGAGCCACAACGCTCAGCTATTTAGTCTATAAAAAAAAGGAAATCCTGCCATTTGTGACAACATAGATGAACCCGGAGGACATCATGCTAAGAGAAATAAGCCAGGAACAGAAACAAATACCACATAATCTCACTCATATGTGGAATTTTAAAAAGTGGAATTCATAAAATGAGATAGTAGAGCAGTGGTTACCAGAGGCAGTGGGTCAAGGGCTGGAGAGATGTTGGTCAAAGGGTACAATGTTTCAGTTCAACTTTGGAGGAATAAGTTCAAGAGACCTATTGTACAGCACAGTGACTAGAGCTAATAGCAATGTATTGAATCACTGAGAGTAGATTTTGTGTTCTCACAATAAAAAATTAAAATGCATGTTCATTAGCTCTCTTTAGTCATTTCATGATGTATACATATTTCAAAACAACATGTTGTACACACTAAATATATACAATTTTTTACTTGTCAATTAAAAAGATTAAAACAGCAACAACAAATAGAGGCTCGGGCACCCACTAGCCAGCCCATGCCACAGGGCACCATTTTCATCTCTCAGGGTTATCACTGGTATTGGACGAGAGAACATGGTCCAGTGCTGAGCCCCGCAGCTGCCACCTGGCCAGTATCCATGAAATGGTAGCAGCAAATGGCAGAAGGGAAGCCAGCTTTCTGCCAACAGCATTACGCTGTTTGTAAATTTACTGAGTCCTTGCTCACATTTGGTGCCTGGAGCTTGGTAAACACTGGGACTCTACTTCTTTCAAAGGGATTGCTGCTTCCCTGAATGGCTCTTCCCTTGACATTCAGTCCAATTATTGCCTTTTTGGTTTACCTGCAATGATCCCATGTTACACAAGAGCTCAGCCTGGTAAACACCTTTCCTCTTTGTAACTATGGTTTCTTTTGCGTGCTCTTTTCATAAGCCAATGTGGGAGATATTTTTTTAAAGAAACCAAACTCTAGTAATACATAATCATTGTAGAAAAATTAGGTAATATTGATAGGCAACAAACAGAAATAGAATTAAAATAATTCCCAATCTTTCTACCCAGAGACAATCACTGTAACATAGATTCTAGACTTTTCCCTATGTAAAAATATGTGTCATCTATCCTTTTTAAACAAATTTAATTCATATATACGAATGGTTCTATTTATTTTATTTTATTTTTATCTCTTTTTTTTGAACTTTTATTTTAGATTCAGGGGGTACATATGCCAGTTTGTCACCTGGGTATATCATGTGAGGCTGAGGCTTGGGATATAAATGTTCCATCACCCAGGTACTCAGCTTAGTACCCAACAGTTAGCTTTTGAACCCTTGCTCTCCTCCTTCCCTCCCCTAAAAGTAGGTATATATCCAAAAGAAAACACATAGTTCTACCAAAAAGACACGTGTATATGCATGTTCATCACAGTACAACAGCAAAGACATGGAATCAACATAGATGCCCATCAATGGTGGATTGGATAAAGAAAATGTGGTACATATACACCATGGAATACTACCCAGCCACAAAAAAGAAAGAAATCATGTCCTATGCAGCAACATGGAAGCAGTTGGAGGACATTACCCTCAGAGAATTAACCCAGGAACAGAACACCAACTACTGTATGTTTTTACTTTTAAATGGGGGCTAAACACTGGGTACTGCTGGACATAAAGATGGCAACAAATGGCTCTTTAAACTGCTTTTTCAGCTCAAACATGCTAAACATTATTCCAAATAAGTAAAGACAGAATGATCATCCACAGAATCATTTAAAATGGCTGTTTAATATTCTTTTACATAGATATAATACATTTTACCAACTATCTAGGAAGCTAGGATTCTTTTTGCGACCATAAGCAACATTGCGGTGAATAATCTCATGCATGTATGTTTGTGCGCATGCCCCTTGTTTCCTAGGAGCAAACTGCTGGAAGCGGAATTATATGAAGAGTATGTACCTTTTGAAGGCTCTTGATACATATTACCAAATTTTTCCACAAATGTACTGATCTAGGGTCCCTTTAATCTGAGAATCGGCATCATTTCCTTCACACCGAAGTTGGCACTGGTTACAATTCTTTTTATTTTGTTTTCCAACCCACTATATGAAAAAAATACATTCTTATTATTTTCTTCCATGTTTGATTACTAATTAGAGTTTTCATTTTTGGCATTTCTTGGCCATCTTTCTTTTCTTTTCTTTTTCTTTTTTCTTTTCCATTTTTTTGAGACAAGGTCTCACTCTGTTGCCCAGGCTGAAATGCAGTGGCACAATCATGGCTTACTGCAGCCTTGACCTCCTGGGATCAAGTGATCCTCCTGCCTCAGCCTCCCAAGTAGCTGGGACTACAGACATGTGCCATCATGCCTGGCTAATTTTTTACATTTGTAGAGTAAAAAAATTATTTAACTTTTTTTTTTTTTACTTTTTGTTGCCCGGCTGGTCTCAAACTCTTGGCTTCAAGTGATCCTCCCACCTTGGCCTCCCAAAGTGCTGGGATTCCAGGCATAAGTCGCTGTGTCCAGCCTGTATTTCTTATTTTATTAAATGCTTCTTTATTACTACGCTTAGCCGTTTTCCCATTAGGGTATTTCTCATTCTTCATTGATCTGTATGAGCATTCTATATCGTAAGCTCTGCAAACCTCCACCCAGGGAATACTCCCTTGCATGTGGGTGAGAAATCACTGTGTGGATGCTCCGGTGGAGGTGCTGCTGAAGTCAGGTTAACTCAACGGGGCCTTTAAGGAAGAGAGGTCACTCACCCAGTGGAGGGTGGGGCACAGGAGCTCCTGGTGTTTATTGTCCAAGCTGGTATTAACCAAGAGGATTGAGCTTCGGGGGACAGAAGACACGATGTTTGGCCTTGGCCTGATGCTGGGTCCCGATGATGTGAAGTGGGAAGTACTGACCTGAGTCGGCTACGCAGTGGCCCTGGGACCAGTAGCATCAGCACCACTCAGAAACCTGTTCAGCAATGCAGATTCTCAGGCCGCAGCACAGGAAACTTGTGAGCACACTTTTTTTTTATTATCATGGTAAAATATACATAACATGACTAGGCGCAGTGGCTCACGCCTGTAATCCCAGCACTTTGGGAGGCCGAGGCGGGCCGATCACCTGAGGTCAGGAGTTCGAGATCAGCCTGGCCAACATGGTGAAACCCTGTTTCTACTAAAAATACAAAATTAGCCGGGCATGGTGGCGCATTCCTATACTCAGCTACTTGGGAACCTGAGGCATGAGAATCGCTTCAACTTAGGAGGTGGAGGTGGCAGTGAGCCGAGATTGCACCAGCCTGGGCAATAAGAATGAAACTCTGTCTCAAAAAAAAAAAAAAAAAAAAATATATATATATATATATATATACAAGTATATATATACACACATATATTTTTATACGTATATATTTATATACACATGTATACATGCATATGTATATATTTATATACACATGTATACATGCATATGTATATATTTATATACACATGTATACATGCATATGTATATATTTATATACACATGTATACATGCATATGTATATATTTATATACACATGTATACATGCATATGTATATATTTATATACACATGTATACATGCATATGTATATATTTATGTACATATGTATACATGCATATGTATATATATATACATGTATATATGTATATCTCTGTGTATATATATACATGTATATATATCTCTGTGTATATATATACATGTATATATCTATGTGTATATATACATGTATATATATCTATGTGTATATATATACACATGTATATATATATCTATGTGTGTGTGTATATATATATATCTATGTGTGTGTATATATATATATCTTCCTATGTTACCCATTTTTAAGTGTTCAGTTTAGTGGCATTAAGTACATTCACACTGTTGTGCAACCATCACCACCATCATCAATCCACAGAATTCTTTTCGTCCTCCAGACTGAAATTCTGAATCCATGAAACAGCAATCCTCCACTCTCCCTAACCCCTCCAGCTCCTGACCACTGTCATTCTACTTTCTGTTGCTATGGATTTGCCTACTTAATTCCATCATCTAAGCGGAATTGAACAAAAGGTGTCTTTTGCATCTGGTTATTTCACTTAGCACAGTATCTTCAAGGTTAGTGTGTGTCAGAATTTCCTTCCCAGCTACTCAGGAGGCTAAGGTGGAGGATCGCCTGAGCCTTGGAAGTTGAGATTGCAGTGAGCCGTGATCTCACCACTGCACTCCAGCCTGGGTGACAAAGTAAGGCCCTGTCTCACACACATACACAAAAAAAAAGGCAGAAGAAGAAGAAGGAGGAGAAGGAGAAGGAGAAGAAGAAGAAGAAGAAGAAGAAGAAGAAGGAGGAGGAGGAGGAGGAGGAGGAGGAGGAGGAATTATTTCCTATAATATTCCATTGTATGCATATACCACATTTTGTCTTTTTGTTCATCTGTTCATGGCACACACTACAATTTGGCATGCAATGTGCACAGGATTTGTCAGGAATGTGGTTAAAATGCAAATTTTAATCAATTGTTCTGAGATGGAGTCTGAGACTCTACAGGAAACCTCTGGGCCACTTGCCCTGCAAGTCAGGCCAATTCTTCATCATTGCGTCAAATTCCACTCATAAAAATAAGCCACAGTACCAAGGGTTGATTTCAGTAAGCAAGTCCCACAAACTTTCTGGGAAGCTTTAAGAAAATGAAAATGCTCTCTTCTCACTTTTGCAGCTGCTGTACCCTCCTCCTACCTCTGCTGACTGCAGCAGGTCAGAGTGGGTCTGAGGGCCTCTCTGGCACGGCTGGCCTGCCCCACTGGCCCAGTTCCCGACTCCCTGAAGGCTGCTCACCTGCTTCCCCATGCCTCTGGCACTGTTTCTATCTGTCACATATATTCGACTTCTCTTACTCGAAATGAGCACCCTGAGGCTAAAAGCCTGTATTCTGCATTCATTCATTCAACAAATATTTATTGAGTGTGACTGTGTGTGAAGCACTGTTCTTTCTAGGCACAGGGGATACAGCAGAGAACAAAAGAGGCAAAAATCCCTGCCTTTGTGAGCTTTCGTGCTGGTGGAGACATCGATCATATGATAAATGAGCAAATATTAGCTAGAGATACATTTAAGCACGAAGAATAAAGCAGGGAGACAGCAAGGAATTTGGGTGATGCTGATACTTTACAGTGGTAAGCCAGGGCCGGCTTCACTGAGGAGGTGACAGTAGGGCGAAGACAAGAGGGAAGGGAGGCAGCCAGCTTTGCAGGAATCCGGAGGCTCACTCCAGCTGGAGAGAACGGCACAGGCAGAGGTCCTGAGACAGCGGGCTGCCTGGGCATGCAAGGCATAGCAAGGAGGCAGCGTGTGGCAGATGGAGTGAGAGAGACAGAGAAGGGAAGAGGAAGACAAAAAGGCAGCAGGGTGGGTCAAGAAGGATGCTTAGACCAGCAGTGTCCAGTGGAAAAAGAATGGGAGGTTGGGCGCGGTAGCTCACGCCGGTAATCCCAGCACTTTGGGAGGCTGAGGTGGGCAGACTGCCTGAGCTCAGGAGTTCGAGATCAGCCTGGGCAACATGGTGAAACCCCATCCTTACTAAAATACAAAAAAATTAGCTGGGTGTGGTGGTAGGCGCCTGAAGTCCAAGCTACTCAGGAGGCTGAGGCAGGAGAATGGCTTTAACCCAGGAGGCGGAGGTTGCAGTGAGCCAAAATCGCACCATTGTACTCCAGCCTGGGCAACAGAGCAAGACTCTGTGAAAAAAAAAAAAAAAAATAGAATGGGAGCCACATGAGTCATTTTCAATTTTCTAGTAGCTGTACTAAAAAAAAAACCCAAACAAGGAAACAATGTGTTTTACTTGACCCAATGTATCTACAATATTATTATTTCAACATGTAGTTGATAATAAAAACTAATGGATGAGCTTTTTTGCATTCTTCTTTCTTTTGTGTTAAGTCTTCAAAACCCAGTGTGTATTTGACACTCACAGCACATCTCGGTTTTGACCAGCCACATTTCAAATGCTCAATAACCATATGTGACCAGTGGCTCCGGGAGTGGGCAGCAGAGCCTAGACCGCATGAAGACCTTGGCTTTCCCTCTGAGGATGTTTTAGAATGTAGGTTTTATTATTATTCAGGTATGGCAAGGCCAACAGATCAGGAGCGGACTGCCATTGAAAAGTGAGCTGGGAGCGCTCCACACCGTAGGGGCCCCCTGGGGAAGCAAGGGGGGGAGGGAGTGGAGGGAAACATGGGCGGGAGCGTTGATTCTGATTTTCATGGGAAAGAACAGGCAAGGCAGGGTAAGCAGGTTTAGGATTGGCTGGTCTGAGTAATTTCTGCAGGCCCTGGGCATGGGACAGTCCCTACTTGTCTGGTACCTGGCCCTGGGGTGATTAGGGCAAGGGGCCAGGGGCCAGGAGCATAGTGGTGTAGCGGGGTGTGAGCTCTGGCTTAATTGCTTTGCATATGAAAGGTGCTTGCACTCAGTCATTTGCTCTCTCTAGGACCTGGCTAAATGGGGAGAGGCAGCCTCTCTAAGGTCAGCAGAGCCTCAAGAGCCTCAAGAGGCCAAAGCATCAGAAACCCATGGTTAATGGAGAGGGTTCAGGAGCTGCAGGGCTGGGCTTAGGAGGGCTGGGCTCAGGAGGGCTGGGCTCAGGAAGGCCGTGATCCCGCTGCTGTGTCTGCCGGGCTCTGGCTTCTCCTGGAAGAGAGGTGGGATGGGGCAAGGGGGCAAGGATGGGAACAAGGCTGTGGCCACACCCCAGGGAGGGGGCAGGGCTTGGGTGAGGCTGAGGCTTCGGGGGTGGAAGGAGGTGGTCCCTGCTAGACAGACTGGCAGACAAAGCAACTACGGCTGATTCCTCACGTAAGCACCTGGATGCTGAACTGAATGACAGCAGGCGCTGACTTTAGAGGAAGAGTGGGATAGCACATTTGCTGAAATACTTAGGTATCCAATAGAATTCCAGGGGCGTTTAGACAGTGAAGTAATGCTGAGAGAGACAGAGCTATTCTCCATTGGCTGCTCACCACATTGACCGGTCCTTCTGCCAGGCCTGGTTAGGTCACTGTATTTCCTGTGCAGGAGCACTGGGTCACCGCGTCCCTGCTGACCTCGGCAGGGTCAGAAGCGGGGTCCGCAGGGCGGCGGTCAGGGGCGGGGACTGTCCTCAGGGTAGGTTAGAACCTAGGGAGGGCAGCGGGCAGGCTGGGCTGAGCCCTCTTCCGTCACACAGGAAGCTGCAGGGCTTTCCTGCGGCATTCATGCTTTTTTATTCAAAGTCAGAGCTAGGGAGCTATTTGTCACTCTGCTTCCGGAGGCAACTTTATTCAGAAATCAACCGCTGCCTGGCTCCAGGGCCAGTGTCAGGAGCCAGCGGGGGTTTGTTCTGGCCAACAGCCCTCTCCTCCATCAGAGTCATCCCCACATCCAGGCGGGAGTTGCTAGAATTATCTGTTCCTGTTTCCTTCAGAGTCTGCACAGAATGCTTTGGATTCCCGAGATCTGGCTTCCTCTGTGTGTTGTCACTGACTCCAGCCCAGCTGCTCGCAGCACGGCCTGGGGAGACAATTCCCCTTTGCATTCAAAGACCAGGTAAAACAAGCCATCCATAGAGCTCACCAAGGCATGAAGTTAAACAGAAGTACGGAGTCAAGTAGAAACCACCACTTTCTGAGAATGCAGGTGGTACGGGATGGGGACACTTCACTGGCTGATCTGTTAGTGCCTGTGCCAGAAATCACAGGCTTCAGGGAGGGGCCCCTCAGAGAAGCCCCTTGGGAAGTTATACTCTCATTCCAAAGCTTTTCCCACACTCAGAGCACACTTGGAACTCCCTTCTCTTGGCAAAGGCCTTTAGAGTCCATTTAAGCTACATCGGAAACCCCATGTCATTTTTTAGAAAAAATTTTTTTATGTATAATCTACTAGATTTGACCCTGAATTTTTTTTTCTATTTTCTAAGCCCATTAAAACACACACACACACTCACACACACACTCACCCACACTCTCACACACTCACTCACACACACACACTCACACACTCACACACACACAGACACTCGACCCATGATGGCATGAAAGCAATGACTCCAAGGCCATTCATCCTGAAATGAGGGCATCATTCCCATTGGATATGTAATCTTTTATTGAAAGATTATTCCATACTTATATATAGAAAAGTGCACCAGCCGTAAGTGTACAGGTTGAAGAATATTTAGGAACTGAACACCCTGGTGCACACAGCACCCGGATGGAGACACAGAACAATAGTAATGCCTGGATGCCCTCACGGATTACCCTGGATCACTCACCTTCAAGTATGTGTGAAGTCTTTAGCCCACACCATCCAGAATAATCACCACTCTGACCAAGGTTGGGAAAGGTTGAGGAGCCTGGGGTGCACAGTGTAAGGAGGCCTCCCCTCTCAAGGTCAAGCACGTCTAGCCCCTTACATTTTGTTCTAGGTGCTTCACAGGCCTCACCCATAACTGACTTCTAGCAGCACAAAACAGTTCTGCCTGTTTTTGAGCTCCGTATAAATGGAATCTTCCAACATGCACTTTTTTGGGTCTGACATCTTTTGCTCAACATTATGGCTGAGATTCATGTTTTTGCTTGGAGTTGTAGTTTCTTCAGTCTTGTTGCTGTACAGCAGGTTCTCAAACTTTAGCCCGCATCAAAGTCACCTGCAGGGCTGGCTAAAACACAAGATTGCTGGCCCCACCCCCAGAGTTTCTGACCCAGGAGGTCTGAGATAAAATTCCAGAGTATGCTAACAGATTGTCCTGCGATACTGATGCCGCACTTTATTATTTATTTATTTATTTATTTATTTGAGATAGAGTCTCACTCTGTCGCCCAGGCTGGAGTGCAGCAGCACAATCTCAGCTCACTGCACGCTCCGCCTCCTGGGTTCACGCCATTCTCCTGCCTCAGCCTCCCAAGTAGCTGGGACTACAGGCACCCGCCACCATGCCCAGCTAATTTTTTTGTATTTTTAGTAGCGATGGGGTTTCACTATGTTAGCCAGGATGGTCTTGATCTCCTGACCTCGTGATCTGCCCGCCTCAGCCTCCCAAAGTGCTGGGATGACAGGAGTGAGCCACTGCGCCTGGCCCGCACTTTATTTTTTAAGACAGGGTCTCGCTCTGTTGCTCAGGTTGGAGTGTAGTGGTGCAATCATGATTCATTGCAGTCTTGACCTCCCAGACTCAAACAATCCTCCCACCTCAGCCTCCTGAGGAGCTGGGACTATCGGTGTGTACCACCACTCCAGGCTAATTTTTGTATTATTTGTAGAGACGGGGTTTCACCATGTTGCCTAGGCTGGCTGATGCCACACTTTTGAGAACCATAGATGAATAGTATTCCATTGTGAGAATATCCCACCTTTTACTGGCTTATTCAAATCTTGATGGACAAATAGGTTTCCAGGTTTGGACAATTACAAATCGTGCATCTCCAAACAATTTTGCACATGTCTTTTGGTGCACAGTGCATGCACTTAAGATAGGAGTGGAACTGCTAAGTCGTAGAATATGCATACAATCGGCTGTAGGTAAACATGCCAACAAGTTTTCCAAAGTGGTTGTATCAACTTACTAGGTTGGCGCAAAAGTAATTGCTCTTTTTGCCACTCATTTTAATACATTCCCATCAGCAATTTATGAGGCTTCCTATTGCTCCATATCCTTGCCAGCACTTATTGTCCATGATTTTTATTTAGACATCCTGGTGAGTGAGTACTAGTATCTCATAATGGCTTTAATCTTTAATTTGCTTTTCCCTCTTCATGGGTCTCCAGAGCTCATCACAGGTCCCCATTGAGCTGTGGACTTCAGCTTCATGTCACAAAAGTCCTCTGTGATGATGATGATGGCGGTGACCTGCTCCACAAAGCCCCCTGGGACCATAGCACCCGTCCCAAGATGACCAACTGGGTCAGAGGCAGCCACAGGCTTTCCTTCTCAGGCAAGGGTCCCTCCTTTCAAGGAAACATCTCTGTGCTCATCATTACGTTCCCCACCTGGATGTCCAAAATCCTGAATGCCACGGCTGGATTATACAGCAATGTCAATCTCTTAAAATTGGATTCAGGGCCTGGTGCGGTGGCTCACGCCTGTAATCCAAGCACGTTGGGAGTCTGAGGCAGGCGGATCACGAGGTCAGGAGATTGAGACCATCCTGGACAACATGGTGAAACCACGTCTCTACTAAAAATACAAAAATTAGCTGGGCATGGTGGTGGGCGCCTGTAATCTCAGCTACTCAGGAGGCTGAGGCAGGAGAATCACTTGAACCAGGGAGTCAGACGTTGCAGTGAGCCGAGATGGCATCACTGCACTCCAGCCTGGTGACAGAGCGAGACCCTGTCTCAAAAAAAAAAAATGGATTCAGGGCCAATCTCATTCTGAGGATTGTGTTTCCCACACTGTAAACCTGCCTGCTGGTCTACCATGCCGGAGTGGTGTAGTGCCAGGCCCCAGGGACAATACGACCCACACAGGCTCCCATGAGCAAGTGGTGCTGTGGGCTTGTGTTCAGAGTGGGGGAGGGAAGTGTCAGGGGCCAAAAGTTGACCACAAGTAGCCAGAAGAGTTCACAGACACACGCAGAAGCTAGCAAGGAAGTGTTGAGGGGCATCATCATAGAAGAGGCTTGGGACCAGGCCAGCAAGGCAGGTACCGGGACATGTAGCTTCAAACATTCTCCTAGAATGCGCTTGCTTTGCATACCTAAGAAACTTTTTCTAGCCAGTTGTGTGATCTTCACTATAGAAGTCTTGGCCCAGTTCTGACACAATAAGCATCACTCTTCTAAGGGCTAATACAGTTAATTAAAGCACACGCGTGCACACGCACACACACACCTGCACACACAAACCCGCACACACACACCCACAGACCCACATCCACGCACGCACATCCACACACACACACACACACACTCCTTTCTGGCCAAAGTGGTAGATAAAGAAATGGCCTAGACTGGGCACCCTGAATATATGTCCATTGCAGATAATTTTGAATTTTCCGTATGAATGAAGCGATCAGAGATGTGAAACAGAACACTCACATTTATTTGTTTTACTTTATAAAGTGTTAGATGAATTTTCTTCCTGCAGCAGCTCTGCCTCCTTTTCATGCTTTGCCAAATCTAATGTTATACTTCTTGTTTTCTTGCGCACATATCAGTGGCAGGGGCTCTGGGCAGTGGTGGCAAACCAGCTAAATATTCCAAGTCCCCCGAAAGCACACGGTGGACAATAGACATGCCAGCCAGCCTTGTGGGGAGCGGGAGCGTTCTGCATGCCAGTCATATCAGGTCTTCAAACCACGGCCTTCTCACTCCACTCCTTTTAACAACCGTATTCTCCACTCCTTAGGTCTCTTTACTTGTCTTTTTATTTCCTTACTTGTTTTCTGGCAGCTTCATTTTCAGCCTTGCTATGGGAAGGCGTGGACGTTCTCCCTGCTTTCTTCCTCATTCCTCCCTGCTGATTAACTTCCCAGCCATCCTCCATGAATTGCCATCATCCTCACAATTCGGTCTAAAGGTGAATATTTTCAGACATCAGCAATGATCACTGTATTCCTGCTGTCTGGTTTAGATTATTTATTGGTTGGGAATATAGGGATTTTCCCCCATTTACCAGTGGTAAAAGTTAAATTTTAAAAATCAAAATTTAGTATTCCAAGAAAATAATCATGGATATAAGCAAAGGCTACCAAGTTGTTCATCATAACATTGTCTCCTACAATAGCAATGATAATAATAATAATTAGAAAGGAACCAAATATCCATCTACAGATTAATTAAATTAAGATATATTATTGCAATAAAAGATTAAAAGCCATACAAATGGTACTGTAGAACAATATTTGATGATGCGGAGAGTTGTTTATGACAGATTATTGGTGAGAAAAAGTTAAAACCAATCTGTATAAGATGGTCCCATTTTTGTAAATGAACCAAAGCTATTCATCTATATTCACAGAAAGAAAAGAAAATACCCCACTGTGGATGAGAAATAACAAATGTTAACAGGATCAGCTCTGATTGCAAGGGACTCATTCGATTTTATTTTATTTTTCCTGGTCTACATTTTCTGCAATACTTGTGTATAAGTTTTGCAATAAGAAACAAATGATGGCTCTCAAATTTTTCAAATTAAAATTTTCAACAAATGGAGACATAGTCTTACTAGGGACCCAAAGGGGCACAGACAGGTGAGCAAATGCTCATTTTGAATCAACAATGTGCTACCAGTAAGCTCCATGGTGAGGGCCCGACCTTTTCACATGGATGCATAGTTTGGGCTTCATCTGAATTAGACTGCAATTAACCACAAAGAGGCCCCTTCATAAATTAGACACAAGTTTAAAGAATAGATGCTCGATAATGGACTGAATGCTTAACTTCCTTGTCACTGGGAAAACTTGTTCCTGAATGGTGGCTGCATTGGTCCACTAGGGCTGCCATAACACAGTGCCACAGCCTGGGAGGCTTCAGTAACAGACATTGATTGTCTCCCAGTGCTGGAGGCTGGAAGTCCAAGATCAAGGAGTCTGCAGGGTTGGTCTCTTCCGAGGCCTCACTCCTTGGCTCACAGATGGCCGCCTTCTCGCTGTGTCCTCACATGGCTTTTCCCCTGTGCACAGTCCCCTGGGGTCTCCGTGTAATCCCTTTTTTTTTTTTTTTTTTGAGACAGAGTCTCACTCTGTTGCCCAGGCTGGAGTGCAGTGGTGTGATCTTGGCTCACTGCAACCTCTGCCTCCTGGGTTCCAGTGATTCTTCTGCTCAGGCTCCTAAGTAGCTGGGATTACAGGCGCATGCCACCACGCCCAGCTGATTTTTGTATTTTTAGTAGAGTCGGGGTTTCACTCTGTTGGCCAGGCTGGTCTCCAACTCCTCACCTCAAGTGATCCACCCGCCTTGGCCTCCCAAAGTGCTGGGATTACAGGTGTGAGCCACCGTGCCCGGCCCTAATCTCTTCTTATAAAGACACCAGTCAGGCCGGGTGCAGCTGCACGCCTGTAATCCCAGCACTTTGGGAGGCCAAGGCGGGTGGATCACTTGAGGTGAGGAGTTGGAGACCAGCCTGGCCAACACAGTGAAACCCCGACTCTACTAAAAATACAAAAATCAGCTGGGCGTGGTCGGTGCGCCTGTAGTCCCAGCTACTGCCTCCAGCTGAGGCAGGAGAATCGCTTGAACCCGGGAAGCGGAGGTTGCAGTGAGCCAAGATCATGCCCCTGCACTCCAGCCTGGGCAACAAAGAGCGGAACTCCATCTCAAAAAAAAAAAAAAAGAAAAAAAAGACACCCGTCAGATTGGACCAGGGCCAAACCACCGTCACCACCTCATTTTAATTTAGTGACCACTTCTAAGGCCTTACCTGCAAATACAGTCACATTCTGAGGAGCTAGGGGTTAGGGCTTCAACACATGAAGCTTTGGGGGACACAGTCCAGCCCATCAGAGTGGCTTCCTTGTTTTCTGAGTGAGAAGAACCTCAGACAAACAGGAAGGGGAAATGCTGCCTGACTTAGACCATCACATTTACCTGACACTGTTTGCAGTTTCCCCTCTGTCCACCAGGAGGCAAACTTCTAAAGTGCTTATTTGAAAATTCTTGGTCCCTGGGGCTGTTTTTATGAGCCTTGATTTTTAACCCTTTATAGCCTAAGCAGTTTCACTAAATAAACAATTGTTGGAAATAGAGAACACTGTGCTGTTCAGTAACATCACTTATTATCAGCTCAAGTCTCAACAGGTCATTCTTCCCTTTCTTTGAAAGTTCAGGCTCATAGACTAATAGTTTTCCATTACTGGATTTGAATATCTCAACAACTTCAAAGTCAGTTGTATGAAAAAAGCAAGTCTTTGCTCCTATTTTTTTTTATCATAACTCATACAAGTTTAGTTTCATTACATCTTCTAAGTACCTTATGAGATAGTTAAAGAGGTATCATGCAAGAGTGGAGAGAAAATGAATTTTGAAGTCAGAGGGCTTGAATTTATTTATTCAATCATTCATCCAATCAACAAACATTTGTTGTTGCCAACCAGGGAATGAGCTGGGTGCTGGATTCAAGTCCTCATTCTGCCACTTGGCAGATATTGCTACCATGAGCACGTGAAACTCTCATATTTCTGCTTCCTTGTTTGTAAAAGGGGAATAAAGCTGAACTTAAAGGACCGTTTTAGGACTTGATGTGGTCAGGTGCTCGGAAAGGTTTGGAAAACTTCAGTGTGCAAAGCCTGTCCATCGTTACATATGTGCCGTGGTTAGCCTCCACTTTGGAGAGCAGTTTAAGTGCCATGTCCAGGGCCTGCCTGCTTCTGAACCTCTGTACTATGTATACGGGTGGGCAGGGTGGGAGCAGGAGGTAACTTATCTCAAATATTCTAATTGATCATCTCTGGGGTAGTGTCCGGGAACACCCACCTGCTAATACGTTCACCAGAGCACCACAGCTTCATCCAGGGCGGCACTCCTCACCGCAGCACTGCTGATATTGGGGCTTGACGGTTCTTGGTTGTAGGGCCACCCTGTGCATTGCAGGGTGCTGACAGGCATCCCTAGCCCCCACCCAGTAGATGCCGGCTGCACACCTCCCCACTTAGCGAGAACAAACATGTCTCTAGACATTGTCAAATATCTCTTGGGGGACAAAATCGCTCCCAGCTTGAGGACTACTGAGCTACATAGATTAGATTGGTCACATTGTTGCCATCAAGCAGACCCACAATTCCAACCCTGTACCCTCTCCTGGGTCCAGCACCCTCAGTCCAGCCCTCCTGACTGGTCTACACTGTCTGCACCCTCATTTTTAACCCATTAGAAACTCACTTAGCTTTACTTAGAAAAACTAAAATCAGCAACTTTCTATGTAAACTAATAAAATATTTTCAATTAGTGCAGAAAACGAAGGCTCTTAAGGCTGGGGTCATTGCAAATAAGATGCCAATACTTTAGAAGGCAGCAGTGAGAGTTCCTGGAGTCTCCTCAGGCTGAGATCACTGTGGTGAAGGGTCCCTAGCAGGCCTCAGCAGGGCTCAGGTCCCTGGCTGTCCACCTCACCTCAGGCAGCTGGTCTGTGTTCTCTCTGCTCCTTCTCAAGTGCTGGTGAGGTCTGAGGGTCTGGGCCTTCGAAAAGTGCTGCTTTTCCTGAGTCTGGCTCAAGCCTCAGAGCTTGCAAAACCCATACTGGGAGTGAGAGCCTCTCCCCTCCCGTGACACCCTCTGCTCCCTCCCACTGGGGCACAGTATGGATGATCACACGTGGGTTTCTGCACGCTCCTCCTTCATTGGGTGAATACCATGTACCAGTCATGCTTGACATAGATGAGCCCCGTGAACAGGTGTGCGTCCCCTCAGAGGGGGGTGTCATGATGAATTCTGGTTTATGAATGAGGAGCAGGCGTTCAGGCACCTGTGCCCGTGGTCACAGGTGAGTCCCGATCTGCCTCTGGACTCATTGCTTCAGCATCTCTGCACCCACTGGGCAGTTAATGACACCTGCCTGGTCAGCCACCTTGTGTGATCTACCTGATCCAATGACAGGCTCCATAGGGCAGGAGCCATGGTCTAGAAGGCCGCGAGTATCTGCCAAGGCACTGATGATGTATGTAGCCCCGTGGATTGACTTAGTGGTTTCTCTCCTCTCTGCTGGGAAGGTATGTACTTTGCCTCTTGAAAAATCATCAGGGGGCCGGGTGTGGTGGCTCACGCCTGTAATCCCAGCACTTTGGGAGGCCAAGGCGGGCAGATCACGAAGTCAGGAGATGGAGACCATCCTGGCTAACATGGTGAAACCCCGTCTCTACTAAAAATACAAAAAATTAGCCAGGCATGGTTGCAGGCACCTGTAGTCCCAGCTACTCCAGAGGCAGAGGCAGGAGAATGGCGTGAACCTGGGAGGTGGAGCTTGCAGTGAGCCGTGATCGCGCCACTGTACTCCAGCCTGGGCAGCAGAGTGAGACTCCGGCTCAAAAAAAAAAAAAAAAAGAAAAAAAGAAAAAAAGAAAAATCATCAGGGAACTAGGGACTTAGTGTCTTTGTGCCTGCTCATGGAAAGGGCTGTTATTAATGTCACAATCATGCAGTCACATCTATGGAGATGACCCTTCTCCTGGGAAAGCCATGGAAGTCTTTGTTTGTCAGGAACCTGTGTGGCTTTCTTACTGTTTAGTGGACAAAATGGAAGCAGCACTTAAAATCTCATGCTGGAGATTTCATCCCTCTATTGTTTGGGATACAGAGAGTCTGTGTAACACACACATATCAAGAGGGAAGCTGGGCACCAGTCAGAATTGACGACGGGCCAGAAATCAGCAGGCTGAAGAGAAAACAAATATGGCTTCAATGAAAAACAGAAAGAACTGAGAATCAGATGCGAAAGCGCTGAAACCAGCACAGTGTGCGGTACTGTGGCGGCTAAAGGGGATGGGAAACGGGTCACAGGCCTCAGGGTTTCCCCCTGTACAATGGACACACTGCTATTGCCAACTGAGTGAGCTAGCTTTTGTAAGTAGCTTGAAATATTCATACCTAAACGTTATTTCTGTCCTCTGTCATCTGTCTTTTCGCTGTTACTCTTTTCTGGAGCCCAAAAGGGCCTTTTACCTTGTTTGTGCCCCAAAACGAGGAGTGTGCAGAAACCCACATGTGATCATCCATCCTGTGCCACAGTGGGAGGGAGCAGGGGATGTCACGGGAGGGGGAGAGGCTCTCACTCCCAGCATGAGTCTCACGCGCTCTGAGGCTTGAGCCAGACTCAGGAAAGGCAGCACTTTTCAAAGGCCAGGGCCCTCAGACCTCACCAGCACTTCAGAAGGAACAGAGAGAACAGGGACCGGCTGCCCGAGGCAAGGTGGACAGTCGGCGACCTGGGCCCTGCCGAGGCCTGCTAGGGACCCTTCACCACAGTGACCTCTGCCTGAGGAGACTCCAGGAACCCCCACTGCTGGCTTCTAAAGTATTGGCATCTTATTTGCAGTGACCTTCCATGTGTGTTGCCTGCCCGGGTTAATAGCCTTAAGAGCCTTCGTTTTCTGCACTGTTTAAAAATATTTTATTAGTTTACATAGAAAGTTGCTTACTTTACTCAGCTTTCTAATTCTTTAAGATCTGAGGCCTCTAGTTTACAACTTGATCCATTTTTAACCACCTTAATTTCCTTCCTGTTGTTGTCTAGAATTTTTCCCTTAACGTTTTGTCTTCTATCTTTAAAATTTTCCTCATTCCTTTTAGTGTGACTTATAAATCATTTTAGTTTCCTGAAGCTGACACCCTTTTATCATCCACATCTTAATTTTTACTTACCTGAATACATTTATTCGTAAAAACAAATTACTACCCTTTTATATCTCCTTCTCACATTTTGTTCGTCTTAATCTCTTTACTTGTTGCTGTTCCTTTTAGTTTCTTAGTTGGGTTAATATCTGCTTTCTTTTTTGGCTCTGGCTTGTAAGAGACAGGCAAGATGTGTGTGTCCCAGACGAGAGGATGGGGAGGGAGTGCAGGCTGGGAGTGCGGGCCAGGGACAGGGATCTCTAGCTGCAGCCAACTGTGCTCTGGCTCTGCTTTACACAGCTTCCATCCTCTTAGCCACAATCTTAATCTATGAGGACCGAGGTGCTGGTGCTCCTCCCCAGCGTGGTGACTATTAACCAGGGCAGGCGGCACACTTGAATTCATTCATTTAACAGATACCTGGTGCCACTGTGGGAACAAGGTGCCTCCCTCCCTGGCTTGTTCTGGTGGTGGCCAGACAAAAGCAAGCTTCCAGAGGTGATGGGAACCAGAAAGGACATTTAATAAAATTTAATAAAACATGAGACACAGGCCAAAGAGAGATGAAGTGAATAGCAGGAGGTTAGTGGACTTAGCAGAGAAGGTGGCAGAGCCCTGATCCTGATTTCTCTCTGTCTAAAGATAGGCAGAGTCCCTTCTGCATCAGCTGATGATGCCTGGGGACAGAGAACCAGGGAAGGTCTGAGGCAGGAGGCCTCAAGGACTTTGCAAGGAGCTTTGCTCTTTGTGCTTCTATGATGAACACTCATAACCATTTATTTCCCTTTGCTCTTCTGTTGTTTGTCTGTTTGGATCCATGGGACTTCTGGAAATAAAAATTGTTGGAAAATTCCATTTAGAAAGAATGACCAGAATGGTGTTGATGTGCCACTTGTATACTAACCACTTCCCCTTGTCAGGCACGAAAACATGAAAATCACATACAAACAAGCACAAGAAAGGGTCTATGCCACCTGGAGTGATCGGACAGTGGGGAGGCCGTGGACGGCCCCTGCTTCCTCAGGATGAGAGGTGGGCCACATTCTGCCCTCTCCTCTCATGCGGAGGTCAGTGCAGCGATCCTGCAAGAACAGGAAGGGACACGAGACCACACGAGGTTGGAGCAGCCATAAAGCAGAAAACCTCTCTCTCTTTGTGAGCACGTGTTGTAGGGTGGTTAGCCTAGAGAGGTAAGCCCCAAGAGTGTCATAACTATTCAGCAAGCTTCGTGGAACGGTGAGCATCCTTGGCCATCCCAGGAGTCTCCCTCCACCTGCAGGACCTCTGGCGCCTTAGCTGGGCAGGAATGTGTTTCCGGAAGTCCACCTTCAGATCCTTGGTTGGAGCTACAAAGCCAAGCAAGGGTCTGTCTACACGATGGCCCCAATGGGCAAACAAGGCAAGATGTCCCCCAAGTGGGCAAGGCCTGCCACAACCTGGGAAGCCAGCCAGCCGCTGGAATCTAGCCCGATCCCCTTCTTCAGCAAAAAAGTCAGACAAGGCTGGCCAGGCCAGCAGGCGACTCCAGGCGTGGGCTGGGAGGGAACAGGCTTGTCAGAGGGGGAAGGTCAGAAGACAAGCAGGGAGCAGTGATGACAGGCCCCCGTAAACCGCACAGGTGGCCCAGCTCCTTCCAGGGCCCAGGACAGAACTGATGAGGGCGACGCTCCACCCGGACCTCCATGCAGTGCCTCTGGTTTGACTTTAGGAAGAGAACGAGGGCTAAGTCTCCTGTGAGGTCTCCAGGGAAGGAGGCCATATAGAGGATGCAGAGGCAGGGCCCTGAGACCTTTTCTGAAGGGACCCTGCCTCCTCTCCCTCCTTGCAAGGCCACTAGAGGGTTCTCATGGGGTGGGGTCTTCTGCAGAGGATGGGGGAGAAGTCAGGTGGGACTCTCCCTCTTGCTTCAGCATTCACACAAATACTGGACCCCGTGGCTGGCCCCTCTGGAATGCTCAGCGCCTTGGAGAAAGGGGCGCCTGCGGCATCTTCCCGTCCTAAGTCTCACCTCCTCTGGCAAGGGTGTCACACTTCCAGTGGCCTCCCAATCGCCTTTTCTCAATTGGTCCCATTACATCCACATTTAGCTTAAGCGAATTCAACTGTAGGTGCTCAAAGAAAACTTTAAACGAAAAACAATGTAAATAAAGTGTGTGATTCTGCCAGCCCTTCCCCGCAATAAGCATATGCCCCAGAGAGCGGATCTGCCAACGTTTGCATCCAATTCTGAGCCTCTCCGAGGTGCGAGCATCTCGCACACCAGTGTTTAGAGTGACAATACATCTTTTTCATACAACATGACCTCGAAATGCAAGCCAAGCCGATTGCTTCCTCTGGTGCTCAGCCACAGAGACGGCCATCTGTCCCAATGCTGCAGGAAAACTGGCTGCGTTGTGTTTACTAGAGGCTGTGTTTCAGACACCAGCCTCTGATCTCCCTGGAGAATTCTTTTCTCCCAAGGTAATTTTGGTTAGACTTGATTTTCTCCTTAATGTTGACTTGAGAATCTACCTAACTGCTGTCTGAAATGCAACTCCACTCTGGCTCTTTTCCTACTAAGCTGCGAGCTCCTTGAAAGGTGGGCCATGTCTGCTTCATGTTTCCAATCCCAGCACATGCCTGGCACACAGTAGACATGGTGCCATGGAGGAATGAAGAGGCCAGAGCCTCCCTGAGGATAGGTTCCTGGCCATTCTCACTCATTTCCCTAAGGGTGGGCAGATTGAGATCTCCGAGGATGATTTGATTCCATTTCAGATCGGGATGAAGATGATGCAGCTCCTATCTATCTCTGCTGTTTTCGCCCACGATACCTTCTCATCTTTCTTTGGAGGGTCCCTGACAATTTTCTTCTGGTGGCCACTGCTGAGCAGCTGACACACACAGGGACTGCTCCATGCTGTCAACTCTTGCTTTTCGTAAGAACTTCTCCCTGGCACATAATAGGTAAGTGCTCAATAAACACACATTGAATGTTGAGTGAACAAATGAATAGAGAAATACCTAGTCTACCAGGTAACTACTCCTTAAGCTCTTTCCCTTTGATTTTCAGGCTCTTGCTAATATACAGCCCACTCTTCCCAGGAACAGCCTTTAGTAGAGTTTCCTAAGCACAGTGTGTGAATGTTACTTCTGAATTTATTCCTTCATCTCCTGATTTGGGTTCCTCCCAGCAGGGCGAATGGTAACCCTTAGATGGCTACAATGATGACACTGTGTTTGCCTCTATTCTATACATCCCATGATGGAAATAATTGTCTCTGTAAATCTGAACACCATGGACCACGATGGCCTCTCCTCCAATTGATCTGGACCGGAGGGCTTTTTGTCCAAAGCTCTGTCTCCTGGAGATTGTTATGTTAATTTCAATAGAAACCGCTTCATCGGCATCAGGTTCAATTTCATGTGACTCAGCTGGCCACCCTTTAGTTCCCTAAACTTGGATGCCATTGGAATCACATGGGGAGACCTAACTAGGTCTCGTTCCTGAGACCTAACCTAAGAGATCCTGCTTCGATTGGTCTGTGGTAGGGCCCAGGCTTTGGTGTATTGTAAGAGCGCCCCAGGAAATTCTAACAGGTGTCCAGGTTCAAAGAACCATTTCACCTAATCACTTCTCTCTGCCACTCTCTGGAAGATTGGATCACACCTTTCTTCCCTACCTTCCCTTTCCAAATGCTAACTCCCCAAGAGAGGATTGCCCCATCCTCCCAGCACCACGTGGACACACCAGCACTTGTACCCAAGTGCTCTGTCCTGGATCCCACCTCAATGCCAGCTTAAGCCTAAGTGGGGCTTCTCTCCCACTCTTGATCACTGTCTCTTGCCTGCACCATTCATTTCTCCTTCTGTACTGAATCCCTCTCCAACAGTGCAATAGGACCTCCTGTTTAAAATACTACGTCCTGCCGAGCACAGTGGCTCACACCTGTAATCCCAGCACTTTGGAGGCCGAGGCAAGTGGATCACTTGAGGTCAGGAATTTGAGACCAGCCTGGCCAACATGGTGAAACCCTGTCTGTACTAAAAATACAAAAATTAGCTAGCTGGGTGTGGTGGCACATGCCTGTAGTCCCAGCTACTCAGGAGGCTGAAGCAGAAGAATCCCTTGAACCCAGGAGGTGGAGGTTGGAGCGAGCCGAGATCGCGCCATTGCACTCCAGCCTGGGTGACAGAACGAGACTCTGTCTCAAACAAAAACAAAAAAACCCCACTATGTCCTAGTCACCACCTCCCTCCAGCCATGCCCCGACTCTCTGCTCCCTTCCATGCCAGTCTCCTCTCTTCTAGGCAGCTGGCTGCACTCTCACTGTCCACATCCTTGTCTGCCCTTCTGTTTGTCAGCTTTTCATCTCAGTATTGCTCTTGTCAAGGTCACCAGCCCTGACCTCTATCTAGCCACATCCAACGGTCACTTCTCACCTGCATCTCATAGACCACTGGTGCTGTTTATTCTCTTGGCTTTCAGGTTCCACACTCTCATCTCTCATTTGCCTCATTGGATACTGGTCTTAGGCTCTTTTGCTGGATCCTCCTTCTCTTCTTAACCTCTAAACATTTGAAAGCCCTAGGCTCAGTCTTGGCTGTGTTCCCTGCTCTCCTCTACCTGCACATGCGTTAGAAGTGCTCCTGCCCAGCCCCAGAGGTTCAACACCGTCTATTTCTGAGCTATACAGTATGGCAGCTGCCAGCCACACGTGGCTACTGAGCACTTGAAATGAGGCTGGTCCAACTGAGATGTGCTGTCACTGTGAAAACACACCCAATGGTGACAACTTAATATGGGAAGATAATGTAAAATAGTAATGTTTTTGTATTAATTACATGCTGAAGTGATAACATTTTCGGCTAAGTAGAATATGTTAAAATTGATGTCTTTCGATTCTTTCTACTTTTTTAAAACAGGGCTGCTGGAAATTTTTAGATTATCTCTAGTCTATACGGTGATGACGCCTACATTTTCTAACTCTAGCCTCTGGTCTCTAGGTTTTAGAATGTTGTACTAATCAGGGTTCTCCAGAGAAACAGAACTAATAGTGTGTGTGCATGTACGTGTGTGTGCGTCCGTGTGTGTGTGTGTGTGTGTGTGTGTGTGTAGAGGTTTATTCTAGGTAATTGGTCCATGTGATTATAGGGGTTGGCACATCTGAAATTTGAAGGGCAGGCTGGCAGCCTGCAGACTCAGGAAAGAGGTGATGTTGCTGGAGTCTGGAGGGAGACTGCTGGCAGAATTCCTTCTTCCATGGGAGACCTCGGTCATTTTCTCTTAAGGCCTTCAACTAATCTGATCGGATAAGGCCCATTCGTTTTACAGAGGATCATCTAATTTACTCAAAATCTATTGACTTAAATGTTTATCTCATCTTTAAACAATTACCTTCACAGCCACATCCAGATTGGTGTTTGACCAAATATCTGGGCACCGTAACCCAGCCAGGTTGACATGTAAAATTCACACAGGTTCACTTGAGTGTCTAATGGCCACTGCAAACTTCACATGTTCCAAACAGAACTCTCTTGCTGTTGCCCCCACAATGGCTCCTCCCCACCTTGGTACGTAATACCCTCATTCACCGAGTTGCTCAGTCCAAGCCCTGGGATCCCCCTGACCACTTTCTTCCTTCATCTCTCATATCCTGTCTGTATTAGGGTTCTCTAGAGGGACAGGACTAATAGGATAGATGTATATATGAAGGAGGGGTTATTAAGGAGTGTTGACTCACATGATCACAAGGTGAGGTCCCACAATAGGCCATCTGCAAGCTGAGGAGCAAGGAAGCCAGTCTGAGTCCCAAAACCTAAAAAGTAGAGAAGCTGACAGTGCAGCCTTCAGTCTGTGGCCAAAGGCCTGAGAGTCCCTGACAAACCACTGGTGTGAGTCCAAGAGTCCAAAAACCGAAGAACCTGGAGTCCAATGTTCAAGGGCAGGAAGCATCCAGCACAGGAGAAAGATGAAGTCAGGAAGACTCAGCCAGTCTACTCCTTCCACACTTTTCTGCCTGCTTTCATTCTAGCCGCACCGGCAGCTGATTAGGTAGTGCCGATGCAGATTGAGGGTGGGTCTGCTTCTCCCAGTCCACTGACTCAAATGTTAATCTCCTTTGGCAACACCTCACAGACACACCCAGGAACAATACTTTGCATCCTTCAATCCAATCAAGTTGACACTCAATACTAACCATTACACCATCCATCAGCAGGTTCTGCCTGCGCTACTCTCAGCTTAGATTCTGACTCGGACAATGGCACATGGTCCAAGCCGCCATCCTCTCTCACCTATCTGTAATAGTGCTTCCAACTGCCTCCCCGCTTTCCCCTCCATTTGCAGACACATCTCCACACAGCAGCTGGAATCACCTTTTTAAAACACCAACCTTACCATGTAACTCTTTATCTCAAAATCTTAACGGCTTGCTATCACACTGAGAATAAAATCAGAAATCTTGACCAAGGCCCACAGCATGCAAAGACCAGCCCTTGCATTGCCAGTTTCTCTGATCTCATGGCCTAACTCACTCACTCAGATCCAGCCACGCCAGCCTTCTTGAAGTTCCTTGGATGTGTCATTCCCATCTCCAGGCCTTTGTGCCTGTGGCTCACTTACTTGGAGCACTCTTTTTAAAAAATTTTTAATTATTATGGGTACATAATAGGGGTATACACTGACGGGGTCCATGCAATGTTGTGATACAGGCATGTGATGGGTAATAACCACAACAGGGCATTTGGGGTGTCCATCACCTCATACATTTATCATTTCATTGTGTAAGGACAATCCAATTCCACTCTTTCAGTTATTTTTATTGGGTTTTTTTGTTTTGTTTTGTTTTTGAGATGAGATCTCACTCTGTCACCTAGGCTGGAGTGCAGTGGTACAATCTCAAGTCACTGCAACCTCTGCCTCCAGAGCTCAAACGATCCTCGTACGTTAGCCTCCTGAGTAGCTGGAACCACAGACATGTGCCACCATGCCTGGCTAATTTTTGCATTTTTATAGTGATGGGGTTTCATCATGTTGCCCAGACTGGTCTCAAACTCCTGGACTCAAGCAATCTGCACGCCTCGGCCTCCCAAAATGTTTGTATTATAGGCGTGAGCCACTGTGCTGGGCCTTTTAGTTATTTTTAGATATGTAATAAATTATTGTTAACTATAGACATGCTGTTGTGATATAAAATATAGATCTTATTCATTCTAACTGTATTTTTGCACCCATTAACCATCACTCATATGTGGGAACTAAACATGGCAACAATTGAACTCGTGGAGATGGAGAGTAGACTCATGGTCACCAGAGGTGGGGAAGGGCAATAGGGAGGTGGGAGCACCCTCTCCCCACCATCTTACGTTCATTCCCTCCCTTCCTGTCCTGCTGTACCTGGCTTGGCATCTTGGCGCCTTCCATGAGGGACCACCTCCCTTGAGCCTACACATTGCTTCTTGCAGGTCAGCAGGGTGCTGATTTGACTGTGGAAGCCCTTCTCCAGGCCATGCTCTGTCTCTCCAAGGAGAAAATGCAGAGGTGAGTTTGCTCATCACATACTGCTGGGACCGCTGAGCTCCATCCAGGCCACACTCAAACTCTCTCATCAGTAAAGTGACAGTAACAAGAGCTTCCATCTCATAGGTTTGTTTGAGGATTGCATGATAATCTTTGCAAAGTGCTGGTATGTAGTAAATATTCAACAAATGCCAGCTAAGATATTGCTGACCTTATTAGTCACACAGTTAAGGAACTAAGCACCATGTAACGAGAGAGTGGCAGCCTATAATCCGGGTTTGTGATTGTACCAACTTGCCACTGAATAAGAGGCTAAGGGATAGAGTTATTTATATTTGCAGGAAGGGTGTGTGATCCAGGTTTTAAGAGAGAATCAAGTCTCACACTGGATACAGAGTTAGCAACGGCTACGAAGAGAGGGTTTGATATTTTTTCCCTTTACTCTGTGTTGGCTTTATTGGGTCTTCCTTTTTTCCAACTCAGCATGTTTGGCCCTCTGGTCCCAGCAAGTGGCATACTGATTTTAAGGTGAAATTTGTTATCCTGGCAAATTAAGAGTACATTGGGAGAATGAGCTTCTCACTGAAACTGGCACATAAAATGAGAACTGCAGCCCCAAATCAATGAAAAGATAGAAGGAAGCAACACGCTGCTTTAAATGAGTTTTGGTCTCTAGACGTAGAGGGACTGTAATCGCAGACTGCTAATGGGATTTGCAAATGTCGTCTCAGAACCACTATCTGCAATCCTCAAGAAACGTGACATGGGAGGAGTGCCAAAGGACTGGAGATGGATAATATGAGAGGAATTTTCCAAATGTGGAAGCAATAAGAATATATTGAACACTAGATTGAATTTCACTCAATCTTTCTCTGATGATTCAGAGAACAATTAGAATTATGCATTGCTTCAAGGTCATTGCACCAAATGAAGCTTATTGCGTACTGTAAATGGGCAGATGTTCACATTAATGCACAAACTGTTAACAGTTAACAGCTTTCTGGGCAACAGGGCTTGATTTGTTAATAATCTCTGCCAGTTACTGGGCACCCCATGTGCCAGGAGCAATAAGTGTTTTCCTTACGTTTGCTTCTTTCATCCTTTCTGCCACCCTGGGAGGTTGCATTTTGAGGGCATTGAAACTTAGAGAGAAGGAATCGCTTCCTTCTCCACAGCTATACAGGTGACATGATAAGAGGCAAGACAGCAGCACAAATGTTAACTTAATTTAAAGGTAATTGATCTTAACCTCTACTCTGTGCTGCCTAGAAACATCCAGACTGCATTCCATGAGCGAGAGGCCAAAGAGAAGCCAGGAAAGGAGACAGAAAATAAGCAATCATGAGAACAGGCTCCTGAGAACAGCAATCATGAGGCTCCTGAGACATTCCTCACACATTTCACCTCTAGGGCACATTTCCCATGTTTTTTCCTGCAGGATAAACACAGTTTTACATGAAAATGGCATGAGCTACTTTAAGTCAAGGTTCAAAATCACGTCATGTGAAGCAGATTTGATCTGATGAATGGGAATCTAGGCACGTTCCCTGTTGATGTAGTTATGGTTTCCCGTCCTTACGGCCAATACACATCCTCTGAGACCAGTCTATTATTTATGTTTTGTTCATATAAACAACCCCCCAACTTTCCTGTGTTCTGCACTAAATTACTTATTTTTTAGTAGCCATGGGCCCTGGTAGGAAGCTAACAAAACCCTCAAGTCAGATAATTGAGGGAAGCTTAATGAAGGGGCTATGCACGAAGATCCAGGCAGGGTTGAGGAAAACCAACAGGGTGAGGATGAAGATGCCACAGCTCCGCAGCTCACCCGCCCTAGAAGGACCAGGACCAGGAGCAGAATCCAGAGCTTGGAGAGGACAGCTGGAGGCAAGGCTGTCTGCCCTGAGCCAGGACCTGAGCCTCCCCAGCAGGGAGTGGGCTGGAGAATCTGTATTCCAGCCTCACTTCCTTCCCACCTGCAGATGCTGGCAGGGCCTCCCAACATAAGTCACAGAGCAAGAGAGCCTGATCGTTCCCAGGACACAGAGCAAAGTGGAGGAAGCTGCAAGATGGATCTGGGAGAGTGAAGAGAAGATACCCTAGCACAATCCCCTACTCCTCCCCCAAAATGAAATTAAAACAATGAAAACAGAAGCAAATGGAAAAAGCAAAGCAATAAAATAAATGAAATTATATATGTGTGTGTATATATAAAATACATGTTTTTTAAAAAATCAAAACAAAAAACACCCATCAAGAGGTCACAAACTGGAGGCCGGGCACGGTGGCTCACGCCTGTAATCCCAGCACTTTGGGGGCTGAGATGGGCAGATCACCTGAGGTCAGGAGTTCGAGACCAGCCTGACCGACATGGTAAAACCCCATCTGTACTAAAAATACAGATATTAGCTAGGTGTGGTGGCAGGTGTCTGTAGTTCCAGCTACTTGAGAGGCTGAGGCACGAGAATCACTTGAACCTGGGAGGCAGCGGTTGCAGTGAGCTGAGATCATGCCAGCCCGGGTGACAGAGTGACTCTGTCTCAAAAAAAAAAAAAAAAAAAAAAAAAGAGAGAGAAAAGAAAAAAGAAAAGAAAAAAAAAAAGAGGTCACAAACTGGCCCTCGAGCAGAAAATAGCCCCAAGACAATTTGATTTGGCCTGGTACTTGTCTTACAGACATTTGAACATTTGAATTTATTGCCAATATATAAACTTGGGAGGTTTTACATAGAAATCTGGATTTCCTGTGTTTCTTGAACAATCCAAAGATTCAATGGCCCCATAGTGGGAGCTGAGGGCCTGCTGCCCTCTGGAGGGAAGACAGAGAGCTGCAGCCTCCAGGCACTGTGGCGCCCGCCCCCGCCCTCCCACCTCTACTTGACTGATGTCTGCAAACTGCTGGGCCTGGGTAGGCAACTTAGACTTACACCGATCCAGAGAGGCCCATGCAACTGAGTAGAAACAGTAATTCTAAGCTCTCTGGTCACCAAAGCAAAGAGGGAAAAGGATAGGGTTCTTTATATTATAAAAGTAAGAATACCAATTCATCAGAAGAGGAAAGTTTTAATAGTTTCAGTTCTGAAAAATACCCATAGCAGAAAGGCACATCAGCTCTTTTTCTCCTACAACTTTTGATGCTCACGAGAAGCTCAGCCCAAGGCGGAGAGGAAATGGCTGTAGCAATGAAGACTGCAGAGTTCCTGCTATCAGCTGCTGCTCAAAACCCCTCAGTGGCTCCCCATTGCCCCGGAGCAATGATTCTCAACAGGGGGCAACTTCATCACCCAGGGGACACTGGGCAATGACTGGAGACGTTTTTGATTGTCATGACTGGGAGGCGCCACTGGTATGTTGTAAGCCCAGCCAGCAATGCTGCAGAACATCGCACAATGTACAGGACAGCCTCCTGCCCTGCCTCACAACAAACAATTATCCAGCCCCAGATGTAAGTAGTGCCAAAGCCAAGAAACCCTGCTCTAGAATCAAGTCCAGAATCTTATCCAACTTCCAAGATCTCCATTGCCTGGCTCCTGCTCCTATCAACCATCTCCTCCTTCAACCAACCCTGCTCCCCGACTCACACTTGGTCATTGGTTGCCCACTCCTTTTGTGCCATGTCCTATGTTTGGCCTTTTGAGTATGCTGTTTCTTCCATCTGAGACACAAACTCGTTCACCTTCATCACCTAGGGGCAGTCTATGTCCCTCAGGGATCATCATCTATATCCCTTAGACATCACTCCACTTCCTTAAGGGAGCCTGTCTCTGAAACCCCCAGGACACCCTGCAGGATGGTAATGACCACACTTTAGTGTCATCTCTGGACTAAGTCTGCGAGGGCAGGGAGCGGGGCTGTCTTGACTACTGAATCCCCAGTACCTGCATAGAACATGCACCCGATCTGGCCACACACCCTCTAATCTCGGTCCTCTAATAGTCTTAAATAAATAAAATCCAACTTCTACCAGAAGCTTTAGTTTTGTCTCCAAGATAACCAGCATGAATCAAGCAGCTCTGGGGAGAAAGCGGATGAGTTTGAGAGCTGCACTAGCTCACTTCCCAGCAAGCGCTGGCTCTGGCAAGCCCTTGCAATTCTACCTCCCACAAGAAAACATTTGGTTTACAGGTTGGTCTGACTTGGCTTTGGAATACCAAGAACACAATCAGTATAAGTACCATCCAGTGTTAGTCAGCACGGATTCACAGAAGTTCTCATTCTACATATTTATTAAGAAATCCATCAACCCACACTTTTCTAGACAGAGCAATTTCAGACACTTCCTGTCTCCAAGAAGTCATTGCTAATATTGAATTCCAATAGTATGCGAAACTGTGGCTGGCAGCCAATAAGAGATGCTTTAAACCCCAACTCTCCCTTGATAGCCCGGCAATTTGTGAGTAACTTATCAGGCAGCAGAATTCATGGAGCTCTGAAGGCTGGGCCTTTCCCCTCTGGTGGCAAGAACTGGGTGAAAATTGATAGCCCCAGTGGAGCCACTTTTGGAATCAAAGTTGCATCCATACTTGCCCTGAGTCCACAACAGAATATAATTTTTCCAGAAGACTTGTCCATATACCCCGAAGTGACATGGGGCAATGCGGGGACACATTTGCTTTCTCCAACTGGAAGGCAGGTGCCATTTCTAGACCTGACTAGCGCAAGGCAGGGTTGGAGGGGGTGCCAGTGCCAGCTAGCTCGGGCCCCTACCTGCTGCTGGACCTCAGGTCCTCGGGAGATAAGAAAGCCCATCTGCCCGCCCAGCATGGCCCCACTGTAATGAGTGCAGCAGGCGCCTTGTATTTCCTCTCTGCTGGGAACTTGTAATGTCTGTTGAATGCAACCAGAATCTCGAAAGTGAGGAGCCTTAGGGAGAGAGGGCCTCCAGCTGTAAATATTAACAGCAGCCGCGTGAAACGCAGTGTTTTCTGTTGACAGGTGTTCCCTGGGGGAGGGCCCCCGCAAAGAGTGACTACATCACCAGAGTCTTTCAGCACCCCTGACAGTAGACACGACAGTCCACAAAGAGGTGTAGAAATGACAGCTCTGTTAATATAATGACATTAAATGTGACTCACTATCAGGAGCAGGAAGCAGCAGCCATGATGTTTTTCTTTCTTTCCGTAGTAATGGTCTGAGCTGCTGGGCTGTGCACATTCTCTAGGAGTCAGTCTGCTGTGCAGTTAGCAATTGGTTTCACAGACTCGCAGGCTGTTACAGCTAGAAAAGAACTTTGAGGCCAATGCTCTATGAAGTGTTGCACAGACAGTGCAATTCAAACCCAGAGGGCCTGAGTGATTTTCCCAAAGAAAAACTAGGAGCTGGCAGGTTAAAAGCAGAGAGGAACTAAATTTTCTAGTCTAACCTGTTACCCTCTGTTCCCTGCCACCTCCCAACGCTGCTGGAAGGACACAGCCTGCCCTCTCCCGGGTGGTGCCTGTGCAGCAAGCCTGGGGCCTGAGTGTCAAAAGGTCTTTGGACACTTTGGGTTGGAATCCTGGCTCACTTAATCACCAACTATGTGACACTGGCCAATTATCTCATCTTCCCTTGTCCTCATCTTTAAGCAGGAACAATAATATGCCCCTCCCTGGGCCTTTGTGAAGACTAAATGAGATGTCCATGCACAGACATGCGTGGCCCACAGTAAGCACTCCAGATGTGTTGGTGAGACATGAGAGAACGTGTTTTGCACACATGCGTGTTTAGTGCATTTAGTGCCTAGTTTACATACAAGAAGAGAAATACAATAACATATTCAGCAGTTCTCAACCTGTCCTAATCTGATTTGCACCTTTATTTTATGTTAAGAAGATGCAGCAGGCGGAGCGTGGTGGCTCCCAGCACTTTGGGAGGCTGAAGCAGGTGGATCATGAGGTCAGGAGTTCAAGACCAGCCTGGCCAACATAGTGAAACTCCGTCTCTACTAAAAATACAAAACTTAGCCAGGCATGGTGGTGCATGCCTGTAGTCCCAGCTACTCAGGAGGCTGAGGCAGGAGAATTGCTTGAACCTAGGAGGTGGAGGTTGCGGTGAGCCAAGATCGCACCACTGCACTCCAGCCTGGGCAACAGAGTGAGACCACATCTCAATAAAAAGGTTGGGGGGAAGATGCAGCAAAGATAATCCCAGCACTTTGGGAGGCTGAGGCAGGTGGATCATTTGCAGCCAAGAGTTCGAGACCAGCCTGGCCAACATGATAAAACCCCATCTCTACTAAAAACATAAAAATTACCCGGGTGGTAGTGACGTGCGTCTGCAATCCCAGCTACTCGGGAGGCTGAGGCAGAAGAATCACTTGAACCTGGGAGGTGGAGGTTGTGGTGGGCCGAGATGGCACCACTGCACTCCAGTCTGGGTGAGAGAGTGAGACCCTGTCTCAAAAAAATAAATAAATAAAAATTTAAAAAGTTTAAAAAAACAGGGTTTCCTGCTGCAAATGATGTAGAGTGTCCTTTCAGGACACATACTATCCCATGAAGGGAGTGAAGTGGCCGTTTGGCTAAGGAAGTTTGCCAGTCTGCGCCATACTCTCCATTCTACTTTCCTGTGTCAGGCCTTGCCAGGGAAGGAGGGAGAACTGCCTGGCATTTCAGCAGAGGTGAGGTTCACAGCCCCTGGCAGTCACAGCTGATGCCTGGACCCCATAGAAGTGGCTGCAGGCAGGTAGGATGGCAGGCAAGATACGAAGGCCGTTCTGGGGGCTCCCTCCTTATATGTCTGGCGTGCAGGTCGGGGCTCAGCCCAGCCTCACGGGATCCCTTAGTCATTCCGGCCAACCAGATGCCCATTCCCCTTCTAGAAGATACCCAAACAGACGCCTTGGGTGTGAGCTGGTTTCCAGTGTGGCAGCCTGGGGTGGCTGACTCTCCTGGAGAGGAGCAGGCCCCTTAGCCTGGAGAGAAGGAGCCAGCCCTGGGCGAGGACAGAACCTGGATAGCGGCTGGGTGGGGTCCTGGTCTCAGCATCCTTCCACTTAGCACTGGATCCGTGGTAATGCCCTTGTCAGGAGGATGCAAAGGAGGAGCAAGAAGTACCCGGGCTGCAGTGCACACAACTGCCCGGCATGGGAGAATTCAGCCTTCTATCCTGTGGCTCTGCCTCGTGCCAGCTTCCTGCCTGCCGTTCTTTGCTCCCCAGTCAAGAGACAGGAAATGCAAAGGGCAAGACGGTTTGCAGGATAGCAGACAGCACTGCCAATGGTCTGTACATCCTGAGGCACTCAGGTTTTCTAGTGCCTGCAGGCTGCCCACATGCAGCCCATCCTGCCAGCCTCTTTCAGAGCTTTCTGAGCACAGGGTGACTGACCTGTGTGACTGGGAAGCCCAGCCATTTCCTCCCATCAAAACAGATGCCTGCGAAGGGACCATTGTCAAGGGGCCCAAGAGGTTTGTGGGGAGGGCGGCACCACATGCTCCCAGATGAAAGGCCTGACTGGGAGGGAGAAGGGAGCTGGTGGGTTCCCATTCTTAGATGAACAAACCATGCCTGAGATCATTCCCTAACCTTGATCTTGGCACATTTATTTCCATAGCCATTCAGTGAAGGAATTCCCAAGTCATTATAAACCATTCCTGATATTGAAATTGGGAGCAATGAGCATTTCCAGGCAGCCCAGCTTTCCCACTCAATGCATGTGGGGTGAGGGCTAATGAGCTTCCTGCCTCTTGACCTCCTGAACGAGCTGGAAGAACCGTGTGGGTGAGGGAAAGGGCACTCCCGGGCCTTTCATGCCTCTGCAGGCAAAACACCAGTGTCCACAACAATCCTGTCCTTCATCGATTATGCTGACAGTCATTTAAACGGGCTTTCTATAATAAAGCAGGGGAGGGCTAAGTAGGGAGCTGGGCCCATAGGATCTATCAATTCTACTTCCTCTGCAACTTGACATGAAATATAGATCATAGATCTCAGAGTGTACGATGGAAAAGGGCACTTTAATTCCCTCACTCCATTCACTAGGGAGGCAGGCATGGGAGACAGCAACCTACTCAAACAAGCAGCCACGGAGCTTGGCTTTCACATTTGTTTAATGCTGACTGATCGTTAGCTTTTCTAAGAATGTTTGCTATTTAAAAACACTTTTAAATAGTAAAAATTATTTCAGGGCTTGCTTGGAAGTGGGTAACTTGATTTTCTCAGCAAACAGCTAAGTCTGTTGGTCTCTAGTAAAAAAGTATATCTCTTCCTTACTCCAGGGTAAGTAATTCTGCCTCTGGGAATTTACCAAAGTAAATCAACCTCAATTCTGAAAAATCTACATTCATGACTATGTCTATTATAGCATTACTCATTAACATAAAAGCAGTGAACACTTTCAATATTCAACAATAGGATTATGGTTAAGTACACTGTAAAGAATATTATTCAGCCATTACAAATGATGAGAAGGCCAGGATTGGTGGTTCATGCCTGAAATCCCAGCACTTTGGGAGGCTGAGGCTGGCGAGTTCGAGACCAGCCTGGCCAACATGGTGAAACCCCATCTCCACTAAAAATGCAAAAAACTTAGCCGGGCATGATGGCGGGTGCCTGTACTCCCAGCTACTCAGGAGGCTTAGACATGAGAATTGCTTGAACCCAGAAGGCGGAGGTTGCAGTGAGCTGAGATCGTGCCACTGCACTCCAGCCTGGGTGACAGTGAGATTCTGTCTCAAAAATAAAATAAAAAACAAATGATGAGAAAATGCCAAAATCACTGAAAAAAAAATCAGGATATAAAGTCAAAAGTTATTAGTGCAACTTTACAGACATGAAAAAACCTGTTATAAAATTTGCTAAAACATTAACAGTGATTATATAGGCTAGCAGGGTCACGGATAATTTTTGTCTTTATTTTCAAAATTTTCAGTTACATAATTCTATTTTTATAACGGAAAAATATGAATATAACTTTCCAAATAAAAAAATGTTCTACTGACTCACTAAGACGCTTAGTTCTTCTGGACCTGGCAGGCAGCTCTCTGACATGAAAGAAGCCCACGTGCAGAGGATCTGGTAGTTGAGTTGACTCAGGGCAAGTCACTGATGAGGAGCTCACTGTGAATCGTGTGAAGCGGTTGCTATAACAGCTACTGCCTGCTAGGGGGTATGAATAAAAGCACGGTTTCTAGAACGCCTGCTGTTTCCTGCACTGGCTGGGTAGCGTGCTGACTTTCCCATCCAGAACTACCCGTTAAGACAGCCAGGAAGTAGATAAGGATGAGACGTCAGGGGTAGCGAGGACTCTGAGAATCACATCACACGGACTGGTTGAAGGAGACGGCACAAGTAGACTGGAAAAAGAAGATGTAGCAATGGCATGCCGGTTGTCCTCAAATATTAGGGAAACTGCAACCTTCTGTTGGCATTAACATCTGATCCCTCCTCACCAAGAAGTCAATATCTTTATCCAGGAGTGACTACAAGAAAGGTCTTTGCCTGGTCGTCTTCTCTATTTGTTGCCCTGGTTCTGCTTCCAATCCTGCGCCAGTTGGCAATGGAGTGCTACCTCCTTTATATCAGGGTTGATTTGCCAATTGTAGACAGAATTCTTCCTTTGTGATTGCTTAAATTGAGATATCAACTGTTAATTTCTCCTCAGTATTTCTATAAATATAGCTATGCTCTTTCTATGCTGCTGCTGCACAGATCCATGCTATGCTAGAATTTTTCACTCATTCGTGCCACAAATATTTGAATGAGCACTTACCACATGCCAGCCCCAACCTAGGCACTGAGATACTACAGTACACAGAGTAGACAAAATCTTTGCCTTCAGGAAGCTTCTGTTCCAGCGAGACAGGCCTAATAAATGTTTTTGAGTGTCTGCAGGGATTTGACTAATTTAATACTCATCCCAACCCACTGGGTAAGTACTGTCATTATCTGCATTTTACAATGAGGAAATGGAGGAACAAAGATGCTGAGCAACTTGTCCCAAGAGACCGACAGAAGGTCCTCCCTCTGCCCCACTAGGCTAGATTTGCCTCACTGGAGTGGGAGCTTCTGGAGGCCCACACGGCACAGACACAGCCTATGCTGTTCTGCTGCAACTGTCTGCTGTCTGGAAATTACTCCTCTCACTCTGCTGCAGTGAGGTGGGAGGTGTTAGAAGGATTGGGGTGTGAAAAGAATGACTTCAAAGTTCAGTACTACTTGAAAAACTGATTACTTCTGAATGACTTTCTGTGTTTCCTTATCCTACAGACGTTCTCAATGTAACATCCTCAGGCTTCCTTGGGCCAACTCACGACAATGCCAGGTACATTTCTTAGAGTAGAGATAACATATTTCTGTTAAAGTAATATATTTTCTTACATGTACCACACTTTGGGAATGTCCTAATCAACTGAGATAACCGCTACATACATTTACCAAAGTGTGTGCCGTGGTCCCAGGGTTTATAGCAGGAGGCACACTGACACTGCTGGAACACAAGGGACTGCTGTCTCCAAAGGCTGGAGCAGATTCTAATATGCGGGATTCAGATGCTGAGTGTTCACAGGTAGTGTAATGTTCATGGCAACTGTTACACTTATTAAATTACTGACTTCCTAAGGGCATGAATCTAATAGGAAACGTTAGATGCCCTGTTAATATTATGTTGCCTGCAAGCATTTGTATTGTTTTCTGATATTTGTTGTTTTCTAAGATTTTGAAAAAAATACTTAATTAGGAAGATAATTTTTTTTCCTGGCTCTAGTGTTAAATTAAGTGGGAAGGTATTCTATTTAGGATCCTCCCATAGAGCTATTTTTCTCTTAAGGGTTACATGCATTCCTTTGTTTTTAAAATTCACTTTAATATTAACGTATTAATTCAGTACTTATTGAGTGCCTGCCATGTGTCAGGTGTTTTTCTGGGCACTAGGAATCAGATAAATAAGGCAGACAAAGCCCCTCATGAAGCTTATACTTGCTGAGAGGGAGATAGCCAATAAAAAGAACACAGTAATTGTATGATACAATGTCAGTTGCTAATAACACTAGGGAGGAAAATAAGCCAGGCTAAGGAGAGAGAAAAGGAAAGGAGAAGGTGGTTTTACATGGGTCAAGAGGCAAAGCATCGCTGAGGAAGTGACCAGGTGCCATGATTTGAGTAATAGCAAGGGAACAAAGGCCACCTCCCCACCCACGTGCTGTGTGACTTGGGCAACTCCCATAATGCTTCTATATTCTCATCACTGAAATGGAGATAATCATAGTACTTATATCATAGGGTTTTTTTTAATTAATTATAGAGTTTTAAAATATTTTTTGAATTATCTTCCTTTCCTTGTCTGCCTACTTTTCTTAAAAACCTATGGTGAGACTGGGCATAGTGGCTCATGCCTATAATCCTAGCACTTTGGGAGGCCAAGGCGGGTGGATCACCTGAGGTCAGGAGTTTGAGACCAGCCTGGCCAACCTGGTGAAATCCCGTCTCTACTAAAAATACAAAAATTAGCCGAGCTTGGTGGCAGGTGCCTGTAATCCCAGCTACTCGGAAATCGGAGGCAGGAGAAATCTCTTGAACCCAGGAGGTTACTGGGAGCTCAGGGGTATATGGAAACTTTCTGTTAAATTTTGCTGTGAACTTAAAACTGCTCTAAGAAATAGTCTATTAATTTTAAAATATTAATTAACTCCCAAGATAAGGAGGGAAATGTCAATTTATTTTTATTTTTATTTTTATTTTTTGTGATGGAGTCTCTCTCTGTTGCCCAGGCTGGAGTGCAGGGGCGTGACCTTGGCTCACTGAAGCCTCCACCTCCTTGGTTTGAGTGATTCTCATGCCCCAGCCTCCTGAGTAGCTGGGATTACAGGTGTGCACCACCACACTCAGCTAATTTTTGTATTTTTAGTAGAGACGAGGTTTCACCATGTTGGCCAGCCTTGTCTCAAACTCCTGACCTCAAGTGATCCACCAGCCTTGGCCTCCCAAAGTGGTGGGATTACAGGTGTGAGCCGCTATGATCAGCCTCAAACAATATCTTGAAGGCTCAAAGTAGACAGAGGATTGGCGAGTAAGGGGTAAGGGAAATTGGCGATATAGGAAATTGCACCTAACTGTAGGGGGCAGGGATGCTGACAGAAGCCTGTCTGCTTCCCTCCCGTGCAAGGGGAATGGTGATAGCACCCACTCTCCCTTCGGTTGTAAGGGGTCTGTCTGCGTGGAGCATTTGGAACAGCGCCTGGCACGGAGGCAGCTCCCATGCATGCTATAGCTGTTTTACCGAGCAGGAACTTTCTGTTCCTCTCCTGAGGCCGTTTCTCAGTCTCTCCTGCTGTCTCTCCTGGAGAAGAAGTCCCTGATACACCCTGGGGGCTGGGCCCAGGTAGGGCCGGAGAGGCATAAGCCTGGCTTCCCAGAGCCCTGATGGCTGGGCCAGCGGTGGAGGCTAGGGATGGGTTCTCATCATTTCATCAGCTGACACTCACTTCTAACATCACTTCACCCCACCCCCAGTGGCACCTGGTGTCCCTGAGATCGCGTGTCCATCTCAGGATCTCCAGAAGGTGAGGGAAAAGGAAGCTAGAGCGTAACTCTGATTGTCTGACCTTTCCACGAACCGCCTGCTCTTGGCCCCAACCCTAACCCCCTTCGCCTTTCCAGGGACCTGAAGAGGCACCCCGAATCCTGGCCTTCTCTGCACTCTGGGTTGCATAGCAAGAATCATCTTGCTTCTTCAGCTGCCCCTCCCCCTTGAAACTCTTCATTTTGTGAATAAACAATCACCTATGTATATCAAAAACCCACACACACTAAGAAGGTGCCTCTTTGGAGATGCCTTGAGGCAGATTTCTCCTGCCTCCGATTTCCGAGTAGCTGGGATTACAGGCACCTGCCACCAAGCTAGGCTAATTTTTGTATTTTTAGTAGAGACGGGATTTCACCAGGTTGGCCAGGCTGGTCTCAAACTCCTGACCTCAGGTGATCCACCCGCCTTGGCCTCCCAAAGTGCTAGGATTATAGCACTTGGCCTTGCTGCCACCCCAGACCCTCATCTCCTTGTCCTCTGCACGGAACTATTTTGGTCGGATTTTGCTTCTTCTTGGCCTGTCCTATTCCCTAACCCGCCTTCAGAGGGACTGAGGTTTTAGATTTTCCCGCTCTGCTACATTTGTGTCTACTCATTTCATCTTCCAAATCTTGGTTGAAGTATTTTGTCTTCTCCTTCTGCCATGTTTCCTTCTTCTGAATTTGCGCTTAAAAAATCTTTTTTACTGTCATTTAGTAAAGTTTTGCAAAGTAATGGAGAAAAATGTGTTGCCAAACCAAACGTGAGTCTGCTCACCCAGTGATCGGAAAAAGCCAAACGCCAGCACTGGGATTTGCAGCAAGAGAAAGTGAGGAACTTCCTTAGCGCATGTTTGATTTCAGTCTCTCTGAGGTCTGTGAGACTGTGGTCAGCATTTTCCATTGGGCGAGGGTCCTGGTTTCTGAAAAACAACTCCAGGACATATGTCAAGAAGTTATCTTTAGTTTCTGTAGGGAACCAATCATCTTGTGACTCTGATTTATGTGGGTGGTTATTGTTGAAGTTATGATTATCTTCTTGTTTAGCAGGTTATTAATTTGCTTCCTCTGGTTGCAGGGTGTGCCTGGAATTTCCGTTAGAGATTCAAAATCTTTTCTTTATGTCCATGCTGGGGTGGAGGGGAGCCCAGCAGGGCCCTACAAGGGGATCCCTATTCTATGTCAAAATTTCCGGGAGATGGCCAGGCACAGTGGCTCACGCCTGTAATCCCAGCACTTTGGGAGGCCGAGGCGGGCAGATCACTTGAGGTAGGGAGTTCAAGAACAGCCTGACCAACATGGAGAAACCCTGTCTCTACTAAAAATACAAAATTAGCCAGGCGTAGTGGCGCATGCCTGTAATCCCAGCTACTTGGGAAGCTGAGGCAGGAAAATCACTTGAACCTGGGAGGCAGAGGTTGCAGTGAGCCGAGATCGTGCCATTGCACTCCAGCCTGGTTAACAAGAGCAAAACTCCATCTCAAAAAAGAAAAAAAATTCCAGGAGATTTCATTCTTGCTCTTTCATTCTCTCTTGAACACCTTATAAACTGTAAAATATAACTCGCTGAAAAATACACAAAGCTTGTGTGCATAGTTCACACCTAAATCCCAAACACCCAAGAACCATCATCCAAGGTCCAGATGCAGAACATGATTGGTCTTCCGGGGTCCCCACTTGTCCCTGGCCAATCACAGCCACCTCCCGCTGAGGGCACATGTGGAAGGAAGCCGCTGATGGGCACATAGGACTCTGAGCTACTCTTTTTTTTTTGTCTTTTCTTTTTTTTTTTTTTTTTGAGACGGAGTCTTGCTATGTTGCCTGGGCTGGAGTGCAGTTGCGCGATCTTGGCTCACTGCAACCTCCGCCTCCTGGGTTCAAGCAATCCTCCTGCCTCAGCTTCCCTAATAGCTGGGATTACAGGCATGCGCCACCACACCTGGCTCATTTTCGTGTTTTTAGTAGAGACATAATTTCACCATGTTCACCAGGCTAGTCTCGAACTCCTGACCTCAAGTGATCCTCCTGCCTCGGCCTCTCAAAGTGCTGGGATTACAGGCGTGAGCCACCGCACCCGGCCAACTCTGAGCTACTCTTATAATTTCATGTATGTTTATAATTATTTCCAAATAAAAAGTTTAAAATATATGTATGTAATATGTGACATGTGCATCAAAATGTGATTTGATTTTTATACGCTTTTTGAGAGTTAACACACAGCAGTCCCTCTTTTCCTGGGTTTTGGGGGACACTTCAAGGCTCCCATTGGATGCCTGAAACCATGTATGGTACTGAACCCTATGTGTCCTCTGCATGAATTTCTTTTTCCTTCTTCACAATTTCACAGATAGATCTGTTCTTATCATAGATCTTAGCAACCTCAGCATAGGATTTTTTTCTTTCCTTATTAGGTTGAGAATGTTTACCTTTTCACTTAAAGGGAGTACCTTATGGCTTCTCTTTGGCATGTCCAATTTGCCAGCACATCATTACTCTTGTGCTTTGGGGCCATTATTAAGTAAAATAAGGGTTCCTTGACATGAGCAACATGATATTGCAACAGTTGATCCTAAATGACTCACAGACAGGGCGCGTAGCCAGCGTGGATCTGCCGGACAAAGGGAGCCAGGTCCTGTGAGGGATGGAGTGAGATTTCATCATGCTATTCAGAATGGTGTGCAATTGAAAACTTGTTTATTTCTGGGATTTTCCATTTAATATTTTCAGACTGAAGTGGACCACAAGTAACTGAAACCATGGAAAGTGAAACTGAGGATAAAGGAGGCTCCCATAAATTCACAAGCCAGAAGAGTCATTTGGAAAGGCAAGTGTGTCCTTTGTGCTTCTTCTTTGGAAAATATGATCACCACGGGATTTTTTTGTTTGTTTGTTTTGTTTTTGTCTTTGTTTTAGATGGAATCTTGCTCTGTTGCCCAGGCTGGAGTGCAATGGCATGATCTCCACTCACTGCAACCTCAATTAAAACTAAAAAAAATCAAAGTCAAAAATAACGTTTCAGTTTCTAATGCCCCTAAAAACTGTGTAGTAAATTGTAAAAAAAAGAAACTCAGAGACCGGTGCCCATGCAGGTCCTCTGTATACTAAACGCCGGTCTCCTGGGCCCACTGTTCTTTCTCTATACTTTGTCTCTGTGTCTTATTTCTTTTCTCAGTCTCTTGTCCCACCTGACGAAAATACCCACAGGTGTGGAGGGACAGGCCACCCCTTCATCTGCCGCCCAACGTGGGTGCCTTTCTCTAAGGTGAAGTTACGCTAAGAAGGTGAGCATGAAAGACAAGTCAACGAAAGAGTCCCAAGTACGTCCATGGTCAGCCTTGCGGTAAGCTTGTGTGCAGGGAGGAACCCTGGGTAACAATGGGAGAAAATGAAAGTAAATAGGCCTCTTATCTCAGCTTAATTAAAATTATTTTAAGAAGAGAGGGAGTTGGAGCCTCTACAGAAAATCTAATTACGCTATTTCAAACAGCAGAAGATAGCGTTTCAGTTTCTGATGCCCCTTATAACTGTGTAATAGATTGTGAAGAAAAGGCAGGGACAGAATCTGGGAAAGGAACAGAAAGTTCACATTGTAAATATGTAGCAGAGTCTGTAATGGCTTGGTCAACACAAAATGTTGACTACAATCAATTACAGGAGGTAATATATCCTGAATGTCAGACAGTTGGATGCATAATGAATGATTTTTACATATTTTTAATTACCTTACTGTCATCTGCGTGGGGTTGGGGAAGAAGAAGGGATTAAAACTAGATGGTGCTTAATGTGCCACATTCAAGTAGAAGGTAAATGAATCCTATTGTTTTTTTTTTTACTAAAATTTTTCTCTTAACATTGAATATGGATTCTCTAGGAAGAGAAAGCAACCCTCTGTAGGTTGAGTTCAAACCCTGTGAGCAAGTGTTAGATGTGGACGGACCCAGGGCCTCCTGGAGCTTTCGGTCTGGGGTGCTTTAGCAGTGCTTCCAGAAATGCTTAGGGTCCAGGCCGGGCATGGTGGCTCACTCCTGTAATCCCAGCACTTTGGGAGGCTGAGGCGGGTGGATCACCTGAGGTCAGGAGCTCAAGACCAGCCTGGCCAACATGGTGAAACCCTGTCTCTCCTAAAAAAAAAAAAATACAAAAATTAGCTGGGCATGGTGGTGCACACTTGTAATCCCAGCCACTTGGGAAGCTGAGGCAAGAGAATCACTTGAACCCCAGAGGTCAAGGTTGCAGTGAGCTGAGATTGTGCCACTGCACTCCAGCCTGGGTAACAGAGGGAGACTCTGTCTCAAAAAAAAAAAAAAAAAAAAAAAAAAAGAAATGCTCAGGGTCCACCTTTGGGGCAGCCACGACTTCCCAGGGTGCCAGCTTGCAGTGTCATGCTCCCCACCTACAGGCTCACAAAAATCCTGTGATGGGCTGGACTGTGTTCCCAAAGTCCTAACCCGTTTCTCAGAGTGTGGTCTTGTTTGGAGATACGGTCTTTACAGAGGTAATCAAGTTGCAATGAGGTCATTAGGGTAGACCCTAATCCTACACGACACGCATCCTTATGAAAGGGGAATATGTGGACACAAGCACAGAGGGAAGACAGAGTGAAAACACAGGGAGAGGCTGGGTGTGGTGGCTCACTCCAGTAATCCCAGCACTTTGGGAGGCCAAGGCAGGAGGATCTCTTGAAGCCAGGAGTTTGAGACCAGCCTGGGCTACACAGGGAGACCTTGACTCTATAACAAATTTAAAAATTAGCCAGGCATGGTGGTGCATGCCTTTAGTTCCAACTACTTGGGAGGCTGAGGCAGGGGGATCACTTGAACCTGGGGGATCGAGGCTGCAGTGAGTCGTGTTCGTGCCAATGCACTCCATCCTGGGTGACAGAGTGAGACCTTGTCTCAAACACACACACGCATGGACACACACATACACACACGGAGAATGCCAGAAGACACCTGAGGCTCCCAGAAACTAGCAGAGAGACATGAAGGGATCCTCCCCTGGGGGTTTTAGAGGAAGCAAGGCCCTGCAGACACCTTAATTTTGGACTTCTAGCCTCCAGACTAGATAATAAATTGACCTAAGTCACCCAGCTGCAGTACTTTGCTATTGCAGCCCCTAGACTAATAGAAACCTCCACTGCTGGAAATTTTACATGATGAATTTCCTAAAATAAGGCTTGTTGGTTCCCAGTTTGAAGACCAGATTGAAGAGTTTTGTTTTGTTTTAATAGCATTGGCTTTTAAAAGATAAACATGAACTAGACCCTCCTGTCTGGAGAATTCCCTATCATTTTGACTAAAGCAAGGGTTTTTTTTTGTTCTTTTTTTTTCACACTTTTGGATAAAAGGGGAAGAAATGACAGGTATTTAAATATCAAGGTCTCTTTCCTCCTGGGCTTTGAAGAGGAAGAAAAGCAGCTTAATTGGCTCTGGACCGTCTGGGGGTGGTGGGTGGGTGATCTGATGTTCTTTTTAAAAAGATGGATGAAACAAGGAAATTTTTCTCATCTTGAAATGCAACTCCCTGGGTCTCTAGTTTTAAAGGAGCCTTCCCAGGTATCTCTCATGCTTCCTGAGAGCTCCACAAGGCTTTCTCATCTGCCTTCTGTGGCCAGCTGGCAGGACTCATGTGATCTTCTTTAGCCGAGAGCAGGGACTCAAGGAGGACAGCTCTCTCTTGCTTCCCTGAGCTCACTTTCTGCAGTTCCATCTCCTCCACCTTTTTAGGATTTTCACCTTTCAAGAGATATCAGAATCTCAAGGAAGTTTGGAAGAAAAATGTGCATTCCTTTGTGCTTGCCACAGCATCTCTAACCCTCGAGGGGGTTAGTCTCTGTCCATCCTTGACTCAGGCAGGCTGTGTGACCTCTCTCTAGCCTCAGCCTTCACGCGGAATCATGTGTGAAGTGTCATTAGCTCTTGATGGCCTGGCTCCTCAATTCAGTCATCTATGCCAAGTCATCTATGGCAGTTGTAGCAGTGCCTAACCCTGGAATTTGAAAGAGATGGAAACATTTTGACTCTTTAACTGTTGGTGTCTTTTCCATTAGAAACTCTAGGCCATAAAATTTGCTTCATTTGGGGTTATTTTTATTTTTATTTTTTTGAAACAGATTCTCAGCCTGTCACCCAGGCTGGAGTGCATTGGTGTGATCTCTGCTCACTGCAACCTCTGCCTCCTGGGTTCAAGTGATTCTCCTGCCTCAGCCTTCTGAGTAGCTAGGATTCCAGGCGTGCACCACTACACCCGGCTAATCTTTGTATTTTTAGTAGAGATGGGGGTTTCACTATTTTGGCCAGGCTGGTCTCGAACTCCTGACCTGAAGTGATTGTCAGGCCTCTGAGCCCAGGCCTGCACGTATACATCCAGACAGCCTGAAGCAAGTGAAGAATCACAAAAGAAGTGAAAATGGCCGGTTCCTGCCTTAACTGATGACATTACCTTGTGAAATTTCTTTTCCTGGCTCAGAAGCTCCCCCATTGAGCACCTTGTGACCCCCGCCCCTGCCCGCCAGAGAACAACCCCCTTTGACTGTAATTTTCCACTACCTACCCAAATCCTATAAAACGGCCCCACCCCTGTCTCCCCTGGCTGACTCACTTTTCGGTCTCAGCCCGCCTGCACCCAGGTGAAATAAACAGCCTTGTTGCTCACAGACGCGCGTGACAGCGATCCTGCCCCCTTGGCCTCCCAAAGTGCTGGGATTACAGGCATGAGCCACAGCGCCCAGCCTGTTTGGGTATTTTTTAAATGCCAAGTTATTTTGTGCCCTGACACATTTCAGGCCACCTCTCTGCCCACATAATTTTATGATTATATGACCGCATTTACTGATAAAAAACGACCACCAAAAATATCTCCTTTTCACCTTGGCTTAATTTAAGACTGTCACTGAAGCATTTGATGATAATGTCTTAGGCATCTAAAATGGCAAAATTGCAGGCCTGTGGACAAATTAACAATTCTTCTTTGGTTCTTGCATTGGAGGTTCTGATACTTCAAAACATAGACTCCTTTATGATTTGTATTAAAGGGAGAGCACTATAGGAGGAAAGAATCAGAGTAACAATGCTGTTATCGAAAATCACAAACCTTTTTGGAATTGCATTTGATGCAAAATTATAGACTGTCTTCAACTTCCTTTTTGCAGCTGTGAGTTGTTTAGTATTTAACCATGCAACCTTAAATTACAGAGAAGATGGGGGAAAAAAATCTCTGTTCAGGGCGTTGTCTCCACTCATCTTTGTAGATATCTTGGTGTGAACATAGCGTAATATTCCCATTAATTGTTATATAGACTAATTCTAACACTGACTTCTAGGTTCTTTGTGTAGTTTTGACAGTGGTATATTCATAAAATGGAAAATCTGGAAATTTTTCAAAGCTGAAATAAAACGGCAAGGATTTGGAACTAAAATCAAGGGTTTAACCTTTAAAAGAAATCAACTTAATTGTAAATTTCACTTCAAACATTTCCCGGGATCTGGAGAAGGCAAACTGCAGAAAGGTCAGCCAGATTGCAGTTGGGCAGAAAATCTCATTTAAACTGTATTATCACAACCAAAAAGCCCTATTTGGAAATCAGACGTAAATAATGCCAAGCAATCAGGGAGGTAGGAAGGACGGGTGGATCTCAGTGCCTGCCCCAGCCCCTGACTGCCTCTGACGAGAGGTGGACATCTGTTCTGCTCCGGGGGCAGAGGCAGGAGTATGGAGCTGTACTGCTGCTTTCATCACCCAATAGCCGGTGGCCTTAGAAAAAAGCAAATTAATTTTGGAGGCTTCAGTTCCCTCATCTGTAAAAAGAATGGGTGAAAAGAGATGATCTTTAAGGTTCCTTCCAGTTCAAAAAAGTTCTGATTCCAGGTCATTTTCTGATTCGCTGACATTGGTTCCTTATAGGAAGCCATCAAGGAAGAAATGAAATGTGAGCAGTGGCATGAACATTTGGTTCGAGAGTTTCTGGGATATTCTTGGCTGAAAACTGGTGTAACTGATGACTTACAGATAAGTGAGAAGAAAGCACCGTTAAAAGGATGGATTAGGCCAGGGGTGGTGGCTCACGCCTGTAATCCCAGCACTTTGCGAGGCTGAGGCGGACAGATCACATGAGGTCAGGAGTTCAAGACCGGCCTGGCCAACATGTTGAAACCCAGCCTCTACTAAAAATTTTAAAAAATTAGCAAGGCATGGTGGCACATGCCTGTATTCCCAGCTACTCAGGAGGCTGAGGGAGGAGAATCGCTTGAACCCGGGAGGCAAGGGTGCAGTGAGCTGAGATTGTGCCACTGCACTCCAGCCTGGGCAACAGAGCAAGACTTTGTCTCAAAAAAAAAAGTGGGGGAGGGTGGATTAAAATTCTGCTCTGCCATTTCCTTCTTTGTGCTGATACATACAAATAAAGTAAAACACCTAGCATCAGATCAGGTACCTTGGAGGTAAACCCCACATAGAAGCTATGGATGATGTTGAAATTTGGCCACCCATTGAAGCAGGATGAGTGCATGTACAGAAGAACACCCGAGAGGCAGAACTGCTGAAATAGCCTAAAACCTTTAGGCTACTGTGAGAGGCCACTGTGAACTATCGAGGCAGCTACAAAGAGAAACAGCCTAGGTGGTTGCTTTAGAAGGACGATTCCTTCTACCAGGTGGAACAGTAGTGGGACAGGTCACCAAGCTGGGGACACTCAGCCTGCAGTGGTCTATCCTTAAACCATGTGGCCCTGAGAATTAGTCCTGGAAATTCCCTTCAAGTCAGTGGTGATGAGAATCACACAAATAACTATACCAAGAAAGCCAAGGTCAACACAAAGTAGAAAAGTCCTAGGAATGGAGCCTCAGGTGTCAGTCTTGGAAAGAGACAGGGCAGGGTCCGAGGAAGAGCTGCAGAGGAAACATAAATCAATGAAGTGGCCTCAGACAGGCCAGGATGGCTCCTGGCTTGTATTGGACTCTTAATACATATTTATTCATTGACGGGCTCAATGGATGGATAGATGTTGTGCCTGAAGTTAAAGAGGCACGAGGGACAAAGGAGTGTGAAAAATGGCAGAATCCATGTCTGAAAAAGCTCTGTTTTCTTCTGCCCTGGTTATTTTTTGGTTCCTCACCTCCTTTCCTGTCTGAGGACTGTCTCAGGCATTCCCAAACCCGAGCAAACCCCAGAGATTTCCTGAGTAGGACCTTGCAGCCTTTGACAGTAACGCACGGTAGCAGTTGTCATTGTGTCTTACTCAATCTCCCTGTCTCTTTTTGTTCTCATTGCTCTTTCCGTAGTCCAGCTCTCTGACTACTCTGACATTCTGGCCCAATGGCCTCCTCATGGTCCACTCCAGCATAAGCCATTTGATCATTTAGCATTCCACAGGCTTTCCAAAATACTTTCCAGGCCTCTGCACTGTGCCTCAGTTAAAACCCCAGTTGCTTTGTTTGACATGCCACCATTTGTCCTGGTATGACATTCCAAGCATGCTTTCTACTTTCCTCCAGGAACCTTCCGGGGCAGCCCAAACTTTTTGCCCTCAGCCTCCACTGTCATCCCCACCCCACTCACTGGTGCATATGAGCTCATGCATTTCCTTTGTCCGCAATGACCTTGGCTCATCCATCCATCTATCCAGCCGCTCACCCATCATGAGCTTCCTACCAGCCATCAAGTGCTGGTCAGTATGTGCTCATATCCCTGCACATCCCTGTCCATACCCCCATCTCACTTCTTTCTGGGCTCTTTTCATGTACTAATTCTTGTTTGGTGATTGTACCAGCAATCCCAACCAGATAACAAGCACCTCGGGGGAAGGATGATGTCCTGTGTTCCCTTCCTGGCGCTATCTGATGAACAGAAACATTAAGGAGACCTCTGGGGGACTTGTGGATTGACAAAGTCATTTTCAATAAGTTTTGTTAGTTAAAGTAAAGGCAAGCTAACTTTCTGAAGGCTATCTAAAAATAGAATTTTAAAACCAGCATTCCCATCTGAGTAATAAATTCAATTAGATTTTTGGATTTAAAAAAAAAATGTGATATTGGTTTTTCATTTCTTCTGCTAGTTGTTTCCAGGCAACCTTGAACTTGTCAAATAAAAAAGTATAAACAGAAGACTATGAGTTTTATGACCTTACTTTGAAAATCCTGCCCTCGGCAGGCTAAACACACTCTCAGCATTATGACTAGACATTTCTTAAAGGCCAGCCCCTAGGTTTTTCTTGGGGGATTTTAGGATGAAAACATAGGATGTGGAGTTATATACTCCAAATAATTTGAATCCTGACTTTATCGTTGTGAGATTGGAATAAATCATTTAAACTTTCTGACCTTTGGTTTCTTAAATTCTGAAATAGGCATCATCCCCCAACCTGCCTACCTTACAGTGAGGTGACTGAAGAACAAAGATGACCTTTGTCATCGTCTTTGTCCATCATCACCATCATCCATATCATCTCTAGAATTAATATAAAAAAGGCAGAGAAGGAGAGGCAGATCCCTGGACTTCATGCCTGGCTGGGAATGTAGGAGCAAGCCCCCAGCTCCTGCCAGGGTCAGCACACGAGCAGCCATGGCCAGTTCCTGAGGCACAGCCACCCCATGCAAAGGTCTGCATCCCAGAGGCACCTCTACGCAGCCAGAATCAATTTGCCTGTACTTTCTTGCCTTCCAGCTCCTTAATCCTTGGCCCAGGATGGCTCACTTCAACCCATCACCTGCTTTGGCTCTGGGCCCCAAGCTTCCTGAAGGGCCCAGTCTTTTCCAGCTGCTGGGACCAGTTTGGGGTAACCCTTACAGCAATGGGAATGGCAGTTCCAGCTCCAGGCTGGGGTAAATCAAGGAAGCCTTTGCTGTTTGTTCTGAGCTTGGTTTTCAGCTCCCAAGAGCTGCATGTGATAGCTCCCCTCTCCCTGTTAACACAGTGGAGGAACAATTATCTTCCTGGTGAAAATTGTTGGGACTGTCTTCCCTTCTCTGTTTGCAGGCAGCACCAAGTTGGGACGAATGAAATAAGAACGTGAGGGAGAACAGCCCGGGCTGTTCGCTTTCACAAACCCCTCGGGTCTTCAGACTAATTCTGAAGATCACCAGGAGACAATTTCTAAATGAAGAAAGGGAACACTGGGCTTATTAAAAAGCCTCCTCCTTCTTGCAGAGTAGAAGGATCCTTCTATCTCACCAGAAAATATGCCATTTCATAAGAAACCTAAATTGTTTTTTCTATGGTGACAAAATGAAATGTTCCTTTGTCAAGAATGAGCAAGCCTCAGAAAAGAGAGCCCCTCCCTGCCCAGCCATGAGGAGCGATTTTGCTACAATTTCTGTCCATTTTAAGATCAATGCAAATTACTCAAGTGATTTGAGAGCAGTCGTGGAGGGCAATTCTTTTGGGAGAGATTTTCAAATTGTGTTTTAAGTCCTCGAGGCCGGTTCCCAAGACAGAACTGGACCTTCTCAATGACCGGGACCTTGTTATTCTGGAATAACATGTTATTATGGGACATCATTATGCTTCATCCTGACCCCATGAAGTTTATGAGACAGGCCCAATTATTGAGCCATATGGCAAAGAGAAATTTGGGTAAACAAATTTGTATTTCAATAAAATTTAGAGTCCCATAAAATATAATAATTAAGATGTACATGACAGCAGGTGCGCTTGCTTAAAGCTGCCTTCGCAGCTCACCAGATGGTGTGCCCTGGGTGATTCATGTTCCAGGAGCAGAGAATTTTCAGGCAGGTAATCTTTGCAATATTCTCTTTTGTCCATTTTTCTTTTGGGCAGTATTTCTGATTCATTGTATCACCCCTTCCAATCAGCTTTGTTTTAGAGAATTTCTTAGGGCATGCCTCTAGTAACACAGTGTATTGAAGGGTTTTTTCCTTGATTTTGTTTTTTATTTCCTTCTTAACTCACATGAATTCTCTTCTCCAGGATTGGAAGGGAAAAAGCAAAAAGAATGCTTTCCCCACATAATGCCCCCCATCTCTGCTTTGAATGGCAAATACCAAGAGCAGCTTTGCTGTGTAAAATGTTTTCCCACCTTTGCCGGGGAGGTTAGAGTTAAATTAAAGGAACAGTAGCTATTTTTCCCACTACAAGGCAGAATGGGGGAGGGGAGCACCAATTAGCTTTTTCTTCTTTACATTCACCCTATCCTCAATCTGCCTTTTCTTCTTCACTTCTTGGCCTCTCCTTTCTCCCCAGGAGCAGCAGCCCAAAGCTACTGGAGGAGAGAAGAAGGGAGGAGGAAGCGTCTGGGCATGAGAGCAGCAGGAGTTGAGGTTACAGAGCTGTCGAAATCTCTCCTGCCTGGACCAAAGGTGCTTAAATACTTGGAACACTTGAAAGTAAAAGAAATCCCAACTCTAAGCCTCTTTGCATCACGTGAATGTCATTTTTTTTACTTTCCTTCAAACACACACACACGGTAGCCTGCAGCCTTGCTTTGAGCAGCCTTTTTCTTAAGGTAGCACTAACCAGCAGGGAGATGTTAGGAGATTGAGATTCCAATTAAGGCTGCCTCTGATTGCACTAGACAAGTCTCTGCTACTTAGAAAACAAGGCTGAAAAATCCCAGATTAAGGTTGTAGAGGATAGCATGGATCAGAACCAAGGAGCTCACAAAAGCCCACTTACCATGAAAATTATATGAAATGGGAGCCATTAAAAATAAAAATATTCAACAGGAACACTGCTGGCTAAATCACAAATTAAGATGTAGCACAGGTCAAATGGTGGTTCCCAAACTTTACAGCTATGCCTGGTTAAAAAGATGTAGAACCATCACGGGCCATGAGGATGAGGGTGGGGGTTAAGGGTACGTAGAATATTCCCTTAAACCAGCAGTGTTTGGCCAGGCACGCTTACTAGGTGGCTCACACCTGTAATCCCAACACTTTCGGAGGTGGAAGCAGGTGGATCACTAGAGGTCAGGAGTTCGAGACCAGCCTTGCCAATATGGCAAAACCCTATCTCTACTAAAAATTCAAAAATAAGCCGGGCATAGTGGTGCATGCCTGTAATCCTAGCTACTTGGCAGGCTGAGGCAGGAGAATCACTTGAACCCAGAAGGCAGAGGTTGCAGTGAGCCGAGATTGCACCACGGCATTCCAGCCTGGGTGAAAGAGTGAGACTCTGTCTCAAAAAAACAAAACCCTAGTAGTGTTCAGTGGCTCTACCAGACAAAATGAAGCCAGTGTTCTTCCGTCTGAAGAGCGAGAGATGGCGTTTGCTTTTCCATTTGTGGGGACAGGCAGAGTCTGACGTCCATCTGGAATACTCTTCTTCCTTCCTCCCAGTGGCTGCTCTGCAGGCCAAACCTGGGGTTCAGGCTTTGGCCATGAAACTTAGCAACCTGAATATGCATTTAATGTCTGACATTATTCTAGTTAGTATGAGAGAGACAAGCCAGACAGATGATTAGAGAAGTAATCCAATCAATGTTGGGTGAAATTAAATGAGTACAGGAATGAATGAATACTTAAATGAATGACTGCCACTTTACCAGTGGTCTGGTTCCTGCCGAGTTGGGGCTTCACATCTAACTGAGAAGCCAAGATAAACATGCATGACACCCAGAGCTCACCTGAGCACTGTTTCCTAACCTGAGTTCATAACGGTTGGTGTCAGCTTGTCCACTGGGTGCTCGAGAGGGTGCCGGGAAACATGGTGGCTTCCTTTCTATCAGCAGAAACCCAGTAGCTCAGAAAGATTGAATGGCTTTTCTGGGCCACTATCATCCATAGGTAAACACTAGGTGAAGATAACTATTTAGTTACAAGGATAAATTTGTATATATTAGGATTTAACTTTTAATAACTTTTAATTTGGAAATATGTAATTTCAAACCTACAGAACATTGTAAGGATACGTATAGTACATCAAACCCCCACATCTCCCAGTTTCACCTATTGTTAATATTTTGCACCATTTGCTTTATTTGTGCACTCACTATGAATGATTATATTATATATCACATATGATTACACATTACATTAGAGAGAGACTATCTTTTAAGTATTTGAGAGTCAGAGCCAGTTGCATATATTTTGCCCCTTAAACTATAAATACTTCACTGTGTACTTCCTATGAATGTGACAAGGATTCTTTTTTTTTGTTGGTTTTCTCAGGATTTATTTTTAAGTAGAAAAGTTGCTTCAGGTGCCCGAGTGACAATAAACACTATAGAGTATTGCCAGCTTGAGGCATGGGCCTTATTTCATTCAGTTCTGCTTAGGTTCTGGCACCTTCAAAGTGGGCAGACTGAGGGTTTTTGTTTCTCTTCAGTGAATAAAATGTTTCCAAGAACACTGCTTTGGGCACTCACCTCTGAGCTCTATGTCTCCCCAAAGACACCTATGGTGGCTATCCAGAGTTGCATAACAACCCACCCCAAGCCACAGCAGCTTACTAGGAATGCTTCTGTTTGCTCGTGATTCTGTGGGCTCATGTAGTGGTGGGTCAACTGCATCATGGGCACAGCCATGTGGACAAGGCCTGCTGGGGGCTGGGCAGAGTTGGAAGGCCACAAGGGCTTCCCACAGCTCTGGCAACTCAGCGATCCTCCATGCAGCCTCTTTCTCCATGTGGCTAACTTGGGCTTCCTCATAGCATGGCAGTCTCACAGAAGTTAAACTGCTTTCAAGACTTTAAGAGGGTGCATGCCAAGTTGCAAAAGCAGAAGGTGTAAATCTCTTGAGGGCTGCCTCAGCTGTCACACAGCTTCACTGCCACTCACTCTGTTGGTCCAGACAAGTCACAAGACCCAGTCAGATTCAAGGACAGGAGAACTCCACTCTACCTCCCCAAGCAAAGAATTGTTGGCCATTGTGAATCCACCACAACACTCACCATTTTCAATCTGGTGGTGCAGGTATGTATGTACAATTCTCATGTCCCCCACTAAATTCTAAACAGCAAGCTCTTTGGAGGCAAGGTCACAGTCTGACTCATCTTAGAAACCCCACTCATAGTACTTAGCTCAGTGCATGATATATAGTAGGTGTTTAACTTCTATGAAATAAATATGGGCTGGGTGCAGTGGCTCATGCCTGTAATCCCAGCACTTTGGGAGGCCGAGGCAGGTGGATCACTTGAGGTCAGGAGGTCGAGACCAGCCCGATGAACATGGTGAAACCCCGTCTCCACTAAAAATACAATTAGCCAGGCATGGTGGTCGGTGCCTGTAATCCCAGCTACTCGGGAGGCTGAGGCAGGAGCATCACTTGAACCCAGGAGGCGGAGTTTGCAGTGAGCCAAGATCATGCCACTGCACTCCAGCCTGAGTGACAAAGCTAGACTCTGTCTCAAAAAAAAAAAAAAAAAAAGAAAAGAAAAAGAAAATATGGATGAAAACCAGAAGCTTATAAAAGCTTAGAGATTGTCTTAAGATGGCCAAGTCTCCTGCCATTAATCCCAGTGATAGTCCTATGGGTCAGTGTTTCATCAGGGGAGGGGAGGCTGGTGTCTCAGTAGAGCTGCCAGGGTCTGTGACAAAGAGGGATGAGAGGGGTTATTGACCTTCTCTTGTGAACACTGGAAGCCAATCCTTCAGGTGGATCCTGAGTGAGTAACTGGGCCTGTATTCAAAATGGACCCAAGAGCCCATTTGCTGACTAGAGGTTACACAGGTTCCTGGAAACTGCATTCCTGGAAAAAAACACACCATCAAGTAACTTTAGGAGTTTCATAGTTGTTTGTTCCTGTTTATGCCACCTGAATCGATGGTTGCTGGAAGGCCCCATTTTGTCACATGGAGCTAACCAATAGACCGTGACCAGCATGACCAATCAGAACTAAACAAGCTTGCATCCCTCATTTGTGGAGTGGGCCTGAGAGAGAACATGGGTGGGAGGTTTCTCTATAAAGGCTAATCCTTCTCTTTGTTCTCATGGATAGCACCTTTGTTCTGTACTGAAGGCTCCCTACCCCTGGTTTGCAAACTGCTCACTGGAATCGTCTCGTTCTTTCTTTTTTAAAAAATTCCTTTTCGGTGGATTTGTTAACATTTTGTTGTTGGTTTCTGGGTCTTTGAGTAAAAAAACTCCCTCAAATGGTTAATTGGCTTATCTAGGCCATAATGTGTCCATAAAATATCTTTTCTCTAAACGTATCTTTTCTTCGTGTCTGCTGACAGAGTAAGGTACATGTCAGAATCAAAGTACCACAAGAAAGCCATGGAGGATAGAAGGGTTTGTGGTTCTGGAAGTAGCAGTGGGGACTGCTGAAAGTGTGGCCTGTCTACTTTATCCTTCCTTGGTCCACAGAGACTGCTGCTTAGGAGTCCATAAAACGAGCTTGATCAGTGCGCAGGCCTGAGGTAACGAGTACACAGGGCCTGAATGCAGCTCTGCTCAGGGTTGAGCAGGAGGTTAATCACTTGATTTAAATTAAAGCATGGGGGATTAAGCATCTTCCCCTTAGGTGCCGGCATGCCCCCCACCCCTGGCAGCCAGAGCCCAATCAGAACCAGTGCCAGAGGCGACTGTCTCCTGGACCAATTTGCTCAACTTCAATTTTGGTCCTTGAGATTTCGTTTTGACATTGAAAAAATTGCCTCACCATTCTATGGGTTCTGATTTGTGTGATGGTTCTGAATGAATTCTAACAAATTAGCATATCTTTCTGGATCTTTATAGAGATGTAGGAAGATGAATTGCATCTGTCTTCCAAGAGAGTTACAAATGCAGCAGAATATCAGGCTGGGAGGCAGAAAGCGAGCGTTCCTGACAGTGGCTCCACGGAATAGCCGGCACATGCTGAACCACAGCCTCTCTGCGGAGGCAGATGGAGCACAGGTGAGAAATATAAATGAATCCACAATCTGGACTCCTGGGAAACTGTTTCACACCTATGGAGGACTCCATCATTTGGGCCAAAAAAAAATCTCGCTTATCTGAAAATCATTTAGATGGCAATCTCAAAATCTAGAAAGGCAGTTAAAATGTTCTCTGAGGAGTTAAAAAAATGTCACCAAATCTGTGCACAGAAATCCATGTACATTGCTCTTCAGGGCCTATTTACTCTACCTTTACACAGAATTCCATTAAATTTGGTTACCCAGGCTGTGAGTGGTGGCTCCCGCCTGCAATCCCAGCACTTTGGGAGGCCGAGGCAGGAGGATCACATGAGATCAGGGGTTTGAGACAAGCCTAGTGAACGTGGCGAAACCCCATCTCTACTAAAAACACAAAAATTAGCCAGGTGTGGTGGCAGGCACCTGTAATCCCAGCTACTCAGGAGTCTGAGGAAGTAGAAAAAATTGAACTTGAACTCGGGAGGCAGAGGTTGTAGTGAGTGGAGATTGCACCACTGCACTCCAGCCTGGGCGACAGAGCAAGACTCCATCTCAAAAAAAAAAAAAAAAAATTGGTTATCTGGTATCCAACTCACAGGGAGTTAAAAGCCACATTAGGAAGAAGGCAGGAGGCTTCTAGAGGCAGGCACATAAAAAGCAGAAGGAAATGGCAGCCTGACAGAGTGGGAAGAGCCCAAGACAAAACCAAAATAAACCCTGAAGACCAACAAAAGTCCTCAACAAGCACAGCATCCAGGGACTGCTCAGGGAGAGGCAGGAAAATGTTCTGAGTCCGCTGACGGCATGGCAGGCAGCCTGATATAAAATACCCAAGTGGGCCGGGCGCAGTGGCTCACGCCTGTAATCCCAGCACTTTGGGAGGCGGAGGTGGGTGGATCACGAGGTCAGGAGATCGAGACCATCCTGGTTAACACGGTGAAACCCCGTCTCTACTAAATATACAAAAAATTAGCCAGGCGTGGTGGTGGGCGCCTGTAGTCCCAGCTACTCGGGAGGCTGAGGCAGGAGAATGGCGTGAACCTGGGAGGCGGAGCTTGCAGTGAGCCGAGATCGCGCCACTGCACTCCAGCCTGGGCGACAGAGCCAGACTCCATCTCAAAAAAAAAAAAAATGCCCAAGGGATTACAGGTGCGATGGCTCATGCCTGTAACCCCAGCACCTTTGGAGGGAAAGGCAGGAGGATCACTTGAGCCCAGGAGTGTGACACCAGCCTGGACAACACAGTGAGACCCCATCTCTACAAAAAATGTTAAAACTTAGCCAGGCGTCATGGTGTGTGACTGTGGTCCCAGCTAATTGGGCAGCTGAAATGTGGGGATCACTTGGGCCCAAGAGCTGGAGGCTACAGTGAGGGGTGATGGCACCACTGCACTCCAGCCTGGGCGACAGAGCAAGAGCCTTTCTCTAATAAATAAACAAACACATACAGGCCAAGACAGAGCTGACACTATCAACAAGGAGTTCAAGCATGCTCATTAAACAGTCGGCCCTTGGTATCCACTGGTTCCCTATTTCAGAATTAAACCAACTACAGATCGAAAATCTTCAGAAAAAAAAACATTGTGTCTGTACTGAACATGTAGACTTTTTGTCATTATTCTATAAATAATATAGTATAACAACTATTAGCATATCATTTACATTGTATCAGGGATTATAAGTAATCTAGAGATGATTTATTTATTTGTTTTTTAAGTCGGAGTCTCGCACTGTCACCCAGGCTGGAGTGCAGTAGCACAATCTCGGCTCACTGCAACCTCCACCTCCCAGGTTCAAGCAATTCTCATGCCTCAGCCTCCCAAGTAGCTGAGACTATAGGTGTGAGCCACCACGCCCGGCTAATTATTATTATTATTATTTTGTATTTTTAGTAGAGACGGGGTTTCACCATGTTGGGCAGGCTGATTGTGAACTCCTGACTTCACGTAATCCATCCGCCTTGTCTTCCCAAAGTGCTGGAATTACAGGTGCGAGCCACCGCCTGGCCTAGAGATGATTTAAAGTCTAAAGAAGAATAGAAACTATGTCATTTCCTGTAAGGAATTTAAGCATCCACAGATTTCAGTGTCCCCAAGGGTCCTGGAACCAATCCCCTGCGGATGCTGAGGGGGAGACTGTGTTGCCATTTATAGATACAGCTTAGAAATGCGCCTTTACAAAATAAGTAAACATTTTCAAAGTTGTTACACTCAAATGAATAGATTTCAGTTATCTGGAAAATCTGTTTATTGATTGTATTAGTCTGTTTGGACTGCCATGACAAAGTACTACAGCCTGGGTGGCTCAAATGACAGACACTGATTTTTTCTGGTTTTGGAGGCTGAAAGTCTAAGATGGTGTCTGCAGGGTTGGTTTCTCCTGAGGCCTCTGTCTTTGGCTTGTAGATGGCTGCATTCTCTCCATGTCCTCATATGGCCTCTCCTCTGTAAGCCACATCCCTGGTGTCTCTTTATGTGTCCAAATTTCCTTTTCTGATAGGGACACCTGTCATATTGGAGTAGGGCCCACCCTGACAAACTCACTTTAATCACCTCTTTAAAGGCCCTATCTCCAAAGACAGTCATATTTTAAGGTAGGGGTTTAGGACTTCAGCAGATACATTTTGGGGAAACAAAATTCAGCCCATTACACTAACAGTGCTTACTCTTTTGATTGTGCTATGTTTTGCATCAATGCAGCTAATTCTGACTCAGACAATTAGCAGAGCTATCAGGGCATCTTCTTGTTCTAGTTATTCAGAACCTACTGACAAGAAGGTTGAGAAAAGCATTATTTTGTCTTACTCCTCCCCTTTCTCACCCCCTCTTACACACACACACACACACACCACACACACACACACACACCCCCTAGGAGATAGAGTCTGGCCTATTCTCTTCCTAAACATCTTTGAAAGCTTTCCTGTCACTGTCTTAATTCAGACCCCCATCCTTTCTTTTCTGCACAGTAGTAGCTTCCCCACTGCTGTCCCTGTGAGGAGGGGATTTCCCTGAAACACAGATCCCATCACGTTTCTCACTAACAAAAAGCCCTTCAGCGGTTTCCCCCACTTGCTTCCAGGAGCAAGTTCAAACGTCTCTCATTGGAGGTCTTTCCTGACCCCACTCAGCCCCAAGTTGTTAAATACCCCTTGTGGGGGTTGCTGAATTATGTTCCCTCCAACACTCATATGCTGAAGCCCCAAACCCCAGTACCTCAGAATGTGACTGTATTTGGAGATAGAGATTTTGAAGAGATGACTACATTAAAATGAGGCTGTTAGGGTGGGCCCTAATCCAGATTGAATGGTGTCCTCATAAGAAGAAATTTGGTCACACAAAGGGACACCTGTCCCACAAAGGGACACTCACAGAGGGGTGTGCGCTCACCGAGGAAAGGCCATCTACAAGCCGAGGAGAGGCCTCAGGAGAAACCAACCCTGCAGACACCTTCATCTTAGCCTCCAGAACTGTGTAAAAAAAAAATCAATGTTTGTCATTTAAGCCACCCAGGCTGTGGGACTTTGTTATGGCAGCCTGAACCAATTAACACACTTCTCTTCTGCGCTCTGGTAGCACCTTGAGCATATGTCTAGCAGTGTGTAGCCCAGAGTTTGAGAATCACTGGTGTTCATATTTCTCCTCCCACTGGATCACTGGGTAGTGTGATTTCATCAGCTTTAACTTCCTATCACCCAGTGCAGTGCTTGACATCAATATTCATAGAATGAGTGAATAGGCAGAAAAATCCTTATCTCATTTAGAATCCAGAAAAACTGTAGCTGCTGGTGCCATTACAGGCTCAGATGAGAGAAATAAATTTTATGAAAAATATATTTAGGAATGCAGTTTTGTTCCATAAAATGCGTACAATATAGATAATACAGTGCCCCTGGGGGGAAATTATGGCTTCCCCTTTGCTATGGGGTTGGCTTCTATCCATGCTCTAAATTTAACTGCTATCACTCTTCACCTTTATCTTTATGCTGTAACAAAGATCAACAATTTGCTGCTTCCTCAACCTGCCTCTATCCCCAGCCATCCCCGACCCCCTGCACACCATGCTGGTCCAGACCTCCTTGCTGGTGCCCACGCTGTCTCTTGGCCTGGAATCCCTCTCCCCACTTCATCTGGGCAAGCCCATTCATCTCATAAGACTGCCCGGATGTCATCTCCTCTAGGAACTCTTCTATGTCTGATTTAGATGAGGTCAAATGCTTTTTCACTGTGCTGACTTTACACGCTGTGAGTACAACCATCATATTTGCCACATTACATCAAAATTACCTGTTTCCAAGGTTGCATTCCCAATATACCATAAATTCCTTGAAGGCAAAGACCTTGTCTCTTCCATTAAAAAATCTTCATTCCTGGTATATGGCAAAATGCCTAGTAATAAGACACTGAGCATATGGTAGCTATTATTAATCACTTTAGTAAAATAGTAATAAATCATGGGGAGAAAAAGTAGGTGTCTTATAAGTTACTGTGAATTATTTACAAAAAAAATATTTTTTCGTTTCAGTTTTACTTCTTTCTCTTCTGTTAATTTCTTAACATACTTTGTTTTCAAACTGCTGATCTCTAAGACTGGTGAGAAAAAGTAGGAGAAAGTGAAGAGGGTGAAAGTTGAAGAGAATGGAGGAGGACATACTTAAAGGCTCTTACAAAAATTGAAGATAATAATTTTACACATTTAATACCCGAGTTTCATCACTGCTTCACTTAGCACCCTGAGGTGAAGTGCACATAATCCTGAGTCTCCGAAAATAGGGAGACAGAACTCACCTCTTTCAACAGGGGGCTGAATGTATTAATTAATGCTCTTAAAGTTCGAGGACGAAGATTTGCACACAAATCCTTATTAGTGCTGGATGTGCTGTGCATAATAAGCCTTAGATGCAGCATTTATGCAATAAATTGAGTAGCATAGCTCCAAAGCAGAACAGCACATATAATGTACATGTTCAGCATCTGCATTAATCATATTATCAAGACTCCCAAACACTCATTCCAGATTGAACTATCAACCTAAATTTTAAAACTCCTTTGTGTGCATTGTAATGTGATTACTGGCATGGTGTAGAGCTTTGTAACATATATTTTAATGCACCTCTAGAAGATTTTTCTTTTTTGTGTTAGATATGTTTTAAAAAGACCCCATTCTGATGGTTTTTTTTCCCCAGTGAAGGAAAAAGTAGACAGCCCTAAGAAAATTCCTATATTGCATTTTATGAGGTTTGAAATGCTGGGTTTTGCCATTATGCATCCATTGTAGAGGTAACAACCAGGCTATTATCATGATAATGATTTCCTATGTCACTTTTCTTCAATTTGGATAAGAGCCCTTAAGCTCTTTATAAGAAAGTGGTACTTTTCACTTCTGTGAAGCAGGAACGTCTTTATAGGTGATACACCCCTACTTTATGGTAATTGCTTATTTAATGCCTGCCTTATTTTTCAGATGAAAGCTTCAAGAAGCCAGAAATGATGTTTGCCTTCTCACATGGTATTTGGCACACAGCAGGTGCTCAGTAAACATCCCACACAAAGAGGAAGGGATAGGTGGGAAAAAGGGGAAAATGGATATTAATGATACTAATACTATCTGTGAGAGAGAGAGAGAGAAATATAGAGGACAGACTGAGAGCTCATAGTCTAGAAGGCAATAGAGCAAGGTTCTGAGATTCTGCAGAAGGGTCAAGTTTGCCAGGGTTGCTAAATCCTAGTTCAAAAAACCCAATTATGTAAATATGGTTTTCCAATACTTAAACCATATGATCTGAGAATAAAAGAGGATAGCATGGTTAGCTTTGAAACTCCTTGCCCTAAACGGAAGTATATGGCTTGTAATCAGTCAGGTAGCACTCTGAGCATGTTGGAATTCACAATCTCATTAATTTGGGGGTGCCAAGAGCACATTGGATAACATTTCCACTTAGTTATTTCTCAGTATACTTGTGTGGGTTGAGAGTTGATCTCATTGGCTGTCATTTCTAGAGCCCTTACCCTTTGTCAAGTTGTGCTAGGCATTTTACCTGCTTTATCTCTGATCCTCACAACTATGTATAGAAGACATCCTTACACCATTTTACAGAATGAGGAAAACTAAAACTCAAGTTTCACGCAGCTGTTAAGCAGTAGAATGAATTTAAACCCACTTGCTGTAAGTGATCATTTCCGTACATTGTGCTATGTCACAGGAGAGACTATTTTTAGGATTTAAGCGTGTGACTTTTGTATGTATATAACTTTTATGGGCATCAGTTTTCTCATCTGTAAAGTGGAGGCATGAAATAGTTAATACTTCAGGTCTATTTTTTTCTACAATTCTACAAGTGGAAGAACAGGCAGGAGATGCTCCCTGCTGTGGTAGAGCTGTCCACGGTCCTGAAAAGCCTGGCCCCAATAAAGCAATAATCAGCTTATCAAAGGAAGAAGCACAAGAGGCCAGAAACGCCTCCATTAATAGAGATCTAGCTGCTAGTCTCTGCTCTCTTAAGTAATTAAGCACGCTATCTCTTACTGCCGAGTATATGCGTTATGCCATGAACCAAGCCACTGCAAATTAAAGATGTAGGTAGACTTGCATAACCCTCTCCTTTCCCCCTCACACCTGAAAGAGCCCACGTGTTCCAGCTAAATGAACTGTAGTAATATTTAGTCTCCATTTTTTATTCTTTTGCCTTGAATTACAGATTCTTCCATGCAACAGATGTTCTGAGCCTGATTTTCTAAGCTTAGCCACTCCAATAACCAAGTAAGATTAATTTAATGAGTTCTCTTAAAAAATGTTTCTTTGTTTTAGCATATTTCCATTGCCTCTTCCATTTATTCATAGGGATCTGTTATCTCACATATGCTTGTGTCAAAGGACAAAAAATTACTGTATAAGTAGCCATATAAGGAGAAGTTTCCTTTCCAGAAAACATGTGGTGGACACAGGGCATGTGAAAACATACAAGATAAGCATTCTTTCATACTTTTTTCTGTCAGTCATGGCTACTTATTGAAACTTGTACATCCTTTTTTATTTCCAACTCCTAATGTATAATTTAGCTTGTAAAATAACTTTAATAATAAATCTGTGGTATTTTGAAATCTTTGTTACTCTGTGATGACCTTGGCAAGTTTTTAAAATAGCAATGTTTAAAGGTATAAGGAGATTTTTAAAAACAGTGAAATAGTGTGCCCACTGAGAATTAATTATAAGCTAGAACTTATGTTAGTAAGGATGTATTGGACCACAGTAAAATAAAAATGATAAAAGTAGCAAGTGGTAGATTTATGAAATTGGCACTGCTCTTAGTGATTGTTTGAGTCCCTCTTTAAGTGTGCTCATTTGACAGGTACATATGCATATGCCCACATATTGTAGGGGCTAAGGGAAAACTTCCCCTTTGCCCTCTGAAGATTGACTGAAAAAATCAACTCACAAAAGGCAGAATAATAGGCGAAATGGCATACACATTTCTTAGTGTGCATGGAGGAGAATCACAGAATAATTGCCTAATATCCCAATGGGGTACAGATGCTTACATATCCTACTTCTTAGGGAAAGGGAGATAGGAAAGTGTGGATGCCTTTAGGAAGACATTAGATGATTTTTAGGAGAATTCAACGCATTTGAAGAATATACAATGGCCTGAAACAAAGTCTTTTGGAACCACAGAGCAGACAATGGTTTGTGACAAAAGTCCACCTGGGTATGTTGACAGACTCCATTATTTATTACTGCAATATGAATTCAGCTCACGAAAACTGAAGAAAGAGACCAGAGGTCGTTGTTTTCTTCTTTGGTAGGTACAGACCTTAGGCAGATACAGGAACTTCAGAGAATAACTTCATCCTGCTGTGCTTTGGGAGACACAGAGGATCAAGATATGGGGTGTGAGGGTAAGAAGGTCAGAGAGACCTTGAGGCTTTTTCTTCATGTCAAAGCACCATATTTTAGGGTATCAATTTCTGAGCCCCAGTGATATAAATATGATTTTACACTTTCTTTTTTTTTTTTTTTTGACGGAGTCTCGCTCTGTCACCCAGGCTGGAGTGCAGTGGCGTGATCTTGGCTCACTGCAAACTCCGCCTCCCAGGTTCAAGCCATTCTCCTGCCTCAGCCTCCCGAGTAGCTAGGACTACAGGCGCCCACCACTACGCCCAGATAATTTTTTTGTATTTTTAATAGAGACGGGGTTTCACCGTGTTAGCCAGGATGGTCTCGATCTCCTGACCTCGTGATCCACCCGCCTCGGCCTCCCAAAATGCTGGGATTACAGGCGTGAGCTACCGCGCCCGGCTGATTTTACAGTTTCAAATACACACGTATGTGACTCTGTATATGCATGTATAAGTAAATATGTAAATGGCTGAATCTAAACTATTTGCATATGAGAACAGAGATGATACTGTTTTCCTCCCTTCAAATTATATGCCTGAGTGATTTGCAAGGGGAAGGGAGTCTTGAAGGAGGATATTTTGAAGGGTCTTTGTAACAAACAATAAAAGAGGTGAATTTATATGTCAAAGCAAGGAAAAGAAGCTTGATCTGGCGCTCATCCCAGCTCCAAAGACTAAGATAAACTTCAGGGAGAGAGGGACATTTTCCCCAAATCATGTGAAAAAGACAGCCTAGAAAGCTGTGAGTCTCGAAGGGAACAGAGGGCCATTGGGCTTCTAATGAGTTTGCAGCTTTGGGAATGTTGGATGCAGTCCAGGGGTACTCAGCATCACCTCAGGAGGCTGTGGCAGAAAGAATGAGCAGGCAATGGACGGTGCCCAGCACTTAGGGTACATGTCTGTAGGCCTGGCCAAGCAGCAGCAGCAACCAGCTTGTGAAGACAGTATATATTCCACAGAAGGCAATGAGGACCTGGAGATACACAAATTCAGCAGTGTTTGGGGGAAGCAATATCAATCTCTTGATGGTTAATTTTATGTGTCAACTTGACTGGGCCACAGGGTGACCAGGTATTTGGTTCCATGTTATTCTGGGGATGTCTGTAATGGTGTTTCTTAATAAGATCAGCATTTTGACTTGGTAGACAGAGTAAAGCAAGTTGCCTTCCCAATGTGGGTGGGCATCTTCCAATATGCTGAAGGCATGAATACATTAAAAAGTCTGAGTAAGGGAGAACTGGCTCTTTTTCTGCTGCTGTCTTTGAGTGGGGACATCAGTTTTCTATTATCTTCGGAACTGGACTTAGACTGGAACTTATACCACCAGCTTTTTGGACTTCTAGCTTGCCAACTGCAGATCTTACGATTTCCCCAGCCTCCCTTATCACATGAATCAATTCCTTACAGTAAATCTCTCTCCTCCACCCCGACTCTCTCTCTCTCCATATATACAGTCATGTGCTGCCTGACGATGTTTTGATCAATGACAGACCACATATAACATGGTGGTGCCATAAAATCATAATACCATGTTTTTACTGTACCTTTTTTATGTGTAAATGTATTTAGATACACAAACACTATTGTGTTACAGTTGTCTACACTATTCAGTACAGTAACACGCTGTACAGGTTTGTAGCCTAGGAGAAATAGGTTTGTAGTAGGCTATCCCATGTAGGTTTGCATAAGTACACTCTATGATGTTCACACAGTGACAAAACTGCCTAACCATGTATTTCTCAGAACATATCCCCATTGTTAACTAATGCATGAGTGTATATATGTATATATATATATATATATATATATATATATATATATCCTGCTGATTCTGTTTCTCTGAAGAACCTTGACAAATACAACCTCCAAATCAGTTACAATATATTTTATCACATTATTCTCTATACTTATTTAAAATTTAATTTTTAATTACATTACTAATACATGAATATATGCTTGCTTAAAAGGATCCAACAAATAGAGAAAGACTAAAATCCCACTTGCCATCACCCTCAAACCTGGTTCTTTCCCTTTCTCCAGCAATAACCAAAATTTATTCCTGCCACATTAAGAAACGCTTTTCCAGAAAAAAAATATTGACTGTAAGTCTGTGAGAACGCAGGTTTCAAAGTTGCCTTAAAAAAAAAAAAAAAAAAAAAAAGAACAACCTGAAAGATCAAGAATTTTGTGATACAAAAGAGGGTAAAAAAATAGAAAAGAACTTCAGATGAAATGTTGAAATATTTACCTCCGTAAGCCCAGATTAATAAATACAGTATTTCTTAATAGAAGGAAAATGGAATGAAAGGTGTGGGTCTAAATGACTACCTGATGCACTATTCTAAAGTGTCTCCCAAAAGAAAGAAAGAGCAAGAGGGAGGGAGAGAGGGAGGTCACATCCCTAAGGTTATATCCACGTGAGACAAGCCCCTGCTGATGATGACTAATCACTTTTTGGGAAAATTGTAACAAACAATTGTAACAAACAAACATTGTAACAAACAATGAAAGAGGTGAATTTATAAGTCAAAGCAAGGAAAAGAGCTTGATCTGGTGCTCATCCCAGCTCCAAAGACTAAGGTAAACTTTAGGGAGAGAGGGACATTTTCCCCAAATCATGTGCAAAAAGACAGCCTAGAAAGCTGAGAGGCTGGAAGGGAACAGTTTTAGCCTTCCATATTGATGATGTAAGGTATTTAAGCACTAAAAAGATGGGCAGCCTATCACAGGTCGCCTATTAACAGTTTGCCAAGAGACGGATATTTGGAAAATCTTATAAAATATTATAAAAATTCCTTGTTTGAAAAGTTTCCCAAAGCGAGAGTGATTCCTAGGAGACAGAATAAATACTCAAGGCCTCCGTGTGCTAGTTAATTCCTTCTCGTATGCTCTAGTGTAGCCGTGTGATTATCACTACTTAATTTAATGAGTCAGGTGCTTTGATTGTTCTGAAACAGCAATTTGGTAAGGGGCATTTTCATGGCATAAAACAGCAAATGGAGCTTCCGAAAGAGCTAGGTGTAGACTCGCTGGTCTACTCTCCAGGGCAGGTTCCTTGGCACCAGGGCCTTTTGTTCTTGTAACCAGGTTGATAAGGCATATGGCAGGATGGATGACTTGGCAGTTCTCTGAAGTGTCCAGCAGAGTAGACAGAAATGTCTTCACATATATGGGAGAGGACTCCCCTGCTTTCACAACCAGCACCTGAAGAGCAACTCGAGGTCACACTTGCATAATCTCCTGCAAGAGAAGACCCTGTGGGCTCTAGAGAAGGGACCATCTTTGCTTTCTCTCAGTCGCCCATGCTCAGGCAAACTTGGCTTATGACAAGTTTGAGCAGATCATTTCTTAGAAGTTAATTGGAGCTCGGCCCGCTCGGCATGGTAGCATGCACCTGTAGTCCCAGCCACTCTAGAGGCTGAGGTGGGAGGATTGCTTAAGCCCAGGAGTTGGAGGCTTCAGTGAACTATGATAACGCCACTGCACTCCAGCCTGGGAAACAGAATGAGACCTCATCTGTAAAAAAACAAAGTTACTTGGAAGCCAGTTTATTTTTGGACTCATGCAGTTTCCCAAGGATTTGTTAAAGAAATGATTTGGGAAATATGATGATCACACATCTCAAGGAGGAAAATGGTCCTGTGGCCTGAGCCTCAATTCTGGATTGCCCTGCTATGTATGGGCATCAAAAGGTATTTGGGGAGAAGAATCTCTCCTTTGGATAAATTTACAAAGCTGGGGAAATGGTCCCTCCACGAGTGAACTGTCTCCCAACCATTGGTGTCCAATGGCTGTGAATCACGTCTATCTGTTCAACAACTGAGGAGCTGTGTGGCATGAGAGATATCACCAAAAATACAACCCAGTCCCTGCCCTTGAAGGGATGATGTCATGTACAAAAATAGACTAGGATGATTTGTTCATCTCTCTGTCATATGTGTCCCACACCAGGCCTGGTGCATAGTAGGTGCTCAACCCAGATGACTTAATATAAGTAGCAGCAGAAGCCAGATGCAGTGGCTCACACCTGTCATCCAAGCACTTTGGGAGGTGGAGGCAGGTGGATTGCTTGAGCCTAGGAGTTTGAGACCAGCCTGGGCAACATGGTGAAACCCCATCTCTACAAAAAATACAAAAAAGGCCTAGCACGGTGGCTCACGCCTGTGATCCCAGCACTTTGGGAGACTGAGGTGGGGAGATCATCTGAGGTCAGGAGTTTGAGACCAGCCTGGCCAACATGGTGAAACCCTGTCTCTACTAAAAATACAAAAAATTAGTCGGGCGTAGTGGTAGGTGCATGTAATCCCAGCTATTTGGGAAGCTGAGGCATGAGAATTGCTTGAACCTGGGAGGCGGAAGTTGCAGTGAGCCGAGATCGTGCCATTGCACTCCAGCCTGGACGACAAGAGTGAAACTCCATTAAAAAAAAATTAGCCAGACATGGTGGTGCACGCCTGTAGTCCCAGCTACTCAGGAAGCTGAGGTGGGAGGAATGCTTTGAACCTGGGAGGTGGAGGTTGCAGTGAGCCGAGATCACGCCACTGCATTCCAGCCTGGGCAGAGCCAGACCCTGTCTCAAAAAAAAAAAAAAAAATTAATGTAAGTAGCAATGATGGACAAAATGCTATGGTGACAGGTCAGATAAAGTTGCAGATTATGCCTGCAGGGATGTGTGTGTGTGTGTCTGTGTGTGACTGTGTATGGGGTGGTGGGGAAGTGGTGGTGGGTAAGGATGGTTTAAGAAAGGATTTGTAGAGATAAAATCTGAGTAGCATTTTGAGAGGCACAATCTGGCCATGTGGACAGATGTGTTTGAGAACACTGGCTTTAGAATCAGGCAGCCCTGTTTAAAATTCTGACTGCCGCTCATTAGCTATGGGACTGTGTGCACATTCCAAAATGTTTCTTAGCCTCAGTTTTCTCATCTGTATAACGGGACCAATAATACCTACCTTGCAAGATGCTCAATGGTACGCTTAGTAAATAAAGGTCAAAGTTGTTATGTGAAAGGTATGGAAAAGAGGTGTGTTCAGGGAACTACAGGTAACTTAAGGGTGGAACTGGGCCACATATGTGTCAGTCAAGAGAGAAGAGATGGGAAAAGGCAGGATCATCTCTTAAGAGCCTTGTGAATTAGAGTTTGGGCTCTGACCTAAGTCCAGAGACAGCCAGTGAAAGATTTAAGTGGGATAGGAGTGAGGGGTGGATAGTTGAATGGAGAAGGGAAGAAGGGCAGGAGCTCACCTCTACCTGTACATGCTGAAGTGTAAGCACAATGTCAACGTAGTTACTTGCTTTAGACTCCTTGCATAATTGAAGGAGGGAAGACCATCAGCTCAGAAATCCTCACTTTCCAGCCTGTTGGTCACAGGATCTTGCATACTTTTTACCAACTTTGTATTTATATATGTCTTAACAACAAGAAGCACTTTCTTGAGCTAAGTTTAGATTACTGGAAAGAGTAAAGATTAAGCACACAGGAAGCTGGCCTGGAGTCGCACACACAGTGGGCTGTCATTTAACTGGACTCTTCTACTCACTTTGATCCTTCCACTTGCTATCAAGAAGATATACGAAGACACTTATTTTCTTTTTCCAAGTTTTCTGTAACCTTCTGAGGTGAATAAAGAATACAAATACTGATTTTAGGGGGAAAAAAGAACTTGCCAAAACAGGAGTTTGCCACTTACCAGCTCTTTGATCCTAGAGGAGTTACCGCCCCTCAGTTTCTCCATCTGTGAAATGAGCCTGATGGTGCCTATCTCATTAGGCTGCTGTAAGTCATGACAGAATCTGCCTGGGTTGCCTGGCAGTATAGGAGTCAGTGAGTGAACAGGCTGCCACTGCTACTGCTGCTGCACTAGACGGTGATGGTGAAAGAGCCCCTACTGCCTATACCAAGGAGGATCCAGACATAGGAACCCCACAATTAAAAACAATAACTACAACACATCCCTTCCCACCCCCGTCTCATAACAAAACCAAACCAACTTCCCTCAGGGCCTGCGCTATGCAAAATTTCAAAATCATCAAAATTTATTTTTTGCTTTCATGACCCTTAACTTTTAAAAAAAATTGTGGAAAACTACACAGAGCATACAATTTACCATTTTGACCTTTTGTTTTGTTTTGTTTTGTTTTTTTTAGACGGAGTCTCTCTCTGTCGCCCGGGATGGAGTGCAGTGGTGTGATCTCGGCTCACTGCAAGCTCCGCCTCCCGGGTTCACGCCATTCTCCTGCCTCAGCCTCCCGAGTAGCTGGGACTACAGGCACCCACCACCACGCCCAGCTAATTTTTTGTATTTTTAGTAGAGACGGGGTTTCACCGTGTTAGCCAGGATGGTCTCGATCTCCTGACCTAGTGATCCACCTGCCTTGGCCTCCCAAAGTGCTGGGATTACAGGTGTGAACCACCGTGCCTGACCCCATTTTAACCATTTTTAAGTGTACAGTTCAGTGGTGTTAAATACATTCACATTATGCTCTCCAAAACTTTTTCATCTTGCAAAACTGAAACTCTCTACCATTAAACACTAACTCTGCATTCTCTCATCCCCTAAATTCTGGCAACCACTATTCTACTCTCTGTCTCTATAAATTGACTACTCTAGATACCCCATGTAAGTGTAATCATCCAGTACTTGTTCTTTTATGACTGGCTCATTTCACTTAGCATACTGTTCTCAAGTTTCATCCACGTTGAATCATGTGACAGGGTTTCCTTCCTTTTTAAGGCTGAATAATATTCCATTGTACTCCAGCTTACTGAACCACTGCTAATTAAGATGGTGTCAAATTAGCTTATTTCTGAGATACTTTTCTGGGAAAGTTACTTTTATAGAGATGGCATTCCAAGAGGTTTTAAAATTTATCCTCCTATTGAAGTTTTTAGGTCAATTATGAATGTTGACTAAATTTACAAGTAAACTTATTTATTCAAAAGTTCCATTGAATTCCATATTTTGTTTGTCCATTCATCCATTGATGGACACTTGGGTTGCTTTTGCCTTTTGGCTACTGAGTAACGCTGCTGTGAACTTGGGTGTACAAATAACTACCCTTAACCTTCTCTCTCTCTTTCTGTCTCTCTTTTATAATCCAAGGTTCTGATGCTTTCACTCTAACTCAGCATCTTTCATCAGGAAAGGAGCTCTGAGAATCATTAACACCTTGGTACATGTGTGCTTGATGTGTTATCCCTAAATAAGAGTATCTGGATTTTTAAAAGAAGACCAAAGAGAAGGGAACGCAAAATGAAACAAATACGAGTCCAGTTTCAGGCCGAGGTCCCTGAAGGGGTGCTCTGTGAGCCTGTGGGCCTCCTAGACCACTTCAGAGCCGACTTGGAGTCCTTTGCCAATGAAAGCATGGCTCTATCCCCAATAGACCAGAACTCTTTTGTTTTATGTGCCAGTTCCAAACTGAGCCCGTGTTAATCATTAAACTTACACAGGAAATATAAAACATTAGCACATGTGCATCTCACACTACTATAATTTCATTTCCCACTGGAAGGGAAAAGCTTTATAATATACTAGAGAAGGCTCACTCAGCTCAAATTATGGTTCAAGTCAAACCCCAGTATACTCCTTCACACTGAGCCTTTTCCTGCACGGTTCTAATCCTCCCCACTCTGGGTTTACTAATCTCTTTCTATTATCTTTTCCTTTTGACAGGTGGCTGCTCTGCCTGCCACGCCTGCCAATTCATTCTCCTCTCATAGTTAACCATCACGATCACATCATTACCTGAAACATAAATCCTCCTACAGCTAAAGACATGCAGCCTAGCAAGTATTTTTCTTCTTACAGACTGTATACACCATGTTCTCAGAGGTTTTCAATAAGCTGCAAGAATTCTTGGTTGTTCAATGAAATCTTACTCTTCTTTCTCCTAATTGTAATGTTGCAATCATATCCTGTCACATCCCATCAGTTGCCAAAACAAATGTTTCCTTTTTGTAATGCCTCTCGGATCCCTCCCTGTTCCTCTGTTCGCAGTCTGGGGATAGTGGCTTGCTGGGGCTGGTACCAGGAAAACAGTGAGTAAATATCAAATTGAGCCTGGAGGACAAATGCAGAATTTGGAACCAGAGCCAAGGTTAGTTACTGAGCATGAGGGTGGTTGACCAAGTGGTAGCTGAGTCTGGGGGGCTGGTGAGTAGAAGATACAAGAATGATGGACCCTCATGCAGGATCCGGTGGAAAAATGAGAGAGAAGGAACCAGGGACCCAGGGAGAAAACAGGGAAGGCAATTTAACCCTGCAAATAGCTTTTTAGTTGACTGCTTTGAAAAGAATTAGTATGCTACTCCTTAGCTGGGTTTTAGGGGCATATTTTTCCTGAAGATTTTCCGTTCCAGTTAAGACTCTTGTGGTAAATAAAAAAATATGTCCCTCAGATCTGTGAAAGTCATCTCTGAAAGTGGGATCTAGGCATTAAATTAAAAAAAAAATTGTCCCAGGTGATTTATAGTTGCTAGAACTAACCACTGCTGTAGCCCCTTACCTCTACCCCATCACACATCTGTCCTTTACGCTGCTTCTAGATAAATCTAAGTCTGATTCTTCAATGTCTCTCCATTTCTTTCTGAATCTGACCAGGTTCCTTGGTCTTGGTCTGTTGTTGGAGATGCTTCACATCGTGGGCCCAGCCCCCATTCCTGGTCTTGGCTTCTGTAGTTTGCTTGCATTTCTCTTACTGGTTCACTTGCTGGTTTTCCTGGGATATCTTTTGACACAGTTGGGTATAGACTGGTTACCTTCTACAGGTCAAAGTCCCTTCAAGGGGCAGGTCTATGGGTAGGTGCCAGAAGGAAATCCCAACCAGCAGGCGGAACAGAGTGTCTGGGGGGTGTGAGAGCAGGCACAAATGAAGTCCAGTGCAGGCATTGAAGATGTCCTGCAGAGCAGAGGCAGGAATGTCCTAAGACTCAAGCAGACAGGAAGATCCTAAGCCAGACAGGTCCCACCCATGGCTTGTGGTCCAGGGAGCAGAGCCCTAGAAGGACTGACCATCAAACCTGGTTGGGCAACAAAAACAAGATAGAATGCCAGTTCCTGCTCCTCCTACTCCATCTCTGGTTTTAATATTATAATTACCACCAGAAATCTGCCATTCATCCCCCTCTCCCAAGGCAACAGGATCTGCCCAGGAAGTATAGCAGCAGCCCAGGGCTCATAAGTGGAGCTGGAACAGTCCTTGGTTTCTGGACCCTTGAAGGTCAGAGTCCTGGAGACCCTGGCAGGAAGGCCAAGCCACCTGCCCAGCATGCTCTTCTTCCACTGTCCTGGCAACCTCGAGCATTGGCCTGGCTCCTAATTTCCTGCAGCTCACAACCTCATTCTCTGGACTCCCTAGGGTGGCCTGCCTCTGTGTCCACCCCTCCCATATACCATGCTCTGCTCGTCTGAAGTCTTATCCCAGGATTGGTCACTGACAGATTGCCTCTTGGCTCCTGCCACCAGCTTGGAATTGAGTAGGATTAGCTATGCCCCTCCCGCCCCATCTGGACTAGATTTACACTTGGGGGCCCCTTGCCAAGACCATGTCTCTGCTCCTGCTTCATCTGTGTTTGGCCAATTCCAGGGTTTTCTTCCTTGGTTCAGACCCCAAACAACTCCCTCCCCGACCTTACACGCTTTGCATCTGGCCTCATCTAACTCCCTATTAGGAGATAACACTGAGAAGAACCACTTAAAATCAGACTATAGATAAAGGTTGGTTGACATAGTAAGATGTTTGTGTTGGTGCTAAGTGGAAAAAGCAGATTGCAAGATAGTTTGTATTTGTATGTGTTCATTCCAAGTATATACGCGCGCAAAAACGGTCTGGAAAGATACTCAGTGATACGTTAAGAGTGCTTGTCTCTGGGGTCTGGAATTATGGAAGTATTTTGCTTTTCTTCATTTTGCTTATTTATATTATCTAATTATTCCACAGTAAATAAGTATTGCTTTTTTAAATAAGGAAAACAACTTTTAAAAGTTGTTTTTACAAACACACAATGTAACATAGCTCTTGGGATCCTGGTTCTCAGAAACAAGGCAGAGATCCAACTGAGGGCACTGGCCCGAGAGAGGAGTCAGATTTAGCAGCTAGAGGCTGCAGCTGAGTCCCAACGTGTTGGGCGCCAAATCTCGAGGGCAGGGAAAGGCGGAACTTAAGACTGCACTGAAAACAGCTTGCCTGGGTTTGCATTCCAGCCTGCCACTTAATAGCTGTGCAACCTTGGGTAAGTTGCTTAGCCTCTCTATGTCTTGTTTTTCTGAACTGAAAATGAGATAAGACTATTTTATGGATAATCTCATAGGAATATTCTGAGGACTAAATGGATCATATCATGTAACAAGCACTTAAGTGGTGCCTGGTACACAGTAAGTGCTCAAGCAGTGTTAGTTATTATAGGGAAGAAGGCAGGCAGGCCCTAGTAGAGAACACACCTGGCCCTGTAACACCCTTAGCCCCAGCTCCTTTGGGTTTCTCCTTTCTATATCCCGGAAGCCCACTTTTTTTTTTCTTTTTTAGAAGAAATGAGATCTCACTATGTTGACCAGGCTGGTATCAAACTCCTGGGCTCAAGTGATCCTCCCGCGTTGGCCTCCCAAAGCCCTGGGATTACAGGCATGAGCCACTGTGCCTGGCCCAGAGCCCACCCATTCTTTCAATTCCACCTCAAATGCTACATCCTTCCCTCAAACCTCTCTTCGTTAAGCCTCCAACCAGGAGAGGTCTCACTTTCCTCCTAATCCATCTGTCACTCTGCACCACTTCCCCAGCCCTGAATGTACCCGGCCTTCTCTGCCAGGTGTTGGTGTACCTGTTTTATTCCCCCTTTGGAGCTGTACATGGGGGACTGTATCATGCCTGACATGCTGTGGTACACATTAAGCACTTGAGCTGAATTGCATAGTTTGAACATGACCCATTTGCCTTACAAAAATCCTACCGAAATCTCCACCCAGGCACCTGCAGATTGCTGAGATTTACTGCTTCAAAGGAATTATATTTACTTTATTACTTCACAGATGAAAGATGAATTGCACACTTAGAATTATGATCTTTGGCACAAGTAAAGGCTCAGCATGGCAAAGAATTCCACCCTTCACACCTTTGTTATTTGCCTTGTGGGTTATAAATAAGATTGTAGGTTGTTTGAATAAACCAATATCTGGCCACAAACTAGCAAATGTCTGTTACAGCATCTAAATGTGGAACAGTGATGGCATCTCATTCTTGGCCAATTTTAATGCAAGGAGCTGTGCAAAGCTGTGCTGTTGGCCTGTAGTCAGCAGCATTATATTTGGAGAAGGAAAATGCTAAATTTGCTAGAGTTTTGTTTTATATTTACCTCCTACATGTCTTGGCAAATAAACTATAAATCGTTTGTTATTCTCCATCTAGATCATACTTCCCTTTCAAATGTTTTTGTATTACATTTGCCAGAGAGCCACAGAATCTTAATTGTAGTACTGCATCAAAATCTGTCAGTGAGAAGTGGTTAAAGTATTGAGCACCTATTCACACAAAGCTATATGTTAGCCACATACATTGAAGTGACATATCTGAAAACGAGAGTTCAATGTCATGCCCCTAACACATTTTATCTGGGTTAAACAGCACTCTGCGTCACCTCCTGTCTGAAACACATTGTTAGTTTATTAGCAGAAGCTATTGTTGCCCTGGGCCTAGAATAGGTGCTCAATAAATGCTTATTGATTGATTGCCTTGGGACATTTTTTTAAATGTCACTTTTCGAAAGGCAATGAATGGACTGTGCAGAAATAGTATCTGCACATAAGGAGCCTGCAGTTTTAATGGGACAAAGAATTTCTGAACACAGGCTAAAGAAGAGGGAGTATGTTAAGTAGGTAATGAACAGTAAAACATGATGGAGGGTAGTGCAGGGCTTTGGGACATCATGTCCTTTCAGTGTCCTGTGTGGAAGGGTCAAGCCCTGCTTCTTTAAGGCATTTCTGAGCAGGAGGATGTTGGGGTGATGTGGAGGTGGTGGGGACGTGGAGGTGGTGGGAATGTGTCTGCCTGGACTCTGATCCTGGAGTCTTTGTTTATCTGGAAGCATTCCTGCTTTTCTTTTTGGCTCTCAGGACTTCCTCTGCACATGCAGGAGAGAGTTAAGCATAGATGGATGGGTAGATGTCTGCTGAGTTTGAAAACAAACCCTTGAAACTGGGATGCCATGTGGGTCAGCATGTGCAAAGTCCTTGGGAATGAAAATCTATTATTTATTCATTCAGAAAGCTTTTAGCTTTCAATATAATTTCTAGAATACAATAGACTTCATTTTGAACCATTTGAAGAGAAATATTATTATTACTAGTATTGTACTGGGGATGAGGTGGAGAGAGTAATAGATCAATGTTCTTCTAAATTTCAGATCTTAAAGACTTGATTCTAGGGAAAGGAAGAGAGGAGAAAGGGCGAACAGATGGTGGGAAGAGGGGACAATGATAAACAGCATAGCTTTCTGGTGCCTGGTGCCCTTATTGCCTTCACAGGGTGTAGAGAACAGATCCATTCTCATGGCCACGTGTCTGTAGCCATAAGTTCTATGGAACCTGCCTCAAGGTTCTCTTTCAAAATCCCGGAATTTCAGAAAGATTGTGGGGCACCGATAGTTTCCCCAGCCTCACTAAGCTTGACCTCTTCTGGTTTCCATTGGCAATCGAGTGGAAAACTGCTTTTAGCAAGGCTTCACTGCAATAATCAATATGTCATTAGCTGTAGCCATATTTAAACCTACAAGAACCGATTTCTAAGATCCAAGCAATTGCTATTGACATATAGGCTCGTTCCTTAAAAAAATCCTTAAAAAATAATGACTCTAGATCTGGGGGTGGATGGATGGATGGAGGCTTTGTGGCCATGCATGCTTGTATGTAACTGCCCTGTTCCACTAACATTATAATTTGAGAGGCACAGGAAGAATTCACAAAAATTCTAACAAGATTTGGGAATGAAATCCTTACAGGAGCATCTAGGAATGGTTTTTCCAGACAATTTAGTTTTCAAGAGGGTGAGAGAAAGGAGTCAGTGATATTAAGAGTGGATACAACCATACAAGGTGAATTTAAGCTCTTGATTTTCTTTACAAACTGGGAGTGAATCATCATTGTTTTTTACTCACTCTTCATCCTTCTTGGCTTCTCAAAAGGAACCCTTATCTAAGTACATAAGATGCATAGTAAGATGGAAGGCCCAAATCGGTTTTATACCAAGAGTATGGAATGTTGATGGGCCAGCAAATGTGCTTCTTTTCAGCACAGCATCTCCTCCAGCTATCCTGCACAAACATGGGGTCAGTGCTGCTGCTCAGAGGGAATGGGAGCCGCCAGGATGCCCGCTAGTATTATCAAAAGAGTTAAGTGAATCGCAAATCTCATCAAAACCCAAGAGTGACTACTAAGAATAGAAACGAAGTTAAGATCTCATTAGTTGTACCATGTCTAATGTGATGTCACGATACAGGTAGTTTTTTCACCATCTATAGAAGAATCACAGTAAGAATCTGGCATTGTTTCCCTGGTGCTGTATTGGTCAGAGTAAACAAGCATCCCGAGTCTGTTTGGTGAAGTCGGCTACCATGAGGACTGCAGGACTCCACGTCAAGTGATCTGACAAGGTCTCTTAAAGCTGTCAAGGTGAAGACCACACTGTGGCCTGGCGGTTCCCACCATACTGTGGACATTCCAGAAAGCTACACGTGCTCTGCCTGTTTTTCTGACTGTTCCCTTTCTCAAGGGCACTCTGGACAGGCACAGAGTCCACCCAGTGTATGCTAAGCAGCATATCTTCTACTGACAAATGTCAATAACAGAAGGACATTTTTTGAGGCACGATCAGCCAGCTAAAAAGAGTCGTGATTGTCAGGAACAGGAGAAACCATGCTGAAGGCACTGGGCATGGCTTGCTCAGAGCATCGTGTTGTTCTTTGCCCCTCCACTCTCCACCCCTGGGATAAATGGGATCGACATGGGAAACCAGAGGCAACCCAGGACTTTGTTAGGAGCTCTGCTGCTGTTTGCTTTCTGCTGATTTTCTTTCACTCCCTTCCACTGTAGTAGCAAAATTGGAGTTTTCCTCAGAGCTCTGGCTTTGTGCTTCAAGATTATTTTGGGATACAGTATGTAATTTTCATTGTCTCTTTTTATCATTTTAATATTCTTTCATGGATTTTCAGAATGCTTAGATTTATTTTCTTTAAAATTGTTTTCCCTTGTAATGTTATTTCTTTTCAATTTCATTTTAACTTTTGACTTGTTAGTCTCCATAATGCCTTCTGGCTTTATATTTTTAATTTTGATTGCAGTAACTTTACCTTTTAATTCCTCGTTCTCTGTATTTTATCCTTTCTACTTTTATGGTTTAATTTTTTACTTTTCTAGATTTAAAAAAAATCTATTTTAGTCTAAATTGTATTTATCCTATCTCTGTTTATTTATGTATTTATGTATTTAATTTTTTTAGAGACATGGCTTCACACTGTTTCAAAGGCTAGAGGGCAGTGGTGTTATCATAGCTTACTGCAACCTTGAATTCCTGGGCTCAAGTATCCCCTTGCCTCAGCCTCCTGAGTAACTGGGACTACAGGTGCATCACCACATGCAGTTACTTTTTAAAATTTTTTGTAGAAACAGGGTCTCACTCTGTTGCCCAAGTTCGTCTCAAATTCCTGACCCCAAGATATCCTCCTGCCTTGGCCTCCCAAAGTGCTGAGATTACGGACATAAGCCACTGCACCCAGCCTCTATTTTATTTTTAAACATGTTTTGGCTTTCAGTCTTAATGTGGTTTAATAAATTATCTTACTTAAAATGTTTATTGATGTTTTAAAAACACTATTAATTGTATTAGATTTATTTTCCTCTTGAATGACTACCCTTCCTTTCACTCTTTTGCTTCTTTTCTTTAAAATTTATTCACTTTGTGACATAATCTTAGGGGTCATACATAATTTAGGATTTTAGTTTTGGGATCACAAAGACAAGGCAGGAAAACACAAATATGCGATTTGGGTCAGATATAGGGCCATAGGGTACCGGCACCCACAGCAGCCTGTTGTGCCTGGAAGATTCAAATGAAGCAAAAACGCTTGAAGCAAATATCTCAGATAAAAGCAGGTGTTAATAGTGATTGTTTCTGAGTTGGATTATCATTTTTGTTTGTTTGTTTCTGCTCTTCTGTCTTTTCAAAGTCTTTTACAATTATATTGCTTTTGCAATAATGAGAAAAAACGTAAAAACAAAAATAAAAGTAAAAACAGACTGGGTGCGGTGGCTCACGCCTGCAAATCCCAGTTCTTTGGGAGGCCGAGGTGGGTGGATCACCTGAGGACCTGGTCAGGTCAGGTCAAGACCAGCCTGGCCACCATGGTGAAACCCCGTCTCTACTAAAAATACAAAAATTAGGCTGGGTGGGGTGGCGGGTGCCTATAATCCCAGCTACTTGGGAAGCTGAGGCAGGAAAATGGCTTGAACCCGGGAGGCGGAGGTTGTGGTGAGCCGAGATCGCGGCACTGCACTCCAGCCTGGGCAACAGAGCAAGACTCCATCTCAAAATAAAATAAAATAAAAAGTAAAAACAAACAACAACAAAAATTGTGCTTGCCAAAAATAAACCACATCTGTGACTGATTTGGCCCGCTGGCTCCAGCGTGTGACCTTAACTCATTTTCACAAGGGCAGGAGAGAAGCCCACATTGCAAAGAGGTGAAGCTGAGGCCATGCTCCCTATACTTCACCTTCAGCCACCCTTACCCTCTTCATCAAGCTCATGCTTTTCAAGGACAGATCTCCCCAGATCTCTACTTACCATGTCTGAAGCCTCCTATCTGCAAAGTGACTTACCAGTGAAACTGAAGGAGCACTTACTGCATTCCAGGGGCCATTACTTCTTCTAAGCACCTAGATTCGTTTTATTTAATAGATATCATGGTGGTTGGTTTTTTTTTTTCCCCTGAGTTGGCAGCTAGGAAGCTCAAAACAAAACAGGTGATCTGTCTTTAACTATTATTCATAATTTCAACCTTATTTCACAAATATCCAACCCACATTTGTTCTTTGTTTGAATTCCTAATTTGTAACCCTGTTTTATTGAATATATTTGATGAGATACCTTAAATCTGTGCAATAATATAGGGTATAAATAAATTGACTGACAAAATTAATATGGTCTGCCTCAGTTTACCCCTTCAGTCTAATTTCTGTATAACTCCACACTTTTCTCCTACCCCATCAACACACACACACACACACACACACACACACACACCCATCATATACATCCTTTTCCTGGGGCTATCTATCCAGAATTAGTAGTGAGCCATACCTGAGTTCACACATTGTCCTTAATACCTTTGCATTTGGTATCAACTCTGTCTAGAGTTGGCTCTTTGCTTGGCCTTACTGATTCCTTCTCATATTTGAGGTGTGAACTGCAAATGTTCTCCTTGAGAAGACTTCTTCAATCAGTTTTCCTCTCTTCTGACTTTCTGCTGAAGATACTTCTCCCGGCTCTTGTAGAACCTTCTAGAATAGTGTATATTTGAACTGTAATAGTCTGTTTGCTTCTCTTGATCTTCTCCACTGAATCGCAAGTTCCTTGGTGGCTGAGACTCTTTATTTTTTGAACATCTCCATTAAGTGCAAATAAAATGCTCCCTGGACACTTGTCCACATTGAAATGAGTAAGAAAATATCAAACAGAAACCAGTGAGAACATTTTAGGGGCATGGGCCTGTTGGGTGAGTTAATACATCCTAGGTAGATTTTGACTGAGTCATCTAATCATGCATTAATGTCAATGAATGACATTGCCTAAAATGACTTGGTTTCCCTTGCAGAGCAAGGTTTTGCTCTATTAATATCTGCCAGGGTCAATCATTTGGGTTAGTACAGATTGACCTTATTTTAAGTTTTGTAGAGAGACAGAGTTCTGGTTTTCGGATTCTCATAGGCAAACCTCTGCACAGATATATCTTTGACCATGGCATTTCTATGTTTTCATTTATACAGCACCTGATAAATTTCCTTAGCATTCAGCATAAAACTCCAGATGTTTTCCTTCAAATTTACTTTTTCTCCAGACTACCCTGTCTGTAATAACATCCTCCTTTTCCTTCCCAGAAGCTTGAAACCTTGAAATAATCTCTGACATTTTAATCTCCTTCTCTTCTTACTTTCCGAAGGTCAATGATCAACTCCCCTGGGTCCTATCCCTGAGACATGTCCCACACTGCTCTTTTCTTTCCCTTCTCTTTGCCGCTTTCTCAGTTGAAGCCTTAATTATATCTGCCACTTATTTGAGAACTTTATAACTCATCTCCTTGCCTCCTTTCTCCTCTCCAACGCACTATTCATGCATGACAGAAATCTTCACAAAGTACACAGAAGCTCTGCATTTGCTTCTTTTCCCCAGAGAGCTGAGCCCAACCCAAGGCCGTAACACACTTTGGTGAACTGATTAAACTGCCTTCAGTGGCTCCTTGTGGTCTATGCAATCACGCCAGAATTTCCTAGCAAGATATTCATGACCCTACAGAGTGAAGTCCTAGCCTCTTCTTCCAGCTTCTCTGCAACTTTCTCCAGCATTCCCCCAACTCACCAGCTTCTCCCCAACTGTACCATTTCCAGCCCTGCAGTGCCCTTCTCCAGCTGTCTCTACTTGTCAAAATGACAACTACCCTTTGAGGTTCTACTTAAATGTCACCTCTTCTATGCTTCTACTTGATTAGATGTATCTTCCCTCTCTCTGATACGCTGGTGGAATTTAATTTACCATCTACTTCTCCCCTAGATCTCACTACATTTTATTTTTCTTTCTTTCTTTCTTTGTTTTTTTTTTTTAGATGGAGTCTTGCTTTGTTGCCAGGCTGGAGTGCTGTGGCGTGATCTCGGCTCACTGCAACCTCCGACTCCCTGGTTCAAGTAATTCTCCTGCCTCAGCCTCCCAGGTAGCTGGGATTACAGAGACGCACCACCACGCCCAGCTAATTTTTGTACTTATAGTAGAGACAGAGTTTCACCATGTTGGCCAGGATGGTCTCGATCTCCTGACCTCATGATCCACCCGCCTCAGCCTCCCAAAGTGTGTGGATTACAGGCGTGAGCCACTGCGCCTAGCCAATCCCACTACATTTTTTTCTTGACTCATGAGTATTGCTTTTGACTACCTGCCTGGGTTTGCCTTTCCATGCTGTGGGGTTCTCCTTAATGGCAGCAAGAAACATTGTACTTAGCTTGGCTTCAACCAGGGCATCTTACGACTTGTCTCTCTTTTTATTAATAAAGCTTCATTATCTTTATTAATAAAGATTATGGGTATTGAGCGTTAGTGGACCTAACATGGGGATCACAACGTTGAGTAAAACACAACAGTCCTTTCTACAAAGAATGACCCAGACTGGGAACTAAGGCAACCTTAGGAAGTGTTCTTGGATTTGTAAAAATAAAAACCCTCTGCGACTCCAGGCAAGTCATTTAACTTCTGGTGCCTTAGATGACTCATCTGTCAAATATCCTTTCTTCAAGGGCTTTCCTAAGAAAAAATAAAATTTTAAAAACACCTAAATCTGTTAAGATCTTTAAATTTTATAGGAAAAGCCATTGCATAAATAACCCACATGGATTTGGGCTTAGAATGTTTGAACCAGCAAAAACCCCAGTGCCTGATGGTTGAGGAGAATGTTTGATAATGAAGGCAAGTCTTTCAGGTAGCATCACTCTGGGAGTTATTTTCTTCCTGCCAAAAGCCCGGGTGGCTTATATAACTCCACCTCACCACAGCACAGAGATAAAAGCCAATCTTAGGCAACTGCAGCAGGTAATTTTGCAGAGTATGCTTTGCAAGAGAGTGTTGTACATTTCTTTTAGGAGCAAATTAGGAACAGTAATACCCAAGCAATAAATGAAGACAATAACTGAATTTGGAGCAATAGCTATTCAATTTTTGTAATAATATGAAAACAAGGTACACATGGATCTGAAAGCATGATAGGTCCCAGACAAGGATGAACAAACTGGGGGAGGGTCTATATGCTACATCAGACTGCAGGGTTTGATTTTTTTAAAATTCCTTATTGGAAAACATAGACTTATCCTATACCTTATTTACTGTTTGTTCAAATAAGTGCAGTGCATTTTAGTTCCCCTCATAAGCTTTGGTTCAGTCATTTCCAGATAACTCCCTTCGTTGTTTGTAAAGTCTGGCTTAAAATAAATTTCCTTCAGGTGCTGAAGGGAACAGATCTTATACACCAACAAGTGCAGTTCAAAGAGGGAGGGATGAAGAAGAGGAATAATTAAAACTCACTGAACATTGGCAATTATTCAACTATTTTACTCTCATTTTATATAAGGGAAATGGGGGCTCAGAGATATTTAGTTACTTTCCTAAGTAAGCCATTGACTGGGAATTTAATCCTGATTAGTTTAATTCAAGAGCTCATGGTCTTTATATGCCATCCCCCTTCCTCCCAAGGTTCTGGGGTCCAAGGTAAGTGGACAATAAGTGGTGTCTAATTAAGGCCTGTGCATATCTTGCTGTAACACATTCAGCAGCCAGGTAACTTCAGATCCAGGCACCCTCCCCTTCCCCACCCCAGCAAGGCCAGGATTGTGTGTCTATTGGATGAGAGCCAGGAGAAACTGATCAGTGTCTGGTGGGGAAGTGGGGGCAATGTGGGAGTAGGCAGCCTGCATGGGCCAATGTGCCTGGAGTGACACAATTGTCACTGGGGACACCTTCAATCTTCCTAACGCTGTCCCCATCAGCTTCATGTCTGATGTGGTTTGGCTCTATGTCCCCACCCAAATCTGATGTTGAATTGTAATCCCCACATATCAGAGGAGGGACCTGGTGGCAGGTGATTGGATCGTGGGGGCAGATTTCTCCCTTGCTGTTCTCATGATAGTGAGTGTGTTCTCATGAGATCTGATGGTTTAAAAGTGTGTGGCACTTTTCCCTTCTTTCTCTCTCTACTGCTCTGCCATGGTAAGACATGCTTGCTTCCCCTTTGCCTTCTGCCATGATTCTAAGTTTCCTGAGGCCTCTCAGCCATGCTTCCTGTTAAGCGTGCAGAACTGAGTCAATTAAACCTCTCTTCTTCATGAATTACTGAGTCTCAGGTAGTTCTTTATAGCAGCATGAGAACGAACTAATACAGTGGCTTCATGGGGGATGGAAGCCTGTTCTCCGCATGCTCACCATGGGAATATCTAAGTCTGATGCCTTGGAGCCCTCTGTCTTTAAGTGCTATTTAGATTGCTTGGATATTAGTAGTTCCAATGACATCATGAAAACTCATTCAACAAATATTAGCTCTATGCCTAGTAAGTGTTAGGCACTAGGGATTCAAAATGAATAAGAACTAGTCTCTGGCCTCAAATAATTCCCTGTCTGGTGGGGGACAATGAATTAACCGTGGCAATAAAGCCATGTGAAGGAGTGCAAGGAGAGTACAGAGGCTGGTGTAGGTAACTGTGCCCAGGAAGGCTCCAGAGAGGTGAATTTGAGCTGCGTTGTGAAAGTTGAGCTTCCCAGGTGAGGAAGGGCAGGAGGGGTATTCAGACAGAAAGCCCAGGGCATGTAGGGCGAATGCTAGTGGTGCAGGATGCTTCAGGAAATCTGGTAGCTGGATTATTTTTAAGGGCTTTATTTGACTTATCCTGTAGACAGTGGGAGACTCTGACGGTTTTTGAGCAGCATAGAGATGCTATCAGATCTACATTTTAAAAATTGCTCATAAAATAGCGTGAAGACACAGTGAAGGAAAAACCAAGGGAAATGTGTTAGAAATATTGTCACAGCACAAAAAGGGATGGTGGTGAACTCAGCTTGGGTTGTGGGAATGGGAAAGGAGAGGCAGGGATAGATTTGAGGGAAGTATTGGCCATGTGCTTCTCAGAATATTGTGCACACATTACTCTGCTGTTTCACTTAGCAAGAATAGCAACTTCTAGGGCTCTCCATGTTCATTGGAAAAACAGCTTGTCTGTGAAAATATCAGTGAGTCTTGGCTGGGTTACCTTGGGGGAAAAAGACAATTTCTCTGGGCCTTATCTATAAAATGGGCAACAGACCACATATCCAATAGATGTTATGAAGGTTAAATACAACAAATACAGCATACTGCACATAGAGCATTCTCAACAAATGTTTGTTATTTTTACCTTCTCATAATTTTCCTCACCTCAAAATAAAGTTAATATCAATATACTGCCTTGCTCTGATGAGATAATTGGGTTAATATTAAAATTTAAGATATAGCCATGTTTCCAGCAAATATTTTATTCTTTGAGACGTAGATATGGATATGTATGTATTTATTTCACTCTATGTCAAGATGAAAATAAATACTATCCTTCAGAAGAAAGCTCGGGTAAGTGAAGTATGTTTATAAAGATTTATATATGGAGCTAAATTAATTCTTGAGAACTGAGGTATTTGTAGTCATTATTTTACTTCATTCTGAGAACAAGTACAAATGAGCATGTCAAAAATGACAGTTATTATGCTTTTAAAATTTGATTTCTTACATATTCTAATTATATTCTTTTAATTAGTAACCACTCTTTGTTCTTTCTCTTCCGCAAAGTGAGATTGAACTCAGTTCCTAATGCAAAGCAGTTTGTAATTTTTATGTAAGATGACATGTTATTAAGTAAAAAGAATGACAATTGTTTTTCCACTAAAGACTTAGTGATGACAAAAGAGAATTAAGCAAATCACTGAGGGAATACCTAATTTATTAAGTGTCTTGAGAAAGTCACTGTGTCATCACTATCAGATTCAAATTAAGAGGATGCCTAAGCTGCCTACATTTTGACTTTAGAAATATATCCAAGATTTTGACCAGGCAAAGAACAAAGATGGCACAATTCAAGAGGTTTTAAAAATAGTTGTGAAGCATATTCTTATTAGGAATATGCTTGAGAGCTGTTCAGTTATCGTAATGCTAGACAGCTGCATCTCACTGCCCTGTGGGCCCCGGACTGGCTTCACTACACGCTGCATGCACGGGATTTCACAGAACACTGACAGTCACTTGCATCACCAGTATTCTCTTGACCACAATACCTTGTCACCAGTTTCCCTGCTGCTAGATTTTATTTTACTGTACTTCAGTATAATACCAGCATCGTATACCAGGTTGGTCAAATATTTACAGAGAAAAAGTTGGGAGGGGGTAGTAACGGAGTCTGGAGGAGTTACAGGTATCGAGTCTCCACGGTTCCATTTTATAGGCTATGCACGGCTCTGCTTGTACACTAGAATGATCCAGACATTTTTATTTTGGAGATATATGCTGAAGTATTTAAGGTAGAGTATCTTGGTGTTTGCAATTTGTCTACAAGTGGTTCAGCTAAAAAATAATGGAGAGGCCGGGCACGGTGGCTCACGCCTGTAATCCTAGCACTTTGGGAGGCCGAGGCGGGCGGATCATGAGGTCAGGAGATCGAGACCATCCTGGCTAACACAGTGAAACGCCGTCTCTAATAAAAATACAAAAAATTAGCCAGTTGTGGTGGCGGGCGCCTGTAGTCCCAGCTACTTGGGAGGCTGAGGCAGGAGAATGGTGTGAACCCAGGAGGCGGAGCTTGCAGTGAGCCGAGATCACGCCACTGCACTCCAGCCTGGGCGACAGAGCGAGACTCCATCTCAAAAAAAAAAAAAAATTATGGAGAGACAGAGAGAGAGACTGATGGAGCAAATGTGGCCTTGTGTAATTGGATAAAGGTATATGGGTGTTCCTTCTACCATTCTTTCAATTTTTCTTTACATTGGAAAAATTTTAATATAAAAAGTCAGGAAAACCTCCCCAAAACTTTTTCTTTTCTTTTCTTTTCCTTTCCTTTCCTTCCCTTCCTTCCTTCTTTCTCTTTCTTTCCTTCCTTCCTTCCTTCCTTCCTTCCTTCCTTCCTTCCTTCCTTCCTTCCTTCCTTCTTTCTTTCTTTCTTTCTTTCTTTCTTTCTTTCTTTCTTTCTTTCTTTGACAGAGTCTTACTCTGTCACACAGGCTGGATTGCAATGGTGTGAGCACAGCTCACTGCAGCCTCCAACTCCTAGGCTGAAGCGACACTCCTGCCTTAGCCTCCTTCTGAGTGGCTGGGACTACAGGCATATGCCACCACTCTTGGCTAATTCTTTTAGTTTTTGCAAAGATGGGAATCTCACTATATTGCCCAGGCTGGTCTCAAATTCCTGACCTCAAGCAAGTCTCCTGCCTTGGCCTCCGAAAGTGCTGGGATTACAGGTGTGAGCCACTGCACATAGCCCAAAAACTTCTTAAAAGGTACAATGATAAAGAACTTTTAAAAAAGATTTACCAATAGTTGAAGGACAATAGAATTTGTGACTGCAATAAAGGTCCATAAATACAGCAAAGGTGACCTTGCTTAAAAAATTTTAAGAAACGAAACTTTCTTTTTATTCTGTTAACTATGGTTCCTACTGCCTTTTCCAGAATGAATATACTTAGAATCATACAGTCTGTAGCCTTCTCAGACTGACTTTTCTCATTTAGCTATATGCATTTAAGTTTCCTCCATGTCTTTGTATGGCTTGATAGCTCATTTCTTTTTATCATGAAATAACATTCAATTGTATGGATGTACTGCAATTTGTTTATTCATTCACCTTGTGAGGGACATCTTTGATTCTTCCAGGGTCTCGTGATTATGAATAAACATTCGGGTACAAGTTTTTGTGTGGGCATGTTTTCAGCACAATTGGGTAAATACCTAGGAGTGTGATGGCTGGACTGAATTGTGAGACTATGCTTAGCTTTGTGAGAAACTGCCAGACTGTCTTCCAAAGTGGTCGTACCATTTTGCATTCCCATCGGCAATGGATGGGCATTCCTGTTGTTTTGTATCCTTGCCAGTATTTGGTATCCTTAGGTTTTTTGTTGTTGTTGCCGTTAGCTTTTTTATTTTAGCCATCCTAGTAGGTATGTCATAGTATTTCATTTTTGTTTTAATTTGCAATTCCTTAATGACACATGATATTGAGCATGTTTATTTGCCATCTGTGTATTGTCAACTCCACTTTAGGGAGGTGTCTGTTTAGATCTTTTGCTCACTTGAAAATTGGATTGTTTTTTAATTGACACCTGAGTGGCCTTTTTAAAAAAGTGGGTCTTATGAATAAATAGAGTGAGGGCTCAATCATGAATTCATTTATTCAGCAACTACATCAGGTACTGCCACTCTCATACCCAAGGTCTGCATTCCTCTTTTCCATTACTAACAAAACTCTAATATTCCTCCAGCCAATGCCCCAACTTTAAATACTTAGCATTTCAGACTCCTTTGCAGCTAAAGGTGGTCATGTGACATGTGGCTGGCCAATAAAATGCAAGCAGAAGGTGCTGGGTAAAGCTTCCCAGGAAGATGCAGACCCAACTGGGCATGCACCTCTTTGATCTTTTGCCCTTTACCCATCCCCCTACCATTTTCCTCAATGTGATGCAATGCTTACAAGGGAAGCAGGCATCCTGTGAGGATGAAGACAGAGATCACATGACAAGGATAGCAGAGACAATGGCTAGAAAGAGCCTGAGACACAACGACACCATAGAAGAGATATTACAGAAGCCCTGTGGCTGTCTCCAGGTTTCTGGTTTTGTGATAAGAAGCACTCCTATTTAGTAGGCACTTTTAGTCAAGATTCTGTTACAGGTCACCAATTCACTCCCTGATGCAGCAACATTTTATTAAGGATGAGGCACTTATTAGCGGTGGGCTCTAATCCTCTAACAAGACTGCTCTAAGCAGTTTTTATTTAAAGGACTGGTTCACACAAGACCATATTTGAAATAATTTATTTGTACCATGAACCACAACACTAGGAATAGAATCATATTTACCACATGCTCAGCACTGTACTAGGCATTATAAAAGGAGGAAAGAGGACTGTAAAATAAGGGCCTTATCCTCATGGAACTGATGATCTAATTAGAGAGGTAAGACTGACCTATATGAAACAAACCTGAACACTTTGGGATGATGTGTTTAAGGGCTAACAGTGAGTGCAAACTAAGTGTAGCAGCGGTTTATAAGGCTGGGGTCACCGAAGAGGGAAGCAGCCAGGGAAATATGATTAGCAACCTTGAAAACACTCTGGGTATCTATACTTTCATATTTTTGAGTTCTAAATTAATGACCTAAACATAGACATGGAAGCCATTCCCCTGGGTAAGTGAAGATGAAATGAAGGAAAGTCATTTTAATTTGAATGCCAATTTAGCTTTCAATTCAGCAGACATTTGTCACTCTAGTATCAATATTTAAAATACTGGGTCACTGTAATTATTCACCAAAATCCTGTTTACCTTGTTAATTACCAGCAATTTTTTAAAATGATGGCACTTTATGGAAACTGAATATACGTCATCTTTAAAAAGAGCTTTTAAAATCCCTCCTTTGGAAGTAATGCAGGTTAATAGATTAGACATTTTATGAAGAGGGCTGCATGATTTTTCTACTGCATTTCTGGTGTTGCAAACTTTGGTGAAATTATTAACTGCTATTCATTTTTTCCAACTTTTAGTTGTCTCTAGCTAGATGTTGATCATTATTACACATCTGTAAAGAAAAGAGCAAACCAACTTGAATTAGTGTTTCTTGAACTATTCATTAGAATTTAAAATTTTTTCCTAAAAGTTTTTCAATTTAGTGATCCTATTGGTAAATAAAAAGAATAAAGGCATGCAAATTAAAATAAAGGTAACATTTCTATTAGATGTTTTTAAACCCCTTTCCTTTGTGACCTAGCTTTTCTATCTTGGCTTTTCTATCTTTTCTTCTCTTCCTTTCCTTTCCTCCTTTCTTTTTCTTAAGTTTGTTTATGCCTCAGTCATCTGGTCGCACGTGGCTATGTTCCACTGTGGCAGGGCTTAGCTGGCAGTTTCAGGGATATCTTAGTTTTAATAAGTATTGTGGATTTCCTCACATCTAGGGTGGAGAGAGATTGGTTATAGGGTGATAAAAACAGAAGAATCTGTGTTGAAGGAGATGGGAAGATTTTAAGAATGCTAACGAATTTGAGCAGGGCATAAAACCAACCCATGAACAGGGCTACAGTCCTCTCAGGGTTGCCTGAAGCCTCAGCCCTGGAGGACGTCTGACACCTTACAGGTAGAGGACCTCTGTGCAGGAGCCCTCAACACCCAGGGAGGATTAGGATATAAGCGCAAACTCAAAGGTACTGTAATGGGCACCTAGCAATCAGAGGTGATACAAGGGTCTCTTGGCCCGAAGTATCCCCACCTCTCCTCGCTGGAAAGGACGCTGCCTAAGCCTCATCCCGAGCTGGGGGCGGAGGACCAAGGGTGAGAGCCACCGCCTCCGCAATCCCCCGCCCCTCGGCACCGTCGCTCAGCGCGCTCGCCGGCTCCCTATTGGCCGAGGCACTCGCCAATCCTGGTGAAGCGGCCCCGTGAGTTGGCCCTGGTTGGTGGAGCCGGCACTGAGCCCCCCTCCTGCTCCGGCCGAGCCCCCCCGCCGGGAGGGGGCGTGGCCGCGGCCGTGGACGGGCCGGAGGCGGCGTCGCTCGCGCCGCTGCGTGCGGTGTGGTGCGAGGCGGGTGCGCCGGGCGGCCGCGGCGCGGCGGGACCATGGAGCTCAGAGCGCAGCCCCGGCGCCGGCGGCGGGACCGCGGACCGGTGAGTGAGGGCTGCGGTCGCCCCGGCTCTCCGCTGTAGGCTGCTGTGGCCCTCTCGGCTCCGGGCCGGGCGGCTGTCGGGGGAGGGGCGGCCCCACGGCGAACTGAAGTTGCTGCATCGCCGCGCGCTCCGGCCGGGCGGCGGGGCCCACTGCGGGCTGCGGCGCCGCCTCGCGCCTATCCCTGCAGCCCGGCCGCATTCTCCCGGCCGGCTCCCGCGCTGGCAGGGGCTTCTCGCCGTCACGGCGCGGCCAGGCGGCCCTTCTCTCCCGCGCCTCCGGGCCTCCGGCCCTTTGCCGTCCGGTGCGCGCTCCCTGGACTCGGGACAGCCACCCGCCCTCCCCGCCGTAAGTGGCGCCCGGGCCTCCGCTCGCGCCCCACGCACGACGCCCCGGGCCGCTCCGCGTCCGGGACCTTCGCATCCGTTCAGTGTCTGCGCGCCCTCGCTGGTTCTGGTCCAGCTCCGCGTGCCCCCCGGCCCCATTCGGCCCTCGCCGCCCTGGCCTGTGCCCTCTTGGTGCCCGCGTGCGTGTTGGTTGCGGGCGTCCTCTCCCTCGAGGCTGCGGTGCCGCGTGGCTCCCGGCCTCGGAGACCAGGCCGGACTCTTGGAGTGCAGGGGAGGAGGTGGGGCGGCCCGCGAGTGCGGGGGACCGCGCGCACGGAGCCGCGGCGCGCGGGGTATCATCCCCGGGGGTCTTTACCCGCGCGCCTGGGCTTTAGCGAGGGCAGAAGCTTCCTCTCAGTTTGTGGTGCTGACGTGCAATGGCGATTGCTTCTTGATTTGGCCCCTCTGCAAGGGAGAGTTCCCTGGTGGAGACGAGAGTTCTTAATTATTCAGAAACTATGTGATGGGCTTAGGGATCAATGGGAGCATCATAGGAATTCTTTCTCATTTTAAGGTTAATTTTTAAATTAGCGGTTTACTTCCAGCAACAGTCTCGAGTTTTCAAAAACTGAAAATTAAAAAGACTACTTTTCGCAGTTCTTCAAATTAAATGCATAGCAGAACATGGTATTTTAAGATTCAGAGTCTACTTTTTATAAGGGGGAGAGGATAGCTATTTGAAATATTTTGCATCTTAAAAATTAGGTTTATCTAAAGCTTAAAATGCGACTCTATCAAAACTAAGTTCAAAGTATTGTAATTGACTAATCTTTCTATTGTCTCTAGGGCAAATTCTATTGCTTCTTTTTATATGTGCTTTACCCAACTCTCCTTTTCTAGCAGTTAAACAATGCAGTGGTTCTTTAAAGCTAGTTCTTTTATCTGCTTGAGAGGTTAAACAAACGAAAGCTGGGTTTGACCTTTCCCAAAGGCATTCTCATTGTGTCCTCTCCAGCTCCCTTCTCCCAGGGTTCTAATGACTTCAGTGTAGTACTCATTTTTCTTCATCTTGAAAGATTTTCTTAGTTGGTATTCACAAAAGCTGTGTCTTTTCACATGTTTAAATATTGGAAAGTTTGGTCAACTATTATATTTACCTTCCAACCTGTGCTTATTCTAGAACTATGTACATATAGAAATTGTTCTTGCATTTCCAGTTGGCTGACATGAAGTTGCTTAATAGCATTTGTTTTTAAAAAATCTGTTTGCTTTAAAATTTACAACCTAATAGTCAATGATGTGCTTCACTATCTTCAACAATTACGAAAACAAAGGTGGAACACACTTTGCTAAGTGGTCATGCCAACATTGTAACCTCCTATCTCTTGTCAGTGTGTCTTTGTAGTCACACGTTACGGTTCCCATAGAAACCTATGTATGGCAGGTAACCTTTTGGTTATTGGGATGTTTTGATTAAAACAATTGCGTTATAATGCAAGTATTAAATGAATTGTCCCTACTCACGGGCTAGTACTAGTGATCGTCTTTGGAATTCCAAGGACTTTCTTTGAAGAGTACTCCCAGATTGTTTTTCACTTTGGGTGGCTCTCCATTGCTGTAGACCTTGAATCTCTTTTTCTTTTCTTTTCTTTCTTTCTTTCTTTCTTTTTTTTTTTTTTTTTTTTTTTTTTGAGACGGAGTCTTGCTCTTGTCTCCCAGACTGGAGTGCAGTGGTGTGATCTCGGCTCACTGCAACCTCCGCCTCCTGGGTTCAAGCGATTCTCCTGCCTCAGACTCCCGAGTAGCTGGGAGTACAGGCGCCCGCCACCATGCCCGGCTAATTTTTGTACTTTTAGTAGAGATGCAGTTTCACCATGTTGGACAGATTGGTCTCGAACTCCTGACCTCAGGTTGATCCGCCCACCTCGGCCTCCCAAAATGCTGGGATTACAGGCGTGAGCCACCGCTCCCGGCCGAATCTCTCAACTTCTCTTCTCAGTCCGTTTTAAGGGCCCTGTTTCTTTCAAGTCAGGCTTTTTTTGGCTTTGCTCTTGGGCATGTGGAACTAAATGCTTCTGACAGCCCCACACATTCTTCTTCAGGGCTGGTTCTTTACCTGTGGCTTGACTTTATGCTGGTAATACAGAAATATTTTATGCCAGTAATACATAAATGATGTACATTATAAAATAAACAATATCAACACAGAGATTTATAGAGGTAAAAAGTCTTAAGTTTTCTTTTTCCCGTCTTATTGTTGTCCTATTCCTATTTCTTTCTTCAGAGGTAACCATAATATAGGGTGTATCCTTCTGGATTTTTTCCATTTAATACTGTAGATGAAATATATAACCCTGTATGTTAAAAAAACCATTTCATGAATGCCTACTAGGTACCAGGTACTATTTTAATCACTAGGGTTGCAAAAATAAGAGACAGACGCTTTCAAGATGTTCATAGTCTACCAGGACAAGCAATTACAGTGCAGTGTGATAAGTACCATGATAGAGTCAGTAATCAGTGAGGGATGTAGGAGCCTCATGCATGACCTAATCCATTCATTCATTTGCTTTATTCATTCAGTACACTTCAGAGTTTTAATATGTGCCGGGGATACAGAGATAAACAAGACAGATACCTCTGTCAGCCCCCGATGAGCTTGCTGTGCAGTTCAGTCTCAAAGAGTTTTAACCGTTGGTTACAATGTATTGTTTGATATGGGATCTGAAAGGGGCCAGCAACAAGAGCTCAGAGGAGGACCATAAACCCAAGCTTAGGGACGTTCAGAGAGACAGGAAAGCCTCCCAGAGGAAGCACCATGAGAAGGAATTGGTCGAAGTCTGGGTTGAGGAGAGGGTGTACAGAGAGATGGTCAGGGAGGTGATGCACTGGAGCAACCACAAACACCAGGAGTTCAGTCCAGTGGGGGTGGTTGTGGGCAAGGGCAGGGAAGTGGCAAGAAGTGAGGGAGGAGAAGTAAGGAGGGACTGTGCCTTGTGGGGTCTTGTGATTACTGTTGTGTGGAGTTCGGAGACCTCTGTGGGCAACAGGAAATGGTTGAAGAATTGTAAGCAAAAGAGGGACACGGTCAAATTTGCCCTTTGGAGAATGGATTAGAAGAGGGAAGGCTTGAAGCAGGGAAATTTGAGGAGGTAGAATTGCTGGGATTTGGTCATTGGCCGTGTGTGTGTATGTGGTGGGGGGAGTTGGGGCAGGGAGGAGTTCAGGGCAGTGTCCAGCTCTGGCTGGGTGGTTGGGTGATGGCACTGTCCTTAGGTGGGGACAGAGCAGCATCCATTTTGGGGAAAAGATTATGGGTCACACTTGGCTGGGTTAAGTTTCAGGTGCTGAGGGGACAGTGTGTTCAGTTGGCTGCACTAGGGATCCAGATAATCAGGAGTTGTCTGGATTAGAGAGACGCATGTGAGAGTTATTAGCTGTCCCAGACTGTCTCAAACAGTTTGAGAGTTTCCCAAACTATCAGCTAAGGTGCTACAGCAAACAGGGAGACTGGGGGATGTTTCACATTGTTGAGGAAAACACATAGTTCCGTCTCTTCAAGCCTGTGGAAACTACTAGCTCAAGATAGTTAAAAATGTCTAGATTAGATTGCACTCCATTCCATTCGATGACCTCATGTTTGTAAAGAAGGATTTTTGGTGGTTGCTGTAGCACGTGAAAATCAGTGTAGAAAAGGAAATGAGGGAGGCCATTGTCCAGTCTGACTCCAAGGTTTGAGAGAAATTGTGCAGTGCTCAACAAGTGTACACATACTGTATTAGTAAATACTTGTGGTTATCTAAGAATGAAATAAAAATGCCATTTTTTCTCTCTATTAAAGTGTACTTTTTTCAAGTTGGTACCAAGTTGTTAGGACATTAAGTACTTACGTTTTTAACATTTTCTTTGCTCAATAAGCATTTGTTTTGGCCTGAGACTCCAAGGGTGCGGTGAACAGAGAAAGTTTTGGAACTCCTGCCTTTGCCTGTGCAGTATTTGTTAATGGAAGCTGTTGGAGTAGATGAGGTCATTTGAGGAGTGTGTATAGAGTAAGAAAAGGAGTGGTGTGGAGTGAGATCTGAGGCACTCTTGTGTTTGAAAGGGAAGCAGATAATAGGCTCCCACACTGGGACTAAGAAGGATGGGGGTCATGGTGTCCGAGGAAACCTCAGCAGGCAGGGCGTGCTCAGCTGCTGCGAGCTGTTAGTAATACAGGGGACACTAGAGGCAACAGTGACATGACAGGGATGGGAGGGGGAGGCCAGTTTGTATCAGGATTTAATAGTGAGTGAGAGTGAGGGAGTGGAGCCCAGCATGTGTAGACAGCAATGCTCAAGAAATTTGATGCTGGTGGTTAGGGGTGGTTATAGGGAGGGCAGATAAAGGGGGAACCCTTTGGTTTTTGTTTTTTAAATGGGGGGATTTGAGCATGTTTAAATGCTGGTAAAGAACCAGGAGAGGGTAATTTCAGAGTTTCCATTGGAGTTAGCCCACTAGATAGCGGTTTCAGAGTTTCCATTGGAGTTAGCCTGAGGACATGATGAATGATCTTGGTGAGGAGTCTGTGGAACCTCATTGCTGTGGATTGCAGAGTGAAGGGTGTTGAGGGAGGGAAGCTGGTTCTTTCCCAAACTTGATTATGAAGAGGAGAGAATGACATTAACTGGAGAGGGGCATCTGGTGTAGGCTGATTTCCTCCCCTCCCCTCCCCTCTCCTCCCCTCCTCCCTCCCTTCCCCTTCGCCTCCCTCCCTTTTCTTTTCTTTTCTCTTTTCTTTTCTTTTCTTTCTAGCAGTGACTTTATTTTCTCTTTTTTTTGCTGTTGTCTTAAGAACACCTTTTGTCTTCCTTTCTCAAGACATGCTCTTCTGAGGACTGGTTGTTCCTTTGCAGGGCGGTTGCTTCCCACCCTGGACTTTTCCTAGGTGCCATTGTGTCTCCAGGTCGTGATGTCTTTGTGGCTGACTGTCCTCCTTTGCTGTCCTGTTCTGACAGAATACTCTCTCCTGTCAGTGTTTTTTCTGCTACTTACCTCAGCACCAGTTTTGTGTCAGATCCTATCCGCCTATCTTCATAGATGTTTTTATTTTTATTTTTTGTAGAGATGGTGTTTTGCTATGTTGCCCAAGCTGGTCTTGAACTCCTGGGCTCAAGCAGTCCTCCCACCTTGGCCTCCCAAAGTGTTGCACCGCCCCCGATGTCATAGATGTTTATAGATTATAATAATTTTTCCGCACTAATGCCTGGTGTGGTGGCTAACACCTGTAATCCCAGCACTTTGGGAGGCTGATCACCTCAGGTCAGGAGTTCGAGAACAGCATGGCCAACATGGCAAAACCCTGTCTCTACTAAAAATACAAAAATTAGCCAGTTGTAGTGGCACACACCTGTACTCCCAGCTTCTAGGGAGGGTGAGGCAGGAGAATTGCTTGAACCCGGGAGGCAGAGGTTGCAGTGAGCTGAGATCGTGCCACTGTACTCCAGCCTGGGCAACAGAGTGAGACTCCATCTCAAAAAAAAAAAAAAAAAAAAAAAAGAATAGTTTTTCCATACTTAGATTTCAGCCTTAATCTTTGGAGCCAAAGATGCTTCTGTTTCTTCTCTGTGCCTGCACATGTGCCTCTTCTCTGGGAGATTAGCTCTTCTGACTTTTTTTTTTTTTAAATTTTAAAACATTTTAAACATCACAGACATTCTAGGGTATTTCTCATCTTTTAGGTCTCCTGGAGCTTCTAGGCCTTGGCTCTGAGCTCAGCATCTGGGATGATTTCTCAACTTTGTACTTTCTGAAATTTCCCTGGGATCTTTTCTCAGGGTGCCCTCTGACCTTGGAGCAGTGGTCTTGAAATTGATCTAAAGATATCTTCTGTTGTGTTATATGTTCTTGAACCTTTTTGGTATTTTAATCTTTTCTTCCTTTTAGTTTTTCCTTAAATACTTAAGTCAGCCCACACATGTTTGTATGCCAACTATGTCTGAGGCACTGTTCTAGTTAGCAGTGATAAGAATGTTTAACATGACCAAGCTGCTGCCCTCAGAAAGCTTATATTCAAGTGAGGTAAAACAGGATAGATTATCTTGCTAACTAGTTCACAAACTCCTTGTTGGCAGGAACCACATAGGGTGGTGCCTTGTATATAATCTGTGCATAGCATATGTGTGTTCCAGCTTGTCAGATAACCTCTTGAACGTCGTCGTCATATAGAGACCTTCATTTAGGTTTTGCACTTATTTCACTGTGGTAACACTTGGTGCCTTCTCCCACTGGCTGTCCTCTCACAGCCTTTGTGATCTTTGATCTTGGAATGCTTGTTTTCTAGCAGTTGAAAGCTGAATTGAATTTTTAAAAGTTCCTCTAGTGCATGCTGAAGATTTTATTAGCTTGCTGCGGCAGTTCCATTTTAGTTCCTCTCATAGCATCCTCTCATTGAGAGCTGTTATCCATTTTGTGCTCTTGAGAAGCTCCGTGAAATTATATTGCAGTACCAAAGTATAGGTGTGATTAACTGTGAACTGGAATCAGTGTGGCCATTATTTTATCAGCTAAATGGATGAAGTGGTTCATTCTTGGCACGTAGTAGATACTCAACAAGTATTTTTACATTGACTGAAAATGTTATGTGTTTTGATTCATGGTTATATAATAAGCAGGACTTGATCACTACTGGGTAGTTTACACAGTATGGTCTGAGCCATGTTGCTCTACTACCATCACTTATTTTCCAACTTCTCAAAATATGTACATGACAAGGTTGTGGTTTTTTTTTTTTTTTTTTTTTTTGCCTGTTTTGTTACATAGTCCTGTGTTAGGATATTACCTAGGCAGGTTTCAGCTCTGAGTTGGCTTTGCAGCTCTTTGCTGGGGCATAGTCTATCCTAATGTTAGAATTAATGTTTGGTAGACACAGGGTCTCACTCTGTTGCCCAGACTGTAGGCCGTGGTGCTATCTCGGCTTGAAACCGGGAGGTGGTGGCTGCAGTGAGGTGAGATCACACCACTGTACTCCAGCCTGGGCAAAAGAGTGAGACTCGGTCTCAGAAAGAAAAAAAAAAAAAAGAATTAATGTTTATAGAAGGGCTCATGAATTTCAAAACTTGCTTCCTGTGGTACACGGGAGAAACTCTAGTACAAGTTGAGGGGTGCCATTAACCAGAAAGATGGTAAAGAGAGAGGGGGCAACTTACAAGTATGTTTATATTGTTCTGAGAGAGGTTGTGGCTGTTGCACAGCTTAGAATGGGAAGGAAGAGACTGACTTTACATGCCTTCAAAAGTAAGATCTTAACTTTGGCAGAAATACTATAATTTTCCAATATAGAACACGTCTGTTTTCAATATAAATGTAAAAACACATTTAAAAAAAACCAGCCCTGTAGGATTTAAAACGTATCTCCATTCTTGGTTTTCTGTAGTATTTGTCATATATTGTTTAGAGTTAATCATCCTGGCTTTTGATCAGAAACCCAGAAATACACAGTAACCCCCTAATTCCCCAAACACCTGTCTTGAGATTTTAATTCTTGCTGCAAACAGCATTTGTTTCCCAAGGCTTCTCTAGAATGTGAATTGTTCTTTGAGATATCCCAGGGAGGAAGATTATTAAAAGGTTACTCCTTTTCAAAAGTTGGCATTGCAATTTAGAATGGTTACAAAGTTTATCAATGAAAATGAACTTGATGCCTGAGCTATAATTGAAATCTTTATAGCGTCTCTGCTGTTTGTCCATTGTGTTACAGAGCATTCATTGAAAACTTCTTCCATTTCTGACATGTCCAGTTCCCACCCCTCAAAAAAAAATTATGAAAACTACAAAACTTCAGAACATCATTTGAAATAATTGTGTAGGGATTAGGCACCGAAGAGTTTAGAACAGCTGCGTTACATTAAGCTATAATTATGGTTACTTTTTCTTGCCACACAGGAGTTTAGAAATTTGTGGTTTTATTTCTTAGGCTATTTTGTTTCTGATGATTGTCAAATTTCATTTGAGACAATATTGCCCTGCATTTTAATATTTACTTAGCATTTTTTCTCTTTTTGAACAGTTACATAACTTAGATAAACTGTGTGTAAATGAAAGTTACAGATAGAGTTTTAAGTGGAATATGTACTTTATTCAGATTTTTATTATTTGAGATGATGATTTATTGAACATAAGCAATGGAGACTTTTCTCTCATCTGTCATTAAATGAATGTCTGGATTAGCTTATAGGAAGTGCTCACAGTAATAAAGCTAAATATAAAGAATGAGAATCAAGAATATATAAAGACCAGAAATGAATACATCAAAACCTGTACTATCAATAAAGTTCTAGTCTCCGTGGTCAGTGTCTTAGACATGAGGACTGCTTTAATAACTGCAAGATTTCAGTGACTCAGAGCAAGAAGCATCTGTTTCTCACCTATGTGGAAGCTTATGTTGGGGTCGTCATGGGTTAGGTGTCCACATGGCTGTTCAGGTGGTCAGCCTTTTTCCACCTTGTGACTTAGCCTCCTATAGGAACTGGGAACCTGCTTGGTTCAGGCAGTGGGTGGAGAATGAGGACAGTCCTGTGGGAGGTTTTTATAGACCAGCACACATTGCTTCTCATCCTACTAGCCGTACTCAGACATGGCCTCTCTTAGCTTACTTTAGGCTGGACACATAGCAGAGCTATACGCCGCAGGAGAAGAGAGGTCATGGGGACTGGTAGCATAACTAGTCTCTACCCCAGTCTGACTGGAACTTGTGTGAGCATCCTGGTGGCCACAGTGAAAGGAAATCATCCTCAGCTCTATGCTGTCATTTTCACCATGCATAAAGAAGATACCAGTTTCTTTTCCTTAATATGTCCCCCATTTCACACTTGGGGCTTTGAATTGGTTACATTGAAAGGTGTAGTAGGTGATGTGCTCAGTGGCATTCATGTGGTACATTGAACAGTGGTTCTTGTTTGGCTGTTTATCATGTCCTTAAATAAAGTGAAAGTACAACAATCAAAAACAATTCTGTGGAGGATCAAACTGACATGGTTTATTATATATTTTCTAGTTGTGAGAATAAGCACACTTCATATCCCTCAAACAGTCATTCAGGAATATAAGTGATCTCAGGTGGATTTTTTGGTGAAAGATGTATAGAAGATAGTTTGAAGTTACTGTTACAGATGCGCTTGGAGTGCCAGTATTTTGTCAATTAAAGGTGGCTTTAGAGACCGAGAGAGATGGTTGGTTAGTTCAAAATCAGTATCCTGCATGGCAAGCTTGTTCTAGATCAGGGGTTGGTAAACTACAGCCTGTGGGCCACATCTGGCTCTTTGCCTGATTTTGCAAGGAAAATTGTATTGGAATACAGACGTGTTTGTTCTTTTATTTGTCTGGGGTTGCTTTAGTGCTGCAAGGCAGAGCTGATATAGGGGTAAGTGGTGGCAACAGAGGCTAACTTACACAGTACGACATATTTGCTATCTGGCTCTTTACAGTAAAAATTCCTGACCCTTGTTTTGGAGAACATATTTTCTGCCTTTTCTGATGGGGCTCACATTGTAGTAGGTGAGAAAGCTAATAAACGACATTAAAAAAAAAATATATATATATATAATCTCCCTTCACTTGCTTTGCTTTCTTTACTATGCTTTCTTTAGTATACAGCCTATGTGTATGTGTGTGCGTGTATTTATACGTGTATATATACGTGTGTGTGTATATATATATAAAGAAAGCGAAGCACGTGAAGAGAGAGAATATCAGAGACTGCCATTTTTGATAAGGTGGTCAGGGAAGCCTATGTGAGATGACATTTGAGCAGAGATACAAACGAAAGTGAAGGAGTGAACCAGCTAGGCAAATATTTTGGGAATGAACCTTATTTGGGGAGAAACAGCAAGTGCCCCCTTGAGATACCGAGTAGCAGCAGGGAGGGCAGTGTGAATAGGGGGTTGGGTAGGGGGATGCGTAGTGACAGAGGTATTAAAGGGCCAGATTGTGTAGGGCCGTATAGACTGTGGTGCACTTTGGATTTTATTCTGAGTGAGATGAAAAACCATTGCAAAGTTTTGAGCAGGGACATGATACCATTTAAGTTAGATTGTAAGAGGATCACTAGGACTGCTGTGTAGAGGATAGACAGGGGACAAAGGTAGAAGGTGGGTGTCTGTGTGCTCTGTGTGCTAGGTAGGCATTGCGAAGTGCTGTGGCTGTTGGATGAATCAGTGGTTCCTGCCTTGAGGAGGTCTTAGTAGAATAGCAGAAGAAAGAGATCACTGTAATGCACTGCTGCTGACAGAGAAGCAAAGGTGCCCTGGGATGGGGTAGGAGGGGTACCTGATCCAAACCAAAGGTGACACCTTGACCTGAGAATTTAGAGGGGGCTGATGAAGACTCTGATTGTATATCAGAGCTCTGAGATTCTTGGAAGGACTACTTGCATGCAGGAATTTTCCCCACCTGTTAACCACGTGAGCAAGTGCTCATCCAGAGATGAGTGGTTTGGTGGCTTTTAGGTCACATGCCAGTGCCAACAATTGCAGTCTGGAGCATTGTGTTAGAGTGATGTTAAGGTGGTATCTCAGCTCAGCAGGATACACCACAGGAACTGAAGGGTGAAATATTTGCCATCTTTGCCAGAGAGCAGAACCAAAGTAATTTTGGTTTGGGAAAGTTAGTACCATAGGACTGTAGAAAAGTCTCAGTAAATTGTCTGTGGAATGTATTGTAGAGTATTGCTACTTTCCCCGTATGCCTGGCAGTATGAATTAGTTGCACAATGTACGTCTCAGTAATTAAGCAAACCGGTCTGCTGTCTGGAGTTATTGGATATGACCCAATTAAACTTTGGAGGATGTCTGTAAAAATGATTTTATTTTTGGGACAGGTGATAGTAAAGTATTTTGGATAATTAGTTGAAAAAATTGCTGCCGTTTTAAATTAGTGTAGAAGAGGACATTCACCTTTCTGTTTTCTATAATGGGGTGTCTAGATCATCTAGAGAGAATTTTAATTATCATAATATTGGTTTAAAAAGAAGTAGGGAGAGAAAATAAAATCACAATCATAGAGGAAAGTTTTTTTTTGTACTTTCTCTGCAACTGATAGAACAAAGGATATAGATGATTTGAACAAAACAATTAATAAAATTGCCTCAGTGTGTCTAGCTGTTGTACCTAATGGCAGAATGCACATTCTTTGTAAGTAGACTGGACAGTATCTATCAGCTTGTTGGGAAAAGCAAGTTTGAGTATATTTTAGAAGATTGAATTCGAACAGAGTGTTCTATAAATTAAACTAAAATCAATAGCAAAAGGTAGCTAGAAAACCTTTTCTAAGTATCCCATGATCAAAGAAGATATTACGGTGAGAATTAGAAAATTTTACAAAATATGTTGATTAGAATCAATATGAAAATACTGTATATAAAAATTTGTGAGGTGCAGCTAAAGTCATACTCAGAGGAAAGATTATAGCCTTACATGCATGTGTTAGGAAAGAAGAAAGCCTGAAAAATACTCAATGATGTGAACATCAATTTTAAGAAGTTAGAAAGGAACAGCATACTAAACCCAGAGGAAGTAGATAGACATTAAACGAGGAGAAATTGATAGAATAGAAAATAAATATACAGTAGAGAACATCTGCAGTACTAGTTTTATTGAAAAGATTGATGATATCAATCAATTTGGTGAGATTAATAAATTAAAATAAAAGACGGAAGGCACAGATAACAATGTCAGCCATGAAAAAGAGAACATCCTAAAATATCCTACAGGCGGTAAAGATTTTTAACAAGATATTCATTTATGCTAATACATTTTTAACTTTAGATTAAATGGACAAGTTTTTCCTTAAATGTGGTTTTGTTATTCATTTAAATTATACCTTGATCAGCCGGGCGCGGTGGCTCATGCCTTTAATCCCAGCACTTTGGGAGGCCAAGGTGGGCGGATCACTTGAGGTCAGGAGTTTGAGACCAGCCTGGCCAATGTGGTGAAACCCCATCTCTACTAAAATTACAAAAAAATTAGCCGGGTGTCGTGGCAGGCGCCTGTAATTCCAGCTACGTGGGAGGCTGAGGCAGGAGAATCGCTTGAACCTGGGAGGTGGAGGTTGCAGTGAGCTGAGATCCTGCCACTGCACTGCAGCCTGGGGGACAAGAGCAAAACTGCGTCTCAAAAAAACAAAAAATTACACCTTGATCATTTGTTTTAGGGTCCTTGTTGATTTGATTTTCTTTTTAACATAATCTAATACAAAACTACAAAAACCGTAGTTTCAGAGAAGTGTCACTCCCTCTCATATCCCTTTGACTGTGTCCTTTCTCCCTCTTGTAAATAACCAGCCTCACTTTTCTAGTTTCTTTTAAGACAGTATACATGTATGTTTTCTTATTTACCTTTTTTTCAAAAACAGAAGGTGGCATACTGTTTAAATTCTGTTGCACTTTGCTTTTTTTCACTTAAAATATACTCTAGAAATTAATTACTCTTTATCAGATTCCAGAGCTCTTCCTCATAATGTTATAGCTGTATAGTGCTGTTCACATAGTGTGAATATGATGCAGTTTCGTTACCAGTCTTCTGTGTTTGGACATTTAGGTAGCTTCCAATATTTTGCAATTACAGTACAAATAATGTGGCTATGAATAACCTTGTGTATGTATTTTTATATTGCAGGAGGTTTAATTTGGGAATAAAGTCCTCAAATTTGGATTTCTGGGTTGAAGGATAAATGTATATGTAATCTTGTTAGACGCTGCTGAATTCCCCTTCATAGAGATTGTACCATTTTGCATTACTCTGAGCAGTGTGTGAGTGCCCGTTTCTTTATAGCCTGCTAGTTAGAGGATATTGTGAAGCTTTCAAATTTTTGCCAATCTAATAGGTGAAAAATCTTTGTGTAGTTTAATTATATTTATTTTCTTTATTATGACTAAAGTTGAGGATCTTTTATGTTCAAGGGAAATTTTTATATTATTTTGAGAATTGTCTATTGCCCTTTTTTCTATAGAATTTTTGCACCTTTTCTGTTCATTTTTTAAAAGTTTTTCTTTGCCTTAGGAATAATATTCCTTTGATATATGTTACAATATTTCTCCTAGTTTTGACTTTTCTGATTTTTTTCCCCATGAAAATATCTTCATGTAGTCAGATTTATCAAGCTTTTCTTTAATTGAATTGGGCATGGGTTTTGAGTCAAGGTCAGATTATTTATAGAGGGATTCACCAATATTTTATTCTAGTACTTGAGTAGTTTTCATTTTTTACATTTAGATTTATGATACGCTACAAATTTATTCTGATATATATGGTGTGAGGAATAGATCTGATTTTGTCTTCTTCTGAATAGTGATTGAGTTGTACCAACACCATTTATAAAGTTCATCTTTACCCAGTTATTAGTGATGCCACCATTGCTGTATATTAGATTTCTGTATGTAGCTGGGTCTATTTTTGGGCGTTCCATTCCATTCTGTTGTTCTGTCTGTTCATATGCTATTCACACAATTTTAATCATGAGGCTTTGTTTTAATATTTGGAAAGGGCATTTCTCCCTCTTAGCTCCTCCCTTGCACATTTACTGAGCTGGTCTTTTGTGTTTGCTTTTCCACATGAACTTCAGCATCAATTTGTTGAGCTCCATTAAAAAGCTGTGTAATTTTTATTGGAATTGCTTTATATTTACAAATCAACTCTGACAACCTGATGAAGTTGTGATGTCTTAGCCAAGAACAGTCGAATGTTCGTCTGCTTTCATGTGCCTTTCAGATGTGTATAAATTTATAGATTTCTTTGTATAGGTTTTGAACATTTCTTATTGTTTATTCCTGAGTATTTTGTTGCTGTTATAAATGGGACTTTCTGTTCCATTTTACATTCTAACTGGTTATTCTTTGTGTATGTGAAGACTAGTTTGTTTACTTTATATCTTGCTACCTTGCTTAATTCTTTAATTGTTTGAGTTAATTTTGTCATTGATTCCTGGAGTTTTTCAGGTTTACTAACATGTCATCAACCACTAGAGAGTTGTTGTTCTTTTTTTCCATTGTTTGTGCCTTTAATTGTTTTCTGTTGTCTAATTGCCTTGGTGAATACCTTCAGAAAAATGTTAAATAGTGGAAAAGGTAGTGGGCATTCGTATCTGGTTCCTGACCTTAATGAGAATGTGTGTAGAATTTGCCCTTTAGGATGTTGGCACTTGCACTCACCGTGTGTATGTGCGTGCATGCACATGCTCTTACACTAATTCATTCTTGTTCTGTCTTAAGTTATGTTAAGAAAGTATGCGTCTACTCCTATTTATTCTATATATATATTAGGAATGAATACTGAATTTTGTTGAGGGCTTTTTTGGCCTCCTGTGGAGGCAATTATATGACTTTCTTGTTAGACTTATGAATATGGTGAATTATATTACTAGATTTCCTAATCGGAATCATTATTGCATTCCTGGTATAAACTCCTTTTTTGAGGTGGAGTTTTGCTCTGTCGCCCAGGCTGGAGTACAGTGGCACGATCTCGGCTCACTGCAACCTCGGCCTCCCAGATTCAAGCGATTCTGCCGAGTAGCTGAGACTATAGGCACGTACCACCATGCTGGGCTAATTTTTGTATTTTTAGTAGAGATGGGGTTTCACCATGTTGGCCAGGCTGATCATGAACTCCTGACTTCAAGTGATCCGCCTGCCTCAGCCTCCCAAAGTGCTGGGATTACAGGCGGGAGCCACCGCGCCTGGCCTGGTATAAACTCTTAATGTGGTGTTGGAGTCTGTTAATATTTTATTTCAGAATTTGGCATTAATATTCATATGTGATATTGGTTTGTAATGTTCCTATTTTGTGTGATCACAGTCAGGTTCAGTTATTAATATTACACTTGATTTATAAAAAAGGATTTGGCAATATTTTTTCATGTTTAAAAAAATTGATGTAATATTGGGATTATCTGGTTTGTATAGGTTTGATAGACTTGCCTCTTGATATCATCTGGGTTTTTTGGGGGAGGGTAGTTTGATAACTTTTTTCAGTTCTTCTATGGAATTTAGTTGGCCTAAGCTTTCTATCTCTATGGGTGTCCATTTGGGTAAACTCTGTTTTCCTATGAAATTATCCATTTCATCTAGGCTTTTAAATTCATTTCCATAGAGGTGTACAGAGTACTTTCCTGTGATTAATATATTTTATCTTTTTTGTATTTGTGCATTTGCTCATTTTTCCTTGATAAACTTAGATTGTGCTTTATTTCAGTTTTTTTTGAGGTAAAATATACATAACATTAAGTTTATGGTTTTAACCATTTTTAAGTGCACAGTTCATTTTATCCTTTGCTGTGCAGAAGCTTTTTAATTTGATGCAATCCCATTTGTTTATTTTTGCTTTTGTTTCCTTGATTACTACTTTAAATGTGTTCTATGGACTCTGATGTATAGGTTCTCATTATCTCTCAGAAATTCAGTCATTTGTTTGTATATCCCTTTTCACCCAAGAGTTGTATAAATTTTTAGGTGGAAAGGCTTTTTTGTTCTTAATTTCTAGTTTTATTTTCCTTGATTTAATTACTAGTATTATTATTTTTGTATATTTTACTGATATGAATACAGAAAAGTCTACATCAGAAGTATAGTTGAATTTTCACAAAATGAATTCATCCATGAAACCAGTACTCAGACCATTCCCAGAACTTCAGAAGGCCCTCACATTCCCTTCATCTCATGCCCACCCCTCTCCAAAGGTAACCACTAAGTTGACTTCTAATATTGAGTTTTGTCTGCTTTTGAACTTTACAGAAATAAATCATTATTATGTAGTTTTGTTTTTAAATCTTTCATTCAACAAGTTTTGTTAAATTCATCTGTTATTTTTGCTGTATAATTTTCCATTGTATAACTGTACCACTGTTCATTTGTCCACCTCTCCTTACAGTATTTGTATCATTTTCAGTGTTTTGTATTTCTAGTTTTGTTTTTGCACTGTGATCAGAGGATATTTTTTGTGATATTTCCATTTTATGAACATAGTAATGATTTCTTTGTGCCTTAACATATAATTTTCTGTGAGTGTTCAAGAAGCTATATTCTCTGTTACCAGAGTGGAGTGCTGTCTCTCTCTCTATATATACAGAACAACTACTTTGTTGGTTATATTGTTGAAATCATTTATATCTTTTTTTTCCTATGCTCTGCTTTGTATCAAGTAGTGTGTTTTATTTATGGTGTGTTTCTATTTATTTACTCTTGGATCAGGCATAATTTGTTATTTAGTTCATAGAGATTAATAATGTATTCTGCATTGTGAAATTAACTTTTAGTATTTAAAAGTAGTTAGGACTATTCAGATAACTTTTGTCTTGATTTTTTTTTTGTCTGATTATTTTTATTCACCTGGTAAATTTTTGTTCCTTTATTTTTAGCCTTTTTGAATCACTGCATTTTAAGTATGTCTTTTATATACAGCATAGTCTTTGCTTTCTAAGCAAATTTGAAAATATCTTTCTTTTAATAAGCAAGTTAAGCTGATTCATATTAATTGTTATAACTGATAGGTTTGTTCTCAGTTCTGTCATTGTGTTAAATTACTGTCTGTATTTTGGTATATTTACTCTGTTCATTTATTGTTTGATGTGTTTTTCTTAATTTAAAAAATTCTTTTGATATCAGGAAGGTGGGACTAAGTTTTTCTTCTAATAGTACCATTGAATTCGTACTTTTGTAGTACCTTAACCCCTTCTTTTTTTTTTTTTTGAGATGGAGTCTCGCTGTGTCACCCAGGCTGGAGTGCAGTGGTGCGATCTCGGCTCACTGCAAGCTGCACCTCCTGGGTTCACACCATTGTCCTGCCTCAGCCTCTGGAGTAGCTGGGACTACAGGCACCTGCCACCACGCCCGGCTAATTTTTTGTATTTTTACTAGAGACGGGGTTACACTGTGTTAGCCAGGATGGTCTCGATCTCCTGACCTTGTGATCCGCCCACCTTGGCCTCCCACAGCGCTGGGATTACAGGCGTGAGCCACCGTGCTTGGCCAACCCCTTCTTATTTTTAACCTATCTTTTTACTGTCTTGTATGCTACTTTTATAAGGCATCTTTTCCTTCTCATCTGTTCACGATACAATCACCTATGATTGTATGGCTTTTTTTTCTTTCCTTTTTCTCTTCCCTTTCCTCCCATTATTTCAGTTGCATTTTCAAATCTTTTCAGGACATATACAGTTTATGTATCATTTTTCTGTCTTGTTTTTATTCTTAGTTCTACAGTTAAATACATAAAATGCTTACTTTGTGACCAGTCCTTTTGCTTACGTTTCTTTAGTCATCCCTTGTTTAGATGGAGCTCAAGCCCGGATGTTCCATTGAATGTAATGTGTCAGTGTCTCTCCTGTGCATCTAGGATTCTATTAGTTGTATAATGTTCTTGGCAGAACTGAGAACATAGTTAGCCTGTGGTCCAGATGATGAACCTGGGTTGAGAAAGGGATTAGAACCCTCAGGAAAGATACATGTGTAAGTATTTTATGAGTTCTTGCTTGTTCAAAGTTTTTTTATTAGCCTCGTTAGTTGAAGGACAGGTAGGCTTGATATACAATCCTTTTTACTGAGCTTCTTTTCTTATTTTTAGTATTTATTTATTTGAGACAGGTTCTAGAATGATTTTCTACTAGTCTTGCTTTTTATGTTGCTTTGCTAAGTCTGATGCCAGGCTGATTCATTCTCTGATATCATTCTGTGATATCTTTTAGCATGGAGGCCTCGAAGATATCTTTCATATGCGTAAAGTCTAATAGTTTACTAGGTTACATTTTTGGGGTAGTTTGTTCTTGGTCAGTTTTCCCCAGTTGGCTCTTAAAATGTGTAGATTCAGGTCTTTTATTTTCAGGAAGTTTTTTTAGAGTATTATTTTAAATATTCTGTTTTAGTGTTTTGAATATCTTCTTCCAGAGTTTGATGTATATGTATCTTGGAGGTATATGTATTTCTAATTATATAAATATTTGACCCTCTTTGCCTAATTTGTTTTATTCACTTCAACTTTGACCCTTTATACTTCTTTTTAAATTTCACTTTCTTATGGTTGTTTTTCTACTTTTCCTCAATGCCCTTTGTAAAATTTTCATTTGAATCTATTATTCTCCCTTGGACATCTTAATTCCTTCTCTACTATGACTTTTTCTTTCTTTTGTTTCTTTCCTGGGTTCAAGCCACTCCTGTTTCATTACTTTCTTTTTTTTTCCTTTTCTATTTTTACTCTTCTTTGGGGTCTTGAACTGTAAGAGGTCCTGGAACATAAATTTGAGAATTGTTGCATCATACAGTAGTGGTTTACGTGGGGAATTTCAGAAGTACTGAGGCCTTTGACCTAGCCTCAGAAATTGCAGTGGTCTGAAGTGGTACGTGGGCTTTGAATATTTTAAATGATAGCCAGGAGATTGTAATGTTTAGGAACTTCACTGAGATATAGTTTGGAGTGTGGTACATCATGTGCTTATGTAACTTATGTACTTACTATCTCAAAAAAGGTCTAAGTCAGTGGTTCCCAAGTTTTCAGAGAAGAGTCATCTGAAGATCATATTCATTTTTCATAGTTTGTTGTTAGTATGTAGAATTACAGTTAACTTTAAAAATAACTTTATTGTGGAACAATAATAGACTCATTGGAAATGCAAAAATAGTTCACAGAGGTTCTATGTATTCTTTACCCAGCTTCCTCCAGTGGTAACATCCTACGTAACTATAGTATAATATCAAAACCGCCCTTTTGGCTCTCTGAGCAGCACCATGGCTGTTGGCAAGAACAAACGCCTTACGAAAGGAGGCAAAAAGGGAGCCAAGAAGAAAGTGGTTGATCCATTTTCTAAGAAAGAGTGGTATGATGTGAAAGCACCTTCTGTGTTCAATATAAGGAATATTGGAAAGATGCTAGTCACCAGGACCCAAGGAAACAAAATTGCATCTGATGGCCTCAAGGGTCATGTGTTTGAAGTGAGTCTTGCTGATTTGCAGAAAGATGAGATTGCATTTAGAAAATTCAAGCTGATTACTGAAGATGTTCAGGGCAAAAACTTCCTAACTTCCTTGGCATGGATCTTACCTGTGACAAAATGTGTTCCATGGTCAAAAAATGGCAGACAGTGATTAAAGCTCATGTTGATGTCAGGACTACCGATGGTTACTTGCTTTGTCTGTTCTGTGTTGGTTTTCCTAAAAACAATGTAACAATCCGATATGGAAAACCTTTTATGCTCAGCACCAACAGGTCCGCCAAATCCGGAAGAATATGATGGAAATCAAGACCCGGGAGGTGCAGAAAAATGACTTGAAAGAAGTGGTCAATAAATTGATTCCAGACAGCATTGGAAAAGACATAGAAAAGACTTGCCAATCCATTTATCCTCTCCATGATGTCTTCGTTAGAAAAGTAAAAATGCTGAAGAAGCCCAAGTTTGAATTGGGAAAACTCATGGAGCTTCATGGTGAAGGCAGTAGTTCTGGAAAAGCCACTGGGAGCAAGACAGGTGCTAAAGTTGAATGAGCTGATGGATATGAACCACCAGTCCAAGAATCTGTTTAAAGTTCAGACTTATAATAATGGCAAGTAAAAAGTCCTATTTGTGGAAAAAAAAAAATCAAAACCAGGAAATTGACATTGGTACAATCTGCAGACCTTATTCAGATTTCACTAGTTTATACATGCACTCAGTTGTGTGTTCTGTGCAATTTAATCATGTGTATAGGTTCATGTAATCACTACCACATCAAGTTACAGAACTGTTCCATCAGCACAGAGGAACTCCCTTAGGTTTCCTCTTTGTAGTCACTACAGTTGATTTCTTTATATTAATTTGTATCATGTGACTTTGTTGAATTTGTCTTTTAATTCTAGTAGTTTTATTGTGGATTCCTTAGACTTTTTTTTATGTATAGGATCATAAAATGTGGTAATCATGAAATTGACTAGCAAGACAATTTTACCTCTTTTCCAATCTAGATACTTTCTCCTCCTTTCCCCCCTTCTTTTCTTTCCTCCTGCCTTATTGCACTGGATAGAACTTCCTTTAGAATATTGCGTAGAAATTATAAGATTAGATATTCCTCCCTTGTTCCTGATTTCAGGGGGAAAGCATTCAGTCCTTCAACATTAAGTGTGATTTTAGTTGTTTTCTTGTAGACGACTTACCAGGTTGAAAAATTTTTCTTCTAAGTCTAGGAGTTTTTAATCACTGTGATAAGTTTAATAAAGTTGCTACCTTAGCATTCATTTTAGGCCTAACATAAATTGTTCGTAATTCAGTCATGCCCTGTCACCTTTGGCCTAGTTAGAACTTCCCCTCCCTGCAGTTGTTTGCAATATGGCCTACTTGTGCCTCATCTCACTGACCCAAAATGCAACACACCATGAGCTGCCGATCACAGTAAAACCTAATGGTCAGCCTCAGAAGTCATGTGAATAAGTTCCCATTCACATTTGTTTTCTTTAACCAATTCACAAGAAGGAAAGCATAAGGAATAATGTCCCTTAAAGGTGTAGTTCCACAGTTCTTCTTTCTCCCTCTCCCTCCTGCTCCTTCCCTCTCCTGTCTCAGGACCTCCTGTCTGTCTCTGTTTGGCACTCTAACCTCTCTGGGACCTATGAGTAATAAACTTCTTTCGTTTCATGTATTTTGCCTTAGCTTCCTCATTGTGTCTCCATTGAGACACACATACTGTATTGTTCTTGATATCATTTAACATCTTTTCTTTAACAAATCAACAGTCATGAATGGATATTGGATTTTGGGAAATGCTTTTTCTATTGAGATGATCATGTGATTTTGTCCTTTATGATAGTAGTTATTATATTGATTTTTGGAGATTAAGCTAACCTTATATTCTTGGGATACATTTCCTTTTTTTTTTTTTTTTTTTTTTTGTGGGTCAGGGTCTTGCTCTGTTGCACAGGCTGGAGAGCAGTGGTGCAATCATAGCTCACTGTAACCCCAAACTCCGGGCTCAGGTGAGCCTCCCACCTCAGCCTCCTGAGTAGCTTGGACTACTGGTGTGTGCCACTAGGACCAGCGAATTTTTTAAGTTTTTTTTTAAAGATGGGGTCTCACTATGCTGCTGAGGCTGGTCTTGAACCCCTGGCTTCAAGTGGTCCTCTTGCCTTAAGGAGAGAGAAACTAGATTAAAATACAAAAGTAAATACCCAAGCCTAGAGAAGGGGAAAGATAGTGATGACTATTATTAACAAATTAATTATAGTAATTATTATTTTTTGCTTACCATTAGTTAATTTTGGATAGCAGACACATACATTCAAATATTTTAATAGTCCATGAAATATATAGGTGGGTAGTCTGGTTCTAGACACATGTTAAGCTGAAGTGCCAAGGATAGGAAGTAAGGTTGAAAGTAGTGGCATTCTTTTACTGAAAAGACATTTACTTTTTGGGTTGTTTTGCAGGTATAATGGTATCTCATCTACATTGTCACTTTGCCTAGTTTACTATTTTGTTTTTTGTTTGTTTCAGTGAATTCCTGAAAGAGAAAAAATAAACAACATGATTCTCTCTGTAACAGCCCCCTGGACCCCCTCACCCAGTGTTCAGCATGATATAGACCCTTGTGTTTACCCTTTTTTTAAAACCAGGAAATGGCGCTCCTGGTGTTTGGTGTGAGCACTGATTATGCTTGGTCATCAGAAATGAATGAACTGGCAAGGGAAATGAATAAATGAGCTCAGAGAAAGCAAAACTGAATCATGCTGAAGATGCTTTCTAGGATGATTGTATTTCTGAAACCTTAAATCAAGCTTGTCCAACCTATGGCCCATGGGCTGCATGTGGCCCAGAATGGCTTTGAATGCAGCCCAACACAAATTTGTAAATTTTCTTAGAACATTACAAGATTTTTTTGTGATTTATTTATTATTTACTTATTTTTAGCTCATTAGCTGTCTTTAGTGTTAGTGTTAGTGTATTTTATGTGTGGCCCAAGACAATTCTTCTTCCAGTGTGGCCCAGGGAAGCCAAAAGATTGGACACCCCTGCCTTAGATATTGAAAATTAGAGGTGCCTGCATTTCCAGTAATTAAGACAATTCTTACTGTGCATTTTTTTGCTTTCCATTATCTTTCATTAAAAAAATCTCCAACTTTTACCTTTTAGAATATTAGGATAGAATCTTATTAATATGAATACGTCCAAAAGTTGGCTTTTGTGGTTTTCTTTTGTCAGAAGTGCTGTAGGATAATATAACTTAAAACACATACAGTTTTCTGCTTCTCTCAAGATGTTCAGTTGTTTTTCAGAAACACCTGAATGAATGGTGCTAAACTTTCCATGGGCTTTGTCTAAAACTCGACAAGCATTAGATTAATATTTCTTTTGTAGGTCCAATTAGCATTCAAATATTATTCCTGAAGTATTGGATTTCATATGTTATTTTTTGTTGCTTGTTGATATTTTGGTTTTATTTTGGGGGCTGCCTAATTCTCAGGTCAAATTATTTCTGGTAGTTTTGAAATTTCTTTTTTCTTTCTTTTTTTTTTTTTTTGAGACAGAGTTTTTGCTCTTGTTGCTCAGACTGGAGTGCGATGGCACGATCTCGGCTCACCTCAACCTCCGCCTCCCGGGTTCAAGCGATTCTTCTGCCTCAGCCTCCCGAGTAGCTGGGATTACAGGCGTGTGCCACCACACCCGGCTAATTTTATATTTTTAGTAGAGATGGAGTTTCTCCATGTTGGTCAGGTTGGTCTCGAGCTCCCGACCTCAGGTGATCTGCCCAGCTCGGCCTCCCAAAGTGTTGGGATTACAGGCGTGAGCCACTGCACCCAGCATAAATTTCTTTTTTTTTTTTTTTTAAGGCAAGGTCACACTCCTGTCACCCAAGCTGGGGTGCAGTGGTACAATCTTGGCTCACTGCAAGCTTGACTTCTGGGATCAGTTGATCCCCCCACCTCAGCCTCCTGAGTAGCTGGGATTACAGGCATGTACCACCATGCCTGGCTAATTTTTTGTATTTTTAGAAGAGATGGGGTTTTGCCATGTTGCCCAGGCTGGTCTTGAACTCTTGAGCTCAAGTGATCTGCCTGTCTTGGCCTCCCAAAATGCTGGGATTATAGGTGTGAGCCACTATACCTGGTCAAATTTCTTTTTTTTAAGATTATTTTGAAAGTATCGGTTGTGATAAAATGAGGAAACCATATGTGAATGGATGGAATGTGGTGTCTTTTCCTAAGTTGAATAGAATTTGATTAATCTGACTATCCTCAGAAGATTTTGCAAATTTCATTTAAATTTAAGTTAACAGAATTTCTGAAGTAGTAATCTGAGGAGTTAACCTAGGCCAGCCAATTTTTTTTTTTTTTAACAGTTGAATGAATAGAAATCCAGAAAAGTTTGAGTTGAGCAAGGCATTTTGATCTATTTCCCCACAGAAATCAGTGGGAAAACTTTCACTTTTGTTCCAATCAGAGCAACTCCCTTTTAGTTGTTTAGTGTTTTGATTAAAGTTTTATTTTAAGAAAGGTTCTGCTTTAAAAAAAAAAGTTACAAAACCACTGCTTTTAAGGGGAAGGGATCCCAAATAAGTATGAGTGGAAAGCTATCAGAGTCTCTTGGCTTTTTTAAAAAATTAGCGCCTACTAGAGAGTCTTTCCTTGACAGTTATTTGCTATAAACTAGGCTTTGATATGATCAGAATAGAAGGCATCATTTGGAGTATCAAATACAGAGGAAAATAAAGTGATTCTTCAGCCTTTGCTTTGGCATAGAATGTTACCAGGTATGGACTTAACTATGTTTGCTGAAATTATTTTCAGGTTTTAGAGTCAGGAATGAAGGAACATTCCTTGAGTATTTGATAGATTTGTGGTTTATAGACAGTAAATTCTATAATCGATGAGCTTCCTCTTTAGAAGTTCTTGAACCAAATTTATGGTTCACTGTAAGCCAGTGTATAGGATTTAAAAGGATGAGTCTTTGCATGAGTCTGATTTCTAACTCATTTGATACTTCTTTTTCACTTCCAATAAATGTTATCTTGCTTTCTGAACAAAGTAGGTTATACATAAATGCAATTACATACGGATGGTTCCTGACTATACCTACACCCTTGTGTAGGTTTCAGGCTCTGGACTGGATGCTCTGTTGCCTCTAAGACCTGATGGGACAGGTCAGGAGCAGGGGCTTTGGGGCCAGACTGATTTGTGTTCAAATCTTGACTCTGTTGTTTATTAGCTGTGTGATTCGGGGACATTTCTTAACTTCTGTGATCCTTGATTTCCTAATCTAAAAAAGAAAGCCGGGCCGGGCACGGTGGCTCACACCTGTAATCCTAGCACTTTGGGAGGCCGAGGTGGGCGGATTGCCTGAGCTCAGGAGTTCGAGAACAGCCTGGGCAACACAGTGAAAACCCTGTCTCTACTAAAATACAAAAAATTAGCTAGGTGTGGTGGTGTGCACCTGTAGTCCCAGTTACTCGGGAGGCTGAGGCAGGAGAATTGCTTGAACCCGGGAGGTGGAGGTTGCAGTGAGCCGAGATCATACCACTACACTCTAGCCTGGGTGACCGAGTGAGACTCCGTCTCAAAAAAAAAAAAAAAAAAAAAAAGCCTACCTCACAGTGTTGTACTTAAAGAGTATACTTAAGTAAGAGAATGTAAATAATAAAGTGCTTAGTACTGTACCGAGAATAGAAAATTTCCCAGTAACTGGCAGAGTAAAGAAAGCAGCAATAGAGAGAAAATCCCTAAGAAACCTTCAGATCTGTATGTGTGTTCTGAGACCATACCTTGGAAGAGAGGGCAAAAACAATGTAGGTCTCTTTTTCCAGCTATTAACATATATTCTAATAGGATAGATACCTTGAGAGAATAATTAGTCAATAAGAAAGATAATGACAGGCACCTCTATGGATGCTTAAAATGGGGGCAGAAAGAAATTAATGCTAAAGTGGTAATTTGAAGCCTAGGGTCTTAGTGGAAAGATAGCAATAGCCATGGTAAAGCAGTTTGGACAGTTACTGTGGATAGCATCTATCACTTTTGATAAGAGTACATGTTTGCATAATGATTTATGGGTTAAGTGTCTTTAGTTATGTGATCTCATTTGATGTATACAACACCATAAGGTGGCTTATTATTCAGATGACACTGGTCACATGGGGACAAGTTCCAAAGGGAGCAAGCAAGGACAGAAAAAACAATTATTTTCCGTAATGGTTAAGAAACGGAAAGGTTCTTATAGTCACAAATGGCAAGTGAACAGTAAAGCTGGTTCAAGAAATCCTGATTCTAGTCTAGGGCTCCTTCTCCTATAGTGTTTATTATTTTGTTTTTACTCAAAATGGAAATACTTAAAGATGCAGAGTAGTTCATAATTAGAGTAGGCAGAAGTGGGGGTGAAGCTAAGAGTCGAAGGCTCCTTAAGCCCAAGTAGGAGTTATTTTCTGCTAGGTAGTGTCTTTCATTGAAAATTCCTTATTTCATTGAAAATTTTTTTAAATTATGAATTTGATTATATTACTTGTTATTTCTTTGAACCATTTTTCAGAAGAATGACCCTGAGCACACTCTGCTATGGTGTTTGTACTTTACCCTCTGTATTTCATTTCTAGAACATCCTTTTCCCACTTCTTTTAGCTTCGACCATCTTTTGAAGCCACTCTAGCTTTGTTGGAGTTTGCTTTGTGATCAGGAGGCTACCTAAAGCCTGTTTCAGTCTCTTCAAATAGCTACAGCAGCGGCAGATAGTAACAGGAGTCAGAAGTGTGGTTGCCACTCAAGTAGCCCAAAAAGGTTTGCAGTGCAGAAGCTGAAATGGCTTACCACAGATGTGATCCACTTAAAAAGGTTCTGAAAACTCAATTCAGTGAAGTGTGTTTGGGCTCAGTGCATTGGACCTGTGACTTCCTGTAATGTTTACTTAACCCCCTAACTTCTAAGTGGTACCTCCCCCACCTCCCTGGAGGGGAAAAAGATACGCAATTGGTTTTGCAGGATTATGGAGATCAAACAAGCATCTAACAAAGACTCTTCCTTCCAGGTACCTCTTTCTCTCTTCCCTCTCATCATAGATTAATCACTTAGTTGCAAGGGACCAGTAAATTAACAGAATGGTGAACATTTTCCTTTTCTTGGTGCTTTTGCTGGATGACTAGTGGTTTCTGCTGGAACAGAGATGAACCATCTCAAGGTTATGAAAATTCCTGACTGTGGCAAATGTGAAAGAGTGTCTTTTTAATTCCTGGGAAATACTAAGACTTCTTCTCTAAGGTGCTTATTTGTAAAGTAAAAAGGTGACCTTAATTTCCAGTGCTATGCAGTGAACACAATTTTTGTGGAAACTAGTTCTAGGATTTGAAATGAAGACTATATGGTCTCTGTTAATCTGTATTGGTAAACGCACTGCACTTTATTGAGAGTTCTGGTCGTTAACCAGCGGAATTACTAGTATTATAGAAATTTATTAAGGATGGCTTATTGGAGTTGACTTGTAATTTCAGTCATTTCTTTGTAATTACGAGGTAAAAGATGATTTGTCTTGAGTTTAATTATTTCTGTAAGTTAAAATAAGGAATTTGTAAAGCATTCCTCAGTTTTATGTTCAGTTATCTAGGAAACATGCAGCAAAGAAAGGATGTGAGATAATTATTCAGAAATTTTAGTTGCTCGTGGTTGTGTGTTGAAGGCATATACGTGACAAGCAGTTTTGGAATTTCTTGCAAAGTCAGTATTGCCCTATAGATTGACCTTACAGAAAGTCCTTATTGTGTGTTTCAAAGTCTTCTTTGTAAATTAAAATATGAAAGCTGTTGTTACTCTGCTGATAGTTCTGATAACTCATGCTAACTAAATAGTTAAGGGAGTGGAAGAATACAGCCAGCATTCCATCATCTGGAAGGAAAATAGTGAGGTGGCAGATCCCTGCCTGACTCAGCTTTCACCATGCCATAAATAATATCATTTTCCCAAGCAATACTGTGGAATGCAAAAAGAAAGAAAAATGTAAAAAAAAAAAAAGTGGACTGAGATGAAGAAAGCCAATTTATAGTTGTAATAAATAATATTTTGTGTCAAAAAGGAAGAACAAATTGACAAGAACTTGGAGAAATACCAGCTATGGATAAAGGGAAATAAAAATGATGGAAATCCAGATGGTATAGAACTAAAGATCCAAATGTAAACAGCAGCTGTTTACATTAATTATCTTGTGGATGGAGTCCCTCACTGAGCTGATATGCTGTTACGTTAGTGCTTTCAGGTTTTGGGTTGAATCACTTAGGTATGCCTACACACTTGCTTTGAGAAAAATCATATGGTTAGCTGTGCTTTCCTTAATAATGATAAGTTAAATAACTATAATTTTACTATACTCAGTCATATGGAGAGATTTGAAGACTGAAGTATAATTCTGTGTTACTGCTAGTTGGTAAGCAGATGTCCCTACCTCATGGTCTCTTTGACTAAGTTAGATTGTAAGCCTCTGGAAGGCAGAAGACTGTTCTTCATCTCAGGTTTGGCATAATGCCTTTCATATAGTAGGGGCTCAGGAATCTCTGTTGATGTTATAAATTTGATAAGTGTTCACTGCTGAACCTGCATGTTGATGGTAAGACCATATAATGGTCTTACCTAGAAAAACCATATAATGGTCTTACCTAGAAAAACCTTTTGACTTGTATTGCTTTGCTCTATCTTCTGCTGAAATTAAACTATAAACCCCCCAAATGCATAATAAAAGCCCTTGCCTTGCTGTGTGGCTGACAGTTTCTAATGTGAGTGGAGGTAATAGCTGAGGATGGTGCTGTAGAAAACTTACCTCATAGGCCTAGGAAAGAAAGGTTTAAGGCTATCATCATGGATTCTGTTAGATGACTTGATTTTTACTGTATTAAAAGCTTCCTTTCCAGTGATTTGGGATTGCATGGAATAGAGTGCTGTACTTGGGTGTCACAGAACCCTGGGTTTGTGGATAGAATTATGATGCCCCAAAAATACCTCATTTGATATATAATCTTGATTTTGTTTATAGAATTTTCTGTAATGAAGTAATATTTGATTTTTTTCAAGTAGTTTAATATTTGCCCTTTATTGTTTTTCAATAATATTTTGAAAGACGTTTTCTTCTTCAAGATTGTTAAAAATATTTTTTGTGTTTCTTTTCGCTCTTTATTGGTTTTATTTTGCACATTTTTGCTGTTAATACATCTGAAACTTCTTTTGGTATAAGGGGTAAAGTGAGGACTCAATTTGATTTTTTTCTCCTAATGAGTATCCAGTTGTTATAATAGCATTTAACCAATAACTCTTACCCTAGGGATTTAAAATGTCACATCCATCTTATACTGAGTTCCTATATATACTGCCAGTTTCTGCATTTTCTAGTCTATTCCATTATAGGTTTATTTATTCACACTATTTTAATTATTGAAGCTATATAATGTTTTAATATCTGATAGGGGATGTTCTCTACCCTTATTCTTCTTTTTCAGAATTGTCTTGTCTGTCTTTGTTTGCTTTTCTATAAGAACTTTCAAGTAAGCTTGTCTAGTTCCTAAGAGAATTGTCAGGGATACTCAAGAAACACCTGCCCTTTGTGATCAATTCTAAGAGCCCCATCTGTATTATAAATCTGGAGACTGGGTTTTAGACCTTATTCTGACATTAACTGGCTCTGTAATAAAAAGATTAAATTCATGTTTTACTATTTTATAGATGTTTGCAGGTGCTTTTAAGAGAGTTATTTTGTACTGACAATTTTTTTGGTTTCTATATTCTCATCACTAAATAGAGCTATTTTAAAAATCCTCAATTTCAGTCTGGTCAACATGGCGAAACCCTGTCTTTACCAAAAATACAAAAAATTAGCCAGGTGTGGTGGCACACACCTGTAGTCCTGGCTACTTGGGAGGTTGAGGTGGGCGGATCACTTGAGCCTGGGAGGTGGAGGTTGCAGTGAGCCAGGATTGTGCCACTACACTGTAGCCTGGGCGACAGATTAAGACCCTGCCTCAAAAAAAAAAAAAAAAAAAAAAGGAAGAAGAATCCTCAGTTTTCTTTTTAAAAAGAATCCTCATTTTTTTTGCTTTTTTTTTTTGGTGGTTTGTTTGTTTTTTAGTATTGCAGAGGGGTCCTCATACTTGGAAAAATTGGAAACAACTGAATTAGAGTTCCCTAAACTCTGTTTTTTTTTTTTGAAAATTCAATTCTAAATAAATAAAAGGTGGTGTATCATCAATCCAATCAAGGATTGAATTTAAATCTTTGTGGCCTCTGAAAGGGCTACACAGTGGAGGGAAACTACAGAAATGGCTCTTGGCAAGATCATTTGTCTGTTTCTTTTCCTCTATAACCAGTTGGTGTTTTGAAAGGAAGCATATTGTCTAGATTTTCAGAGTTCTCTAAAAACAGGATGGAGGAGTATTATTTTTGAAGTATGTAGCATGATTGTATCTTCAGCACAATTAAGTGCTTTGAAAGCTTAAATTATTTGTGCTGTCATAATTGACTATTATGATTGAAATAAGGATGTATATCTTCTTTGCTTTTTGAGTGTTGCTAGATTGAGAGCTGCTGGACAGAATGATGGGTTCATGGGAGAAGACAATCAAGGGGGTGGTAATTCTCTAAAGTCAAACTTGACATTTTGAAGGGCACATCAGTCTGTAGCTTGTATAATTCTGTAACAAATTGGAAAATAATGGAACAAATGAAGAGGAAAAATTGGTCTTCATCTGTTGGTGAATGTCAGTCACTATTAAATTAAAATGAGTTTTTAAAATGAAGAGACCAAAAGTTTTTTTTGTCTCTTTTGGAAAGTTACATTGAGAATTCATTGATTTATGATTGCTATAGGACTTAAAAAGAAAAAAGACTAAAAAATCCAAAACCAAATCCTAAAGAAAAGTTTACCAGCAACTCCATAATCCCATCAAGAATAATATTCTGAAGTAGAGGGCAAGGTTTGGAATTGGTTGACTCTAGTTACACAAGACTCAGTCTATTAAATAACTGTAAATAATGTTCTTAAGCAGAAGTAAATGTGATAAATCAGATAAGCTGATAGAAATTACTATTCTTCAAATCAGAAAGATGAGAAGGAAGGTTAGGAAAAACAAGAATATAAGCAAAAAATAACCCTAGAGTGTAAGTCTGAAAAATTCAGAGTGGGAGTTGGTTTATTGAATCCTCAAATGCTGTTTGTTTGTATGCTAAATGGAAATAGAGGCAGCATAACTTAATGTGATGTGAGGTTTATGTTTTCACTGTTTAAAAACACAACATGACCAGACCAAATCAGAACCACAGAGTCCCAATTCCAGATTTCTGGGAGGGAAACCTGGCCCATTTTAGGTAGTGTCTGTCCCCATTCAGTCAGCTGTGGCCAGGAGGTTGGGGTAAGAGATTAAACCTTACTTGTGTTTTTACCAAAGTCAAATAGTATCCCCAAATCGGCTTCTGTTTCAGTTATCATCACAGATTACATTTTAGGAAATGTGTATATATTTTTCTTCTGGATTCTAATTTGATCTTGTCGAACGTTTTGTAGTTTTAAAATGCGTAACAGTTTACTTCCTCCAGTAAAGTGTCAGAGAGTACCTGTGTCCCTCCCCATCCTGGCCAACACCGGGATTTTTCATATGTTTAATCTTTGCTCATCTAACAAGTTAAAATGGTATGGCATTGCAGCTCTAATTTGTATTTCTTCTATAATTTATTTATTTTTTTAAGACAGTCTCACTCTGTCACCCAGGCTGGAGCGCAGTGGCATGATTATGGCTCACTGCAGCCTTGACCTCCTGGGCTCAAGTGATTCTCCCACCTCAGCCTCCCAAGTGGCTGGGGCCACAGGCACACACCACCACACCCAGCTATTTTTTTTTTGGTAGAGATGGCGTTTCACCATGTTGCCGAGGCTAGTCTCAAACTCTTGGGCTCAAATGACCCTCTTGCCTCAGTCTCTCAAAGTGCTGGGATTATAGGCACGAGCTACTGTGCCTGGCCCTGTATTTCTTTATATTGCTTGAGGTTGAGCATTCTTCCATGTCTGCTTTTCAAATACTCAGTAGATGGATAGTTACTTCGTTCCTTTCTGTTTTTGTTCAACCAAATAGGTAGACTGTGGGGCATTTTGTGAGAGTATTAGTTTGGAAGAAGTTTCAACTTGTTCTATCAGACATGAAGTTTAGCACTAAAAATGGTTCCTCTCAGAACTGGGTAATGTGGAGTGGAGGGGGCAGTGCCTGGAGAGCATTGAAGGAAGAAGTGGCCACTGAACAGGGTGTCATGTTGGGAATTGCTGTGATTGCAAGATATCAGAACTTTACTGCAAATTGAGCCCAGCAGGGATGGGCAACCATATGGCTTAGAAAGTGACTTATGTAGGCAAGTGGTAAAGTCTTACTGAGGTTTAGTGATGCAAGCCTGATGTGGCATCGTCAATAGATGCATTTGTTTGAGGAGTCTTGCTGTTTTGGCTTTAGTTGAATGTTAAGAATAAAATTGGTACCATGTTAATACTTTTAGAATGATTTTTGACTATATCTAGTATTTAAAGCTTTTCTTTAGTTATTTCTCCAAAGCACAACAGAGTTTGGCAGATTTATGTGTGAACTTAAAATAAAATAAAAGATAATGCTGTTAGTGTAGTTTGGGGTGTAGGATACCTTCTGCCTCTGAGGGAATGTTAGACCTCATGCTTTGGATTGTTTTGAACAGAGGTAAACATACTCAATTTGACTAGATGTATCTGTAGATTTTAATGTTAGTGAGCAGTGCTGTCCTGCTTCTTGTGTTAGTTTCTTGAATGGCCACCCCCCATTGCTGGACTTACGCCAGGGCAGAAGAAGGTTCACCTCATGAGCTCAGTGTACAGGAAGGAATGGAAAACATGAACATGCTTTTGCTTTTCTATGTGTAACTTCCCCTTCCCCTTTGAAACCAATTCTTTTGGAAAGCTGCAACTGAAGACCCATATCTGAATAGCATTCTAACAGTATTTCTCATTAATATGCTTTGTCAGTCCTCAGTTTGTAAGACATTGTCAGAATGTTCTTGGTTTGAAGCCTGGATGCTTTCATTTCCCATCGCGCTAATTTCCATCCTGTTAATTTTTTATTCGTGACCCTCTGCTGAGAGGCCCCCCCAACACCTGTTAAATCACAGAGAAAAAAGTAAAATTTGTGGTATTTTTAGTTATTTCTGTACTAATAAGATTGCCACCTCTTAACTCTTTGTAAAAATGTAACATGGTATTTACTTTAACTCCAGTAATAGTTTTGAATTTTGACCTTTTTTTATTTGAGAAAAAAGAAACCCGAAAGAAGGTGGAAAATAGATTATTTGGTTAAAATTTCTTTTTCTCTTTAAATGTCTTTACTCCTACAGATGTCACCTTTAAATGTGAGTCTTAAACCAGAAATATGCCCTATAAATCTACTCACAAAAGTAATCTGGATGGGATTTAAGCCCAGGCAGATCTCAATGAGATTGTTAGGTGAGATCACCAAGGGAGGGCACACAGAGAAAGGGTCCAAATCAATATGTCAAAAGTCTGCTAAGCTAATATTTCTCTGCGTTCTTCTATGTAAAATGTGGGAATAAAATGCCACATACACTTTTTATCCTTTCAGCAGTGAGTTATTGCACACCTACTGTGTTCCATGCACTGATCTGGGCACTGGGACACATCAGTGAACAAAACCTCAAAAAAATCCCTGCCCTCACAAAGCTGACATTTTAATGGGAGAATTGGGCAGTAAAGGAGACAAATTAATAAATTATTCACATGTAGCATATTAGAAGATAATAGATGGTAATGGAGAGAACTAAATCATTTAAAAAGGGTAAGGAGGTTCAGGACTTGCAGTTTTAATTGGGGTGAGGCAGAAGTAATATTTGGGCAGAGATTTGAAGGAGGTGTGAGGGACTGAGCCACGCAGGTGTAGGTGGGTGGGGCGGAACATTCCAGGAGAGATGGTAGCAAGTGCAAAGGTCTTGGTGGGCTGCTCTCTAGTGTGTGTGTTCAGGGAGGAGACCTGCAGTAGAATGAGGAGGGGAGAGGGAGAGAGTAAGAGATGAGGACAGAGTGGTTAGGGGAGGGAAGGAAGCAGGTCATGTGGCTCTCTTAGGTCATCGTAAAGGTTTTAGATTTTCATCACACTGTGTGTGCTGAACGGCCACCAGAGGGTTTGAAATGGAAGAGAGATGTGATCCAACTTCTTTGACAGAAATGCTCTAGCTTCTCAGGAAAACAGTCTGTTGGGGAACAGAGAATAAAGTGGAGACCAGCCGGGAGGCTTGGGTGAGGATGCAAGCAGTTGAGGTGGGGGAAGCAGTAGGATTTTGATGTATTTAGAAGGTGGAAACACTAGTAGGATTTACTGGTGGATCTGACAGTGAGGGAGGGAAATTAAGGATGCCCAGGGTTTTTGACTTGAGCAGCTGAGATATGGGGTTGCCATGAACTGAGAGGGGGAGACTACGAGCTCTAGATTGCTGGGGAACGTCAGGAGTTCAATTTTGGGCATGTTATATTTCATATTAGGGTTGTGTATTAGACATCCACGTGAAGACACTGAGTTAGCTGTTGAGTATACAGTTTCAAAGTTCATGGAAGTGGTCTGGGCTGGAGATGGGAATTTGGGAGTTGTCAGGATATATGTGGCATTTAAAACCATGAGATCAGGAAAGGAGGGAGTCGGGATAGAGAAGAGAAAAGGTCCGAGGACTGAGTTGTAGGTTCTTGAGGTCGGGGATGCTTTAGGAACGGCTGGGCACTGGTGACTATTACTTGGTCACCCCTTAAGGTACTTGCATCCCTGCCGGGCTCACTGTGGGGTGTTAATCCCAGTGCACTCAGCTGTTATTTCAGAATGGATGTCTAACTGGAAAGATACTAGGTAGTCATTCAAAAGGACCTCAAAGGAGCAGGCGAGTTTTTTTTTTTTTTTTTTTGCTTTCTACCGCAGTGATTCTAGATTATTTTGGGCTTTGCTTGATTTCTGGACCAATAAGCTTTGCTGAACTGCAGTTTTAATGAAGTTCATGATATCACCAATCTCTACAAAGTGATTTATTTAACTAATCTCTAATAATAAAATATTTCAACCTGACAGCTGACTTTTTAAGAAGCATGTGATTAATAGTAGTTTGAGTGATAATTAATTTTCAGGAAAGATTCCAGAATATTGGAAATATTTTTGTTTTTTTGCGGGAGTGAATCTGTTTTATTTATGAATTTTATGGTAATTTTACCTTACAGTGTGTCTTAGCTCAGGCTGCGTAACAAAATACCACAGACTGTATAGCTTAAACAACAGAGATTTATTTTCTCATAGTTCTGGAGGCTATGAAGTCCACGAACACAGTTCCAGCAGGGTTCAGTTCCTGGTGAGGGCCATCTTTCTGGTTTACCTGCGAGTTCTTTGTCCTCAGATGGCCTTTCTTCTGAGTGGGTGCAGAGAGTGTGAGTTTGGTGTCTCTTCTTCTAAGGCCATAGGTCCCATAGGATCCAGCTCCCACCCTATGACCTCATTTAACCTTAATTACCACTATAAAGGCCCTACCTCCAAATGCATCACATTAGGGTTGGGAGCTTCCACATGATTTTGGTGGATTATATACAATTCAGTGTATAATACAATGTCTTCTCAATTTCTCTCCCTCTAATATGAAGACATTCTTATCAGTGTCTTGTCAGTTGTCTGTTCCAGGGTAATTTTTTCAGGATAAATGTCATTGAGCTGTGTATGCGTGTGCCTGTCTCTGTGGGTTAAGCATACATGGATTATTTTCTAAGGTCATTTCTGTAATGATACACAACTTGTGGCAATATTTACAGTGATTTTCTTCACAAATGTTTTTGCACAAATGTTTAAGCAGTCTAATATTTTTATTTCAGGAATTGGTTTTTGGGTTTCTGTAGCATTTGAGTACTGTTTCTAGGGGATGTTAACGGTTTTTAGGGAGTCCCTGCCGTGCAATATTGGTTCAGTGAATGGATGAATAAACTTAGGTGAATGTATGTGGGTGGGGAGTGGGGGCGTTGTACTGTAATGAAAGTGGAAATGTAAAAAATATCATCTTAGCTTGTTTATGGAAGGGTCATTTATCTTGCAAAATTTTCTACCTTTAGCATTACTGAGGAATTCATTTTGGTCCAAACCGACTTGGCCGAAGCATGGGCTTCCCTCAGCGTACTGCTTGCCGGTGCCTCCTGAGTTTTTTGGTTTGAGGGTGAGAAAGATGAAAGGTTATGAAAGTTCTGTCTTGTGAATATGCTGAAGATCAAATCATAAAGTGTCCACTCTGTTTATAATTTCACCTTTATTTTTCTAGGCCATTTACCAAGCCACCTGAAATTTGCTTTGTTTTAAATTATTGTTATTATTATTTACTGTTAGTCTTGTGCTTTATGTCTTTAAATTTAACTTCAGGTATTTTTATGTAATTGATAATATTCTTTTGTCACTGTTTTGTGTGCCTTAGCATTTATTTCATGTCATATTTTCTTGCAGATTTATTTATTTGCTCTTTTTGAGTCACATTCCAGTGGAATCCAAGGTCCATAAAAACAAGGAATTGTCTGCCTTTTACTGCATTTTATATTCAGCACTTAGGTACTAGCATATAGTAGGTATCCAATAAATATTCTTGCATAAATAAATCCTATAGACACTACTTTGCATGCTTTTCCATTTAGTGTCATGTCAGAAAAATGTTATCACATAATTAACAAGTCTTCTAAAATACTGCATAGGTCATTGCATAATAATTTATAGCTCTAACATAGTTTGCTTTAAATCAGTTCCTTCCTTTGGCTGATTTAGTTGCTTCTGTGTTTTATTACATACATAACACTGAAGGGAACATCTTCGTGTATAAATCTTTGTCCACATTTGTGTTCATTCCTTTATTCATATATTACTGTATTACTAGAAGAAGAATTAGTTACATTGATTTAGGTAATTTAAGGCTCTTAACATATAATGACAACAAAAGTATTCCAATTTATACTTTTTAAAATATAAATTTTCAAAGGGCCTTTTTCTCCTGGAATTTCATTCTTAATACTATTTTCTTCTCATTTTGTATTTACTCCCCTTGGCCATACCATCAAATGCTCTTCTATTCTAGTCCTTCAGTTCCAGCGAGGGCTAATTTATGGCCTCTGCTCCAAGGTCTAACTCTGCATTTGTTAGATATCTGGTGGTTCCCCCGGTACCTCAAGATCACCATCTCCAAAAGTGTAATTATTTTTCCATCAAAACCTGCTCTTTGCTGTTCTGTTCCCTTTTGAGATAAATGAAGGTAAAATCTTTTCAGCACTCAAGCTGGAATTGTGGGAGTGATCGTCAGTTCCTCCGTTTCCTCTTGATCCTCAGCTAACTTGTATATGCCCTTTGACTCTTGCGCTCCTGGCTGCAGCAGTGGCCTAAGCTTACTACCGTCTCCTTTCTGGACGATTGTATTACTGCCCTGTTGTAGCTCCTGTATCACTTTCCCCGTGTACATCATTCATACTGCCAAAGTTACCTCCCTGGAACGCCTGTTTTCTATTCCTTTCCTAAGTAAATTAAGTTCCTTCCAACTCTCCCGGTTACTTGTAGATCCTCCTTATTTAACAGGGGCTCTGTGTGCTCTGCCTAGTCCTTCCCTAGTCTGCCTTCTGTCATTTCCTGGGGATTTTTCTTCCTTCTCCTTCTTGGGTATCTTGACCTTTTGGAGCTCCACATTGTCTGTCTTCCTCATTCACTCCTCTGTGGCTGCTCTCTGGCAGACTTCTTTGTCTAGAATACTGTCCCTCAGTTGTTCGTTTAACATTCATCTTCAGATTCAGCTCTGGGAAGTCTTTCTTTACCTACCATTTCCCAACAACAACTTCCTTTTCTGTATAACCACCAGCAGTGTATAAGTACCTTGATAACGTAGTCTTCAATGTCATTTGTTGCTAATATTTATGTGTATGTTTGTATCATAGACAGTATGAGTGTTATTTATCTTTGATCCCATGGCACTTACCATAAAGACTTGCAGAAAAGATATTTAACAAATGTTAGTTGAACAAAGGAATATCTCAGGAGGAACGTACTTTGACTTGATGTCTTTTTGGTGTTCTTTCTTCCTGTTTCTGTCTGATATTGTTTCCATTCAGTCTGAAGAACTTCAGCATCTTTTTAAATATGGATCTGCTCAGCTTTGGCTTATCAGAAAATGTCTATTTTGCCTTCCTTTTTAAATATTAAACCTTTTATTTTTATATAGTAATAATCTCACAGAACATGGCAAAAAAGAAGTTCACAGTTCCATGTACCCTTGCCCAGCTTCCCCAAAGGTGACATCTTTTATAGCTTGTAGTACAATACCAAAACCAATAAATTGATACTGGTACGTACTAACGACCTTATTCACTGTTCACTGTATTTTAAACTGCAGGTGTGTGTGTGTGAGTGTGTAAAGTTCTCTGCAGTTTTAGCACATGTGTAGATTCGTATAACCGCTGCCACCTTCAAGATACAGTACTGTCCCATCACCACAAAATCTCCCTTGTGCAATTTCTTTGTACCCTCAGCCATCCTATTCCTTGTCCCTGGCCCCTGTTCTTCATCTCTATTAGTTGTATCATTTTCAGAATGTTACATACATGAAATCATACCATATTTAACCTTTGTGATTACTTTTTTCACTAAGCAAAATGTCTTTGAGGTCTGTCCGGGTTGTTTTATGTATCAATTGTTCATTCCTTTGTATTGCTGAGCAGTTTACAATTGTATGGATATACCAGAGTTGGTTCAACAATCCACGCAAACAACATTTGCATTGTTTCTGCTATTTTGCTATTATGAGTAAAGCTGCTATGGACATTTGTGTACAGGTTTTTCTATGAATATATTTTCTCTGGGATAAATACCCATGAATGTGATTATTGGAAAGTGAATCTTTAGTTTTGTAAGAATGTGCCAAACTATTTTCCAGAGTAGCTGTACTATTTTACATTTTCACCAGCAGTGTGTAAGTGATCCTTTTTTTTTTTTTTTTTTGCATCCTCACCAGACTTTGGTATTATCACTGTTTATTTTAACTGTTCTAACCTGAATAATGATATCTCATTGTGGTTTTAATTTGCATTCTTCTAATGCCTAATAATGTTGACCATCTTTTCTTCTGCTTATTTGCCGTCTGTATATCCTCTTTGGTGAAATGTTTATTTTTTTTTTGCTCTTTTCATAATTGGATTGTTTACTTTTTTTTTTAAAAAAAGCTAGTTTTGAGAGTTCTCTCTCTAGTTTTTTTCATTAGACAAAGAATCTTGTATGACAGTCATTTTCCCCACACCTCAGCATTCTAAACATGTCAGTTCATCATATTCTGACTTTAATTATTTTTGATAAAATTTAGCCTTCTTAAATGTTGCCCTTATTGCAGTTTTCTGCAAGTCATATGTCTCATTTTCCTCTGGTTGCTTTGAGTATTTTCTCTTTGTCTTTGGTTTTTAGCAATTTGGCTATGATGTGCCTAGGTGTGATTTTTCTTTGTGTTTACTATCTTTGGGTTTAATGAGCTTCTTCGATCTGTGGGTTGATGTCCTTCATTACATTTGGAAAATTATCAGATTATTATTTCTTAAGATATCTTTTATCCGGTTCTCTCCTTGTCTTCTGGGACTCCAGTATATTCAAGCCATTTATTATTTCTCAGCTCTTGGGCAGTTTCCTTGTTTGTTTTCCATTTTTCTCTCTCTGCAGCTCATAGAACCACCTTCTGCTATGTCCAGTTTTCTGTTAAGCTCATCGAATGAGTTCTTTCTTTCTGAAATTGTAATTTCCATTTCTGGCTTTTCTATTTACCTATTTTGTTATTTTACTCTGATGAAATCTTCCAACTGCTCATGTTCACCTGCTCATCTTTCTCACTAAGTCTTTTAGTACATTTATCATAGTTATGTCTACTGGTTGCAACATCAGGATCATATATGGATGTACCCTCTGTTGACTTTTTAAAAATGGACCATGTTTGTCTCCTCCTTGTGTCCCATTATTTCTATTTATTATTATTATTTTTTTGAGACATCTCACTCTGTCACCCAGGCTGGAGTGCAGTGGTGCAATCTCATCCCACTGCAACCTCTGCCTCCTGGCTTTAAGCCATTCTTATGCCTCAGCCTCCTGAGTAGTTGGAATTAACAGGTGTGTGCCACCACACCCGGCTAATGTTTTGTATTTTTAGTAGAGATGGGGCTTCGCCATGTTGGCCAGGCTGATCTCGAACTCCTGGCTTCAAGTGATCTGCCCGCCTGGGCCTCCGAAAGTGCTGGGATTACAGGCGTGAGCCACCACGCCTGGCCCCTTGATTTTTTGTTGTTGTTGTTGTTGTTGTTGTTTTTACGTTTTAGTCTTTTTTTTTTATTATACTTTAAGTTTTAGGGTACATGTGCACAACGTGCAGGTTTGTTACATATGTATATATGTGCCATGTTGGTGTGCTGCACCCATTAACTTGTCATTTAACATGTTAATGCTATCCCTCTGCCTTCCCCCAGAACAGGCCCCGGTGTGTGATGTTCCCCTTCCTGTGTCCATGTGTTCTCATTGTTCAATTCCCACCTATGAGTGAGAACGTGCGGTGTTTGGTTTTTTGTCCTTGCGATAGTTTGCTGAGAATGATAGTTTCCAGCTTCATCCATGTCCCTACAAAGGACATGAACTCGTCATTTTTTATGGCTGCATAGTATTCCATGGTGTATATGTGCCACATTTTCTTAATCCAGTCTATCATTGTTGGACATTTGGCCTGGTTCCAAGTCTTTGCTATTGTGAATAGTGCCGCAATAAACATACGTGTGCATGTGTCTTTATAGCAGCATGATTTATAATCCTTTGGGTATATACCCAGTAATGGGATTGCTGGGTCAAATGGTATTTCTAGTTCAAGATCCCTGAGGAATCGCCACACTGACTTCCACAATAGTTGAACTAGTTTACAGTCCCACCAACAGTGTAAAAGTGTTTCTGTTTCTCCACATCCTCTCCAGCACCTGTTGTTTCCTGTCTTTCTAATGATCGCCATTCTAACCGGTATGAGATGGTATCTCATTGTGGTTTTGATTTGCATTTCTCTGATGGCCAGTGATGATGAGCGTTTTTTCATGTGTCTTTTGGCTGCATAAATGTCTTCTTTTGAGAAGTGTCTGTTCATATCCTTTGCCCACTTTTTGATGGGGTTGTTTTTTTCTTGTAAATTTGTTTGAGTTCATTGTAGATTCTGGATATTAGCCCTTTGTCAGATGAGTAGATTGCAAAAATTTTCTCCCATTCTGTAGTGCCTCTTCACTCTGATGGTAGTTCCTTTTGCTGTGCAGAAGCTCTTCGGCCCGATGATTTTTTATTGTTTGCTGGACATTAAGAACAAGAAAGACTGAGGAATATCTATCCCGGCAAAAGGCTTGCTCTTCCTTTTGTCACACTGTTAATGAGGGGGACTGAGCTGGATCTGGGCTTTGAAGTAGCATTAATTAGAGTCAGTTTACCATTGGATTCACATAGTTTGAGAGTGGGATCACGAGTTTGTTTTCGGCAGTTTTCACTCCGAACCCCAGTAAGATCTTGGAGATCTCTTTATGCTTCAGAGCCAAGCTGCCAGCTTCCTGAGTGGTGGGAGATTTCTCTTTGTTTTATAGCTTGGCTGCTAGCCTTTCTGGACAGTGGTGAGTTATTTATACTCTTTCGATGGCTTTCAGCTCCTCAGAAGGTATCTCTTTGCCCTGCTCTTTTTAATTTTATTTATTATTATTTATTTTTTGAGACGGAGTCTCGCTCTGTTGCCCAGACTGGAGTGCACTGGCACGATCTTGGCTCGCTGCATCCTCTGTCTCCAGGGTTCAAACGATTCTCCTGCCTTAGCCTCATGAGTAGCTGGGATTACACATGCATGCCACCGCGCCTGGCTAATTTTTGTATTTTTAGTAGAGACAGGGCTTCGCCATGTTGGTCTCGAACTCCTGACCTCGGGTGATTCACCCGTCTTGGTCTCCCAAAGTGCTGGGATTACAGGCGTCAGCCGCTGCGCCTGGCCTGCCCTGCTCTTCTTTTCATTTCTTTTTTTTTTTTTTTTTGAGACGGAGTCTTGCTCTGTCACCCAGGCTGGAGTGCAGTGGCTGATCTCGACTCACAGCAACCTCTGCCTCCTGAGTTCAAGCAGTTCTCCTGCCTCAGCCTCTGGTGAAGCTGGGATTACAGGTGCCTGCCACCAAGCCCGGCTAATTTTCTGTATTTTTTGTAGAGATGGTAAAAGCTGATTTCTGTCCACTTACTTGCCTTCCTCCTGGTGTCAGGCTGCTGCTCTGCATCTAGGGACTTCACAGGTGCCTGACGTGACATAGGGGCTCTCTCAGCTCTCCTGCCCTAGCACCTTGTGCACTACCCATGTGTATTTGATTAAGGCCCACAGGAAAGAGTTGGCAAGTGGATGCAGATTTGCTGTGTTTTGGGGCTCCTGGAGATTCTAATCTATCATTTCAGCTCACATGGAGACATTAAAAGTTTGTTAACAGTTCAGCTGGTATCTTCTTACCCTTATCTATTGGCAGATTCTTTGTCTTTCCACCACTTTGCCACAGATGAAAACAGCTGTGGATTACTACTTTGCCTATGAAGGCCTTCTTGATATCTGATACTTACTTCCTGTAGGTTTCTTTGTGTTCTATCCACATTTTCTAAATCCTGGGGCAAATTGTCTCTGTGTAATGTTATAGAATGGAGGTTACAGTCATCCCATGGGATTTGATTCATTGAGGCAAAGTGGATAAAATATTTCCAAAAGGCATCATTTCTAAGTGGACTGGGGAGTTCACACCTTGGCTTTGCCACTTAGAGCTTTGTAGTAGTATTCAGTTACTCTCTGAAAGTACTGCTTTGTTAATTGGAGGTTAAAACACCCACATCTGTCATCCTCTTTGGGCTCCGAAGATTAAATGATGCAGAAGTACAAAGTAAACTTCCCAGGGCTTGAGTGGTTTGACTAGGATTACTGTAGGAAAGATTTTGAGATTTACCTTTAATGGTAGAGTGGGCAGTAAGGTGAGTGGGATGGATACAGGATGGCTTTACATTTCCTGAGCTGTCTTTACAGCAAGATTATATTTCATTTCAAATAAAAGAAGAGAAGGCTAGTGGTTAAAAGCATGGTCTCTGAAAAAAGGTTTTCTAGGTTTGACTCTCAACTCTATTATGTACTGTGTGACCTGGGGCAAGCCACTTCACTTCTCTGTTTCTTAGTTCCTTTGTTTGTAAAATGGGGATATTAATAGTTCCTACTTCATAGGATTGCTATGAGGACCAAGTGAGAGGCTAAGAATGTAAAGCAGAGTTCTGGCTCAGCATGGCAGGCTCAGTAGCAGTGAAGTACATTGCTTCTCATTTTTTCCTTTCTGGTTGCTCTCATGTCAGGGCAGGGCAGAGACAATCCTGGTTAGCTTTTCATCCCAGCAGAGAATTCAGATACAAATCCTGATTAAGAAGGTGTATTTAGTAAGATGTTTCACAATGCTCATGGGAGCTGGGGTGTCTCCGTTCTGCTGTTGGTTGGTTAGTACTGGAGGCCAGATGTTTTAGCTCCTCTTTCATGACTTTAATCTTGTGTTGGATTCATCACCAAAAGACGAACAGGAGCATCCGCTCTGCATTACTTATTACCTCCAAGAAGAAACACTGTCGCAGCACTGTAGAATGTTAATGTCTCTTCCCTACACACCCTCTCTCCACCTCTCCACTTCTGTCTTTCCTCCTTTCCTTAGTTGTGGGAATGTGGTATATAGTCAGGGTGATTTCTTTGTGGCAGGGTAGAGATGATTAGCAATTTGGTTCTCTTAGGTTGAAAATGCTTACATTTATAGGTTATATAGTAGATAGAGCCATGCTGTGTTGAAATCTCATGGTTTTGTGGGTTTATATAGTGTATTTTCAGCACTTTTAGGTGCAATAACATTCACTTGCTTTCAGATGTATTTTAAAAATTGCTGATTACTTTTGTATTAAGATTTGAGGTCATTAATTTTAAGCAGATTGATAAAAATGGTACTTAATCTCTGTGTATTTGGTATGTGAATTACGTAGCATTTATTTTAGGAAATTTCCATGGAATTCCATTTATCTCAGCAGTTTTGAGGGGAGAAGATAATACTGTAGATGTAACTTACTGGAGTGCTTTAATTTTAATTCTGTTGACTGTCTCTGTGTATAGGTTTATTACCACTTTAATTTCTTCAGTTTACTTTGTATGTGGAGTTCTATAGTCATTTAATCATTATTCCTGTGCTCAAGGTTCTACAGAGATGAGGCCTGCCTTTGGGCTCTTCTAGACTTTGAAAGAAGCATCTTGTCACTGGAGTATGGATGATGGGGGATGATGGAGAGGATAGGGGCAGAATCTGGATCTTGGTACCCTCCTGCCTTCAGGGTTGACAGATTCAGCTGGCATTTTATGCAGAATTCAAGTTATTAACAGAAAACTCTACAAGAGCAAATGAAGCTTTAGTTAAATAAACATGAGGATTTCAAATATCAGAATATCAACTGTTTGGAATATCTACATTCCTGTACCCTTTCAGTGAGTAAATTGGCCATAATTATCTTTATTTGTAGAAAACAAAGAGGTGCTGGTTCAGGGATATGTGATATATTGGCCACTGGCCTCAAGCATGAGTTTTGTCATTTGGAGACAGATCAGTGCTGCCACCTAACCTCAAAGAATGAGGATGTGGCCTGTCATCTGCATACACAAATGCAAAGATATCATCACTTCCTTTTTGCCAAGAGTGGGCTGAGTAAATTTGCCAGATTGTGGTGATTGTGCTTGTCTGCCGACAGGGAGCATGTTTTGCTTTTAGTTGTCCAGGGATAATAACTGCCGGTTATTAAATGCCTCTGCTACCTTGCTGTGTTCTTTGTCCATAAGACTTCATCCTCCCCTTCACATTTTAAGGGGAGGTATGGTTAGCTTTATTTTTATAAAAGGGGAGCTTGAGACTCAAACAGTACTAACTCTTCCAAGGTCCAGAGCTTTTCGATGGTAGTTCCGGGGTGGAACTCAGATCTCTGACCCCCATACCTCTGATCTTTCCCCTTTACCATGCAGCCTCTGGGCTTCAGAAAATGTTTCCTACAGGATTATATTGGATGCCACTGATTAAATGATTACTGCTACTTAATTAATTGGAGATAGAATTTGATGCTAGAAATGTTTTTGGCAATAATGAGTTACTTAGGTGACTGAACTTTTACATTTATTTCTAGGAGGTCATTTTTTCCTTGTTTTTGTTCGTTTGTATCTTCTCTCATAAATTGTAGTATTCTTGTGGCATGATGGTGGGCCATTTAGTTCCCTGATTACTTTAGATATAGTGAGTTAGGTTTTGACTAGAGGCTCAGGAGCTTTGAATGTAGACATGTTGTAAAAATGGTACTGCTGTGTTTGTCAGTTTTGTTTGAACACATAGGATCCCCTGTGGGTACAGGTTTATGAATCTCTTTGTTATAGTGGCCACTATTATACTTTATCCTCAGAGAGAGAAAAAGAAAAACTGAAGTTATTTGTTGAATTGCACATGAAATCTTTATGTCAGGTTTAGTATTATAGAGGTAATTTTGAAATATAGTTTGATTTTGGAGTATTTAAAAATTGTCATGGTAATAATGAAAAAAATACCTCTGCAATGCAGTATTTACATCTTGCTATTTCTATTTGATAATGTACAGATTTTCTGTATATTTCGTGCACTTATGTCATGATTTTCATTATTTTCTTTGTCCAAATGTAAGACTCAACACATTTAATGAAACTAAGTGGAAATCCTGATCTGGTTATGATCTAACCCGTTGGTATCCAACAGATTGCTGACTGTGTAGTATTTTAGCCCAGGATATTTGTCACCTGATTTTTAAGTCTGAGCTTGAAGAGGAAGGCGATAAGGGCCCATGGGGAGGTAAGAGTAACTGCTGTTGGTACCTCTGTTAAATTTGTCTTTCTCCTGAAATAGCTGTGGAAGTGTGGAGCTGCAGGTATAAGCTGAAGGTAAAAAAGACAGCACTATTCTTCTTCTGGCCAGTTGTAGAAAGCTCAGCAGCTTCTTGTGTCGGGGCCTGGGTGGTACCTTTTGTAGGGGTTGGACTGTAGTTAATGTGAGGACAGATTAGAAAATCTGGTTTCAGAGAGCAAGGTGAGGCTGGAAGTTAAAGGTGTTCCAGCACCTGAACAGGAACCAGGTGAATATTCAGGAATCAAGGTAGGTCAAATCAAGGAAATAAAAACACAAATAACTAGTTGTTTGGTTGAGCAGGTGCTCAGGAGGCAATAGGAAGTCAGAGACCAGGGATGGGATATAGGCATGGGAGAAAGGCAGAGACTCAAACCAGTAAAGGATATAAAGCAACTTTAAGCACAGTTAAGAAAACCTCTTTTGGGCTGTGTGTGGTGGTTCACACCTATAATCTTGGCATTTGGGAGGCTGAGGCAGGAGGATCACTTGAGGCCAGAGTTTGAGACCAGCCTGGGCAGCACAGTGAGACTCTGTGTCTCTCTACTAAAAATATTTGTAAAAAACTTTAAAAAAGGGAAACCTCTTTTATACTTATTTATGATGGCCTGTGAACAACTTCAAGGATTTTCTGGTTGGAGACAGGATGGTGGGGCCAAAGCTAAGGGTAATGCCCTGGTTTGGTTGCTGAAATTAAGGAAAGAAAGACATTTGTCTACCAGGTGATTCATAGGTGGCATGATAAACAGTAGTTTAATGTATAGAGTTGAGAAGACAAAACACAGGCCTCTGAAGGTAAATCCCAGTGGAAAGTAGCATGTGTTGGGTTTCACACTGGTGATACTCCTAGTGAGTTCTGTTGGAGTTAGGAGGGTGGGGTGATCTAGCTAGGTTGGTGTGGTCCTGCAGCCATAGTGAAGAAGATAGAGTCAGTCATAGAAGGAGTGGAGTTTGGAATAAACCTTGGGACTTAGGTGAGATAGATGTAGGTGAGTGTGTCTTCCACCTGTATTTACTGTGTGATTTTTTTTGGATGAGTCTTCCATTAGACTGTTTCCTAATTTGCAAGATAGTTAAACTAATTCCTACCTTGCAGGTGTCAAGGTTGTAGGGGATTAAATGAGATGATTTATGTGAAAGCCCTTTGTAAATGGCACTGTGGATTCAGATGTAAGTTGTTATTAATAAATTGCCAGTTGCAATGGGGAGCCTGTTGGATAAGAGCTTTAATTCATTCATCATATGTAAATGAGGTGGTACTCTTTGCAATCAAAGCTGTTTAATGAAGGTCATGATTAGGGGGAAAGAGTCAGGCGGCTGTTTTTAAGTAAGGTTGGTGTATGCCTGAGATTTCACTTATAAACTTATAAATACATAATTAGTATTGAAAATTACTGTTTAATGTGCATCCGAAGTGCTTTGCATTTTTTTGGTTGATAAAAATAAATGTATTTGAAGAGTAAGTTACTGAACTATAAAAAAAAGAAGGAGTCCATTTAGTAGCAAAATTACACGATGCTTCTCATTCTACATTCTGAAATAGGCTATTTTTAGCATCTCTTTGAATCAGGGATGAATTCTAGTTATAGGGTTCAGTAATTAAAGCAGAGAAAAATACAAAGTAGTTTGGGCAAGAAAATCTTTTTACTTGGGTTGGATTTGTTTCAAGGTTTAAACTGTCATCTCAAGGGCCTCCCTGGAAGCCACTGTTTTTGTAATCTTTGTGGGGTCAAGAGCAACAGAAAGTGCCAAAAGATCAGCCAAGGACACAGTGTCCCACTTTTTTAGAACAGGGGAGTTTTAAAACTTCTGGAATCCTGGTATTTCATAACTGGTGATCTTGTATCTGTGTTCTCTGCACAATCCTGGACAGAGGCGCCAGGGTCCTTTGGTCTCTCCCTGTCTTTCCTGTCCTCAGGCCCTTCCTTCTGGTCAGTGCTTCCACCCTCAGGACCTCTGCCCCTCTGTCCAGCTGCCCTGCTGGCCCCTGGTTTTCCTCCAGTTCTCAGTCTGCCTTTGAGTATTGCTAAAGAAAACTGCTTAATGATGCCCTTGGTACCAGTCCACATTTGTATTTAATGATGGTAGATTATTCAGAATGTTGCTGAATAGCTTCTTTACTTGGTTCTAGTCAGCAGTCTTTGCTCAAGCTGGAAGCCTTGTTTTATCATGAGAAAGTTATTATTATTTTATCTTTTTATGCCCGTTACAAAGAAGCTCATTAACTGTTTGGTGGAGTTGAAACAACTGTTGATTCAAATTCTCATGCTCATGCTTGTGTGGCACTTAAAAGTGGTGATCACAGAGGCAACTCAGGGTCACTAAATACGGGGCAAGTTCAGCTTTTCTAGTTGAAGTAGATTAGGAAGATGCATTTTTTTTTAAACCTCTGCATTTGGGGAAAAAAAATAACTTTCACAAATGTTTTTGAGTGTTGTCTATGTGCCAAGTATTGTGCCAAGTGCTGGAATTAAAAAGAAAAAGATTTGTCACAGTGAAGAATGGAATTAGGGATCAAAGTATTAGGATCCACAGGTGGCTGCCCGGGGCCAGACCTGTCTACTGTGAACATTAAAAAACGAAGCTTAACTGTTACCCGAAGGCAGAAACATCGATTAGATAATCGAGTTTTCCTTTGGAAACCAATTATATTTACTACGGATTTCTAACCATTTTCAACCTCTAAATTTTTTTATTTCTAGTAGTTCACTTTTTGTTGTGGTAATGAATAACTAGGCAAATGCAAGAGTAGAACTCAATTTGAACTTAAATCATCTTGGTTTTAGGTTTTTGTTTGCTCATTTGTTTACTATTTGTTTTGTTCTGAATCCACATTGATTGAGAGGGTGCCATGAATTCCTTTCTGTGTGAAACCCTGGGATTGGTACTGAGATGCAGTGAACATGCCCCAGCTCTGGTGGGTTGTTCAGGCTGGTGGGGCGGCACCTGGTGGTGCAGTAACAGTACTTGGTGCTCTTTATTGCTTGCTAAATGAGGTAGACGGCTCTTCCCATGGGTTAGCTCATTTAATTCTCACAGTCTAATTTTTGTAGTTAGGGAAACTTAGGTTTAAATAAACTGCTCAGAGTTTTCTGTAGCCTCACAGGAGACAGACAGGTGGATACACACACACTTTATTTCAGGAGCAAGTTCTCCATCTGGAGCTGTTTGACTTTCTCTTTTTTCTTTTCTCTTTTTTTTCGTGTGTGTGTGTGTGTGTGTGTGTGTGTGTGTGTGTGTGTGTGTCTGTGGCGGGGACAGGATCTCACTCTGTTACCTAGGCTGGAATGCAATGGTGTGATTGTAGCTCACTGCAGGCTTGACCTCCCAAGCTGAAGCGATCCTCCCACCTCAGCCTCCTGAGTAGCTGGAACTACAGGTGTGCGTCACCATGCCCAGCTAATTTTTTTTTTTTTTTTTAAGATACGGATTTTGCCCTGTTGCCCGGGCTGGTCTCAAACTCCTGGGCTCAAGCAATCCTCTTGCCTCAGCCTCCCAAAAGGCTGGGATTACAGGTGTGAGCCACTGCCCTGGCCCTTTGACTACCTCTCGTAGCACAATATTTAGTTGGTGATAAGAGTTTATCTTCATGTTGACTTTGTATACTCTTTGCATCTCAAAGGACAGAAATCAGTCTCTTGGTGTCACTGTTCCTCTCTTGTTTACTGCAGCTGGAACCAGTCTTCTGTCGTAGCACTTTCCATGCTCAGTAGTCCCCCCATATCCGAGGTTTCACTTACCGCAGTTTCAGTTACTGGCAGTCACCTGTGGTCTGAAAATATTAAGATAATTTTGTGCATGCACATGAGAGAGAGACCACATTCATGTGACTTTTATTACAGTATGTTGGTGTAATTGTTCTATTTTATTATGAGTTATTGTTAGTCTTACTGTGCCTAATTTATAAGTTAAATGTGCCTAATTTATAAAATAAGTTATCATAGGTATGTCTGTATAGGAGAAAATTTAGTATATAGGGTTTAGTACTATCCGCAGTTTTAGGCATCTGCTGAGTGTCTTGGACTGTATACCTCTCAGATGGTAGGGAGGGTTCCTGTGTCTCTCCACTTAACACTTTCTAGCTTGTGGTGTGGTATTTTTTGATATAATGCTTTACGTTTGTGTGATTCATAGTTATATTTCTAATGCCTAATAGTGGGCTAGTGTCAAAAGGCAAATTAAAAATCTAATTAAAAATAAAGATCTAATTGGCTTTTATTTGTGATTCTAGCATTGAATCGTACCTCATTCTGTAAAACAGGATGGGTGTTCCAGTGAACTGAGGAGAGGAGCTTGGCTTTATAGGCAAAAAAAAGGCTGAAGAAAGCAGAAATAAAGAATGAACAGCAGATTGGTCATTTCAGAATTACTTTCCTTACAGGGTTAAAACAGAGGAAACTTTTCTTATTATCCCAGCTCAGGTAAACTGGGCCTCTTCTGATTGGTGGCCATGAATCTCTTATTTTTGTTTTTTGTTTTTAATAGAAAACTGGCTTGTTTCAGAGCAGTTTTTTGTTTTGTTTTTTTTTTGAAACAGGGTCTTGCTCTGTCGCCCAGACTGGAGTGCTGTGGAGTGATCTCAGCTCACTCACTGCAGTGTCAGCCTCCCGGGCTCAGGTGATCCTCCTGCTTCAGCCTTCTGAGTAGGTGGAACCACAGGAGTGGGCCCCCATGCCTAGCTAATTTTTAAATTATTTGTAGAGATGAGGTCTCCATGTGTTGCCCAGGCTGGTCTCAAACTCCTAGGCTTAAGAGATAATCCTACCTAGGCCTCTCAAAATGCTGGGATTACAGGCATGAGCCACCGTACCCAGCTGAGTTCAGTTTAAGTGGTAGTTACCACAAGTGATTCCATTCTGGTTTGGTGTGGTCTACTGGGGCCTAGTACAGGAGCTCAGTCCGAAATAATGTACCCCTCCCCACCCCCCCGTCCCCCTTAAACTGTGTTGAACAGTAGTAAATGCTTGAATGAATTGAAGAGTGGTTGATGTGGTCCAGATCGTTGCCTGGGTTATCAGATTCTCTGGCGAGGGACTGTTAGCCCAGAGGTATGGGCCACTCATGGATCTTTACAATGCCATATCAGGCATGGGTTCCTTTTTCTTTGTATTTTACTAGGCAGTTATTCATTAAATGGAAGAGAAAGAAAATATTATCTTACGATTCTTGTATTTAGATCTGTGGTAAGTAATTTTTGAGTGAATAAAGTACTCAAAACTCAGAGAATTTCTCTTTATTTGCTCTCTCTTAGTATAATTAATACAGTTTTATTGAAATTAAAATGCACCTAGCTGAGAATGTGATACACATAGGTGTTCAGTGAATGTCAGCTAACGTTATTTTTGTTTTAGCTTACAGCAGTATCTCTTCTGCTACTTGTTTTGTATTTATTTATGTTTGTTTACTCTTCCCCACCAGATAAACTTTCTGGGGGGCAAAGACCTTACTATTTGACATTGTTTTTGCCTCACTTTCTATAAGAGGTCAATTATGTGTTGAATTGTATGGTGGGGCCAGCTAAAATGTGTTCATACTGGCTCTGACTTTAAAAGGTGCGGAACCGTTGTAGCAATGGGGTATCGAAGCTCAGGTAGTCAACCTGAGAGACCAAGAAAGAGGAGAAACACAAAGATTGCTGTCTTGTTATGCTAGACATATGCTTTTTGCTAAAAAATTCATATTCGACATTCTTACGAGATATATTTCTCTGAATCTAGGAGTGGTTACATTTCTATAGTGTCTTGCAATCTCATAAATAGAACATTATACGTGAATAGTTAAAAACATTGATGATGTGATCTCATCGATAGAAGTGAAAAGAAGAACATAGAATTTCAGCCTGGTTTAGGAGGTAAGGCTGGAAAAATAAGTGGGGAAATAGAGCTATATCTCGAGCTAGCTTCTCATTTCTGGAAAACTAGAATTTGGAGGCTTACAAGAGATGTCAGGGACCAAAATAGTAAATCCAAATACAATCAGATTAGGATAATATTGATAGATTAACAATGAGTCATTTAGATACAACCTGTTCTCAGGTTAAGTGTTTTCATGTAGCAGAATTCTTTATTTCATATTGATTTTGGATGTCGTGGATAAGTAAGATTAAAGGGCGTATTACTAGGGAAAATTTTATTATCATTGACCTTGTAAAATGCCCTATAGTACAGAATGAGGTATCATGAGATAAACTCTGTCATTTCTCTCATCAGACTACAGAGAAATGTAACCTGAATGTGAAGTGAGCTGCTGACAAGGTGAATGGTCTGAAAGTATTTGAAATTACCTGCACTCATATTGGCTGTCATAACGCTGCATGGTCCCCTCCTCCTCTTCCCCTCTTCTTTTTAGAAAAAGACTTTTTTTTTTTTTTTTTAACTAGGCAGTTATTTTTCCTGGCTTGACTTGTGGTCTGTGATTATTCTCTAAATTGTGACTTCCAGTGGTTTCATGATGTCATTTTTCTTTTCTTTTTTCCCTGAATGGTATAAATAATTTTTATTTAGTAGTAGTAGTTTAATACTTAGGCTTAGAGACAGCAGGATTATATTTTGTTGCTACCATATTGAGGTCATTATTTGGAACCTGAGTGAACAAGGATAAGTACATCTGTGATGGGATTTTAGCGGGGAGAGGTCCTTAAAGATTACCCAGTCTGTTCCTCTAGTCAGTGATTTGTTCATTTATTCAAATATTTGAGTGTCTATATGCTTTTCTTTGCAGTATTTCTTTTCCCAGATGTTGGTAATAACACCTTCAGTACAACTATCTCAAGCCAAAAATCTTAGAAGAGTACTGTCCAACCTAGTAGCCACTAGCCACATGTTACTATTTAAATGAACATTAGTTAAAATGAAGTAAAATATGGAGTTCCTCACTCACATTAGCACATTTCAAGCTGGATCCATGTGGCTGGAGGCTGCCCTCTGGGACACTGTCACTGTGTAGAACATTTCCATCACTGCGGGACATTCATTTGGACAGCACTACCTCAGAGCACTCCTTGACTCCAGGGGAGTCAGCATCCCCATCCCCATCCACTTAATCTTCCGAGACCTACGTCTGTCAGATTTGTTCCCTTTAAAGAATCCTCCCTTGTCTTAGTTTAGGTCTTCATCACCTGTCTTCTGAATTATGGCTTAAATTCAGTGACCAGCCTTGTGAAGCTGTCCCTGCCGTTGCCCCTCCAGCTGTAGCCACCTTCTCCCTTGTGCTCTGTGCATCCGCCATATACACCTGTCAGAGCACTGGCCCCACGGAATGCTACATGGTTGTTTACAGACTTTTCTTCTTGTGGACTGAGAGGTTCTTGGGAGTCCAGGGTTGGGCTTTGGTTTTACCAGGGGGAGGGGCAGGCACAGTGACTGACACATAACTACATATATATGTGTTTATTGAGCAGGTAGAGGCATGGATGGATGGAGGCCATAGCAGGTTGCAGTTTGAAGGCAAGAGACCTTTGGATACCTGGAAACTAGACGACAGGAGGGCATTTGTGACACAGGGAGTGTAACAGATGCAAGGCCAGAGGTAGGAAGTTACAGGGCAATTCTGCTTCTGGACAGTAGCCACAGGAGAGCACTGTCAGCACCATTCAGAGTGTAGCCATGTATGGAAATAGAATTGGAGTGATGGTGTTGCATAGAAGCATGCTTCCCTGTTCTGGCCAGTATTGCAGCTCGTAGTAGAGGTGCTGTGTTTCCACTTAGCAGCCTTAACCTGTGACTTCAAAGGAGTTACTGATATGCTCTCCATTGTCAAATGAGGCTACGTATTCACAAAGTCTAGTTAATTCTTCAAGACTTTTATGGTTCTTGACTTATGTTAGAAATGTTAGCAGCTCAGCAGCAAAGAAAAAGGCATGTGTCCGTGCCCAAAAGGAGACAATCCAATGTAGATATTACTTACTTACTCCTTTTTTTTTTTTTTTTTTTTGGTAGAGGTGGGGTTTTGCCGTGTTGCCCAAGCTGGTCTCAAACTCCTGGGCTCGTGATCTGCCTGCTTTAGCCTCCCAGAGTGCTGAGATTACAGGTGTGAGCCACACCGTGCCTGGCAAGAACAGTTGCTTTCTAGTCAGACTCATCCTGACTCTTCTTTTTCCTAGCTGTGTGATCCTAAAAAACTCACTTTTTGATCCTAATTTCTTCATTTTTAAATGGAGATATTACCTGCCTGTGAGGACTAAGTTAAATGTATATGACATGTTAGCTCTATGCTTAGACCTGAGTAAAACATTTACCAGTAATAGCTAATAACAAAAATAATAAGTCCATAGCCTTTCACACAAATGGGAAAATTCATAATTGTGTTTCACAAAGGAAGAGTTAACACGTGATTCTTAAACATAAATGGTCATCCAGAAAATACATAGGATGTTGGACATTTTCCTTGTCCTTAGGCATAGTTAGCTGGATATAACCATCTCTTAAGTGAAATGTATAGGGCTGGTTACCCTCAAAATCATCAAGTCGAATCAGCTGATCTAGTAGAGGTAAAATTAGGCCTGGGTAATCTAAACCCAGGGATAATTTTCTGTATTTGGAAATAAGGTGATCACTTATGCAGATTACTTAGGAAAAAGCTCACTTTTCTCTTTTACTCAGCATCAAGAGCATGCAGTACAGCTGCTCTGAAGGAAGAGAAGAAAATTGTGTGCTGCTTTAGTTTTAAATAAGTAAAATAGGATGTATAAAATGGAGTATCGCTGAATGATCATTCTATTTTTTTTTTTTGTACTGTTAAAAGGATGGTTGCGGTCTTAACTATGTGAGTTCTTAGAATCTACTGGCCTACATAGAATTCATGGGGGTCCAGATAATTCTTTTTAGTAGACTCAAAGTTGCTTTTCTTCCATAATGAAATGGCACAGTTATCTGTTTTCTCATGCCTGGACCTCCTTTCCCAAGCTTGATGCCTCCCACCCTTGTTTGACCTTCCTGAAGCTGCACCCCGCCCCACTTCTGGGCCGCTGTTCTCTCGCTTTCTTGCGTCTACCTTGTATTAAAATTATCTGCATTTATTTGTTACCCTCACAAGACTGAGTACCTTCACAAACAGGCATTTTCTTATTCATTTTTATGTGTTCAGTGTTTAAAGAGGGGCTGACTTCTACAAGATGCTTGGTACAGTCTTGCTGAGTGAATGGATGCATGTTCACTAAAATTTTCTTGTATGTATTCTTCCCAAGTAGACCATAATTCTGAGTAGGAAACCATGTCATGCTTCTTGTTACCTCATAGCTCTAGCACATTGGTATACAACATTGATCAGTTTGCTCTGTAGCATTGCTGTTAATGTCCAGTGTCCTGGAAACACCTTCTAGGGCGTATTTGGCAGTTATTAAATCTGTTACTATTTTATCCCTGTAGCTACTATTAGAATATTTATAAAATGATCTCCAAGACTTTTATTGAATTTGAATATTGTTATGGGAAAAATCGATACAAATGCTCTTATTAGCTACAGTTCTTATGTGAATGATTACTATTATTTGATTCAGTCTGTAGGCAGTAACAAAACCTAAAATATATGTGTTGTTGAGTAAATGAATTGAGCAGTTCAGTTGAATACACTTAGACTTGACTTTTTCTTTTTCTGCCCTTCAGCTATTATTTACTGTGAGTCCTTGAAGTTAATTTCAGAGGTTTTTCAGGATAGGGGGTTGGAATTATACAGGATTTCACACACCTTATTAGCTCCTTACTTAAAATAATTAAAAAAGAACTAGTTCAGGGATTAGAGCTCCCTTGAAATTGTTGAAATGTGAAATTTGAATTTAAGACTTTCTTGAAGACTTGAATGCATTTTGCCTACTGGTAATTAATTTTTTTTCTTTTCTTTGTAGTTTTAGTTTTGATTGCTGTTAACTACTACTGATAACTGAGCCAAAGTGGTGATGCTACTTGAGGGGAATTTCTGCAACCCATAGTCAACGATTACATGGTAAGAGTGTGTGCCTTTTACCCTTAAAGCCATTTAATTTCTGTAACATAGTTTAGAAATTTAATTAGAAATAGAAATAGCATAAAATATTCTAATATTTTTGAATATTAAATATTTAATATTAATATACTTTAATATATAAATATTAACAGCAGGTAATATTTTAGAGCTTTAGATCCTAATTAATAGTTTGGGACATTGAAAGAGAAAAAAAAACTTGATATATTCACTTCCATGTTAATTTTTTTGTGTGAAAAACATGATTATGTAGTTTATGACTTATTAAGCTGAGATCTCAGTCTTCTTACCTCTGTTTTTGCCCATTTACTTTTTATTTCCTGGAATTTAACCAATTCTTTGTTATCTGAATCTTTCTAGTAATGAATGGGTATGAGAAGTCAAGATTTAAAAACTTAAACCTAATCAGTTGGCCGGACACGGTGGCTCATGCCTGTAATCCCAGCATTTTGGGAGGCCGAGGTGGGTGGATCATGAGGTCAGGAGATCGCGACCATCCTGGCTAACACAGTGAAAGCCCATCTCTACTAAAAACACACAACAATTAGTCGGGTGTGGTGGCATGTGCCTGTAATTCCAGCTGCTTGGGAGGCTGAGGCCCGAGAATGGTGTGAACCCAGAAGGCGGAGCTTGCAGTGAGCCGAGATCGTGCCACTGCACTCCAGCCTGGCGACAGAGTGAGACTCCATCTCAAGAAAACCTCAAAAAACCAAAAGCAAACCTAGTCAGTTTTACAATAATTTACTCTGAACTGAGGTGGTGGTGATCGTGATAGTGGCTAAAATGAGGTTTTTGAATTATTTATGGATTTCAGTGACCTGTCTTACTCTAATTTTAAGGGGTAATTGAGGAGCAATGAGACATAGCAGACTAGTAGGGCAAGTTATTTCTTTGAGCTTCACTTTCCTCATATGCAGAATACTATCATCTGTCTTGCCTGATTTATGAAACTGTAAAAATCAAATGAGAGGATGTATATGGAATTTTCCTTTTCTTTCTTTCTTTTTTCTTTTGGAAGGATAGGGAGAGAATAACACGTCTTTTGGTTTTAAGATGATATTGAAAGAGAACATAAGGTAGAAGAAAGGCTATTATACCAGAATTAGAAGCTGGAAGATTGATCTCTAATCCTAGCTTGCCTTGACCTTGGGCATATCATTACATATTAATTTACCATAGGAAAATTGAACTTGATTTCCATACTTTCACTTTACAGGTAATTTTTCAGGAATGTATCTGTGTTCTCTGACCAAGTTTAATTAAGCTAGAAATCAGTATCACATACCCAAGAAATTCCAAAATATTTTGAAATTAATGATCACAGCCTGAAAATCCATGGTTAAAGAGGAGCTTACAAGGCAAAATACTTTGAATTGAATGAAAAGGAAAGCGTAACGTATCAAAATATATGCGATGCACCTAAAGCACTACTTTAAGGGGAAATTTATAGTGTTAAATGCTTATATTAGAAAATAAAAGTTAAATAGCTTTTGGGCTTTTCCTGTATGTCATGATGGGTTACAGGCTGATTGTAGTTCTGATAAATGGTTTCTTTCACTTCCTATCCAATTTATATGAAAAGGGGAGATAGTTAAATTTTTTTGTCAGGCAAGCATTTATTTTTTAACACGGATACTGTCTAGTATTTGTGTTCCACTTTATAGTTTTTGGGGGGCTTTCAGGTGTGTCATCTCACCACAGCCTTTTGAGATAACCAGGCAGATATTACTGCTTTCATATTTAGAATAAGGACTTGAGGCTTATGGAGGTCTCAGCTCTTGAAGAACTCGGGGCTTCTGCTTGCCACGCCATCTGCTTGTTTTGCTGCTGTGCTGCATTTCCAGGCTTTTTGTAGAAGCGCTGTCTGTGTTCAGACTGTTGTTGTAGGTGGCACACTCTGATTAGCTTGGTGAGGCAGATTCTGTTGGATGAGGGAATTCTCTAGGAGGAGTGCTTTTTCTTAGGCATTTCCGTTGGTGTTTGTATTATGCCCATCAGAGGTGGCCTTTTTTTAAGTACCGTTTTGGAGCTATGTCTATCTGGTTGCTAAATGTGTCTTTCCTGTCTCATTTCTTTTATCATGATATTTAGTCCTGTGTGTGGCTAACAGTCGACTTATTTTTACTTGACCTTCATGTTAGAATGTACATATTAAATAAATGTTCAGTGATCTCCTACTTTGTCATACTCAGATTATCTGTTGCCACAGATTTGTTTTTTTTGGTTTTTGTTTTTGTTTTGATTTTTTTTTGAGACGGAGTCTCGCTCTGTCACCAGGCTGGCAGGCAGTGGTATAATCTCGGCTCACTGCAACCTCTGACTCCCTGGTTCAAGCGATTCTCCTGCCTCAGCCTCCCGAGTAGCTGGGGTTACAGGCATGTGCCACCATGTCCAGCTAATTTTTGTATTTTTAATAGAGACAGGGTTTCACCATGTTGGCCAGGATGGTCTCGATCTCCTGACCTTGTGATCCCCCTGCCTCTGCCTCCCGAAGTGCTGGGATTACAAGTGTGAGCCACTGTGCCCAGCCCACAGATTCATTTTTAAACTGCTTTATTGTGGAATAATTGACATACAGTAAACTATGCTTATTTAAAATGTATAATTTGATAAGTTATTTGAAATATGTATACACCCATGATACCATCAATGTAGTTGAACTGGTGACCGTTGTTTCCTCATGGCCCTTGGTCATTTTTCCCTTTTGTTTCCCTCCTACCCTCACATAACGGCTGCTCTGCTTTCTGTCCCTATAGATAAGTTTATATTTCCTAGAATGTTATGTAAATGGAATAATACAGTATGTAGTATTTTCGTCTGGCTTTCATTCAGCATAGAGATTCATCTCTTGTTGTTGCATGTATCAGTAGTTCATTCCATGTTATCATTGAATAGTACCTCACTGTATGGATGTAATGCAGTTTGTTTGTCCATTCACCTGCTAATGGACACTTGGATTGTTTCTAGTTTTTGGCTGTTACAAATAAAGCTGCATGAACATTCATATACAAGTCTTTATGTGGGCACATGCTTTTATTTATTTTGGGTAAATATCTAGGAGTAGAATGGCTGGATCGTGTGATAAGTGTATGTTTAACTTTTTAAGAAACTTGCAAACCATTTTCCAAAGATTATTTTGTTTCTCTTGAGCAGTGGATGATAGTTCCAGTTCATCCATGTTCTCATAAGCACTCTGTATGAACAGTCTTTTTAAGTTTAGCCATTCTCATCAGTGTGCAGTCATATCTCCTGCGGTTTTAATTTGCCTCTCCTTAATGACTAATGCTGTTGAGCATTTTTCATGTGCTTGCTTGCCATCTGCATAACTTCTTTAGTGAAGTGTCTGTTCAAATCTTGTGCCCATTTTAAGAAATTGGGTACTTTATTATAGATTTTCAAGAATTCTTTATATATTCTGTATCAGATCTTTATCAGATATATGATTTGTAGTTTTATTCATTTTAATAGCATTTTTTTTCCTTTTTACCCCAGAATGAAATTTTTGGGAGCCAATATGGGATTATTTTTTGGTTTTATTTTTTGCACTTTCCCCAACTCCCATAAAAGTAGTTACTCTTTGTCATCTTCCTTTTCTTCCATTTTCTGGCAGGGCACTTAGTTTGTATTCTCTTTTTGGGGGGCTGTACATGAGTCAATAGCTGTGCAGGACAGAAGACCCCTAATTAGTGAATATGTTTGCATGGCTGGGATGGTCAGCTCTTTATTTCTGGAGGTTGGAGATCTGCCATTCCAATTGTCATCAGTATTGACTCGTTGTCCCTGGGGTGTAGTCAAAGGCCTCACCTGAAGTACTACAAGGTCAGAAGCCAGAACAGGGCCAGATTCAGATTCAATGATGAAAATGCTGGCGACAATTCACCAACATCCCTTGATTTTTACATGTTCATTTCTGATTGAATTGTATTGTGCTTACTGTGTGATTGTAATTTTCTGTGTGATTGCAGTTAACTTTTTTGTGTGACCTAATTCATAGCTTTTTTTCTTACAACTTTTCCGTGTTTTCTTTTTTAAATATGCATTCTCACATCTATGTATAACATTTTTAAAAACTATCAATTAACACTTGTTAATTGTATTATTCAAATCTTGGTCTTTGTTGGTTTCTGAGAAAAGTATGTTGGGTCTTCTACAAAAGGATAATAAAAGTTCATAATTGTCATTTTTAGTGTTTTTTTTTTACCAATTGAATATGATAAGTGTCTTCCCCTCCATCTGTTTTTGTTGCGTTCACCTTGAGTTTCTCTTGTGTCTTAGAGCCTGACTCCCTTTTGTTGTTAGCATTTGCCTGGTGTATATTTTTAATCTCTTTATTTTTATCACTCCTAGTTATTTCATTTTAGATGTATTCTTGAATATTTATCTTACAAAACCCAAACAACTCAGTGTGTTGCTGCTTTGTTCAGTGGAGGCTGTTTGGTGAGTGGTAAGGACATGGACTGAGTCCAGGCTGCCTGGGGTTGAATTCAGGCACTGCATAAACTGGCTGTGTGGTGTCTGTCAAGTTTACTTAAATATTAGTGCCTGTTTCTTCCCTATACAATGGAAATATTAATAGTTTCTATCTCATTTTATAAGAATTAAATGAGCTAATATATGTAAAATTCTTGACAGTGCATGGCACATTCTATAAGTGGTTTGGCTGTGTTCCCACCCAAAATCTCATGTTGAGTTGTAGTCCCCATAATCCCTACGTGTCAAGGGAGAGACCAGGTGGAGGTAATTGAATCATGGGGGCAGTCTCCCCCATGATGTTCTTGTGATAGTGAATTCTCATGAGATCTGATGATTTTTTAAGTGTTTGGTAGTTCCTCCTGCATTCATTCTCCCTCCGGCTGCCTTGTGAAGAAGGTGCCTTGCTTCCCCTTTGCCCTCCGCCATGTTGGTAAGTTTCCTGAGGCCTCCCCAGCCACGTGAAACTGTGATTCAATTAAACCTCTTTCCCTTCTAAATTACCCAGTCTTGGGAGTATCTTTTTAGCAGTGTGAAAACAGACGAATATGAAGTCTTAGCCATTAATAGTGAGTTCACCCATTAACACTTACTGTGATTATTTGGAAGGCCATAGTCACTATTAGTGCCTCCTTTTTGTTAAAAAAATTAATACTTTCTTGTCCATTGCTGACTTTATTACAATTTTTTCCTGTAATGGTTTGTTATTTATATATCCAGTATCTTCTAGTTGTTTGTACGAAATCAAAATATTGATCATGCAGATAACACCTGAATATATACGTCTTTTAAAAACTTGCAACACATTTGCAATTAAAGTACCTTTTGAGTCTCAGCTCTGTTCCTCCTCCCTTAGAATAATAAATTCATTATTATGAATTTGAGACATTTCCTTCTCTGACACACACTCTCTCGCTCTCTCTCTCTCCCCACCGTCTCCCCCACCTCCGCCCCCCCGTCTCTTTCATACATGTAGGACTACATAGTACTTTTTACTAAATGGCATACTGTAATTATGAACTTTGTATTTTTCATTCACTGCTATGTTTTGGAGGACACTCCATATATATATTTATCTTGTTTCTTTTAACAGCTGCCTTTCCCCTATTGGTAGTCATTTCCAGTTTATCTCTATGTCAAACAGTGCTGCTGTGAACATTCTTGTACATGAATTCTGTGCACAAGTGAGAATGTTTCTCAGAATAAGAGATGGAAATGCTAGGGTCCATAGTATGCATATTCCTAGTTTTATTAGATATAATTCTTTCAAAGGACAATTTGATGGTTGGCTGCCATTTGTATTTCTCTGGTGTAAATTGCCAAGATCTTTTCATTGTGGTTCTCCAACCACACATCTCGTGGCCACAGTCCTTCCTGTCATATTTTTGGCTTGTGGTTTCTTCCTTTAATCTCATCCCGTTGCCTTTCAACTTTGGAGGTTATCTATCATTTGTAGTCCTGTAGTATTGTTGCACATATTTTAAATGTACATCTTTTTCATCATTTCTGTGGGTTTGAAACAAAGGAGAAGCCTAGTCTAGGTGCTCTGTTTATTATATTCTATTTCTATAATCTTCCATTTCAAATTATATAATTTTTGAAAGGATTTCCTATGAATGAGCTAAGGTTATGCACATACATGCCATACACAACCTGCTTATAAGTGTCTCATTTTAATGGAGAAATATGCTTAGCATATGCTGCAGCCTTAAATGGAAAGTAGATTACATTTAATCCCAAATCAAGGAAATGGAGATTGTTGTTCTTCCTTGTCTGAAATGTCACCTTAAACTGCTGTTTTCCTTAGTTTACCCACAGCAGCATTTCTGTAAGTCTCCTTGGAGGCTGGGTATATATTCTAGTCTTATGCACACAGCTTCCTGGCAGACATCAAATGGAATTTGACTTACCAGATGTCGTACTGAATCATGGTCTGCAGAGATGCGGATGGATCACATCCTTGGCTGGGGAAGTGGGGTGGATACAAATATCTGGGTCAACTCAGTGGTTAACCAAAGGTTAGTCATGTTATAAAAAGTCATGTATATCAAAAATACAAAACAGAGTAAGATAGGGGGTCTGAAGCTTATGCATGCAATCAGCAACAAGGCAGTGTCAGGAGTTGAAGGACCAGACAAAACCATCTGTTTAATAAGATAATAAAATCTGATATAAAAGGAACCTTGGAAATGTAAACCACCTCCTTCCTTTTTGGTCAGAGCTGACTCTTAATGACAAATGATCAGGTGCTTAGAGGGTTAAGAATGGGGAGGGACCTGCTGGGATAGAGGGAAAGAGAATGAATAGAAGCATCATATTAGAAGTCAAGGATTACTTGAATACCAAAGCAGACAACTTTCCCCTCCTTGGCTGCCTTTTTATCCTGGTAAGACACAGAAATGAAGTAGCCTTGGCTTACTGGCATATTTATAATTGGGACCTGTAGGAAGCGTTTACAATGGGGATGTGGTGGGCAGAGCACCAGTGGAAGTGAGAGACCGAGATTCTAGTGTCTACTCCAGGATGTAGGAGATTTTGGGTCTCTTTGTCTTAATCTTTGATTGTAAAATAAAGTTATGCTAGATCTCCAAGGTTCCATTTATCTTAAAATTTTTTTTATTAAGTAGCTGATTTTGTCTGGCTGATCAAAACAGGGAAGAAAAATAGTTCCTGGTCAAAGCATCTCGGAGGTTCCTGGGTTAATAATGTGCATCAGAATAAATTTTTATGCACAATAAAGGACTATAAAACAGATGTAGGTTCAAATATTAAATGTATTCTTGAATCCCACATGTTCTGAGTATCTAGTTAAATGAACACCATGGTCTAAAAGGACTTAGAAATAAAATATGGGTATATTTTAAAAATATTTTTTATCTAATAGGAATTTAGTGATTTATTTAACTTTAAAAAGTCTGAATTAAATGAACATAACACAGAGCATAAAGATTAATTGAAGCATAGATATGTAGAGCGTGGCAAGTTGTAGAACAGCAGCTTTTTTCAGAGCTCCCTTTACCCTGTCCATGGCTAGAAGAGAAAGGCAGGGAGACCAAAGGCTTGATCTTCACAGGCTCCCACACCACTTCTGTATCCCCACCCATGATACGTTGTTCTTCACTTTTACTCCGAGATTTCTTCCCACAACAGAGAAACTGCAAGACAGGAGCTAATGGTGAAAACCCTGGTGGAGAGAAATCTTGACCTAGACTTCAAATCCCTACCTTTTCAGTTAGAACCATATTAGCTTCTACCTGGAGGATCTTTATATGCCATTTTGTGGCCCTTGAAAGACAAACTGTGTCCCAGAATGTCCTCTAAAAATAGGTACTTGACAAGGTTTTTCATTACATTATTCCATAGACACAAAGTTGCCTTTTTCTGGGAGACTTATTATTTAGTTGTTGAGGCTGTATAGCAAAAGCTAAGTGACGTTTTAAAATGGTGGAATGCTGCTTCTAAGCCTTGAGTGAGAGCTTCACTCTTCCATCCTCAAACGTCTGTTGAATAGCTTCCCGATGCTGAGCAGGATGCTGGGGGGTCTGTGATGCCGTGTCATCTCCCATTCCCCACTGAGAATGGAGTATTTCTAGTTGCGTTTTAATTTCCAGGAATGAGACATACCTTTAATGTAGTGCTTATCACACTGTGTTGTAACTTTATTTATATGCCTGTCTCTGCCACTAAACCATTAGCATCTTGAGGAATGGGGTTTGTTTTATTTTCGTTTGTTCAGTTTTTGCATTTCCACTAGCTAAAGCATCATGAAAACACACTGAATGTTTGGAGAGTAGGTGAATCTGATATGGTAGTTTCTGAAAGCCAGCTGAATGTCTAACTGAAAAGGAAAGTATGCCAGAGCTGGAGGGAACCCAAGAGAGCAAATCTGTTCTGCAGGAGAAGAAACTGAGGCCCACCCTGATGAAGAAACTGAGGCCCACCCTGATGAAGAAACTTGCACAGAGTCGTGTAGTGTTAGTGGCAGAACTTGGACTAGAACCCCAGTTCCCCAATTCCTAGTCCTTTGCTGCTTCACTGTACCTCTCTGTCTCCCATCCTGTGGAAACATACAGACCACATTTCAAAGAGCAAAGTGTGAACATTTGTCCCAGTGAAATGAGGTTGATTGAATTTTATGTGGTCTTTCTTCCTTCCCTCCCCCTAAATCACAACTTTTAATAAAGCTTTAAAAAGAAGCAGTGTGGCTCTAGAAGGCAGTGTGCGAAGTGAGGAGTTTAGGAAGCTGAGGCCCTTCCTTTGGCGGTGGGAATGTTATGTTAGTGAGTATCTTTTGGGAGTTGTCAGTAGGCACTTAACTCCAAGCAGAGTGCTGTAAAGTGGAGGCAGGCAGACATAGCCCTTGTCCTTCAAAATGAGAAGGCCACACTGAGGGGAAAGGTCAGAGGAAGGGCTTGGGCCAGCATTGTGTCACTCTACTCTATGGGCCCTGGCTACTTTTGCTTGGGTCACTTTCATTCCGAGGGCAAAACTCATACATACAAGTAAAACATGGTTAAAAAGCCCAACATCTGCAGTATACACACATTTAGTTTTGTGTGTATAATATAGTCTGTGCCACATGTTTTAGTGCTATCATGCACTGTGCTCTAATTACCTGGCATGCAGCAATCAGAGCAAAGGTTACCAGCACATAGAAGAGAGAATCATTAACACTGTCAGGTTCTGCAAACTGGTTGTTCTGAAAGCTCAAAGGTCAGTCTTTAATGGCTGCATAGTGGAGAAAGAAATCCACTACAAAATCTATTCAGTTAATTTTGTATAGTCAACTACCTCTACCTACCAGTAATATCGTTTTAAAATATGTAATAAAGACTTAATGCAGTTAACATGTTACTCTACATCCCATGAACCCTTACTGCGGTGGAGAATGACCACAGTTGTGGGCTTCAGTTTATTTGCCCCATTACAGTGTATTCTATGCATGAAAGCTGTTATCCATGTTAATAGAGTAGTGGTGGTGTTCTTTTCTTTCCAGAATAGTCTGCTCTCTTTGGGGTCTGCACACATAAATTCTTAAGAGTGTACTCATATGTTCACTCATTGAGAATATCAGTTTACTTAGCTGGACGTGGTGGTGGGTGCTTGTAATCCCAGCTACTCGGGAAACTGAGGAAGAAGAATCACTTGAACCCGGGAGATGGAGGTTGCAGTGAGCCAAGATCGCACCAGTGCACTGCAGCTTGGGAGACAAAGCGAGACTCCGTCTCAAAAAAAAAAAAATCTGTTTACTGTTTCTTTCTTTTTTTGTGAAAATAGTTATCAGCTCAATGTCTTAACAAAAGAAGAAGCTGATATGTTACCCTTGTTCTTACTGTGAAGGTGGAGTTTCTCTTCCAATTAGGATATAAGAGAACATTGCTTCTATTTTAAGAAACAAAAAAGGCCAGATTATCTAGAAAGCAATAACTTTTCTTAAATCCCAAAGGGTGACAAACCCATCTGAGAGTAGACAGGACACTTGAACTGTTTCACATTTAGCAGAGCACAGGGGGAACAGGTAACCATCATAGAAGTGCATAAGAAGAATTCAGCAAAAATTGTAATGCATTCTTAAGGTTGAGTATGGGCTAATGCATCAGTTTAGGATAACCAGGTACCCCAGATACAAGGGGAAGGTTACACTTACTCATAAGCTGTTTTCTACAGCCCTCCACTGGGTACTCTTAAGAAAGCTTATGAGCAAGCCTGGAGACTAGACAGAACCTCTTTTGATCGTGCTGCTCTGCGGGAGGTAATCTCAGCTGCCACTGGGAGACAGGCATGATGTAACACCTGCTTCCCCACAGCCTTCTCTCCTATGACAGAGTTCCCAGGAGGGCAATGAAACCTCTAGCCCATAGGACTCAGCAAAGATCTATTTCTGGCAGAGGTTTAGGAAACCCTCTTTCCTGCCCTGTGACCAGCAAGATCCTCTGCTTCTGGGACGAAGGGTAATTAATAGCAAAAGCAGGACAGACTCTTAGGCTCATAATCTTTCACTGATGCAAAGCAAAGTTCTCTTTCTGCTGCATGAGGGACAGGAACTCTTTCATGCCCAAGACAGGGACAAATATCAGGCAGAGTTTAGTTGTGTTGGAGAAGAGATGCACAGATCCTGAGAAGGCCCCACTCTGAGGTCCAGGTATATGGATCATTCCTAAAATTTAGGCTGGGCCAGGGAGAGCAAGGAGCCTAGCACCTGGTAACGTAGCAATAACAGTCATCTCTGGAGAGCAAGAATGTAAAGAGGAATTTGTGTCACCTTTGTGACATAAATGTCAAGGAACTACAGGATGATCAGGAACACTGAAAAAAGTCTAGCACACTAGGCACAAGACAGCAGCCCATGGCTAGGGGATTTTGATGCTTGGTGTATCAGATAACAATAGCAGCCATCTCCCTCAAACCCTGACTAGGTTGACTCAATCAACCTTAGTAATGGCTTGCTAGAAGAACATGTGAATTCATTGCTGGACAAGAAATACTGTTTACTTAGTCTCTACTGCTTTGCAAATGATATCCAGCATTCAGCACAAAATTATGAGACAAAAAAGGCAAGAAAGAATGACGTGTTGTAAATCAAGAGATAAAGCAATCAGCAATCAATGGAAACAGACTCAGAGATAACTTAGATATGGGAACTTAAAAATAACTGTGATTAATGTATTGAAAAATGTATTGAGAAAAGTCTATATCAACAGAAATAAGGAAACAAGTTTTTAAGAGTTAAATGGAAACTGTTGGAAATGTAAAAACAAATTGGGTTTATTAGCAAACTGGATGTAGCTGAGAAAATAATGAAAGCTAAATCAGCAGAATATAAAAAGGAACAGTGAAACAAAAGAAGAAACAAGGAAAGAGGAAAGTGGAGTGGGGAAGGGGAGGGATGACAAAACCGAGCATCTAAGAACTATGGAACAGTATCAGTAGTCTAACACACATGTAATTGGAAACCCAGAAGGAAAAGAGAAGATACTGTCCAGAAAAAAATACTAGAAGGCACAGTTGCTGAGAATTATCCCAAATTAATGAAAGACAGGAAACAACTAATAAGACAAACAGATCCAAGAATCTCAGAGAACCCCAAGCAGGATTTTTTTTTTTAAGAACCCTCCAAGTTCTAGAAACACTGGAATCAAGTTGCTGAAATACCCAAGGTAAAGGGGAAAGTCTTGCAGGCAGCCATAGTTTAAAGAAAATGAAACATTACAAACAGAGGAACAAGGGTAAGAATAACAGCAGACTTCTTGTCAGAGACTATGAAAGTCATTAAGACAGTGAAATAACATTTTTAAAGTATCAAGAGAAAAAGCTCAAATCCTGTCGATGCATAATTCTATACCCAGCAAAAATATATTTTTAAATTAAAGGCCAAATAAAGAATGTTTCAGACAAACAAAAGCTGAGGGAATTTATTGCCACAGATCTGCACTGTAAGAAATGAAAGGAAGTTCTTGGGCAGAAGGGGCATCAGATGGCGGTTGGGATCTAAACAAAGAAATGAAGAGACCCTGAAATGGTAAAAGAGAATAAATATGTTATATTTTTTCTTATTTTTAATTACATTAATTGATAATTGTCCAGAGCAAAAACAATAGTAATGTGGGGTTTATAAGAGGTAAAATATATGACAACATTGGACAAAGCATGGAAGAAGAAAATGGAAATATACTGTTTATATTAGGGGGTCTCCAGAGAAATAGAACATATAGGATATATAGATTTATGAGGAGATTTATTATGGAATTTGGCTCACACAATTATGGAGGCTGAGAAGTCCCACAATCTGCTGTCTACAAACTGGGGACCCAGGAAAGCCAGTGGTGTAATTCATTGTGCCTAGCTGATGGTATAACTCCCAGTCCATTGCCAAAGACTCGAGGACCTGGGATTGGGAAGGTGGTGCAGGTGTAAGCTTTGGAGTCTGAAAGCCTGAGAACCAGGAGCTCCAATGTCTGAGGGCAGGAGAAGATGGATGTCCCAACTTAAGAAGAGAGAGAGAGAGAGAAAATTCATCCTTCCTCCACTCTTTTGTTCTGTTCAGGTTCTCAGTGGATTGGATGATGCCCACCCACCTTGGTGAGGGTGGATCTTTTTTTACTCAGTCCACTGATTCTAGTGCTGATGTCTTTCAGAAGCACCCTCTCACAGACTCACCCAGAGATAATGTTTCAGCAGCTCTGGGTATCTCCTAGCCCAGTCAGCTTGACACATAAAATGAACCATTACATTATTCTAAAGTTACAGTGTTCTCACACTATGCATGAAGTTGTTCAGTATTATTCGAAGGTAGGTGTGATAAGCTAAAAATGTATATATCTATAGTAAGCTCTAGAGCAACTACTATGAAAAACGTAAAAAGAATAAAAACCAGTTGTGGAGATGAAATGACATCATAACAAATAACTGAAAGAAAGCAGAAAAAGAGCTTTTGGACCAAAGAACAGGTGGGACAAATAGAAAACCACTAGCAGGATGTGTTAAAGAAAAAATTATTTAATAAGACTTGTTAAAGCATGGTAAAGACTTTTATTCAGGACCATTGCAGAAGGTAGAGGAGCCACTGCAACAGCATCTTGCAGTAGGGGAGAGAGATTGGGTTCAACTCTGAATACAGCATGGGCAAGTGGGGACTTATAGCCAAGGATCAGTGAGAGGGTCAGTGGATGGAAAAGTACTAAGAGGAGGACGTCAGGGGTTAGGAGAATTCTGGCTGACGCCTAAGAGGATTCTTGCTGAAGATAGCCAGGGTGATGCGATGTCATCTGGGGGATGGTGGACAGTTAGGAACCTGATGAGATATTGAGGATAAACAAATTTTGAGGATGGCAAGGAATGTTCTTGCTAAACACATTTAGCAGGGGTCTTTGCTAGAAACTGAATTTTACAAAGAAGGTGCACAGATGGGCCTAGCAGAAGGTTCAGAAGCCTGACTGAAGTTTGGCCAAGCAAAGAATCTTTGTCAGATGGAAGGTTTAAATTCAGCCACATCAACAATTACATTGAATGTAAATGATCTAAACACCCTAGTTAAAAGTCAGAGATTGTAAAATTGGATAAAAAAGCAACACAACCGTATGCTCTCCAAAATAAATTCTCTTTAAATACATAGAAACAGAAAGGTTAAAATTAGAAGGAAAAACTTGTAAACACTAATCAAAATAAGGAATGACCGTTATATCAAAGTAGACTTTGGAACAAAGATTATTATTAGGGGTAAATGGGACATTACATAATGATAATGGGATCATTTCCCCAAGAAGACTTAATAATCTTAAATATGTGGCTACATTCAACAACAGATCTTTAAAATACAGAAACAAAAACTGATAGAACTCAGGGGAGAAGTTGACAAATACACAATTATTGTTGACGTCTTCAACAACTCCTCTCTGAGGACAGTAGGAAGTAAAATTCGCTACCCAGTTTGCTGTAAACACATATAAATGCTGAATAGAGTATAACCAAGAAAGTAGAAAGTAGAAAGCACATTGATATGATTTTGAAATTCTTTAATCATTTGGCTTTAATTGGAAGAGTACCAATTGGAGAAGTTCAGTGCCAGTATTCAGGCATTTAATTGTACAACATGTAAAATTAGAGGAGAAATTTAGGTTTAGATTAATTGCATGAGAAATAAAATTAGAGGACAAATGTTAGTATCTTATTTTGGTAATATAAAATTAATTAAAATTATATTACTATCAACATCTTATACTATACTTTTTTTTTTATTTTCATGTGAGCCTCTCAACAACCTGTAAGGCAGGCAGGGAAGGTGTAACTAGTATTACTGCACAGGGACTCATGGAGTTATTTTGATAGGGTAATATATAAAATCAGAGGTGGGGTGTACATTTATTGCTGTGCATGCAACATTGTCTACCCCATTTCCTGTAACTAATATCCTCAATATCTATCTGGTTCTTTGTTTTGGTTTTTCACCTATACCTAGTCAAAGTTTATATGTGTCACTGTTTATTCATTCAGAATACATTTGAGGATACATTGGGGTGGGCTGGGGGGACGTGAAATGTGGTAGGTGTTGTAGTAATGAAGGGACAATTAAAACGAAGGCTAAGAATTCTTAAGAGAATCCTCGCAAATGGCAGTAGGAAGTAAAATTAGCTACCCAAGTTGCTATAAACACATACAAATGTTGGATAGAGTATAACCAAGTATGTGTGTATGCACTTATATATGTATATATTTATATTTAAAATAGATATACCTAATGCTAGATGACGAGTTAGTGGGTGCAGCACACCAGCATGGAACATGTATACATATGTAACTAACCTGCACAATGTGCACATGTACCCTAAAACTTAAAGTATAATAATAAAGAAAAAAAAACCCTAAAAATAAAATAAAATAAAATATATATGTATTTTAAAACATTGCCATGCTTGAACGAATCAGCAATCTTCCCTAGGTGTTAGGAGCTGAGAGAGTTGGAGGGAAGATGCTTAGAGCTAGAGGCCAGGGTTTAATGCTGCCCGTACATGGAAATGTGTTTCAGGCCAACCTGATGGAATGAGCTAGAACTGAGACCTCAGAATAAATGCTGGGATGTTCAAAGGGCTGTCAAATCCCGTAAAAGTTGGGTAGAAAACCTGCGCTCGCCAATCCTGAGAAATAGCTTGCCATCTGCCTGGGGCTCCAAATAGTAAGAAAACAAAACAAACAAATGTGTTAGGGAGAAATTAGAACCACAGTCTTGGCCAGGGGCACAGCAAAAGAAAACATAAAATTGTTCTACAAGGAAACTTTTCTAAAACAAGGTGCAGAGAACAACCCCCTACCCCCACCATGAGAAAGAGTTTGCAGTAAGAGGTTAGACACACTAGCAAGTGTCAGCAGGTGCTGCACATGTGTGAGGGCACATGCACACAGAGAATTAGCACAGCAAGTATGAATTAAGGTAGGTAATTAAGCTACCTGGCTCCTCCCAGGAGGAGATGCCAAGGTAGGATTACAAGTTCAAGGATCCTGAATGGATCACCTGGGTTCCTTCCTGCCTCCTTTGCATGAACACAGTCTTACCTCTTCCTGCTGGCTGGAGTCAGTTTCCTCTGCCAGTACGGAGATTCCTCTTTTCATTTTCTATTCCATGGTAACATGAGTCCAAAGTACCGTGGTGGCATCCAGAACTTGCAGTTCAGTGGGATCTTTGCCTTGTTCCTGCTAAGTGTGTGCCCCATTTCAGACCCCCAGCCCTGCAGTGTCCACTGGTGCAGAATGGGAAGCACAAAGTTCCCCTGGGCTGTTGGTGGTGATCATTAAGTAGGGCTTTTCTTGCCTCCAGCCCTAGGCGCCTAAGCCCACATGTCCTCCTCCTTGGGATCCCACTGCCATCTAGAGGCCTCTGATGTATAAGTGTACTGTGTTGTGGAGTATGACCATCCTTTCAGAGTGTCTGGCAAGCTTGTGCTTCAGTGTGCCTTGAAAAGGCTGGCCCAGCGTTCATTGGGATGGACCCGCGTTGGGTGGTTTGATATGTGATGTGACCATTGGATCCTGTCGATGGGCCCACGCTCGACGTCCTTCACTGTAAAGTGGGTCCCCTCGTCAGATGCGATGATGTGTGGGGTCCATCAGGCTGATAATTCTGGGTGGACTTATCGATGATGCAGGCTGGCGGATTTTGCCTGCTTTGTGTTCAGTGTCTCTTTGGTGGGAAACTTTCCAGTGGAGGTTAACAAGTGATACAGAAATCTTCACCCTGTGCCCACTCCCGAATTTCTACCCACATGGCCTTTATCCAGATCTCCTTGTTCCTCATCTTCCAGTTCTTTTTATTTCAGTACCTTGACCATACAACCAGGCTGTTGGCCACTGCCCACACATCTGCACGCATTTCAGATCAAGCTACGCGGTGTCATGAACTGGTGTCCTGCCCACAGCTCCACCTGCTGGGAAGATTTTCCTTTCCACTGTCTCTGAGGGCCATCCTGAGTACTGCTGCAGCACACACAGTCCATTTTTGACTAACACCATGTGCTGAGCTGATCCGTCTGAAAAACCAAGCTCAGGCTTTCCTTCCTCCTTCCCCTGGATGTATGAGTCTGCTGCCTGTGTAACCTAGGCACACAGGGGAGGGGCACTACAGCTCTTGGGGGTGACTTGGAGGTCTGGGCTTCCTGCTCATGGGACTCACTTGTATCCTGTGGTTCTACTGTGGTTCAATCTTGAATGTCCCATTTCTATTTTATGGTCAACTGCTGCTAGTTTGAATTAATAACTTGACTGACAGAACTTAGCTCATTCTGGGGAGCTTTGCATGCCTGGACCCCTGGTTCTCTGTGATCTCTACCAGGTCTTGGTAATATAGTACATTTAATACTCTGATGTGATGGCAGGTCCTAGGGCCTTGCCTTTGATTCTCCTGCTGGAGCTTGCCACAAACTCCATATTGTCCTGTTTTCCTTATTTTTTAAATTTTTCTTTTATTTTTATTTATTTATTTTTTGAGTCTCAGGGCATTTATTTTGTAAGGAACATGTTTGAAAAGGGGCATTTTAATTATCCTGTAAATGTTTTTACCTCAGCAATAATGTTTACATAGCTAGTAATCATGGCTCTCAGGCATGATGAGTTTTACTGTTGTTAAGTTTTGTTTTGTTTTTATACTTAAAGTTCTAGGGTACATGTGCACAACATGCAGGTTTGTTACATAGGTATACATGTGCCATGTTGGTTTGCTGCACTCACTAACTCGTCATTTACATTAGGTATTTCTCCTAATGCTGTCCTTCCCCCAGCCCCCCAACCCCCAACAGGCCCTGGTGTGTGATGTTCCCTGCCCTGTGTCCAAGTGTTCTCATTGTTCAATTCCCACCTATGAGTGAGAACATGCAGTGTTTGGTTTTCTGTCCTTGTGATAGTTTGCTGAGAAGGATGGTTTCTGGCTTCATCCATATTCCTGCAAAGGACATGAACTCATCCTTTTTTGTGGCTGCACAGTATTCCATGGTTTATATATGTCACATTTTCTTAATCCAGTCTATCATTGATGGACATTTGGGTTGGTTCCAAGTCTTTGCTATTGTGAATAGTGCCGCAGTAAACATACGTGTACATGTGTCTTTATAGTAGCATGATTTACAATCCTTTGGGTATATACCCAGTAATGGGATCGCTGGGTCAAATGCTATTTCTAGTTCTAGATCCTTGAGGAATCACCACACTGTCTTCCATAATGGTTGAACTAATTTACACTCCCACCAACAGTGTAAAAGCATTGCTATTTCTCCACATCCTCTCCAGCATATGTTGTTTCCTGACTTTTTAATGATTGCCATTCTAACTGGTGTGAGATGGTATCTCATTGTGGTTTTGATTTGCATTTCTCTGATGGCCAGTGATGATGAGCATTTTTTCATGTGTCTGTTGGCTGCATAAATGTCTTCTTTTGAGAAGTGTCTGTTCATATCCTTTGCCTACTTTTTGATGGGTTGTTTTTTTCTTGTAAATTTGTTTGGTTCATTGTAGATTCTGGATATTAGCCCTTTGTCAGATGAGTAGATTGCAAAAATTTTCTCCCATTCTGTAGGTTGCCTCTTCACTCTGATGGTAGTTTCTTTTGCCATGCAGAAGCTCTTTAGTTTAATTAGATCCCATTTGTTTATTCTGGCTTTTGTTTCCATTGCTTTTGATATTACTGCACAGGGACTCATGGAGTCCTGAAGTCCTTGCCCATGCCTATGTCCTGAATGGTATTGCCTAGGTTTTCTTCTAGAGTTTTTATGGTTTTAGGTCTAACATTTAAATCTTTAATCTGTCTTGAGTTAATTTTTGTATAAGGTATAAGGAAGGGATCCAGTTTTAGCTTTCTACATATGGCTAGCCAGTTTTCCCAGCACCATTTATTAAATAGGGAATCCTTTCTCCATTTCTTGTTTTTGTCAGGTTTGTCAAAGATCAGATGGTTGTAGATGTGTGGTGTTATTTCTGAGGCCTCTGTTCGGTTCCATTGGTCTATATCTCTGTTTTGGTACCAGTACCATGCTGTTTTGGTTACTGTAGGCTTGTAGTATAGTTTGAAGTCAGGTAGCGTGATGCCTCCAGCTTTGTTCTTTTTGCTTAGGATTGTCTTGGCAATGTGGGCTCTTTTTTCGTTCCATATGAACTTTAAAGTAGTTTTTTCCAATTCTGTGAAGAAAGTCATTGGTAGCTTGATGGGGATGGCATTGAATCTATAAATTACCTTGGGCAGTATGGCCATTTTCACAATATTGATTCTTCCTATCCATGAGCATGGAATGTTTTTCCATTTGTTTGTGTCCTCTTTCATTTTGTTGAGCAGTGGTTTGTAGTTCTCCTTGAAGACGTCCTTCACGTCCCTTGTAAGTTGGATTCCTAGGTATTTTATTCTCTTTGTAGCAATTGTGAATGGGAGTTCACTCATGATTTGGCTCTTTGTTTGTCTGTTATTGGTGTATAGGAATGCTTGTAATTTTTGCACGTTGATTTTGTATCCTGAGACTTTGCTGAAGTAGCTTATCAGCTTAAGGAGATTTTGGGCTGAGACGATGGGGTTTTCTAAATATACAATCATGTCATCTGCAAACAGGGACAATTTGACTTCCTCTTTTCCTAATTAAATACCTTTATTTGTTTCTCTTGCCTGATTGCCCTGGCCAGAACTTCGAATACTATGTTGAATAAGCATGGTGAGAGAGGGCATCCTTGTCTTGTGCCGGTTTTCAGAGGGAATGCTTCCAGTTTTTGCCCATTCAGTATGATATTGGCTGTGGGTTTGTCATAAATAGCTCTTATTATTTTGAGGTACGTTTCATCAATACCTAGTTTATTGAGAGTTTTTAGCACAAAGGACTGTTGAATTTTGTCAAAGGCCTTTCCTGCATCTATTGAGGTAATCATGTGGTTTTTGTCGTTGGTTCTGTGTATGTGATGGATTACGTTTATTGATTTGCATATGTTGAACCAGCCTTGCATCCCAGGCATGAAGCTGACTTGATCATGGTGGATAAGCTTTTTGATGTGCTGCTGGATTTGGTTTGCCAGTATTTTATTAAGGATTTTCACATTGAAGTTCATCAGGGATATTGATCTAAAATTCTCTTTGTTTATTGTGTCTCTGCCAGGCTTTGGTATCACGATGATGCTGGCCCCATAAAATGAGTTAGGGAAGATTCCCTCTTTTTCTGTCGATTGGAATCGTTTCAGAAGGAATGGTACCAGCTCCTCTTTGTACCTCTGGTAGAATTAGGCTGTGAATCTGTCTGGTCCTGGACTTTTTTTGGTGGGTAGGCTATTAATTATTGCCTGAATTTCAGAGCCTGTTATTGGTCTAGTCAGAGATTCAACTTCTTCCTGGTTTAGTCTTGGGAGGGTGTATGTGTCCAGGAATTTATCCATTTCTTCTAGATTTTCTAGTTTATTTCCATAGAGGTGTTTATAGTATTCTCCGATGGTAGTTTGTATTCCTGTGGGATTGGTGGTGATACCCCCTTTATCATTTTTTATTGTGTCTATTTGATTCTTTTCTCTTTTCTTCTTTATTAGTCTTGCTAGTGGTCTATCAATTTTGTTGATCTTTTCAGAAAACCAGCTCCTGGATTCATTGATTTTTTGAAGGATTTCTTGTGTCTTTATCTCCTTCAGTTCTGTTTTGATCTTAGTTATTTCTTTTTTTTTTTTTTTTCTTGAGGCAGAGTTTTGCTCTTGTTGCCCAGGCTGGAGTGCAATGGCGTCATCTCAGCTCATCACAACCTCTGCCTCCCGGGTTCAAGCAATTCTCCTGCCTCAGCCTCCCGAGTAGCTGGGATTACAGGCATGTGCCACCACGTCCGGCTAATTTTTTGTATTTTTAGTAGAGGTGGGGTTTCTCCATGTTGGTCAGGCTGTTCTCAAACTCCTGACCTCAGGTGATCTGCCCACCTCGGCCTCCCAAAGTGCTGGGATTAAAGGCTTGAGCCACCACAGCCGGCCGATCTTAGTTATTTCTTGCCTTCTGCTAGCATTTGAATTTGTTGCTTCTTGCTTCTCTAGTTCTTTTAATTGTGATGTTAGGGTGTCGATTTTAGATCTTTCCTGCTTTCTCTTGTGGGCATTTAGTGCTATAAATTTCCCTCTACACACTGCTTTAAGTGTGTCCCAGAGATTCTGGTATTTGTGTCTTTGTTCTCATTGGTTTCAAAGAACATCTTTATTTCTGCCTTCATTTCGTTATGTACCCAGTAGTCATTCAGGAGCAGGTTGTTCAGTTTCCACACAGTTGTGCGGTTTTGAATGAGTTTCTTAATCCTGAGTTCTAATTTGATTGCACTGTGTTCTGAGAGACAGTTTCTTGTGATTTCTGTTCTTTTACATTTGCTGAGGAGTGCTTTACTTCCAATTATGTGGTCACTTTTAGAATAAGTGTGATGTGGTGCTGAGAAGAATGTATATTCTGTTGATTTGGGGTGGAGAGTTCTGTAGATGTCTATTAGGTCCACTTGGTGCAGAGCTGAGTTGAAGTCCTGGATATCCTTGTTAACCTTCTGTCTCGATCTGTCTAATATTGACAGTGGGGTGTTAAAGTCTCCCATTATTATTGTGTGGGAGTCTAAGTCTCCTTGTAGGTCTCTAAAGACTTGCTTTATGAATCTGGGTGCATCTGTATTGGGTGCATATATATTTAGAATAGTTAGCTCTTCTTGTTGAAGTGATCCCTTTACCATTATGTAATGGCCTTCTTTGTCTCTTTTGATCTTTGTTGGTTTAAAGTCTGTTTTATCAGAGACTAGGATTGCAACCCCTGTTTTCTTTGCTTTCCATTTGCTTGGTAGATCTTCCTCCATCCCTTTATTTTGAGCCTGTGTGTGTCTCTGCACGTGAGATGGGTCTCCTGAATACAGCACACTGATGGGTCTTGACTTTTTATCCAGTTTGCCAGTCTGTGTCTTTTAATTGGGGCATTTAGCCCATTTACATTTAAGGCTAATGTTGTTATGTGACAATTTGATCCTGTCATTATGATGTTAGCTGGTTATTTTGACTGTTAATTGATCCAGTTTATTCATAGCATCGATGGTCTTTACAATTTGGCATGTTTTTGCAGTGGCTGGTACCGGTTGTTCCTTTCCATGTTTAGCGCTTCTTTCAGGAGCTCTTGTAAGGCAGGCCTGGTGGTGACAAAATCTCTCAGCATTTGCTTGTCTGTGAAGGATTTTATTTCTCCTTCACTTATGAAGCTTAGTTTGGCTGGATATGAAATTCTGGGTTGAAAATTCTTTTCTTTAAGAAGGTTGAATATTGGCCCCCATTCTCTTCTGGCTTGTAAGGTTTCTGTCCAGAGATCCACTGTTAGTCTGATGGGGTTCCCTTTGTGGGTAACCCGACCTTTCTCTCTGGCTGCCTTTAACATTTTTTCCTTCATTTCAGCCTTGGTGAATCTGACAATTATGTGTCTTGGGGTTGCTTTTCTCGAGGAGTATCTTTGTGGTGTTCTCTGTATTTCCTGAATTTGAATGTTGGTCTGCCTTGCTAGGTTGGGGAAGTTCTCCTGGATAATATCCTGAAAAGTGTTTTCCAACTTGATTCCATTCTCCCTGTTACTTTCAGGTACACCAGTCAAACGTAGATTTGGTCTTTTCACATAGTCCCGTATTTCTTGGAGGCTTTGTTTGTTTCTTTTTACTTTTTTTCTCTAAACTTGTCTTCTCACTTTATTTCATTATTTTGATCTTCAATCACTGATATCTTTTCTTTCACTTGATTGAATCAGCTATTGAAGCTTGTGCATGCGTCATGAAGTTCTTGTGCCATGGTTTTCAGCTCCATCAGGTCATTTAAGTTCTTCTATACATTGTTTATTCTAGTTAGCCATTCGTCTAACCTTTTTTCAAGGTTTTTAGCTTCCTTGCAATGGGTTAGAACATGCTCCTTTAGCTCGGAGAAGTTTGTTATTACTGACCTTCTGAAGCCTGCTTCTGTCAACTCGTCAAAGTCATTCTCCGTCCAGCTTTGTTCCATTGCTGGCAAGGAGCTGTGATCCTTTGGAGGAGAAAACGTGCTCTGGTTTTTAGAATTTTCAGCTTTTCTGCTCTGCTTTCTCCCCATCTTTGTGGTTTTATCTACCTTTGGTCTTTGATGTTGGTGACCTACAGATGGGGTTTTCATGTGGATGTCTTTTTTGTTGATGTTGATGCTATTCCTTTCTGTTTGTTAGTTTTCCTTTTAACAGTCAGGTCCCTCAGCTGCAGGTCTGTTGGAGTTTGCTGGCACTCCACTCCAGACCGTGTTTGCCTAGGTATCACCAGCGGAAGCTGCAGAATAGCAAACATTGCAGAACAGCAAGTATTGCTGCCTGATGCGTCCTCTGAAAGCTTTATCCCAGAGGGGCATCCGCCTGTATGAGGTGTCTATCAGCCCCTTCTGGGAGGTGTCTCCCAGTTAGGCTACATGGGGGTCAGGGACCCACTTGAGGAGGCAGTCTGTCCGTTCTCAGAGCTCAAACGCCATGCTGGGAGAACCACTGCTCTCTTCAGAGCTGTTAGACAGGGACTTTTAAGTCTGCAGAAGTTTCTGCTGCCTTTTGTTCAGCTATGCCCTGCCCACAGAGGTGGAGTCTATAGAGGCAGTAGGCCTTGCTGAGCTGTGGTGGGCTCCGCCCAGTTCAAGCTTCCCGGCTGCTTTGTTTACCTACTCAAGCCTCAGCAATGGCGGATGCCCCTCCCCCTGTCAGGCTGCTTCCTCACAGGTTGATCTCAGACTGCTGCACTAGTAGTGAGCAAGGCTCCGCAGGTGTGGTACCCACCGAGCCAGGCACGGGAGAGAATCTCCTGGTCTGCTGGTTGCTAAGACTGTGGGAAAAGCACAGTATTTGGGCGGAAGTGCCCTGTTTTTCCAGGTAGTCTGTCATGGCTTCCCTTGACGAGGAAAGGGAAATCCCCTGACCCCTTGTGTTTCCTGGGTGAGGCAATGCCCCGCCCTGCTTTGGCTCGCCCTCCATGGGCTGCACCCACTGTCCAACCAGTCCCAATGAGAGGAACCAGGTACCTCAGTTGGAAATGCAGAAATCACCCATCTTCTGCGTCGATCATGCTGGGAGCTGCACTGCAGACCAGAGCTGTTCCTATTCGGCCATCTTGGAACAGAACTTATTTTTATTTTTTACCACCAATATCTCTGCTGGGTCATACAGCCTTAGCAGCCAGGCTGTTTGCACCACAGCCTAGACCTGCTGAAGGGTCCTTTCTTGCCTTGAGCCCCACTCAAAACTGGCAGCTGCCGTGTCATGCAGTCTGTAGACCAGAGCCATATCACAGGTGTGTTGCCCCCAGAACCCAACCTAATCAGCACTGGGCTTCCTCAGCATTGGGGGATGCAAGATATAACAAATTGTCTTTTCCTTAGGAGGAGATACCCAGCATGCCTCTGAGCACTGGGTCCCTCAGAACTTCACCGCAGTTGCCAGACCCTGAATCTTCACAGGGCTTATCTGCCACCCTCTGGAGCATGTGTGTCTTACCAAGGGCTCCTGTGTGCTGGCCACCCTGTGCTTAGTCTGTCCAGTCAGCATGACGGTGTTGCTCTCTTTCCTCTCTTAGGCCCAGCACTTTCACAGCTAGGTTGTTGCTGGAATTCGTATTTTGTTATCAACTTAGCATCCAGAAAGAAGAGTTGCATGTAATGCCTGCAGGGGGAGGGTACCTGCTGCCCTGTAGGGGAGAGGCCTCTGCAGCATATTCCAGCTCAGCCAAGTGCAAGCCCAGAGAGTCCCAATTGAGGGACTTGCAGGTAGGTTGTTTAGACTCAACAATATCATAGGCATTCATCTAGAATTCCCCATCCCAGTTTTCAGAATGCTGGGTTTTCTCTCTTAGGGCCCAGACCTGCATACTTCACTTGCCTTGGCTGAGATTTAAACATTTCCAGCTCTTACTCTCACAACTGGACCTTGGAAATGGGAAACCCACAGCTTTTCATTCTGTCTGCCCATCCAATTCAGATGGTGGCGAAGACTGCTTTGTACCCACTAGGAAGGCCCTGTTGCCCTCACATTTAGCTGTTAACTGCTTGTTAACTGCAGTTCAGTATCCCGTTATCCTTATGCAGGGCATTAGTACAATTTTAGCACTGACTAGCCAACTCCGCTGCTTTTCTGGAATTTTTCCACTGAATCTGCATTATTGCCTTGGACATGAAAGGTATCCCTTCATTTGGACATTTTCCAGGTCACCGTCACTGTAATCTTTAGCAATCGAGCCATGACCTGTGCCAGGGACTACCCTCCTATCAGGATGGCATCCTCAACTGCAGAGTGGTCTGTGAGCATGTCCCAGATCCCCCATCTCACCACCTGCTTTCTCAGATCATTCTCAGGGCACTTGGGTTTGTCTGGGTCTGAGCAACAGACACCAAGGTGGGATCACAGCTATAGGATTTGATTAAGGATATCACCTATGTGAAAGAAAAGGGGGTAGAAACTGGGGAGGCTGAGAGAGCCATCAAACCACAGTGCAAACCTGACCCTTGCAGTGGGGAGGAGAGGGGGTTGGGTGTTAGCGAGCTTTCCTAGTCTGCCATGAGGTCTAAGGGAGATTCAGCAGAGCCGATGAGGGGTTCTTGTCTTTAATTCACCTTTGTCAGCTTTTCTCGGTTATTTCATCCTGATTTCTTGCTGCAGACTAGTTTTGTCATTCTCCATTTCATGTGGTGGGAGTTATCCATTTCCATAGTTGAAGACAGCAGCCAGACCAAGCTGGATAGCATAGTCCCACCTCCAAATTCTTAGGGAAGGACCCTGGCCCAGTTTCAGCCATGTCTGGGATCTAGTTCACAGTTAGGTGAACCAGGTTTTATCTCTCTAAACTGAGACATTTCCCAGAAAAGCTGGACAAACTACAGACCTAACACTAATACTTTATATAACCTCTAATAGTCCTAAACATTTTATTAGCAATCATTGTTTTATTCTTCACAGACAGACTGACTTTGAAGAATGATTTGGATGGGTCATAGTTCTTCCAATAAAGGAATCAAGAGGCGTACTTAAGTATTCTGTTGGTGACTAACTGGATCAGTTCATTAAATGTTTGTTTTTGTAATTGCAAAGTATTTTCAAGGGTAATCACTGACCCAGCATTTTTTCCTTTGACTCTTCCTCGCTCTTCAATTTATTCAAAACTGAGTTAGTGTTAGAGACGATAAAAGCTGTCTGGGAGAAGAATACATTTGTTAGAGTACGCTATGGTTTGGATGCAGTTTGTCTCCATCAAAACTGATACTGAAATTTGATCCCCCAGATGTTGGGAGGTATGGCCTAGTGGGATCTCTTATGAATAGATTAGTGCTTTCCCTATGTGGTAAGTTCTCACTCTTGTGGGAATGGATTACTTCCTGTGAGGGTGGGTGGTTAAAAAGAGTCTGGCTTCCTTGGTTTCTGTTGTTTCTTCTCTCACCATGTGATCTCTTTGCATACACCCACTGTCCTCCTATTTTCCACCATGAGTGGAAGCAGCCTGAGGCCCTTACCAGGTGCAGGTGCCCAGAATCATAAGCCAAATAAACCTCTTCTCTTTATAAACTACCCAGTCTCAGGTACTCTGTATAGCACCACTAAACTAAGACAAGTAATTGACACTGAATTTGAAAACCATAAAAATCATTACTACATTATTAGAACTTTAAAGAAGAGCTGCAAAGCCGTCTTTTCTGAAGTTGTAGACAGGTAGCATGGCCTCTCTCTCTTGTCTTTTGTATTTATACAGGCATAGGAGTTCCAAATAGAGGTTTAATGAACATGAGAAATGAAGGCTGGGGATTAATTAGTCAAAGCTGAAATACTGCAACAACAATATATGAAGTACCCCAAGGGAAGGCCAAAGAGAAATATATATGTAAATGTCTATGGCTGTACAATCAGCAAACATTTTTTGAATAATCAGGTTGTGTCGAGGGCTGTTCAGGGCATTGTGGGGAACACAGAATTCATGGACTCAGTCCCAAATTCAGGCAGCTCATAGTTCATCTGGGAAGAAGACAACTGTGAGTCCTGCCTCTGCCAGGCACAGAGACCCCTACAGTTTGCTTGGGATGGTTAATGGGGAAATGAATGAAGTGCCGACATGTTGTCCCTTCCAAATCCCTCTCAGAGCTCCCTGTTGCTCTAAAATAGAGTGTATTTATAGAAAATGTGAGGTATAGTGAGGTCAACAGATTAGGAGACAATTGCCATAGAAAAGATAGCTTGTTACAGTTCCCAAGAGGAGGGGGTCACAGCACACCACGCAGGGCCACATAGGAAGCACAGGGTCCTTGAGGAGGCAGAGCGGGACGGGGAGCTGTGGGCCGGAGTCTTTTTTGTGGTTTCTGTGGGAAGGAGTGGACAAAGGGGAAGCAGAGTCAGGATTGGCGGGTTTGAATAATTTCAGTGGGCTCTCAGCTTGGGGGCTGTTTCTACTTGTCTAGTAGTTTGGCCATGGGGTGATGTGCAGGTGGGTAGTGGCTAGGAGTGTGAGAGCCACATCGAGGAGGTGATAGGTGTGATAGGTGTGTGGGCTCTGGATTGGTTGGTTTGCATTTTGAAGAGGGCCCTCTTGGGTGAGCTGTTTTCCATCTATTGGAATTAGTAACCTTGGGAGGATGGCACCAAGCTGTCCACCCCCATGATCCAAAAGTTTCCCACTGGGCCCCACTTTCAATACCTGAGATCACATTTCAACATGAGATTTGGAGAGAACAAACATCCAAACTATATCCCTAATCTTGTCAAAATGAAAATATATTCCAGTCATTGGATTTTCTAGTATTGTATGAAGATGAGGCTGGTTGTATGATTAGGAGGTTTGAAACTCTATAAACTCCTTAAGTAGGAAGTTAAGATTTTATTTATCATCTCTTTTTTTTTCTTTTTTTTTTTTTAAGACAGTCTCACTCTGTCACCCAGGCTGGAGTGCAGTGCCACGATTTTGGCTCACTGCAATCTCTGCCTCCTGGGTTCAAGGGATTCTCCTGCCTCCTCCTCCTGAGTAGCTGGGATTACAGGCATGTGCCACCACGCCTGGCTAAATTTTTTTTTGTATTTTTTGTCGAGATGGGGTTTCACCATGTTAGTCAGGCTGGTTTCGAACTCCTGACCTCAAGTGATCCACCCACCTTGGCCTTCCAAAGTGCTGGGATTATAGGCTTGAGCCACTGAGCCCAGCATATCATCTCCTTTTTGAGGAGAGGGGTGAAAGGGATGCCTAGGATGTTGGAGAAGGCTTTTCTGAAGTGTTTGGTGATCCTTGACTCTTATTTAAGTCTGAGGCACTAAAAGCTGGTGCACTCTGGGTGCTTGGGGAGATTTTGACAGGTGTTACTGCCTGGGTGGCAGTTTCAGCAGGGGAAAGCCTCCCTCCCCAGTGTTCATATTTGTAGATCTTTTCTCTTCAAACATTCCCCAGGAAGGAATGCTCCAGTGTTTTTGGATGGGAGTAAAAGCCAGGCTGCCTGTGTTCTAGGAGCCAAGTGGAACAAGAGGTTGGGGAGCTGTCTCACCAGTCATTGTAGACTTTGATTTAGTATTCCTGTTTCCAGTACATTTCCTCCCCTACCTTTAGCTATGCCTAGAGTCCCAAGTTCAAATTCTTTAATTTACCTTTCTTTTCCAGAGAGTAAAACATCCTGGGTTGGGTGGAGGAAGACAGCCCAGGAAGGGAGAAGGCATTCTTAAAAGGAGTTTTAAAAGCCACCCCACCTGTTTTATCTCCCCTCAATTCCCGTTTCGCACTTACCTGGTGCCTCCTACTCCTGAGCCTTTTGTAGGGAGGGAGAAGGTTCTGTGGCTCAGGTGGGCTTACTTGCTTGGGTTGGTAAATGGGGACATTGACCTGCTGCCCCCAGTTAGCAGCCTAGGTGTACCAAAATGCCAGAGGTTTGTCTAGGTCCAGTTGCGTGCCACACAGAAAGCCAATCACTGAGACAATGAGTGTTGCTAGGGAAGAAAGCTTTGATTGGGTGCTATAGCTCAGGAGATGGAGATAAGCCTCAAATCCATCCTCCTGACCTACTAAAATTAGGGGTTTATGTAGCAGGAAGAAAGGTAACTATATGTGAGAAAACAGGAATTAGGGAGAGATAAGGAAGAGGAGTTGGTCAACAGGGAACAGGTGGTCTTAAGCAGTCATGATGGGTGAGGAGTCTGACTTCTCATGGTCCAGATGAGATGATCTAGTAAGTTTTAGTTTTTTAATACTACCTGGAAGGCCGGATGGATGGTTGCCTGAGAAAGCAATTCAGATAAGACAAATGTAACTTGCTCAGGCTTCAAGACTCGGAGGGTCAATTTCTACGTTTATTCAAAGAAACCATAAACACCAGTTCTGTGGGACAACTGGGGTGATGTCATAATGGTGGCCTTTCCTGTCTCTTAATCTGGTTAAGTGGTCTTCAGGTTTGTGGCTTGTGTCTCCTCTCTTGCTCTTGATACATGTGGACTTTTTGCCTTTCCTCTCTCTCCTCATTTCAGTGAAGAGAGAAGTCAGAAATATGGAATATATTATTTTTCTATGAAGTGAGATTATACTATACATGTACCTTCAGGCTCTATAAAACTCACTAAAGTAATTCACTGTTTGTTGCATTTTAGCTGATTCTGTCACATAGAAATTTTAGGATAATGAAAATTCCTGGAAAATAGTCAATTTTCAAGGGAATTAAAATTCCAGATTTGTTAAAATGTGAATATGAGCTTATAAAGAATGTGTTTTCAATTTTCAGATTGTGAACCATGCCTTTAGTGAAGAGGAACATTGAGCCCCGGCACTTGTGCCGGGGAGCTCTGCCTGAAGGGATTACCAGCGAACTTGAATGTGTAACCAATAGTACTCTTGCCGCTATCATACGCCAGCTGAGCAGTCTGAGTAAGCCATCTTTTTTCTGATTACCAATGACATTAACTTTTTGTTAGCAAATTGATTTTAATAGTTAAATGATTGTCCAAAGAAGAGATTGCAGCTTTAAGGAAAAGATCCTTTCTCCTTCTGTATTTCCCAGTATGAAATTGACCACTGCACCTGTACTGGGCTTGTGATGCTTAACTTTAGGCAATGAAGATGTGATGCTCTTACCAACTCACAAATTATTAGATGAGATCAAATGTACAGATTTAAAATAGTGTTAATTTTTAAAAGCTTTTGAAAATGAAGATAATTGGTAATTTTTTAAACTATCAATTATTATGAATTATTTTGTTAAACTTGAATAGGACCAATTGTTTTGTTTTTTAAGTGTAATAGATTGAAAACTAGTTAACACCTGTAATATGCCTGGCACATAGTACCTACTTAATAAATATCTGTTGATTGAATAACATCCCAAATGAACCATAGTATAAAGCCAAACAATAGATTTGCTGATTTTAACCTACTAAAAGTTAAAATGCAGATACTGATTTCTGCATTGAGGTGAACAGATCAGCTGGTTATTTTATGTATATGGTACCACGTATATATTGGCATGCATAGATGTATGGCAAATGCAAGCTAGGAAGAAAAGGCTGCTTCTTATTCTCATTTTGAATATTAATATTAAATATCTGAAGAATATTTTATAAGACTCAAATATGCATGAAAATGCTTTTTCCTTCAAAGCTTTTTGAAGTTGCACTATTTTCCCCCAAACTTTTACATTTATTTTCTGATCTTGTTTTCTCACTTCATCCTGCTCCTTTTCAGTTTAGGTGGTTTATGTGGCATTTTTGGTGACAGGTTTTCACAGTTAAATTTTTCAGAAACTCTGTTAATAACTAGAAAATCTTCCATGAAATGTCCCATATTGGTAGCCTCAAGCGAAGGGCAAATTTTTTTTTAACTCAACTACTTTTATTTATCTTGAAGAAACGCTGCAGGTAAGTATTGGTTTCTTTAATAGAGTTGTACTGTATTGTTACGGATATATTTTTAATAATATCTATAATCATTAGCTAAGGCAAAAGTATGTAAAGAAATTACATAAAATGTTTTTTAAAATAAAATTTTCCTGGAATCTAAGCTCTTATGATTGACTTTTGGTAGTGGTAATTGATAAAAATATACAAATTCACATAATTACATGAAGACTGCTTGTAAATTATTGAAGGGTAAAATTGTTTTTGCGTGTATTTATTTTTGTAGGAATGCTTTTAGTCTCTTGTTTTTATGGCTGAAATGCCTGTTGGCACAAAGTGTAAGTGATGAAAGCCGACATAAACTGTCAGAGTTTTAATAATCAATCTGTATCTCATGCTGTAATAATCGGCGGAGTGTTGTGTTAGTTGTGTTTATGGTGTTTGCTTGGCCACAGTCTCCTGTAAGTGAATCTGCCCACACAGTATGCCTTGTTCTACATGGCCCTTGTGGTAAATAGAATAGTAATAGCCCCTCCGGATATGTCCATGTCCTTATCCTTGGAACCTGTGGATGTGTTATGTTACGTGTAAGAGGGAATTAGGATTGCTAGTCAGCTTACTTTAAGAGAAGGAGATTACCCTGGTTTATCTGGTTTGGTTCAGTGTAATCCACAAGGGTTCTTTAAATGGGAAAGGAGGGAGGTAGAAGAATCAGTGCCAGGGTGACGTGATGTGGGAAGGACCCAACTGCCATTGCTGGCTTTGAAGATGGAAGAAGAGGGGCCATGAGCCAAGGAATGCAGGCAGACTGGAGAAGCTGGAGAAGGCAAGGAAATTGGTTCTCTCCTGAAGTCCCCAGAAAGAACACAGATCTGCCCGTACATTAGTTTTAGCCCAGTGAAATTCGTTTCTGACTTCTGACATCCAGAACTGTAGGATAGTAATTGGTGTTATTTTAAGCTGTTATGTTTGTGGTAATTTGATACAACAGCAATAGGAAACCACTCTAGCTTTGGTTGTGTTTTGTACCACCCAATCCACTGTAGCCTCATGATTGGGCCGGGGCTGGGAACCTGCCTAGTGGATAGTCAGTTCTGAGTTACGCTACTGCAGTGCATCTCAACCTGGCTTCTCTATCAGAGTCACTTGGTGAGCTTTAAAACAGGATGCTAGGAATCACCCGAGAGATTGTGCTTCCGGTAAGCACCAGAGATGACCCACAAAATTAGACACCCATGTGTCTGGATGGAAAAGATGAGCTGGGTGAGTCAGATCCTTTCAGGAAGTTCGAACTAAGAAATGCAGTGAATTTGCTAGTCTCTTATGAGACCTACTGCTAAAATGTCATCTGGGGGTGAAAAAGCCGTAATGACCACCGGTTAGGCAGAGTTGTGGAGGGGGCTGAACCCGGGAGGAAGCAGAAGGAAGCCAGTTGATGAGGAAAGGCAAAAGAAGGATGTACAAAGAGAAGCAAGAACATGAGCGAGACCGCAAGGCCCACAAGGTGGAGGCAGCAGCTGCTTCTTGACCTGCCCAGGATGGCTTTCCCCTCCCATTTGTGGTGCAGGGCTTGGGTGTCCTCACAGTGACCCTTCCTCACTTCAGGTTCGTTGAGTGCATCTGGGGCTTACAACCCAAAGAGCATTACAGAAAGAGAAGCACAGTGATATATACTGCCAAGGATATAATTTTGGAAAACGAAGATAACTGAGTGCAATGAACTGAATGTTTGTGTCTCCCAACAATTCCGCGTTGAAATCCTAATCCTCATTGTAATGGTCTTTAGAGCTAGGATTTTGGGGAAGTAAGAGGTCATGAGGTGGAGTCCTCATCAATAAGATTAGTGCCCTTATTAAAAAGGCCTGAGAGAGACACCTTGCCCCTTCTGCCTAGTGATGCCAAAGCAATGAGGCACTGTCTTGAAGAAGAGAGAGCAACCCTCACTAGACACCAAATCTGCTGGCACCTTGACTTTGGAATTCCCAGCCTCCAGAACTGTGAGAAATAAATTTCTATTGTTTATAAGCCACCTACTCTGTGGTCTTCTGTCATAGTAGCTCAAATTGCCTGTGACACTGAATTACTGATTGGTGATAGAATATCAAAGTAGATTATCTGTAGTTTATTAGTGTTTATTCATTCATTCTTCTTTGTATTTCATAGAATTATATCTCGTATCAGGTACATGATTGTGATTATCAGCAGCCTAAAGTAGTAGTCTTCCTTAAAAGATGCCGTTTTATGGGAGTAGACATTCTCTGTTTTAATCTACTATTCTTTTACACACGTTGTCTGGCAAAATAAATAAAAATATAAATATAAATGTGAGACAGGTGGAAAAGGAAAAATATGTGACCTGTAATCAAGAGAAACAGAAGTCAGTCAGTAGAAGCAAGACCCACAGATGACCCCAATTTTGGAAATAACTGATGAGTACTTTAGAATAGTTATGAAAAATTTATTGAGGGGTCATCCAGTTTCTGGTCTGGCTTTTAAAGAGTTTGGAAGTCACTCCTGTCTACACAATAAGAGGAAGTTCAATAATCTGAAAACCAGCCTTTTGAAAGATCCATGTAAGAACTGAAGTTACAGGACAAACTGATGCCCCCAAATTTGGAAAGTAAGTACAGGGGACAGCAAATAACTTTGAATTGGGTTCTGCTTAGAAGTTAACCACATTTATAATTTTAAAAATAATTGATAAGTCACATCAACATGATTATAAAGTAGGAAACAGATATGCAGTTATTACAACCTGCTACAAGACAACACTAGCACATAGTAAATGATGTCAATGTTTTGCATGAATCTTCAGTTGTTCGTGGTTTGCCACTGGATATTAATATATTACAGGGGATGAGGAAAGTTATATGCAAATATATATGAGCTAAAGTTGTTAGGAAGAATAAGAGAATGTAAAGGAATGTTTTTATGTTATTTTTAAATTTTGTAATCATTCATCAGGTATTTAAAAATTTTAGGAATGTATGAGCCTATAGTATTAAAAGTCTTCTTTTACAGAGTGTTCATTCCTGTGACAAAGTCAAAACATAATCTGTTTTTAAATTCCTTTGGGTACTTACCCGGCCATTATTCAGTGGGTCCAAATGAGAATGGATCATCTTAATCCTCCCCACTTCACTGCTCACCCCCCACACCTGTGTCACTCCCCTCCCACCCTTACCTCCACTCCCCACAGCAGAAAATCATTTTCAGGTACAGATTGGGATAGATGATGTTTAATTATCTGCTTCCTGTAAGTGATACAGAGGGGGACTAGACTTTCTCTACATATGTATCTTAGGGGAAACACCAGTGCAACTTAGGGATTTGCCTTGAGCCTGCCCTGGTCATCCCTGCTTGAGCAGCAGGAACTTGCCCTGGGAGACCTACTGTGAAAACCCAGGGCAACTAATTGTTCTAGGGAAGGAAAAACAGACCAGGACTCCACAGGGAGTTTCTTTGGTCTTTTCTAAATAGGAAGAGAGTTACCTGATCATTCTGATTCTTGTCACACTTATGGAGACAGTTCAGGGTCATGAGGATTTAAATGACTTTGCATAAAGCAAGAAAAGAATCTGGTCTTAGATAGCAAATGGAATTCTGAAGGCCCTACAACTTTACATAACTTTTAGGAAATCTGTAGGTTTTTAGCTCTGGATATGCTCTTACTACATCCAAATCAGACACTTCACTTCAAGGGCCAGAAATTTTGTCACCGTTAAATTTTTAACAGGCTTTTTAGGGAATTGAAATCTTTCCAGTGAGACTATATTGAATTTGGTAACAGTCATAGAAATGAAAGAGAGGAAATTTGTAACATGAATGACGATATAGTTTAAAAAGATCACCACATTCAAAGGTTTGTCCAATAATTTTTTTTAAGTCTGTTTTAATTTTCAGATTTTTTTCTTTGAGTGTTACTTCTGATACAGTACAGTGTGAGCAATCAGAGTGGCTGGGGGAGGATAGCCGCTTGGCAAACAGTTTTAGGTGTGTTACTTGGTTTTCCAGCTAGGGAATTTTGATTTTTTTTTCTTCAAATAATGACAGTTTAGTGTTAATTAACATTAAACCGGGAGTGCTTTTTCATCATTTTCCTTGATTAATAATCTGAATGCTCTTGTTCCTGTCAGCTAGTTGATCAATTAAAATCACAGTATCTTGTAATCAGATTCCTACTGGTATTATGATGTAGTTTCAATATAATTTGCTTAAAAAGGAGATGACATTTGTGCCAAGGATGACAAAACTTCTTTTTAATACCTCATATGTATGGTTTTGCTACTTTTTTTTTCTTTGTTCTTGTGATAATAGCTGTTTTTCGCTCCTCCCCCATAAAATTCTTCTCAGGATGTCACAAAGAAAGGAGTTAGAAATTTAGTGAGCCCTGCCGAAAAAAAAAAATTTGGCGACATTAATGGTACTATTAAGATAATATAGAAAATTTAGCATAGAAACACACAAAAGAGTCAACTTTACAAAATTCCGTTAATCAGAAAAAATTGTAATACTTTGAACATATTTTTATACAGATGGTATTTCATTGTACATATGGTTTTATAGCCCATACTCACTGTACAGTAAACATCTGTATTCTTATAAGACACATTTTTGAATAGCTGGAGATTATTATATTGATACACCATAATTATTTAACCATTTTACTAATGTTGGACATATAGTTATTTGTGGGGGAACGCTATTATAAATTCTTACTCAAAATAATTACATACATCTCTGGTTGTTTTTGATTTTTTTAAAAAAGATTTCTTATGTCTTAGGAGTCATCAGGCTTCTTCATAATGAGCAGGGATAGTCGTCATAAATGGCCCAAAATCCTGTGACTCCATTAATTTTAAATATGCTTCTCTCTTTGCAAATCATTATAAAATCTATTTAATTTTCATGTGTGGAGTAATTGTACAAATGAGAAAGGAAGTCTGTTTTCTTTTCAAAGGTTTTTAAGTGATTGTTTTTATTAATACTCCTTAAGACACACATTGTGTTTCCCAGTCAACCAAATGCACTCTAATTCAGTTGCTTTATATAATTGGATCTGAAATTTGGAGGTGTGTTAATTGACATAAGTGCAGTTCTACTCAGGATAAAGATTTAAGAATTTTAAAGGCATGCGCTGAATAACTTTCTTGGATGTTTTTAGCCAAACAAGATTTTTTGGGGAGGTGAGGAAGATAGAACACAGTTTATGAAGGAACTAGATTATAAGTAAATTTCTGTACAGTTTGAGGCTAGGGTTGTGGGTAAGTTAAGATAAAATATATTGAGGTGTCCGACCGAAGTTGACTGGGAGGAACACAGCAAGAATTTAAGAATTTTTAATGCTGCAAACTTATTTTTGCATCTCTCATGAACAAAGAAAGCCAGTGCAGGTAGGTAAAAAGTAATGTATACTTAGGAAACTAGAAGATAGAAGTTCTGTCAGCAGGAGAATTGATGGCAAGTATAAGAGCCCCACCACCCCGACAAAAGGCAGGATTATAGGGGATTCACACTCTCATTACCCATTGACCCGGAATGTCAGAAATACTTTCTTAAGGGTATTGTAGAAGTAATTATTAGTTAGGTTTTTTATTTCTCCTTCCTCCATATGGATTTTAATATAGCAAGATTTAATGCATCATAATTCTTAGGAGCACAAGTTAGAGAGTCAGCCAAATCTGAATTTTCAGTTCTGGCTATCACTAAATTTATCTGGTTTTATCATCTCTCTTCTTTGTATTTCATATAATTTTATCTCATATCAGGTACATGATTGTGATTATCAGCAGCCTAAAGTAGTAGTCTTCCTTAAAAGATGCCGTTTTATGGGAGTAAACATTCTCTGTTTTAATCTACTATTCTTTTACGTACGTTGTCTGGCAAAATAAAAATATAAATATGAGATAGGTGGAAAAGGAAAAATATGTGACCTGTGATCAAGAGAAACAGAAGACAGTCAGTAGAAGCAAGACCCACAGATGACCCCAATTTTGGAAATGGCTGATAAGTACTTTCGAGTAGTTATGAAAAATTTATTGAAGGGGCATCCAGTTTCTGATCTGGCTTTTAAAGAGCTTGGAAGTCACTCCTGTCTACACAATAAGAGGAAGCTCAATAATCTGAAAACCAGCCTTTTGAAAGATCCATCAAAGAACTGAAGTTACAGGACAAACTGATGCCCCCAAATTTGGAACAGAAAGCCTTGTGGGAACCGTTTCAGGGTTGCAGAAACTTGGTGAGTTGCTGGAGGCTCATTGAGGACAAGTTTGAGAGTTAAAAGCTCCAGAAGGGCCCAGTCAGAGGGGCTTCCACACTTGTGTGTTTTTCTGCCAGCAACCTTACCAGGTTCTTACATTGAAGATTGGAGAAAAATCTCTTTGTTCGTCCATTCAGGAGAGGGGAATGGACTTTAAAACAAGCCCAAAACATCTGGGCACGGTGGCTCACACCTGTAATCCCGGCACTTTGGGAGGCTGAATCATGAGGTCAGGAGTTCAAGACCAGCCTGGCCAAGGTGGTGAAACCCCGTCTCTCTAAAAAAATACAAAAATTAGCCAGGCGTGGTGGTGGGCACCTATAATCCCAGCTACTCGGGGGGAGAGGCAGAGAATTGCTTGAACCCAGCAGGCGGAGGTTGCAGTGAGCAGAGATCACACCACTGCATTCCAGCCTGGGCAACAGAGTAAAACTGTCTCAGAAAAAAAGCGCCCAAAACATTTGACTCTTTTTAACATGCCTGCCCTCAAAAGAAATTATTTCAACAGAGCCTAACAGACTGAGATTTTACCAGAGCTTAACAGACCTGGTTGGAGGGAAATACCCAACTCCAGTCCCTTCTGGTCGTCCTGCCTAACCTGAGGGGAAGCGGGAGTGAGACCCAGGGCCCCAGGCTCACTAGAAGACTGAGACCCCAGTCATAGGACTGTATAACACTCCCTTTTCACTGCCCCTCACCCGACACCCTACCAGCACAGCATTAAAGGCCTGTGTAGTGGGATTCCTTTCACCTTGTTTGTCATGTCTGGTTTTCATCAGAAAATTACAAAGCATACTAAAAGGCAAAAAACACAGTTTGAAGGTACAGAGCTAGCATCAGAACAAGATTCAGATATGGGAGGAGTGTTGGAATTGTCAGACCAGGAATTTAAAAGAACTATGATTAATATGCTGAGGGATCTAATGGAAAAGTAGATAACATGCAGGGACTGATAGGTAATGTCAGAAAGATGGAAATTCTAAGAATCAAGAAAAATATATTGAATGTACTGCAAAAGATGAACAACGTGTGAGGAAATAGCAGTTTCAGCAGAGAAATGGAAATCATTTTTTTAAATGCCAGAACTGAAAAATACAGTATCAGAAAGAAAGAATTCATCTGATGGACCTAATAGCAGACAGGACCCAGCAGAAGTGATTGGTGAACTTGGAAATAAGTTAATAGAAATTATTTAAAGTGATTCACAAGAGAAAATGAATTTAGAAAGCAACAACAAAATTTTAGAGCATTCAAAATATGGGACCATATCAAATCGTCTGACACATACGTAATTGGAATCTCAGAACAAAAGGAGAAAAAGAGAAGGAATAGAGCAGAAGTAGTAATGGAAGATAAGTTTTGAATATTGATGATAGATATCAACTAACAGACACAAGAAACTCAGCAAATTCCTGAAAGTATAAAGAAAACCACGTCATAATAAAATTGCTAAGGAGGCCAAGGCAGGTGGATTACTTGAGGCCAGGAGTTCGAGAGCAGCCTCGCCAACATGATGAAACCCCAACTCTACTAAAAATACAAAAATTAGGCTGGTACAGTGGTGCATGCCTGTAGTCTCAGCTACTTGGGAGGCTGAGGCATGAGAATGGCTTGATCCTGGTGGCAGAAGTTATAGTGAGCTGAAATTGCACCACTGCACTCCATCATAGGCAACAGAGCAAGACTCTAAAAAAACACAAAAAACAAAAACCAAAAACCAAAAATTTTGCTAAAGGAACAGAGATGAAGAGAAAATCTTAAAAGAAGAAAGAGGAAAAATATACATCATGTAAAAGAAGGGAACAATGTTAAGGATGACAGCTGACTTGTCATCAGAAACATTGGACCAGAAAACAGTGGGTAAGTGCTAAAAGGAAGAAACTTGTCATTCTATAATTCTATAGTCAGTGAAAATATCTTTTAAAAATGAAAGACATTTTGTTCAGACAAAAGTCTCAGAGAATTAGTCCTCCAGCAACCTGTACTACAAAAAATTCTTAACGCTTCAGGGAAATGATACCATTTGGAAACCTGGATCTGCAAGGAGTCCAGACAAAGTAAATATGGGATTAAATAGAAAAGGTCATCAATAATTAGGTCTGTATCTGCTTAAAAGACTAGTAACTGTTTAAAATTTATGGCATTTATAATGTATGTGACAGTAAAATATGTGACAGTAAATGCTGAGTGTGAAAGTGATAAATAGACTTACACTGTTGTGTTTTACATTGTTTATGAAGTACTATGTTATTTGAAAGTAGAGATGAGTTAAGGGTACATAGTATAATTTCTAGTAACCATCAAGAATAACATAGATATCAAATGAAATCCTAAAATAATGATTTGATTATCCCAGAAGGCAAGAAAGGAAGAACAAAGGAAGAAGGAACAGAAGGGCCAAATGGAAAACAGTCAGATGATAGATTGAATCCTAACCACATCAATAATTTCTTTAAATAGAAACATTTTAAACTTCCTCTTAAAAGGCAGAGATTATCAGGTTAAATTAAAAAGTGAGACTAAAATACATGCATTTTGAGGATGAAGACACTGATTTAAGGAAAGTTAATGAAAAAATATGCCCTGCAAACACAAGTTATAAGAAAGCTGGTGTGGTTTTGTGAATGTCAGATAAAATAGAATATAAAACAGATAAGCCAGGACCTTTAATGGTGATAAAAGAGTCAAGAACACAGAGCTTTAAATGTATATGTACCTAACAAGAGGACTGCAAACTACATGGAATAAAAATAGAACTGAGGGGAGAAGTAGGCAAACTCAAAATCATAGTTGGAGATTTTAACAAGTACCGCTCAGTAATTGAAAGAACAAGTGGACAGAAAATGTGTAAGGATATAGGGGGTTTGAACAATATACCAGCCAGTCTGACTTAATTCATCTTTGTATACCAAACTCCCAAGTTGTAGAATACACATTCTTTTAATTTCCCGTGAAACATACACCAAAACGGGACATCTGGTAGGCCATAAAATAGTAAGTTTTAAAAGATTAATATACAGAGAGTGATGATAATGAGATAATTATAATCTTTTTAGATAATGCTCAAATATTGGAAAATCAAACAGTATTTAAAAAATAATCCTTGGGTCAAAGAAAAACTCAAAAGGGAAGTTAGAAACTATTGCTAACCATGTGGTAGTGAACACAAAATGCCATTGTATTTGTGGGATTTTGTTAAAGAAGTGTATAGAGAAAAATTTGTAGCTTTAAATGTTATGTTAGAAAAGAAGAAAGGTTTAAAATCATGAGCCCATGCCTTAGGTAGGGCCCTTGGTGTTGCTCAGCATTCCCGTTGTAATCTCTGTGTTAATTAATTTTTGTGCTCTTAGTTGCCTATTTCATATCTTTCCACCTCGCACCTCCCCACTCTGCTGATGACTGTGCTTCTTATTTCACTGGTAAAAGAAAAGCAATCAGAGCAGAAGTAAAGGTCTCCCTCTGACACATTGCACGCTGATAGGCTCTGCATCCACGTGTCCTGTTCACCCTCCCTTAAATGGATGGGCTGTTCATGCTCCTATCCATGCTGTCTCCTCCAACGGAGCACTGGATCCCATATCCTCAGGGTGCTTCCAGGATACATGTACCTTCTTTCTTCTCTGTATTATTTTTCCCCCTCTTTCTGTGTCATTCTCATCAAGTATAAATATGCAAAGAAGTCTCCCAATTTGAGTAAATTTCAGATCATCCTCTCCCTGTCATCCCATTTCTTGCTCCCACAGCAAGATTCCTTGAAGGATGTATTCATATCTCCATGGCCTCTATTTCCCACATTGTTTGTTGTCCCCATTGAGATTTCATCACACTCAACGCTTTTGAAACTGTGCTTATTGGCATGACCAGTGACTCGCATGCTGCTAAAATCCAGTGGCCAGGATCAGCCTTCTTACTTCATCTGTTACTGGCATGCGACTCACAGATAACTGTCTCCTCTGGAGAAACTCTCTTCACCTGCACAGTGGTCCGCCACCTCACTCTGGTGTTTTTCCTACCTCCCAAGCTGTGCTTTGTCTCCTCAGTGATCTTCCCCACTTGGCTCTTCTCTGCCTGTTCTCATTTACTAAGTGACCTCATCAGGTTCCATGGCTCAAAGTAACATCTTTATGCTGATGATGTTCAAATGTGTGTCTTCAGTTCTGACCTATCTCCTAGTTTCAAACTTATATACAACTGTACAACTGTCCACTCGGTGTCTTCACTTGGATTTCTAATAGGTATCTCTAATCCCACATGTCTAAAATTTCACTTATGATTTCTTTCTCTCTTTGCCAGCCATCCCCTATCTGTCTTAGCAAGTGGAAGCTCTCCTCTTACAGTGCTTTTGATTGTCTTCTTTCTCTCCTATCAGAGACATCCAGTCCAATAGTGAAATGACGTCAGTCATCTTCAAAATGTGTAGCAAGTCTGTATGCCTGTTAGCTGCCCTGATGTCACTATTCCGATCCAAGTCACTATGCCTCTTGCCTTCTGTTGGATTTCCAGTCACTCCCCACCGACCCCCGCCCCAACACAAAGGGAAGGGCATCTATTTCTCTGTCCTCTTCTTCTACCCTTTTCCCCATCACTCACTAGCCTTTAGCCACACTGGCTTCCTTGATGTTGCTGACATACACCAAGCACATATTTGTCTTCAGCCTGGAAGGTTCTTTCCCTAGATATTCATCTTCCCCCTCTTCAGTCACTTGATACCATCCTATCAGAGAGGGCTTTTGTGACCACTGAAATACCACCACCCACTTCCTTCCACTCTGTTCTCTATAAAAAATATTGCTTTATTTTCCCCATAGCACTTATTTTCACCAGACATATTGCTTGTTTATTGTCTGTTTTCCTCAACCATAATACACCCTTCATGAGAACAGGGGCTGTGTCCACAAGTATATTTCTTCAAGCAACAAGGACAAGGCCTGATACACAGTCGATGCTTGAATATTTGCTGAAAAAATGAATATGCTTAATAATCAATGTCTGTTATCTAAGTTCTTAAAATGCTTAGAATATTGTAAAGAAGTATTTTAAAAGTTCATTATAGTTAATTATGGTTGACTTTTCTTTCTGTTTTTCTTAATTTTTCAAATTTTCTATCATGAGCATGTGTTAGTTTTATAATCAGGACGGTAGCAGTAGAGTCTTTAATTGGACTTTGGGCCATTTTTCCTACCGTTTACTTTCCTGTATTTTCTGTATTTCTTACAATAAGCATGTGTTGCTTTTATAGGAGAAAAAATAGGTTTAAAAAAGAGGAAAAAACTTTAAGCCCAATATTATGACTTGTTATTTTATGGAATTCAATAGGAACTGACATTACAGATACTATAATAAAGTTTCTTTTTTAACTTTTCATTTTGAAATGATTTTAGACTTTAAAAAGACCAAAAACAGTACAAAGAATTTCCATAAACTTTCACCCAGATTTCCCAGATTTTGTTTTACATTTCTTCTTTTTCTCAGACTTCTCTTCCACTTTCCCACCATACAAATGCATGTATGCATATATATTAAAAATGATCTCTTTTTTGTCTCCTTTAATCTGAAATAGTTCCTCAGTCTTTCTGTGACTTTTATGACCTTGACACTTTTATGACCTTGACACTTTTATGACCTTGACACTTTAGAAGGGAAACAGCATTTATGTTATGGAATGTCCGTTGGTCTGGATTTTCTAATGTTTCCTCGTGACTGGATTTAAGATATTGAAAGAAATATCACACGGTGATGATGTGTTCTCCCCTGTGCGTTTCATTAGGAAGCTCATGTGTCTGCTTGTGTCATAACTGGTGGTATTGACTTTCATCAGTGGATTGATTACCCCAAGTTTCTGTAATGCAAAGATTTTTTTCCCTATGTGATTAAAAAGTGTCATATGGGGAGACACTTTGAGACTATATAAATGTTCTGTTTCCCATCCTTCTATGAACCCACTAGTCTCAGCATCCATTGATGATCCTTGACAGAAACAGTTGCTGTGGTGGTTGCAGAATGGTGATTTTTTTGTCATGCCATAATTTCTTCAACATTAGTTAGTAAGCATTCTGCTGCAAATGCTTTCATTTATTTCCCTATTTATTTACTTGCTCATTTATATCAGTATGGACTGATGGATTATTTTATTCTGTGGTTTATAATCCATTGACTTATTTTGATCCTTACGTTTTTCCACATTTGGCTGGTGGGAGCCCTTTCAGACAGGCTTCTGTGTCCTTTTGACATCTCCCCACCAATCTCGGAAGTAAAGTCCTTTGAGTACCTTACTCTTTCTAGCACAGCAATACATTCTAGGTTCATGTGGTTTTCTGCCCTCAGCCCTGGAGTCATTTTTCCAAGAAGCTTGATTCCTTTTAGTGGAGTACAAAAAGCCAAAATCTTGTCAAACCAAGATCTAGGTTCCAGTGTGTGTGCTAAAATTTATGAAAGCCCTAGTTATGACTGCTCTTTTGTTCCCCAGAAAGGACTCATACAAGATACCTTGATTGTTTCCAGTAAATCTTTACTTTTAAATACAGCTGAAAATCCACGTACAGTTTTTATGCTTTGGCAATTTAGAGGTGTGAGACAAAGTCAAAACATTAGTGATTTTCTTTATACTTTGTTTTCCAAAGTAAAAAAAAGTTTCTTTTAAGCTATTCGTGTCTTAAAACAACTGAGTAAAGTGTAGTTTCATAAACAAATGAAAACATTTACCTTTCTCTTTACCTAAACTCTCTTTACTTAAAACTCTCTTTACCTAAATTCTCTTTACCTGAAACTCTCCAGAATTTAGAAACTATTTATCAGTGGCTAAGGCCAAAATAATTGTCACTCAGTTACTAAAAATAATTCATTATTCAAAAAATAACATATAATTTCATGTCGTGACTGACCCCATATTACTAACAATCTGGCCAGCCTACAATAAATAACAAAATTGTTTTTCCCCCACCAAGAAACATGACTTCCTGGTAATAAACCTTCCCAATACTAAGAAATAAAAAAAAGTCTTATCATTCTAACCCAAACAAAAATTCATCGTCAATACTTCCATTAAAGTTTTTAATTTAAAAGTACAGTTAATATACAAATATATCCCAATTTTGTTAGTTATGTTTTCTCCGATCTGTAACTCACTTTCATGGTATTTAAAATTATTTATTTTAAATAAATACTACCATATATAATCTATAGTTCCTTGTAATAGTCCCATTAAAATAGATTAGGTACAGAAAAAGACTACATCAAGAAAAAAACGAGATCATACTAATTAAAGAAATAAATACAGTCCAAAACATGTTTTCTAATAAATAGACAAGTATACACCCCAAACCTGATACTCATTCCTTATGACTATGACAACTGTGACTAAAGACTATGGACTTTCCTAGAGAAGAGCCTTCCCAACTACATAATACAATCACTGCTGGTCTTGTATATACAACAGAGGGTTGAATTACGACCAGAAGGGGGAACTTGTGAGACAAAGTAACAAAAGTAAGAAGCCCTTTGCTTGTTCGCTTGGCTTGCCAGCAGAATTTCAACAAAATCCCTTGTCAACAAAACTTCACAAAGTGCCTGACTCAAGGACTGAGAGCAGCCCTCTGGAAGAATGCCCTAAAGATGATACACGGGGTAGAGCGCAGGTTCTAAATCACTGCATTTTCCAAATACAGAAGATAATGTCTAAGGATTTTGCTTTTATCATCTGTAACCAGATGTATCCTCACATTTTACTCTATTGTAACTTGTATTAGGTTGGTGCAAAAGTATCTAATGTTACTTCTAAACACATTTGATGTACCTGCTAGACACAGGCAGGGCCGCCATCACTTATATATAAACTGTGGGCCAAAATACTACTTTAAAATAGTATAACAACTCTTGAGAAGCCTCTCCCGGGTTACATTCCTCAGTAAGACTTACAAATAAAGCTAACTTTAATTCTTCAAAAGCCTGATTTTTCTTTAGTTAACAGAGGCATTTATCTCAACCTGATGTATTTGGACATGAGTTCATGTGGTACTAATAAGTCCAGAAGTGGAACCTTTGTCAACAAAGAATGAATAAATTGCATTTACCTCAATGTGCTCCATAATTCAGAATTAGTTTAGCTATTAATGGACTTGCTATTGAAAGAGTGAGTAGAATTCAGCTTTTCAAATCATTTGCTGTTTGCAAAACTGAAGATTGTAATTATAACACTATTCTTATTCATCAGAAAATATAGCTCTTTCCATTTTTTTCTCTTCAGACACTTGTCAGCTTTCAGCAGCTGGCAAAATATTAATTATGCAAGTCTCTAAATTTTATGTCCCTTTATAAATTGAGAACTTCTGAGTGGAAATGTAGTATCAGTTGCATGTTTTTCAAATAGGGTTAGGCATCGGACCTAGAAGCAAATGTTGCTTGTCCTTTTCTGCTTATGCAGCATCGAGCTGAGAGTACATGATGTTGTTCTCAACAATAGTTGGTGTGCTTTGAGAGTATTGCTGTCACTTTTGCAAGAGGCTATTGTGTATACACTCCCATAGTCTTGGTGTATATGCTGTCCCTATTAATTAGTTTTCTGTACAGCCGAAGGGGATGGGATGGGAGCTTTTAAAGTTGGACTGGAGTATGTGTGTATATATAAATTTATTTTAAACTATGAATGGTCAAGCAGAAACACAATAATTGGTTTCATTTTGTGACTATGTCAGACATTCAGAAATAAAGAACTGATAGACTTGAATATGAAGCATTTGGAACGTGGTGCTCATCTACAAAACACCCAGCATTTCACCAAATGGATTCTATAAAACAGTAGTTCTGAAAGATGTTATTAGGCGTTTCCAGGCCCAGTCACTATGAGAACATGATATGTTAGATGCTTCTCTTGCAGATTGCCAGTGCACATTAGCTTATTAATGACTTTAAGACACCCCAAGGCATAGAAACATGTTTAATCCTTCTAGCTCCTCATTGCCCAGCCTGCCTTGAGCAGGAAGCATTTGTTGGCTTTGTGCTTGTTAACAAGAAACACTGGCATAGATCATGTGTTTTTCATTCAGCTGATAGTTGTTGAGCACTGGCTGAGCACAAGCAGTGCAGAGGTGAAAGGCAGAACTCCAACTCTCCTAGAGCTTAGATGAATGAAGGCAAGATTAGAGTTCCCTGACGAGTCCTGTGATCCAGGTCAGCTTAGGGCATTGTGGAGCACAGAGGGGGTCAAATGCTCTTACAGAGCCCAGTCTACATCCTGAGTTAGCCAGGACTCAGTTCTTATGTTTTTGTTCACTTATTCCGAAATCTTTTCTGAGTACCTACTATAAGCCAGGCATGCTCTAGACATTGGAGACTGATATAGCAGTACACAGAGCTAAGGGGAATCCTTGTCTTTGTGGATCATATGTTCTAGTGGTGGGAGACAGATGAGAAACAAGATGAATACATACAAGTGCATAATTTATTACTTGGTGATTAGTGCTAGTCAGGAAAATACAGCAGAGCAGGGATAAGAGGGGTGTGTGATCACATGTGTGATGAGGTGATGGCATTTAGCCAGGGCTGCTAGGAAAGCCTCACTTAGAAGGTGACATTTGGGTGTAGAGCTAGAGGAAGTGAGGGAGCAAACCATGTGAGTTTCTGGAGCAGAAGTGGTCTACGCAGAAGGAACTGGAAATGCAAAGGCCTGGGGAGAAGGGGGATGCTTGGGTATGTCTGAGAAACAGTGAGGAAGCCAGGGTAGTTGGAGTGGGACATACAAGCGAGAGGTTAATAGGAGATGAGGCCCAAAGGTGAACGGAGCTAGGTCGTGTAGGAGCTTATAAGTGGTCATCTGGCCTTTAGCTTTTATTCTGAGTGAATTGGCAAGGCATGGAATGGATTTGAACACTCAGAGGAGTAACAGGATCTGAGACTGGTTTGGACAAGATGACTGGGGCTGCTCGGTTGAGAGTGAACTGAGCAGGGGCGTGGATGGAGGCAAGGTTGCTGGAAGACCAATCCCTTGGCGGTTAGGGAGGTCGAGGTGAGTGGTGATTATGCCTTGGGACAGGGTAGGATCAGGGCAGGTGGTGCGTGCAGAGCAGTCAGACCCTGGATATATTCTGAAAATGGATGTGTATGACAGTTTGCTGGAGAGCCAGTGTGGAGTGTGAGTGATTGAGAGATGGCAAGGATGACCCTAAAGTCTGTGACTGGAGCAACGGGAAGAATGGAGCTGGCTCTTCCAAGAGGGGAAGATGGGAGAGAAGCAGGCTTATGAGGGGGTATTAGGACTCCATTCAGGGCAAGTTATGTTTCAGTTATTAGACACCCAGTGATGCTGTCAGTAAGGAGTTTGATACATGCATCAGGATCTCAGGAAGAGGCCCATCTGGAGGTAGAAATTTAGGAATCATCAGCATAGAGGAAGTGTTTACAGCCATTAGACCGGATGAGATGCCTAAATGAATGTTGATGGAAAAGAGAAGAGGTTGGAATATTTAACACAGATCTTTTTTTCTGTGTCAGTAGCTTTTAAAAGTGGAGTTTTTGGAAATATTAAAACACTAGGTTTAGAAGCAGAAGTAATTAGCTTTTGTTTTTTGTTTGGTTTTTTTTTTTTTTTTTTTTTTTTTTTTTTTTTTTAGCAAAAAGAACTTTTGTTAAATAAAAAGAAAAAGCCAAGACCTCGAGCCCTGGACTCCTGTGGAATTTTGAGTCTGGGGAGGGAGGAAGCAGCAGAGGGAGCAGAGGGCCCACGAGGCAGGAGGGCACCTGCAGGCTCTTGGCAGGCAGGCTTGGCCTGGGCATCATGGTCAGCACTGGGCCATGCCAGAGAGAGGCCGGATGGATGAGGCCTGAGAACTGGCCCTTGACTTAGCAGGGAGAAATGGTCTGCTGAGTTGGGTCAGCCCTTTCATAGAGTGATAGGGCAAAAACAGGACTGGCGTGGGGTTGGGCAGAATGGGGAAAGGGGCGAGGACAGAGCAGCATGGGGTACTCTGGGGAAGCTTTGCTGCGAAGGGAGGAGAGTAAGAGTGTAGGGTGAGGAGCAGGGGAAGAGGGAGGGTTTTTCAGTGCAGAATTCTAGATTTTTATGATTTTCTTCTCCAGGTTTTTAAAAAAAACTGTGATAAAATTTACATAACATTAAATTTACCTTAACAGTTTTTAAGTGGACAGTCCAGTAGCGTCTTTGTGTGTTGCTGTAAAGGCTGGGTAACTTAGAAAGAAAAGAAGTTTATTTAGCTGATGATTGTGCAGGCTGTACAAGAAGCATAGCACGAGCATCTGCTTCTGGTGAGGCCTCAGAAAGTTTCCGCTCATGAAGGAAGGTGAAGGGGAGCTGTGTGTGCAGAGGTCACATGGAGAGAGAGAGGAAACAAGGAGTGGGAGGTGCCGCCAGGCTCTTTTTAACAGCCAGCTCTCACAGGAACTACTAGAGCAAAAACTCGCTCACCCAGGGAGGGCATTAGTCTATTCACGAGGGATCCACCCTTGTGATCCAAACAAATTCTATCATGTCCCACCTCCAACATTGGGGATCACATTTCAACATGAGATTTGGAGGCAACCAGCATCCACGCTGTAGCAAGTAATGTTAACCACTGTGTACACATGGCTGTGCAGCAGATCTCCAGAATGTTGTCATCCTGCAGAAGCAAAACTCTGCGCTCGTTACAGAACTCCCCATTTCCCTCTTCCTCTGACCCCTGGCAACCACCATTCTCCTGTCTCTATGAAATGGACTACTTTACATGCCTCATATAAGTGGAATCGTACAGTATTTGTCTTTTGTGACTGATTAATTTTGCTTAGCCTAATGTCATCCTCAAGGTTCATCCATGTTGTAGCATGTGTCAGAATTTCCTTCCTTTAAAGGCTGAATAATACTCCATTGTATGTGTGTACCACATTTTGTTTATCCGTTCATGTATTGCTGGACACTCAGGTTCTTCCACCTCTGCTACTGTGAATAGTGCTTCTGTGAACATAGGTATGCAAATGTCTCTTCACATCCTTGCTTGCACTTCTTTACGGGTATATACTCAAGTAGAGTTGCTGGGTCATATGTTTAATTTTGGGGGGAACCACCACACAGTTTTCCACAGCAGTTGTACCATTGTACATTCTCACCAACAGCGCACAGGGTTCCAATTTCTCCACATTCTTACCAACACTTTTCTGCGTTTTTGTTTTTGTTTTTTAAATAGTAGCATCCTAATGGGTATGAGAGGTGGTGGTGAGAGGGATTTCAGTCATTCTTAAAACTGTTAAAATGATTGAAATCATGGCAGATTTGTAAGAGGAGAAATGGTAGGTAAAGCACTTGGGCTTTGGTCTGCCCCTGTGAGTGCTCAGGAGTGTCAGTCAGCTACTACTGTGAGGAAGGGGGTGCCCATGCCTGAGGCAGAGGGAGCAGAGCAGCTGTGCAGAAGCACAGAGTGTGAGGAAGTGGGAGAGTGTGGGGCTGCAAGTAGTGCATTCTGGCTGGAGCACCAGGCAAGGGCAGAAATGAGGTGCGGCCAGTTAGAAAGGCTACTATTAAAAAGTCAAAAAATAACAGATGTTGGCAATGCTGCAGAGAAAAGGGAATGCTTACTTACTGTAAACATGGTGGGAATGTAAATTAGTTCAGCCACTGTGGAAAGGAGTTTGGAGATTTCTCAAAGAACTTAAAACAGAACTACCATTCCGTCCAGCAATTCCATTACTGGGCATAGACCCAAAGGAAAATGGATCATTTTACCAAAAAGACACATGCACTTGTATGTTCATCACAGTGCTGTTTGCAGTAAGAAAGACATGGAATCCACCTGAGTACCTATCAGTGGTGGATTGGATAAAGAAAATGTGGTACATCATGGGATACTACGCAGCCATAATGAAGAATGAAGTCATGTCTTTTGCAGCAACATGGATGCAGCTGGAGGCCATTATTGTAAGAGAATTAACACAGGAACAGAAAACCAAATACTGCCTGTTCTCACTTTTAAGTGGGAGCTAAGCACTGGGTACGCATAGACATAAAAATGGGAACAGTAGACACTGGGGACTACTGGATGGGGAGAGAGGAAGAGGGGCAAAGGCCAACAAAGTGTCTCTTGGATACTGTGTTCACTACCTGGGTATGGGATCATTCATTCCCCAAACTGCAGTCACTCAATATACCCATGTAACGAACCTGCACATGTACCCTCTGAATCTAAGATAAAAGTTGAAATTATTTTTTAAAAAACCGGGGAAAAAAGAAATGAAGTGCAGTGCACAGGGCCCTCTGTGTCATACACATACACATACACATACACATACACATACTTATTAGATTTTATCTTGAAATGACGAGGAGCAGTAAAGAATTTAAATAGAAATGACGTAGTCAGTTCTTTCTGTTAGATCATTTGGCAGCAGTGTGATGCATGGGTTCGGGGGTGGGAGGTGAATCTAAAAGCTATTGATGTAATTCAGGAGAGAAACGAGGGTCTGGGGCAAGATGGCGGTGGGTGTAGAAGGGACAAGACTTGGTGTTGAGTTAGCCGTAGAGAGAGGGAGCTGTCACAATGACACCATTTCTGGCTTGGGCTTCATTTTGGATGGTGGGTTCTTTTTAACATGGGGATGCAGGTTTGAGGTAAGGTGAAAAGGAGTTATATTTCAGCTTGTACAGGATTTGAGAATCTTAACAGACGTCAACATGGAGATGTTCAGTAGCTAGTTAGATAACAAGTCTGGAGCTCAGGAAGGTGTTCATAAAGCAATAAACGAGCATTAATTCTGGATGCTGCAGCTAGTTATAGTATTTTAAAATGTATATAGTTTGTGTGAAGGCTTTATTTTTTTGCCTTTGTGGAACCATTTTGCATATTATGGGAATGGGAACTGTTGACAGAATTTTAAGTGAACCCAGAAGACCATGCTGTGGATATTGAGCTTTAAGAGAAGCAATTTAATGCTTAGCTGAAAGCTGAAATCTGGGTTTTTCTCTCCTTTTTTGGTGGGGGATGGGGTACATGTTTATTGATTTATTCTTATTTTCTAAGAGGAATTCTTCTTGTTAAAACAGTTACACAGAATCTATGAAATTATACTAATTTTAAATTCATAAGAATTCATTCCCAGTGTCTAGGTGTAACCATTTAAGCAGTAAAATATTTTAGTCCATTTCATTAAGTAGATAAGAAATTATCGAGTGTTTCATGGCATGAAATAATTCATGAAGATTGCAGCCAAGGGAGTCCAGGGAGCTATGTGATAAAAGCAGAGAACTAAAAGTTAGAAGACCATATTTTTGTTTCATCTATTTCTGCCATGTACTAGCCATGGGATTTGGACGGATCACCTTTCTGATCCTCTGTTTAGTCAGCCAGAGAATGAAAACATTAACTTCCTGTTTACCTCCCGGGCTCACTTATTCATTGAACAGGTGTGTGCAGGAGGCATCACACAGGGCTAAGGCTAAAACATGGAACACACGGAGTTCACAGTCTCATGGATTATAGCAAAGAGTACAGAAAGTGGCTGTGAAAGCAGCGTATAAACTATAAAGCACCATGGGAACTTTAGGGTTATTCTTAACTCTAATGAAGTTTTCTTCCTGGGAGGTTCAGGTTCTCTCTCTCATTTGAGTGATAAACTGATAGAAAATGAAAATAAAAAGAAGTGGTAGGTATGTCTGTCAGAAAAGTTAAGGTGAGATGTGCCTTGCACACTCAGAGTAGGCAGCTATTTAATATTTGTTGCATGGATAAAGTAATGGTGTTAGGATTTGGAAATTCAGTGTAAGCAGATAATGATTCTTATCTTGCTTGCTGAATTTTCAGAAATGTTACATTTTAAGAAAAGTGGGAGTTATATCTGGCACTCAGAGGAATGTGGAAATGAGCCACGCAGAAAAATTTAACTCAGAATTCAAAATCTTGGTTTATAGAGAGTGCCTGAGTCAGCGCTATATACCTAGATTTCACAATATTAATTAGAAGAATTTAATGCCATTGGAAAGTGTTAGGCACAAATAAAATATCTAATGTTTCTGATTGTGAATGAGATAAAATCCCAGATTTAAAGGCCAACATGATAATTGAATTATCTTGAGGAATAAGTGAAAGTTTGGTTCCTGAGATTGTATTTACACTTAAAGCGTGAAAAATGAGAACTTAAGTTGCAGTTAGTGGGAAGCAACTTGAGCGATAGCTCATGTAGCAATAAAGATTCTATACTGTCTGGGATATTTTAAAATTCTACAACATTGAGTCAGTTTCAGATTTATATGAGTATCTCTAATAAACTTCAAAAGTTCTAAAGGCCTTGGACTGTGACACTTTATTTTCATACTCGTTTGCACAAAATCCCACATGTTGACAGGAATAAGCACTGGTGAGGATGTGTGAGGGCCGCTTCATCAGCTCCCTAACAGATGGCCTTCTCCATTCATTTTATTCTACAGGCAAACATGCTGAAGACATATTTGGTGAGTTGTTTAATGAGGCTAACAACTTCTACATCAGAGCAAATTCTCTTCAAGACAGAATTGATCGCCTTGCTGTCAAAGTCACCCAGCTGGATTCAACAGTGGAAGAGGGTAGGTAATTGCCTGAAAGCAGTGAGCTAGAAGTGATGTTGACAAGATGGTAGTAATTAATTGCAGTGTAATTACTGCTTTTTCCTTGGGATGGCATGCTGATATTTCATCTTGTCTTTCCTAGAAGAATAGCGAGGGGGAAAAACCTACAACTTTGTGTTAATTCACGATGAAAAGATTCATATGTGGTCTACCTCATAACTCTATACTCTTTTTTAAAAAATTACAAATATAGTATTTGTTTTAAAGGCTTCTTTGAATACAGTCAGTATTAGAAGCCCCAATTTAGGTTACTGACAGTTATTTTAAAAATAGTTTCTTACCTAAAACTTACAGAGCCACTCTAGAGATATGGTCCAACTGAGACAGTGTTACACATACCTTGTGTGACACAAGCACCTGGTGTTCTTAGGATTGATGCCTGTAAAATCCTGGTGATTCTGCTGATTTAAAAATTTTGTTAACCTTCTCAGAAATAGCATTTACCGAAAGCCTTTAGGCTGCAGGCTTTAAAATAATGTTAATGTCGACAAGCATTGTATAGTTAACTGATAGTCATTTGATGATACACCCTGAAATTGTCAGTTTCAACAAAATTGAAACTATCAACGATCCCTTTTTTAAAATTTTACTTTCAGTATCTTGAATGAAAGACTCAGATTGAGCTGGAGAAAATATGCTTAAAAAGTACAAAATATACCACTTCATATTTATTTTGAGAAAAATATTTAGGTTAAAATTTAGTTTTACCTTTAAATAATGGCAGTTAACAATTGCTCTTGTTGCTTTGAAAAGATCCTAGTGTCTGATTTTTGTGCTATATCTATAGAGTAGTATTGGTAAAAATAATGCTTTTATTTTTTAAAAAAAGTAGTTGTGGAATTCATCTCTCATCATTTAAAAAATATATGTTATCTCATGTTCAGTCTTTTTCAAAGGTCAAAATTTGATTAGTGAATTACAAATATAACAAAAATGTAAAACATTGATTTTAATATTCATTATAGAAGCATTCTTACTTTTCCAACAATAAGTATTAGTTGGTCTGTTCAGGTAAGGAATTCTTAACATTTTAAACCAATCATTCACGTTTTAAATTAGCTATTCATCTTTCTTCAACTTTTTGTTGGCTGTTGCCGTTAGAATGCTTATGATAAACCTTACCCTAGAAAAGATTAATTGGTAAATTAAATTTTATGAGATTTTATAGTACATGTCATATCTTTAAAATCCTTTTCCAAACAAGATTTTACCTTATTACTTTCCTTGCCATGGATGTTACAGTAGAAAAAATACTTGACTGACAGGAAGTCTGTATTCTGTTTTGGTCTTGCCACTTTTTTGCTGGAGTTTTTGGAATCTTAACATTTCTGAAGCTCAGCTTCAGTGGTTGAATAGGTAGGTTAATAGCCTAGTCTGTCCACCTCAAAAAGTTTGATGAAAGTCAGATGAGTTGGCTGGGCGCGGTGGCTCACGCCTGTAATCCCAGCACTTCGGGAGGCCGAGGCAGGCGGATCATGAGGTCAGGAGATCAAGACCATCCTGGCTAACATGGTGAAACCCGGTCTCTACTAAAAATACAAAAAATTAGCCGGTCGTGGTGGCGGGTGCCTGTAGTCCCAGCTACTCGGGAGGCTGAGGCAGGAGAATGGCACGAACCCGGGAGGCTGCACTCCAGCCTGGGTTACAGAGCAAGACTGTCTCAAAAAAAAAAAAAAAAAAAAAAAAGAGGTGAGTTAATAAATGAAATGTAAAGTGCTGTACAAGCACAAGAAAGAACTTTACCCAGCCCCAATTTTCTGAATCCTTAGTGTAATTTTGTATCATCGATCAAGCTACTTAATTTTTGGGACTAGATACATGTTGAAAAGCTTTGCCATTTGCCATCTTTCCTTAATGTTTGTTTCAGAAAAACTTAATGTGTTATTTCCATTTGTGTAATTTTTGCAGAAGTATTTCCCACATGCATTATATTTAAACTAATGTTGTTTGAACGGTGTTTTCCTTAGGATATTCAAATCTGTGCATTTACATGCCTGTTACATTCATAACTATATTCCTATGTGATTTCTGAGAAATGCTATTTAAATAATGTTACTCTAGTATTAGGTTCAGTGAAATAATTAGATTACTACAAAAAAAAAGCCATGATTTGACCTCATTTCATAGTGATAGCTATTATCTGTGAAAGGAAAGGAATGCACATGCTCTTAAACATGGTTTTTAAATGGACAATAAAAAATATTATTTGGTTGTTCTAGGAGGTGTTTTTAATTGTGAGTCAAATGGTATTTACTTCTAAACAGTTAAAAATATTTCTATATAACTCAACTTGGGGGATTTTCTCTAAATAGTCTCACTACAGGATATCAACATGAAAAAAGCTTTCAAAAGTTCCACAGTCCAAGACCAGCAAGTGGTTTCAAAGAACAGCATTCCTAATCCTGTTGCTGATATTTACAACCAGAGTGATAAGCCACCGCCTCTGAACATCCTGACACCATACAGGTATAGCTTCATGAGTCCCAGAGCCTCTCCTTGAGATGAGGGGAGAGCTGGGCAGAGCTGGGAGCAAGCTGATGCATTGTGTGGGAATGTCCTTGATGGTTCATCTGGGTTAAAATCAGAATTGCTTCAAACTTTGAAAATAATGATTGAATTATATACAATGAAACTACTCATTGGTACATAATTATTAAAGTTACAGTATTTCAGCATATTGATACGTTTAACAGTAGAAATGTGAGTTCTGATTTTAACTTTTAGATGTAGCTACCTTAAGTAGAAGTGAGTAAGTTGCATAACAGTATTGTGTGTGGTTATGTTGTTGTTTTTAGATTCGAAGTCAATTAGGAACTGCATAATTCATTTATAATGCAGCAAAATACCTGTTTCAGCACTGCAGAGACATTTGATATTTAATTCAGAAAAAAATGTATTCTGTAGTGTTAGGGGTTTTGAAGAGTGAAAATATAGTCAGCAAATTAACCTTCTGTTACTGGAAAATGGTAGGACACGTTATCAGGACGAGACTTCCAAGAAAAACAATGGAAAATAAATAGTGCAAAAAAATAATATGAAGAGACTAACTAAAAATGCTCTTTCTAAACACCCCTCCTGCCTTCTCCCAGCTCAGCACTTTCTTCCCATACCTGCTGTCACCTCTTGTCCCATATCCCTCTTTCACACACTGTCTCTCCATCCCTTGTGGTATGTCCTGTCCTCTCCCCACCTCTGTACCCTCTTGTGGAGCTCATCCTTTGGCCTCTGACAAGCACAGGCTGTGGTGACCAGTGGTCCTCACAGCCCCGGGCCAGCTCTCTGGTGATTCTCCTGTGAGAACCTTCCAGGAGCCTGCGAGTTCTCCACTTCCATTACTACCCTCTCAGCAGTCCTACCCTCAGGGGCCCTTTGGCCCATCTCAGGGAGTGCATAGAATTTTTCTTGGTCCTAATTCCTGTCCTTTCTCAGGGTCCACAGGGAGATGTTTGGAGCCACCCTTTGTTGCAGCTGTGCTAGGAAAGTGCAGTTCAAACTACACCACTTTCTTTCCGCACAGACAGGGAGAGGCTCTCAGAAAAACAGGCCAAACTGATGGCAGAGGAGCAAGATGCCACGCCTTTTTATGGAAAAAGTAGACTTTTCTGGAGGTTTTAGCACACTTATTTAAAAAAATTAAGAATATGTATGAATATAGCATTATGAGCCAAATATTTTAATTTATGGCTTTGCATTTGTTCAATAGGCATTTTCCTGGGGCAGTTTCATTTTTACTTAGCAGTGAAGCCTCAAACACAATGTAACATGTAGGCTTGCTCATGAAAACTTTCTACCTGCCGTTGCTAAGAAACCTCACTGGAAATTCTGTTCTAAGGAAAAAAAATCAGATAACCCAATGAACCACTACATTGATTAGATCATGATAAAATATTTGTAGTGATTTATAGTTGTAGTGATTTATAGTATGAAAACTGATTTGACTTTCACATATATATGTGTGTGTGTGTGTATTCAGTCTTATGGAAAATAAAGCATATCTTTGACTTTTTTTTTTTTTTTTTTTTTTTGAGATGGAGTCTCGCTCTGTCGCCCAGGTTGGAGTGCAGTGGGGTGATCTTGGCTCACTGCAGCCTTTGCCTCCTGGGTTCAAGCGATTCTCCTGCCTCAGCCTCCTGATATCTTTGACTTTTTAATAGTGTGTTTAAGGATAGCAGTGCCAGCCCAAATTTGCTTTTTCATTAATATAGCAATATTTGGGGTATATAACATATAAATTTTCACATTTGAACTTAAATATGGCACTGTAACAATATTGTCTTAATATAAGAAGTACAAAGTGACTGAAAAAAAAATTTTTTTTTTTGAGACGAAGTTTTGCTTCACTCTTGTTGTCCAGGCAGGAGTGCAATGGCGCAGTCTCAGCTCATTGCAGCCTCTGCCTCCCGGGTTCAAGCGATTCTCCTGCCTCAGCCTCCCAAGTAGTTGGGATTACAGGCATGTGCCACCAAGCCTGGCTAATTTTTGTATTTTTAGTAGAGATGGGGTTTTACCATGTTGGTCAGGCTGGTCTCAAACTCCTGACCTCAGGTGATCCACCTGCCTCGGCCTCCCAAAGTGCTGGGATCACAGGCATCAGCCACCATGCCCAGCCTAAGTGACGGAAAAATTAAGTGTTTAGAAGCTATAGGAAACAACAGATGCTGGAGAGGATGTGGAGAAATAGGAACGCTTTTATACTGTTGGTGGGAGTGTAAATAAGTTCAACCATTTTGGAAGACTGTGTGGTGATTCCTCAAGGATCTAGAACTAGAAATACCATTTGACCCAGCAATCCCATTACTGGGTATATACCCAAAGGATTATAAATCATCCTACTATAAAGACACATGCACACGTATGTTTATTGCAGCACTATTCGCAATAGCAAATACTTGGAACCAACCCAAATGCCCATCAATGTTAGACTGGATAAAGAAAATGTGGCACATATACCCCATGGAATACTATGCAGCCATAAAAAAGAATGAGGTCATGTCCTTTGTAGGGACATGGATGAAGCTGGAAACCATCATTCTCAGCAAACTAACACAGGAACAGAAAAACACTGCATGTTCTCCACTCATAAGTGGGAGTTGAACAACATATGGGCACAGGGAGGGGAACATCACATACCGGGCCTGTTGGGGGGTGAGGGACAAGGGGGAGGGATAGCATTAGGAGAACTATGTAATGTAGATGACAGGTTGATGGGTGCGGCAAACCACCATGGCACATATACCTGTGTAACAAACCTACATGTTCTAAACATGTATCCCAGAACTTAAAGTATAATAATAAAAAAGAACGTATCTGTTTATATTCTTGTCAAGGTTAACATTTGCTTACTTAAGTGAGTTCCCGCCTTCATGAAGGTACTGGCTCCATTTTTTAAAAAACAAATGTACCTCTTATATGTCTTAAATTTTGCAGCTTTTTCTAGACCTCTACCTATTCAAGGCCTTGGTATCTTAGGGAAACAAATTATCTTTTTCACAATAATGTTATTAATAAAATCTCTATCATGCAGGTTGCCTATCAATTAGGAAACTAGGAAAAGAAAGGAAGGACATTAATAGTCAAAGGTTAAGGTATAGTGTGAGTTGCACTGGCTCTTCAGTGATTTTCAGACATAGCGACTAGAATAGCCCCATAGGCACCCAGGCCTTTGTATTTGATGGTAAGACACTTAACAGGAGATGGCATAGCAGGGGCTTTAATGACAGACCTTTGTTTTCTTCTGAACAATTAAATTAGCCATTGACTGTTTGGGCATAAACTCTCCTATACTCATTTAACTGATTTTGCTTCCCCTGTGTTCCTTAATGACTCATTGAAATGCTGATATGAAGTAATATAAAATGTTCTGCCTCCTTTTGAAGGTAGTCTTCAAAAGCATTAATAGAAAACAGTGTTTACTTTGTATCATGATGGTTTTGATCATGACTTGATTTATATGACAGTTTTGGACCTCTGCTAGCTCCATCATTGGTTTTATGATAAATGAGCTACTTATATGAAGACTTAAAATATTCTTTAGACCACAGTAATTGCCTGTGACAGTGCTTTAAAATGAAATGGCCACAGGTGAATAAAGTTTCTGTGTAGGTTACTTCCAGTTTGAAAATACATAGTTCATCACTATTTTTCCTTACATTGATGCCCCATAAACATTTTGCTTCTTTCCTAATTGAACTTATAGATGTTGGGCAAACCTTATTGAGAAAAAGAGATAAGAGTACTTACTAATTTTTATCCTAATGATATTGAAGCTCCAGTGTAGAAGTGAATGTGTTCTTAGTAAGAATCCATCCATCTCTGTGTATGGCCCCATGTTGGAATAAGCAAAAAATTTCCTGAAGTGATTGAGATATTATAAATTGCTGAATATGAGTCATGTTGTGATTTTTTTTTTCTGAGCAATTTTCTATACTCAATTCTAAATTTGCAAGAGTACTTTTAACCTACAACAGGTTATTCTACAACAGGTTGCTATTTTATGTTTTCACATTTTTTCAAATAAGGAAACTTAAAGACTTAATATGTGTAGGAGAGTTTAAGTGCCCCATGTAGATGTTATAATTTCATGAGTTCAAATCAAGTTAACATTAACCTACATATAAAAGTCTCTAACAATCTTTTCTTCCCTGACTTACAATACATTGATTTGTAGAGATGACAAGAAGGATGGGCTGAAGTTCTATACTGATCCTTCCTATTTCTTTGACCTCTGGAAAGAAAAAATGCTACAGGACACAGAAGACAAAAGGAAAGAGAAAAGGCGTCAAAAGGTAAATAATTTCAGTATGGGAAATGTGCATATCAGTGTTCAAAGGAGATTCTTGTTTAGAAATAGTAAATTATTTAAATGGTTGAGATATTGGATATAGTGCTGAAGTTTTTTTAGAGGTTGCATTTCTCACAAAAGATCCTGACAATTCAGTCAAACACAGTAATACTATCTTCAATAAATACTGATATGTTCTCCAGCACTTGCTTTGCTTTAACAAAAGTAGTTCCTAAACTTTGTTTTGTTACCATGTTTTAGTAACTCCTCTCCTGCGTTCTCAAATTTTTGTAAAGCAGTCAGTATTCCATATCAGATACAATGATCATGCAGCACAATGATGTGCTTTTGTCTTCTTAACATTTTTAATTGTTTGGTTGCCTTCTAGCTGTAATTAAAATCTTGGGAAGATGTTCACATGGGATTGAGAAGCATATGTGATTTGCACGTTCAGCGGATAGGATTTACTGAAAATGAGCCTCCCTTTAAGGGGTAGGGGTAGGAAGAGAATTGCAAGTTTGAAGGTTGAGAAATATCTGCATGCATTACAAGCAGTCTTCAAAGGAGAAGCCCACTCTACTCAGGTTAAGGGATTTGTGTTTTGAAAATTGTTCGTTTTGGGCCCAGAAATTAGACTTAGGCCACTGAGAGGAATAATTCTCTAAGGGCAAGTATTTATTAATATTTTTATATGTCAGCTGTATTTAAAAATGACCATCCAGTTTGCTTTACAGATTAGAGCGCTTTATTTAGGAGAAATGCTTAGCATTTTGTGAGTTGATAGCCTTAGGGTTTTGAGGCATTGAGGTGTGTTGGCCCAGTAGGAGTGACAGTTTGGTCTGGAGGAGAATTTGAAAATCGAAAACAGCATTAAAGGGAAGAGAACATGAGAACAGTTTGCAGACTGTGCTGTTGTAAGACACCATGGCTGGTTCCGGGAAAGAGGATGCAAAGGACTTGGTCACACACAGTCTTCTTGTGCTCATGGCTTTGGGAGATTTAATTGGGATATATCTTGGAAAAGTTGCTAGGTTTTGCAGAATATTCAAGTGAAGAAAAAAGAAAGATACCAATCTTTTGAGTGGAAAAGGAACAAATATTTAAAAAGCATATTTACCTTAATCCTCATGCTTTTTTATAGTTACAGGGGAAAATGCTGGGGCTTACCTGCCTTTAAAATGTGCCTGTTTTTTTAAAAGGCCTTCTAGGTTTCCTTTCTCAATGATGCTTTTGGCAAAACTGTTTAATTTTTTGCCACTCTTCTTGAAGGGGAAACAATTTTTATGTATGAATATTATGTCTTTAAAATCATTTGTTATTTCCTGTGCTGTTTTGTCTCATTCTACCTTCCTCAAACACATAAAATTCTGATAAGAATTTCTTTCATTCACTTATATAATGACTTGATGTTGAATGCCTTCTAAATGCTGGATAAACAGTGGCAGAAAAAAACAGGATTACCACCCTCATGGAGAGGACAATATAGTGAGGGACACAGGCCTTAAATAATCATGCAGCCCTCGGAAATGCAGAAAGAGGGAGAGAAGTTTCAAAATGTTCATATAGGTCCGCTTCATATGGAAATAGAAAATGAGGCAAGATATTCTTTATTTCCCAGGATTTCAGAAACCCAAATCATGCTCAATTTGCAGTTGACAAATCTGAAGGAAAAATTAGTTTAGAAAATTTGGGGATTAAAAAACCCATGTTTTTGAACTTTTGTCTCCTTTAGTTTAATGCTTTAAAAGCCTTAAAAACTTAATTACACAAATAAATATGAAGTTTTAAATATGTAGTTACACTGTTGGTAAGTTTAGTGAAGGACAAGTACAGAGCACTCTGAGTGAGATGACCTGGTGTGTGACAGTGTACACACAGTGAGGGGTCAAGGAAGACCTCTCTAAGGAGGTGTCATGCAGGCTGGGTTCCAAGGGAGGGTAGCAGAAGTTAGCTCAACAGTGGGAAGGTGCTACGGGGAGGCTGGAGAGGTGTGGGGGGCAGATGAGGTGGCGTGCTTCCGAATTGAGGAGGCTTCTAGGTAGCAGTGTCTAAGATCATCCTGGGGGAGGAACCAGTTTGGCAGCTTCTAAGGATTTTAATGTAGGCCAGTGTAGCTGGAGCCTGGATTCATCACTGTTCATATTCTTTCATGTTTGGTTCGCATGCGCTTGTGTGTCCTGTGTGCATGTTGATAGGTAGATTTGGAGGCTGAACCATGGTGAAGAAAGTTGCAAATATCATAACACTTCATCCCTGAATTTGTCAGCATGCATCTTTTAAAAAGTAAGGGGAATAGTTATTCATTATTTTTACACTTGATCTTAGCCAAAAGGCCGAGAAGCGATTATTCATTATTTTTAATACGATGGTTCTTAATCAGGATGCATATTGGAATCACATTGAAATCTTCCTCCCCCACTTTTTTCCTTTGGTTTTTCAAAGTACACACCCAATACATGCTGGTTGTAAAATACTCAAATAGCACTCCCTTCCCTGGGAGTACCTAGCCACGGTTAACAGCTTGGTGTGCATCTTTTAAGACCTTTTAGCATTCATAAATATTTGCATAAACATTTTACGAAGTATTTGTGTATACATAGTTGTACTACATATGACTTACATACACACACTGACATTATTAAAAATGTACTTCATTCTTTTTAATAGTTGTGTAGTATTCTGAAATATAAATGCTTCATAAATTACCCATTACTGTTGCTCTTACAATACTGCAGTGGTTATCCCTCTACTTAGGTGCAGATAATTCTTCAGGATAAATTTCTAGAAGTTGAATTGCTCTTATTGAAGAGAATGTGAATTTTAAATTTTGAAAGATAGAATTATATTGCCCGTAATCTTTAAAAGACTGAAGAACTAGTTTATGTTCTTACCAGGCCTTCTCCAGTCCTGGATATTACTTTCTTTTGATGAAAGATTGAATGTGTTACATCGTCTCATATGCTTATTAACCATTTCTTTATCTTCTGTGAATTTCATGTTCACATCCTCTGTGGATCCATGCCTAAAGCCTCCGGGATGCCTCTGAAAACGGTCCAGTTTTCTGTCTTCACCACACCCTTGGGCCACCTGCTGTTCTTTCACCCTATACCCACTTAGTAGCTTTCTCACTTGTGTCCCTATCTTCCCTCTTTTAATTTGTTTTCTGTAACACAGAGAGATCTTCTCCAATGCCTTCTCAGCATGTCAGCCTTCCCTTCTTGTTCTTTAATGGGTTCGCATTGCTGTTGGGATAAAGGCCTCTAAGGTCTTCCTGCCTTTCAGATCTTGGGCCATTCACCCCAATGTACCATTTACATTCTTTTATTTCTTTGAGTGCAGTGCTATCCTCCTCCCCAGAGCTCTCACACAGTCTGTCCTCTCCTCTTGGCAGGCACCTGACCCATACTCCTCTGCAGAATTGATGCCACTGTCAATACACTTTCAATACTCTCAGTCATTCCAGGATGCCTCCCTGACTTCCAGACTAGACACACATACACACACACACACACACACACACACACACACACACACACACGTATATATTTAAACATAAAAATATATTTGTGAAAATAAATACATTTATTTTTATGGTACATTTATAATAGTACCTTTATTTGTGTCCTCTTGTGGACTGCAGGCTCCATGAGCACAGATGCCATGTCTGTGTGTGTGTGTGTGTGTGTGTTTGCCATTTGTGTTGTCAGTGCCTGGCGCAGTACCTCGGGCATAGCACTAGAAGTTCATGCTTGCTGCCTGGCTGTGGATTTGATCATTTAGCCAGCATGTATTGAGTGTGTATTCTGTGTAAAAACAGTATGTTGAGATACCATAAGACAAGAGGGAAACGTAGGAAATAAAGACACATGATTCTCATCCTTAAAGATCATAAAATTTTGTATAGGAGGCAGGAAAAACTTAGAGGCACACATAGAAATAACTTCTCACGTTTCAAGAAGCACCTGTTTAAGAACTAAGTATTTGTTGAATGAAACATTTTCTGGCCAAGTAGGGCTAGAGGAAGAATGGTGCTTTTTATGAGCAGGTAAGTTTTTATCTTGCTTAATTTTGTGTTAAACTATTTACAGGATTCACTTATTCCGTAATCTTTTAGAAATTGGGAACAGAATGTTTTGAATTATTTTCTTTGAAAGATAATTGTACGTTAAGAAGTCAGTCAAAATTGTGTGGTGGCGGGAAATAATTTCTCTTTATGGTGTTTCCAGGTTGTTCACCCATGTAATATAGATCTGAAAGACCTTGTTTAGGTTTAAAACAAGTTACAAGCATATTCAAGTGAAAGTTTTTTTACTTTAATGAAAACGATGGTAAGCAACTCTTAACAGTTGTAGCAGGGTAACTTTTTGTTGATTCTGTTTTGTTGGTTCTGTTGGGTAAGAGGAGTGCACTGCTTTAGAGTTTCTGTAACATTAGGGTAATCGAAATGCGAATGTGTCTTGTCTGTTCATCAGGCATGGGCCTTGTGCATTATAACTGCATTTAACCAGCTGTTTTCCTTTCCCTTCTGTCTTGGCATGCTCTCTTTCCTTTCCTGGACATCAGGAGCAAAAGCGTATAGATGGCACCACCCGTGAGGTGAAAAAGGTTAGAAAAGCCAGAAACAGGCGCCAGGAGTGGAATATGATGGCATATGACAAAGAGCTTAGACCCGACAACAGGTTGTCTCAGAGTGTGTACCATGGAGCGTCTTCCGAGGGATCCCTGTCCCCAGATACTAGGTGTGTGTGTGTCACTGCTCCCTCAGCCCTGATGCTTGGGCAACTGGGTACTACCTGGTTTTATTATCATTTGAAATGCATCAATAGCTTCGGGGTTTATATGGCCCTTGATGTCTTAAGATTTTCCTTAAAAATTGTTTATCTGTATTTTGATTTTGAAATAATACTTGAAGACAGTGTTATTTTACATTGGGTTCCTTTGATTTTAGAAAATCTCTCTGACTTAAAATGTATTGTTGAGTTCATCTAGATGTAGTGTTTTAACACTGATTCTGAATTTGGGGTAACTGCTTATGACTTAAGTTTTTACTTTAATAATCATTTAATTCTTTCTCTTAGCATGGAATGTTGAATTTCCTTTGCCACTTGGTATCTAAAAATGATTGGCAGGTGGTAAAGTAACTAAGGAGTACCTTCATTGTTCCTTTAGTAACCCTTTGAAAAAATGATGAACAAAAGAGAGATTTACTTCTTATTTCAGATAACTTATATATTCTGATTTCAGGAGAAGAATTCTATTGGCGTTTACTTAAAAATTTATTAGCAGTTAAGTAAAAATATTTCTTGCAGGCGTGAATGATGTGGTCATTAAGTCACACTTGTCACCAAAGGCATTCATTGAACAACAGGAAATGACTAGTCAATTTTAACGTTTGATTCAGTTTTCTATTTCTGCTTTTGTAAAGTTGTAGTCTTCCATTTGCATAAACTCTCATCGGCATTTAAAAATTTGAATAGAGAATTCTTACAATATGTGATCAAGAATGTTTCAAAACAACAGCAACCTGGACTTTGGGTTGTATCTGTGCCCTTTTTTTCTACCTTTGTAAAACTCAGTGTTTAGCACAAACTCTTAACGTATTACGTGCCTTCAATGTTCCCACCCCAGAAGGTCTATAAGTCATTGGGAGGATGTGAGGCAAGTTCTGGTAATTTTTCTGTACAAACTTCTATTTGTTAAATATTAGAGAATTATTGGAGCTTTAACTGAGTTTTAGCCTCATTTGAATTTTAGTGTGAGTTTATTTCTATAGAAAGTAGGAATTATAACACAGTTCTGCTCATAGTTCTTTGGGTGGGGAGGAATGTATGAACTTAATAGCTCCCATGATGTCAATCTGCTTTTTTGTTTTTTTTCTAAATAATTTAGCTATGATTGTTTACTCGTGCAAAACGTATACTTTGTTTTTATCCTATATAGACTTTTCAAAAATAGATGCAGATGGGAAAATGATGGATTTTTAAAAATCTCTCAGTTGAATGATACTCCTTCTAGCATCTGAGATTATTCCATGTTGGATATAAAATGGATGGTTATTCAGATATAGTCTGCCTTTGTATTTATGTTGCTTACATACATCTGCGTTTCTCTTAATTTTCAAAAAATAAGTCTGATTGTTTTATTTCTTCAGAATTCCTTTTGTTGTCTCCTACTATTTCCCATGGCTTCTTACTATTTGCATACATTATTTACTATCAGATAAATAGATTATAACTCATCATTGTATTGGATTATAACCCTTAATTTAGAAATTTTTATTTTTTTTTACTACAGTGTGTCACTTTTTTATTATAAAATAAGACATGCTTATTATATCTGGAAGTTACAGGAAAAAATTAAAATGAAATATGATCTATAGTTTCACCATGCAGAGAAACCGTTGTATGCATTTTAGTGTATTTCTCTTTAGTCTTTTTCTATACATGTGTTTCTTTTTTCTTTTACAAAATTGGAGTCATGCCATGTTTTCTTTCTTTTGACTTTTAGAAATTATATCCCATGTTTTAGGTATTATTTCGCAACATGATTTTTAATGATTGTATCCGCTCATCTGAGTGCATCCAAGATACTGAGGGAAATTTAAATACCAGGTTTCATGGTGTGTGTATATGCTATTATATAAGTAATATACCGTAACCCATCTTACATTTTTGCTCTCTCTCTAGATTGTTAGGAATGGCTTGTTCCTGAGAATAAATTTAAGATGAGCGCTGGGAAGTGCTTGCCTGCTGTATGACCAGCTCTCTGTCACTGCCACTCAGGGAGTCGCACACCTCCATGCCCAATTGTCCTTGTTTTTTCTCATCCAGTTCTGGGCCCTGGTGCAGATCTCTGGCTGCCCGCCTGTCTACCCAAAAAACCCTGGGGGATATATCGACCTCTCACACTGAGTCTCTGCTGCTGTGCCTACTTCCTCCCGTGTGGTGTCGCCTCTGGCCCTCCCGGCCCTCCTCCTCCCATGTCAGCGTTGTCTCCAGCCCTCCCAGCCCTCTTCCTCCTCCTCCCGTGTCGGTGTCATCTCCGGCCCTCCCGGCCCTCCTCCTCCCATCGTCCCCGGCCCTCCCAGTCCTCTTCCTCCCGTGTCAGTGTCGCCTCTGGCCCTCCCAGTCCTCTCTTCTGTAATAGGTGATCACTGACCATCATGAGGCCTCGGGATCTCCACTCACCTCCACCTTGGCCGTGCGTCTGCAGCTGGTTTCTGCCTCCCCACTGGGAGTGGGGCTCATCTCCAACAGCTGCCTGCTCCTCCCTCCTCCTCCTCCTGCCTGCTGGCACATCCCTTTTCTGTGGTCCTTCCCTCTTCAACTGACCAGTCCCCTCTTCCCCCAGCCCCCGTCCTCCTGATGGGCACCCTTCATCAGGGTTCTGCCCTGTAGAAATCTCTGGTTTCTACTTCAGATATTTATCGAGTCTTCCTTCACTTCTGCCTCCATCTGGTTAGCCCCTTTTCCTTGCTTCCTTTCTACCCTGTGTTGCAAGGCTCCTTGATAGGGATCGCCCTCCTAGTTATGCCACAGTATTTATAGTTTCCTACCCTCATCTCATCAGAAAGCTGTCCATGTTTGGCTGGAGAACTCTGTTTCCTTTAAAAGGTTGCACTGTAAGCCAGTGACTCGTAGTCATGCGCAGAGTCAAGCACACATCATCAGTGTCTCCAAGGGTTATAGGAATTTACATTTTTAAAATACTCTAAATCTAAATACAGGTCAGGTCCTTCCCCCATTAAATATATTTTTAAGTCATTTGCTAGCAGCTCACCTAGTTCAAAAGACATAATCAGAAGTGCACCATAATCCAGAATTCATACTGCAATTAGGGAAGAAAATAATGAGTAGTTATTAGTTGTTACACTTCAATTAAGGAAGGAAAAAGGAAAAGAAGCTGTCTCTTCTCATTTGGAAGGCTTTTCTGTGCCACATGGTGCCCCAGTTAAGAAAAGCTACCAACTGGAATCCCAAAGATGGAAATGCAGCGTGCATCTTCCCTGCTCCCTCAGCACCCCCAATGTGTGTTTGGTATTTCCTTCAGAGAGAGAAACACAAGCTGAACCCTAACAGAAACCAGCAAGTAAATGTGAGAAAAGTCAGAACAAGAAAAGAAGAGTGGGAGAGAAGGAAAATGGGCATTGAGTTTATGAGTGACGCAAAGAAACTGGAGCAGGCAGGGAGCGCCAAAGAGGACAGAGTGCCCAGCGGGTTTGTTGTTTTGCTTTCTTTGGGTTCCCAGACTCAGACTGCCCCTGCTTCTGCCGCCATGAGAGGATGTACAGCCCCTCCTGGCCACATGTCCTGTAACCTGAGCCAGGAGCGTGTGACTGTCTTACTAACGCCCACGGCACTGCCGGGCTGCCACACTTGGGTCCTTCCTCTCCTCCTGAGGGCTTAGCAGGAATCCCGTCCCTGCACCCCATGTCTCAGCTCTGCTCCACTAATCCAAGATCCCTTTCCTTTCGGAGTTTCACACCCAGTTTGTGTGCAAAGAAAACTATGGAAAGAAGGCCTTTCCATAGTGCACCGCATTGCTTTCTGCCCTTTTTGTTAAGTACATTTCTTCTGTTTAAGAAAAATATGATTCACTCTACTGCATTCTCGATTTCTTTTCCTGTTCTTACTGTTAATATTTATCCAGTTAACCTGCCATTTTATATTTTCTAATTATATGCTGTCAGTTTCATTGCCACTGAAATCTTCTGTCTTATATCCTGTTTCTAAATGGAATGGTTTCTTTCATAGCCTTCTTAGAGAAAACGTATGCTGAAATACTGTGAAAAGGAGGCTCTGCTGTTTCCTGCTTGCCGGTCTGTCTGACTTATTCACTTCAAAGCTGTGAATCTGAATCCATGTAACACTGGGGCTTGCTGCCGACTTATAATAATTATGTTGTTGCTTGGAATCTCTCACGGGGCTATACCTAGTTGATAGTAAAGCAAATTAATGTCTGATTTTTGTGTATTAGCAATGTTATTATTCAAATACATCCATGTGCCTGTTAGCCGACAATTTTTAAATTAATTTAAATTTCTCCCACCTCTTGTTTTCAAATGCCAGGTCACATGCATCGGACGTTACGGATTACTCTTACCCGGCTACTCCCAACCATTCTCTGCACCCCCAGCCTGTGACCCCTTCCTATGCAGCTGGTGACGTGCCACCACACGGGCCTGCAAGCCAGGCTGCGGAGCATGAGTACCGGCCCCCATCTGCCTCGGCGAGGCACATGGCCCTCAACAGACCTCAGCAGCCGCCCCCCCCGCCTCCCCCTCAGGCCCCAGAGGGGTCCCAGGCCTCTGCACCGATGGCTCCAGCAGACTACGGGTAACTCAGCATGCCTTGTACCCTAATCCCTCCTGGCCTTGCATTTGAATCTTGCTCTATGTGGTAGGAGAATTTTAACTCCGGTATTTTAGAGGCCAAGATAGAGTCAAGGATGACTGGATGTAGATACTAGCAACTCTAACATTCTGTGTGAAATAAAGCAGGTGCAGCATAAGCTCAGACTTACAGTTGAGTCTCAGGCCACACTGTGCATGCATGTGTGTTCCCTCACACACACTCTGGGTGTTTGAATGGCTCTTTAAGCCAAGGCATTGATAAAGGGTATTAAGTGCTGATTTTGTGAACCTGTCCCAAACCCTCAAGTTTCTGGACACATCCTGAGTGGACCACAGAAAATTGTTATCACAGACGAGAAGACCACACCATGCAGCTCCTGTGCCTCATTTCTCAGACTTGACCAAAATCTGCTTTCGTGACCTCTGACCACCCAGACATCATTCTGCCCCAGGCCCTCCTGTTCCCTGAGAAGTAGAATTCAGAGACTTCATGTTCAGGCGTTTATCAATTTAGGCACCCACCTCTCTTTTTTTTGGCTTTACTCTAGTCTTTAAAGACTTCATTCCTCAGAGTTGGTGCCCAGGAAAATTACCGTGTGTTGGTGTCCACTGCTAACACGTGTCTGCACACCCCTGTCTGAATGACAATCCTGCTCTCAGAAGTGCTCTCCCTGGCCATGCATGCCAAGTCAGGATCCCCAGAGTGGCTTGAGGCTGTGTCAGGCCAAGAGAGGGCCCATGGTCCAGTTAGTTTGGAAGACCCTCGGCTGAATAGAATTCAGCAGATTTCTTGGCTGTGTGACTTTTCGAAGCTTTTGATACACACCTGGGCACTGCAGGCATGGGGCATTTCCACGGAGGTGGGTTAGAGAATGTAGAAAGCTCCCAATCTGGTTGACCTTAGGACCCTTAAAAGACAAGTTTGTGAGCTACCGCCTTGAGATCCCAGTGTGAAGCCTTCACTGGCGCTGCCGTCCTGGCCTCTGCAGTCAGCTGCTTTATTCTGCCTTTCTTCAGGAAGTGCTGCACTTTTTGAGTGGTCCTCCTTTTGGCACATTTCAGTAGCAGATCTTGACTTCTGTCATAATGAATAATGTCAAACTGTGAAAATAACTGACCCAAGGTGTGCATGTTTGCATCCTGCCATGATTGAAGTTCAGGTGACAATACGTGTTGTGTCTGGGGATGGCTCCGTTAGGTGTCTAAGAGCTCCCAGGACGTGACCCTCTCTTGTTCCCTTGGTGACTATGTGCCTCATATCTCTCTCAGGATGCTCCCAGCGCAGATAATTGAGTATTACAACCCATCCGGACCACCTCCTCCGCCACCTCCTCCTGTGATTCCCTCAGCACAAACTGCCTTCGTCAGCCCTCTCCAGATGCCCATGCAGCCCCCGTTCCCTGCATCAGCCAGCTCCACGCACGCAGCTCCTCCTCACCCACCCTCCACCGGGCTCCTGGTCACAGCCCCGCCACCCCCGGGCCCACCACCTCCCCCGCCAGGCCCTCCTGGTCCCGGGTCTTCTCTTTCGTCCTCCCCAATGCATGGCCCCCCAGTAGCTGAGGCGAAGCGGCAAGAGCCTGCACAGCCACCAATCAGTGATGCTCGAAGCGACCTCCTCGCTGCTATTCGAATGGGTAAGTGGAGCCCCCAGACACACAGCCTGCCTTTCAGCAAGAGGTTTCTTCATGTCTCCAGCCAGCTACAGCCTCCTTGTCTTCAAATGACTACTCACTACGTTTTTTAAAATAGAGTTAAAGGGGTCTTACTTGATTTTTTTGTTTTGTTTTGAATAGTAGTTGTGTTTTTGTCCAGTGTAAGGTAATCAAATTGTGATAAAGATTGGGAAACAGCCGGGCGCGGTGGGCTCATGCCTGTAATCCCAGCACTTTGGGAGGCCAAGGCAGTTGGATTGCTTGAGCCCAGGAGTTTGAGAGCAGCCTGGGCAACATGGCAAAACTCTATCCCTACAAAAAATGCAAAAAAAAATTAGCTGAGCATGTTGGCCTGAGCCTGTAGTCCCAGCTACTCAGGAGGCTGAGGTGGGAGGATTGCTTGAGTGTGGGAGGTCAAGGCTGCAGTGAGCCGTGGTCACGCCCCTGCACTCCAGCCTAGGCGACAGAGCGAGACCCGTCTCAAAAAAAAAAAAAGAATTGAAATTAGGAAGTTTTTACTTACCTTGAAACCAGAAACCCAATAACTGAAGTGATCGATTAATTAATTGGATCTCTTCTCTGCATTCTGCTCTAAGGGGAAAAGTATAAATGAAAGAAAGTGAGCTCATATTAATGATTTCTTTAAAAAAAAAAAAGAGTTTGTGCTGGACTTGTCATATTTGCTTGATGTCCTAAGCCAGTGGTTTTTCAGAATCTATAATATTCAACAGCATAACCCTTTTGTCAGATGAAAGTCCCGCGTTGACCCCCTGACCACAAAACACATGGAAACAGAGCATCTCAGGTGGAATTGGGTGGGGAGTCTGCCCTCGCCTGTCTTGGGCTGCCCAGAGAGCCCCTGGGAACCTCCAGCCCACACCATGGATTCTTAACCAGGTCCCAACCCAGGTTGGTCGAGGGTCCCTGACATGTTATGGGAATATCCAAGAGCTTCTCGCCTGTGGGGAGCTGCACAGACTTGGTCACAGTTTAGTCATCTCATCTGGAAGTGACCAAGCAAGGAGCCTGGCTGCAGCCCGCCAGCTCAGCATCAGGGATGTCCTTCAGAGGAGCTGTGATGCTGCTGCCTCTGCGTTTTTCTTGTGTGCCCATGAACCAGGCCCACAGTGTGGCCCACGCACCCTTCTAAAGACCCCAGGGTCCTCTGTGTACCTGGACATCATTGACACACTTTTATTTTGTCAAGATAAAAAAGTCCTAGAGGTATATTAGCTCATGAATATCAAGTTCGGGGTCATTGTAGGACGGTGTTGGATTTGCCTTTTTTTTTTTTAACACCTTATAAGCCCTGTCTACCAAGAGTAGATACATAATCTGTATCTAATCTCGAGGAAACATCTGATACACCCAAATCGACAGACATTCTGCAAAATAGCTTCCTATATTCTTCAAAAACGAGAAGGTTGTAAAACACAAAGACTGTGAAGAACTATCCAGATTAAAGGACATTAACAAAATTGACAACCAATGTCACGGATAATTTCCACTGGATTCTGAACCAGGGGATAATCTTTTCCATTTGCAATTAGATTGGGTCTTTTTGCAAAATTTGAATAATATTTGTAGGATAGATAGTAGTAGTGTATCCAAACTAATTTTGTGATTTTGATATTTTGGGTGGGCGAGGCGGGGGCGGTAACACATGAACTATTTTAGGGGTAAAGGGACATTATATGCCATTCACTCTCAAATGGTCCAGAGAAAAGTGTCTGTGTCTGTCTGTGTAAAGATGATAGGGGAAGATTGGGAAATAAATGTGGTCAGATGTTAGCAGTTGGGGAATCCAAGTATATGGGAATGTTTTTCTGCTGGTCTCATAGCTGTTCTGTAAATCTGAAATTATTTCAAAACAGTTAAAAAATGAATGGATACCATCTTGGGCAACATTGCAAGACTCTATCTCTACAAAAAAGAAAATACAAAATTTAACCGTGCATGGTGGCGTGCGCCGGTGGTTCCAGCTACTCAGGAGGCTGAGGTGGGAGGATTGCTTGAGCCCAGGAGGTCGAGGCTGCAGTGAGCCATGATCGTAACACTGCACTCCAGCCTGGGTCACAGAGTGAGACCCAATCTCAAAAAAAAAAAAAAAAATGGATAAACATTAAATCATCAAATATCTTACTTTGTTACTAAGCTAGAAAGTAGATGATTGTATTTTATGTTTGTTTCCACAGTAATTGTTGAAATAAAGGTTTCTCAGTTACTTCTTGGGTTAGCTGAGAGTGAGTAGCATAGAACACTGTTTCCAAGGCTCTGGATGCTGTTGCTGCCTAGTAGATGTCCTGTGGTGATAGAAATGCTCCAGCCTGCAGCGTCCCAGAGAGTAGCCACTAGCCACATGTCAGTTCATGCTTTTAAGGCTATATGTGCCTAGTGGCTGCTGTCTGGGATGGTGCAGCTCCACAGTTTTCTCTAATGGTGTTCAGGTACACTGAAATTAGGAATTTTTAATATTTTAACACATTACTTTGTTACAAAAAAACTTCTCACTTTGAATGCATGTTTTTTCTCATGAAACTTTTAATATTCCCTGAGCTTTTCTCCCCTCAAATTTCTAAAACTTTCTGTCCTTAGTGTCAGTAGAAAAAAAAGTCCAATAGACATATTTGTTCGTTTATCTTTAATTTGGAGCCAGCAAAAGGATGTGATTCTGAACCACGTGTTGTGTCTGCAGGAATTCAACTGAAAAAGGTGCAGGAGCAGCGGGAGCAGGAGGCCAAGCGGGAGCCAGTGGGGAATGACGTGGCCACGATCCTGTCCCGGCGCATTGCCGTGGAGTACAGCGACTCTGACGACGACTCAGAGTTCGACGAGAACGACTGGTCCGACTGAGCAAAGGCCGGCGGAGAGGCCGCGTGTGGGAGCGTGTTGAAGATTTTAAGTGGTCTCTACACCCAAATAGTGGTATTCTAATCCCGTAGCATAGCACCTTTTGTATAAACAATGTGATATTGCTTCTGCACATCCAAAAATTCTGGGTCTTTTCAGTATTTACTGTGTAATACTTAAGTGCCACTAAACATAGCAAATTGTGCTGCACATGAGGAAATAGGCTGTCACTATCACATTGTCCTGAAAACAGCATCTGCTTTCCTCTTGGCCATGAGAGTATTTAGTGCAGTTTGGGTTTACTCTTACTGATCAATATAACTCTGCAGACTTGCTGTGTGTTTGTGAAGCTGCCTGGTGTTAGGTCTCTGCAAGACTAATGACTATGTCAGAGTGATGTCTTCCAACCAGTAAGTGATATTGTTTCACCGCTTTGGTTTTTCCTTTTGTTTTTTTAAAGGATGTGTTTCTGAATAAGTTGGTTTTAGAGGGAAAGGTTCAACAAACAGGGAGAATCCAGTGTTTCTGCTTTCAGTTTCTTGGCTTGGTAGCCTCTGAGTGAATCTGATGCTCTGCTGAATAATTTCATTACCTCTGCACATGCCTGTCAAATATGAAATTGGAAGGGCCCTTTTCAGGCTGGGTTCCCTGTGGGCATTTGCTTAGTAAATGCCTGTTGATGGTTTTTGCAAGAGAATTCAGCAGCTCAACAGTAATGAAAGTGAAGAACAGAGTCCATTTTCCTTCCTGGGGCCATTGGGGATGACACTCAAGATACTTGCCAGTCTCTCCAGTGTGGGCACCAGCCGGCCAGAACAGATGCGAGCAGTCCATGACTCTGGGAGCTACACCGCTGAGCTGGGCAGAGCTGCGGCACAGGGCCTGGGCTGCAAAGGAGCCCTGCTCCTTTAGTTTCCTGACACCTGTGTCCTGAGTGAGCCGCAGGAGTTCTTAGCTCCTCAGCGAGCAACAGAGAGCACTTTAGATGGCACCTTTCACCACTTGGTCAGAATTTTAAAAGCTTAGGTTTAGGTGAAAGTAGATATTGACAGCTATTCACCTTTCACGGTGCTGGGGCCAGATTAGGGATCACTCCCGTGAGGAGGGCCTTCACCCTGTTCTAGAAGCACATGGTTGTCCTCCTGTTGTTGGCACATTAAATGATAAAAAGCACCTCATGAGATTCCCTTGATCAGCCCTGCAGCTGTAGTACAGTGCTGTGCCCTCACCTCCACCCTTCCTGTTGTTCCCACGTGGGCAATACCAGGGACCCATGGGGAAACTCAAGAATGACAGCTTCTATATTTTGTAATTCTGGATGAAAGATAACTGTGTTGAACAAACAGGTGCTCCAGGCTTTGATTATAGATACGACTTCAAAAATATGCTAAGACGCTTGACTTATTAAGGACTTTAACCTACTCAACAGTATTTCATATCCATTGTGGTTAGTTACTCAGTTATGTTGAGAAGAATCTGGAGCTAAAAGCAGAGATGTTTGAGGTGACGGTAGGAATGTGAGCAGGATGGTGATGGGGGTTTTTGTTAAAATGCATCTGAGCAAGTCAGCCAGCCCCGAAGTCCCCTCAGTGTGTGTGTCTCGAGTGGCTACCTGTTGGGCTTGTGGGCAGTGATTGTACAGAGCCTGTCCATTGGGTGCAGTCATGTAGATCTGAAGCCCTGAAAAGCCTCATGTCTGCATCCCCTTTCCAAGGCTGCTTCCCTGGTGTGTCTGTTCTCTCCTCTGTCCCAGGTGCTGGGAGCGTCCTCTTCAGCGTCTTTTCCTAGAGCTGGTCACCACTAGGCTGTCACTATAAATTCCTTGAATATAAGTAACAGTTATTAATGAACTTCTAAATTTCTAATTTCTCTCTCTCTCTCTTTTTTTTTTTTTTGTTGTTGTTAAAAAGGGCCTACTACATTGGCGCTATTCTTAGGACTTCTGCAACTTTTAAAGTCTTACTTGTCTTTCTTGTTGCTTTTGTATTAGGAGTTCCCCGTGTGGGTCTAGAACTCCCCTTTGGTAATGCTTCTTTGTTTTTTTATGGCCCTTCTGTTCTCAGGATGGAGAGAACACAGAAGCTACTATCCATGTCAGGATTTATTCTATTTATATCTTATTACAATAAAATTAGTGGCACTTTATTCATAAATATTCATGAGCCTGTTAATTGTTAGTTGTCTTCCTGTAGCTGAATCAACAAGTTATTTTCAACTCAATTTTATGACTTGCGAAAAAGCTTTTGCCCTGTTGTGTACCATAACATTTAAAAGAATGGAAAATGACTGAAATCCAATTTAGATTATTTTTAGAGTATTTTTCCAGCAAATTCAATTTATTCTGAAATTTAAATCCAGATCTTTTCTAATATGGTATTACAATGAAAAGAATAAAGAGAAGATTTGAATTTTCAGTTTCATTTTCAAAAACTATTTACCAAAACAAATGGAGAAGAAACATCCAAAAGCACATTTCATTTCTCCAAACTTTGTGTTTTAAATTATAGTTATAAATTGTAAGGTAATTTTAAATTGTCCCTCGTATTATTTCTCCACGTCTGTTTTAGTTTAATGTCTCCTAAGCTTTTCTCTCATAGCGTAGACCTAGGGAAGGGATGGGAAGATTGCCCAGTCCCCGATGGCTGCGCACACAGGAGGCGGCGGAGCACAAGGCAAGTGAGTTTGCACTGTCAGCCCCAGACCGTAAGCTTGGCTACACTGATGTTTTTCTTTACTAAGGATACTATTCAAAAATTAACATTTTCATCTCAGTAAGTTTTTAGAACATCAAAATGTTTTCTGAGCTCCAAGTGGCTAGGTTGTAAAAGTTTTATAATAATTTGCAATTAAAATACATGATACATATTAATCCATTAAAGACTAGTGGGAATGTATCAGCCAGAGTAGCAAGTAATTTTTGTTTTATAAATCATAGTATCTGTCATCTTGCAGTATTACCAATGCTGTTGTAAATTGAATTTAAAGTGGTATTAAAAAAAACTGTTAAACAATTTTTATCTGTTTGTATATCTTACTATAGATTATGTACAAGTAACATCTAAATAAAATTACACTTTTAACCCTAAGAGGTTTTGCTTATTAATAACAGTGTTGTATGTTTGGCTTTTTTGGAAGAGAACTTGGTGTTAAGTGGTTTTTTGTTTTTGCTTTTGTTTAGCATTTTCCTTATTAGACAACAGAAGACACTACTTTGGTTTCCATTTAAATTTCTACATAATTTTTGTGTCACCAAGAGTTCAGATTGAATTCCTGAATGACTCGGGGCAGCACTAGTCTGGTTAGAAAGAAAAGGCCATGCTGGGAGTAGGGCAGCCACCTGTTGAGAGGATAGAGCCTGGGGCAAGAGGGTCTTAACCACATTTACTCTCAACGGTAAAAGTGAATAACACGCTGTAGTATGTATGTATTGCTTATGAGATGTTTTCATTTAATCCTTACAATAATCCTTAACATTCTGTTTCATATGTGGGAAAACTAGAGTGAAGCTAAGTTACTCTCTCAGGGACCTTGGTCGATAGAAAACTCAGTTCTGGGGCAGAATCACATGTTGGGGTAATGAGAGTCGAGATTGGGTGGGTAAGTGTGGCCACATACTTCAGAGACAGCCAGACTGGAGGTCAGGCTTCCTGTAGAAGCTGCTTTCAAGTTCCTGATGCACACGGTGTGTACCTCTACCATGGCACGCATCATGTGGTATGATGGCTGGTTCTGTGTGTAGCCTTTCACTGGACTGTGTGCTCCTTGTAGATGTAAGTCATCTTTGCATCCTGAGAGCCTTGGCACAGCACCCAGTCTCCTAGACAATGAGCAGCTGCTTTTTGCATGATTAGATGAGTGGATGGATTCCTGAGTGGTTTTCTTTAGCAAAAAGTAAAGTGTGAGCAACTTTTTTAAACATGGCAAATTCTACCAAATACCTTGACCTTGCATTTCCTCCTTAGTACTTGTCATCTGATGTGTGGCTCCCTCTTTATGGTGTGTATTCCCCACCAGACTGAGCTCTGGGAGGCAGGAAGGGGCCTGTTCTGCTGTATCCTGTGTGTTGAGCACAGTGCCTGGCACTTTCTAGGTTTCAAATAGTTATTTAGGGATTGTTGTTCATAGGGAAAAAGGGGAGGCTTCTTCAACAACTGTTTGTGAGCCTAATAAGATTTTTAAATACATGGATATGTGTAAAACACTTGGAAGAGTGCCTGGTGCTAAGCAGACACCCAGTGGTTGTGACCCACCTCTTTCGTCTACAAGCCACTGGCTGAAAAAGAGTGGCAGGCTGGGCCCTGCCCTCATGGGGCTGCTCATCTAATGAGAAAAAAGGACATTAAATATTGTCGAATAAGTAATTTAGATCATTTGACATGTGCTGAAGTTTGGGGCAGAATGAGAAGTGCCCAATCTCAGTGGGCCAAGAGAAGCTGAGATTTGAGAATGAACAGAAGTTAGCTCAGGGAAGGGAAAGGAGTTTTTCAGTAGAGAGAACAGCCTGTGCATTCCCTAAGATGGGAAAGACAATATGGGGTGAGAATGGAACTAAAGTATTGTGGAATGGAAGCACTGAGAGGAAGAAGTGTCATGAGATGGGATACAAAGATGCTGGAAACCTCCCATGCCCAGCATTCGGGATTTAGGGAGCTTTCTGAACCAACAAACCCCACCATGATGACATGTCTGCCATAGCTGCACACCTATCAAAATATTCATATTTACAGCCTATTGGTTTTTTAATTGATCTTGATAGCCTCATGCCTTAGATGGCACTAATCTTAGAAAGGATCTTAGGTCCGTTTTATTTATATGTATTTAGAAGGCATCTTAGTGCTCTGCTAGTCTAGCTCCTACCTTTAAAGATGGGGAAAAGGCCATTGCTTCCATTGATGGGGGCTCAAAGCTTGGTCTCTTGACTCTTGAATTTTCAAGAGTTCAAGGTCCTCCTGTTCCACCTTTCAGAGTTAGGTAAATATCCCTCACCCTCTGTTTCATTATGAAAAAAATTAAAATCTACAATAAAGTTGTTCAGTAAACACTCATATACCCCTCTCCATCTGTTCATCAATTCTTATCTTTTATGCATTTCAAAGTAATGTGTATTCTTCACCCCGAATTCTTCAGCATACATATCATTAGAGTTTAATATTTATAATGTAAAATACACTTAGAGTAGGTTCACTGACTCTATTCTGTCATCTGTTATATAATTTGCTCTTAAGCCCATCTAGTAAATTTTTTATTTCAGACATTGGATTTTTTCACTCTAGAATGTCCTAATGGTTCTTTTTTGTTGTTCATTTATTATAAGCTTATTTTCCTTTACATCTTTGAGCATAGTTATACTGGCTCTTTAAAAATCTTTGCTAATTCCAACATCTGGATTTTTTTTTTTTCAGGATCAGTCGCTATTGAGTGTTTTCACTCTTGAGTGCATGCCTAATAGTTTTGGATTGTATTGTAAACTCGGTGAATGATACATTTTAGAGACTCTCGATTCTGTTATGTTCCTCCAAAAAGTACTGATTTTTTTTTTTTTTAAAGAAGACAGTTAACATGGCTAGAATTAAACTCTCAATTCCTCCCTGCCCCCATCACCCAGCACACACACAATAGACAATAGCAGAAATTTCTTAAGTTCTTTTAACCTTAGCCAGGCTGTTTGGAGTTTATTTGGCTCACGCTTGGTTACAGAATCAAACAGAGACTCAGGCAGTTTTACACAGAATTTTTGGATCCCCCTCTGGCTCTTGTTTGTAGGAACACTTCACTTTCAATCTTCTTTGATCGCTCTGAACTCAGCCCTCTCATTTTTTTAAGCCAATAAGATGGTGGGTTAAGTCAGCCAGCCAAGACTGCAGATTTTCTGTTCAGGCTTAGCTGCCTGCTTGGCAGAACAGGGCCTGCCCTCACCAAAATGCCTTTAATAATCAGAAATGCAAAGCCTTTTTCTTCTGCCAAGCGTCAGCTCCCCTCTCATGTGTTTCTGGTTTTGATTTCTGTGCAATGCCTTCGATGGCTGTGAGGTGTATTTTGTCCAGTTCATAATTGTTATCTGTAGTGATTTGGTCTGAAATGAGCTAGTTCTCCAGTCCCAGAAGCCTCATTCTATAAATACTTGATGCAACATTTATTTTTAAAAATGTTAATGTAAATTTAAAAATGCAAACTGATGTTTAATACCCAATTACAACAAATGATCAGTGTCTCCATTTTTCTGCCAAGCAAACTTGTGTTTGCAAGGACCCCACAATAAAACTGGTGACATAGTTCTTTAACAAAGTGGTATCCAAGTATTGCATGATGTGATAGGAAACATGTGTCTACGTCTTATCTGTGAATCAGAATGTTCTTTAAGGCCGGATGCTGTGGCATGCCTGTAATCCCAGCACGTTGGGAGGCTGAGGTGGGTGGATCACTTGAGGTCAGGAGTTCGAAACCAGCCTGGCCAACATGGTGAAACCCCGTCTCTACTAAAAATACAAAAATTAGCCATGCATGGTGGTGTGCGCCTGTAATCCCAGCTACTCAGGAGGCTGAGGCAGGAGAATTGCTTGAACCTGGAAGGCGGAGGTTGCAGTGAGCACGGATTGCACCATTGCGCTCCAGCCTGGGCGACAGAGAGAGACTATGTCTCAAAAAAAAAAAAACAAAAAACAAAAAAAACCCAAACCCAGAATGTTCTTTAAACCGTGCAAGCAGAACAGTATGTGAGTCACATGGGCATTAAGACTACTTTAACAAATCGTCAGCCTTACCCCCAGTCTCCATTTTTATGTTCATCAAATAACTTTAATATTTTCACTGAGTTTTATAAATTTAGATTCAGGAATAAATCTATACACATAAAATATTTACTTTTAATTATTGGGGTTCATTTGAATCAAGGGTTCCACTACCTAAAACTTTGTAACCACTGCCTAGCATCACCAGTATGTAAGGGTTCACGTTGTTATGGGACTGTGTACTGTACTCAGATTTTGTGTTCTGTGAAGACAGTCCCAATACAGAGCTGTGTCACAAGCTTTTGAGGACATGGATATTTAATTTGGAGGTGTGGGTAACTTGTAGAGGTGTCCCAACAGGGAACTAGATGAGAAGGAGATTTGCTTCCCGAGTATACTTTCTTCCCGGGCCTGGCACCTGGACATTGATTTGCCAAAACACGTGAGCACTGTCCTGTGGATATCTGTACGTGCGATCTTTTAATTGCCCCACTGCATTTGCCCTGTGTACTTGTGATGTGAGTAATTAGCTTTAAATACAGCACCATGATTAGTTAGAGGTGGTGAATTGGCCGATGATTTACCATGAAGAAAAATTAAGAAAATATGCCATTTAAGAGTAATTTAAAAACCTACCAAGTGGTACTTAACGTGAAGTGACATTTAAAAGCATTTCATATTCGAGGATGTGCGTCAGCTGCTGTGGCCTAAAACCAGTTGAAACAGCAGTTTGACTCTGCAGCTGGCACGTCCTGAACCTGTGAACATGACTTAGCATCCGCATTCAGAAGATGTTTCTTTGCATGTGTGTAGGTGACGGTGGTTTGAAGTGTATCTTCTGAGAGCCACACTTGAAGATCTTGATAATTAAGTTAGGGGAGCAGCTTTCAGCTCCTTGACATGTCTTTTAATATTTCAGAGACCTAGCCAGGCATGGTGGTGGCTCATGCCTGTAACTCCAGCAATTTGGGAGGCCAAGATGGGAGGATCACTTGAGCTCAGGAGTTTGAGACCAGCCTAGGCAACATAGCAAGACCCCATTGCTCCAAAAAGAAAAAGAAATCAGCTGGGCATGGCAGCTCACTCCTGTTGTTCCGGCTACTCAGGAGGCTGAGATGGGAGGATTGCTTGAGCCCAGGGAGTCAAGGCTGCAGTGAACTATGATCGCACCACTGCACTCCAGCCTGGGTGACAGAGTGAGACTGTGTCTCACAAAAAAACAACAAAAATCACACACACACACACACACACACACACACACCAAAAATCAAAGACCTGGGCCTTCATTTGGTTTTCCAATTGGGGAATTTCAGCGACATGCCTTGAGGTCGGGGCAGGAAGCAGCATGGTGATCAGCACTGGATGACTCACCATGAAGGGCCCCAGGTTGCCTCCTCCCAGGGCACCTGGCCACATTTCCATTTGCACAGGTCGCAGTGTTGCTGTGGCTCCAGCAGCCCTGTGTCCCTCCTGTCCCTGGTCTCTGGCTCGCCTTGTCACTGTAAGCCTCCCTCCTCCCTCCACCAGCACGACTTTCCTTGCCAGGCTCCTTCCTCACAGAGGCCGTGGGTCCCTGTGGCCCCCACATCGCCTTGGTTTCTGCTGTCCTTCCCTCTTCCCCCGACAGGTGACCTGTCCTCTCCTGTCTTCCCCTGATGCTTCCAATGCCAACCCGGTCAGATCCTGCCACACTGGGTTTTGGGGGTGCAGAAGCCCACATAAGTTAATAAAGGAGCTGGCCCTCTCTCAGCAGAGATTAGAAGTTGTGTCTGAGCCGAGATGCCCCTGGGCACCAGGAAGGAGTCCCCTTCAGTGCCTTCTCAGCTGAGCCTGGGTTCCTCCCAGGCTCATTCCCACAAGGAACCTTGTGGGATGAGCTCAGAGCCAGGGATTCAGATCTGGCATCAGAAGGGCTTGATTTTCGTGTCATCTGCCCCTGTAGGCGAGGTCAGGCACAGAGGGGTCCCCAGTGAGGGGTTCACACACTGAGTCATGCTAAGCTGGAGGACGGGGGACTCTGGGCTCCACTCACCCGCTCCCCTGGTATGCGTGTTCAAATGCAGATTTCCAGGCCCCATCCCAAACCTACTGCATCAAAACCTTGAGCACAGGACCCAGAATCCACAGTTTACCCGGTAGCCTTCTGGAGTGGTTCTTACTAGGCACGCCAGAGTTAGGCCCTGCCCTTCGTGCTGACCTGGAATGATTGACAGGAGCCCGAAGATGCCACCTGCGATGTTCTGGGCTATTGGACGACTAATGGTGCCTCATGGACTCCAGGGGGACCCAGCGCCCTCTCCATCAGGGGCTGTCCCTTCCTCCGGTGTCTGGTTGGCAGCAGCTGAAACCCTGCCCACAAAGGTGAGCTGGGTTATGACCCAGTCGTTTTCATCTTTGGACCCCAGATGGAAAGATGCAGAGCTGCCATCCTTAACTCCCATGTTCCTCTCGGAGCAGCTCTCCCTGTTCCACAGCCCCTGCTGTCTGCACGCCCCTGAGCTTCCCGCTTGGTCAGATCAACGGTGCTGGCCGCACAAAGCACGTGGGAGCCCACGGTCCTGGCACAGGTCATTCAGGAGCTCCTTCCTATTCAGGGCCTAGGGAGGAGAGGTGGGGGCCTGAGCTTTGCCTGTGGGCTGTCCCCACTGATGTTACTCACTGGATGGCCTTCCCGGGCTGGAGTAGGGAGAGGGTCATAGTCTCTGCTTGGGTCCTTGTGGCAGACACAGGGGCTGGCACACTGCATGCAGGCGGAGAAAGTCAGCATGGCCTCTTCTAGCTTCCCCCCACTGGCTGCCGTGACATCAGCCTGGCACTCTTAGGTGTCTGACATCAGCCTGGCACTCTTACGTGTCCTTGCATGGCCCGTGTCCTGCCCCCTGACTTCTGCCCTAGGCTGTTTGCGTGATGCATCTCCTGCGCTGTCGGGCCAGCCCTCCCTCCTCCTCCAGCAGGCAGTGGAGACCTAAGAGGCGTTGCGCCACAGCAGCAGGACCCCACCCCGTGGCCCCAGCTGGGACAGGCAGCATCAGAGGATGCATTTAGGACAGCAAAGGCCTGCACTGATTTTCTTTGGGTCACACCTTTTACAAAGATGTTTTGCTGGGGGCTGTCTGTGGCTTTCACACTTAGGTGGAGAAGGAAGCTTTCTTCCCCTTCTCTTCCTGACCGGCTTCCCTTGGGGGTGCGCAGGGGCCACCCGTGGGGCCTGTCCCAGATCCACTTTCCCACATATTACTTGACTTTAAATGGGAAACAGAGTAAACATTCTTGGGTGGCCACCATACCTAGGAATCCTGGTTATCTGCCTTCTGCTAAGACCTGGGCCAGAGACTGATTTACACCTGGTGGGCCCCCGACCTCGTTCTGACAAAGGCCACGTCTGTGTTGAACCTGGTGGCCCAGGAGACTGGAGTCAGTCGGTGCCTGCCCCTCCCTGTCGCCCAGCTGGACTTGTTCCCAGCCGAGCACGGAAAGGGAGCAGCACTGTCTGTGCTAAGGCCCTTGGAAGGAAGACATTGTGGAAGGCGATTAGGAAGAGGTCTCCCTGATTCAGGCCTGGTGAGGGAGGAGGTGGGGCCGCCTGAGTTCAGCAGCTCAGCGGGTGTTAACTAGGAAGCAGTGCGAGGTGCAGCCAGGGCAGGAAAGGAGGACAGTCCCGCCCTCTGGGGCCTGGGCCACTGACAGCGGGGTCGGGCGGTGGGGAGCAGATGAGTGGAGCCTGGAGTCCCCAGTCCTCCAGCTTAGCGTGACTCAGTGTGTGAACTTCTCACTGGGGACCCCTCTGTGCCTGACCCCGCCTAGAGGGGCAGATGACACGAAAATCAACCACTGCATCCCCAGGACCGCCACACGTCCACCGAAGGAACAGCTGTAGCTGCCGGAGGGAAGCTGTGGGCCCTACAGGGTAAGCAGGTCTGAGCCTCAGACTGGTGCATCTCTGCTGGAGCGTGGTGACATCCTCCATCGCATTTCCCGCTTAGATGAAGAAGCAGAAGCTTTGGGCTGAGCAATCTTTTTTTTTTTTTTTGAGACAGGGTCTCATTTGTTGCTCAGGCTGGAGTGCAGTGGTACGATCATAGCTCACTGCAGTCTCGAGCTCCAGCGATCCTCCTGCCTCAAATCTCCGGAGTAGCTGGGACTACAGGTGCACACCACCACACCTGGCTATTTTTTGTAGAGATGGGGTCTTGCTATGTTGTATTCCATGCCCAGCCCTTCTGATGCCAGACCTGAATCCCTGGCTCTGAGCTCCTCCCCAAGGGCCCTTTGCAGGAGGAAGCTGGTCAGCTCGCAGCCATTCAGCTGCTCTGCCTGGAAGCCATGGCCCTGATTGCCACTTGGAGGGTGATGGCTGGAGGCCCAAAAGGACACCCAAAAGCAGATGAGCTTGATAGGAGGAACAAGGAACAATGTGGCCTCTTTCAATGTGAGGCTGCAGGGCTAGCCTCAGAGTGTGGCCTGCCCCCAGATTTGGCCTAGAAGCCAATGGTTAAACTCCCAGAGCTGTAGGTTGCTCCCAGTCCTGACTCCCACCCTCCCCAGCTCCACCCTGGGTCTAGGTTGAAGTAAATGTCTGGGATGGAGTAGGGGACGTCTGCCTGGCTCACTTCATTTTTAAGTTTACCCGTGATGGAATCATCCTGACATCAGAGCTGCGCTGTTGAACTGTCCTGCCTTTTTCCCTGCAAATGTTGAAGGAGGGTGTTTAGGGAGGCAGGAAGCAGGGCTGGCCCCATGGGTGAGGGGTGAGGCGTGAGGGTTCGGGGTTCCTCAAGAGCAGCCCTGCGCTGCACAGGCCTCCTCCAGGAGCATGCACGGGGCACTGGCTCTACACCAGGAGCATGCACGGGGTACTGGCTCTACACCAGGAGCGTGCACGGGGCACTGGTTCTACACCGGGCAGAGGAGTAGGGACAGAGGAGTGGCTGTTTTGGAGAGCGGCTGCTGGAAGGGAGCTGGGGAGTGTCGGGGAACAGGCAGCTGTGTGACCAGGCTAGCTTCGGAGTGGCCTGGGAGCTGAGGATATGGAGGTCAGCCTGCACACCATGTGTACAGAGAGCGGAGTGGGGTTGCCAATGTGGGTGTGGGCTGGGAAATCTTGCTTGACACCCCCCAAACCCTGGGATGCCACACCCCAGCCCCAAGGGCTCCCTGAGCAGGAAGGAGGCAGGCGAGGCTCAGGGTTGTGGCTCAGAGCCCTCCTCAGGAGTGAGCTGCATGAAGGTGGAGTGGGGTGGCGGTGTCCTCTGTGACCACTCTGGAGGAGATGCGGGGGACGCAGCGTCACCGTGTCCCTGGCCTCTACCTGTGTTCCTGCTTCTCCCAGGGCTGGAGTGCAGGCCTAGGTATTTGAACATTTAAAACTAAAACCATTTGGAAATCTGTCTTTGAAAGTGTTGGGGCTCAGAAAATTGTACCCCAAAATGAAAGTCTTGGAAGCAGCCTCAGAAGCAAAAGGTTTTCCCTGACCTCCTCCCGCCCTCCTGTCTCTTAGTCCCATTTTCCCCCAAGGCTACCCATAGAAACCAGAATCCCTCTTCCCCAAGATGGGTCATAGAAACCACACCCTCTTCTCTCCAAAGCCAGCCATAAAACCTGTTACTCTTTTTCTTTCTCAGACTCTCTGTGTAAAAACTGGTCATAAAGAAATGATCTGACCTACCTTGTTTGACTGCTGGTCATAAGACCCCCTCATTCCAGAAGGAAGGAATGTGTGCTCAGAGAGGCCAGGCAGAATCTAGCCGGACAGGCCTTGCTGGGTGTCCTCACTCGGTCTCAGCGTTAGATCACACCCTTCTTGTCTGATCATATTCTACCCGGCCGTCCATACTTTGTTGGACAGAAGCATAAAAGTGGACAAGTTCCCCTGTACGTTCGTTCTTTATGCTGAAGGCTCCTGTGTACATACGTTACATAAACGTGTATGCCTTTTCTCCAATTAATCTGCCTTTTGCCAGCTGATTTTTCAGCCTTGGCCCCCTCGAAGGAGTGGCGTCAGCCCCCGGGCTCCTGAAGAGGACAGGGCGCTTCTGAGCTCTGAGCCTGCGGTTCCTGGCGGGTGGATTTTACACAAATGTCAGAGGCCCCTGCGCTGTAAAAAGCAGGTGAAGTGTAAAGGACGATTCCTGCTTTCCCTTTAAAAGTCTATCAAGGGCGTCCACGTTTGGTTTAATGCCGAGACGGGGATGCAGGGAGGCGCTGGCCTCCGCCTCCTGGAAGCTAGTTAATATCGCTGCAGAGCCAGTAGCTCTTCCTTTCCGAGGGCGCCCTTCTGCGGGTCTGTGGGGAAACACCGCCCTCTGGTGGCCAGATGATGAAGTGCGTTCTCTGAAGACCAGGCTCACAAGTTCGGCTCCCTATTCACTTGCTCAATCCTTCATTCTTTCATTAAACAAATATGTGTTTTTCATGCACTGCTGTTGAGAGTGAACTGGTACGAGTTCTTTGGAGGGCAATTTAGCAACCCTGTATCAAAATTAAAACTGTACATACCCTTGACCGACCAATTTCGTTTCTAGAAACATATCTGAGGCAGGCTGGATTTTCCAAAAATGCTGATGACAGTATTTCTAGACCTATATTCTCTTCCAGAATCTTGCCACTCCCTATCAAGAGGTGTGCCCTGTTTCCTTCTCCTTGAACCTGGTGGGATTTTGGAAGTGCCTGATTTCCAAGGCTACACCCTAAAAGGTAACGAGGCTTCTGCTTGGCTCTCTTGCTCAGAATGCTACCTCTGGAACTCAGCCGCCATGTTGTGAGGAAGCCCAGGCCACATAGAGAGGCCACAGGTGAGGGTCTGCTCCCAGCTGGGGTCTTAGCCACTGCAGGGAGACAGACAGGGCCCAACCTTACTGAGCTCAGCTTGCCAAAATTACAGATTTCTGAGCAAAAATAAATATGGTCTCCATTTTAGATTACTTAGACTTAGGGTAATTCATTATACAGCTTTCATAACTGTAACAGATATACATTTCAGATTTATTTGCACATGAACAAAAAGATATATTCAATTCAGCACTGTTTGAAATAACAACAGATTAGAAAACATCTTACTGTTCTTGCAGCAGAATATTGATTAAATTATAGTCTATGCACATTGGAATACACTGCAGCTGTAAAAAGAATGAGGCCATTTTCATTGAGTTAAAATGATCTTCAAGATAGATTGTTAAAGTAAAAAAAAAGCAAGGAGCAGGAAAATGTGTATATAATACGCTATCTATTAGATTAAAAAAGGAAAAAACAATATATATCTTCATTTACACGTGCATACAATATTTCTAAAATGATCCACAGGACAGTGATAGCATTACCTCGGGGCAGAGCCCCTGAGTATCTTGGGGCAAAGTGGTAGGGAGATCTCTACTGCAGACCTTTTTAGTACTTTTCATCATGTGAGCGTTTACCTATCTAAAAAAAGTCCTAATTATTTTTAAATGTAAAAATCCTCTTTGATATGCTAGGCAGAGTGATGTTGAGATGAAAGACACAGCTGCTGCTCACTGTCATACAATTTGCCTTATTGCTCTACTATCAAGGCAAAACAGTAAAGCAATGGGGGGTTGTATTATTCAGGGTTTGACAGAGAAACAGAATCAGTAGGAGATGTGTATATATGTATTTATTTAAAAAAATGTGTAGTGTTTAATCTGAACAGCCAGTGGCTTAGTCAAGTTAACATATACATGAAGAGACTTATTATGAGGAATTGACTTACACTATTATGGAGGCTGAGAAGTTCCATGACCTGCCATCTGCAAGCTGGAGACTCAGGAGAGTGGGTAGTGCAATTCCAGTCTGTGTCCAAAGGCCTGGGAACCAAGGGGCCTCGAGGTGTAAATCCCAGTTGAAGGGCAGGAGAAGATGAGATGAGATCTGCCCACGCAGGCAGGCAGGAAGCAAAAGGGGCGGATTCTTTCTCCTTTTGTTCTACTCAGGCCCTCAAGGGATTGGCTGAGGCCCCCGTACATTAGGAAGAGAAGTCTGCTCTACTGAGCCCACAGATTCAAATGCTTGTCTCATCTGCAAACACCCAGAAACACTGTTTAATCTGGGCACCCAGTGGCCCAGTCAAGTTGACACATAGAATCCACCACCATGGGGTAGAGAGAAGTCACAGAATCAGACTGCTTGGGTTCAAATCCTGGCTCTGTTCTGTGACCTTGGCCAAGGTACTCAAATGACCAATTCTCTAGTTTTCTCATCTCTGCAGTGGGGGAGTAATAGTGCTTACCTCAAAGGGTTATTCAGATTTTGGTAATTGGCTGTTGAGCTATTCAGATTTTCTAATTCTTATGTCAATTAATCATTTCAAGTTTTTTTTTGAGACAGAGTTTCACTCCTGTTGCCCAGGCTGAAGTGCGGTGGTGTGATCTCAGCTGACTGCAACCGCCGCCTCCCGGGTTCAAGCGATTCTCCTGCCTCAGCCTCCTGAGTAGCTGGAATTACAGGTGCCTGCCACCATGCCCAGCTAATTTTTTGTGTTTTTAGTAGAGACGGGGTTTTCACCATGTCAGCAAGGTCTCGAACTCCTGACCTCAGGTGATCCACCTGCCTGGGCCTCCCAAAGTGCTGGGATTACAGGCGTGAGCCACTGCGCCCGGCCAGCGTTTCAAGTTTTTAAGAGAATGTGTCCATTTCCCCTTCTCTTTTTATTTTATTTTTATTTTTATATATATTTTTAAATTTGAATTGCTTCTCTCTTTTTCTTGATTAGTTTTACTACTGGCTTTTCTATATTCCAACTTTTTTCAAAGAAATGAATATTTGGTTTGATTCATCTTCTCTCTTTTTGTATTATTCTTTCTTTCATTCGTGTCAGCCCTTATCTCGGGTGTTTGCTTGCTTGGGGTTACTCTTCTTCTTTGTGAAGCCTGTTGACTCAGAGCTTACCTCATTTGTTGTTTTTGAATGAATGCATTTAAAATTATAGTTTTACCTCTAAATATAACTTTCTTAGTCCTACAAATGTTGACATGTGGTCATTTTCTTGTCATTCAATGTGAAATATTTAATAATTTTCCTTATTTTTCTTCTTTATTACAAAGATGATGTATGTGTTGTTTTTGATTTTCATCTATATGGGATTATATACATTGATCCTTTTGATATTGATTTTTTTTCTTTTCTTTTGAGACAGTCTCGTTCTGTTGACCAGGCTGGGGTGCAGTGGCGCGATCTTGGCTCACAACAACCTCTGCCTTCCAGGTTCAAGCAATTCTCCTGCCTAAGCCTCCCACTTTTGATACCGATTTTTTAAATTTTATATAAGGCTAGAGAAGATGGGCTGAATGTTGCTGATTCTTTGGTATGCATTGGGCCCTCCTTCATGGGCTTATGTATCGCTCGTGTTCATGACTGTTCTGTGTGCACTTAGAGGCAATGCTCATTTTCTTTAATCTCTAATTAACCAAGATTATTCAAAATATTAATCGAAGCTTCTATGCCTTTGGTTATTACTTGCCTGCTTGATCTGTTAGCTTCAAAGGAATATTTTAAAATATCTAATTTATATTTTTATTTTTAATACTCTTTCCTTTTCTTTCTGATTTTTAAAATTTTGGCCTTAAAACAGTTTTGATACCAAAATTGATATACAGCTTTCTTTTCATTTATATTTGCCTGGGATATGTTTAATAACTTAAAAGAAACTTTCCGTATCCTTTCATTTTAAATAGGTTTCACATACATACACATGTTCGTACATATATACATACATCTATGTAATGAATAGCTTTCTTTTCTAATCTTTATTTAAAATAGCTTCATCAGATTAATAGTTTCTTTCCATTTCTAGTTTAAAATTTTGTTTAAAAAATCACAAGTAGTTGTTGAATTTTACAAATGACTTTCTATATTTATTCAGATGTTCATGTGACTTTTCTCCCTTAACCCGTTAACTACAGATTACATTATTTTGTTACTATTTTGTTTAGAAGTTTTATATTTATTTTCATGAGTGAGATTAGTCTACAATTTTCCTTTTTAAAACTATTTTTATTTCGGGAACAAAGCTTTGTCAGCTTTATAGAATAAGCAAACAAGCATTTTTGCTGTTTTCTATTCTGTAGAAAAGCTTTTATAAGATTGGCACTTTTGGTCTTTAATTTAAGGTTTGGCTGAACTCAAGAGTGAGGCCATCTGAAGCTGGGCTTTTCTTTTGGTTTTTGATGCTGATTCAGTTTTTTTTGTTGTATTTTAGTATTTTGTATTTTAGGGCAATTGTCGCTTTTTATTTCTTCTTGAGTCATTTCTGATGAGTTACCTTTACCTAAAAATTAGACTATTTCTTCTAAATTTCAGGAAAAAGTTATCTGTTATATTCTCTTGTTATCTTTTTAATGCCAGCAACCACTATCGTGATGCTCTGTTGAAAGCAGTTTGTGCTGTCTTTTGCCTCTGAGTCCAGCTCACTGGTGCTATGCCAAATTTATTAGTTCGTTGTTTGTTTGTTTTTGTTTTTAAAGAAAGTAACCTTTAGTGTTGGTCCTCTTTATTATGTTTGTTTTCAATTTTATTTGTTTGTGCTCAGAATTTTGTGATTTCTTTCTTTCTCACTTCTTCAGGTTTATTTTACTATTCTTATTCTAACTTCATGAGATGGACTCTTAGTTCATTATTTTTCAATCTTCTTTTCCATCATACACATTTTATGGCTATAGTTTTACTACATTCTGCTTAATTAAATTCCGTAAGTTGGGATATGGAGTCTTTTAATTAACATTCAGTTCAAGATATTTTCTAATTTGCATGTGTGAGTGATTCAGAAGCAGGTTTCTTAATTTGCAAACAGATGAGGATTTTCTGCTTAGGTTTTTGGATTTTAGTTCTCACTTTATTGCACTGTAGTTTTAGAAGACACTTTGCATGATAGCATACATGCTGTCTATGAAATTTGATGAGATTTACTTTATGATCCAGGACATAGCCAGTTTTAGAAAATAGTGTATTTGAGGTTATTGGATGCAGTGTTTTATATCTGTCCATTGATTTAAGTTTTTTTGTATTGTCAAGTCTTCTATATTCTTACTGAATTTTTTTAAATCACTGAGAGGATGTCTGTTAAAAAAAAAAAAAAGTCCAGGCCAGGTGTGTGGCTCACGCCGATAATCCCAGCACTTTGGGAGACAGAGGCGGGTGGATCACTTGAGGTCAGGAGTTGGAGACCAGCCTGGCCATGATGGCAAAACCCCGTCTCTACTAAAAATACAAACATTAGCTGGGCGTGATGGTACATGCCTGTAATCCCAGCTACTTGGGAGGCTGAGGCAGAAGAATCACTTGAACCCAGGAGGTGGAGGTTGCAGTGAGCCAAGATCATGCCACTTTACTCCAGCCTGGGTGACAGACCGAGACTCTGTCTGAAAAAGAATTCAGACTAGTATCTCTTTATTTTTGAAGTTCTATCAGCCTTTCCTTCACATACTTTTATACCTGTCATTAGGGTTTGTAATTTCGTGTCCTATTTATGTAGTGCCTGCTATGAACACGCACGCCAGGCATTGTTCTAACTGCCTTCGTTACATACTAGCTCCGTTATATCCTCACAACTACCCTTAGAGGGAGGTATGAGTATTGGCCCGGCGCGGTGGCTCACGCCTGTAATCCCAGCACTTTGGGAGGCCGAGGTGGGCGGATCACGAGGTCAGGAGAATGAGACCATCCTGGCTAACACGGTGAAACCCCGTCTCTACTAAAAATACAAAAAATTAGCCTGGCGTGGTGGCGGGCGCCTGTAGTCCCAGCTACTCTGGAGGCTGAGGCAGGAGAATGGCGTGAACCTGGGAGGTGGAGCTTGCAGTGAGCCGAGATTGGGCCACTGCACTCCAGCCTGGGTGACAGAGCGAGACTCCGTCTCAAAACAAACAAACAAACAAACAAACAAAAAAAAAAACAAAAAAAGGGAGGTATGAGTATTATCCCCATTTTCATGGGAGGACAGTGAAAATAGCAGAGATTAAGTAATGTGCTGAAGATCACACACACAGAAAGGAGCAGAGCCGGGCTGAGATAGGCAGGCTGACTCTGGACTCTGTTCTTTTAACCAAATGTGTGTATCTTTCTGGAGTGAACTCCTGACTTTATGACATGAACTACATTCTAGTAATTTTCTTTGTCTTAAATCTATTTTGTCTGCTATTAATAATGCTCCACCGACTTTTAAAAATTCACATTTTCTTGGTTTATCTTTTCCTCTCCTTTCACTTTCAACATTCCGCATCCTTATGTTTTAGATATGTCTCTTGTTAACAACAAATACTTTTGTTCTTTCCATTCTGACAGCTTTTGTATTTTAGTTGGAAAAACTTAAGTTTAATATGACTTCTTATATCTGTTGTTTAGAGCTAGCAGGTTAAGTTGTACTTTTTCTTTGTCTGTTCTTTCATTCTTTTCCCTTCTTGCCTTCATTTGGATTGATTTTTTTAATCATTCTAATTTTTCCTTTAAGTTATTTTTTATATTTTTAAAAATCACTACTCTAAGAATTGTAATACGGAAACAATGTATCAAAGTCTAAAGTTAACCAATAATTTTTCCCAGAGGTAATAAAAAATGATTTTTAGGCTGGGCGCAGTGGTTCACACCTGTAATCCCAGCACTTTAGGAGGCCAAGGCGGGTGGATCACTTGAGATCAGGAGTTCGAGACCAGCCTGGCCAATGTGGTGAAACCCTGTCTCTAAAAAAATACAAAAATTAGCCAAGTATGGTGGCAAGTGCTTATAATCTCAGCTACTCTGGAGGCAGAGGCAGGATAATCAGTTGAACCTGAGAGGCAGAGGTTGCAATGAGCTGAATTTGTACCACTGTACTCCAGCCTGGGTGACAGAATGAGACTCTGTCTCAAAAAAAAAAAAAAAGATTTTTAACAGCCAGTGTGGCACACACATAGATCAATCAGAAGCACACCGGCCAGGTCATGCAGGGGGATGCAGGGATGCTCACCACCAGGACACAGCCCCGTGCTCACATGCCTCTGGGACGGCACATGGGCTATACCCCATTTGCCTCTGTGTTAGTCAGCTCAGGCTGCCATCACAAAATACCACAGACTGGGCAACTTAAACAACCCAGATTAATCTTCTCACAGTTCTGGAGGCTAGAAGTTTGAGATCGAGGTGCCAGATGATTCTGCGTCTGGTGAGGGCTCTCTTCCTGGCTTGCAGATGGCAGCCTTCTCACTGTGACTTCACATGGAGGGCGAGAGAGGGAGAGACAGAGAGAGAGAGAGAGCTCCCTGGAGGCCCTTCTTCTAAGGCACTAATCCCATCCTCCTGACCTGATCCACCCTCCTGACCTGATGTAAACTACTCACCTCCCAAAAGCTCTGTCTCCAAATACCAAATACTTCAACATATGAATTTATGGGGGTTGGGAGGGAGTTCAGCCCATAGCAATCTTTTTTTGTCTGACTTACATGTTTTTTTCTCATTATCCTAACCTCATAAGATAGAATTGTTTCATGCAGTTAGTGTTCTTTTAGATTTATCACAATGTTTATCTTTATTATTGCTCATCATTTCTTTGTATATTTCAGACCTTCCATTTGAGCTCCTGAAGTACGTTATTTTAGAACTTTCTTTAGTGAGGATGTGCTGGTGGCAAGCTCTTATTATGCTCATCTGAAAAGATATTCATTTATTTATTTATTTTGAGACGGAATTGCTCTGTCGCCCAGGCTGGTGTGCAATGGTGTGATCTCGGCTCACTGTAACCTCCGCCTCCCAGGTTCAAGCGATTCTTCTGCCTCAGCCTCCGAAGTAGCTGGAATTACAGGTGCCCACCACGATGCTCGGCTAATTTTTGCATTTTTAGTAGAGACAGGGGTTCACCATATTGGCCAGGCTGGTCTTGAACTCCTGACCTCAGGTGATTTACCCATCTCAGCCTCCCAAAGTACTGGGATTACAGGCGTGAGCTACCATGCCCGGCCTGAAAAGATCTTTATGTGACCTCTGTTCCAGTTACGGAGTCTCTTAGCACCAACATCCTCCTCCACGCCCTGCCTTGACACCAGGCTGGGACCCTGTCCCCTGCCTTCCCGCCTTCACCAGCAGCCCCTGTGTGACCCTGCCAGTAGGGGGCTCGGCCAGTCAGCTTCCAAGCAGGAGACAAGCTGGACCGGTTATTTAAATAGGAATATTTTAATATAAAGAATTATTAGGTAGAACAGGATAAGGTGGTTCATTATTAAAAGAGGTAAAAGGAGACCCACAGGAGCCCAGAATTAGTAGATGCAAAAGAACAGCTACTGCCTCTAGCGCGAGGAGGACAATGAAGGAATGAAGTACAGCAAGTCCTTGAATAATGTCATTTTGATCAACGTCATTCATTATGTTTGATGAGAAAAAAATTTGCTTCCCAGCTGGGGCACTGTCTGTGTGGAGTGTGCAGTTGCCCCCACGTCTTGTGGGTTTTCTCTGGGTACTCCAGTTTCCTCCCACACCCCAGAGCTGTGCATGTTAGGTTTGCTGGTGTGTCTACATTGCCCCGGTCTGAGTGAGTGTGGGTGTGTGGATGCATCCTGCAATGGGATGGCATCCTGAGCAGGGCTGCTTCCCGTCCTGCACCCTGAGCTGCTGGGATATGTTCAGGCCATCCATGACCCTGAACTGGAATACTAACAGTGTCATCAGCCATTTCCATCTGGACAGCTGCTCACAAAGGTGCAGCATTGTGGCTCTGTTGCTCCAGCCCACAGATTTGCTAGAGAAAAGAAAGTAGGCTGGCCTAGGGCCACTCAGAACAGAGTTCAAAGTAAGGCCCGAGTCCAGCAAACGGGCAAGCCCTGAGTGTGCCTGGGTGTGCACATGCATGCATGTGTGTGCACGTGTGTGTGTGCATTTGTGCATGCATGTGTGTGTTTCTGTGTGCTTTCGTGTGTGTGTGTGTGTATGCATGCGTGCATCCCACCTGCCCCATTACTCAGCACAGAGGCCTGATGGGAAGGGTCCAGGCAGTGTTGTGTGCAGCCTGCCTGCTGGGGTGGGGGCGGTGGAGGAGTGTGTTAGAAAGTGAAGGGCACTGACCTTGGAGTCACACAAGTCATTCACCTGCCCCTCACTTACTTCATGGCCCTGGGTAGGTCGCTCACCTCTGGGAGCCTTGGTCCCTGTTAAGAATGGCACCTACCCTTAGAGTGTGTTGTAAGCATCAATGAATCTAAATTCGGTGACAATGAGGACTCTTCCTTAGCTTGCTGGGGGCTGGGGAGCAAATGCCAGGTATTGCTTTATGACCATTGTGATGCATGTTGTCGTGAGTTTAGATCATCCTGCCAGGCCTTCTAGGAAACCAACTTACAGAGAAGTTCAAAGGCTTTCCACTGGGTGTCAGTGGTGCTCAGCATACCCTTGGAGGCATCCCCGTGTCTGAGCGTGTTTGAAAGGACTAGGATAAGATGTTCGGTGCCAGGTGTCACCAGGGCCTCTCAGCTCCCCTGCAGGTCCAGGAGTGGTGCCTGGAGCCTTCCCACCCACCTCATTCCCCTGCCCCTGCCACTGCCTCCCCCATGCCCTCAGGTGACCTGGCTGCCCAGTCCCCAGGTGGGCACCACCACTGGGCCTTCTCATGAAGGGCATATAATTAGAGCGACTCATTCTGAAACTACGGCTCCCCAAGACTGACCCTGTTTGAAAGTACACGCTTCCTACCCGAAGGAATGTCTCCTCCATGGAGCTTGGGAGAGGGAGATTGTAGGGGCGGCGGGCAGGTGGAAGGTTTTTTGTGGAAGCACTGTCTGACTTCCAGAATCTCTGTTTAACTCCCAACTCCCTATAGGTTCTTCTATATTTTCTCTGAAGAATCCTGGTGGGGACTTTTATAAGCGGAATTAGCCAGGAAGAAACATATATACCTAACCCCAGAGACATAATAAAGTTCACTTGCAGTGCTTCTGTGAGTGCTGAGAGGATTTCGCGGCTGCTTCTCATCCCTGGAGCTTCTCATCGCCTCCTCTTGTCCTGTTGGTTAGTCGTCTCCTTCTTGGGGTCCTAATTAAAAAAAAAAAAAACTGGCTTCCACTGGCTTCTGGGAATTTCTACTCCTCCTTCAGCAAAGCAGGACTTACAACTATTACCTTCCTATCCCCAGGGTGTGGAAAGACTACGCTGTGAGGATGCATAAGAATGATACAGTGGACTCTGGGAACCTGGGGGAGAGGGTGGGAGGTGGGTGAGGGATGAAAGACTACACACTGGGTACAGTGTACACTGCTTGGGTGATGGGTGCACCAAAACCTCAGAAATCACAACTAAAGAACTTACTCATGTAACCAAACACCACTGTTCCCCCAAAACCTATTGAAATAAAAAATAAATTTAAAAATAAAGACTAGGCTGAACTTCAAAGAAGACTCTACCTAAGCCCAAGGAAGATTAAAAAAAAAGACGCAAACAGAGTGCAACATGAGATTAGATTTTCCGGAATATAAGAGATGACCTATTTGCCTTGACCTCACGTGCCCCTCTGCCCAGCTTCTGGAACTCCTGCGGTGGCTCAGAGTCATAGCCCTCCTGTGACCCTCTCCTGAAAAGGTGTGCACAGAAGAGCAGGCCTAGAAGCTTCACAAGAGAATGAGGCCCAACAACTCCTAAAAATACCTAATTCTCACCAGCAGAAGTCCTGTCCTTCAAGTTTTAAATTCTATATGAAGACAGAGGAAAGGCTCTGCCTTCGCTGACAGGATCCAGAGTAAGACTACAGCAGGACAATTCACAGCACACCGCTGTCAGCCCACTGAGGGTGATTCTACCCGAGGCTGCCCTGGCGACTCTGACAATGTGGCCTGTGCCGCCAAGACCATCTGCATTCAGTCTACATTCGCCATGAGACCTCTCATGCTCTTCCTCTAATTCCACATGGAAAGTGGTGAAGGGTCTGTTTATTTACACCTGGGAATGTCTGTGTCTTTGTAGAATAAACTGAAGGCTAAGGCAACTCTTTGGAAGACCATTCCACCTGGAAACCAACGATCTAATTTTGCTTCAAAACTTCCCTGTCTCTGTAGAGCTCACAGCGGTCTTCGCAACCACATGCTACAAGCTTGTTCACCATTCCCTTGAGGCTGCATAAATACATTATTCGCTTCTGAGCCCTGCCTCTCAGGGGTCTGCTTTTCTTCAGCCAAGTGTCCCACGGTGTGTCCAGAATTGTGTGATAGCAGTGAGGGAAACCACCAAGATGACAATTTACTTACTGTCTCTTGGACCTCTCTCGCCCCTCCCCGGGACCTCAGGCTGCCTTTGCTCTAAGAAGGGCCAGGAAGCACTGTGGCTGGTGAGGAGACCAGGCCAGGATTAAAGGGCGTGGGCAAGTTAGAAAGTGGTCTGGACACCCCTTGTCGCCACTGGAACTCCCACTTCACATCCATTACGTCAGGATTCTGGGGGTAGGGCTTGGGCACCCATGTTTTCTAGAGCTCTGAAAGCGGTTCCCATATGCAGCGGGGGTTGGGACTTCACCTCTACTGCTTTGAACAAAAGGTCCCGTGAGCGCAGAGGTGATTGTGTTTTCCTTATGGGGAGTGATATATGCAGGTGGGCCTCAAACTTCAGCGGGCATCAGAGCCACCTGAAGCGTTTGTTAAAATGCGGATTGCTGGGTCCCTGCACTCAGAGTTTTTGTTTCTGAAGGTCGGGGTGGGGCCAAGAATGTGCATTCCTGACAAGTCCCCAGGGGAAGCTGGGGCCACTGGTTGGGGCTCTAGCTGGAAGCCCCACTGCGTGTGCGGGGAGTGTTTCTGCCCTCAGGGACTGTATTTCTTCCCATCCAAGCATGAGAGGAGTCCCTTTCAGAGGTGAGGGGGGGCAAGCCCAACACAGAGGCCCGTCTTCCTGGTCTCATGGCAGTTAATGCGATGGGCTTCCCGGTGGGATCTGGTACTGAGCAGTCGTCGCAGGTCACCTGATACGGGACAGCAGCTGCTCTGGACTGGCGCTCGCTCTCACCGTCTCTCTCTCTCTATTGCCCTCGGGTGGGAGGAGCCAGCTGAGCGGCTGGCAGTCTCAGGCTTCGAAATTCTACCAGTTTCCATGCTGTAAAGTGGGTCACAACCCCTTTATTTGCCTATTTCTCTAAACTTCTTAAATGTTTAAAATATAATTTTTTATTTGTTTATGCTGGTAAAATACTTGTAAAATTTACCATCTTAACTATTTTTAAGTGCACAGTTCAGGGGCATCAAGTACCTCGTTGTGCCACCGTGACCACCACCCACCCCCAGAACACCTTGCACCTTCCCAAGTGGAGACTCTATCCCCATTGAAGGATAACTCTTCTCCTCCCCTCCCCTCAGCCCCTGGCCACCATTCCACCATTTCTGTCTCTGTGAGTTTGACTACTGTAGGTACCTTGTCTCGGTGGAATCATGCACTGTTAGTCTTTTTTTTTTTTTTTGTCTGGCAGCTTTCACTTAGCCTGGTGTCTTCAAAGCTGAACCAGTTTTTGATCTCAGTCAGAATTCTGATACCAGATTGGTGTAGACAGAGCTTGGGCTTTGGACTCATGCATCTGAATCCTGTCTCCACCTTTTCTGGTTGTATGACTTTGGACAATTTACTTACTGTCTCTTGGACCTCAGTTTCCCCAGAACTAAGGCAAGTCTTATACTATTTGTCTCATAAAGTTGCTGGGAGGATTAAGTGGGACAGCAGACATAAAGCCCTTGACCCATTTAAGGTAGTGAAAAGCTAGTTAGGTTTCTATTCTTTCCCTACCCGGGAAACTGAGAAACCAAGGTTAGGTAACCTAAGCAGGGTCTTGCCGCTTCCTGGATGGGCGTTTTCTGTTTCCTACAAGCAGAAGTCTTGTTTTTACAAAGTGAGCTTGGACTACATCCACGTCTGCAGTGTGGTATGTGTGAAGGACTGTTTTTTTGCCTTTTGAGAGTGTTTTTAAAATGAGCTATCTGCTCTGTTCTTTTTTCTCTTCTCTTGTTTAAAATGCAGTGCTAACAAAATATTTCTGGCATAGTAAGCATAATATATTGAGAGATTTTTATAAAGGATTAATGTAACTTGGAATCCAATTAAGGCTAAGAAAGCAGTTCTCATTAAGATTCCAAATTATGCCACGCAGTACAATTTTCTAATGATTAGGATAGGAAAAATAGCAAGATAGCTGAATTTCACAGCATAATGCAAACTTGAAATTATCATTTAGGCCGGGCACAGTAGCTCTCGCCTGTAATCCCAGCACTTTGGGAGGCTGAGGCGGGTGGATCGCTTAAGGTCAGGAGTTCGAGACCAGCCTGGCCAACATTTTGAAGCCCCATCTCTACTAAAATACAAAAATTAGCTGGGCATGATGGTGAGTGCCTGTAATCCCAGCTACTTGGGAGGCTGAGGCAGGTTTATCACTTGAACCCAGAAGGAGAAGGTTGCAGTGAGCTGGGATTGCGCCACTGCACTGCAGCCTGGGTGACAGAGTAAGACTCCATCTAAAAAAAAAAAAAAAATTAAAGAAAGAAATTATCATTTAAAGCTGGCTGTGGTTATTTCCCTGTCATCAGGTAATAGGCCTTGTTGAAGCGAATCACAAAAGAACAGGCCAGGTGTCCTGGGCTGGTGGTCCCTACCCTTGGTGCATGTAAAAATCACCTGGGGAGATTTTAAAATTCCTAATGCTCAGTTTGTGTACCAGACCAATTACATCAGCATTCAAGGGGAAGGAGTTGAACACCAGCGTCAGTATGTTTTAAAGCCCCAAGTGACTCCAGTGTGGAGCAACGTTGAGAACCCTGCTCAAGTCCCAGTGTTAACCCAACTGCCCTGCCTCCCCATGTCCTTCTGTAGTTTTCCTCATCTAGATCTTGTTCATATTTTGCTAGAATCATACCTAAGTGTTTTATTTTGGGGAGAGTGCTGGTGTCAATGGCATTGTGTTTTTAATTTCGAATTCTGTGTGTTCATTGTGGGTATACAGAAAAGTGACTGGCTTTTGTATATTAATCTTGTATCCTGCAACCTTGCTCTCATTGCTTTTGGTTCCAGGAAGGTTTTATTGTTGTTGATTTTTTTCAGATTTTCCACATAGACAATTGTGTCATCTGTGAACAAAGATAGTTTTATTTCTTCCTTCCTAGTCAGTATACCTTCTATTTCATTTTCTTGTCTTATTGCATAAGATAGGACTTCCAGCATGATATTAAAAAGCAGTGGTGAGAGGGGACGCCATTGCCTTTTTCCTGATCCTAGCAGGAAAGCATTCAGTGTCTCACCATTAAGTGTGTTGTTAGTTTTCAGTTATTTTGTAGATGTTCTTTATCCAGTTGAGGAAGTTCCCCTCTGTTTCTAGCTTGCTGAGACTTGATGTCCTTTTGAAGCCTCTTGCGAAGTGTCTCCCATACACTGCACCAAAGCCATCACCCATCAGTTTGTGTGTATGTGACTTAGTGATTCTTTCGAGATACCTGCTTCCCCCAACCTAGAATCTCTCCATAAGAATAGTAATAAAAAGTTGGATGATAGTAGAGAGTTGGTTTGGAGTCTTAGATTTTAAGAAATGGAGAGTGGTCCTTGGGCAGAATGTAGAGTTGGGCAGCAGTGGGAGCTAGGAATTAGGGAAAAGAAAGGAGACTCAGAGAGAGGGGCCAGGGCTTCTTTGGGAGGAAGACAACCTAGAAGAATGCACTGGAGCTTCCCAGGAAACACCAAGGGTAGATCTGGCCTTTAGCTCTGTGCCAGTGTCCTAGCCTGTCCTGCCTACGCTTGGCTGGCATGGGGAGGAAGGCACATGTGACAGTGCCCATTTTTAAAGAATCTCCTTTGTCTTGACCCTCTAAGAAAGGCAAATTCTATTGTGGTGGAGGGGTTGTTGGGCAGCAATTCTGAAGTCCAGGTCAAATCTCAGCTGTAGTGTCCAAACCACACTTCTGTCCAGTTGAAATCAGGTTGAAACAAATGCTCTAGCAGTCCTGAAGAGGATGAGCTGTTACACAAGAGCTAATGGAGGCACATACAAAAGCAGCCACCTTGTAGGATGGTCACATCCTTGGTTGGGAGCTGTCTCCAGCTCTCCGCTCACACTGCTCTGCTCTGCCCTGTGCCCAGACATTTCTGGAGTCCTCAAAGTTAGGGGCTGGAGTTTCCCCTGAATTACTGAGCTCTGGAGAGAATATAGCCAGGAGCCTTGATCACTGACCAGGCATCAGAACCCCTGGGCCATCCTAGAGGCCTCCTTTATAATAAAGAAACTAGTAGATGATGGCTTCCTGTTTCTTAGGTGGATTATTAGTCAATATCTCTGTGGTTGCAAGAGTCAAATCCAACTCAAACTAATTCAAGCAAAAAGAAATGTTTAGTTGGGAAGGCTACCAGTGGGCCACAGAACTGCAGGAAGTACTACAGAAGCCAGGCCTCAGGGACTGGAACTGGGGAGTCAGTACCTCAGAGCCTGTCCTTCCTCTCTCAATCTGTCTCTTTTCTGTTCATGTCTGTGTGGCTTTTGTCTGCAGACAGGCTCTCTCTGCAAGCAATCATTCATTCCTCAAGGCCACTCCCCTTCATTGAGTGCCTGTGATATAGACACAGCACTGAACATGTAGGACACACAGCAGGTAAGCTGTTTTGTTTCCCTCAAAGGAAACTGGTTTTCTCTTTCTGACTATAAAGATGCTACCAACAATACCAAAGAGCGTATCAAATAAAAATAAAAATAAAAATACCTCTGATATGATTTGGATGTTTGTCCCTGCCAAACCTCAGGTTGTAATTTGATCCCCAGTGTTGGAGGTGGGGCCTGATGGGAGGTCATGGGGGTGGTTCCCTCATGAACAGATGAATGCCCTCCCTAAGGTTGGGGAGTGAGGGAGTTCTCCCTTTATTAGTTCCTGAAAGAGCTGGTTGTTGGAGAGCCTGGCACCTCCCCGCCCCTGTCTCTTACTCCCCTCTCACCATGTGATCTGCACACACCAGCTTCCCTTCCACTTGCCCCATGAGTGGAAACAACCTGAGGCCTCACCATAGGCAGATGCTGGCGCCATGCTTCTTGTCCAGTCTGCAGAACTGTGAGCCAAATAAACCTCTTTTCCTTATATATTACTCAGCCTCACCCCATATCCACCACCCCGAGGTAGCCATGGTTAACTTTTTAAAAAATGTTCTACAATGTTTATTTCAAGAGTTTTTCAGTAGCAAAAAGGAAAAATCAATTACAATCGGGAACGATAAGGGGGTTCAATTAAATTTATCAATTTCTTTTTATAGTTGTAAAATATATAATATAAATTTTCCATTTTAACTTTTATTTTTTTTGAGGTGGAGTCTTGCTCTGTCGCTCAGGCTGGAGTGCAATGGCACAATCTCAGCTCACTGCAACCTCTGCCTCCGGGTTCAAGCAATTCTCCTGCCTCAGCCTCCTGAGTAGCTGGGATTACAGGCACGGGCTACCACGTCTGGCTAATTTTTTTGTATTTTTAGTAGAGATGGGGTTTCACCATATTGGTCAGGCTGGTCTTGAACTCCTGACCTCGTGATCTGCCCACCTCAGCTTCCCAAAGTGCTGGGATTACAGGTGTGAGCCACCACGCCTGGCCTTTAACCGTTTTTATGTATACAATTTAGTGGCATTAAGTACATTCACAATGTCTTGCAACCATCAACACCACCCATCTCCAGACTTTTTTCATCATCCCAAGCAGAAACTCTTTACCCAGTAAGAAATAACTACCTTGACTGGCCACCAAGGAGATCAAGAACATCTTGGCCAACATGGTGAAACCCTGTCTCTACTAAAAATACAAAAATTAGCTGGGCGTGGTGGCAGGTGCCTGTAGCTCCAGCTACTCTGGAGACTGAGGAGGGAGAATCGCTTGAACCCGGGAGGTGGAGGTTGCAATGAACCGAGATTGCACCACTGCACTCCAGCCTGGGTGACAACAGTGAAACTCTCTCTCAAAAAAAATAAAAAAAGAAATAACTACCTTTCCCCATCTCCTCAACCCCGGGTAACTTCAATTCTACTTTCTGTCTCTATGAATTTACCTATTCTAGATATCTCATATAAATGTGATCATATAATATTTTTCTGTTAATATTTTGATAGTCATATAGATTTTTAAAAAATGTCCATGCACATTTCAATACACAAACAATTTTATATTCATTAAATACTTCAATTTACAATGACAGTCTGCTTTATCACACAATAATATGCCATGGGAATCTTTTTCACGTAAATAAATGTAGATATTTTAAAGAGTTGCATAATATTTCGTCAACCTCCCTTTGACAGACATTGAAGACTCCCCCGTTTCATTTTATTAAACAATGCTTATAACATATATCTTTGGATTTGTATCATTTTACACTTGTCTGATTACTGTCTTAGGATAAATTCTTGGAAGTGGAATTGTTGATCTCAGGTTGTGCACTAAATGTTCCATACAAATCGTCAGTTGAAAACAATACATTTTCCTTGGGTCTAGGCCAGTGGGTCTAGAATGGTTGATAGTTGTTGTATTTATTTATTTATTTATTTAAAATTTTTTGCACAATGACCAATTCAGGAAAAATGTTTTGAGGGCTGGAGTTGATTTCCCTAAAGGCCTGACAGCAGTATTCCTTGCCTGAGTTGAATAAACTTATTAGCCAGCAGATTTAATTAAAGGGCATTGTGCAAATCCCATCTGAGGAGTCCTTGGTCTGCTTCCTTGCAGTCCTAGCTGTGTGAGGGGAGCAGGGTGAGAAGGGTCACGGTGGCTATTAATACAGCCACAGGCCAAGATGCCCCAGGGATCCCTTCCTGGAGGGCTCATTTGGTCTCGCCAGTTGAGTAAATGCTGTATATAAGTGCAGAGTTTTGTAGATCTGAGTTCATTTGAGAGTTAGGGGAAAACCTGCAGTATCGACGTACTTTACTTTCAAGTCAACTTCATAGTCTAGGGCTAGCTTGGCACTGGAATTCAGTGTTCCATTTTCTACATCAGCCCCTTGACCTAGACAACTTTTTTCAAGGACCTCCTCCTGCCAAAAGATACATCCTCCCCGTCTTCCCAGAAAACAGGGTGAGGAGACTGGGTGATATTGTTCAGAATTCTTTTTCATGGCTCGCAAGAACCCAGATCTTAAAGAGGCCATTCACATTGTTTGCACAGTATTTTGAAAGCCATATGTTTCTTTTTCCAGTTGCAAAAAATCCACTTGTGCCATCCCAAACTGCCTCCTGATGAAAGCAATGAGTAATTCTGCCCTGGCAGGGAAGGGGCCCCAGGGAAGGGGCTGCCTGGAAGTGGGGGACTATTAGGGAAAAGTCTCCTATAGCATTGGATCTAGCTTTCCAAACAGTGATAGGGAGGAAGTAACTGAGAACGTATGATGTGCTAGATTTCAGGTGTTGTCTCCTGAAATTTAAATTTCAGGTGTTGTCTCTTGAAATTTAAAATTAAATTTCATGTTGCCTCCTTGGGTCTTTGTTAGAGAGGAGGAAATAGACTTGGAGAGGGGAAGGAGTTGGCAAATCATTCATCCAGCAAATGCGAGGGCTGGGTTCAGCTGCCTGTTTTTCTACCTCCTGTCTTGTGCTTTTCCCAGTATAAAGCCATGCCAGGGCTTCCCAGTGGTGAGGATCCCGGGGACCTGAGCCCAAGCTCCCTCATCCCTCAGGAGGGCAGCGGGCAGGGTAGGGGCATCCCTGCTCCAGGGCTGTGTGTGCCAGAGTAGAGAACATGGGGAGGTCCTGGTGGTGAGAGTCTAGATCTTAGCCATGGGCCAGGAAACTGCTCTGGGGGATGTTTTAGTTGGTAGTGGGAGTGGTCACATATTCATTTTTTCATCTTTTTTTTTTTTTTTTGACAGAGTGTCACTCTGTCACCCAGGCTGGGGGTAAGTGGTATAATCTTGGCTTACTGCAGCCTTGACTTCCTAGGCTCAAGAGATCCTCCCACATCAGCCTCCCAAGTAGCTGGGACCACAGGCGAGCACCAGCACACCCAGCTAATTTTTGTATTTTTTTTTAGAGACAGGGTCTTCCTATGTTTTCCAGGCTGGTCTTAAACTCCTGAGCTCAAACGCCTTGGCTTCCCAAAGTGCTGAGATTACAGGCGTGAGCCATTGCACTGGGCCATTTTTTTCTTTTTCTTTTTTTTTTTTTTGAGATGGAGTCTCACTCTGTCACCCAGGCTGGAGTGCAGTGGCACAATCACGGCTTACTGCAATCTCCGCCTCCTAGATTCAAGCAATTCTCAGGCTTCAGCCTCCAGAGTAGCTGGGATTACAGGCACCCACCACCATACCTGGCTGATTTTTGTACTTTTAGTAGAGATGGGGTTTCGCCATGTTGGCCAGGCTGGTCTCGAACTCCTGACCTCAGGTGATCCACCCGCCTCAGCCTCCCAAAGTGTTGGGATTACAGGCATGAGCCACCACAACTGGCCCCATTTTTTCAGCTTTACGACATTTAGCACAGGTGGTTCCAATAACCCTGCATGCTCTGAGTAACCCTCTCTCACTGAAAGCTGCCAGTTGCTTGGACCCCACTGCTCCTTGGTCCCCAAAGTACAGCACGAAATGAACAAGCAAGCACCCCTGGGCTTAGGGGTCAGTGACAGACATTCCCGCTGACATGTTGGCTCAGAACCCAGTGTGGGCCAGTCCCTGTGACCTTGTTTGGGCACTCGAGAAGCAGGAGGGACCCCCACTCAAAGCTGAGCCCAGACATGGAGACGAGGGAGACCACACACCACACACACACGCACGCACACGCACACACACACACACACACACCCCAAGAGGGTCCAGGAGGAGGTTTATGACGCACATAATGAGGCTTTCTGGAGACAGCAGGGCAGGCACCCAGCAGGCCCCACATGCCTTGAGAGAGCAGAGAAAGGAGACTGGCGTGGGGTTTTTGTGGTGTTTAGGGAGCTGGTCAGAGTGAGTGAGGGTCCTGCAGGCAGGTGCTCGCATGCTTTTAGTCTCCCCCAGGTACCAAAGATGAGAGCTCTGGGCTTCCTGACCAGCCATAGGGCAGAGGGGTGAGGCTTAAAAGCTGTTCAGAGTCAACTCTCAACAACTGGAGTGTGACCCTTTGTTCAGGGCCCTGTCTACTGCTATCTTCTCAGGAAAAGGTTGTGACTGATGGGATTTGCCCTCCCAGCACCTGAGCTTAGAGTTTTTTCTTTCCCACCGTGGCTGCCTGTGAATTGAGTCGGCATTTCCAAGTTACTGTGAGGTATTGCAGAGGGTGTGCGGTGGGTCCCAGCTTCCCTTCATGAGATTCCAGGAACTGCTGCAGTGAGGATGGGAGAATGATGACTTAGCAGAGGTGTTGAGAGACTTTCTTCTTCTCCAGAAATGAGCTTCATCAGGGTTGCTGTGGATACCATGAGAGATGTCTTAGCCAAGACATCCCTAACGTGGGGGCTTTCAGAAAAGTGCCTGGAGAGGCATTAAATGAAATTTCCATGAGATTCCTGGAAGGTTTGATTAGAACATAGTCTTTGGTCTGTTTCAGCAAGCTGAGGAGCACACTGTTGCCTGGGGATTTCCATACCCCTTTCTTACAATCTGTGAGACAAAATATCCCCACGTGGATCTTTTCAACTTAGATCATGGCCTCCTTTTCTTGCACAGACACTCATGTGTCTGGATTATCCACTGGGATAAAAGCAATCACAGGAGCACTGACAGATCTCATGGCGCCATCCCGAATATTTCTGAGCATCTCTGCATGGTGTGCCAGGTGACCACTTGCCCTTTGCGGAGGACTAGGAGGACTACCATTGCCCCTCCTGCTGGCTCAGATCTTCCTCTGACCACAGAGGGTTTGTCAGCGATGCCCTTCAGGGGGAAGAGAAACCAGCCACCCTGGGAGGTCCCCGCTAGTAGGTGGATCCACATGTTTCCAGGTCACATACCCACCCAGGTCCACACTTGGACAAGTCCAAGTCCAGCACCCTCTAGAACCTTGGCCTAGAGATGGTCTCTAACCCTAGTCCAGCCCCTTCTCCTGGGTGGTGCATTTTTTTCTGAGGAGCCTTGAGCTCTCTCCTGAAATCTGACTGTTCTGCCATCTGCATCATGAGTATCAGATCATGGTGATGATCTGTGGATATCTGGTTGCAAGTTGTAGATAAAGATTGAGTGCACTCACCAACCGAAAATCGTGGGTACAAATAGATCCTTAAGAAAGCAAAGACTCCACCTGCTGGATAATTGGAGCCTCAGCTCTGGCCCTGCCGGGACATCTGGTTAAACACACTCAACAGTCCAGGGCTCTAGACAGAAAAGGAACAGGAAACAGGCCACAGCAGGAGTCAGCAGATAAGCCAATTAATATCAGACTTTCACACCTTTAGACTGTTATTATAATCACTATGGTAACCACTAGATGAATATGAAAAATGTGCAATTTCTAAGCTAATAGAGACGGAAATGAGATAATAAAAATAATCTAAAATGTACAATTTCATTAACCGTAAATGAAATGTTTTCATTAATACAAAGTTGGTCAGACTATATACTTTTTATGAGAGCAACTAAAATATAAGGAAGATACAGAAAGGCTGAAAGAAAGGAATTTAAAAAGATGTAGCATCCAAACCCTAACCAAATGAAAGCTCATATTGCTCTATTAATATTAGACATCTTTTCCTTTAGGATAAAATGCATGATCGGTATTATCCTAGATAAAGACAGACAATTCATAATAATAAAAGGTTTAATTTTCCAGAAAGATACAATCATTCTCATGATTTATGTACACAGAATAATATAGCTTCAAAATATATAAAGCAAAATGTTGTGGAATAAAAAGGATAAAAAGACAAATTCATACTCATTGTGAGATATTTTAATATCTTTTTATCAGATATTGATAAAATAAATGGATAAATATTTATTAAGAATATAGAGGAATACAGAATGAATAATATTCTGTAATCAGCAAACTTGAACTAATGAACATATGTAGAAGACTGCATTTAAGAGCTGTAGAACACACATCTTTTTAAGGATGCTGTGACACGCTGACCATATGTTGAGCTGTTAAACAAGTCTGGAAAATTTTCAAAGGATAAAAATTAGATGTTTTTTTCACTTCAATGCAATTAAGCTAAAAATCAATAACAAAAAGATAACCAGAAAATTATTTTGTGTTTGGAAATTAAGCAGTACTTTTCTAAAGAACCTATGGGACAAAGAAGAAATCATAATGGAAATTAGAAAATATTTTAAAATACATTATTATGAAATATTGTATATCAAAACTTGTGGAATGCAGTTAAAGCCATGCTTGGCAAAAAATTATAACCTTGAAGTTTATATTAGAAAAGAATGAAGGCTAAAAATCAATGTGCTAAGAATCTGTCATAAAGTCTGGGGGGAGAAGAACAGGAAAATCAAAGAAAGTAGAAGTAAGGATACACAAGGATACAAGCCAAAAATAATGACTTAGAAAAATTAACACACAAAGGAGGCTGAAGAGGGCCAAAGAGCGGTTCTTTTAGGAGGTGAATGAAGCTCAACTCCCTGGCAAGCCTGTTAGGGGAAAAAAGGAACTAAAAAGCTAAAATAATAATCAGTGGTCAGGCACTATGAAGCAAATTTTTGCTAATGATCTTACCATCATTAAAAAGATAAGTGAATTATGCCAATAGGTTTGAAAATGTAGCGGAAATGGACAAAGTCCTAGACTCATAGCAGGGGTTCTGCAATGTTTATTACGATTGAGACCTTAACAGTTTAGACCCTGTATTGCTCATCCCATGCTATCCTCCGGAACTCGGTCTTGGAAATGCCAGACTAATGTGCATGAGAGAGAGAAGCTTAGTGCAAAATTCAGCAGGCAGGAAGGATGTGGTCACCATCTGACAAGATCCTCAGGAGGCTTAGAGGCAGGAGGGGCCATCTGCCCTGCCCCCTGTGGCCTCATGGCTGCATCCGCCGCTCCCTGGATGGGGCTCGGGGGTACCTGGGAGCATGATCCGTCCTTATACTCCTCTCACATCAGTATCTAAACTCAGAGTTTACAGAACAAGGGAAACTGCCTAGAATGAGGCTTGTATTCCTAGGGGCAAGGGCTTTCGCCCACCCTCACACAGTTTAATGTCACCTGCCTCCAGATTGTGTTAACACAGAGCCTCTGCACAGCCTCCTTCGCGGTGGCCTCAGACATTTCCGGAATTAGTTGTCAGAGGGTAGGCCCCCGCGCAATGCCAGCTTGCAGAGTGCAGAACTGGGAGCCACCAGGACATTGTGTTTCTCCAAAGAGCGGTGCAGGCCCGGGCAGCGACCTCTTGCTGTTCAGCAAAAAGCAAACATTCAAAGCAGTCCCTGCGGGCTCAGCGTGGCGACCATGAGCGCACGTTTGTGTGCCGGCTGACTCTCCTCCTCGCATAGGAGGACCAGGGCGCATTGGTGGCGGTGGGAGTAGGCACTCTGCAGAGCTGCTGGCCCGAGCTCCACATTCAGCCTCAAGTCGCACTCTTTGTACTGGATGTTTTCAGAAAAACAGCAGACCATGCCCTAACAGCCTTAATGAGCCTTGTAACTGCATCTGCTCTTAACAGTAAAAATTAGTGCTGAACAATGGGACCCTCACTCATGGGGCTACTGTGGTCTGGCAGTCAGGACGGGTGGGTGGTCCTCGCTGCCACTCACCCACCCGAGAAGGGGACTATTTTTAGACTATGCTTCATTTTCCCCTAAATACAGTATTTAAACCACCGTGGTCAGAGTTGGTCTGCTTTTACAGCCCTCTACTTTTTATTTTCATCTCCATAGTGAGTGAGGGATATTGATTCTTTCCCAAATGCTCACTCTAGTACGAAACGTTCTTTTTTCCTTTTCTTTTCTTTTTTTTCCAATTCATGTAAAACAGTAATATAGGAACACCTGCTATGTGCAAGTCATATCAAAGTACCTGATTTTTATATCTCCTCATCCAGGGGTGCCTCCTCCATCAGTGGAGGCTGGTGGGTTCAGAGTGGTGCATGATACAGATCTTTGCAGTAAGAAGAGCTGCACTGAAATCCAGCCTCTGCCACCTCCCCATTGCGGGGCCTTGGATGCATCACCAAAGGCTCTGAAATCCGCTTTGCTCATCTGCAATGGATGGATGTAATTGCTTTAGTGAGTTACAATCTTGGTTGAGCTGTAAACAAGAGGGTCTTGCTTTCCTTATTTGCCCCTCGAACTGTGCTTTGTGAACCTTCGTTTTCTACTGCTTCAAGAAATGACAGCTTGGCCAGATTCCATATCACTTCACCAACTTTCTTTTTTTAAATTCTTAATAGAATTTTGAAAAGAGTATTTTTAGGTTTTCAGAAAAATTGCACAGAAAGTACAAAGAATTCCCATATACACTCTCTGCACCCACACAGTTTCCCTGTGATTAACATCTTGCAAGTGTGATACATTTGTTACAATTGAGGAGCCAATATTGATGAATTATTATTAACCAGAGTTAAGAGTTTTCATAGGTTTCACTCTTGGGGTTTTACATTTTATGGGTCGTGGCAAACACATAATGACAAGTATCCACCATTATAGTGTACAGAACAGCCTCACTGCCCTAAAAATCCCCTGTTCTCCCTCTCCCTCTCCCTCTCCCTCTCCCTCTCGGTCTCCCTCTCCCCACGGTCTGCCTCTCCCCACGGTCTCCCTCTCCCTCTCTTTCCACGGTCTCCCTCTGATGCCGAGCCAAAGCTGGACTGTACTGCTGCCATCTCGGCTCACTGCAACCTCCCTGCCTGATTCTCCTGTCTCAGCCTGCCGAGTGCCTGCGATCCGCCACGCCTGACTGGTTTTCCTATTTTTTTGGTGGAGACGGGGTTTCGCTGTGTTGGCCGGGCTGGTCTCCAGCTCCTAACCGCGAGTGATCCGCCAGCCTCGGCCTCCGGAGGTGCCGGGATTGCAGACGGTATCTGGTTCACTCAGTGCTCGATGGTGCCCAGGCTGGAGTGCAGTGGCGTGATCTCGGCTCGCTACAACCTCCACCTCCCAGCCGCCTGCCTTGGCCTCCCAAAGTGCCCAGAGTGCAGCCTCTGCCCGGCCGCCACCCCGTCTAGGAAGTGAGGAGCGTCTCTGCCTGGCCGCCCATCGTCTGGGATGTGAGGAGCCCCTCTGCCTGGCTGCCCAGTCTGGAAAGTGAGGAGCGTCTCTGCCCGGCCGCCATCCCATCTAGGAAGTGAGGAGCGCCTCTTCCCGGCCGCCATCCCATCTAGGAAGTGAGGAGCATCTCTGCCCGGCCGCCCATCGTCTGAGATGTGGGGAGCGCCTTTGCCCCGCCGCCCCGTCTGGTATGTGGGGAGCGCCTCTGCCCGGCCGCGACCCCGTCTGGGAGGTGAGGAGCGTCTCTGCCCAGCCGCCCCATCTGAGAAGGGAGGAGACCCTCCACCTGGCAACCGCCCCGTCTGAGAAGTGAGGAGCCCCTCCGCCCGGCAGCCACCCCGTCTGGGAAGTGAGGAGCGTCTCCGCCCGGCAGCCGCCCCGTCCGGGAGGGAGGTGGGGGGGTCAGCCCCCCGCCCGGCCAGCCGCCCCGTCAGGGAGGTGAGGGGCGCCTCTGCCCAGCCATCCCTACTGGGAAGTGAGGAGCCCCTCTGCCCGGCCAGCCGCTCCGTCCGGGAGGGAGGTAGGGGGTCAGCCCCCCGCCCGGCCAGCCGCCCCGTCCGGGAGGGAGGTGGGGGGGGTCAGCCCCCCGCCCGGCCAGCCGCCCCGTCCGGGAGGTGAGGGGCGCCTCTGCCCGGCCACCCCTTCTGGGAAGTGAGGAGCCCCTCTGCCCGGCCACCACCCCGTCTGGGAGGTGTGCCCAACAGCTCATTGAGAACGGGCCATGATGACAATGGCGGTTTTGTGGAATAGAAAGCGGGGAAAGGTGGGGAAAAGATTGAGAAATCGGATGGTTGCCGTGTCTGTGTGGAAAGAAGTAGACATGGGAGACTTTTCATTTTGTTCTGTACTAAGAAAAATTCTTCTGCCTTGGGATCCTGTTGATCTGTGACCTTACCCCCCAACCCTGTGCTCTCTGAAACATGTGCTGTGTCCACTCAGGGTTAAATGGATTAAGGGCGGTGCAAGATGTGCTTTGTTAAACAGATGCTTGAAGGCAGCATGCTCCTTAAGAGTCATCACCACTCCCTAATCTCAAGTACCCAGGGACACAAACACTGCGGAAGGCCTCAGGGTCCTCTGCCTAGGAAAACCAGAGACCTTTGTTCACTTGTTTATCTGCTGACCTTCCCTCCACTATTGTCCTATGACCCTGCCAAATCCCCCTCTGTGAGAAACACCCAAGAATGATCAATTAAAAAAAAAAAAATCCCCTGTTCTCCACCTATGCATTCCTCCCTCCCACCAACCCCTGGTAACCATCGAACTTTTTTACTGTCTCCATAGTTTTGCCTTTTCCAGAATGTGTTATAGTTGGAATCATTCAGGTTGGCTTCTTTCCCTTAGCAATATGCTTTTCAGGTTCTTCCTGAAAAGAGAAAGCCACTATGTCTTCTGGTAGCTTGATTGCTCATTTTTTTAAATTGATGAATACTATTTAATTGTCTGGTTGTATCACCATTTGCTTATCATTCACCTACTGAAAAACATCTTGGTTGCTTTCAGTTTGGTGTAATTATTAATAAAGCTACTATAAATATTTGTGTGCAGGTTTCTGTAAAGACATAGGTTTTCAACTGAATTGGGTTAATATCTAGGAGCACAATTGCTGGATCATATAAGATTATGTTTAACATTGCGAGAAACTTCCAAACTGTCTTCTAAAGTGGTTGTCCCATTTTGCATCCTTACCAGCTGTGAATGTTAATTCCTGTTGCCCCATATCCTCACTAGCATTTGGTGATGTCAGTGTTCTGGATTAAGGCCATTCTAATAGATGTGTAGTGGTATCTTATTTTAATTTGCAATTCTCTTATGGTGTGATGTTGAACATCTTTTCATATGCTTATTTGCCATCTGTGTATCTCCTTTGGTGAGATGTCTGCTCATGTCCTTTGCCCATTTTTAAACTGAGTTGTTTCCTATTGTTAAGTTTTGATGGTTCCTTGCATATTTTGGACACAGGTGCTTGTCTTCTCAGTCACATACAGTGTCTCTTGCAGAACAGAAGTTTTTAATTTTTGTTGTTGTTGTTGTTGTTGAGATGGAGTCTCACTCTGTCAGCCAAGCTAAGGCGCAGTGGCATGATCTTGGCTCACTGCAGCCTCTGCCTCCTGGGTTCAAGTGATTCTCCTGCCTCAGCCTCCCAAGTAGGTGGGACTACAGGCATGCACCACAACATCTGATTACTTTTTGTATTTTTAGTAGGGACGGGGTCTCACCATGTTAACCAGGCTGGTCTCAAACTCCTGACCTCAAGTGATCTGGCCTCCTCGGCCTCCCAAATTGCTGGGATTACAGGTGTGAGCCACTGCTCCCAGCCAGAAGTTTTTAATTTTAATGAAGTCCAACTTAACAATTTTTTTCTTTCATGGATTATGCTTTTGGTGATGTATCTAAAAGCTTACCACCAAGTCTAAGATTACCTAGATTTTCTCCTTTGGTATCCCACAGATGTTTTGTGTTTTGCATTTAGGTCTATGATTCCCTTTGAGTTAATTTTTGTGAGGTTCTGTGTCTAGATTCATTCTTTTGCCTGTGGGTGTCTAGTTGCTCCAGAGCCAATTGTTCAAAAGACTGTCTTTGCTCCATGGAACTGCCTTTGCTCCTTTGTCAAATGTCAGTTGACTCTGTTTGTGTGGACCTATTTCTGGGCTATGTTGAACGCCCGTTTCCTGACATGTAGGGAAATGACAATTTAGATTCCACTTTGCTCTTAAACAGTCTCACTTCAGTAGATATTTAACCCCGTTCTTGTTTGTTTATTGGTTTTGAAGCCCCTCCCTTCTCCCCCCACCATAGAGGCTACACCTGTGTAGTGATTTTGAGTGTGGTGGGAAAAGGTGGTGTGCTTTTTTGTTTTGAACCTTTTAATGAAGCCCAGTGAACATACAGAAAATTGCAGAAATTGAAATTAAATGTTTTTCTCAAACAACACATTTGTGTAACTAACACTCACATGGAGGAATGGCACAGTACCAAGGCCCCAGAAACCCCTTCGCCTCCTTTCCAGCCACTGCCTCCTGCCCTCAGGGCAGCCACGATCCTAATTTCCAACAGCTCAGACTAGTTCTACCTGGGTTTGCTGTTTTTATAAATATAATTACACGGTATATGTATTCTTGTGTCTAGCTTTTCTCAACATTATGTTTGTTGCTTATTTTTATTGCTATAGAGCAGGGCGTCCAATCTTTTGGCTTCCCCGGGCCACAGTCGAAGAAGAAGAATTGTCTGGGGCCACATGTAGAATACACTGATGCTAACAATAGCTGATGAGCTAAAAATAAATTGGAAAGAAAATCTCATAATATTTTAAGAAAGTTGACGAATTTGTGTTGGGCCGCATTCAAAGCCGTCCTGGGCCTCATGCGGCCTGGACAAGCTTGCTGTAGAGTATTGTAGGAGTCAGAAAACTTTATAAAGGGCCAAATAATGAATAGTTTAGGTTTTGCAAGCCACATGTGATCTTTGTCACATTTTCTTCCTCCTCCTCCTCCTCCTCTTCTTGTTCTCTTCTGTGAGGTTCAGAGATTAGTTACAACACTTTGAAAATACAAAAATGATTCTTAACTCTCAAGCTGTACAAAAACAGGCAATGAGCTGTAGCTTGCTAATCCCTAGAGTATTCCATCCTGCAAATATGGTTTATTTATCCACTGTACTCTTGGTGTGAATTTGGGTAGCGTCCCCTTTGGGGCTACTGTGAGTAGAGCTGCTATAAACATTCTGTTGCATGTCTTGTGTGTATTGGCTGTATTACTTGGGATGGGATTACTGGGTCACAGAATGTGCGTATTCCAGCTTTAGAAGGTATTCCAAGCAGTTTTCCAAAATTGTAACACTCTTGTAAGCAGCACATGAACATTCTGGTTGCTCCACGCTCTCACCAGGATTTTCCATCCTTTCCAGTGGGCCAGTTTTGTTGGGTGTATAGTGCTTTTTCATTATGGCTTTAATTTGCATTTCACCTTAATTTCCATTTTTCTAGGTTGAACACTGTTAAAATATGCTTGTTGTCCATTTGGATATCCTTTATGCAAAGACTTTTGCCCATTTTTTAATAACTTGCCTTTTTCTTATAGTTCCAGACTTTTTTTTTGTTTCCCTGAGAGCCTGATGCCAGCAACCATTCCCAGAGCCAATCTCTGTCTTTGTTAAGCAGGGTAGTTAGTCACAAGCAACAGAAACCAGTCTGGTTGGTCCTGTGTTAGTTCAAGGTGAAGGGGGAGATTTATTATAAGGCATTGACTCATGAAATTATGGAGGATGAGAAGTCTCAAGGTGTGTAGTTGGCAAGCTGGAGACCCAAGAGAGCCAATGGTACAGTTCTAGTCTCAGTGCCAACAGGTTTGAGACCCATGAGAGCTGATGTTTCAATTCAAGTCCAAAGGCAGGAAAGAAACAAGTGTTTTTCAAGGCCATCAGGCAGGAGGAACTCCCTACTTACTGATGGTGGGAGGGTTGGCCTTTTTGTTCTCTTCAGGTCTTCAGTTGACTAGATGGCACCCATCCAGGGACCCACCCACAATGGGAGAAAAAATCTGCCCTACTCTGTCTACTGGTTTAAATGTCAACCTCACCAAAAAATACCCTCACAGAAACACCTAGAATAATGTTTGACCAGATGTCTGGATGTTCTGTGGCACAGACACATAAAAACCATCACAAAGCCCAATTCTGGGACTTCAAGAAATAGGAGCAGGCAGATAAAGAGCCGGAGAGGCAGGCTCAAGGTTTGTGTAGCAGGAAAATGCCCATAATTGCTCTGCAGAACTCTGTGCTTGAGCACACGACGCTGCAGGAGCCCCGTGGTGTCACGAGCCCTGCTGGTCCACCTGCTGCGCCGGAAACTGAGTGAAGCTGTCCTGGCCCCCACAACTCTGCCAAACCCGGTTCAACAGGATCCTTGCTTCTCAGCACCACAGCAGGGGAGTGATATTCTAGCATCCTTGGTTTTATACTGAGAGGTGGAAATTCATCTAAATAGTGAAGAGACATTCAGGAATTGGTCGTCAAAAGGGGCAACATTGTCTGTTGCATGTGTCTTTCACCCCTTCTCCCACTCACATGGTGTTTTGGAGTCTGGCTACATCTTGGCCCTGAATTCCAGCTTCCCTGTTTGGGGCTGTGCTTTAGTGTAGGTCCACACTTAACAGTTGTGGATGAGTACAGAGCCAAGTCCAGGTTCAAGTTTAGCTGTGATTCACACGTTTCAAAATTGGGGTGGGTGTGGCTTGATGTAGTAGGGCTGATGTGTTTCGCACCTCTCAGGATTGTTCAGCCTGGGGGAGGAGGTCAGTGAGGCCTTCCCCTCGAGGGGTTTAGCCTCTGATTTTTCACTTGCCTCATTCTGCCCATTCTCAGCAACACTTCACATGGTTATCTGCTCTGTAAAGCACGCTTGTTTTACTTATCCTTGACTCAAGGGAGAAGGATCTGGGATTTCTGACAGTTCTCAGCATGGGGATTTGACAGCTAAGATGGACGCTGTAGCTCCATATCACATATACATTCCAGCCAGGTAGAATAAAGAAGAGGAAATGGGGTGTGTTTCCAAGTACACTAAATTTCTAAGTAGCTCTAGAAAACATCTCTGCTTATGTTCCATTGGCCACATTAAGTGCAAGGGATATGGAGAAGCATTGTTTTTATTTTGAGTGGTTATGTACTCAGCTAAAATGTGAGGTTTAATACTAATGGAAGGGGAGAACTCATATTAGGGGAACAAAAGCTTGTCACAGGATCTGGAACAATTTTAGTTTTATTATTATTATATTTATTTATTTATTTGGAGACGGAGTTTCCCTCTTGTTGTCCAGGCTGGAGTGCAATGGTGGGATCTCGGCTCACTGCAACCTCTGCCTCCTGGGTTCAAGCAATTCTCCTGCCTCAGCCTCCCGAGTAGCTAGGATTGCAGGCATGCGCCACCATGCCCGGATAATTTTGTATTTTTAGTAGAGATGGAGTCTCTCCATGTTGGTCAGGCTGGTCTCAAACTCCCTACCTCAGGTGATCCACCCACCTCAGCCTCCCAAAGTGCTGGGATTACAGGTGTGAGCCACCATGCCTGGCCTTAATTTTATTATTAAAACAAAGGTGTGGAGGACATCAGGAGGCCCATTTCATCTATGTTCACAAGGCTGACCCACAGTATAAGTGAGACCAAGTAAAGTCACAGTGGTGGATGAGGAGGTTTGGGGATTATTCATCATTTTGGACACTTTGTGCAACTGATCATCTTCAAAGGCTGGTGCCTAAGAATTGAATGTCTAGAAAAGAAATATAGCTTAGAAAAGGTACAGCCTAAGGCTGATTCCTTTATTTTCTAATCCCACATTACCTCTAAAGAATGCTTTTTTCTATGGCCACTGTCTTACCAAAATGAAAATGGTTATCTGAAAACCAAACTACAAAGGTACCCTTTGGAAAATACATTAATGTAGCAGAGATAAAATTCTAAAAAAGCATGGGTCGTTTTATGAAAAAATGATATGTAGGCACACTTTACATGTCTATTTCCCCATGATGGCCTCAAGTTTATTTCTATACCATCCCTGAAGATTGAGACTCAGTGAAAGTTTGTAAACCCTTCCCTAAAGCAAGCCCATATCATAAAGCATGACTGAGCTCTTTGATTCTACTTAAGAATTCCCAGGAAGATGGATGAGAAGAACCTTGCATACATCATGGCAGCCAGCTTAATTAAATTCCCATTAGGGGTTTTGGTTTTCGCTCAAAGTTACTCTTCAGGGCCAGTTCTTGGGTCTCACTCTCTCTGCATTACCCTTTCTTCCACCCAAATTTTAAGCCCTCTGCCCTATGCATAGCAACACATCTCTGCTTGCTTTTTAAAATTTTGTATAAATTTATGGCATAAAAGTGCAGTTTTGTTGCATGAGTATATCGCACAGTGGTAAAGTCAGGGCTTTCAGCGTATTCATCAACTGAATAACAGACATTCTACTCATTAAGTAATTTATCACCCCTCACCTTCCTTCCAGCACCCCACCCTTCAGAGTCTCCAGTGTCTACCATTTTATACTCTATGCCTGTATGTACATATTCTAGCTCCCACTTATAAATAGTAACATGCATTATTTGTCTTTTAGTTTCTGAATTGTTTCACTTAAGATAATGGCCCTCAGCTCCATTTATGTTGCTGCAAAAGGCATGACTTCATTCTTTTTTTATGGCTAAATAGTACTCCATTGTGTATATGTATATATACCACATTTTCTTTATCCAGTCATCCATTGATGAACATTTAGGTTGATTCCATATCTTCGCTATTGTGAATAATGCTGCAATAAACATATAAGTGCAGGTGTCTTTTTGATGGAATGATTTCTTTTCCTTTGAGTAGATACTCAGTATCTACTGGAATTGTAAGATCAAATGGTAGCTTCATTTTTAGTTCTTTGAGAAATCTCCATACTGTTTTCCATAAAGGTTGTACTAACCACATTTAATAATAGCCATTCTGACTGTTGTAAGATGATATCTCATTGTGGTTGTAATTTGCACTTCTCTAATGATTGCCCATTTTCTCATGTTTGTTGACCATTTGTATGTCCTCTTTTGAAAAATGTCTATTTATGTCCCCCTTTTAAATGGGATTATTTGTGGATTTTTCTTTATTGTTGTTGTTGAGTTGTTAGAGTTCCTTGTAAATTCTGGGTATTACTTCCTGTCAAATGCATATGTGCAAATATTTTCTCCCATTCTGCAACTTGTCTGTTCATTCTGTTGATTATTTCTTTTGCTGTGCAGAAGCTTTTAAATTTCATTAAGTCTAATTTGTCTGCTTTTCTTCCTTGTGCTTTTGAGGACTTAGTCATGAATTCTTTGCCTAGACCAATGTCCAGAAGAGTTTTCCCTAGATTATCTTCTAGGATTTTTATAGTTTCAGGTCTTACATTTAAGACTTTAATCCATCTTGAGTTGATTTGTGTATACAGTGAGGGATAGGGGTCCAGTTTTATTCTTCTGCATATGGCTATTCAATTTTCCCAGCACCATTTATTGAAAAGGATGTCCTTTCTCCAGTGCCTCTGTCTACCTTTTAAATCTAGGCATTCACAGGCTTCTGAACAGGCAATCATTCACAAAACCGAAGCAGCTGTCATGGTAGAGAAGACTTTTCTGCAGGGAAAAAGATTCCCTCCAGATGATTATAACATGTCAAAACCCAGCCCTAGAAAAATTATGATGATTATTGTTGCTATACAATTTTACAAACAGATTTCTTGCCTCTTCCTTCTTACTGCATGTCTTAGTTCTGTTTTCACTCACCTTCTGATTTCTCCAGAAACTTGTTCCTTTAATTATTTCTTCCCCTGTATCTTCAGCCCTTCCTCTCACTGGCTCATTTCGATCATTATTATTATTACTTATTTTCTGAGATGAGGTCCCAATCTGTTGCCTGGGCTAGAGTGCAATTAACGTGATCATGGCTCACTGCAGCCTCTACCTCTTGGGCTCAAGCAGTTCTCCTGCCTCGCCTCCCGAGTAACTGAGACAACAGGTGCACCACCATGCCTGGCTAATTTTTTCTTTTTTGTAGAGATGGAGATCTCACTGTGTTGTCCAGTGGTCTTGAACTCCTGGGATTAAGCAATCCTCCCACCTTGGCCTCACAAAGTGTTTGGATTACAGGAGTGAGTCACTGCACCCAGCCTCCCACCATTTTTAAATGTTCAGGTTTCTCCCATCATTTTGTTTATTTAAAAATAAACAAAAATCACTTTACCTTCTCCTATGACTTCTTGCAGTCATCATCAAGTTGAGTCTCTGACATAGAGCTTCCCAGAGTTCTTTGCATTTTAGAGACATTATAGGGGGACCCACCCAAAAGTGTGAAGAATATAGAGACTCTCAGACACTGTACCAACCAACCAGAGGTGATGACTGTTTGAAAGCCCCATCGGTTCCCCTAGGGAGTATGTATAAGACCAGCTGAAAGGCTCCAGAAAAATTAAAGGTGCCCCAGCTTTGTCAGAGGTCCCTGGCGGAAGGGGATTAAAATCCTCATTTTGAGCAAACACATTTATTATTACCTTTTCTCAGAAACTTTTCCAGCTACACGAGCTTACAACTTTCTGTCTTGCTTTTCTGAGACAGAAAAAAAAAGCCTGTTGCCCAGGCTAGAGTGCAGTGGCACGATATCGGTTCACTGCAACCTCCACCTCCTGGGCTCAAGTGATTCTTGTGCCTCAGCCTCCCAAGTAGCTGGGATTACAGACATGTGCCACCACACCCAGCTAATTTTTTGTATTTTTAGTAGGGACAGATTTTCGCCATGTTGACCAGGCTGGTCTCAAGCTCCTGACTTCAAGTGATCCACCTGCCTTAGCCTCCTAAAGTGCTGAGATTACAGGCCTGAGCCACCAGGCCCAGCTCTGTCTTGCTATTGAATGAAGAGTTCCTTGCTACTCCCTTAGCTGTATTGAACACCACGGTTATGACTACCCAGTCATGCTGTACTAAACATGAACTCCTCAAGGGCAAAGCCAGGGGATTCACAGAGCATTTGCAGAATTGCATCCAAAGGATTCATCACATCTAGCATGTTTGTGTGGCTGTGTGGGTGGCCCGTGGAGGATCTTTATACACACCTTGATTTTCTTTTCTTTTACTGAGAGACTAAATATACAAGTAGACAATGGACAGACCATGTATAAAAATGGAACTCTGATCCACAATGTGCAGAAACCAGCCTGAGAAACCAACCCATGATCCACAGTAACCAAACCAGGAAGCCAACTGTCTACAAGTCAGACTTGTAGGAAGTCAGACCACTGTCCCTAGCAAACAGCCCAGAAAGCCAAACAATAAGTCCTATAACCATTGGTCCCAAGTGGTCAGGACTTGATTAATGACTGGTAGCTTCCCTAATTTTTGTCCCTGCTTCCAACTTAAGACCAACCAGAGAAAGCCAAATACTGGCCCCTTTGACTAATCTCATAGGATACCCCTTCTAGTTAGCTGCCTCCAGCTTCCTCACGCCAACAGCCTCCAATCAGGGCACACCCGAAGCCTTCCCTTTTTCCCACTGTGAAGCTCTCCCACTCCTCTGCCTGCCTTTGAGTCTTGGCCAACCGCAAATGATGGTGGCCGACTCCTTGCTGGAGCAAACTCTGCATAAATGGCCTTTGCCTGCTCTCCTTTGTTGGTCTTCATTGATTTCCACATTTCTCAGTACTATAGGCTTGTGATTGTTCTACATCTTTCCATAAAAGCTGCCTTTTTAAACTCTGATGGCTGCCTTGCAGGCCATCGAATGGAAAGAACGTAATCTATTCAGCCCTAATTCTACTAGTGGTCATGCAGTTTATTTCCCCCTCACCTTTTTTAAATAATTGCAAACAATTCTGGAATAAGTATCATTGTACAACTTCACACATGTATGAATCTGTCCACAGGGTAGAGAGGGGGACTTGCTGGGTGGTGGAAGTGGCCTTATTTATTCAAAGACGTTCCCTGAATGCCTACTGGTCAGGTCAGACTTCCAGGAAATGGACTTTGGGGTGAAGGTTTGCATGTAGGATGTTGCAGAAGAGCGCTCTGAGCCACAGTACCTGTGAAGAGAGCAGCACAGAGCAGAGAGTTATCCTCTCCAAATTATCCTGAATTGAGGCAAAGGACTGGGCCCTGGTCCCTACCCTTTCTCACTGACCAGTCATTAGATGGGGGCTACCCAGGGAGCAAGGCCAGTTCCCGGGGAGAGACTCCGCCATCAGTAGCTGGGGAATGCTAGCCTCAGTCTTCAGTGGTGGGTCTGAGCAGTACAGGGCACACCAGCCATGCATCAGGCTGGGCACTCAGGACATTCTGCTCCCTGTCCTTGCAAAACTTACAGTCTTCTGGGAGACAGACATGTCACCAATTAAGGACAACCGAGTGTCATCTGGGCTGTGATGGGGGGAAGCCAGGGGCTAGAAGGGGCAAGACTCCAAATACATATTAGGATAACGTGTGGTAAATGTCTTCCTTCATATGAGGGCAAAACTCGGGCTGTCTATGTCCCACCAGTCTATTCCCGTGACCATTTGAAAAGGAATGGATGGACTTTGACAGCAACACTAAGTTCTGCCCTGGAAGGCGTGAGATCAGTTTGTCCCTAAGTTGCTGTGTGACTGTGTCCCCCTGTACCCAGAATAGTGTCAGGCACTAGGTGCTCAAAATGTACTTGAAGAATAACTCCTACGAGATAGGTACATTTATCAGCCCCACTTTACAGCAGTAAGTTTTTGGAGGGATATACATGGGTCAGATTCTGAAAGGTCTGTTCAACATCACCTCATAGGTGTTAGCTGTAGCCACAGCCTGGATTCAGGACTCACGTTTTAAGCAGCTCGATGGATGCAGACCATGGTCAATGTGCCAAAAGCAGTAGTGAATTTAGACGACACGTGGATGTAATGTATTACATCCATTGGATTTATGTATTTATTAATGTATTATGTCCATTGGATTTAGCAACAGCAAAACCGTCAGGGACCTCAGCAAGAGCTATGGGAGCAGCATGGCGGCTTCTCTGGATTTGCTAACCACTACATCTTAGAAAACCAAAATCGTGCATGAAGCCCCCATCCTGCTCCAATTCGAGCCATTTCAACAACTGCTTGCATATTTAGAAGATCATGAAAGCATATTCAATCCACAAATTTGCAGCAAGACTCTGGAAAAGACACGCTTTATGTCCTCAGCTGCCATGAGGCCCCTTCATCCCCACCCCGCTTCCCAACCCCAAGCCCCTGCCTCCAGCTCACTGGGCTTCTCCATTTTTTTCTTCCCCCTCCTGCCAGCCTCCCCACTTCTCCAATTCTGTCACAAAAGATACTCTTCTGGGCTAGGGGTAGGGGAGAAGGAGGACTTGAGTGAACGGAATTAAATTCTTTTTGGCCAGGGCAGGACGAGAGAAGAAAAACGCCATGAAGAAACCTTGTGTCCTACACATCACAGCACTGATCCCACCTTAGGTGTGGAGTTTGGGATAGTGCCTGAAAAGCGCATCGCCAAGATCAGCAGCATGCCTTTCTCAACATTCAGCGCAGCCTCTCCCACCTCCTCCTGGGGTCTGATCCTGTGAGTACCCACGATTGCTCTGCCTGTGGAAGCTCTGCCTGTGAAAACAGTCTTGTTTTCACTAATGCACAAATCCATCCTTCCTTCTGTTCCAGGAGTTTCAGAAATAACTCATGTTTCCGTGCAACCTGCCACCGTGTGTCCTGAGTAAGCTGTTACCGACAATACATGCTAACGCTTGAATTATTTAAACCCGTGTAAAACAGATTCAAGGTTATCTCCAGAGTGACTGTCATTCTCACTTGCTTTCTTGAGTGACATTGAAATGGGAGGAGTTACATCCTCCGTTTCTGTAATGGCTCAGGACTGTGTTTCACCTGGGAATACCACTCACTGCGGGTGTGAGCTGGGGTTCGAATTCTCTTTGACCTCAAGACGGTCTCATGTGGTACTCTCTACATCGAAAACACTGCCTTTCAACTGACCACCACAATGAAACCTTGGCTTTGTCAGAAAAAAAAAACTTTTAATGGCAAATATGGGCTTAGACCAATCTAAGACCCTGCACACTCCGTGTCCTATGTGATGTGGTGGCAGAGAAGCTATCTCGCAGGCATGCTGTCACAAGTGGAACCTCAACGAGTGTCATTAGTAGACTGTCAGTGAAGTTCAGCTTTGAAATTTTATGAGGGCCACACTGTGTGCAAAATTACACATGTACACTTTGGCCAACAAAAATTCAAAATCCACATTAACAACTGAATTTCAGCCAAAGAAGATGCTTTGGAAAATAAAACTGCTTATCCTCTCTGATGAAGAGACTAGTTTTATAATAATATGCTCTTCCCTGCATCCACCAACTCTATTTCCTCCTGACACTGTTTGTTCCTCGCTGGCCATTTCCAACCCAGGAGAGAGGTTCCTGAGCTGGACTTTGGTGGCTCTCCAAGCTCCAGGCAAGCGGCTTCCTATTCTTCCTAAAAGAACCCACAGGCCTTTAATGTCTCAGAGGCTGGAGACCCAGGAAACCCACCCAGTGGCCATCAGACCTGCTTGGTCCATGCCATGCTGGTGGTTAGAGGGGACATGGGTGGGAAGTGCAGGGGCCAGGACAGCCATGGGATGTAACAGAAGTATAGTCAGGGGGCTTGTGTGGGCTTAAGCTGAGGGAAATTCTTTTGTGTCTTCATAGCAGGTGATACATTTTATTAAACCAGATGATTGGGACTCAAAGTCATTTTCTCACCAGCTGCTATGAAACTGTTCCCTGATGAGATGTTTTGGAAGGTGAATGTTTCCATAAACTCCTTAAGATTAGGAACAGAGGCTGAGTCCAGGGGCTTTGGGTCAGCTGCTGCCTGCCAGAGAAAGCTGGTGGTGCTGAGATGAGCAAAGAAAAGAGTTTATTTCAGAAAGAGGTGTGACAGTTGATTGAATCACCTGGAGAGAAGGGCACAGGGGTGGGCAGAGATGAGGTTTAGAGGAGCAGCTGCCCAAGGAGGATTTGGGAGTGAGGTGACTCATTGAACCCTGAACTCTTCCCTTGACCTCACAAATGTTGTGTAAGCCAAAGTGTGCCACAATATGATCGGAGTGACAGCTGACAACAGGACTAAGATTTCTGTCAGGCTTGCAAGAGAACAGCTGATAATCTGGGTTGCATTGATGCTTTAAAGTGCTTCAAGTACAGATTGTACCTTAGGTTAAGGTTAGAGTACCTTGGGGACTATGTATCTCCCTGGTTGCCACATAAGCTTAGGAGGCTAGCATATCTGGGCTCAAGCTCTAGTTCTACTGTCTTTAGTCCATGATGTGGTATGGCTGTGTCCCCACCCAAATCTCATCTCGAATTCCCATGTGTTGTGGGAGGGGCCTGGTGGGAGGTAATTGAATCATGGGGGCAGGTCTCTCCTGTGCAGCGCTTATGATAGTGAATAAGTCTCATGAGATCTCTTGGTTCTATAAGGGGGAGTTTCCTTTCACAAACTCTCTCTTTGCCTGCTGCCATCCATTTAAGATGTGACTTGCTCCTTCTTGCCTTCCACCATGATTGTGAGGCCTCCCCTAGCCATGTGGAACTGTGAGTCCATTAAACCTTTTCCTGTATAAGTTACCCAGTCTTGGGTATGTCTTTATCAGCAGTGTGAAAATGAACTAATATAGTAAATTGGTACCAACAGGGTGGGACACTGCTGAAAAGATACCAGAAAATGTGGAAGCGACTTTCGGACTGGGTAACAGGTAGAGGCTGGAAGAGTTTGAAGGGCTCAGAAGAAGTCAGGAAAATGTGGGACAATTTGGATCTCCCTAGAGACTTGTTGAATGGCTTTGGCCAAAATGCTAAAAATGATATGGACAATGAAATCTAGGCTGAGGTGGACACAGATGGAGTTGAGGAACTTGTTGGGAACTGGAGTAAAGGTGATTCATGCTATGTTTTAGCAAAGAGACTGGTGGCATTTTGACCCTGCCCTGGAGATTTGTGGAACTTTGAATTTGAGGGAGATTATTTAAAGTGTCTGGGGGAAGAAATTGCTAAGCAGCAAAGCATTCAAGAGGTGACTTGGGTGCTGTTAAAGGCATTCAGTTTTAAAAGGAAACAGAACATAAAAGTTCAGAAAATATGCAGCCTGAGGATGCCATAGAAAAAGAAAAACCTATTTTCTAAGGAGAAATTCAATCCAGCTGCATAAATTTGCATAAGTAACGAGGAGCCAAATGTTAATTGCCAAGACAATGGGGAAAATGTTTCCAGGGCATGTTAGAGAACTTTGAGGCAGCCCCTCCCATCACAGGCTTGGAGGCCTAGAAGGAAAAAAATGGTTTCATGGGCTGGACCCAGGGTCCCTGTGCTGTGTGCAGCCTAGGGGCTTGGTGCCCTGCATCCCGGCCTCTCCACGTATGGCTTAAAGGGGCCAATGCAGAGCTCAGGCTTCAGAAGGTGCAAGCCCCAAGCCTTGGCAGCTTCCACATGGTGTTGAGCCTGTGAGTGCACTGAAGTCAAGAATTGGGATTTGGGAACCTCCGTCTATATTTCAGAAGATGTATGGAAATGTCTGGATGCCCAGGCAGAAGTTTGCTGCAGGGATGGGGCCCTCATGGAGAACCTCTGCTAGGGCAGTGCAGAAGGAAAATGTGGAATCAGAGCCCCCACACAGAGTCCCTACTGGGGCACTGCCTAGTGGAGCTATGAGAAGAGGGCCAGAGTCCTCCAGACCCCAGAGTGGTAGATCCATTGAAAGCTTACATTGTGCACCTGGAAAAGCCATAGACACTCAATGCCAGCCCATGAAAGCAGCTGGGAGGGAGGATATACCCTGCAAAGCCACAGGGGCTGAGCTGCCCAATACCATGGGGACCCACCTCTTGCATCAGCATGACCTAGATGTGAGACCTGGAGTCAAAGGAGATCATTTTAGAGCTTTAAGATTTGACTACCCTGCTGGATTTTGGACTTGCATGGGGACTGTAGCCCCTTTGTTTTGGCCAATTTCTCCCATTTGGAATGGCTGTATTTACCCAATGCCTGTATCCCCATTGTATCTAGGAAGTAACTAACTTGTTTTTGATTTTACAAGTTCATAGATGGAAGGGACTTGCCTTGTTTTGGATGAGACCTTGGACTGTGAATTTTTGAGTTAATGCTGAAATGAATTAAGACTTTGGGCAACTGTTGGGAAGGCATTATTGGTTTTGAAATGGGAGGACATGAGGTTGGGAGGGGCCAGGGGCAGAATGATATGGTTTGGCTCTGTGTCCCCACTGATATCGTGAATTCCCCCATGTTGTGAGAGGGACTCGGTGGGAGGTAATTGAATCATGGGGGCAGGTCTTTCTTGTGCTGTTCTCATAATAGTGAATAAGTCTCATGAGAGCTGATGGTTTTATAAAGGGGAGTTTCCCTGCACAAGCTCTCCTCTCTTGTCTGCCTCCATCTGAGATGTGCTTTTCACCTTCCCCTATGACTGTGAGGCCTCCAGGCCATGTGGAACTGTGAGTCCAATAAGCCTCTTTCTTTTTAAAATTGCCCAGTCTCAGATATGTCTTTATCAGCAGCATGAAAACAGACTAATACAGTCCACATTCAATAAATAAGTATTTACTTAACACAAACTATTTGTTAGGCATAGTGATAGGTACTCAGGTATACAATGATGATTAGAATAGGCACTTTAGCAAGTTAAATAATCTCTTTAAGTGTCCTGCCTATAAATTGCAGATGATCCCTGCATCAAAATGTTGTCATCAGTATTAAATGAGATAATACATTTAAAGCATTTTCATTGTATCCAGCTAGAAAAGTCCTGTTTTAATATGACCTATCCTTCTTATTCAATTACTTGATTAATATTGAGAAAAAATACTCTCTTTAAAGTTCTCTGTAACTTTAAGATAGTTATTAGATCAGTAACTGGCTTCCATTTCTTCAGGAAAAATAATCCTCAATTTTTTCATCTTTCTTCATTGATTATATTTCCTATAACTTTAATCACTTTTTTTTTTGAGATGGAGTTTTGCTCTTGTTGCCCAGGCTGGAATGCAATGGCATGCTCTCGGCTCACTGCAATCTCCATCTCCTGGATTCAAGCAATTCTCCTGCCTCAGCCTCCCAAGTAGCTGAGATTACAGGCACCCACCACCACATCTGGCTAATTTTTTTTTTTCTATTTTTAGTGCAGACAGGGTTTCACCATCTTGGCCAGACTGGTCTTGAACTCCTAGCCTCAGGTGATCCACCTGTCTTGGCCTCCCAAAGTGCTGGGATTACAGGCATGAGCCACTGCACCCAGCCAACTTTAATCACTTTTTAAGCTGAAGTCATTCAAGTTTGTCTGTAACCATTTTCCAATACAGTGCTCCCACATGGACTAGGAGAAATCTCATGGGCATGGAAGTGAGAGGGAAGGTAGTTCTCAGCCTTCCTTCCAATTCTGCTTGGAGCCTTTCTACCTCACCAGTCTCTCTTCTCCCTCTAGGGTCAGACTGAGCCCCCAAAAAGCCACCACTGGAGTATGACCTGCAAGCAAAACTTCTCACCCAACACAGTCATCAACATCATTCTGCCTTTTCCCTTATCTGTGCAATGGACACCAGAATGGAATCAAGTCTACTGAGGACATTTACATGTTTGGCTGGTGTGGTTGTGAAGAGTGAGTGGAGGGCAATTTGAAATTCTGATTAAATTATTCGTCTTCTGGGATTTTTTAGAGCAAAATCATAGGCATGGGCAAACATACATGGGGCTATCCCTCGAAGCATGTTTCCAGGAGTAAAACTGGAAATGGTCTGGAATGTCGACAAAAAGAGAATTGGTTAAATAAGCAATGGTATTTTCATTTTATATCATTCTATGGAAACATTCAAATTACTTGGTAGAAAACTGTGTCATGCTAATAGAAATGCGTTCACTGTACATTAAGTGAAAACACAGCATGTTTAAAAAATTATGTTATACAACAGAATGCTAGTAAAGCACTTAGCACTTTGCCTGGCTCTGGAAGTGTTAGCTATCATCATCTTTAAAAGCATAATCTCAGATTTGAGAGAAGCAGTTATAATTAATGAAAGAAAAGAATATATTACAATTTCAAGTGGTTATCAATGAGTAGAAGGATCATGGATTTGTGTGTCTTTCTTTGTGATTTTGAATTTTGTGAATTGTCGGTCATGAACTAGTACTTTTACTCTAGAGTAACAAAAGAATCTTACTGAAAGCTGCTAACTTGTCCTACCACCATCAGGGTCTTAGACAAAGCCCTGTGCTGGGAAGCAGGAGATGGACCAACCCTTCCCTGTACCTCTGAGCTATGAGTTTAGGTATTTCCCTTCAGCTCTCTAGGCTTTGTTTACCCTTTTGGGGATAATAGCTGACTTTTTAAGGTTAGGGGATACTTGCTTATGCTGACATTTGGGAGAATTTTCATTCATAATAATAAAGATAGTTCCACATCATGAGCCCCTAGTAGATGCCGCCGTATATCCATGATATCCTCAGCAGTATCTGATGGGTGAGGAGACTTAGGTTTGGAGACATGAAACGACTTACCCAAGGTGACACAGACAGAAAGTGACCACCCCAGGACTTGGACAGGTCTATCCAACCCCAGGACCAGTCAACTGCCTTAACAGAGGAAACTGGCCCCAGGGGATTTTTCTTGTAATCCAGCTGAAGCATGTGACTTCTATCCAGGATGGGCTAAAAAGAAAAGTGTGCGATGGGGTAGGGTGGGAGTTTGGGGTTATGGCTTTCCGGAGCCTGAGAGAGTGAGGCACAAGTGGATCTAGTGTCCCCAATCAACCCCAGACCTCAGCATCCACACGTGGGATAGAGGAGCAGCCCAGGGCTGGTCCTGGGTGAGATTTCTGCCTCAGAGGGAGAGGTCCTCATTGCTGGCCTTTGGTGAGGAAGCATTCTCATGAAAGCCACTTGACCCTGAGGGCTGGGAAGCTGAGGGCACTGAGTCGGTGTCTGGGGAGGGTGTGGAGTACACCTGGGCTCTTTCCATGGGCTCTGTGAGTTGCTGCCAAGCCCAGGGGACAGGCTTATGCAGATGTGTTCTAGGTAAAGCTGAACCATGCCCCCGAAATCCTCGTCCCAGAAAATTGTCTGGGTCAGGATTCTCTAAATCCAACCGATATCACCTCACCTCGCTTAATTCTAGACCATAATACAAAAAGTGAGCCGATGCCCCTGCTGCGGGGAGCTTGCGCTCACGAACAAGGTCCGTTTTGGGGAAAGGCCTCACTCCTATGTCCCAGCTGGACAGTAGCACGGGAGCCCCATCTAGCTATCAGTTCTGGCAGCCTTCCTTTGGATTACAAGCTTAGGACAACCGCAATGCTTCCACCCTATGCTTGGTGCGAAAGTTTTCAAAACAGAGAGAAATAGGTCTCTGCGCTGTTTCTTTTCCCCTCCGGCACCCCTTCGGTGGGAGACAGTTGATGTCTTTTTGAGGTGGGGCTGAGTGGGCCCTCCCTGCTCCTCAGCAGCTCCAGCGACCACCCTAGACGTGCTAGGGAGATGACACCCTGAGCCCTGCTCAGAAGGGGGCACCACTTGCGAGTAGGCCCTGACCAACAGGAGAGAGAGCCTTTGCCCAGACCACGCCTGTGTGTCTCCCCCAAATTCACAGAAAGAAAAGGACGCGCAGTCGCTTAGCGATTACTAAGCCCAGACACAGGAGAGGGAATCCTAGCCCTGCTCCTCCCCCAGTCCTTCGCAGTCTCTCCTTGTCTGTAAGGAGGTGTGGCCTGACGGCTTTACATCTGACTCTAAAACTCACAGGTCAAGGAAAAACTCTGTGATGTGCGGTGGGGCGATTTGCCGGCAGCCGGCGGCATCCTCGCCTCGGGCCTGTTTAGAACCCAGAGCTGGCCTTCTTCATTTGACACCTGTCTCACGCAGAAGAGCCGGCGGGGCCACAAGGGAGCTCCTGGTACAGACTGCTCTATAAAGCATAGACACTCGGGGAGGGGAGGGGCGGCAAATTCCCACCTACAGGAGAGGTGCGCTCTCCGGGTTTGGTCCTTCTCCACACCCACCCTTTCTGGGCCATGCTCCAGTTAAAACCACATGTAAAAGCACAGGCTGTGGTGGCCCGGCAGAGAGATGGAGAAGGGGGCTGGTGACCTCCCTCCCAGAGCCCATGGGCAGGCCACAGGTTCACCTGCCGGAGTCAGACTTCACGGGCTCTCTCCAGCCCAGAAGAAAGGAGTGCAAAGCAAATCTGCCGTAGAAATATTCTTAAAGTTAAGTCCTCAAAGCAAATTCAGAATTCATTATTTTGGGTACATGTAAATATGTATTTGCTGCTTAACCTGTGGTTCAACCTTTGCACTTTTATACATTCTAAAATTTTTTAGTTTATGCAAAAATCAGTGTAATCAGGATCCTGTAGAAATGTAATTAAATTTTGTTAAGTTTACAAGGTTTTGTTTTTCTCAGATCTAAACTTCCTGAGTCACACTCTGCATTTGAGACTCAGAATCCCCTGTTTCTAAATGGCATATTTAGGTAAATTGAAAATAACGACAATGCATCTATTCAACATTAAGAAATGCACAATCTTTTTACAAAGCAAAATTTGTCATATATACCACATATGAAATGTCACGAAACTCAGACAACTGTTTTGCTTTTAACTAAGCTGTTATTACAGCGTGAGCTACAAAGCTATATATCTTCAATTCAGCAAGAGTTACAACACAGTGCAATTGTGATATCTGACAAATAATTACTCACTCTGTTTTAAATATTAAAGTGCATTACCTATCACGCAAATCACATGAATCTGATTTTAATCCACAATTGAAATCTTGACATTGAGGACAGAATTTAATATATTTTCAGTCTTCAACTGTTTAAAGATCAGATTTCTAAGTGTCACAATAGTTTTTTAAGAGGCCATATGAAAATTACAGAATCTTCACATAATCATTCAGTTGTTAACATTACTGTGAGCAGCAGCATCTCAGGGCTCACACACAGCCACACCGGGGAGTTAATGCGGTCTGCCTTTGTTAGAGGCACTGGGGCTCGCATTGTGAGCATCTCGTGCTGAGATCACCTGCTGAGATTAAAGCAAATTAAATTCCCTGGGAAAAGCGATTTTTGAAAAATTATATAGAAGGAAGACTACTGTAAACTGGTGTACATTTTCCTCCTTCTCTCACTCAAAAGTCCATGGGGGGCCGGGTGAGGTGGCTCATGCCTGCGATCCCAGCACTTTGGGAGGCTGAGGTGGTCAGGAGTTTGAGACCAGCCCGGCCAACATGGTGAAACCTCATCTCTACTAAAAATGCAAAAATTAGCCAGCCGTGGTGGTGCACATCTATAATCCCAGCTACTTGGGAAGCTGAGGCAGGAGAATTACTTAAACCTGGGAGATGGAGGTTTCAGTGAGCCGAGATTGCACTAATGCACTCCAGCCTGGGCAGTAGAGCCCTATTCCGTCTCAAAAACAAAACAAAACAAAACAAAACAAAACAACCTGTTTTTTTTTTTAAGTCCATGGGGGTGAGGGAGGGAAATGTAGAACATGCACAATTTCAAAGATAAAAGTGCTTTATTAGAATCAAGAAAATGTCCTCATTGCAGATGATCTGGCAAGTAAGCCTGAAGGCAGCTGTGTTTGTGGTGACCGTCACCCTTTCATCTGCTTCCGTGTCCACTGCTCCTGGAGGCAGAAACCTGACTATTCCCACTTTTATTGCATTCCTCCTTCTCTGGTGCCAGCTCACCCACCAGTCCTGGACACTGATGTTTTGTGACCGATGGCACTGTTTCTAATTCTAACCTCCCTCAGCTCCCCACTGCCCTGCCCCACGAGCTGTCACCCACCACTTGATCTGAACCTGAGACCACTGCTATCTCCAGGAACTCGCTTGGTGGATGAGAAGCAAGTCTGCCTAGCACACTGGGTCCAGGTGACAGAGGCTTAATCACAAGAATGCGGACAAGCCGATGATGAAGTCTTTTTGTGGCAAACATTGACAGGACCTTTCAAATTTTCGAAAAGGAGTAATGAAAATCAAAAGCTCAAACTAAAACTGTCTTCTGTAGAGAGACTGATATGGGAAGGAAGTCCCTTCAGTGTGTGTCTGGAGAGACAGGGCGTGCCCTGTCCTGGTCCCCACCCTACATACCTTGATGAGCGTCTCCTCGGCTCACACTACCGTGACAAGCAGTGCACAGACGCGGAATCCCAGCCTAGACCCGTGACCCAGGCGAAAATAGGCACACGCCGGCCTGGAGCTCCACACAGCCTGGTTTTTGTCACTGGAATGCTCCATGGGGTTCTGTGAGTTGTTACATTTTGCCTCACTTTCTGAAAATGATTTTTATTTTAAAGGCGGAAGGAAAAAAAGCATATTATTTTAAAAGGATAGTGGTGAATCTTCTGAAGTAATAATTCTTGCCCAAAGTGATAATCACTCCTGATTTTTTTAGTTTTATCGGTTTGAAATCTCTAACATTAGATTTTCTTAAATCGTGTTGTGGTGAATAATTTCAAGCTGGTAGACCAGCAAGGAGGACCATGAGGCGGGGACCTGAGCTCTGAAAATAGGACCTGTAGTTATAGTAGTCTTCATAAGAAAATTAGTTTACATCTAGATCTTTACTGCCTACTGCAGTGTCTACCAGCCATGTGTGCCTTCTTAAATTAAAGTCACTTAAAACTAAATAATATTCAGAATTCAGTCCCTCAGTTGCACTAGTCACAGTTCAAATGCTCAATTGCCACAGTGATCAAATAATAATAAATAATAATACAGTTGGTAGAGCTTTTTAAATAAGTTACCATCTAAATTGGGCAGTTCTATACTAAATATTTGCCAACTAACATTATATATTCCAAAATATGTACAGTAACATTGAAATTTTAAAACCTCCCTACTTAGTGAATTGTGTACTTTTAAAACTATATAAAAACACAAGTTTGGAATGATTCAGTAGGTGTTTGTTTGGCGTGATTCTCATTATTTTGTTTCATATCTCTTACAGAAAAAAGCAAGCTTGATTTTCCATATCTTCAGTAGTTTCTCATTGCCAAAATCTAAATGTGAACGCATAGATTAGATGTCTGCACTAATGTGTGTACACACACACACAACCACACACACATTACTGAAGTACACTTGTATTAGATGTCACTTGCTGTAAGGATTATTATTCTTGGACTTCAAGGTCAATGAGTCAGCTGATTGCTTTATTGAAATGGACTTTCCAAATCCATCACTTTCAGTGATATCTGTCATCAAATATAAAGTGTAGGTCATCTTCTTTAAAAATCTTGCAAACTTGGCAGACTGGAAAATAGCCAGTCTATGTCTTTTCTCACTCAGTGAAACTAAGAAAGCAACTGCCTTCCATTAAAAAAAAAAAATCCTATTTTTACTGATTAGCTCACTTTAAGAATTTCTTCAGATTATGTATAATTTCAGATGTCTTCTATGCTTTCTTTGAAAAAAATATTGTTTGAGACTCATGAAATAATCTCGTATCAAGAGGACCAGTGCCCCACTGGCCCAGTGGAGGGGGAGTGAGATGGAAGTGGAGGTGGAGCCATCCTCTGTCCACACCTTTTTTTTTTTTTTGAGACGGAGTCTGGGTCTGTCGCCCAGGCTGGAGTGCAGTGATGCGATCTCGGCTCACTGCAAGCTCTGCCTCCTGGGTTCACGCCATTCTCCTGCCTCAGCCTCCCGAGTAGCTGGGACTACAGGCGCCCGCCACCACACCCGGCTAATTTTTTGTATTTTTAGTAGAGACGGGGTTTCACCATGTTAGCCAGGATGGTCTCTATCTCCTGATGTCGTGATCCGCCCGCCTCAGCCTCCCAACGTGCTGGGATTATAGGCGTGAGCCACCGTGCCCGGCCTGTCCACACCTTTAATGCAGTTGACTTAAGTTGTGTTCAGGTGTTTAAGCAGAAGCAAGGAATCTGGCTCCAACATTGGTGGAAAATAGCCTTCTATTTAGAGGCAATACAACAAAGAAATTCTGAGCATCTATGTCTTCCAGGAATTGCAGTTGGTGTGAATATCATGTAGTTGGGCCTCAGAGACAAACACCAGGTTAATCCTCAAGGACAGACAGGAAGCAAGTGTGTCTAGTAGTAAAGAGGGAGGTTCTAGGCTTGGATGGACCAGCCACTTAACAGGTGGGATATCGTGGCATGTTACTTCATCTTTCAATCCCTAATTTCCTCATCTGTGAGAGGGAGATAATAAAAGTACCTAAATGTCACTGTGTCATTGTAAAGATGAAAAGAATTCACTTATGTAAAACGCCTATGACAGTGCCTGGAACAGCAAATACTCAATACATTGTGCTGTTTGCTGTGACTTTTAAATATAGTGTCATTACTTTTTGTCATTCATTTTATTTTTTAATTCTTTATTGATAAAAATACATGTACATATTTTAGGGATGCATGTGATAATTTCATACATTCATAAAATCAAATCATGGTAACTGGCATATCCATCACCTAAACATTTATCTTTTCTTTATGCTAGGAACACTTCAAGTATTCTCTTCTAGTTATTTTGAAATGTACAACTGGTTAATGTTAACTGTGGCATCCTACTCATCTGAACACCAGGTCTCATTTCTTCCATCTCACTGTATATTTGCACACATTAATCTAGTTGTGTCATTATTATTTCCACAAGCTCATCACTCTGCCATGTGTGGAGTTTCCCTGCCCCTTCTCAAAAATGCGAGAAAGACACACTGGTGAGGTCTGGCAAGGGCCACACACTTTGGCAGGATAGAGACGGGTTCTGGACTTTTGCCTACCCCTCTTCATAGCTTGCCAGATATGACAAAGAATCACAATGACTACTGTGTCTGTCAAATTTTGTACTGATATGTTAGGCACAAAAACATAATACAATCTGTATTTAAATGCAATGGCTTCTGAAATGCAACCTTGATTATTAAGCCAATAAATTGTTGAAGAGTTTTGGCCCAGACATAGTGAAAGTGTGTTAAGCTCCAGGGATGTGTACAACACAGGATTAGGAGACACAAAAGAAGGGTTATAAGAATCACTCTCAATTTGCATGTGTGAACACTCTCCTTTTAAATAGTAGAATTAATACTACCAAATATCATCTTTGTGGATGTGAAGAATAAATAAGTCAATACACATAAAGTCGTTAGCATGGCCCCTGAAACAAATTGAGTGCAGAGTGTTAGCCCTTATAGTGATAATTATTATTCAACTATAACAAGGATTTCTTATAGCCAGTAGTAATTACAAATTATTCAAACTTAAGGCTGGGTGTGGTGGTGCGCACCTGTAGTCCCAGCTACTCGGGAAGCTGAGGCAGGAAAATCGCTTGAACCCGGGAGGCGGAGGTTGTAGTAAGCCAAGATTGTGCCACTGCACTCGACTCTGGGTGACAGCGAGACTCCATCTGAAGAAGGAAAAAAAAAAGAAAAGAAAAAAATTATTCGAACCTAGAAAGCAAATACTAGACAAAGCCTTTCACATTTCAAGCTTTTCCTTGTCAGTGAAAATCTGCCCAAGAACAAAGTTCTGGACAAGGAATCACGACTCCAAGTTCATGTTCTGGGTCTGCCGCTCCCTGGCTAATGACTTTGCCCGGTCAGAGCTTGTCCGGGGCCTGGGCTTCCTGGTCAGTGAAGTGAATGCTTGCAAAGTCCTTTCCAGCTTAAGAATCTGGACGCTACCAGTACATCTAACAGGTTTATTTAAAATGAAAAATTCTGAGCATGTTATGTTTTATGTTGAAAAGTACACATAAAATAGCTGACTTTTAAAAATAAATATTTTTTATTTATGTAAATCCATGTCTATACAACTGCAAACTTTTGATCTCTAAGTTCTTTTTTGGAACACACGCTTTGATGGATTTCAATAAACATGAATACATTTTTTAAAATCTTACATTTATAAAGTTTACAAAGCACCTAAATGTGAGCTTTTAGTGATTAAACTGAAATTCATATAAATATAGTTTGCAGGATTTTTTTTTGAGACTTGGTTCAAATTAAAATGTCATTTAAAAAAATGTCAATTTTGCCCCATTTCAAATAAGCTAAAGTCACTTCCTCTTCACTCCTTTGAATCCCATCACAGTTACTTCTCCCAGAAAACTCTTCGGTCTTCTTTACACTTACCTAGGTCCAGTCTGCCCTTTGAGATCCATCAGCATCCCATTTGTCTCCAGGGAGTCTGCCTTCCAGAGCCCACAAGGCGGGCCCCGCCCCTCCCCCCTCCCCCCCCCCGCCGAGTGCCTGGGTGTGTCTGGCCACGCCTCTCGAGTTGAGCTTGGGCTGCCTTTGAAGACTCCTCTTACCTTTTTATGCAAAGGCTGGTTTGACTGGGGATTTCTTAGCAGGCATTGCTTGTTTCTAAGAGTTCACGGTGAGCTACATAAAGGCTGTGTGGTTTTAGGCAGCCAATCAACCTCTCTGTGTATCAGTTTCCTTATTTGTAATGGAGAATATCAATGCAGACCTCATAGCACGGCTGAAAAGATTACATGAGATTATGTATGTAAAGCTTTTATCTGGGTTTCTACTTCACTAACTAGTGGAAGCAATATTAGTAATTGACAGGTTTTGGGTAAGTAACAGTAATAATAATACCAATGCAGCAACAGTAGTGATAATAATACTACTGGAAAGTAGCATCCAAGTAGATATGTGCCAAATACTATATTAAACTGTCCGTATGTCTTATCTCAGCCAATACCATGAGGAAGGTTCTTGCAGCATGCTCATTTTGGCGAACCAACACATGGAGCCTCAGAGAAGTTAAGTAACTTGCCCAAGGCTAGTCAAGTAGAAAGTGACAGAGATGGGAAATGAACCCAGGCAGCCTAAGTCTAGAGCAAGAGTTCTTAATCTTTTTACTAATGAAGACTATAAATCGGATATGGTGGCTCATGCCTCTAATTCAAGCATTTTGGGAGGCCAAGATGGGAGGATAGCTTGAGGCCAGGAGTTCAAGAACAGACTGGGCAACATAGCAAGACCCCATCTCTACAAAAAATAAAAAAATTAGCCAGGCATGGTGGTGTGTGCCTGTAGTCTTAGCTACTTGGGAGGAGAATTGCTTGAGCCTGGGAGCATGAGGCTGCAGTAAGCTATGATCACATTACTCCGCTCCAGCCTGGGTGTCAGAGCAAGACCCCATCTCTAAAAATATTAAATAAGTAAATAAATTAAAAGACTATGGAACTGTCAGTTTACATCACAATGGCATCTGTCATCAACATTGCTTGTTCAAGCCATGTCACTCCATCAAGGTCTGCAGGTCGAGGGAGGCACCCTGTAGCCATCAGGTTTTCTTTTCCAAACCTCTTCAACCTCTCCAGACATCCTGGAATGAGTCCCTGAGAGCCAGCTAGTAACTAGAGGGGGGAAAATGTCTAAAAGTGGAAGAAACTGTCTTCATATGAACAGTAAGCTGGTTAGAGTGGATAAGCTTCAAAGCATATTATCTGGGAAGTACTGTCAGGGTTTGTCAAGTGTTCATGGACTGAAACAATTACCTTATGCAGAGTGAAGACTTTTTCATAAGAACAGCTTGAAATAGGCTGCCCACAGCCCTGGGCAGCTTTGCTTTTTCACCATCTGGGCACGGTTTGTTTGTGTTCCGTTCTCTGGAGTGCGAGGGTGGGGAGGAAACCTTCATCCCTGTGACAAACTTCAAGAGGAATGCAAACAGGAGGGGACACAAGGCCCATTGGGCACGTCTCATGGCTGTTATCTCCTGGATTAGGGCTTAGGAGAGCAAAACCTCAGTCCTTTTAGTTACTTTAGTTATCATCACCTCTGGATTGAGGTGTTTCAGAAATAGCTAGATCCTCACTTGAGACATCTCGAAAGTCTCAAGGGAAAATGCGTCTACATCTGAAAAATATTGGGTAATTGGGCTGGGAGAGTAGCCACCTCTGTCCCAAAGCCCATTCAGAGCTTTCACCTAAGTCCCAAGTAGCTAAGACTACAGGCACACACCACCATGCCTGGCTAATTTTTTTATTTTTTGTAGAGATGGGGTCTTGCTTTATTGCCCAGTCTGTTCTTGAACTCCTGACCTCAGGCTATCCTCCCATCTTGGCCTCCCAAAAAGCTGGAATTAGAGGCACGAGCCACCATATCTGATTTATAGTCTTCATTAATAGGTGAAAAACCTCTCTGTAGCCTGTATTGTGGGATTTGCTGCTTCTTAAACTGGATCTTGAACTTAAAAAAGAGAGTGTGTTTAGTAAGAAACATTTTTGGGCACTTAAACTATGTTTTCTTAGCTTCAAATATTCCTAAAGAAAACTGACAGAATTGATTTAGTAATTTGAAAGGTTAAAGAGCACTCATGAAAATGACATCCTAGGCCGGGCGTGGTGGCTCATGCCTGTAATCCCAGCACTTTGGGAGGCCGAGGCGGATGGATCATTTGAGGTCAGGAGTTTGAGACCAGCCTGGCCAACAAGGTGAAACCTCGTTTCTACTAAAAATACAGAAAAAAAAAAAATTAGCTGGATGTGGTGGCACACGCCTGTAGTCCCAGCTACTCAGGAAGCTGAGACAGGAGAATCATTTGAACCTGGTAGGTGGAGGTTGCAGTGAGCCAAGATTGTGCCACTGCACTCCAGCCTGGGCAACAGAGCAAGACTTTGTCTAAAAAAATAAAAAGAAAAAAGAGAAAAAATGACATCCCTCTGTGCTGTCAGTAGATGCAACTATTTCATAGTTCTAGCCTCAAGTCAATCCCTAGAATTAAGAAAACTCTTATGTAAAATGTGTTTATTGCTCTTATTTATTGAACTTTCTGGACTATGAATCACAGCATCTTGAGGTTAGTGTGAAGTGGGGTGAGATGTAAACCAACCTGTATCGTAGAAACTGTCCTCGGTCTGGAATCACGGAAGTGTTTTTATCCTGACCTATGCTTGCCAAAACCATGCCTATCAACACCACAAAACTAGCCTAAAATGAGACCCTCAATCAACTGCCTTAGTTCTCTGGACTTCCTCACTGAAGATTTCTGGTCTGGGATTGTAGAAGGACAGTGGAAGGGTGTGGAAGTATGAGAGAGGAAGGTAAAGGGTGTGATTGTACGCATGCATATGTGTGTGTGTGTCTATGCATAACCACAGACCACAGATGGGGGAATGGATGGACAGTTGATGCACTGATGGACGGTTGAGGCTGCAACTGTGGAATATTCGGGGCAATTTACAGATAGTAACAAATACGAACAGGAAGACTTATCTCCATAATGCCAAAAAAGAGGTCTGATTGGGTTTTTTTCTTCTCACTGAATTGTCTTTCTGTCTGAGGCACATGACAGTGATATGGCTTTAACGGAAGGGGCAGAAGTTTAATTGAACTTGATGAATTAGAAAATAACCTTGAAAAGAGCAACAAATTCCAGTGAAATCAGTGCAAGGCAGCACATCTACAAACAAAAATCATCTATAATTTGCTACAGTACAATGTGAAGACTGCCTTGCATAGACATAGCAAAAAATGCTGAGAGGTCCTAGTACTGCTGAGATATTAACGTTATTAGTAATGTCAGGAAGACTTTAGGATTCAGTCAAAGCTATATGGCATGGTTCTCAAACTCTAGCGTGCATCAGAATCAACTTGGAGGACTTATTAAAACTCATATTGCTGGGCCTCATACCCTGAGTTTTCAGCAGTAAATCTTGGGTGACTGCATTTTTAACATGTTCCCAAGAGATGCTGGTGCTGCTGGTGAGGGCTCATACTTAAAGAACCACTGCCATCCAGTAACCAGAAGCAGAGAATAGTCCATCATTCTGCTCCATTTAGTAGATTATTGTATCCTCATTCTGATCACTAGATATGAAAAGGTATGCAGAGAAATGGTAAATGATATGGAAAAAGGGATCAGGAAAATGATCAAAAGGATATAAAATAAAATCAGAAACATATGACATAAATAATTTAGAGTTTTATTTGAAGAAGAAGAGAACAATATTGTTTAATGAATATTTTCAATATATCAATGTTGAGCTGGGATTAAGGGGTTCTCTGTACCTCCAGGGGCTTGGCCAAGACAAAAATAGAATTACAATATAATAAGAAAGATCAAGATTTGGAATATCAAAACACTGCAAGGCACTGAGAAAAAAGTGTACAACTTCAGTTTCCAAAGAGATCTTGACTTAGGTGATTTAGATTTGATATAGAAAATTCTACTTCATATGTTTTCTTCCAATTATTAGACTCTATAGAATCCCAGAGTAAATTTGTTCATGCTTCAAAAGGATCTAGGAAGGAGTAAGGATATAGTTGGATCAGAACACATTTTCCCTTAGGTTTTATCCCAGTAACCACATATATCTGTAAAAGACAGGCCTTCATTTCTCCATATGTGGAAGGTTTGTATTTTCGTCAACCCATATAAGAATCCCGTAGATTCAAAATATGTTGTTTGGTGAGAAATGCAAATCCAAGCCATAGAGAGAATTCCATAAGATGCTCTTTTGCCTTTTAAAATATTCTGTTGATAACTGTCTGTTCAAATAGTCAACTACCAAGGGAATCTGTGCCCTAGTAAATGTTTTTATTTATGTCCTAAACTTATTTTCAATTGAAATTTGTTCACTTATGCTTGATGTTAGTATTTGAATTTTTTATGATTAAAAAATTCCTAGATGTCTTCTGTAAGTATCTTATACAGTGGACATATATAAGTTATATATTAAAATCTACTTTAACTATGTACTTTAATATGCTTCCATTGGATTAAAAAATGTTCTCACTTCCTTGGGCAGAAAGGTAGCAGAGTACCTGTGACCAGGGTAACTATTAACATTAATAGTATTTTTGATGCTGAAAAATAAAAGGCTACAGATAAGTGTCAAATGAAGGTGAGCTATTTTTAAATTTCTCTGATGTACCTGTCTAGAAAAGGTTGCTTTGGAATAAGTTCAGTTGAATTTTAGAACTCAGAGAACAAAGGTTTTCATCTCAATCATCTCAAGATAAATACATGCAGACACATGCAGCCCCCAAACATAAGCCACTCATGTCCTAAAGAAAACTGTCCTTGAGGTGGAGGTGAAAACCTTTGTTGTCAGGTATACATACACACACCTAGAGAAACACATTGCATCTACATAAAGCTTCTGAAAGAACTAAATTAAGATAATGAACATTAGGATTTTAAAAAGTTAGTTCATTAACATGGAAAAAATACATTTATGGGTCTTTATTAGACCCTGAGAAGCTGTAGGAAAAGTTCAAAGTTCATCTCCATTGAATACAGACTAGTTATTAACCTCTGACAAAAATAAACACTTCAAATATATATTATTTATGCATTATAGGTACATGTTATACATATTCAGATATATATTTTTATATGTTATATTTATATGTTATATATATGTATTTATACGTTATATTAAAAGTGTGACACGTATCATTGTGAATCAGTGTTGTCTGTAGACCATCAGCATCAGCATCACGGGAGCTTGTTGGAAATTCAGCCATGCCCCAGACTGACTGAAGCAGAATTTGCATTTTAACAAGATTCTCAGGTGATTTGTATACTCTTCAAATAGTTAAAGTTTGAGGAGCTCTAGCCAAAATTACCAATATTTTTTTCTGTAATTTTTTTTTTTTTTTTTTGAGATGGAGTCTTGCTCTGTCCCCCAGGCTGGAGTGCAGTGGCACAATCTCGGCTCACTGCAAGCTCCGCCTCCCAGGTTCACGCCATTCTCCTGCCTCACCCTCCTGAGTAGCTGGGACTACAGGCCCCCGCCACCACACCCGGCTAATTTTTTGTATTTTTAGTAGAGACGGGGTTTCACCATGTTAGCCAGGATGGTCTTGATCTCCTGACCTCGTGATCTGCCCACCTCGGCCTCCCAAAATGCTGGGATTACAGGCATGAGCCACTGCGCCCGGCCTGTAATTTTTTTAGAAGACAGATTTGTCTGTGAATTCAAGCCGTGATGTATAAACCTATTAGTTTGTGATTCTTAGAATTCTAAACAGAAGTCCTAACCATATATCGAAACATTCAATAATTATGACAAATTTTAAAGGGGACAATAAGGCAGTCTTTTCCTTTATTATACCAGGCATACAATCAATATAGAAACTTAAACATTATTCAAAATCACAACATAGTAGTCACTTAATTAATATGTATTTTAAATCTGAAATGGCAAGTCATCCTAACTTCATATTATCACATATTACTATAAAATAAAGTCAATCATTATTTTAATAATGGATTAAGCATTTTTTTTAAAAAGCCGAAGAAGTCTCCATGATATTTTTATTGGCACTAAGTATCTCTATTCCTCCTCTGCTCTTTTAAACTTCTTGTTTCAATCCTATTTTAAATCCTGGGGGAGTCTAAGACTATTTCTGCATGGCCAAGTCAACCAAGGAATCCACTCCTCCTGAACCTGGCTCCTTACTGTAGGCTCCAGGCAAGGAGGGGCTCTATCTCCACCCTGCTTCCCTGCCCCAGGTACCTTTAAAAACAAACTTCACTGATAGAAAGAAATACAGAGTTAAAGGAATAAAAGGAAACAAAACCCTAGATAGTCATAACTTCGATGACTAGTTTTGACTAATTCAGGATTCTGGTAAAGTAATGGAACTGTCCTAGTTACAAGGATAACTGTTTCTACTGGAAAAATATCAATTCCTTGGTAGCTAGAAATTTTAATTATGTGGAGTAAAAGATTATCTGCTACCTCAGGACTGTTGGAAATAAGACAGTTTTCCATGAGGTCTTTGGTCCTGTTGCAAAGTTAATATTATTGGGTATACGTATGCATAAATACATACATACACATATGTACATTGAGATGTGTGCACATTTAAAAATAATTAGCTCCACAGGAAAAAAGAAACCTTGTAGAAAACCACATAAATATCCAACATTTTTCACAATTTAAACGGTAAAGGCATGTTGTTAGTTGAACTGAAAAATCTCTTAGCTGAAACTATATGTTTTAAAAACATGGGCCAAAAGCAACCACGTAACTAGTGTAACTTTAAACAGGAAATTTTATGTCCTTTTTTTTTTGAGATGGAGTCTTGCTCTGTCACCCAGGCTGGAGTGCAGTGGTGCGATCTTTGTTCACTGCTACCTCTGCCTCCTGTCTTCAAGCAGTTCTCCTGCCTCAGCCTCCTGAGTAGCTGGGATTACAGGCACCCGCCACCACGCCCGGCTAAATTTTATTTTTAGTAGAGACAGGGTTTTGCCATATTGGTCAGGCTGGTTTCGAACTCCTGACCTCAGGTGATCCACCTGCCTTGGCCCCCCAAAGTGCTGGGATTACAGGCGTGAGCCACTGCGCCAGGCCAAGTTTTATGTCTTAAATGTAGAGCCAAAACTCTGTGACAGGAACGTGTTACAAATCAGTTTCCTCAGCCCTGGTATCCACTGAGGGATGAAAGCTTGCAAGGTACAGGGAAGGAGCAAGACTTAGACTTTGGAAAAGCTGGCTTCAAATTCTGACTCTATCCTTGTGCTTTGTGGCCTCGGGCACATTTTTTATCCTCGCCTCTCTTAGTCTTAGTTTTCTCACCTATAAAAGTAGTAGTTTTGTGATTATAGTAAAACACGCAGCATGGGGCCTGGCACACATGTGGTCACAACAAGTACATATTATTCTCTTTATAATTCTGACTATTGGAGATATGCAAATGGAGCCACTATTTTTATAAAATCATCATTTATTCCTTTAAAACCTCATTACGGATATTTCCTAGCCCCTCTCAAAACCAACTTACCTTTGTCAAGTCTCCTATGGTGGTGCTATTCAATTTTAATTAATTAAAAACGAACAGACTCATCATGTTCAACCTACTAACTCCATCAAATGTTCAAAAGAAATGTTTTAAAGGCATCAGTTTTATTAGATTGATCATACAGTGGTATGTATTGAAAATTCTTTCCCACTTCTTAAGTATTTCAGTCCCTCTCCTGCTTCCATAAGTAACCTCAGGGAGGAGACACAGATTCAAGTAGAGGATTTTTTCACACGTGTGCTACATTAGAAGATGCTCTGGAGAGAAGGCATCAGCATGCAGGCTCCCAGAATGGTCTTGAGAGCACCCTGGGCATCACATCTGGGACAAACCGATGAGGTTAATTTATTACAAATGATTCCCCAATGACCCTGAAATACTGCTTTTGCTGCCATCTGAATGGGCTCAATTAATGTGCTGCCAAGAATTTTTTCCACTGATTATATAGACATAACTATAAATCCATTGCAAATGGAGGGAAGGTACCTGCGTCTACATTTGTCTGCATGAACAGAAAAGAAACCTGAGACACATCGATTTTACAATGTGTTTAAAGTGAATTCTTCTTTGCAATTTCCTGACTACATTCTTGTTCTCTGAAAACAGGCAATGTGATTTTTATTGTGTATAAATTGGTTTTTGGTGAAAAGGAGTTAAAAGATTTCAAACTTAACTTTTCATCAACAGCCAATGGTCATTCTGTTTATGACCTTACAGGATATAGCTGGTATATGTCACAGTCATAGATGGACGCTGTGCACTGACAAACAAACCTAATCATTAAAATAGGGGACTGCCTGTTTCAAATGCATTATGCACCACAGACAGTATGAACCAGAAAAACTTGGCCTATAATATTTATTCTAATTATCTCAATCAAGAATAACCATTAGTATATTCTCAGAGAGAGAGGAAAGGTGATTTTTTTCATTTCATGATAATGTCACATTAGTTTTTTTCAGAATATATTAAAATAAATTTAATCTACTCTCAATTGCTAATATTTTTTCCTTTTGTTTTCTGAAAACAATCAGACAATAGCTTAAGAAACTACAATGGTGGATCTAATCAATCCTACTTCATATGAAGATCAAAACCTACTTCAGGATTCATTTTAGAAAGTACATATTGGAAAACTATATTGAAAAATGACCCGTTGGAATCTAGATTGACATGGCAACATTTGAAACAAGTGGTCTAGCTAACACAGTCGACCATGCAGAAGGAGTTGCAACATTTATAGAAATACCGAAGGAATTCTCGTGAACAGTAATTGCCGAAAGGAAAGAAAGAATGGATAAGAATGGGTTCACGGTTTCAGTGTCGGTGACATTACTGAGTTCATGTTAGCAAAATCAGGTCCCTTCCAAACACAATTATGTAAACTATTTGTATTGGATTGAAAGGGGTCATATTCTGTTACATACATGCAGCATTAAAAAATCTACCATCATGTAAAAAAAAAAAATAGTCTGGAAAAAGTAAGTCTTTCTCAATTTTCCTCAATCACTCAAATTTATTTTAAAGTCCAGGTAAAAACTCTGAAACTCATTTACTTCTAATAACATCATGGGCGTATCATATCCCTTCCTTTCCTACCCCCAGTCAGCCCTCCAAACAAAGTATAAAAGGAAACCCTTGCCCCCAAGCAAAACAAAATAATGTTGAGTGGAGAGCTCAACAATTTTTTTTAATGGTGAAAACACTGGTAACATTATTTTCACTTCAATCACTTAACTCATCTGAACGATGTCATTGTTTCACGAATGCTAAGTGCTCCTGTGGCTTGAGAGGGAATCCAATGCAAGGAATTCAAGGGAAGCATCTCAAACCTTGGCCAGGCAGTGGAAGTGCTTGGTAAATGCAGAGTCCTCCTGGGTGCAAGGGTGCTACACATCACTGGGCGAGCGCGCTCTCTGGGCGAGACTGGACGGGATGCAGCCGCAGCAAATGAGACAGAGCGCTTTCTGGATCTCTTGGTTTCTGAAAGCATATATGACAGGGTTGATGATGGAATTGTAGGTGGCGGGCAGGAGGGTGGCGTAGGTATAGATGGAGGGGTAGGTGTAATCCGCTATCAAGGAATAGAGGGTGAAAGGCATCCAGCAAGCAGCAAACGTCCCCAGGATGATAGCCAGGGTGGAGACCCCTTTCCGGGTGGTCACATAGTGCGACGTGGCCAGGAAGTGGTGCTGCAGGGCTATCTGATGGGCGTGCCTCATCACAATCTTACAGATCTGGATGTAGAGCTGAAGCATGAGCGCAAACATGAAGAGGAAGGACACCGAGAGGATGGCCGCGTTGTTCTTGGTGAGCGGTCTGACCACGCTGCAGGTGGACTCGTCTCGGAGGCAGTTCCAGCCCATGACGGGCAGCAGCCCCAGGCAGATGGAGGTCCCCCAGAGCATGACGAGCATGACATAGGTAAACGTGACCGTCCTCTCCGAATGGTACGTCAGAGCGTAGTACAGTGAGAGGTAGCGGTCAACAGTGATAGCCAGCAAGCTGCAGACAGAGGCAGAGAAAGAGGCGACAATGAGGCCGATCGTGACCAGCTTGGTGGCTTCTGACTGAAGCAGGTAGGCAAAAACAAAATTGGTGATGAGTCCAATGCCGGCCAGCAGGTCTGCAAGAGCCAGGCTGCCTATTAGCAGGAACATGGGTGCTCGCAGGCTGGGGTTGTGGAAGATGATAAGGACCACAATGGCATTTTCACAGGAGATGAGGGTTCCCGAGGTACACAAGACAATGTCCCAGGGGTTGACTACGAGCTCAGGCTCTGGCTCTACGGCAGGAACCCGGGAGGAGACAGCAGCCGAGATGTTCTCCGCAGCAGCGGCATCTAAATAATCCCGAGGCAGCCCGCTTAAATTGACCTTCAGGTCTTCATTCATTTTAACCCCTGTCCTCTTCAACGAAAAGACAGGCTTTTTAATGTTTAAATACAGCAGGGTGACAATCCAAGATCATGCAAAAAACACACAGACAAACAGAAAGCCAGCCCCTGCTCAGATACCAGTACCAAATGCCACAAGCTTCGGGAATGAGGAACTGTTGGGAAATGAAACAAAAGCCAAAGTCTCTGTGGTTTAAACCCCACAACAAAAATGCCGTTTGGCATTGGGGAAAACACAGGGTAGGACTTCAAAACACCAGCGTGAGCGAGGCAGGCACACACGGACTCGCGGCGGTCTGTTTGCAACAGCGCTGGGAATGCACATTGGAAAATCACATCTTGCATGCTGAAAACGAACAACTGTTTGACATCTGGGCTGCTGCCGAGAAAACCACGCGGCAGCGGCAGGTCTCGAGCCAGGGGCCGCCATCCTCGATGGAATATTTAAATCGCCTATTTCCATCGAACTCCCACCCTCCAAACGCATCCCCCGCGCGCGTGCACATCCTCAAACGCACCCCCGACCGGAACAAAGAGGGGCTCCAGACTCCCCCCGTGCGCACGGGGCAGTCGGGAGGGCCACGAGAGGGAGGTGTGTGCAATGGAAGTACCGAGACAGACAGACAGACAGATGCCCATGCACTGCTGCCGATTCCCTGGCGGCGGGGACGGGAGTCGGACGCGAGGGGGACAGACAGGGTGCGGGGACAGGCGGCCCGCGGGGGCGGGGGGGTCATCGAGGGGGTCACCTTGGCTCGCCCAGGCCGAGGGGGCTCCTCCGGTGCTTCCGAAGCGCGTGGGCTACTCGTGTCGCATGTCGGCGCAGTTGCCCGCTGTGGCAAGGGGGGGGCGGCCGGGCTCCGGAGCGGGCCGGGAGGGCGCGGGGCGCGCACTCCGCGGCAGGTGAGCGGCGCGGCTGCAGGTGAGCAGCAGCCTCGGCTCGCGCGCCCAGCTTTCCCCGCCGCGCCCGCCCGGCCCACACGCTCCCCGCGCGCGCGCCGCCCCCGCCCCGCGCGCGCCCGGCCGCCCGCCCGCCCGCGGGATCCCCGCGAGGCCGCGCGCCCCCACGGGTCAGGGCTGCTCTAGGGTGCGGGCAGGCGAGGGCGGCCCAGGGGCGCGGGGCGAGGGGCGAAGGAGCCAGGAGGCTGAGAACTGCATGGTAGCCCTGCCTGCCTGCCGCGCTGCGCGCCCCACCCCAGCCGGCGGCCCCGGGCTTGCACCGGGCGGGGCAGGGGAGCGCTGCCTGGAGCCCTGTGACCTATTTCGTTCCTGTGGTTTCCCTGGGGAGCTCCAAGTCTCTACAGTCCTGGCTTTTCCACGCCTTTACCTAAACCACTACATTCAGGGCCAAAAGAATTGCTTAGGATGATATTCACGATCAGCAGCAGGGATGCGGGGTGGACAGGTTAGGGAAGCAGATCTTTAAAACAACAAAATGCCCCGCACGCTCTTTTAGAATTGCCCATGGTCCTGGACCTGGTTCATTATCACTGTTCCCCAGGAACATTTGCTTGACTGGATAGATGCTGCTGCTCTGTGGATCATCATTATCATCACCAAATTGCACTTATTAAGCGCTCTTTGAGCTGTGTTTTCAAATGGAAATCATTTACTGAGTTCTTGTAGAAGCTTCCTGCAGACATTGGCCAAACCCCAATTCATTTAGATACTGAAGTGGCACTATTAATTTATTTTTTCATTTTGCCACATCAATGGATTCTAAGATGAAGAACCTGATAGCTGTCTGCTTTTATGATCCCATGCCTCCTCTGGATATAAAAACCAGAGCACCTCATAGATCTTAAGTTCCAAGATGATCCTCCAGTTTAAAGATGGGATAAGGAAAAAGTGTGATAGTCTTGTCTTGCCCTGTCAGAGGTGAAGGTTTTCCCACTGCTTTTCTTCCACTTGCCCAGGGGCTCTTGTATGAATGGAGATGGTCTGCAGGCAAGGGACCCTACAGGGGCATCATCAGCTGACCAGCCTGCCTTCCCCTGGTGCTCACGTCTTCTCTACCCCAGCCCAACAGATTCGGAGCCTCAATCACCCTTGACTTTCTTCCCGCTTCTCCTTCCCTTCTTCCATCAATCAGTTTCTGGCTCTGCAAGGTCACTCCAGCTCTCCCTGCATGCCACTTCTCATCATCCTCAGCTCCCTGGTTGAGGCCCTCATCCCCTCTCACCTGCATTTCTGGTACCCACCTGCCTCTCCCTTTCCCAACCTCCTCGATTTGGCACATCTATTCCATGATGTCCAAGACCTCCTGCTACCTCCAGAATAGTCTGAACTTTTTACCTTGACAGATTCTGCTCAGTAGTTCTTGGGGTGGGCCTACCTTCTGCATTTGCAAGCCTCTTCCCCAGTGATGCTGCTGCTGCTGCTGGTTGACAGATCACACTTTGAGAAGCAAGGTTCTATGGAGTTTTCAGAGTGGCTTGTTCATGGTGGGGAGGCATCAGACTCGTGTGTGTCCCAAGAACCGGGCTAAGGGCTGGGCATAGAAATTCAGTAAGACACGGTCTCCAGTCTGGTAGTGACACACACACAAATCAACAATAATGCCAGGCAGCAAATGCTGTCATGAAGGGATGTAATCTTCTTCTCAATTCTACATGATGCATCAAAGAATTTTAGAATGAAGCGATGAAAAATGAACAGTCACTTAACAAACATGTAGTAGTTTTGGCATAATATAGCTCAACCTACATGGCAAAATTTTGGGCACCTCACATTGGCATTGCAGTTTAGGGAAAGCGAATGCATAGGGCTAGCCAGACACTATTCTAGCCAATAACACTGACATGGTTTATGGCCCTGACTTCACGGAGCTTAAAGGGGTGGGACTTTTTAATTCAGTCGTTAATGTGTTTGAGAATTTTTTTTAAAAAAGAGCTGAGTGTTGGAGGAGAGAAAAAAGTATTGAGGTGAATGGCAGAGGTATACAGATTTTTGTAAAAAAAATTTGTAAAACCTGGGAGGAGTCAAAGGAGGAAACTGAGGCAAGTTACACCTGGGGCTTGGATACCGTCACTGGGGAGAGCCCAGGAGTTAGCTGCTAACACTGATGTGGACACTCAGCTCCCCTGTTGGTAACAGCAACTGTGTTCACAGTTCTGTCCCCACTCCCCCCGGAATGATTACTTGTAACTTCCCTGTACTCCGGATTCTATGTTCATTGGTTTATTTGTTAGGACTTTTGTTGCCAGGGAGCAGAAATCCAATTCAAACTAGTTTAAGAAAAAAAGGCGTTTTGTTGTCTGGCATGACTAGGAAAGATCTGGAGTGGTTCACATAAAAGAAGGAGAAGCTACAGGAAACAGGTGGCTGGCAGTCAGCCCTGCCCTGATTTATTTCTGCTTGTCTTTGCTTCTCTGTGTCTGTGTGCCTCAAACTTCTCTACCCCAGACAAGTTTCTTCCAGGCAGTCATGGAAAGTGGCCTCAGGCAGCCCTGGGCTTGCATTCTAAGACTGTATTCTTAACTTGTGAGTGGAATTCCCATGGAGAACTCTGCCCCAGCCTGGGCTGCGCCCCCTGCTCACAACCAACAATGGCAGCTAAAGGGAAAGAGTGGATCAGTTGGCCAGGCCTGGATCTCATGTGGTGTCTTGTGATGGGCATCCCTCTGAACTTCACCAAATGGGCATTTCTGAGAGGAACAGTGAGTTGGGACACCAGGCACACCAACTCCAGGTCTGGAGGTCGGGATTCACCACAGCTTGGAACTGGGTGAGCCAATGGGGACGTTTTGCACAGCCTCAGTAACGAGGGCCATAGAGTAGCTGTCTGCAAAGCTGTCTTCTCGATGTATTCACCGCCCATGACAGGACACTGCCGCAGATGCCCTCAGAAGTGTGACATTTATTGCCTTTTCATCACTTACCTTTTTTGTCACTTTTTAAAATAACTTCAGCAAGAAGTTGTAAACCTTCAAGCATGATCTGGCATTTTCACAACCTATAGTAACGATGACTGTTTTATGTGAGAAAGGCTCGGTGCCTGTCTTAATCACACATGGCATCTTTGCCAACTTAAACCCTGAGGGCACATTTATTAGCCCCTTCTTGTAACTGTATTTGTAAATCATGAGACTGTCACAGATTACTGGCTGGAGCAAGTCATAAACTGAGCCAGTACTGCACAGCACATGGTGTCTGTATTGAAATTTTACCAGTCAGCTTCTTTCTTGCTTATGTTAATGATTATTACCCAGTTTCCATAGATCTGATTAATTGGTGCAGTAATCTGAACCATAGATTGACCATGCTTTAGTCTGTCCAGCCAAGGGTCTATAACACACCTAAGAATACACTATAATCCCAAATTAAAGTTTGATTTTATTGATCTCTTCATCTGACAGTAAATTTTATAACTGTATAACCTACATATAGACAAGTGCATATTTCACAAGTATACAGTACCATGAAGATATATCAGATAGATATATCTATGTACCCACTATCCATCTTGAGAAATAGAACATTACCAGTACCCCAAAGCCTTCCTCTTGCCCACTCCCAATAATTATCCTCTGAAAAGAAACCACTATTCTGAATTCTAATATAACAGATTAGGTTTGTCTGTTTTTGAACTCTATATGAATGGAATCATACAGTATGTACACTTTCATGTCTGGCTTCTTTCACTCAACATTATGTTAATGAGACATATTCATTTGGTGCAAGGAGCAGTAGTTTAATCTTTTTCATTGCTGTATGGAATTCTATCGTAGGACTATTGTGTTAGTTCGTTCAGGCTGCTATAACAAAATACATCAGACTGGGTGATTTGTAAGCCAAAGAAATTTACTGCTCACAGTTCTGGAGACTGGGAAGTTCAAGATTATGGTGCCAGCAGATTCAGTGTCTGGTGAGGGCTCATTCCTTACAGATGGCACCTTCTTCCTGTGTCCTTACTGGCAGAAGGAGCAAACAAGCTCCTACGGGCACTCATCCTATTCAAGAGGGCAGAGCTCTCAAGACCTAATCACCTCCCCAAACCCCGGTTCTCAATGCTACTACACTGGGGATTAAGTTTCAACATAGAAATTTTGGGGGTAAACATTCAGACCACAACAAATATGCTGCCATTTTTCCATCTATTTCTTATCGATCCACATTGGGTTGTTTTCTGGTTTTGGCTATTGTGACTAAAACCATGACAAACTTTCTTGTACATGCCATGTGATAAACGCTGGCTCAAAAGCACATTTTAATAATTAGTTCTCCATTAAAATAATACCATGTTGCTATTTAAGGAGAGGGAGGAGACTATGAAAAATCACAACACATCCCTCCTTCCCCTTTTAAAATTCACTCTAAACTTCCATTTTAACAGAGGGCAAAGGTAGTTCATGGAAATATCAAAGAAAGAAAGAAAGACGGGAGGGACATACTACACAAAGATAATATTTAGTCTGCGGTTCTGTGTGCGAAAAGAGAGCTCCGTTGTCAACACTAACATTACTTCATTTCTACATATATTCTGGTGTTTTTTTTTTTAAGAAATATCTTTTTTCTGACTATAAACTAATAATACTTATTGCAGAAAATTTGGAGCCTACAAGTAAAATTAAAGTGTAATATGTCATGTACTCTTACAGAGAAAGCTGCTGTAAACTTTTTGTTAATATATATTTTAATAAATTTAGTTGGGATTTTTTTTGAGAGGAGGAGGCAGAGTAATGAGGTGTTACTTTCTGAAATGTTTTATTCACACAAGCGCATGGAGCAATAGTTTTTCATTTTCTTTGGATTTTGAGCTACCCGTCAGTCTGCTGTCTGTGCTTTATGGTGTGGACAGCAGACAGGGACCATTCTGCTCCCTCTCTGCTCCCTCTCTCTTCTCCTAGCATCTTCCCCCGCCCCCAACCCTTAACCCGACTCCTCCAACTCTCTCGATCCTTCTGGCAGGCTGGATAATGACCCCCAAAAATATCTAGGGCCTAAATCCAGGAACCTGGGACCGTTACTTTTGTTAAAATGGGCTTTGCAGAAGTGATTAGACGTCTTGAGGTAGGAGGACATTCTGGATCCGGGTGGGTCCTGAGTATAATCACCAAGGTCTTTCCAAGGCGGAGGCAGGAGGATTAGGGTCAGTAGTAAGAGATGTGAGGGCAGAAGCAGAGGGAGAAAGACAGAGATGTGAAGATGTTGCTCTGCCTGCTGTGAGGACAGAGCAGGGGCCGGGAGCCACAGGGTGTTGGCAGGCTCTGGAAACTGGGAAGATCAAGGGGATTCCTCCCTGGACTTCAAGAAGGAATGCTGGTCTGTGGGCCAACCTTAGACTTCTGACCCCCAGAACAAATGAGTGGGTTTTTAAAACTGATACATTATTATTAACTAAAATCCATAGTTTGCATAAGGGTTCACACCTGGTGTTGTCTATTCTATGGGTTTTGACAAATCTGCAGTGACGTGTATCCACCATCATAGTGACATACAGAATAGTTTCCCTGCCCTAAAATTCTCCGTGCTTGCCTATTCATCCCTCCCTCTCCCTAATCCCCGACTAAACTTTTTACCGTCTCCATAGATTTGCCCTTTCCAGAATGTCATAGAATTGGAATGATACAGTACGTAGTCTTTTCATATTGCCTTCTTGAACATAGCAATATGCATTTAAAGGTTTTCCATGTCTTTTCGCAGCTCGATAGCTCATGTATTTTTATTGCTGAGTAATATTCCAATGTCTGGATTTCTTTATCCATTCACCTACTGAAGGACATCTTGGTTGTTTCCAAGTTTGGCCAATTATGAATAAAGTGCTATCCACATCTGTGTGCAGGTTTTTGTGTGGATATAAGTTTTCAACTCATTTGGGTAAATACAAAAGTCCATTGTTGCTGAATAATTTGTGTTGTTTTAAGCCACACAGTTTGAGGTAATGTGTGAGGGCAGCAATGGGAAAGGAATGTAGGCCTTCGTCATGAGCCCAGGAGACCTGGGCTGCCCACAGGTCCTTGCAAACTTTAACCGCCTCACTCATGCCCAGCAGGGCCAGGCCTCTAGTTGCCAACAACAGGATATCCAGTATTTATTAATACTCACTGTGTGCCAGGCACTGTGTTAGGAGCCTTCCAAGTACATTCTAACTTAATCCTCCCAACAACCCTACAAGGTAGAGCACCTCTATTACCTTATGTATGACTGAGGGAGGTGACACACAGTGAGGTTCTATACCTGCCCTCAAAGCCAGGCAGTTAGGTGCCAGGATCTGCTTCCTGAGCCACTGGACTACACCACCTAGAGAGCAAGTGCCACTTATAGTAAGCTTTAAAATGGGCTTATGGAAATCCTACATCCATCCAATGTCTCTTCTCAGGTAAGAGGTTGAAGACCCAGCTTTGCATCTCTTTTAGAAAGACAGGAGCTTGTCCTACACAAGTCTACTCTAGGACTCCATTATCATTTCAATTTTGAAACCTGTTTATAATCTAATAGGACCTCAGTAAAACCTCAGGAATCTGCTTCTGGAGTTCTTTCCTGTTGATGTCATTGCAAATATTCTCAAAGGCCTTTTGCTGGCTGCTCTAGGCCTGGGCCCTACATCCAAAGGGGAGGATGACTGATCCCTGGCTGATTCCTTGCACCAACTTTGACTGACAGCTGTCATGGCAGATTCATCGAGGTCATGGGCAAAAGATGACAGCTGAAAGCCGGCTGGACCATTCAGGGATGCTCGGGTAAGGCTGGACACAGGCATTTGCAACAGCATGGGGAGAAGCTGTTGACTGTGCCTCTTGGTGGAATCCTGAGACCCTCTCTTAGCCTGAATATCAGACGCATCAGAGCACCAGGAGATGGGCACCAGTGCCCTGAAGGCCAAGGCCAGCAGGGAGGTGTTGACCAGCATTTCCAAAGGTGCAATGAGAAGAGAGGCTGAACTCATGGACTGGTTTCTGGGCATCTGGAGATAACTGTTTGGGGACTTCTTGAAAGCACTGGAAGACAGTTTAAAGGCATCTAATTTTTAACTATCAAGCCAGTGGAGTTTCTTTATCCTTTTGTCTCCTGAAGGATACCTTGGTTGTTTCCAAGTTTGGACAATTATGAATAATTGGCCAATATAGTAAAAGAAAACTTAGAAGCAAAGTAGCAAGGGCATCAGCAAAATACTTTGCTTCCCTGCTTCCAGCTACCCTCGGACTATTCTTCTATTTTCCCTTTTCAAGAAGACACATCAGCAGGAGGGCAACAGAATTTAAAAATCTCATCTGAAGGAAAGGCTGGAACTTTGCTCACCGTACACATTTCTTCCAAAAATAGTAGCCTGGGCCACTATTGTTTGGGAGTAAAAAGGGAGTGTTCACCTGGAGTTTCAATCAGGTTGTAAAAAGAAGAGATTGTTCTTGCCTGGCCTTGTAATAAAGACTATTAACCCTGATTTGGGCAGTGTCGCTCAGATCGGTAGTGCACTGCCAGCTCAGGGTTGGAATGCACTGTGGCCAGGGATGCTAGGAAGTTATCTTCTCAGGTCTTGACACCCTCGCTGTGTCTGGGCAAGAACTAGAGGAGAGGAGCCAGTGATCAGGTATGGTATTGATTTTGTGAATCACTAATGACTTGGGAGCACTGTTTGTGCAACCAAAATGCTTTATACTTGAGTTGAAGAGTTAAACGTCTGCAGGCCAGCTTGACAACACATGCTTTCTCTGCAAAGGAGCAATCCTGGGAGATCTATCACTTAATGCACTGTGAATCATGTGTTTGCAATCTCTCTCTTTTCTTGTGACCTACATTTAATGGTACCTGATGTACTATGCTGTGTGGTTTGAAGGAAATGTGTACTGTGAGCAAAGCCACAGCCTTTTCTTCTGATGGGATTTTTAGATTCTATTGCCCTCCTGCTGGATGTGCCTTCTTGAAAAGAGAAAATGGAAGGATAGTCCAAGGGTGGCTAGAAGCAGGGAAGTAGAGTATTTTGCTGATGTGCTACTTTGCTTCTAAATTTTCTTTTACTATATTAGGAGACTTAGGCGGCCAATTATAATCAATAAATTTTAACCAAAACATGATGGTTCAGCATGTCCACATTCTGTAGCTCTTGAAATACTGGCTTGAAATGTTGCTGAATGAAATGGGAGAGGAAGGAATGGCAAGGTCCCAGGGTGTGGGTGCAAGGCCCTGCCCTGGCTTGTGAAGGACGCACCTCCTCTTCACTTCTACTCAACTCCTTTAGCCACACACAGAGGTTGGGGACACTATATTTACGCCCAAAGTTCTGCAAGGTATGTACCCAGAGTGTGATAATGTGTGATGAGAAGAGCTCTACCATGGTCTTGCTCACAGTGAAGAATTGTTAGTTCTCTGTTCTGTCTCCAGATGTTGCCTACCCAGGCCAGGGTCATATGTGGCTAAGTGATTAGCACATATTTTGGTTGGTAATAAAGATGACCCATCTATCCCAACTTTTCATCATTCTACATTTGATTCTACATGCTACACTTGAGGCTTGCACATAACTGAGTTTACAATGATCATGTAAGACCAGTGGTACCTTGATGTTTGGATTTCATGCATTGGTAAATTTCACCAACAGCAGCAAGTACAAAAAGGAGAGACCAACATGGAGTTGCCAAATTTATATTTTGCTGAACACACTCACTTAAATGAGCACACTTCTAGCTACTTTCATTATCATTTCACAGTAAAGACCTTTTTAGCGCGCACACACACACACACACAGACATATCTCACACAAAAGGAGAGTGCTTACGTTAAACACAACTTGTTTTGTAAAAACTCACTGTATTGTTCTGATTATTCTCATTACCCCCATATGGGTGAAAACTGCCATGGCTCAGATTAGTCCGGGGAATGGCTCTTGAGAACCACTGATGGCTGTGATGATGCACCTTTTGTATCCACTCAAAGGGATCATAGAAAACAGTTAATACTTTTTGTCAAATCAATAGGGAAAATGCACAGGCAAAATTGCAGATTATAAGCAGTTGTTTTCTTATGAACTCATGAGCATTCCTCACCTCTCTGAATCGATAGCCAGTGTTTATGGAGCACCTAATGTGTGCTGAGCCCTGCGCAACAAACTCAACCCTTTATGGGAATTAGAAAATACTCATGCCGCCAAAAGCATGTTGGGATGTTGTTGCTGGGGGAAATGGCTGGCCAACTGCCTCCCAAGAAGCCTCAGGAGGCGACATTCATTTCTCTTGGTTTAGGCCCTCACCTTCAACATTACACACTCAAAGACGTCATTTATGTCAGCACATTATGAGTGGCTTATGTTTGAAGGGAAGATTCACATTAACCCAATTATTATATAATAAATATTTACTGTCTTGGGAGCCAGATATGAGCAGACCTATGTGGCCTTGAGCAAGTAAACAACTCGCTTCAGTTCTCTCATTTGTAAAATGAGAATATTAACAGCACTTACTGCCTAGGGCTAGTGCTGCATTATATGGGCTAAGGCACACAGTATACTCATCCCAGCCCGGCACAAAGCTAAGGCTCAGTAAACAATTGTGATGACTGTTCTTGTCACTATCTCTAGTGCATTATCTCCTGTCTCCCTGTGCAAGTGAAGACCCACGTGAATCCCTTTCTTTCTGCTGTACTGGCCAAGTACTTGGCATTCTCCTTGGAGTCACTGCTCACAAAACATCCAAGCTGTCAGGAAATCCTGTCAACTCTCCCCTCAAAATACATCCAGAATCCAAATTCGCCAAAACGTGGGAGCAACCAAGATGTCCTTCAGTAGGTGACTGGATAAACAAACTGTGGTCCATTCAGACAGTGGAATATTATTCAACACTAAAAAGAAATAAACTGTCAAGCCATGAAAAGACACAGAAGAAACTTAAATGCACATTGCTGAGTAAAATAAACCAATCTGAACAGGCTACATCCTGTACAGTTCCAACCCTAGGAACATTCTGGAAAAGGCAGTGGAGACAGTTACTCTAAGGTAAAGATCAGTGGTTGCCTGGGGTTAGGGTGGAGGGAGGGAAGAATAGGTGGAGCACAGAGGATTTCAGGGCAGTGAAACTATTCTGTATGGTATTACAATGGTAAGTCCATGTGATTATACACTAGTCCAAACCCACAGAATGTACAAAACCAAGAGTAAACCCTAATGTCAACTACGGACTTTGGGTGATGACGACGTGTCAACGTAAGTTCATCAGTTGTAAAAAACACACCACCCTATGAAGGATGTGGATAATGGGGGAGGCTATGTGTGTGGGTGGGGGTGGGGGGTGTGGGGGGGCGGTTATATGGGAACTCTCTGTACTTTCTGCTCAATTTTTCTATGAACCTAAAACTGCTCTAAAAAATAAAGTCAATTTTAAAAATAACTAGTAGAGGAACACTGTAGAAAATAAATTCCAATAATGAATCAACCACAAAGTGATCACATAAAAAATATTTAAAATGAAAAAAAAATAGCCCCACAATCCCACCTCATCCACTGCAACCATCTTGGTCCAAATGAGTGTCACTGCTCACCTGGGTAACCCCAAGAGCTCCCCTCCCCTGCTGGCTTCCTCCAGCTGCTTAATGCTCCTCAGTCAGATAATGTTTTCCCTTGGCCAAAACTCTCCAATGAGATCCTGTCTCCCTGAAAGTGAAGCTGAAATCCCCTGCCCTTCCTGGTCACCTGGGCCTCCTGCTCCTCCACCTCTACCCCTCCTGTCCCTTTTCCTCTCAGCACCCTGGTTGTTGCTCCACCCGGAAGGCTCTTCCCCTGCGTGTCTCACGACTGGCTCCTGCCTCCCCTGGGTCTTTCCTCAAACTTCCCACTTTCAGTGGGTCCTGCCTCAGCCACCTTGTCTAACTTGCATACCCCAACACACATGAGTCCTCTTTGCAGCTTTATTTTTCTCTTTAGCACTTATCACCATTGATGTATGCGCTATTTTATTTCTTTCTCGTGTTGTCTCCTCTCCACTTTTCCACCAGGATACAAGCTTGACAAAGGCTGGGATGTTTGTCTATTTGGTATGTGACTGTAACTCCAAGGCCCTAGAACACTGCCTGGCAGATAGAAGGGCCTTATTTTTGATGAATCGGTCAATGAAATTGGAATAGGGAGCTAGGAAAATCGACTGTTGAGAGGTTGGCCTAAGACAGCGGCAGCACGAGCCTGGTGGCAGGGCGGGCCCTTCCCGGGGCCTGGGAAGCTAAGCATCTGGTGGCCCTGAGAGCCTCTCCCCGGACCAGCTGGGAGGGCCTCTGCTGCGGCGTCCGCCATGCCTGGGAAAGTCATGTCAGAGTTGGACGTGCTAATCTACAGGGCCAGGTTTGAGGCAAGTCCTGCTTGCATCTTTTGTCTTTTTTAAGTGACTTGCCTTAGTGCCAGCAAAGGCACAGATCATGTTAAGAGCTAAATCGTGTCCCCCCTAAATTTATATGCTGAAATTCTAACCCCCAGTACTTCAGAATGGGACTGTACTTGGAGACAGGTTCTTTAAAGAGATGATTAAGTTAAAATGAGGCCATCAGGACTGGGCCTTAATCCAGTATGACTGGTGTCCTTGTAAGAGGAGATCAGGTCACAAACACACACAGGGAAGATGAAGTGAGCATGCAGGGAGAGAGAAGACAGTCACCCGCAAGTCAAAGAGAGTAAAGAGAGTGGCCTCAGAGGAAACCAACCCTGCTGACATCTTGATCCTGGACTTCCAGGCTTCAGAACTGTGAGATGATAACCCTCTGTTTTTTTAGGGCCCCCAGGCAGGGGTATTCTGTTGTGAGTGGGCAGACCACAGTTGTGGCAGGATGTCAAGTTCTTTTGGGAGGGCCTCAGATGGATCCCCAAATTGTGTTTCAAGGGGCTCTGCTGCTCCACAGTTTGACAGCACATGTGGGGAAAGTGTACCTGCTTGGCACCTATGCCTAGCATGTCCCTTCCCTCCCAGGGCATCGCGGCCAATTCCTAGCAGTCAGCCTCCTTTCCGAGGACTTTGCCCGAGGACTTTCTGGCCTAGAGCCTGCTTTGCCACCTGCACTGCAGGTTGGAAGTGCCAGGAAAGTTATACCCCTGGGAGCAGTGGAATTGGTGTATAAATACCCCAGCTTCCTCTCTCCTTTCTGTGTCTCAGTGATAGGGACTAACAAGTCGCCATCATCTTTTCAGAGTGAAGAAGCCACCGCAGGCTGGAGGACATGTCAATTGCTGTGATTGTGCTGCCCACGCAGTTACAGCCAAGCATCCTAGCACTTTGCATTTATAGCCTATTATTGTTTGAAGGTTTCAAACTCAAGGCTACAGTTTATTTCCTGGTGGTTTAACCAAGTCCCTGGTGCATGCTTTACTCTGAATCCTGGCAGGCTTCAGTCCCAGTTACCCACAGAGGGAATGTACTAGGCAGCTCAGGCCGCCATAACAAAACACCACAAACTGGGCGGCTTAAAGAACAGAAATTTATTTTCTCACAGTTCTGGAGGCTGGAAGTCCAGTGCTAAGGTCCTGGCAGGGTTCAGTTCACAGCGAGGACTCTTCTCCTGGCTTGCAGGTGTCTGTCTTCTCCCCAAATCCTCACATGGCCTTACGTCAGTGCCTGAGTGCAGAGAGAGTGAGCTCTCTGTGACTTGTCTCGTAAGAACACTAATCCTATGGGACCAGGACCACACTCATATGACCTCATTTAATTACTGCCATAAAGGACCTATCTCCAAATACAGCCATACTGAGGATTAGGGCTTCAACATGAATTTCAAGGGGATACAAATGTCTAGTGCATAACAGGTAACTTGCTTTACAAACTCTTGCTAATTGCTGCTTTCTCTTTCCTCTCTCACTTCTCCACTCTCTACAAATGTTTCCCGGGAAGACCTCCAAAGTAAATTACTTCCATTGGATCTTTGTTGCTCAGGGTCTGCTTCTTGGGGAACCCAAATGAAGAAAAGCTGAATACTGCATGTCCTCCTAGAAAAATGATAGCACATTCTAGCATACTATAGGTTCCAAGAAGTCCTCCAGAAAGTTTTTTTTTTTTTTTTTTTTTGAGATGGAGTCTCACTCTGTTGCCCAGGCTGGAGTGCAATGGCATGATCTCGGCTCACTGCAACCTCCACCTCCCCGGTTCAAGCAATTCTCCTGCCTCAGCCTTCCGAGTAGCTAGGACTACAGACACGTGCCACCACGCCCAGCTAATTTTTGTATTTTTAGTAGAGACGCATGCATATAATTTATTTGTCTTACAATTATTGCTGGGTGAGGCTGGTGAACCTGGAGGCTGCTGAATTCTTAGGTTGGAGGAATGTGTGTAAGAACAGAGGTTCCAGAGCCGTTAGGATCTGCACTTTGCAATCCTGGGCACCTGCGTTTGTCATTTATCCAAACACACTGGGCTAGATGCTCCTGACACAAAGCCCCAAAGGACTTGATTCCTGCCCTCCTGGGGCTCTTGGGATAGTCAGAGAGAAAAAGGAATAGCAGCAGTTCCAGTAGAGTAGCCCAGGCTATGACCAGTGTCATATGTGATCTGCTACTGGCTCCTGGGACATTAATGATGGAAAAGAGAAGGGGTCATGTCCTACCATGGGCTGAGCCTCCAGATGCTGCAGAGATGCTTAAGCTGGGCCATGGGATGCTGTTTTATTATTCTGTTTTCAGATTTGTTCGTATTTCAGTCAACCACCTCTGTGGACACTAAAAATGTCTCTTTCATTTCCCCTGAGATGAATCAGATTAAATGATGTTGAAATAATATCTTCAGTTCAACACTGAATTGCACATATTCATATTCTGACTATTTAAAAGGATTATTTATAGGCCAATATTCTTCCTATTAAAATTAAGTGGCATGAGATTTGAATTAGCTCAATTGAACTCATATCCTTCGCTAATGTATTTATCCATTACTCAGAGGAGTCTGGTGAAAGGCCATCTTGGTTTCATTCAATAAGACACACTCAGCTCTGCACTCCCTATTGTGGACTTTAAAAGTAGTCCAGGCCTGGAGGAAGTAAAAACTCCCTGTCTCCCACCTTTAGTCTACTTAAGAATAAAAATGATGCTAGTTTCTTAGGGTTTGCTTTTTGAGACTGAATTAATCAACACATTTGAAACCCTTGGAGCAAAGCCTGGCATAGAATAGGTGTCCATGAAGTGCACAATAGCAAGACATTATTAGTTATATCACTCCCAAAAGTCTCCATTTATTCAGGCACAAGGAGTAAATACTAGAGAACTGGACGGGGAACCAATAGACCCAGTTTTGGATTTAGGTCCTAGCTTTGTCTTGGTGACTTAGGCCATGACCTTCTCTGTGGGTCTCAAGTTTCTGATCTATAGAGGCAGCAATATCTTTCCAGGTTGGAAAAAGCACCATGCGTGGCTGATAGTGAATTGATGTGGTTGTGCTGCCTACTGTGATGTGAGCCAGGCTGAGCTCCTTGGTTTTCCAACCCCAGCATTTTCAAGCTTGTTTGATATAGATTAGACTCCAAGCATATAAGCAAAATGAGTTGGCAGGTTTGTATGTCACTGAATATCTTGGATGTCTCAAAGACCAGGGCTCCGTATTGTCTTTTAGTGGCTCAGCCACCAGTTCCTTAGCCACAACCCGTTTATGGTCACCCTACACTAACGTGAGGATTAATCTGAGGTGTGGGTGGTACTTAGAAGCCACCTAATGAGTGTTTTCAAACTGCTGTTGGGACCCCCATTCATGGATCATATCAGTGAGCAAATTTCTTAGAAAATAAAATTAAATTTAAAATGAAAGAATGCATCACAAAGGAGCAAACATTTTTCATGAAACTTATGTTTCAATTCCACATAAACATACAACTATATGTATGAATGCCCTGAGTAGCAAGCAACTCAAATTTGGGGTGTAGTAAAAATCAGTCATACACACAACAATGTTTGGTCAATAATGGACTGCATATAGAAGTTAGTTCTGGCCAGCGCAGTGGCTCACACCTGTAATCCCAGCGCTTTTGGAGGCCAAGGTGGGTGGATCACCTGAAGTCAGGAATTGGAGACCAGCCTGGCCAACATAGTGAAACCTCGTCTCTACTAAAAATATAAAAATTAGCTTGGCGTGGTGGCAGGTGCCTGTAATCCCAGCTACTCCAGAGGCTGAGGCAGGAGAATCGCTTGAATCCGGGAGGCAGAGGTTACAGTGAGCCGAGATCACGCCATTGCACTCCAGCCTGGGGGACAAGAGTGAGACTTCGTCTCAAAAAAAAAAGAAGGTAGTTCCATAAGATTATAATAAAACTCACAAATTCCTACAGCCTGGCACTGTAGCCATTGTAACCAGTACATTACCTTTTCTATGTTTAGATACGTTTAGATACACAAATTACCATTGTGTCACAATTGCCTGAAGTACTCAGTATAGTACCATGCTGGACAGGTTCGTAGCCTAGAAGCAACAGGCTGCCTTCTTCTTGCTCTCTCTTGTCCTCCTGCCTCCCACCACAGGATGATGCAGCAAGAAGTTCCTCACTAGGTGCTGACTCCTTGATCTTGGATCTCTCAGCCTCCCAAACTGTGGGAAATAAATTTCTGTTCTTTACAAATTACCCAGTCTGTGGTATCATGTTATAGTGGCATGAAACGGACTAAGATACCATTTTAGAAAAATTTATTGTGAGGGTTGAAATCAAAGGAGTTTTCTACTGAATCTTTCATCAGTTTAAAGAAATTCACTGAGTAACCTCATCTGTGAATTTTAGATGGCTATAGATCTTCACAGCCTCCTGCCCTCATTTCTCACCCCATCCTACCACCATTGTGCTGGGCACACATCCAGAAAATAGAGTATATTGGGCCATTTTTTTGCATTGCTATAAAGGAATATCTGAGACTGGATAATTTTTTTTATTATACTTTAAGTTCTGGGATACATGTGCAGAACGTTCAGGTTTGTTACACAGGTATACACGTGCTGTGGTGGTTTGCTGCCCCCACCAACCCATCATGTACATTAGATATTTTTCCTCATGCTATCCCTCCTCTAGCCCCCCACCCTTCGACAGGCCCTGGTGTGTGATGTTCCCTTCCCTGTGTCCATGTGTCCTTATGGTTCAACTCCCACTTATGAGCGAGAACATGTGGTGTTTGGTTTTCTGTTCTTGTGTCAGTTTCCTGAGAATGATGGTTTCCAGCTTCATCCATGTCCCTGCAAAGGACATGAACTCATCCTTTTTTATGGCTGCATAGTATTCCATGGTGTATATGTGCCACATTTTCTTTATCTGAGACTGGATAATTTATAAAGAAAGAAAGTTTATTTGGCTCATGGTTCTGCAGGCTGTATAGGAAGTGTGGTGTTGGCATCTCCTTCAGGAGAGAAGCTCATCTCCTTCAGAGGGAGCTTCCAATCATGGGTGAAGAGGGAAGGGGAAGAGGGAAGCCAGCACATCACATGGCAAGAGTGGGAGCAAGAGAGAGAGTGGGGATGTCCTACACACTTTTAAACAACTATATCTCGCGAGAACTCACTCACTCTCATGAGGACAGCACCAAGATATTCATATTCATGAGGGATCCACCCCTGTGACTCAAACACCTCCCACCAGGCCCCATCCCCAACGCTGGGGATCACATGTTAGTGTGAGATGTGGGGGAGACAAACATCCAAAATATGTAATAGAGAATACATTTTTGAGGACAACATTTATATAGCTTTTGTTACTCTTGCAGATATCATATAGGGGATTATAGAGTTGCCTTAAAACCGTGATTCCCAACCACGGGTCCCAGCCTCACAGATTTTGATTTTGTGGGGCTGAGGCTCAAACTGGGCCTTGGGATTTTTAGACATCTCCCAGGTGACTCCATGTGTGGCCAATGTTTAGAACCACTTCTATAAAAGGTGAGAAGGGTGTGACAATTGAATCGAACTCAGCAGAGATGCATCTGGAAAACAACTTTGCACACTGTGATGTGTCATCCCTCGGCTTACCTGCATAGCAGATGCAGGTGCTGTTGCAGGCACCACCAAGAGGGCCAAGAAGTCAGACCATACAGACACTTGAGGCAAATTTAATCTTCATGGAATTTAACAATTTGCCAACAGCTGTGAGCAAAGTTCCCTGGTTCATTTGACATAGTGTCTGCTTTTATTTATCAACCAGACAGTTGAGAAAAAAGTCCAAATAAAACCAGTTGCACCTGTTTCTATAAATGATGCAGTGCCCTAGTTTTCCCCGAGCTGAGACTCACTTGATTCCCCCTTTCCAAAGTCATTACTGCTACAAATTTAAAATATGCACAGACAAAAACAAATTGCACAAGACCAAATCGAAGATTTTCTTAGCTGAGGTCATTGATTTCATTATTTTCTCTTGCTTTTTTGTCTTAGGTATATGTTAATGACTTATTCTATTATTTTTGGCTTATGTTGGTACTTGAAGCACAAAGCATTTTTGCAAAACAAGAGCTATCCTTGTGAACATTAGCAGTTTTTTTTGGATTGTGGAAAAATGTACATAACATAAAATTTACCATGTTAACAGTTGTTAAAGGTGCAGCTCAGTGGCATAACTCTGCTCATATTGTTATACAACCATCTCCACCATCCATCCCCAGAACTCTTCACTCACAAGACTGAAACTCTATATCCATTAAACAACTCCCCATTCCCCCTCCCACCAGCCCCTGGCAACCGCCATTCTATTTAATACTTTCTGCCTCTAGGATTTGATTAAATACTTCATGTGAGTGGAATCATGATGTATTTGTCTTTTTGTGTGTGACTGGCTTATTTTACTCAGCATAATGCCCTCGAGGTTCATCCACGTTGTAGCAAATGTCAGAATTTTCTTCCTTTTTCCCCTCCTTTTTTGTAGCAGTTTTTTTTTTTTTTAGCTTTTATTTTCAGTTGTGGCGAAATGCATGTAACAACATTTACCATCTTAACCATATTTAAATGAATGAATTGGACTGGGTAGAGATGCATGTGGAAAATAACTTCGTGCACCGTGATGGGTCACCACTTGGTTTGTAAATTCACATTGTATGTTAAGTACATTCACCTTGTTTTGCAACCATCATTGCCATCCATTTTCAGAACTCTTTTCATCTTACAAAACTAAAACTCTACTCATTAAACAACTCCCTCTTCCTCCTTGCCCCAGACCCTGGCAAACGCCATGCTACTTTCTATCTCTATGGATTTGACTACTCTAGGCACCTCGTATAAGTAGGATCATACAGTATTTGCTTTTTTGTGACTGGTTTACTTCACTTGGCATATATCCTCAAGGTTCATCCATGTTGTCACACGTGTCAGAATTTTCTTCCTTTATAAAGCTGAATAATATTCCATCACCTGTATATACCCCATTTTGCTTATCCATTCATTTGTCAATGGCCACTTGGGTTGCTTCCACCTTTTGGCTATTGTGAATAATGCCATTGTGAGCACCGGTGTGCAAATAACTTTGGCAATTCTCGAGTGAATTGTATGAGGCCTGGAGCATCGACCCACAGCAAAGGCCACCTGAGAGACATGAAGTCAGCAATATGCAGGATGGGTAAAATGACTTCATATCCCTGTTTGAAATGTCTGATTTCATTCTGCTGGACTGTGTTTTGAATATTTTATTTCCTGGCATAAACAGTCATATATAACCGTGGGCTACTTCAGAAATTCATCTGCAAACTAGAAAGCATTTCTTGTGAAGTCTTGTGAGATTGGTTGCTTGGGAACCATTTGATAATCCTCATTCACTGAACCAATGAATAAAGGAAGAGGAAGCTGCTCACTGTCTGGAATGTCTTTTTTAGTGTTCCTCCATCAAACGCTAGAGGCTCTATATTTTTTGTAAATCTCTCAGGTTGCGGAGGCTGCAGAGCTGCGTAAGACACAAAACTGTTTTAAGAAGCCTAAAATCCATCTAGACAACTTTTCTCTGTGCCTGAATGCTCCTGTGCAGGAAAGGGATTGCAGCTACAGGTCTGAGAGTAAAAACTAGTGTGTCAGTTATACCTGAAAGGGGGCTCATGCCTACAATTCCAGCACTTTGGGAGGCCAAGGCAGGTGGATCACTTGAGGTCAGGAGTTTGAGACCAGCCTGGCCAACATAGTGAAACCCAAACTCTACTGAAAATACAAAAATTAGCTGGGCGTGGTGGTACATACCTGTGGTTCCAGCAACTCAGGAGGCTGAGGCAGGAGAATCGCTTGAGTCTGGGAGACAGAGGCTGCAGTGAGTCAAGATCGTGCTACTGCAGCCTGGGCGACAGGGCGAGACTCTGTCTCAAAAAAAGAAGAATGGTAAGATCAGGGAAGAAAAGAGATAAGGCTCCCATGTCAGACCATTACCATGAAAAAAGGAAGGAAGATATATGAAGAAGGAAGAAAGATGTAATAACTGATTTGTAGTATGTAAGTGAGTTAAAGAAATTGGAAATACATACCCACAATCCATTATTTACAATTTCAATGTTCAAAACCTGAGAGGTTTTTTTTTTTCTTTCTTTCTCATTTGGTAGAAAAACCTGACCCAAAATCATGTGAGGTAAATTAAGGTCTTAATTCATTACACTATTCATACCCCTTGCTGCAGAAATGCTAATGAGTTTAATTATGGGGTACTAGTCTCAGACTGGCCCCAAAGGGAGTTATATAAAATATGAAGTTTGTATTATATTAGAAATCTGAAAATTTCTGAAATCAGGAACATATCTGGCCTCAAAGGTTTTGGATAAGGAATTGTGGATCTGCTTAGCATACCTAGGAGGCAGAGAAAAGAGCCTCCAAAAATGACAAGCACAGGAGGAAGCCTGGCTGCTTCCAGTAGACTGTTTTATCTGTGCGGTTCCCTCCTTGGGAAATGAAATAGCATCATGATAATTAGATACGCTTCTGCTCTTGTTTTCTGGATGAAAGGCTTCAAATGTATGTTTTTTTCCTATGGCACCGAGTTCTGAGCAAAGTGTTGGATGAAGTGAATAATCAAGGAAACTGAGCTGGCCTGGAGTTCTGAGTGTGGCCAGCACGGACAAGATGTGCCCCCCACTAGTCACAACACACATGTGTGTGCACACACACATGCACACAGTGCTGATGACTCAAGACCAGCAGAGTCTTTTCCCTGGGGTGGAGAGAGGAAGTGGAAGTGTGGAATTGGAGGGTGGCAGGGAGAAGCAAGACAGGGAAAATGAATCAGTCATTTGGTGGGATACAAAGAAATGAAGACCAATTTATAGAAGGTAAATGTGGAGTAAGACTGCATAAGTGTGTAAGTGTATGTGTGTGTGTGAGAGTGTGTGTGTGTTGGTTGCTTTTTATCCTCAGCCTGCAAGCACAAAGTCAGCATCCCAAGTAAAACTAGGGAGCTGTCCTATATACGCTTCACACACGGGGATTTTAAGACCAGCCCTTTTGCTGTCTACATCAGTCTCCAACAACAAAACGGATGCATCTGTTCTCTCAGAACCTTGGCTAAAGTCTCAAAGCTGAGTGACAAGAACTCTTTAGTCTAAAAGAAGGTTCTGGACTCATCCATGCAGAAGTTGTTAAAATATAGCTAGGTCAGCCCAATAACTTCTCCCTCAGGCTTGATGAGGAGACTAGAGTTTTACTCTGGAGAAGTCTTTGACGGGGATTTGTGGACACAGAGTGCGGTGGCAGTTCTGTTCTATGGCAGGGCAGGGAGGGTGCATCTCCCCACTGACCTTGAGCTGGGCAGAGGAGCCCCAGGAGAGCACTCCACAGACATGGAGCTGCTGTAAGTGCCTCATTTCACCGCCAGCTTGCTGAGCTGTAAGAACAACTCGCAGGCCTGGCCCATGCTGGAAAGGGTATGCTATGCATCCCTTCGAGTTTGGGGGCACACATGAGGAAAGCATCTGGTATCTGTCTCTCTCCTGCATCTTTCTGATGGGGGGTATGGCTGGAGCCAGTTATGGCAGAATGAAGAGAAGTCACTGTGGGACAGGCTGCTCTCACACATTTGGGGTCCCATGGAGGGAAATGAGGCTCACATCCTCTTGGAGGACCCCACCCAAGAGCACTGACTGCTAGGACAAGGGATTTTAGCCCAATGAGCTAAAGGTATATTGCTGAGGTGTAGGTGCTACAGGAGTGGCCAAAATGGAGAAGCCCAAGAATGTAGCTCACAAAAGAGCACCAAAAGAAAAATCAAGGAAGAAAGAATGCATTTGAAAGTCTACCAATGCAGAAGGCAATGGCAGACAAGGGGGAGTATAAACAGCACTGGCTAATCATGAAGGTCCTTTGTCACTATAACCTCCATACTCCTCCCTCCTCCCCCATCTCATCTCAACTTTGAAGGAGACAGAAGTTATAGGAAGGGGATGAAGGTGGATCAAAGAATGTTATAAGTCAAACCAAGCATACCCCTCATTTTCCTAACTCCTGTTCTCCTGAACTGTGGTTGGGTATGAAAAGGAAAGAGAAGAGGTTGCTGATTATTCCTGTTGTTGAGTAGTTGGCTATCAACCTAATTATCTTTCCTGATTGGGATACATTGTGCCTCCTAGATCCATGGATTCACATTGTTCATCCATTCTGGAAAATTATCTCTTTATATACTGCCTTTCCTCCATTCTTTCAATTCTTTCCTTCTGGAACTCTGATTAGATGTATCTTAGATGGTCTCATTCAATATTCCACATCTGTTATCATTTCTTTAATAGTTTCCACATCTTTAACTCTTGGCTATATTCTGGATAATTTCTTTGGTTGCAATTCCTAGTTCACAATTGTCTCTTCAACTGTATCTAATCTGCCATTTGACCCATTCACTGAGTTTTTATTTCAATTAAGATAATTTTGGTGTTGCTTCTAGAATTTAGATTTTTAAAACTCCATCTGATTATTTCTAATCATTTCTTGCTGTTTGATAACCTTTGTGGTTGCATTTCTAATTTCTTTTATCTCTAATATGTGGCTATTCTATATCTTCTATCTGATGATTCCAATGTCTACAGCATTTGGCTATCTAAATCTGTGGTCTGTTGTTTTTGCTAACTCTCTCAGTTACAGTACCTTTCTCTTGGATTGTAAGTGCACTGATCTTAATCTGTGTGAGTATTGTGGGTCTAAACTGCGGTTTCCAGAAGCTCTCCTGCAGAGTATTTGCTTTGACTTTTGCCAGAAGCCTGGGTGCAATCATCAGCTGAAGATTTGTTTAGCCCCTGTTGTGAATTTAGGCTCAGTTTGAGAGTCCCTGACTCCTCTTCTCAGCCCTTTTCTGACTTATCTCCCATACGACTGCTGCTATCAGTGATTGCTGAGAGGGAATCCTTCTCCTTCCTCCTAGCTTCCTGCCACCCTGGCCTGATCCCTTGCCCAGCAAGTGGGTGTTTGCAGAGCAGGGTCAGGGGCCAGGACTAAGAGTAGACAGAGCCTGGGAAACAGGGAGGTCCCTGGTGTAAGGGGGACACTGGTTACATTTTGGGAGTCAGGCTTGAAGAACCAGGAATGCCGAAAGTCAAAATGGCAAAGTTCATAGCCTAAATGGCCAAAGGTCAGGAGTTCAGGGCAGAGATCCCAGAGCATCTGATTTTCAGGCCCATGTTCTTTGCACTTCATGTGCATCCTGTGGTGGAGCTGGCCCTGTGACCATGACCATGAAGGTGCAGAACTGTGCAGATGCAGCTCCTGCCAGAGCAAATGTGCAGGAAGGCTGGGCGCATGATTACTGCCTCTCCAGGACCAGCCCTACACAACCTGCCTCACTCTGGGAGCCCCCAGTACACTGGCCTCACAGGTGTGTGCAATCCCATGAAATGTGCTGTGGAGCTAAGAAGAGCTTCTGTGCCATGTCAGATGGAGCTCCTCTGACACTCAGCAAAACTTGTGCTGGGAAAAGAGTCTCAGGTTGCCCCAGAAGGCTCCAAGGCCTTCAGTTCAATGGCAAGGTGTAGTCTCACCTGGAATTCATTTAATTAATTCCTTGGGGGGAAGCCAAGGATCCCCTCCAGTTTTGGGGTTCCCACAGCTGTTTGTTGAGTGAGGGTCCCACAGGAGCCCATACAAAGCCTGGGCTGAGCTGAGAGGTGACCTCGGTGGTCTTCAGTTGGCTGTGACTCAATCTTACTGTGGAACGTACATTTCCATAGAACTAGGGCAGAAGTCGTTGTCAGAGTCACATAGGTGCCTTGAGGAAGGAGCCAGGACTTGAGACCCTAGGGCTGATGGATTCTCTTTGCTACCTGAAGCACGTACACACCAAGTATGGGCAAGCTTGTCTATGGAATTAAATCTGAATGTTGATGATGAAAGTGAGAATAAAAGCATAATATGAATTTTATGTATTGCTAGGGATTTTTTTTCTCATAAGAAGGAAAACATGAGCATATTCGTAAATATAGTTTTCTTACATCAGGACAGATGGATATGACCATTTGAATAAGATTGGAACCTTAGCTCTTAAAGCAGGGGATCGGCTTTCTGTCTTTAACAAACTCAGATATGCAGAGGCCAGAAAAGTAGGATCATTGTAGTTAAAAACACGAGTCAGCCACTGAAAAGCATCTCTCTAAGCAGTTGGATTTCAGCTGATTTGGTAAATATTAATATAGCCCTGTGTTTCATTTACTCTTGGATGCATAAAGCATCAAGTCTTCTTTTTCTTATGAATACTCTAAATTAATTTCCTGAAGACAATTTTAGAAGCCTTGTTTTAAAACGTTTAGGGAAAAATGTCTACCAAGGTGATTATTCTGCAGAAAGCCATATTCCTTTTGATGTGTATCAAGGCATGTTTAACTTGACTCGGTAAGTAAGCATTGAGCACTCTGGACATGAGAAATACAACAGTGAGCACAATGAAAAGGCCTCCATCCCTGAAAGCTCATCACCTCGTAGGGGAGGTGACAAAAAGTAAATCAACAAACACAACAATTGTGATTGCAGTAAGTTTTGTGAAGGCAATTTTTGTTAGACAAGAAATTCTGTTAGAACAGGAGTTTGATAAAGATTCATGTCTCCTCTGTGGGTGCCACATGCCCACTGTCTGTCCCGGTCAGGAGGGGTGATCTGGTGGCAGGACAGGCTGGTAAGTGCAGTAGAGCCAGGAAGCTGCAATTGAGGAGCTGTGCACTGGAACTGAGGAAGCAAGACAGGAAAAGGAAGCCCACTCCACCCCTAGTCATGGACCTGCCTCTAGTCACGTTACCGTGGAAGTTCCCAGAACACTCTGTGCTTCTCTCCACTTAGCTCCTAGACTTTCCGCTGGCTACTGTACTCTTAGGTTCCAGGACCAAGAAAAGCCTTAGGTTGTCCCACGTGGTACCTTTTATTATTAAGATACAGGAGAGGAAAAAGGAAATGGCAACCCCTATGCAGTGGCCTTGAGTTGGCAGTAGCCTGGTGGTGCTGCAGCTCAGGGGTGTGCAGGCAACGCGGTCACAGCCCCCAAGCAGGAGGTCCCCACTGCATCTGGCTCAGGCTCTATCTCCAGTGTGATTCAGCTACACCACTGCTGCTGCAACCTGACACACCCAATCACTACAGCATTCCTTGTGCCCTGTCCCTTGGTCAACCTCAGTCTCCCTACATCTTATGTTCTCACTCTGATATTTTCTGCCTGCCTGGGCTGCTCCTCGTTTTGTATAGATGATTTGTAACGGACAGAACTTTGCAGCAACTGTTCAACCCTCTGGGTCAGGTGCCCATGGCCGGTGCTACCACCTGCAGTGCCTGTGAAAGGGGAAGTTCCCTTGTTCCCCTCGCAGGGCGTGCGATGGGGGAGTGGCTTGCTTCTTCAGTGCCCCGCTGCTCAAATCTCTAGGGGAGCCTACAGGCGGGCAGGCTGTGGGGCGCCGACCCTACAGCAGTGTCTAGATGAATGTTTACAGCTCCTGAAGCCCCGTGGGCATGTGCTACAGGGTGCTTTCTTAGTTTGCTGTCTATAGGCGCTTATGTTAGCTCCATTAGACCCTCTACCTTGTCGCAAGGACAGAGAGCTTTCTGTATCCCGGGTTCTTGCCTTGGAGTACCAGAAGAATCGGATCACACCTGGGCTTGGAGAATGAGTGCAAGGTTTTGTTGAGTCGAGGTAGCTCTCAGCATATGAGGGAAGTCAGAAGGGGATGGAGCAGGAAGATTTTTCCCTGGAGTCAGGCCACTCAGCGGCTCAGCAGCCTGGGCTCTCCTCAGACTGCCTCAGCCAAACTCTGCATCGTTCTGCTTCTGCCTCAGCCAAACTCTGCATCATTCGGCTTCTACCGGTGGCCTGCCGGCATGCAGGCACTGGAGATCCAGCTGTCTGTGTGTCTGCCTACTAGGGTATCCGGGTTTTTATAGGCACAGGATGGGGGCATGGCATTTGGGCAGGAAATGCCTGTCCTCCCCGACGTCGGTGGGGGTGGAGCCCTAGCCAGGGACCACGCCCTCCTCTACCCAGCACTTCCCTTCCCCGTATCGTTTAAAGGGACCAGCTGTTCCCTTCCCAGCACTTCCCTATCACCTGCAGGCAAATTGGAGAAGAGATTCCCCTCCAGAGCAGATGATTCTAAAAGGGCTTGTCTTTGGGTGGACTAATTCAAAAAGGAGCCCTTTCCCCAGGCTGTGGCACCCCCAGCAAGTACATGCTTTTCGGCAGCTGAACACTGCCTGGATTTCAGACCTCAACTGCCCTCTAGGCCAAGTGTCTTCTTCAAAGCACAACCTGCACATGTAGTAGCCCTGCAGGTGTGAATTCTCGATCCCAGCAGCTTACTCACGGAGGTGGGGTCAGGTGGTACAAACATGCCCTCTGGGTAGGAAGCCATTCAGAAGAAAGCTGGGGCTGGAGTGGACACCCGAGCCTTCCCAGACTGGTCTGTGGGCACTGTCACTACAGGAATTGCCGGACCAATGGAAAAAGGTATTCTTTCATCTTCTCCTGGTGGCATGGACAACCAGGCCTTTGGGTTCTAGAACTGTGGGCTCCCTTGCCCTAGAAGTCATAGGGAGTTGGTCCAAGTAGCAGAGATTTCCACTTTTAAATAGTCAGTGAAGGGCAAGACAAAAAGCCCATGTCTCAGTGAACTGCTGACCAGCAGCCCCTGCTACAGAAAAGAGACTGCATTCACATTTCCAGGTAGCTTGTGTGGGGTTGTTTTAAACAGATAAGAGAATGCCCTCTTTTGGTGGCAATTGTAACATTTTATAGCAACTGAAAAGCTAGAATCTTTGATAGGTGTGATTTACAAGCAATCTATTTTTTGTGGTCAAAAAAAGTTCAAATAAATGTTTCCAGGTGTCAGCGCCTGGTGGTGTGGCTTTGACTTTTAGACAAGAACAGATGGCTGGTATTTTGGGTTATGCAGATCCAAATTCATTTTGGAATCAGGGAGAAGACACAGTTCATACTAAATCTTCTCTGCATGAAAATAGCCTGAAAGCAGAGGAAAAATTCTCTGACATCACTTCCCAATTATTCCTGACTGGGTAAGCACCGGAGTGACCCAAGGAATAGGGGAGGGCTGGGGAGTCACACTGTCAAATAAAGTCTGGCTCCAAGTTGTCACTTGCTCCCAAGGATGAGTAGCCACTTGGAGCCAAATCTGGTTTGGTTTGGAATAAAAAGAAATGGAGCACTTCCTGCTCTGTGTGTTGGGAGTCACACAGCAATTCGTGCCTGTTCCAGCTGCTCCTCCACCACCAGCTCCTGAGTCCAAGTCACTTCGTGTCTTCCCTGAACCACTCCCATAACTGCCTCTGGGGGCCTGCATTCACGAGGTGCCCTCCAGAACATTCTCCACTCTGCATCCAGGGACAGCTTGTGAAGGCAAACATGCTAATTTCACCAGCCCTGTGCTCCTTCCTATTCAAACCCCCTTCTGTGGCTGCCATTGCTCTGTGGCTGCCATTGCTCTGAGAACCCCATTCTAGATACTGGAATCCAGAATGGGGTTCATAGGACACACTAGCTGCATTTTGCTCCACACTCCATCTTGCTCTCGGAACTCTATCCTACTACCTTCTTTCTCCAAAAACACCCAAATCCCTCCCATCTTGAGCATTTGCATGCACCTTCCTTCCCCTGGACTGCCTTCCCCTTCCATCTAATGCACACCCATCCTTAGACCTCCTGTCAGCCCCGACTCCCCAGGGCAGTTTTTCCAGAATCTTCTGATGGGTCAGATCATGTATTTATTTGACATGATTAAATAGATACAGCAATATAGCTCTTTTCAGTATAGATCTTTGTCATGCAGGTGTCACAGTTGTGAGCTTACATTTGTGATATGAATTTTACCAATGCCCTTCCCCACAGTCTGTAGATACCATGTGGGCAGGGTCCTCTGTGAGCATTCGCTCCTTAATTATTTTGCTCACTGCCATATCTTCAATACCGCATGCTGTGGCCAGCATAAGTAGATCTTCCCGTACTGTTGCCACATGAGTGAATCAATGACTATAGAACCATCAAGCATTTGTCAACAGATGGCCCATGAGGACTGCCAAGGAACTTGAGGCAGTCTGAAAACTCTAGGATCCAAACAGTCTGAAAGCATCAAGGCTATGTGATCTCAAAGGGCCTGTTAGGTCATAAAATGGTCTAATTGTATGATAATGAGGGAGGATTTTTAGGCAAATGATGGATGGAAAGGAACAGACTGGAAATGAGCTAATAGAAAGAAAGAAAACAGAAAACATGGCTAAAAGACTTTTTTTCCTTCCCATGCTTTTATGGTGATTTCACCTTATTCATTGCTTCTCACATAGTGACTTCTGCTCACTCCTTTCTGCCTTACTCAGGGGCTGTGTTTTATTTCCCTGTATATGCTGAATGTTCTGAATCATGTGCAGCAAACAGTAGGTACTCAACAAATGCCTGCTGAATAGAAAGATCAATATATCACTTAAACAGATATGAACACAATGACATTATTCTCCAATGTTAAATCAGATTTTATAGTAATAACTGATTGTGGTCATTGGATTATTTTACTGTGGTTTCATTAACTGTTTGGGAATCTGTGTACTGTATTAACCTCCTGACCTGTTTCATGTAACTCAATGGGTGACTTGAAAGGGTTTGTGATAACAGGGCTGGGAAGGTTTCATGCCCTCAATCTGACTATCTCCTTTTGGGCAGGTAGCATGGTTTGCACACCCCTGGGCAGTTGATCTCTTGCACCACCTCTCCTGTCTGCTCCTCCTGGCTCTAGTCACTAGTCCTTCCCTCATCTCTGCTCCTGTCCTGTGTTTGGTAACAGATGCAGCAACCACTGTAGGATAGAAACACATAGCTTTGGAAGCTACCAGCTCTGTTTCTGTAAAAATGTATTTATTTAACCTAAGAGTTTACTCAACTCAGTTTGACCCATTTTGTTCAGAAATATGTCTGTCACTACTTTCTGGATGGTTCTTAAAAAGAGTTTCAGCTAATGCAACCAACTTGTTACCCTGAGACCGAAAGCAGGGGGTCTGAAATTACAAACACTTAGAGTGGATATTTGGTTGGATTTGGGCAGTTGCCAGGGATCGTCTGCTAATTTTCCCTTCCCTAAAGAAGCTGTATCTCCAGGCCTTTGCTCACGCTATTCCTTCTGCTTAGAACACCCTCTCTCTGGCCCTCCTTGCCTCACTAAATTCAGCTCATCCTTGAGTTCTCAGCTTAGACTGCACTTCCCTCTGGAAACCTCCTTGGGCCCTGACACCCTGGGCAAGGGACTGCTCCTCAGAGCTCCCGGCACCTGGTGGGTTCCCTGGAACAGCTTCTAACACACCATATTTACTTATTTCTATTTCCCATTACACCTAAAGCTGAGTGAGCCTGTATCTTAGCTCTTGCCAATTTCCAAGGACCTAAAATAATGCCTGGCACGTAGTAGAGACTTAAATATTTGTTTGCTGCTAGATGAACAGATCCAGGAGTCCTCTCATTTCACTGTGCCTGGGAATAAGTCTCCCTGAGACACAGGGGGACTGACGGAGCTGGGCTTTTCCTTGGGGACCAGAGGTTTAGGACTAACTTGGGACTGAGGGCCGGCCTGGAGCTCTCCCTGCATGTGCACAGTGAGATAGGTTACAAGTGAGCTTTTTTTTTTTTTTTAAATCATTTTCTTTGTTTGTTTGAAATGGAGTCTCACTCTGTTACCCAGGCTGGAGTGCAGTGGCGCAATATCAGCTCACTGCAACCTCTGCCTCCTGCATTCAAGCGATTCTCCTGCCTTAGCTGCCTGAGTAGCTGGAATTACAGGCACCCGCCACCACACCTGGCTAATTTTTGTATTTTTAGTAGAAATGGGGTTTCAGCCTGTTGATCAGGCTGGTCTTGAACTTCTGACCTCAGGTGATCCACCAGCCTTGGCCTCCCAATGTGCTGGGATTACAGACGTTTATCATTTCATTAGATTACAGCCTGTTTATCATTTCATTAGAAACCTCTTTTATAACAATTTTATTTTATTTTGTTATATACCTTAATGACTAAGTGCTTATTCTCATTGATCATAATAAAAATAACAAAAAAGTTTGTGATGAAAAGACAGAAACCATTTAGCTATAAAATATCATATCAATTTGTCTCATATAGCCATATATTAAGAGCATTTTTTGGCCAGGTGCAGTGGCTCACGCCTGTAATCCCAGCACTTTGGGAGGCTGAGGCGGGTGGATCACAAGGTCAGGAATTAGAGACCAGCCTGGCCAATATGGTGAAACCCCTTCTCTACTAAAAATACAAAACTTAGCTGGGTGTGGTGGCATACACCTGTAGTCCCAGCTACTTGGGAGGCTGAGGCAGGAGAATCACTTGAACCTGGGAGGCGGAGGTTGCAGTGAGCCGAGATCTTGCCACTGCACTCCAGGCTGGGCAACAGAGTGACACTCTGTCTCAAAAAAAAAAAGAAGTTAGCATTTTTTATTAAAGGTGACTAGATTCTTTTGAGAAGAAGAATCTCTCTCACAGTTGCCATTTAATTATCTTTCTAGATATAATTTGTACAAAAGTGTGTGGGCGTTTTTTTAAAAAAAGAAAAACGCATTCTATGCACCTTTAATGTTGAAGGAAAACTTATTAACAGTATTACATCATCTTTTTGGTTCATCACAGTCTGCTAATACTTTACAATTCAAATAAATGGCCTGGAGGCTAGATAAGACCATTTTCATAATTTTAAAGGGAAATAAATTTCTGTTCTTCTTATTGTATTTCTAATCAGGCACTCACCTTTCAGAGGATGCCATATCCCAGATTAATTCAGCAAATGGCACTTCTATGTGGAATAATGCATGACTGTGTGCCTTTTGGTTTTCAGGACACAGCGTGTAGAGGGCTTATAACAAAATTCTCACCCTTTTAATATCAAGGGATGGTGAGGGCATGCATTTTTTTCCAGGCAAATTCCATATTGTATATCATTTGTAAAAACATTGACTAACTGCCTCTTTTAAAAATCAGGGAGTGCATTGCACTCAGGCACACAGAAAAGAGGTAGCATCACTTCAGTGAGCAGAACTATCTTATCCGTAAGATTTCCTCCAGCAAGGTAATTCTATTTATTTTACCCCTGAGGAGGGTTGGGATGGTTTTTAATGTAGCAGGTAGAGCTTCGAGGGAAGACAGATTCAAAACTTGCTCCACCAGCCTTGACAGTATCATGAAATACAGGAATGGTGTTTGCACTAACAGAAAGGAGCCTTTGTGTCTTCTTAGTTGCATTTACATTTCAGGTGCGCTGCTGTGTTTGGGCTGCAAGTAATTAACCTCATCGCTCATCAGAGGACATGGACTGAGCACCGGCCTCTGTGTGCGAGGACTGGCAAGGTGCAGAGTTACTGAGATCTGGAAACCCCATCTCCCCTCTCCAGGAAATTACATGCACAGGAATAATACAAAGAAACAAAGGAGGGACTGGAGAACACAAAGCAGCAATGTGGGGAAGGGAGGAGGCAGTGCCCACAGGAAGCCAGGGTGAGGTCCACTCCCTGCTCTCCAGCAGGCCCTCAGTGCCTCTCAGTTCTGATATGCTTTGGCTGTGTCCCCAACCAAATCTCATCGTGAATTGGAGCCCTCATAATTCCCAACTGTTGTGGGAGGGACCAGATGGAGATCATTGAATTATGGGGGTGGTTTTGCCCATACCGGTCTTGTGGTAGTGAATAAGTCTCATGAGATCTGATGGTTTTATAAATGAGAATTTCCCCACACAAGCTCTCTTGCCTGATGCCATGCTTCTTCTTTGCCTTCCACCATAATTGTGAGGCCTCCCCGGCCATGTGGAACTGTGAGTCCATTAAACCTCTTTTTCTTTATAAATTACCCAGTCTCGGGTATGTCTTTATTAGCAGCATGAGAACAGACTAATACAAGCTCCATCCCCAAGCCTGGCCTTCCACGTGCCACCCCTTCCCATTGGAAGAGCTCCCTCATTCTCTGCTGACAAACTCCCACCTGTCTGAAGGTGGCAACAATGGCATCTCCTTCTGAAGAAGCTGGCAACAATGGCATCTCCTTCTGAAGAAGCTGGCAACAATGGCATCTCCTCAGACAGCCCTTCTGGACGACTGCCCCCTCTGCTACCCTGGGTCCCCCTTAGTCTCTCCTGGTATATACCTACCTAACAGAGTTGTTGTCAGACTGAGCAAGCCTAGATGCAGGGAACTCAGGGCAGTGCAGCTACGGTGGATGCCGCCTTCCCTGGAATATCACTCCCACCCTTCAATTCATTCCGCCATTGTTTTCAGTGGTGTCTCCTGCCTCTTATCCTTTCTCACGGAATTCGCTGTGTTGGGATGCCCTCCACTAACCTGGCTGACTTCTTTATCCTTCAAGACCTTTGAGATGCACCTTAAATGCCAGTCCTCTGCGGAAGCTGACCTCAGAGCTCCAGTCTGCATTCCTCCCTGCATGCTGCGTGTACCTCTGTAACAGCACTTAGTTCCCCTTCTCCTGGTGAACTCCAGTATTGCCCATCTTTGCAACCGAAGACCTACCACAGAATAGGCATCTCTGCCTTTTTTTTTTTTTTTTTTTTTTTTTGAGATGGAGTCTTCACTCTGTCGCCCAGGCTGGAGTGCATTGGCGCGATATCGGCTCACTGCAAGCTCCGCCTCCCGGGTTCACGCCATTCTCCTGCTTCAGCCTCCCGAGTAGCTGGGGCTACAGGCATCTGTCACCATGCCTGGCTAATTTTTGTATTTTTAGTAGAGACAGGGTTTCACCGTGTTAGCCAGGATGGTCTCAATCTCCTGACCTTGTGATCCGCCCACCTCGGCCTCCCAAAGTACTGGGATTATAGGCGTGAGCCGAATAGGCATCTCATAATTATTTTTGTATAAATGACATTGATGGGGTTCAGGACACCTTACTCCAAAATATGGTATGATGGCATTGAGGAAACAGCAGAAGCAGGAGGGTTGCTCTTAGACCTTCTCCTGTCCTTCTCCCCTAAAGCAGGCCATAAAAGAATTCTCTGACCTTTCTCTCATCCAAGAGGTGGACCTCCCAATACACAGAGAAAAAGAACATCCTTACTTCTGAAGACACAGGGATACAGAAAAGACTCTGAACAAACAAGCCTTCCAAAATTCCCCCAGCGTATTGCCTTTATTCAAGGTCACACCCCTTTATTCAATCACACTTCTCCATGATTGTCCACTCTTCATCAAACCTATGCATAAAAATACACAGGTTTCCCTGTGTCTTTGGGTCTCCATTTCCTTATGAAGACTCCCATGTCACATAAAACGTATATTAAATGAATCCGAATGTTTTTTCTCTTGTTAATCTTTCTCTTTTTTCAATAGATGCCTCAGCCATGAACCTTGCAATGGGTGAAGAAAAGATATTACATTTTCTCCCCCCACAACATCATCTAGACTAGTCTAATCGCTTTCAAATAAGAAAATGAAGTACAGTTGTCCCTTGGAGTATCCATAGGGGATTGGTTCCAGGACCCCTTACAGATAACAAGATCCAAGGATGCTCAAGTCCCTGAGATAAAATGGCATGTTATTTGCATATGACCTTCACACATCCTCCATATACTTTCAATCAGCTCGAGATCACTTATAATACCTAATGCAATGTAAATGTCATGTAAACAGGTGCTTACTGTTTTGTCTTTAATTTATATCTTTTATGTTGTATTGGTTTTGTTTTTTGTTTTTTGAGACAAAGTTTCACTCTCGTCACCCAGGCTGGAGTGCAATGACGATGATCTCGGCTCACTGCAATCTCCACCTCTCGGGTTCAAACGATTCTCCTGCGTCAGCCTCCCTAGTAGCTGGGATTACAGATGCATGCCACCAGGCCCGGCTAATTTTTGTATTTCAGTAGACAGGGTTTCACCATGTTGGCCAGGCTGGTCTCGAACTTCCAACCTCAGGTGATCCGCCCACCTTGGCCTCCCAAAGTTCTGGGATTACAGGTGTGAGCCACTACGCCTGGCCTGTATTGGTATTCTTTATTGTTGTTTTTTCTCACATACTTTCAATCTGTGGTTGGTTGAATCTGAAGATGTGGAGCCCATGGATACAGAAGGCCGACTGTGCAAGGAGGGGCGGTTTCTCAACCATGGTCACACAGCTGGTTTGTCACAAGGTTGAGATGAGAGTCGAAGCTCTTGAGGGCCATCCCCAGGCCTTCCTACCGGGTCAGGTGATAGTTATTTCCAGGCTGTCTTTAAGGTATTGCTGTTTAAAGGAAGACTGAATATAAAGAGATATAAACCATCTCTAATGAGGGTTCAAATAAATATTTATGATGTGGATATTAGCCCTAAAACTAGCCCTACAGATATGAAACAAAATGTCATTCAGGATTAGTAACTTGCATGTGTGTTTAAAAATGCAGAATGGACTGGGCACAGTGGCTCATGCCTGTAATCCCAGCACTTTGGGAGGCTGAGGCAGGCGGATCATGAGGTCAGGAGATAGAGGCCATCCTGGCCAACATGGTGGAACCCTGTCTCTACTAAAAACACAAAAATTATATGGGCATGGTGGTGCGTGCCTATAATCCCAGTTACTTGGGAGGCTGAGGCAGGAGAATTGCTTGAACCAGAGAGTCAGAGGTTGCAGTGAGCCGAGATTGCACCACTGCACTCCAGCCTGGTGACAGAGCAAGACTCTGTCTCACAAAAAAAAAAAAAAAAAAAAAAAATGCAGACTGTCCTCTTGGCCAAATGGTGAATTTGAGGAGTATGAGGGGTGTGTGTTCACTTATGCATTCTTCACTTGCCTACATTCACTGAATGCCTATGACATGCCAGGCATGTGTTATGTGTCTATAGTCTACCGGTAGAAGGTGGACATGGGGCAGATAAGTGAAGTATGCATGGGGGGGTGTTATGAGCTGTAAGCACAGAAGGGAGCACTTGGCACTTGGTGATTGTTTGTGAATAGATAAAATCAGGTGGATAATTGGAATGGCTTCCTGAAGGGCTTAGAGCCCCCTCAGAGATGGGGAGGACAGGTGCAAGCCGCTACCTGGTGAAGCGGGAGACAGGTGAGAAGTATGCCCTAGGCAAGGGCAGAACACACAGTGCCTGAAAAGTATTTTGGGGCTCAGGTTAGTGCTTGAAAATAGTGTTCAGAACACATCAGCCCAAAACATGCCACTTTGTCATCTTGATTATTTTGAGCTAAAATAAATTAAGAACCACCAGTGCAAGAGAAGTGCTTTACCCTCAACTGCTGAAAATAAAGTATATGTTCTCCCTTCTGTAAAGGACGTGTAGGTCTAGAAAGGCAATTTTCATTAGTAAGGGTATATGTACCAGGAAAGAGACAATGTTTATCACCTGACAGACTTCTGTCCTCATGACCAGGCAACCTTTATTCGCCATAAGTTTCCTCACCTTGCCCTCCCCTAATTTGCCTCCACCACCTCCCAGAGGCCCCAAGCCCCTTCCCTTCCGTAGCTCAGGATGCTACACAAGCCTCGACCATCCAGCCTCTTTTTTGAGTCTCATATTTTTGTGGGACTCCCATGCCTAGCTACATAATCAAAATGTTTTTTCTCTTGTTAATCTGTCCTATGTCGATTTAATTTGTAGACCAACCAAAGAACTAGAAGGGTAGAAGGAAGCAATATTTCCTCCTCTACAGAGACAGGGATACAGGGAGAGGGAGAGTGGGGACTTCTGAGGCTGGACATGTAGGTAGAGGCCAGAACAAAAAAGGCCATAACACTATCACAGGCCCTTTGTAGCTCAGGCTGAGGTCTGGTGGCTGTCGCTCTGTTCTGCACACGAACATTCTAGTGCTACAGGGTATTCCGTGTGTGTGTGTGTGTGTGTGTGTGTGTGTGTGTGTGTGTGTGTGCAGGTGGAGAGGACTCAGGAGAATAATGGTACTGTTCCAGCACTGTTTTACGATTCCTAATAACCAAATTCTCCTAAGCAAAGGCTGGTATGTAGATGATAGTGTCACACTGCAAGAAACATTTGATTAAGTTATTGAGTGATCAAATGATCTTGATGCACTCACTTCATCTGCCAACCTTTGTCATGCTTGAATATAATTCAAAGGGATAAAAAACAGGCCCTTTTCTGGTAGTCTTTGCATGATTTTCATACTCTTAAAATGTTTCTGTAGACATCCAAAACATTTCCCCTTTGCTTTAGATAGCTTCTTTCTAAAAAAGAAAGTACCTGTTTAGAAACTATTCTAAATGGAAGCTTATTTATGGCTGAATTCATTGTAAGCCTCGGTCTTTCTATGGCAAATGAGGTCATGTCTGTTCCTAAAATCTAATGTTTCCAACTGCTCTGCTTAAGCCAGAAAGTCTGTGCTCTGGGTGGATGATGGATTTCTTCACGTGTCACATGGTCCTGAGCATATACTATCTTCTGTACCACTCATGCCTATTGTATTGTGGTTTTGTTTTTATTTTCCCAGATCCGTGTGTGTGATATAAGGTTATTTAATAATTCTGGATGCCTGGTGCCATGGCTCACGCCTGTAATCCCAATGCTTTGAAAGGCCAAAGCGGGAGGATCACTTGAGCCTTGGAGTTCAAGACCAGCCTGGGCAAAATAGCAAAAACTCACCTCTACAAAAAATTTAAAAATTAGCAGGCTGTGGTGGTATCCACCTGTGCTCACAGTTACTTGGGAGGCTAAGGTGGGAGGATCACTTGAATGCAGGAGTTCAAGGTTACAGTGAGTTATGATTGCACCACTGCACTCTAGCCTGGGTGACAGGGCGAGACTCTGTCTCACCAAAAACAAACAAATGAAAGCAAAAAAAAAAAAAAGAAAACCTGGAAAGTTTAATTTTAAATTGGAATGAAACTTTTGGACATTGGTTTCACAGTTTTGACAAAGGTTACCTACATCCTCATGTTGACTATCGTTAGTTCTTTGGATAGATTTTTTTTTAAGTTCTGAATATAAGTTTTCTGGATTTATCTTTTCCTTTAATAACTAAATAAAATTACATGCTGCCCTCCCTTCCAGTCAGGGAAGTCGGTGCCTATCTTGGTGCTTTGAGGCTTTCCTGGGCAAAAGCGTTTCCAGGGCAGTAAGAGTGTCACCTCTGGCCCATCTGCTGGTTTGCTGGCTGATTCTTCTAGCCCTGTTGCCCTAAAATGTGAAAATTGCTTTTGGACTTCTGCTTTTAACAAAGTGACTTCAAGTTTTATGAAAGGCTTAGAGAGTTTGGAGTTAAAGGAAAATCATAATAAATAAACTAGTGGTCAAACAAACAAACAAAACAAACCGGGAAAAACACAACCAGGAAACTGCTAAAAACCTCAGCCACTCTTCCCGTTGGGAGCTGGCTGTTTCAGCCATAGCAATCTCTCCCGTGACCTGACCTGATCAAGGTTTTCTCCTTTACTTCAGACACCTTTCCCCCTTGTCTTTCCAAAGGGTCAGAGCCCCCACCCCCTTCTATCTCAGGGGACAACTGAATATCCCTGTTAACTGGCAGCCATCAGGGAGCTAGCAGGAAACAGGTGGAGAACAAAAGGGTTTGAGTGAACAAAGTTGGACGAACGGGCTCTTTCCGGGGGCGAAGGGAAGCAGCAGGGATGGTGAAGCAGGAATTAGCAATGGCGGAAGGATGGAATCACTCCTGGGCCTGACCAACGTTGCCAGAGCCTGGGGAGGGCTGAAGGGTAGAAGAGAGGGCCCCAGGGTAGAAGAGAGGGCCCCATCAGGAGCTGGGGCTCTAGAGAAATGCAGCCAACACTGGATCCTTGGGGGCCGGCAGGGATTGGGGATTGGAGGTAGTGTGCGATAAATACATTCACCGCTCTCTCCTTGCCTCTGCTTTTCTCCTGCAGGTGTCTCCCATTGACTGAACCCAACTGGAAGCCACAAGGCGGGGAAGCCTGGGTAGTACCCTCCCCAGAGGTCAGCTTCCATGGGCACAGAACGAGCAGTGGGGAGGAGCATTATAAGGGCAGGGAGGTGCCAATAATAACCAGCACATTTGTTAGAGAGAGAAATTTTACCTCCGTCTTTGTTTGAACCTCTCTCATTCAGATTAGTTTTATATTTGTGGTCTTTGCATAATCAAAATTCCGTCAAGTATTTTTCCCCCAAACTAAAGAGCAGCTCTCTCCCTAAGAGAAATTCTGCCATTTGCCCACAGCAACTGGCTCAGACTATACTAATGTCAAAAAATGTGTTCTTTCATGCTTCATAAGGCTACTACTCATCTACTGAATCCTTTATCTGTGTGTATTTTTTAAATGATCTTGTTGAAAACCACACACACACACACACACACACAATCTTAGCTGTCCAACACCCAACTCACAGTGTTCTCTAGCTCACTGAGAACCACCTCTCATTGTCTTTGCTCATTAATATAGAGGAGGAGAAAGAAGAGAAGAAGATGTGGTGCTGATGATCATGGTTCATAAACCGTTAAGTGTTTGGTGGTGGTATTTGCTGTCCCACTCTCTGAAGAGGCTCCGTTCTCCCCCATCTCCATGGGGTCACAAAGGTACCTGCTGCCAGGCAAGGCAGCATGTACACCCCAGGACCCACTTTTGCTATAAAAAAGGTTGGTGGGTATTCAAAGAGAGGTAAAGGATAGTTGTCATGTACTTATGGAATTATGGGCTTCCTTAATCCCAGCAGAAGAATTAAAGTAAGATTGGAAAGGAAGGTAGGCAATTGCCTGTGACTTTTTTCTTTTGGTCAAGAATAAGTACTTGCTGATTGTTCTCTTCCAGTGGCTTTTTAGGACATGTCACTAAGACCAGGCCAGTGTTTTACATTAGTTTCCTTCCTCTGTCAAGACAGAGGTGGCTAGACGTTGTACTAGGCAGTATGACCTCTGCGGGCTTGGTGACTGCTATCTAAGACGAGACAGAAGATGGAGAAAAAGCAGTAAAAACATGCCGCGTGTAACCACCTTCCCTCTCTGTGTCAACAGCTCAATTGCTTGGTAATGATACTTGCTGAATCTCCACCAGAAGATGGTGAGACAAAATGATATAACATACTTCTGGCTGGGTGCAGTGGCTCACGCCTGTAATCCCAGCACTTTGAGAGGCCAAGGCAGGTAGATTACTTGAGGCCAGGAGTTTGAGACAAGCCTGGCCAACATGGTGAAACCCCATTTCTACTAAAAATACAAAAGTTAGCCGGGTGTGGTGGCAAGCACCTGTAGTCCTAGCTACTTGGGAGGCTGTGGCAGGAGAATCACTTGAACCCAGAAGGCAGAGGTTGCAGTGAGCCGAGAACATGACACTGCACTCCAGCCTGGGTGACAGAGCGAGACTGTCTAAAACAAAAAAGAATTTACTTCCTAAGAGAGGCAAGGGACTATCTAGAAATGCTGTGGCTTTTTCTCCTATAGCACTTGTATGACCTGCTGCGTTCATTTGGCACATTGCGGGTTATTTATTTTCTGGTATCTCAGTTTCCTCATCTATGAAATAGCAATGTTTCACTGGTTTTTGTGAAGTTTAAATGAGTTAATAAATGCAAAGCACTTCAAACAGTACTATTACTATTTGTGTTAGTCAGAATAGTTGAGCTACTTAATTCTTTTACTTAATATGTAAAATTTATTTTTCACTCATACAAAGTCTTCTGGAGTCCAGTGACTCTCCAAGGCAGCTCCCTTCCATGTGGAGACTCAGGGATCCAGGCAGGTTCCATCTTGTGGCTTTGCCATTTCATGAGAGGGAAAGATGAGTGAATGTCCTCAGACTCAGGGGAAACATCTGAGGCAGCATTCATCCCAGGATGTGTGCCCCCATTTCCACGTTCCATTAATCTGTAAGAAATGGAAATGTAGCCTACACATCCTTGGGCTTGACATGATCGAACAGTAGGACCTGGGAGCTCAGCTCTCTTGGTAGATATTTAGTGCTCTTGCACAGAAAGAACCATGGTATGTAGATTCTGGACAGTAGGAACCTTGTTTTCAGTTCCAGTTCCAAGCAGGGAAAGAATAGGTCTTATCTTTCACCCTCTAGCCTTTCTGTCACTGTAACAGGAAGCACCAATCCAGAAGGCAGGCAGAACTGCTGATCATGGCAGAAGGAGCATGGGCCCAGACACAGGGCACACAGATGCAAGATACTGAGGCATGGCAGGCTGGTGCACCTCTAGTCTTTGGAAGCTCACATTCAGGCAAAGCAAAGCCTTCCCTAGAAATCAGTCAGAATAGGCACAGCACTTCCAGATTTTACTGTAAGCAGGAATATGAGCAATGGCCAAGGCTAATCATCAGGTCACAGAATCTAGAAGCAGATATCTTGGCACAAGAACACCTAGAGACACCAAATAAGCAATTCAGACTAGGCCATGACCATCTATTAGCCATAGAGATAACTGAGTATCAGAGAAGGAACTGGAAGTGTATTGAGCATTTGTAATGCGCTGCAAGTGCCTTCCATGTAAAAACTCCCTTAATCCTCACAATTTACAAGTTAGGTACTATTTTTATTCATCACTGAGACAGAAGTTACCCAGCTTGCCCTCAGTCTGGAGCAAATTTTGATATGACACACATGTTCTAAAGACTGACTCAGCCAGTCTCAAGGAGTCCTTCCACCATCTTGGTCAGCAAAGCAAGGCACAAGGCCTTCTAGGCACAGTTACTGAGTGGGCTGGGGATGGAGAGGCCCTGCAGGAATATTTGAGAGCAGCTTTTGGCCCAGAGAATTTCACTAGTAGTTTTTCCCAACTGATACACCAAATAGAGGTACAAATTATTAACATTATTATATACAGAATGTAGTGCAAGTTAATGGTGCACATTATAGCTGTTCTCCACCCCTGAAGAAAACCTTAAGACTTTTATAGACAGAAACATTTCCATTCAACTGGACCCTAAATCTCTCCCTCACTGTCCTACATATGGTATTCTTATAGGTGCTCGATAGCTCAGGGAACACGCATTACAACAACTCCCTCAGACCAGGATAAACTAGCATATTACCACTCCAATGCATGTGGGGGCCTGTGCAGTATTGCTTCTCCCTAAAAGTCTCATTTTCTAAGAATAAATCAGAGAGCAATTTAGGTCCAGGGAAGAAGGCTATTAAATGCCACCTAATCCCTCCTCAGACTGCGGGTGCAGGGGTCTGGCTAACAGCAGCCTGTGTTTGTCAGGAGTTTTGGGTTAGTCTGGGCCTGTGTGGCCGTTTATAGAGCACGCCGCCAGGTACCTATTTATGTGACAGAACAAGGGGTCTCCTGGGACAGAGCAAGCCCAAGGGAAGGACCCTGAGCTCAAGGATGATGATAGCTCGTGGCAGCTGGAGGCACAGCAGGGCCCCAAGCCTCAGGTGTCCTCCTGCCTGGCTCCATGAACCTGTTCCACTCTGAGCTCTGGGAGGGATGTGAGCAAAACCAAGGAGAACAGCCTTCTCCCAAATCATGGTGAATTGGGGGCACTGGTACAGTGAGAAGGAGTCTCCCTGAATTGGCAAAGATCCATCTGATTTGATGCCCTGAGGACTCCAGCAGATTCCATGAGCAGCGTCAGCAATGCCAGAGGGTTTGGGCTTACAGCAGTGGGCTCAGCGGTCAGCACAGGGTTGACCTGGTGGGCATGGGCAAGAGCCGGAGTAGGCAGTGGCAGTTTGGGCTGTGATGGGAGATGTTTTTCTGTGACTTTGTGGGGGCTTTTGTTGGCTTTTTGGCACATGTTTGACATCAGGGGTCTCAGCTGCAGGGGCCTTCCCTGTGAGAGGAGAAAAATAATGAGTGGAGGGTGGGGAGGGAAGCCAAAGTATGATATTTATTCTATTATACCCCAGAGCTGGGTCTAAATCCACAGGCTGAAGGAACATTCTTTTCTCCCCTGGCTCCAAGCAGGAGCAGAAACCCCACAACATGGAGCTACAAGGGGCCTATGAAATCTTCCTTGGCAACCCCTACCACAATAATTAGGGTAAGAATAAGACATGCAGATGCCCTGTGTAAGGCAATAATTTAGCATACTTGGGCAGGGTCATTTATCATCCCTTCCAGCCAATATTCTTCAAGCACATGTTCAATGTCTATCTGAGGGAGACCAAGCTGTTGGTGTTGGATGGGACAATTCTTCCTCATGCTGATTTTCCTGCACATTGCAGGTGTCCAGCATCCCTGCCCACTGCCCACTGCATGCTAGTAGCTCCCTTCATCTCATGCTTCCAACGCCTCCTGGGGAGGCAGGATCCCCTTGCTGAGAACTGGCCCCACACTTGCCTGCGTCCCTGGGTGAACAAGGCCTTTGCCAACAGCCAGACCTCCCCCTTAGAAAGAATCTTCTCAAACATCTGAGAACATCAGGGTATACTTTTTGGGGGTTGTTGTCCCCCAGATTGACTTATCAAAACTCTACTATCAGCCACATCTAATACATGCTTGAGAGGTTGTAGCAAATAAAAATTTGTGTATCTCATTACATTTAGTACAGCCCCATTGAGTCTGGCTGCCTGGCTAGCCCACCCTGGAATATAGCTCTGGGGGCATTTCTACCCTATCAGTGCTTTCTGTTTTATAACCAGTGCTTTCTGGTTTATTTTCTATGCATTTAATCCTGCTTACAGATTTCCCAATCCATAGCCTTTTACTCAGTTTTTGGTTGAGGACCAAACTTACTACTTTTAAGGGCAGTGCATTCTTAAAGTCATCTCTTTATTCTTTGTTCTCAGCTCATTTATCAGGTAAGTATAAAAGAGTTTACTCAAAGTTCCAATTAGTGAAGCCATTGAATATTTGATTTTATACGAGTATACTAATTTGATACCTTTTTCTGCATCTCCTGAACCAGTAGATTCCGAAAACATGTCTGTAAAATGAACAGCAGCTCTTATATCTCTCAATGCTCATCCCCCCTGGTGGCTCCCGATACCCACGTGATAGAAGTCAGAATTCTCTAGCTTCATATTCAAGCCATTCATGATCAGACTTCACCTTCTTTTTCATCATTCTGTTCAAGAGTTACTCCCATGCACTTGATACCCTACCTACACTGAAAATGATGAGCACACCAGGAGCTGTGGCTTTTTCAGGATCACAAGAAAAACCTCTAGAGACAGATACCCAATTATCTGGTAGAATCCCAAGTGACTGTGTGGACTTTCTGATACCTGTGGGAAAACACAATGTGATGGGATATCTCCAGCCCAGCTCATACAGCTAAACACTGATGAGTGCAGCAGGCACCAAACCCAATGCACAGTTCAAAATCGTCCACAGTCTCCTTGTTGTTCAGCCGCCCCCTCTATAACCACAGCAGCCTAGGTCTGATAATAAACTGAGAGGACCCTCCACAAGAAAGTGAAGGCATTACACGTCGATATTTGTTCCTAGGTTCTTGTGTAGTTGTCTCATTCTTCTCCCCTCGGCTTCTTGATCTGTGGTCCTTGGAAGCCACATCTGAATAAGGGCATGGAAACTTCCATATCATCTGACCATGACGGAGTTACAGGATTCCCTCTAGCCTTAAACAACTAGAAAACTGGGCAATGTGTATGACAAAAGAGCTTTCATTCATTCATTGGGAAGTAAATGAGGCAAACTCTACAATTCCCTCAGTTTACTGCATGGAGAGAGTTTCCAGGCTGAAGCTCAGGGACAGGGAGTCTAGATAGGGCTGGTGGTTTGGCTGAGTGGAGGAGAAAGAATTCAGAGTTCAGGGAGGTCAGAGTGGTTGGAATTTCCAGGGTAAAATACTGGGGAGGAGGGAGCTTCACAGAGAGAAAGAGAGAGCTCCAGAGATCTGCAGAGGGGTCCCCTTGAGATTACGGATGAGAACAAATCTGTGTGTGCGTAAAAGGAAACTCCCTGAGGCCAGGAAAAGAGCAACCAGAAAGGAGCAGGCAGAACAGTCCCTGGAGATCACACAGGGCTGGGAATGATTTGTGCTGCCACCCACTAGGGTGGAAAGACCTCATAACACAAGCAGTATTGAGCAGAGGTTTCAGAGGTGGTAGCCTCAGTAATGGGACCACATTAGCCCTAGATCTGCCTCAAATAAAAGCAAGCCTTGGAAGGATTAAATTGCTGCTCAGAACAAAACCTAACAATATACAAAGGAATACAATAGAATCCAGCAACCAAAAGCATAAAATTTACACTGCTCAGCATCCAGTTAAAAATTACCAGGAATGTAAAGAAGCAGGCAATATAACCTATCACTAGGAGAAAAAAATTAATAATCTAAGTAGATTTTTTTTTTGAGATGGAGTTTCACTCTTGTTGCCCAGGCTGGAGTGCAATGGTGCAATCTCGGCTTACTGCAACTTCAGCCTCCTGGGTTCAAGTGATTCTCCTGCCTCAGCCTCCTGAGTAGCTGGGATTACAGGCACAAGCCACCATGCCAAGCTAATTTTGTGTTTTTAGTGGAGACCAGTTTTCTCCATGTTGGTCAGGCTGGTCTCAAATTCCTGACCTCAGGTGATCCACCCACCTCGGCCTCCCAAAGTGCTGGGATTACAGGTGTGAGCCACTGCACCTGGCCTAAATAGATTTTTAAAAAGATACAAATGGTAGAAGTAGCACACAGGGATGTTAAAGCAGCTATTATGAACATACTCCTTATCTTCAAGAAGATAAAGGAAAGCATAAACATGATGAACAACATGGAACATAAAAGCCCCCAATCTAATTCTGAGGGATAAAAAATATTATATCTTAAATGAAAAATTCAGTTGATGAGAATAACAGCAGATTAAACATTGCAAAAGAAAAGACCAATGAACTAACTTGAAGATACAACAGTAGAAACATTTAAAAGGAAACAGAAATGGAAAAGATTGTAAAAAATTGAGAAAAGCACCAATGAGCTGTGAGCTAATATCAAACAAGCAATCTAACAGATGTATAATTAGAGCTCTGATGGGGGAAAAAGCAGAGCAAGGGAGACAGAAAAATATATTTGAAGAAATGGCCAAAAAAAGTCCAAATTTGATGAAAACTATAAACCCATAGATACAAAAATCTCAACACACCCCAAGCACAAAAAATATCTTACAAATTACACCAAAGCACATCATAGTCAAATTGCTCAAAACAAATGATAGAGTGAAAATCTTTAAAGCAGCAGAAAAAAGACATTAACACAAAGGGAAATAAGGACTGCAAATTTCTCATAAGAAACTATGCAAATCAGAAGACCATTCCATCACATTATTAAAATACTGAAAGAGAAAGCTATTAATATAAAATCTATAGTCAAAAAAAAAACTTCAAAAAATGAAGGCAAAATAAAGACTTTTTCAGACAACTAGAAATTGAGAGAATTAATTACCAGAAGACTAGCATTATGAGGAATGTTAAAGGAAGTTTTTGGTGTTTTTTTTGGGGGGGGGTAGAAGAGAAATGCTGCTGGATGGGAATTGGATGTTGCACAAAAGAATGTTGAGCAGTGAAAATGACAAAAATGTGGGTATGTGGAAAATACATTTTCCCTTCACTTTTTCAAATATCTTTTTATTTTATTTTTTTTAATTTAAATTTATTTCTTAAATTTATTTCTATTAAATTTTCTTGTAACCATGTACAACTAAGTTGTTCTACTTTAATTTTTTTTTTTTTTTTTTTTTTTTTTTATTGATCATTCTTGGGTGTTTCTCGCAGAGGGGGATTTGGCAGAGTCATAGGACAATAGTGGAGGGAAGGTCAGCAGATAAACAAGTGAACAAAGGTCTCTGGTTTTCCTAGGCAGAGGACCCTGCGGCCTTCTGCAGCGTTTGTGTCCCTAGGTACTTGAGATTAGGGAGTGGTGATGACTCTTAACCAGCATGCTGCCTTCAAGCATCTGTTTAACAAAGCACATCTTGCACCGCCCTTAATCCATTTAACCCTGAGTGGACACAGCACATGTTTCAGAGAGCACAGGGTTGGGGGTAAGGTCATAGATCAGCAGGATCCCAAGGCAGAAGAATTTTTCTTAGTACAGAACAAAATGAAAAGTCTCCCATGTCTACTTCTTTCTACACAAACAGCAACCATCCGATTTCTCAATCTTTTCCCCACCTTTCCCCCTTTTCTATTCCACTAAACCGCCATTGTCATCATGGCCCGTTCTCAATGAGCTGTTGCGTACACCTCCCAGACGGGGTGGTGGCCGGACAGAGGGGCTCCACACTTCCCAGAAGGGGCAGCCGGGCAGAGGCGCCCCGCACCTCCCGGATGGGGCGGCTGGCCAGGCGGAGGCGCCCCCCACCTCCCTCCCGGACGGGGCGGCTGGCCAGGCGGGGGCTGACCCCCACCTCCCTCCCGGACGGGGTGGCTGGCCGGGCGGGGGCTGACCCCCCACCTCCCTCCCGGACATCAAATATCTTTTTAATTGATTAAAAAATAGTTGACTGTTTCAAGCAAAGTAATAATTAGTCATGTATTTAGGGATATATAGCATATGTAGAATTAAAGTGTATGTCAATCATAGCACAAAGGCCAGGAGAGGGATATGGAAGCATACTGTTAAAAAGTTCTTCAACTATACAAAAAATGGTATAACATTATTTGAAGGTAGACTGTGATAAATGGAAGATATTTATTGCAAATCCTAGAGCAACCACTGAAACAAAACAAACAGTTCTAGCTAATAAACCGAGATGAATTGATTAGGATACAGACATGCTCAGGGTCATTAATTAATACCCAACATTCTTATATCAAAATGAAGCAGACACAAAATTACTGCAAATATGGGGAAGCTAGAAAGGATCCATGTACCTGTCTAACTGCCTAGTCATGACATACTCCTACAAGTGCATTCCTAAGGTGCATATCAAGGCATTCTAAGAGAAAAGGTAATGTAGGATACCACTGGTACTACCAAACTTAGATAAAGATATATATGTTGTTAGAGAGGGCAAACCAAAAATAAAACTTGAAGCCCCCCACCCTGCCACAGTCATTTGAATGGACTTTCTCTTCTAGGCAAGTGCCCTCCAAGTTTAATCTGAAAGACTGGTTTGGGCCATGACAAGGAGGGAGGTGTTGGACATGCCTCATCATGCCCTCCTCCCTTTTGGAATTCAGGAAAAGTCAACCAGCATTAACATCAACACAGACCTTAAGTCTGATATGAAACATGTACAATCTATTCTCTCTGGAGTCTTCATCTGCATGGTAAAGCTTTGGTTTCTACAACCTCTTATTGTTACCTAGACTTTTCTTTCTATAGATAATAACTCTTTCAACCAACTGCCAATCAATCAGAAAATTTTTAAATCTACCTATAATCTGGAAGCCCACCCACCCTGCCCCTTGAGTTGTCCCACCTGTCTGGACTGAACCGATGTATATCTTAAATATATTTGATTAATGTCTCATGTTTCCCTAAAATATATAAAACAAAGCTGTGCCCCAACCACCTTGGGCACATGTTCTCAGGGCCTCCCAAGGACTGAGTCACTCATATTAGTGACAGGCTAGTGTCACTCACATTTGGCTCAGAATACATCTCTTCAAATATTTTTCAGAGTTTGACTCTTTTCGTTGACAACAGTGATATCAACTTTCACAAGACACTACCAAGGAAACAAAGAGGGAGAGAAATTCAGGTCAAATCAGTGAGACAGGTTTATGATATGGACTCCGCTTTTCCCCTTCAACTGAGAACTCAGTCTCAGTCAACCCCATTCCATTTTGAGTATCCTGTTTTTAAAACCCTCACTACACGGACTACCAATAGTTACTCAAACACACATGCTCCTCTTTCACATATTCTTTTTTTTTTTTTTTAGACAGAGTCTTGCTCTTCACCCAGATTGTGTAGTGGTTCAATCTTGGCTCACTGCAATCTCCGCTTCCCAGGTTCAAGCGATTCTCCTGCCTCAGCCTCCTGAGCAGCTGGGACTACAGGCGTGTGCCACCACGACTAGCTAATTTTTGTGTTTTTAGTAGAGATGAGGTTTCACCATGTTGGCCAGTCTGGTCTCGAACTCCTGACCATAGGTGATCTGCCCACTTCAGTCTCCCAAAGTGCTGGGATTACTGGTGTGAGTCACTGCACTCAGACTGTTTCACATATTCTTGCCTTTCCTCTGCCTACAATACCCTTCCCTATCTTGTTTCCCTGGCAAAGTCCCAGTCATCTTCCAAATCGATTAATATGTCATCTCTTCTGTGATGCATTCCCTGCCTTTCCCTGGTGATTTCTACTGGGTCCCCATAGCACCTGGAGTACAGCTCTAGTTTGACATTTATCACAGAGAATTGTGTTTTCCCTTTTTATTTTCCCCTAGAACAGTAGTTCTAAAACTCCAGCATGCATTAGAATCACCTGGAGTGTTTATTCAAACACAAATTCCTGCCATCTCCTTTCCACCCTCAGAGTTTCTGATTCAGTAGGTCTGAGGTAAGGACCAAGAATTTGCATTTCTAACAAGTTTTCAAGGGATGCTGATGCATCCAGGGACTACATTCCAAGAAACATTAATCAAAACAGTGAATTCTTAAAAACATGAAAAATGTTGTAAGAGATATAGGAAAAAAACAAACCAAAGTGTTCTTCCTACTCTCAACACAACACTGCTGACCCCAGATGTATGGGGCACTTCCCCATGCAGCACGCGGTCAATTTGTCCATGCACAGCAGCTGGGCATCCTTTAATTCAATCCATTTCAATTCAATTCAATTCTAACACTATCTACTAGGATACAGCGTTGGATTCCACAGGTTGAGGGCTCAGTCCCACAAGACTCCCCACTTCAGATGTCACTTGCAAGCCCCAGGTTGTGTTCTGTGCTTCTGACAGAGTGACTATAAATTGCAGGTTTGCATGACCTCCTCCTTAGGTGCGATTAATTTGCTACAGTAGTTCACAGAACTCAGGGAAATACTTCACCTACATGTACTGGTTTATTACGAAACATATTAGAAAGGATACAGATGAACAGCCAGATGAAAGAGACATATGGGGCAAGGCATGTGGGAAAGACGCAGAGATTTCCTTTTCCTCTCTGGGTGTGTCACCTCCACGTTCAGATATTCAGAAGCTCCTGGAACCCTGTCCTTTTGGGCTTTTATGGAGGCTCATTATGTAGGCATGATTGACTATATCATTGCCCATTGGTGATCAACTCAACCTTCAGTCCCTCTTCCTTCCCAGAGGTTGGGGTAAACTTAAAGTCCCAACCCTCTAATAACATGGTTGGTTCCCCTGGCAACTGATCCCATCCTGAGGCCATCCAGGAGCCCCCAGCCAAAGGTCAATCATTAGAATACAGATACGTATCCCTTTGGAGATTCCAGAGGTTCCAGGAGCCAAGTAGAGATGAAGACCATATTTATATAAACACACACACACACACACACAAACACACACACACAATAAATATATAAATATACAGGATACAAATATATAAATATACAAATATATAAAATAAATCACAACATCACAGATGTAATGTTCATGTTTGTATCCCTCACACCTAGGATGGTGCTAGCACAGAGTAGATGCTTAATATACATTTCTGTAGAGTGAATGGATAAATGCATGAATTAAAGCATAAATGTGATACATTATGTGATATAATGATATAAAATAATATAGCCTACTAGCACCCCTAGCAGAAATCACTGCAGCTTTTTTACCAATGCCATACTGCAGTAGAAGAGTATATGTGTAAAAAGCCATCAAATAAATATTTAGCTATTTGCCATTTATACATTTGTCACCTAATAAGAAATAAAACTCTGCAGAGCAGCAAATAATGGAAAAGGCATTTTAATCAGTCTTAGGAATTGCATATTGAGAGACACAGATCTAGCAAATAATTAATGGTCCTGTAAGGGCTGGTAAGGGAGCTAGAGTGAGTTTATACACTGGACGGTTTTAGCACAGTTCATGATTGATAATGGCTGATTAACAGTTTAGGATATCTTTAGTTGATCAATTTAGTTTCATGTAGTTTTCTCCCAAGGAGGTTGATGGTCAAGCCTAGTAGAAGCAGCTAAAGTCCAATGTGGCTGCTTTTATGATATCTGGCCCAGCCTAACAGGTCAGATTTCACCGGGTGTGTATGTAGCTATGTAACTGAGTACTCCCATTTTTTCTAAGAAAAAGAGAATGAGTTATTATTATTTTTTTAATTTTCTCTTCTCTTCTCTTTCCTTCTTTCCCACTGTTCCCGACTTCCTACTTGGCCCTTTAGAAATGCAAATATGACCTTTTACCTCCCCTTCACCAGACACTCCCTACAGGACAAGTTCACCTGATTATGTGCACCAAGGCAGAACTCTCCAGGAGAGTTAGCAGTTGATTTACAGAGCAAAGCACAGAATTCTCACCCACCAGGAGGTTGCCTTGGAACTCCCTCCTATTTGGGGAGTTTTTGGCCTAGTCCTGCCCACAAAGGTGCCAGCAGTCACCAGCTGAACTGCCCAGTAGATAAGACACCAGAGCTAACACAAAGACTCCCCACTTGATTGCTTCCTTTCCTGCCTTTTAAAAGTACCCGTTGTCAGCTCCAAAAGTGAAGCAATACACTTAAGGCAGGATGCCCGTATTTCTTCCCCTAAGCTAGCCTTGGAATAAATCACTTTTTTTATACCAGACCTTGCTCTTGAAAAGTGGACTCTGCAGGTGGCAAACAACTAACCTACAGTTTGGTTACAGCTGGGGTCAAACTCCCATGCCTCTCTGACTCCTTTTAGATACTTCTGACATAACCATCGGTAACTTGGTTTTTTTTTTTTCACACGTTGTTGTCCTACTTTCTTGCAAAATAGTTTTGAGACAGTTTTAAAAATTGAAACACACATAAAGAAGTACATTTAAAATTTTTTTAATGGAGTAAGAGTAAAAACAGTTCAGAAATTTATTACCCCAATATTCTACAGAAAATAAATTTCTGAACTGTTTAACCATTTAAAGACAAGTAACCATTTAAGATTTATTACTCCAATATTCTACAGATAAGTAGAGTATTGGGGTAATAAATATCTGAAGTCAAAGACAAAAAATAAGATCTGTTTCAGGACCTAAAGCAAAACAATGAATACTTGGAATAAAGAAGGTAAGCAAAGAAGACAGATAAGACATAAATGAAGAGGAAAGCCAAATGCAGCTTTAGTTCCATCTCAACTCCTCCTTGTCTTTAAACCAACTTTCCTATGTCAACACAAACTTCTTCAGTGCATCCAGAGAGAGGTATCCTCCATTCCTCTCCCTGGTCCAAGACCCCAGGCATCCTTCCCCCAGTCTGGTGGGAGTGCATTCCTTCCTCCTACCATGATTTTCTACTCTTCATTTCTACCTTTGCCCATAAGGGCAGCCTCTGAATGCCTGTGAGGAAGTGTGTGCTTTGAGCCCTTTACCCTTCTCATGTATCAACTGCAGAATGCTGGGAAAGCTGGAGGCAGTTCTCAGTGAATGTCTGCTGCACGGTGGAAGGACTGAGGAGACATTCTGTCAACATCAAATGGGGGTTCCCCTTGGGAGCAAAATTAGGAAGAATCCATACCAAAGGGACGGAACCAGACTTTTATAGAAATGTCACATCCCAAGAAATGGTTTTGGCAGCTGGTGTGTTGGGAGGTGTTTCAAAAAAGAAGGATTATCTCAAGTGATTTCAAGTGAATGGAGAAAGCCAGCCTAATTCTAATTGATGGCATGGTGCCATAGCTGAAGAAAGACTAGGAGCAGATGGTTGATGGGACCCTTCAATGGGGGTGGGTAGGAAGGCTAGAATAAGGCTGTGTCTCCAGTGCTGTCCGGAGGGTGGCACCTGACTCTCTGTTGGAAAGAATACCGTGGCCCCTCTTCCCAGGCTGCACACTCCAGTCCATCTGGCAGGCTTACTTCTCACAGTGAGTCACGAATTTGCCATTTTGGTTGCTGTATGGTGTTCTAGGGGCTGCCAAGTGGAGGTTGCCTTCACTCTCAAAAACTGACTTTGTTTCTCTTTGATTGCAAGTGGATGAACGTTGCAAGCCTCCAATAGATAAAGACAAGATGAAGAAAGGGATTTACCCCCCCCCCTTATATTGACCAAATACAGTGGCAATAATGTGCAGATATTACCCCACTCCTCCTGCTCGATGCCTGGTACTTCATCTCTGAATGGTCCTGGGTCCCAAAGCAAGGGTTGTTCAGGGGGACCATTCAGGGGACTGTCAAGGGGTGGCCTGAGACTTACAGCCAAGTCTTAGCAAGCATGAGCAGGTACCAAAGAAAGAAAGAAAGACATTCTGAGTCCTTTCCATTAATCTTCTAAGAGCAGAAACTATGAGCCCGTGGTGAGGTATTGCGGTGACTCTCTGACCTTCCAAAGGTTTTGTAAGAATGTAAATCCTTGTATTAAATCCTTATATCCTGGAAATAGCTAGGGTGGTATCTGTCTTCTGCAACTAAATCCTGATTGACTGACATACTACGAGAAGAAAAATACATAAAATGGAGGTGTCAGCTTCTTGGGCCCCGTGGAGGTGATTTCTCTAAGGATCTCCCTTCCAGTTCTTCTCAGCATGGTTGGTGGGAGGTGGCCCTAAGAGACTGAACAAAACCCAGTTCCTGATCTGAAGCTGAAACCAATCTTGTCCCGTGGTCAGTGAGGCCTTGGTAAGTTGTCTTCTTAGACAACATCTAACCACAAACACAAAGGTAGGGAGTTTATAATACGTCGTAGATCACATATTATACTAGGCAAGTGTTACTATTTTAATCTCCATTTACAGGTGAGGCTTTACCTGTAAAGCTGAGTGACTCATGCACAGGCCCAAAGTTTGATGATGGGGCCAAATGGACCCATTCCTGGGACCTGCTAATGGCCCATGGTGCTCATTGTCTACAGCAACTGTCAGTTTTTTGTTGTTGTTTATTTTATTTGTTTACTTATTTATTAGAGACAGAGCCTGACTGTGTTGTCCAGGCTAGATTGTAGTAGCATGATCCTGGCTCACGATGCCTTAAACTCCTGGGCTCAAGCAATCCTCCCACCTCAGCCTCCTAAGTAGCTGGGTTTACAGGTTCACACCATCATGCCTGGCTAAATATTATTTTAAAATTTTTTTGTAGAGATGGCAGTCTTGCTGTGTTGCCCAAGCTGATCTTGAACTCCTGACCTCAAGTGATCCTCCTGCCTCAGCCTTCCAAAGTACTGAGATTACAGGTGTGAGCCACCACGCCTGATCCAGTTTAGATTTTATTTCTAATGGTATTGTACTTCTTCATCTAGAAATGCTACCTATTTTCTCATCTATATTTGCAAGTTTGACAAATGTCAAAATTAGAAATAAGCCCACAAAAAAAGTATATTTTTGAGAGGAAAAAAGTCTAACTAATAATGGAAGAAACAGAACCGACTTAGTCAATTTTCAAAATTGGCTTTAAATACAGTATTAAGCTCCACAATTCCTTTTATAATAGTCATGTCTTGGGACTGGAAGGAAACCTGTTTACCATCTGTTATGCTTTCACACTCAGCATCTTATGAAATGTTACTTTCCAACAAAGAGCTGTCAGCAATTTCAGGTCAGGAAAAGTCATGGCTAATAAATGGTTTTTATTTCCAAAGAAACTGTAGAATTTTTGCTTATTGTATTATATTCATAAATAAAGGATATATTTTTTAAAGTAAATCAAGAAGGTATTTGAATTTGTGGATTTTCTTTCTTATAGAACACGTACAGGGCTTTGGCATTCTGTTAAGGAAAAGAACTACATTCTTCCGTCTCCTCCAGTAAGAGCAGGTTTCTTCTTGCACAAGAGCCAGCTCTGCCTCCTGCTTGGGCAAATCCAGGTTGCCAACGCCGGCTCAGCCGGCACACGTCCCTGTTGATTTATAGCATTCTGCAGGGAACTAGCCCTGTGTCAGTAAGGTTAAACATTTCGCGACATAATCAATTTTCTTGGTCAGTTTCTCTGCTTCGTCTGATTACAAACTCTTTCCTCTCTAAATTTCACTTTACCTAATAATCAGGTAGGAGATTTGACCATTCGTCACTCTCTCTCTCTCTCTGCAATAACTTTTATTCTGTAGTGTGTGATGCAGGCATTGGGCCCCAGAAAGCCCTGCTCCGTGTCATCTGTGATCTAATCCTTGTGGGGATGCTCGGGCCTCTGCCTGGCGAATTTCCTTGAAGCCACACTTCTAGAAAGTACAGGTGGTGTGCAAGTTCAGGGGGCGGTGGGGCAGGGCATTTAGACAGAGACCACCCCCATATTGTCTGTCAGATAAGCAGAGTTTAAGCTTTTTAAGCTTCTCTTATAAATAGCTATTCTTTTTCTTTTTTTCTTTTTTTTTTAAACGGAGTTTTGCTCTTGTCACCCAGGCTGGAGTGCAATGGCACGATCTCGACTCACTGCAACTTCTGCCTCCCAGGTTCAAGCGATTCTTGTGCCTCAGCCTCCCTAGTAGCTGGGATTACAGGTGCACACCACCACACCTGGCTAATTTTTGTATTTTTAGTATGCCAGGTGCAGTGGCTCATGCCTGTTATCCAAGCACTTTGGGAGGCTGAGGGGGATGGATCACTTGAGGTCAGGAGTTTGAGACCAGCCTGGCCATCATGGTGAAACACTGTCTCTGCTAAAAATAAGTAGCTATTCTTGGTTGAGGGCCTATTATGTTCTAGGCCCTGTTCATATATGATTTTGTTTTAGTTATTAGATCAAGCTTCCACAGGTAGATACTATCCTGCTTTTTACCGCAGAAAACTGCAGGGCATAGTGAGGTGAAGTCACCTGCCCAGGGTCATGCGAGTCTAGTTGATGCCAAAGTGCACGTCTTTTCACCTCCACACCCAGGCACCCTGCTGGCTGCTTCTCTCTGCTCCTGGGGCTCGTGAGGCCGGGGCCCTGCTCCCGTGGGAGTTTCCTTTCTCCCTGTCTCACTGCCCCCTAAAATTCCAACCCAAAGAGAAGATCCAGCTGGGATTCTCGCCTTCCCTCGGTCTTCTCCTGCCCTCCAATTGCTCTCTATGTACACGCCCATCTTCTCAGCCCCATTTGAAGCTTCCTGAGGGCAGAGACCCTTTGTGTCCAAGAACTCTGGGCATATGCTGGGTGGTTGGTGGTCAGGCCCGTGGGCACCCACCTGCTTGTGATTTCATTCGTTGTAACTGATTTCAGCACAGCTGCACACCTCTCAGGTGAATTGCAATCTTTACTTACATTCTTATCCTTGTATTCTCCAAGCTGCTTTGGCTGCTTCCTGGGGTTTTGTGTTCTCTTCCTGGAGATGATGTGGAGGTGTTGTGGTGAAGGGTCAGATGCATCCTTTCCTCTGTCCACTTGCTGGGCAGGGCACACGGGGTTCCTTCAGCACCATCCAAGTGGAACCCTGCAGATGGGGGTGTCCGGAGCACTCACAGAATGAAAGTCAGCATTGAGTCTGGCTCTGGTGCTTTCTTATCTAACTAATAATTCTCCACTTTCAAAAAACAATCTGCTAACAAGTCAGGTACATCTTTACCAGCTACTCCTCTTTCTTAGCCTCCTAATAATGCCCATCAGAAGATGACCACTAGGTCATGGCCTTTGGTCTTTCATCAAGAATTCATGAGCACTGGTTCGTGTCTTGCACTCCCACTGGGAGCAAGGTCTTGAGGCTTTCTCAGAGAGGGCACTGCAGGGCTGCAGGGGCACAGATTTACAACTGTGGTTGTTGATTAAACAACAATAACAGCAGCACAGAGCTGGAAGAGAATGAGACACTCTATTTTCTGAATGCTTGCAGCATGTCTGTCTTTCTTGGCTGCAGCATTCGTCATCACAGGCCTAGGGAAGAGCACGTCAATCCTGGTGAACTTATCGTGCAGCAAAGTGTCCCAGGAGAAAGGGTCTTCCTGCATCTCCTCTCAGCTCCTGCCTGTCGAGGGCTGTGCAGTCTAATCGGGGTCAGAAAAGGAAGGGAAGGTGTGGATGCCAGGTGGATCCATAAACACAGTCACAAGCTGTAGGCTTCTACTGGGGTCAGTCATTTTTCTCTGAGTTTAATAATGGATCCCCATTATTAAAGCCAGTGGACTCCAAGTGGTGGAGCACAGGAAGGGGGGTCCCTAGATGCTCCCTGAGGAGCCACACCCCAACCCCCTGCTCACCCTAAGTTACCTCTGAGGGGAATGGTCACTCGGGTATCAAACACAGAAGTAGCAACTGGACAACAGCTCTGTTATATTTCTGTCAGTGGGACAACAGCTCTGTTATATTTCTATGTCAGTGCTGCTGGGACAGGACACCATCTGGGTGTGGCAGCCTGGCCAGGTGAGCTGATCACTCAGAGTAGCCAGAGGCAGAAGGGCTGGGACGAAAGTGAGGGTGGCCAGCAAGATGGGCGCGAAGTGCAAGGCCCGGTCAGCAAGCTGTGCTAGCTGGCTGGGGCTGCCGCAACAAAATGCCACAAATGGAGCAGCTGAAACAACAGAAATGTCCTGTCTCACTGTTCTGGCAGCCAAGTCCACGATCAAGGTGTCCACAGGGTTATGCAACCTCTGAGGGCACTGGCGAAGGACCTGTTCCAGGCTTCTCTCCTGGCTTTCAGGAATTCCTTGGTTTGTGGCAGCAGAACCCCAATCTTTATGCAGCGCTCTGTGTGTCTGTTCTTCACCTGGTGTTCTTTTCACAAGGACACAGTCATTCTGGATTGGGGACCACCCTATTCCAGTGTGACATCATCTTGACTAATTACATATAACGACCCTACTTTCAAATAAGGTCCCGTGCTGAGGCACTGGGGTTAGGACTTCATCACATGAAGTTGCAGTGGAGCACAATTCAACCCTTAACAAAGTCCATTTTTTGGGAGGCTAATTGGGGGATCGGTCAAAAGGTGGGAGACCCAATAGAAAATCGCAGGTCGGTGAGCGACATGGGTCAGGGTAAACGGTTCAGGAGAAAGGTGAACTAACTTTTCAGGGGGTCTTGGGGCTGCTTCTCCATGATGCTGGCTGCAGGGCACAGTGAGATTTTTTAAAGGCAGTGAAGGATCAAATGCAGTCTTGCTGTAGGCCTGGGCTGCTGCACTGGGTGATCGTGAAGAATTCCTTCAGTTCAGTGTCATCTGACACGCATTCCGGAGCCCGAGCCATGTGCCACAAGCTGGGTACACAGTGGTGGATAAAAACATCCATTGCTGCCCCCAAGGAGCTCACAGTTTTATGATTAAATGGCAACATTTTTATAGTGTCCAAAAACAGTTCCAGTATTTTTTTAACCACATTTTTCTTGAGCTAGACAGAAAGTTAAAATGCAGTGAAACAATCAACCACATGTTAAAATTGCAGAACAAAATTGGTGCCGTGTCAGCTTTCCGCTGGTTTCAAAACAAGCAGTAATGAGCTAATAGGAAAAAAAAATAGTGAGGGCTGGGGGGGTGACATAGAGACGGTTCATGGTATCTCTCTCAGCATATTGTTTTACATTTAAAGAAATGTCTTCATTATTAGGTCTGCTGATGCCACGTTGTAGCAATGTTTATGTCTTGCTTGAGAATCAAGACAGCACCTCTCTGCTCAAGGTTACCTAAATTTATAATCATTCACTGGCAGGCAATGATATAATATAGTCTCTTAATAATAGAGTTAAATGTAATACCTGGCCATGTGTTGGGAAAAGCATGGATTTTCAAGTTAGACACATCTGTCTCCTGTCTAACGTCACTCTGTAACTGTGTGAACTTATTCAGGAAGTTGAGCCTTCTGTTTCTAGTTGGTAAAATGGGAATGATAAAGATTTTCTACAATTATTGGGAGGATTCGACAAGAAAACACATTCAAGAGCCTAGCCCAATCCTGGAGCATAGCAAGCACTTTTAAAAAAAAGTGTCTTGGGCTTACACAAACAAATGCATCTGTTCCTGTCGTGACTTTGCAGATTGGGGAGGCAGGGCTGGGGCTCAGGGCAAGAAACTGCCAAAGAGGAGGCAAACTCAGGGAACCAGAGGCGTAAGAACCCTCCAGGTGAGCAGCTCAGTGCCAGGGAATATCAGAACCACAATCAGGGCAAGGCTGAGAAACCAGGGAGGCTGTGATGGGCAGATGTGTCTACTTCCCAAATACCTTTGAATCTAACCACTTCTCTCAACCCCACAACCATTGTCTGACATTAGGACATCTGGGCTCCTTTAAGGGCCACCTAATTTATCTCCCCACCTCCCCTAACTTTCCCCTATCCACTTCCCTTTCTGCAGCAAGAAAGATGCTTAAAGATGCAATCCAATCTAGTCCTCCTGGGCTTAAAGACAGGATATCCAGCGCACCTGTCCTACACTAGTACAGGGGCTGGATTCCACCTGTTGATGTTAATGACGCTACATTGTTGACCTGCCAATTGAATAGAGAAGACATAGAAATGATTTTTAAAATATACTGTCAGCTGGGTGCAGTAGCTCATGCCTGTAATTCCAGCACTTTGGGAGGCTGAGGCTGGTAGATTGCTTGAGCCCAGGAGTTCAAGACCAGCCTGGGCAACATGGTGAAAACCCATGTCTACAAAAAATACAAAAATTAGCCAGGCATAGTGGCACACATCTGTGGTCCCAGCTACTCAAGAGCCTGAGGCGGGAGGATCACCTGAGCCTGGGAGGTGGAGGCTGCAATGAGCCATGATGGTACCACTCCAGCCTGGGCAACAGAGTGAGTTTTATTCTCTCTTTCTCTCTCTCTCTCTCCTCTCTCACTCTCTCTCTCTCTCTCTCTCTCTCTCTCTATATATATATATATATATATATATATATATACACACACACACAAACACACACACATACATATACATATATATATCACTGAGTTGAAAAGATTAAGACTTTTTTAACTTAGTTTATTTGGACTCAGTGTTTTGTTTGTAGCTTTTAAATGCTAATTTAAGCTTTATAAATCTGCTTTGAGATTTGTCCTGAATTTCAACACAATTCAACTTTCAGTCTGCAGATGAATTTGTCCACTGCCAAATATGCTGAGGTCTGAGCAAGGGCCTATCGTCTGGACCGAGAGGCATCCCTCACTAAGGCAGGAATATTTCAATAGGGATAAATGTGACAGGGTCCTCTGTCTGTCAATGAGTCCTGGAAATTGGATGCTGAGCCTAGAGACAGCTTGCAATTTGAGGGTTACTCTGCTGCCATTTGGAAGGTGTCAATAGGGAGTTGGGACTCTTCCTGTTCCAACAGACACATACTTCTTAACTTGTGAATCCATAAATAGCCTCCTGTCTGCTGAGCCCCAGTGTGCTGTGACAATGCAGGAGCGAGACAGCATGCAGAAGCTCCCTCTGTGTACTAAGCGCTTGCAACACCATCTGCTTTCGTCTGTATTTAGGGGCTAGTTTGTTAGCTCAGAGTGCTAAGAAGTTAAGGTTGCAGGGGCCTGATGCTGCCCAGGCCTTGTTCAATCAAAAGAAAACCTAATATTGAAACAGAAAAAAGAGGAGCCACAACTGAAGAATTTTGCATCTGTCGCCTGCTTCATTCTCCACCCAAGCTCAAAGTTCTCTCCTGTAGGGAATCCAGCCATATATTCCTGTGACTGTGGGTCTGCTCTGTTTGGGGCCTACTTCAGGAAACTGCAAATACCTTTGCTTACGGCTGGCTGATTACAGCTCCCTTAGCTTAGAAACACATGTGTGGTGTGTGGGTCCTGTGGACTGAATATATGTGTCCCCCCCAGATTCATATATTGAAGCATTAATCCCTATGATGGCATTAGGAGGTGGGGCCTTTGGAGGTAATGAGGTCAGGAGGATGGAGCTCTTATGATGGAATTAGTGACCCTGTAAGAAGAAACACAAGAGAGACGTTCTCTTCACCATATGAGGACACAAAAAGAAGGTGCCGTCTGCAAACCAGGAATCGAGCCCTCAGGAGACATTTGATCTACTGGTACCTTAGTCTTGAACTTTCCAGCCTCCAGAACTGTGAGAAATACATTTTTATTGTTTACAAACCACCCATTCTGTAGTATCTTGTTATAGCAGCCTGTCTTAGTCCATTTCATGCTGCTATAACAGAATGTCTGACACTGGATGATTTGTAAAGAACAGAGATTGCTTTCTTACGGTTCTAGAGGCTGGGGAGTCCAAGTTTGAGAGGCTGCACCTGGTGAGGGGCTTCTTGCTGTGGTATCCCATAGTGGAAAGCAGAAGGGCAAGAGAGCATGAGACAGACAGAGAGAGAGAGAGAGAGAGAGAGAATGCATGAGAGGGAGCCGAACTTGCTTTCCTAACAAACTTACTCATTACTATCCAAACTATCTTACAAGACAGTGTTGTTAATTTACTCAGGAGGGCAAAGCCTGCATGACCTCATCACCTCTTAAAAGTCCCACCTCTCAACGCTGTTGCTGACAAGGGATTAAGTTTCCAACATATAAAGTTTGGGGACATATTTGTCCCGCAGCACAGCCCAAATGGACTAAGACAGTGGGTGCGTGGGGTGTTTAGGATGGAAAATGGAAAATGTATTTGAGCGAGAAAGTTTCTGCCTCTGGTTTGTTACTCTAGGACACTAAGAAGCTACAGCTACCCAGGGGAATTGGCCCAGATCATGTAAATGTTGTGTATCCTGTTCCCACTTTTGCTTTTCATTCAAAACGTGGCCTGTGGAAGAGCAGCTTTGTGTAAGAAATTTGGGGAGCCGAGCTGGGAAGTGAAGGAAGGAGAAGCAAGCGTGTCTTATCTTGGGTGCTCTGATGGGCAGCAGGACGAGTTCCCTTCCAGTAGCTGGCGCAGGGAGAGGGTGGGGAGCTGGAGGGAAGGTCAGGGCCACATACCACCGAGTCCAGGGCAGGGTGGGTGCCCCAGCCGCAGAACAGTCAGGATATGGAGAGCTCTGTCTCCCAAATCCACAGAGCCTAGTTAACCTAGGCTGAGGCAAATGCAAGAGCCGAGGAGTGGGTGTCTGTGGTCAGGATCCACGGAGGTGCTGTGGAGTGGGGATGCCCAGCAGGACCTGGAGCCCTTGTACACAGTGCCTCTGCTGTGCTGGAGCTCCCTGTGGAGGCCTGATGTCTGAAGGCAGAGTGTGGTTTAACTGGCACCAGACAAAACTGGAAAGGGTGGGGCAGGAGTGAAAGGGTTGAGTGTGAAGAATATGGCTTTGGAGTCACATGGACCGACTCCAATCCCAGTTCTACCACTCGGCAGCTGTCACCAGGGCAAGTAGCTCATCTTCCCTGAGCCTCCATTTCTTCTCTCTAAGTAGGGAATAAAAGTACCTCCCTCACAAGGTTTTAGTGAGGACCCGAGATCAATGTATGTAAAGGAGACTTGCAACCGCCGTTATTAACTGCAGGAGTCAGTGATGGGATAGGGGAGATTTGCCAGGATCCACAAGTGTTTTCTGACACAGAGGGAAGGTTTACACGTTGTCAGTTATATATTCTGCAGCATTTATCACGCAGCATCACCATGTCTGAAGGGCTGTATCAAGGTTGCAAAGCCCAGGCCCTTCCCTGGAAGCCTCCATAGGCAGGTAGAGGATCCTGCGGTGGACAGATCATGCCTGCACTCTGGCCTCTCCCCCAGAGTCCAGCAGTGTCTGGAGAGATGGGAGGAGGAAAACTACAAATAGCTAAGCATATCAATAAACAAGGCACCCACTGAAGGATGGCTTTAATGACATGAGCCTACTTGGCCACCACACACTCAAGTCAAACAGTTAATGTAATTTCCTTTATCCACCACCTTCCCTGAGATCAAAAGTGTTTCTTGAGTCCCTTCAGAAAACATCCCATGCCTCGCACGACTGCCGCTTCCAACCTAGATGCGTGTAGGCAGTCCTCTCTGAGGTCTTATGGAACATCTGACTCCAGGGTGGTGGCTTTCTGAGAACCCTTCTGCCTGGCCCTGATAAATATCACTGTGCTGAAGTTGGCTGGGCAGGGCCTGAGCAGAACTTGCCTGCTACCAATATAGATGCAAACAGCTCAGGTTTATAGTCCTGCGAGTGTAGCAGATGTGATTTCCCAGACTTGGAAAGCTCCCGCAGTCTAGCTCTTCAGAACAAGAATCATGTTTATCTGCGTTTCTACAGGACAGTCCAGTGCAATCATCCTCTTAGGTCGGGCAAGAGGGGCCCAGCCATGGCAGTCGTGCTTCAGTGGGTCCTGCAAGTCACAAACAGACACCATATAAATTCAGTAAGGAACACAGCATCTCTGCCCCTCAGAACCCAGCATGCTGTGCTGGCTCAGAGCTTGCCCTAACCCTAAACATCTGCTGTCAAGACTAACACCATTCAGGGCCCAGGGAGACACTTCTCCTCTCTCTTGTTTCATGGCCACAGATAAAAAGCTGCTGTGTCTCACTGATACAAACATCTGTGACACCACAGAAGGTCACCCCTTCAGATACAGGCAGGATATGAGCTATGGAAACTTTGAGGTAAGACTAATTATTTAACTTGTTGAATCCTCCCTCTTGGCATAAATGCAATTGATTCTTGCATAGCTAATCTCATTTTCCCTTTCCTCCCTCTCATCTCCAATCCATGGTTCCAGTGCATGTGCTGGTTAGCAGCGGTTCATGGTAGAGGCTGGGCTCAGACTCTCTTAGTACTCAAAAATTGGTAAATAGATGTGTAGGTTGAAACTTAACATGTACAAGACAATGACAATGACACTAGACCCTCGGCAACTAGATGGATGCCAAATGCCAGAACCGTAAAATAGTTTTAATTTTATAAAAGTATTTAATAAGGCCAGGTGTGGTGGCTCATGCCTGTAATACCAGCACTTTGGGAGGCCAAGGCAGGTGGATGACCTGAGGTCAGGAGTTCAAGACCAGCCTGGCCAACATAGTGCAACCAGTCTCTACTAAAAATACAAAAATTAGCCGGGCATGATGGCGCATGCCTGTAGTCCCAGCTACTCGAGAGGCTGAGGCAGGAGAATCGCTTGAACTCGGGAAGCAGAGGCTGGGGTGAGCCGAGATCGTGCCATTGCACTCCAGCCTGGGCAAGACAGAGTGAGACTCTGTCTCAAACAAACAAACAAAAAATATTTAATAAGATGTAATCACTTTTTCAAAAAATGTAAATAAGCATTGCAGCTTTATTTAAATAAATTTGACTTACACTTTGGACAATTCGTAGCTTTTAAATTTTCATAGATGATTTTGTATATTTTAAGCCAAAAATAACTTTTGAAAACATACACTCAATTTAATTTCTGATGAAAATATATTCAAGTTTTGTACACTTTAAATGCAATGCTCTGTGTTTTCGATCCTTTGAATCATTGAGCTTGAATGCAGTTCAGATTGTGACAGGATAGGGTGTGTGAAAATGGAGCTCAAAAAAGAGCAAAATGTGAAAAAAGGCAAATAGAAAATCTTCAAGGGGACAGTCTGCTTAAATTTTTAAACACTTGAAAGGGTGAAATTTAGCACAGTCTGGTGAGCATAGCCCACTTAAAATTTACAGACAGGATGTAACCAATTTTTTAGTGGAGATTTAATGACTAATAAGCAAGAAAACTACCCTAATAAAATCAGCAATTTGAACAGGTCAAATAAGATCCCTGAAACTCCCTGTTGGTTACTGTCTGAGGATTTAGTTACTAATCAGGACAATGAGAATGTAAGTGGGCCTTTGATTCTGCTTGGCTGGGGCCCGTGAGTGTTCGGGGTAGTCCCGGGCTTTCTGGGTTCTCATCAGCAAACTGGCCCTGCTGGGGATGGTGGGCATAGATTCCCATCCTCTGAACCAGGGACTCTGCCACCAGGCCCCGGGGCCACCACTCACTGGATCAAATCCTTTCTTCTGGAAAATTTCAATTCAAGACAGGCAGAGGCAGAGTCAATTGGCCAACAGCATATTCTGGTAAGAACAAGGCCTCATACACAATCACAAAGTTTCTAGCACAGCATCAGCAAGAAAATAGGCTTTAATAATGCTTTTAAAATTTAATTGAAAATCGTCGACAAGTTTGCACTCCCCTGTGCAGGAGGATTCTTTTTTTTTTTTTTAGACAAATTCTCACTGTCACCCAGGCTGCAGTGCAGTGGCATGATTGTGGCTCACCACAGCCTTGACCTCCCAGGCTCAAACGATCCTCCCACCTTGGCCTCCCAAGTAGCTGAGACCACAGGTGCATACAGCCACCACACCTGGCTAATTTTTTTTATATTTTGTAGAGATAGGGGGTTCTCTTTATGTTGCTCAGGCTGGTCTCGAACTCCTGAGCTCAAGCAATCCTCCTGCCTCAGCCTCTCAAAGGACTGAGATAGGTTATCTATTCTTTAAAGAAATATATATTGAGCATCAGCATTGTGGCAGGCATCAGGAAGAACTGGGAATGAGGTAGGGACCCCGACCCTGTGGAGAAGGCAGAAGAGATTCAAAGAAACACGCGAGGTGGCCTGCAAGGAAACACTATTGCTTATCACAGAGAGGCACATTTCTCACAGAGAATTGGCTGGAAGAAGGAGCAGCCCCATGGTCCTCTGCTCCCTGCCCACCTGTGGCCTTCTTGAGAGTTCTCTCCCTGGCTGCTCCTAATCATGGTTTTCCTTCCTGTCTGCCTTCTTCTCTTCCTCCCTTTCGTAAGTAACCAGCCCCTGTGGGTTTATGTGGGATAAAACCTGGGAGTCTTATTAAGGAGAGGCAGTATTCAAATGAACGGAAATTCAGAGAAGGGAGGCTGCATTACTGAAGCACAGGGCTTTTTTTTAAGTCATGATGAATGTCCTCAACCTCAGAGAAGTAAGCTTGTTCTGGAGTTGGAGAGCTGGCTGCCTGAGGCATCTGGGATGTAAATGTGGTTTCCCCAGATTCAGTTGGTGGTGTTAAAAAAGAAAAAACACAGGCTTGTGAGAGGGCCCAGAATTAGAAAAAAATAAGAAGCTGGAGCTGTAGATGAGTGGAAGTCTCACTGATTCCTATAGAAATAGAGTATTTAAAATTAACTTGGTATAAAAATAATCAGGAATATGGAGTTGATTTACTATCTATGTTTCCCATTGCTTGATTCAATTTCTGTTTTGAGAAATCCATCATGTATTCAGGTTCCAAAGACTCAATTCTAGCTCTGCGTTTCAGTAACCATGGCTATGGCCCCTTCTCAGGAGTTCACACATCTGCAGGCTGGACTGCTACATTTGCCTATTTGACTTCCTCGGCTAGCTGGGGCTTTGACCTCGACCCTGCAGGTTGTCTGTGCCTGTCTGGGCAAAATTTTTAGATTCCTCCTGTATTAATCCATTTTCACACTGCTGATAAGATCATACCCAAGACTGGGTAATTTATAATGAAAAGAAGTTTAACATGGTTGGGTGCGGTGGCTCATGCCTGTAATCCCAGCACTTTGGTTGCCGAGGTGGGCAGATCACCCGAGGTCAGGAGTTTGAGACCAGCCTGGGCAACATGGTGAAACCCCATCTCTACTAAAAAAAAAAAAAAATACAAAAATTAGCCAGGCATGGTTGCATGTGCTTGCGGTTCCAGCTAATCAGGAGGCTGAGGCAAGAAAATTGCTTGAACCCGGGAGATAGAGTTTGCAGATTGCAGTAAGCTGAGATCACGCCACTGCACTCCAGCCTGGGCGACAGAGCAAGACTCCATCTCAAACAAATAAATAAATAAATAAAATTTAAAAATAAAGAAAAGAGGTTTAATGGACTCGCAGTTCCACATGGCTGGGGAGGCCTCACAATCATGGCAGAAGGTGAAGGAGGAGCAAAAGAACTTCTTACGTGGCAGCAGGGAAGAGAGAGCTTGTGCAGCGAAACTCCTCTTTATAAGACCATCAGATGTCATGAGACTTATTCACTATCATGAGAACAGCACAGGAAAGACTGGCATATGATTCAATTACCTCCCACTTGGGTTCCTCCCATGACACATGGGAATTATGGCAGCTACAATTCAAGATGAGATTTGGGTGGGGACACAGCCAAATCATATCACCTCCTTCAGAGAACATCTTGCACATTCCTAGCGTAGTCCAGTGACTTTGGGGCCTTTTTATTTTATTGATCTGTTTCCCCAAGGCTCACTGTTACAGCCACATACAAGAGCACAGGTCCGTGGCTTGATAATTCAGAAATAAGTAAGTCAATCTTTTTAAAAAGTTAAAAGCATGAACGAAAGCACAGAGTCTCAATGGAGAAGGCTGATGATTTTCTGGTGATCATGTCTTGTGTTTATTAAGTAATATCATGGCCATAAATTTGTTCTGAGACATACGAGGTGCAGGAAATATTACACTCCTTCATTCTTGTCAGTCATTTCATACCTGGCCTGGCCCCACCACCAGTGGGGTGGTGGCCATTACTTCTCCCCTTTGAGAGTGACCCATCCCTTGAACAAGAGGCTCTAGGGGTTCCACTGTCCTTCAGGGAAATCCCTGCCCCTGTTCCATTTCCCTAACCCGCGGCCTCAGGATCCTTGTGGGGTCAAGAGCTGTGCAACCTTTGTGCCAGTCTCTCCCTCAGTAACTCCCCACAGCATTACACTGCATATGCTTTAACATTATGCTAAGTTAAATATGCAAGTCAAAAAAGACAAAAATTATATGATTATGCTCCATCAAGGTCCCACCACCCAAGTCAGTTCCTGCAAGTGGGTGCAGGCCCTGCTTCTCTTCATCCTCCCTGGCTTGGGAAATCCTACTGCTCCATGGATGGGTGCACCTCCCTGCCAACACTCAGAGCCTCCCTCCTCTGGGGTAACCTAGCCCTGGGTATTATAAAGCTAAACTTTTAAAAACAAAGGCCCAATATCCATATGCAAAAGAATGAAGTTAGACCTCTACCTCACATCATAAACAAAAATTAACTCAAAATGGATCAGTGACTTTAGTGTAAGAACTAAGCCTATGAAACTCTTAAGAGAAGACATAGGGGTAAATCTTCAGGACTTTGGATTTGAGAATAGATTCTCAAATAGGGCACCAAAAGCTTGAGAAACAAAAGAAAAAATAGATAAATTGGACTTTATCAAAATTAGAAATGTTTCTATATCAAAGGACAGTCTCAGGAAAGTGGAAAGACAAATTATAGGATGGGAAAAATGTTTGCAAATCATGTATCTGATAAGAATCTAGTATCCAGAATATATAAACAATTCTTACACTCACCAGCAAAAAGGCAAACAATCCAGCTTAAAAATGGGCAAAGGACTTGAATGGACATTTCTCCAAAGAAGATATGCAAATGGCCAAACAGCACATACAAAGGTGCTAAACATTATTAGTCTTCAGATAAACGAAAATCAAACCTACACGAGATACCACTACACAACCATTAGGATGGCTATAATCATTAAAAACAAAAAACAAAAACAAACAAGCAAAAAAGAAGACTGGGCACAGTGGTTCATGCCTGTAATCCCAGCACTTTGGGAGGCCGAGGCAGGTGGATCACGAGGTCAAGAGATCAAGGCCATCCTGGCCAACATGGTGAAACCCTGTCTCTACTAAAAACACAAAAATTAGCTGGGCATGGTGATGCGTGCCTGTGATCCCAGCTACTCGGGAGGGTGAGGCAGGGGAATCACTTGAACCTGGGAGGCGGAGGTTGCAGTGAGCCGAGATCGCATCACTGCACTCCAGCCTCGCAACAGAGCGAGACTCCATCTCAAAAACAGAACAAAACAAAACAAAAATAAGTATTGACAAGAATGTAGAGAAACCGGAACCCTTGTGCATTGCTGTTCGGGAATGTAAAATGGTGCAGCTACTACAAAAAAACAATATGGCAATTCCATGACAAATTAAACAAAGAATTGGCCAGGCGGGATGGCTCACACCTCTAATCCCAGCACTTTGGGAGGCCGAGGCGGGTGTATCACTTGAGGTCAGGAGTTCGAGACCAGCTGGGCAACATGGTGAAACCCCGTCTCTACTAAAAATACAAAAATTAGCCAGGCGTGGTGGTGGGTGCCTGTAATCCCAGCTACTCAGGAGGCTGAGGCAGGAGAATCACTTGAACCCGGGAGGCAGAGATTGCAGTGAGCTGAGATAGGACCATTACGCTCCAGCCTGGGCGACAAAGTGAGACTCCATCTCAAAAAAAAAAAAAAAAAAAAAAAACAAAAACGGAAATCCTGCACATCCTACATCATGGATGAACTTTGAGGACATTATACTAAGTTAAATATACAAGTCACAAAAAGACAAATTTTATATGATTATACTTTTATGAGATAGTAGCCAAATTCATAGAGACAGAAAGTGTAATGGTGGTTGCCAGAGCCTGTGGGGAGCGGGGAATGGGGAGTGACTGCTTAACAGGTAGGGAGTTCTCTTTCTGGGTGATGAAATTGCTTGGGGTTTGATAGAAGTGGTTGTTGCACAGCATCATGACTGTACTAAATGTCACAGAATTGCACACTTAGAAATGGTTAATTCTATCTTATATACATTTCACCTCAATTTTTTTAAAAAGCTTGTTAATTATCCCTTGGTCTTTGCTTCCAGACTATGTATTCTTTTTTTTTTTTTTTTTGAAACAGAGTCTCGCTCACTCTCTCACATAGGCTGGAGTGCAGTGGCACGATCTTGGTTCACTGCAACCTTTGCCTCCCTGGTTCAAACAATTCTCCTGCCTCAGCCTCCCAAGTAGTTGGGATTACAGGCGTGCGCCACCATGCTGGGCTGATTTTTGTATTTTTAATAGAGACAGGGTTTCACCATGTTGCCCAGGCTGGTCTTGAACTCCTGACCTCAGGTGATCCACCCGCCTTGGCCTCCCAAAGTGCTGAGATCACAGGCATGAGCCACCACACCCAGCCCAGGCTACATATTCTTCAGTAATCTTGTTTTGGAGGTTTTAGGGGAATAATAGGAAGCAAATCCTGGTTAATTTCTGAGCGTTGTTTTTTTTTTCTCTAGTCCTCAAATTTTAGAAAGTGCTCTTGTATATATTATTGCCTTTGAACTTCACAACAATCCTAGAGGTAGATAAGGCAGCTGTCATCAACCTAATTCAACATATGAAGAAACTGAGGCTCAGAGACACTCACTGACCTCCCCAAGGTCATGCAGACAGAAATTCAAAAATATTCAGACCCCTGTTCTAAGAACATCCACTGTCAGATCTCCCTGGAGAGCAGGGGTAGGGTTCAGGCTTTCTTATCACCATGGATACTTGGGACCACCAAGGATGAGGCTGGGGGCAATTTCCACTGCATTGTTTCTGAGCCTTGTAAAGCCTTCATGACTATTTTAGCTAAACTCAACATGTGTACTGAGTGAGGCTGGACCCGCCCATGCTCCCACCCAACCCCATCACCCCACCACCTCAATCATCAGCTCTCAGAGAGGAGCTCTGCTCTGCATTTCAAGGGGTCTGCAGGTAGGAGGAGCAAACTGGCTTAAAGCCTGATCTCGCCAGGTAGAGAGTCCTCCTTGTCTTGTCCCCTCTTACCTTGGTCAGGGGGGACCTGGGTTGGAGAGGTTCTGCCCGCCGGGAGGGTGTTCTCACCCCTGGAGGACCAAGCAGGACCAGGAAGGGTTCAGAAGAAAATAACCTTTGGGGCTGACTTGGCTCAGCCTTGGCTTAAGTTTCAAGGGGAAGAGGTGAAAGTTTCTACCTTGGACCGTGCAACCATCCAAGAGAGGTCAGCAGATGAAAATTCTGGGCAAGTAGCAGAATTCAAGATATTTTGTTTCTCCTGCAGGCAGATGGTGGAGGGTGTGTTTAGATCTAGATGAGAATTGGAGGAGAATCTATTATGTGGCATCACAGAGCACTGATACTGGGATGCCCTCAACGTGGCCTAGACCTTGGGGATTTGGGGCTGGGATGCCCTCAGGAGCTCAGCCTCAGGAATGGGGTCACCAAGTGACAGAATATTACCATCATCAAAGCAAATGCACCATCACACAGTGGGGCTGGGGAGGGGAGATGGCAGGCCATGCCAGCCTCTTGGGATGTGGAATTGGGTGGGGGATGGGGGGCCTGCTGTAGGGTTACATTCAAGCCCAGTGTTGAGGAGTTGGAAGATGGCGATAAGCAAGCTTGCTGATGGGTAGGTGAATAATAAGCCTTGTGGTTGAACAAAGGCTGGACCAGGGCCCGTGTGTCCCGTTCCTTCTCCCTGGGAAGTAGGCTCTGTCATCTCCTTCTGCAAATGAATCAGTGAGTGAAGAAGTCAAACCCAGGAGCCTGTGTTGTGGGGCAGCCTGGCCCACAAACAATCCCAAAGGAAGGTAGTGTATTTTTCTTCTGCCTTTTATAGCATTTTCTCTTAGGTTTATTACGGTGGTGAGGATACTGCCAAAAGTCTTGAAAATACTAAAACACAGGGTCATATTTTTAAAGCCAAGCCTTTTTAGACCTGGGAAGCAGGGAAGCAAAGATAGAAGGCAGCAGGCTGAAGAAAGCTGTAACAGCTGTCATTAACATAAACAGTGGTCATCAAAGTTATAATATTCCTGCCACTGACAATAAGAAGATAATACTGAGGGCAGCCTTGGGACATCTGGGAGTCTGGGGTTGCCTTCTAGGTATTATCAGAATTGAGCCATGAAATCAAGGGATCCTGGCCAAGGCTTCCCGGGAGGGGTGAAACTGGACAGGCCTGGAGGAAAGATATAAAAGAGAAAGCAGGGAAACAAGTGGCCAACACTGCTTCTCCCCTGGCAATTTCTGGCCTGGGCTTTTTCTTGTCCGAGCCTGAACCACTGATTGCTTGGGTGAGAGGGCGGGAGCCTTTCCACAGCCCTGATCGTATCTAATGTCTCAATGCCAGAACACACCTTCAACATCTGACCCTAGTGCTAGAGAATGTGATCGGGGGACGTTGGCAGCAGACAGCCTCAGTGCGGCAACCTCACTTCCATCCATCCGTGTGACTCTCCTGATTTGCCCTGGGGAACTCTGGAACACTTTTGGAGGGTCTCCTGAGATCCATATTAGAAGCTCAATAAAGATCAACAAATGTTCTACCAATGTGGATGGCAAATTAGTGCATCACCTTCGTATCCCTCTCAGAAGGTCACAGGATAAATCTGCCATTGCCACGGGTGACCCCTCAGGCCAGGGGCCCTGGACCACTGCAGGGCCTTCTGTGTCCTCAGAACATCCTCAGGAGGCCAGACCTGGGCTCCATCCAATTTAGACTTGAATTTTTTCCCCGTGAGAGGAGCATCAGTACACAAGGCATTGTTTCCAGTGGGGGCAAAAGTCTGGCAGTGAGAGAGCCCAAGATGCTCCCTGTTCCCCCTCACCTTGGTGCAACCAAGAAAGGCCTCTGGGGGCTGGACATGCCTTTGGGGAGTCTGAGGCCACTCCTTCCTCTGACTTCCCTAAATCTTCCGTAAATATTTCCTACTCTCTTTGCTGTGTGTGGATGGAATTTACTAGGGGGACCTCGAAGAGATGCTGAGTTCTGTGCCCAGGTTGCCATGGAAGAAAAATCAAATTTCGTGCCTGTGGATCTAAAGGATGAGGGGCAGCTGAGAGCCAGCTGCGCACAAAAGACCTGGCACAGAGTGCGTGTTCAATAAAGGGTGCCTGCGAGCATTTCCTGACACTAACCAAGCAAGTGCACTGTGTTTCTGGGCTCCCAGCCAAGGGTCTCTGGTGTCCCTGCATTTTGCTGCAGGAAAGAGACCACAACATAGAGCAAGCAGAAGCAAAATCAGGGGCCTGGCCTTGGCTCCTGCAGAGGGACTGTTGCCCACTGCTCACAGTAAAAGTGGGCACCACACTCTGACTGTGCAGCTTTCATGATGCCACCTCCTCCAGGCAGGCTGCCCTGAGTTCCCAGAGAACCAGTACATTTTCTCTGACCTTACCACTCCTCTGTAAGGATGCCTGGCTTGTCCGCTGCACCTCATGGATGGCACTTTTTAATTTATTTTTTGGTTATTTTTATGCTTTCAAAATGTTCACTATTATACTGTCTGCTACTTGCACATCCTTGAGGGTAGAGACTTTCTGTTCATCTTTGCATCACTCACAGGCCTAGCTATGTGCTTCTCCCCAGGACACACCGCAGACTTTTGTACATGCAAAAAACTTCATTCCCAAAGAGTTTCCAACAAGGGTTTTAGAAGATTCAGTGCTCAGCCAAAGAGGATGTTCTGTGACCTCGATTTTTGTATGTCTCTCTGAACACAGATGGGCACGAGAGCGTTGACATGTCGCAGAGGTGGCAAAGGAACTTGTGGTTAGAGGGCCACTGTACCTCACACCCTGCTCTTTAGAGCTTCATAACTAGGGTGACCACATAGCTTGTGGCCCAAGCCACTGAACATTGAGAGTGAAACGGAGCCACTCTTTTTTTTTTTTTTTTTTTTTTTTTTTTTTTTGAGACGGAGTCTCGCTCTGTCGCCCAGGCCAGACTGCGGACTGCAGTGGCGCAATCTCCGCTCACTGCAAGCTCCGCTTCCCGGGTTCACGCCATTCTCCTGCCTCAGCCTCCCGAGTAGCTGGGACTACAGGCGCCCGCCACCGCGCCCGGCTAATTTTTTGTATTTTTAGTAGAGACGGGGTTTCACCTTGTTAGCCAGGATGGTCTCGATCTCCTGACCTCATGATCCACCAGCCTCGGCCTCCCAAAGTGCTGGGATTACAGGCGTGAGCCACCGCGCCCGGCCCGGAGCCACTCTTAATAGCTAGGCAGGACCACAGACATGGCCGGAACCAGGACGGGGCCACACCTCCAGCCTCTGGTCTCCTCCACACACTTTACCAAGCGAGACTCTAACTGCAGCCCTATGGTTTCAAAATTGTCCTGCAACTACTCTGGCCACTAAACTCAATTAGTATACTGTTTACTAAGAATCGGAATAGTGGGGCTAGAAGGGATCTTTACAAATTTCTAATCACCACTGCAGATGAGGAAACTGAGGCTGAACTTACTCAAAACTACTTCCTGAAATGCAGGACAGATTTTCTTTAATGCCATTTTTTAATCTTTTATATTTTAAAAAAATTGTTTTGAAATGGAGTTTGGCTCTTGTTGCTCAGACTGGAGTGCAGTGGCACAATCTTTGCTCACCGCAAACTCTGCCTCGCGGGTTCAAGAGATTCTCCTGCCTCAGCCTCCTGAGTAGCTGGGATTACAGGCATGCGCCACCACGCCTGGATAATTTTGAACTTTTAGTAGAGATGGGGTTTCTCCACATTGGTCAGGCTGGTCTTGAATTCCCAACCTCAGGTGATCTGCCCGCCTTGGCCTCCCAAAGTGCTGGGATTACAGGCATGAGCCACCGTGCCCAGCCTTTAATGCCATTTTAAAAATGCCTTTCCACAAAATGATTCCTCTTCAACTTATCTCTGCTTCAGATGAGCCAATTGTGATTCATTTGTTCATTCATTCATCAGGTTTAAAAACATGAACTATGGGATGTCTATGGCAGCACCAGGCAAGCTGATGGCTAAAGAGAGCAGTGGCTGCCTTTCAGGGGACTGCAGTGTCCTGGGAGAGAGACTCGGGGAGACTAGGAGATGGCGACGCAAGGGGAAGGGTCGGCAGGAGGTCAGCCTGGGAAGCGGGGCAGGAGCCAGGAAGGGCTGGGCTGCTCCACTGGCTGCGGGGCAGACAGGGAATGGGGGCCCAGGGGTTTCCCAGAGACATGCTGATGTTTAAGCTGAATTTTTAAAATTGAGCAGGTTTTTAGTTTGTTTAGTTTTAGTGATAGAGTCTAGATGGGATCTCAGAACCACTCTCCAAAGTCACGAGGAAGGAAAGGACACCTAGAAGTCAGGATTTCCAAAAAGCAAGGGCTATTAATCCAATTTTAAAAAGATGAAAAGAACATGTTTCAAAACTACATACCAATTGCTGTAATACTGAGCTTTATTTTAGAAATCTAGAAAATGGGCCAGGCATGGTGGCTCATACCTGTAATCCCAGCAATTCGGGAGGCCGAGGCAGGAAGATTGCTTGAGCCCAGGAGTTTAAGACCAGCCTGGGCAACGTGGCAAATTCCCGTCTCTACAAAAAATAAAAATATTAGCCAGGCATAGTGGTGCACGCTTGTAGTCCCAGCTACCTGGGAGGCTAAGGCGGGAGGATCACCTGAGCCTGGGAGGTAGAGGTGGTAGTGAGCTGTGATTATGCCCCTGCACCCCGACCTGGGTGACAGAGCAAGACGCTGTCTCAAAAAAAAAAAAAAAAAAGAAAAAAAAATCTAGAAAATGTTGAAGAGATGCTTGGGATTGAATATACAGTCTTTAAAGTCAGATGGACCCTGGGTGTATGTAAGTCTTTTTAGTTCTAAGTCCTTGAGCAACTTATTCAAGCTCAGTCCTATTGTCTGTAGACTGGAGATAAAAATATTTATTTCAAGGGGTCATTGTGAGAATTCAATGAAAATGTGAAAAGTGCTTTGCACAGTGTCTAGCACAGAGTAAATATTCAATAACTATATTATTTTTATTTATAATACAGTGGGATGAGTAATTAGGAACAAATTTGGTTCCCTTAGAATATTATACTAATTTAATTTTAATTTCAATTTTGGTAGTTTTATAGCTATACCCATGACGTATCAGGATTTTAGCAGAGTTCTGACAAAATCATCCTTATGCCACAAGCAACCATCCTTATGTTTGTGGTGGGAATTCTAGAGGGTGATTAATTGTCTTAGGGAGGCAGAGCAGGGAACCAATCAAGACCAAGTACAGAAGGGGCCTTTGTTTATATCTTCAATGTGTTATTATTTAAATAATCCCGAGGAAATACGGCAACATGTTGAGGTGGAGAATGCTCACTTCCCACCAGTGGCTTGTTTTTCTTTCAACAATGACTTTTGCCTTGGAAATTCTGTAGCAGCCTGCAGCCTGCCTAAATCACTCTCGGTTGAAACTGCTCCCTGAACAGTGCTGAATCTTTTGTGATGGATCATTACAGTTTGAATAATGTTTTAAAATTGGAAATGAGGGTGGTTCTGTGCATAACATCATAGAGCCAGCAGTAGAACTGGGATTGGAAGCTAAAAGCAGCACGAAGTGTGACATTTACAGCACATCTTGTTGGTTCCTTGCAGGAAAATTCTGTTTCCAAGATTCATACTAAGAGCCACAGACACCAGAGTGAAAGCCCAAGCCCTGATTTGCCAAAGCCATTTGAGATGTAGAATATTACCTTCCCCAAATCACTGTGAGTGAAGTCTTTCCTCGAATGCAACCAAGCTTTTCAAGAAACCACTTTTTAAAATGTGACTCTGACATTGTAAAATGGTTATTTTTAAAGTAAAATCAATTTTTAGTTAGTATTTGTGTTGCCAGACACATCAGATTGTTTCTTGGTTTTAGTTTCTTCTTCTTTTTAATGTATAAAATACAGGTTAAGTAGATCTAAATTATGTGAAATATGATACTCACTAGCTGTTATAAAATCCAAGTATTATTTTATTATAGAGTGAAAAGTCAAGTTAAAAATCTAGTTAATGCCTGGCCTGATTTGATATGCTGAGATAATCCTTTTTTTTTTTTCAATAGGGCTGATATTAGAGGAAATGAGCTTTATACAATGCCTTTGGGGTAGAGTGCACTTACTGTGTAGATAACTGTAACAGCTCACTATTGCTGCATAACAAGCAACCCCAAAACTCAGAGGCTTAAAAAACATAAACATTTATTCTTATTCATGAGTCTGCAAGTCAGCTGGCAGTTCTGCTGATCTGGGCCAAGCTTTGCTGACCTTGGCTGGGCTCCCTCAAGCTTCTTTGGTTGGCAGGCAGGTGGGATGGGGCAGGCCAGTTGGTCTAGGATGAGCTCACTTGCATGACAGTGGTTGCTTCGCTGCTGGCTGGGGCACTGCGATATAACTGTGTCCCAAGTATTTCACCCAGCAGGTTGTCCTGGGCTTGTTATCGCAGCTAGGCAAGGGTCTAAGAAAGAGAAAGGGGATGAGCAAGACCTCCTGAGAGCTAGGTTCGGTGGTAGCACACCAATTCTGCCTCTTTCTGGTGGCCACCAGTTCTATGAAAAGAGCAGAGATGCAAGGAGGGAATAATTGAGTCCACTTTTGCAATCAGTTGCACTACAGGAATCATGCCTTGAGGGAGAATGCTTTGACTTGTTCTTCTTTATTGTTGGGAAAGTCTTTTCTAAATGACCTTCTAATTTCTCTTCTGGTTACATATCGTAGCATATGAAGTGTTTTCTGGGATTTCACCAGTCACAGGGTGCTGAATCTCCTCACCTCCAAACATGGTTTTAGTAGAACTGAACTTAGAAATGGAAAATGTTATAAAAAATCTCCTGGAAGTGGATTGATTGCTTCCAAGCAAACACATGCTCTATTGTCTTAACCTCCAACTCTAAAACTGTTTAGTTTTTGATCACTGCTCAAAATCAGATATCATGGGGAACAGTACCTACTGAAATGCTTTCATCTACTAAAACTTGAGGTTGAATGAATTTCACTAATCCATTCTCATGAGGAGATTTTAAAGTGAAATTGGAGGAAACCGAGGTATTTGTATATGTGGACATGCGCACATTGAGGGAGGGAGTAGAGGATGTGTGCACATGAATACATGTGAGCTGCAGGGGGTGGGATCAGGAACCACCACCAGGGTCAAGAGAAACCTCACACAACAGGACTATGGGAAGACTGCTGAGGACAAATACAACTTGCTTTGCATTTTTGCTCATCATTCTAGTCCCTGTCCTCAGAGTTAAGAGGACAGATTTTGAAGTCACACAGCCTTGTGTTAAAGTCCAGATTGGGGGTAAGATCCCAAACTTTCTGAACCTTAGCTTTCTTATTTCTAAAATGAAGATGAAATGTTTGCCCCATTGGTGTGAGAGTGAGTGAGCTGCTGTACACAAAGCACTAGCATGGTCCCTCCCACAACATGTGCACTCAGCAAGTGGAAATTATCATAAGCCTTTCAACCTTTTAAGGATTTAATTGCTCCCATGATCTAGTCTAGGCAGAACTGGGAAATGACAAAGGCAGTAAAGAACAATGGAGTGAAAGCTGGAGACAGACCTCTCCTTCATCCTTCACTGCATCCATCCTCTCCCTTGCCTTGTAGACAGGGGTACCTTGGCATGATCCTGAATGGAGTGGGACTTGTGTTCTGTTTATGCTGTGACTGGCAAAGGGTAGGTTGTGGGTGTGCTAGATAAGAAAGATACTTCACTCTGGTCCCGTCTCTGGTCCTTGGACTAGCCCTTCAGAAACGACGGAGAACAGGAATTAAACGTCTCTGCTTGGGGAAATTTCAGACATAAACCCCTGGTCCCCTTCAGGACAATTTTGGGAAGCAGAGATGGATTTATATCTAATGTTGTGCACAAGCTCTGCCTGGCAGTTCAGACAGTGCTGCCAGCAGGGTGAGTTTTGCCCACAGGCATGTGGGACATTTGTTCCAAGGCAATGTCCCTCAGTACTGTGCTAGTCTGCCCTTGCCTCTTGGCTTGTGGGGAGCCCCCAGCAGAACTCCATTCCTCTATTTCAGAATGTGATCCCTAGTTACAGGCAACAATCCCTGGGAGGGGACACATTTGGTGCAACAGACACAATTATTGTAAGTAAAGGACAGAATAGCTGCCTGTATTAATTTGTTCTCATGCTGCTATAAAGAACTACCTGAGGCTGGGTAATTTACGAAGAAAAGAGGTTTAATTGACTCACAGTTCCACAGGCTGTACAGGAAGCATGGCTGGGAGGTCTCAGAAAACTTACAATCATGGTGGAATCCAAAGGGGAAGCAAGCACGTATTCACGTGGTGGCAGGAGAGAAAGAGAGCAGAAGGGGAAATGCTACACACTTTTAAACCATCAGATCTTGTGATAACTCACTCACCATCACGAGAACAGCAAGGTGGAAAACTGCCCCCACGATTCATGACCTCCCACCAGGTTCCCCCGCTGCCACCCACAACATTGGGAATTACAATTCAACATGAGATTCAGGTGGGGACACAGAGCCAAACCATATCACTGCCCCAGAATCACCAGCAATCTGTGGGGCACAGCTTGACAATTACTGAAAAAGTTCATCCCCAAGATTTAGCTGCAAAAGTTTATGATCCTGTCTGGCAGAGTTGCTGGAGCAGCTTCTAGAGGTAATAGCCCCAGGACTCCCTGAGGGATGTGCTTGATGTCCACCCAATGCCACACCCTGGCATCCATACCCTCCAGGTGAACCTGACTTCTCACAGTGCACTTCCCACTCAGGTCTGGAGCAGTTTCACTTTAGCTGGAAACTGGCATCAGAACTGGTCTAACAGGGGCCAACCACATGCCCTTTCACAGACATCGGCAGGGTGGACCCACAGACCAGATGCCAGCATTGTTATGAGAACAGCCTCCCTCACCTCCTCCATAACACACACCCGTGCCCCACCCGGAACCTTCCACATAGCTGTCCTGGTGGCACTGGGCCTGCCATTGAGCTGGCGCAATGAGAGTTGTGAGCACAGGGCAGATCGGGGGTTATTTTTAAACGTCCTTGCTGGGAGGCAGTGGTGACCTTAAAGTAGGTTGTCTCTTTTTCTGGCATTTCAGTTTTATTGTAAAAGCATTTGTTTATAGAAACAGAGAATTCTAAGTGGCAAAAGCACACACATTATGCAAACGACAGATGTTGGCTATTTCCCCTCTCAGCCAAGGGAAACAGAGGGACCAGCTGTGACACCCTCAGTGGGAGGGGAGCAACCAGTCACCCTGTCTTGAGAAGGACTGTCCTCATGAAACATGCTCCTCCTGGAACCCGGGGGTCTCAGGGGGATCAGGAGATCTCTGAAGATGGGAAGGGTCCCTCCCAGTCCCTGCGGACGGAAGTGTTGGTTCTGCTCCTGGGGTGGCACCGTTCACTCTCCGCCAGAAGTTCCCTGCTTGCTGTGTTCCCAGAGAGAGCTGGTGGCGTTTCCTGCCCTGCCCTAGCTCAAGCGAATCCACTTTGTTCTGTCCCATCCAGATGGAGAAGGTCATCATGAAGGGTCCAATACTGCTCAGAGAGCCAAATATGATGGATGCCTGAAGGTCTGTAAGAGTTCTCAGAAGTCAGATCTCTGAAGAAAAAGAAAAATCATAAAAATATATTAATATAATAATATCCTAATACATTAATTATATAACATATGGTTTAAAATGTATTAAATGAAATAATAAATAATATATTAATATTATACTATTATTAGTATAACATTTCAATGAGCAGTTCTGCAAAAATTTATGACATGGCTTATTATGCCAACATTATGTATGCCCGAGATTAGGGGCCCAAAGCCTTCAGTAGCTTACAGTTTAGGGAGAGAGAAAGATGCAAAGCCAAATCACTTTGATAAAATAGCAGTGCGGCGATGGGGGTGGGTAGGACGGACGAGGTTGGCCTGTGAAGAATGGATAGAGAAGTTTCCTACCACCAGCACTGGCTCGAGGTACCGGGCTAGCGAAAGGAGAAGAGACCCTCTAAATAAAGTGGCTAATGCGTGGAGAACCCTCTGAAAGAGTAGCCTTGAAAACATACTTGATGTTTTGACTCCAGCCGGAAAATCTCTGCTTTAAGGCCCCGACTCGTCAGGCGCAGTGGCTCACATCTGTAATCCCAGCCCTTTGAGGAACCAAAGTGGGAGGATTACTTGAGCCCAGGAGTTCGAGACCAGCTTGGGCAACATAGCAAGACCTCCAACTCTAAAAAAAAAATTAAAATGTTTTTTAATTAGCTGGGTGCATTGGGGTGCACTGGTAGTCCCAGCTACTCCGGAGGCTGAGGCAGGAGAATCACTTGAGCCTGGGAGGTTGAGGCTGCAGTGAGCTATGATCATGCCACTGCACTCCAGCCTGAACAATACAGTGAGACTCTGTCAAAAAAAAAAAAAAAAAAAAAGACTCCCATATAAGAACCTGCTTGATTCTCCTGGAGATGTGTGTCCACAGCATGTGTGCCTCGTTCCATGCCAGCACTTGGCACGCTGTCACTTAGTTTATTTACTCACCTCTCTCTCTCACTAGGTTCAGGCAGTATCCTGGCCATCCCACTGCGTCCCCAGTGCATGTCATAGTGTTGGTCACATAGTTATTAATCAATAAACGAGTGAGTGACTAAATGAAATGCCTTAGAGAAGGCTGAGTTGCTTTTCTACTCTGTTTACTAAGAAACTCTGAGTTCTTTTAGTTTGATTAGAGTGAAAACCCGGATCACTGCTTCCTGTGTTTCAGACCTACTGCCAGAATTTTATTTTTTCAGGGGCAAAATAAGGAACATAGGGATTTAAATGATTTGTAACACGATTACTACAGCTGTCCACTGAAATCCACTGATCAGAAAAGCTCACAGTCTCATTGTGTGACTGCAAACAGCCCAAATACCCGCATCCAGCCCTGAGCTTCCTACAAGCTTTTATGCAGATTTTTTTGTTTTTTCCAACTTCACGAAGGAAGAGGTGACTCTATCAAGGTAATATGAGAGCCCCATCCCAATTCTTCAGTATTTGAGTTGGAAAAAATCTGCACAGATGACACATTATGGAGAGTTAGTGAGATTGGGTGGTGAAATCCCTGGGAACACAACACTTTGCTAGAACAATCGGCTCCCACTACTGCACTCTTCTGAGCAAGAATCTCTCCTACTGCTTTCCTATTATCAGCCTTTTTTCAGGCCCAGACCTCTGGGTCCTGGACCTGCTTTCTGGAGCCACAAACATAAGGAGGTAATAAAAACTGAAATGGAAAGCCAATATTTGCAAATATAAAGCGGCATCCTTCCTTATTCTGCCAGAATCATAACGAGCCAGGCACCTGTGCAGAGACCCACTCTCTCATTAAAACATGAGCCAAAGTGTTCTGGAAATGATCCTTTTCTTTCTTGCAGAGATTTGTTAAATGAAATATGATTCCAGCAATGTAATTCACTCAACTCTTATTATTCAAAGATTTCCTGAGCATTATACCAGATACAACAAAGTTATACTATGAATATAGATATCCAAGATGAAATGCTATGCTCTTCCTTCTCCATAAAGAAAATAGAGTAAATGAGACTTAAAAAAATTATTTGTATCTATCTATCGGTATATACGGCTGCATACTTCCCTTAAAGAGACAGAATGTAAAGAATTCTCTGGGGACATCAGTTAAACTTGCGAGGAGTGTGATGAGCTGTGTATACTTCTGATTGGGTCTGGGCAAACTAAGGGAAGCCTTATAATAATATTTATTGCTTCTTGCCTTTTTGCCTCACATGATGAAGGACAAAAGATCACCAATTTTCACTTAATTATTTTGGGTTTGCTATTATATATAGAAATTACTCACAAATATTTTTTCTGCTTTTCTAATATTTAGCTGTATTATTTCTGTCTCATGGTATGCAGCTTTGAGCAGCTGAAGTTAAATAGAAGTGGTATCAGGAGATACACGGAGACACAGTTCAGTATTTTGAGTCCCTGGATCGAGTTCAGCTCCCATCTCTCAGCCTTCCTAAGTCACATAGCCACTCAGAGCCTCTGACTCCTCCATGCAAAGTGGAGGTGATAATGCCTTCCTTATAGATTTTCCTGAGATGTAGATGCAATATCTGGCATGCACTAGGGGATGAGTAAATGGCAACTATAGTAAAACTAACTATCACTGTTATCTTCCTGATGAATGTCATATACCTCTTTATTCTGATGTCTTTTTAACAATCTCTAAGATTTCTCCACCAAGAATACATTGGCTGTTGGGGGTTCTGTGTGAGCCTAACCACTCCTCCTCATTGCCTCTAGATTTCAAGCTAATTGGGAAGAAGACACAGATCCCAGAGGAAATTAACATGCAATATTCACTTAATTGCTGTTTTGGTGGTATTGGAGAATGCCATAGGCACCTGCTGCTATGGTGCATTCCCTTTCTGTCTGCTCTTCCCCTTACAGTCGAGACCTGGGGGACTGCATGTTGAAGAGTGGGATCGGCATACACTTACCCAGACACAGCAGACTTCAGCCTTCAGCCTGTCTCATACCACAAGGAGCCTGAGTAATTAAAATTCAGAGAACCAAGCCATGGGGCCAAGTATGAGCAGATACATTTAACACACTACAATCAACCATGAGGGAAACAGAACAGAGAATGTCAGGTTCTCACCATTCTCTCTTAAGAACGAGAAAATGGGGACTGGAAAGGATAACAAACAAACAAAAGTACAAAAGTTTGTTCCCCAATTCTTCCCCTCTGAGACAAGGACTATTAGGACATTTCCATGTTATGGAGCAGGGCAGGACTATGACGGAAAAGAGAATGGTTCCGTTTATTGGCTATTGATTAGCTTGAGATATTTTTCTCTTTACTTACTTTAGGATGTGGTTCCAAAAGCAGTGAATTCATAAAATTCAGTTCAACACACCTGTATTGAATACTAATTCGCGTAAGATATCATGGCAGAGTTTATTGTATTGAATAGTTGCTGTATAGAAGACATTGTGGCAAAGCTTCATTTAAATCTGGAAAAGATGATATTATGCCGAGGTAATCATCACCAGACTTCCCAAACCTTTAATATAGTCCTGCATTCCTTAACAGTGGGAATATATTCCAAGAAATGCATTGTTAAGTGATGTTATCATTGTGTGAACATGGTAAAATGTACTAACACAAACTTAGATGCCATAACCTACTACACACCTAGGCCATATGGTACAGCCTGCTGTTCCTAAGCTGCACACCTGCATATAGCATGTTAGTGTACTGAATAGTGTAGGCAATTGTAATGCTATGGTGAGTATTTGTGTATCTGAACATACCTAAACATAGAAAAGGTGCATTAAAAATATAGCATAAAACATTTAAAAAATGATACACTTGTATAGGGCACATACCAGGACTGGAAGTTGCTCTGGGAGAATCAGTGAGTGGTGATGAGTGAATGTGAAGGCCTAGGACATTACCATACACTTTTATATGACTGGTGGCCCTATAAGTTTGTTTATACAGGCATCACTACAAACACTATTGAGAGTCGCCACACTCCCTTTTTGAGTAATGCATTGCACTAAGATACTACAATGGCTACGCAGTAGGAATTTTTCAACTTCATTATAATCTCATATGCAGTTTATTGTTGACTGAAATGTTGTTACTTGGCACTTCACCGTATTCTAAAGTGCTCTATGGGGTTCCCATTTCACTAATGTGACATAAGCCCACTATAGTCCATCCTGTTGTCTGATCACAACAAAAAACTCTGGTTGGAAAAAATACAAAAAATAATACCCGAGGCCTCTGTTTCCGGAAAGTAAATAAAAGCAGGTGGACTGTGGAGGGGAGTCAAAACTTGGAGAAGACAACCTACAGGGTGAGTTTCTCTACCTCTCTCTTCAGGGCTTTGTCTTAAGGGCGGCCCCCAGGCATTGAGCAATGTGGCAGGGGGTGGCCATGTAGGTAGCTAAAACTCCCACAAAAATGGCATCTTTCTGGTCAGAAGAATCAAGAAACAATATCTTTTGAGGGCTGGAGAATGAGGGGAGAATAGCATGAAGAGAGCCAGGAAGAAAAAGTTTCCCTGCTGATCCTGTATATAATCTTCATGAGTCTCAGCATTACCCCTGAGTGATACTCACAAAAGGTAAGCAGAACTTGCGGTTCCAAATCTAATTAAGCTGATTGCCTGCTAAACCAACAACATGAACATCCTCCATAGCATTATACTAGGACTCACTGTCTGCACAACGTAACCCATTCACAATGTCCAGGATACAACCCCAAGTTACCTGACGTACACAAGAAAATATGACCAATTCTCAAAGGAATGGACAAATAACATGTCAACCCCAAGATGAACCAGGCATTGCAATTATTAGACAAAGATGTTAAAGCATCTATGAAAACTATACCCCATGAGGTAAGGAAAAATATACTTGAAATGAATGAAAATACAGGTGTTCTCATCATAGAAATATAAATTATAAAAAAGAAACAAGGGAAAATATTATAATTGAAAAATACAATATATAAAATAAAAATTCCCAACGTAGGCTCAATAGTGGGCTAGAAATGAAGAAAGAGAGTCAAGGAAATCTTATCCAATATGAAAAAGACAGAAAATACTGAAAATAAATGAGCAGAGACCCAGGGTTCTGTGAGACAATATCAGAAGGACTAACAGACATTTTACTGAAGCCCAAGAAACAGAGAAAAGAATGACTGGGACAAAAAAATATATACTTGAAAAAATGATGGCCTTAAATGTCCCAAAATTGGTGTAAGACAAATTTATAGATTTAAGAAGCTCAGCAAACCATAAATAAGATAAACTATTTTAAAATGCTTAGACACATCATAATCAGAATGCTAAAAACCAAATATAAAGAAAAAATTCTTGAAAGCAGGCAGATAAAAATGACACATTATGTACAGAGAACAATAATTCAAATAACTGCTGATCTCTCTTCAAAAACCATGGAGGCCAATGGGATACTATCTTCAAAATAGTTAAAGAAAAGAACTGCCAACTCAGAATTCTAAATCCAACAAAAATACCCCTCAGGAATGAAGGCAAAAGAAAAGGATTCTCAGGGCCAGGCACAGTGGCTCACGCCTGTAATCCCAGCACTTTGGGAGGCCAAGGAGGGCAGATCACTTGAGGTCAGGAGTTCAGACCAGCCTGGGCAACATGGTGAAATCCCGTCTCTACTAAAAAAATATAAAAATTAGCCAGGTCTGGTGCACCTGTAGTCCCAGCTACTTGGGAGGCTAAGGCAGGAGAATTGCTTGAACCCGAGAGGCAGAGGTTGCAATGAGCTGAGGTTGTGCCACTGCACTCCAGCCTGGGTGATGGAGTGAGACTCTGTCTCCCAAAAAATGAAAAAAAGAGAGAGGAAAAAAAAGAAAAAGATTCTCAGATGAAAAAAAAAAAAAAGAAGAAAACTAAGATAATCCATCATCAGCTCTCCTGCTGTAAAAGAATTATTAATGGAAGTTCTTTAGGCCAAAGAGAGATGATGCGAGACAGAGGCTTGGATCTTTGGGAATTAATGAAGAACAACAAAAATGATGACTATCTAAGCAAATATAAAAGACTATTTTCAGCCACGTGCGGTGGCTTACGCCTGTAATCCCAGCACTTTGGGAGGCCGAGACAGGCAGATCATGAGGTCAGGAGATCGAGACCATCCTGGCTAACACGGTGAAACCCCGTCTCTACTAAAAATACACAAAATTAGCTGGATGTGGTGGCGGGCGCCTGTAGTCCCAGCTACACAGGAGGCTGAGACAGGAGAATGGCGTGAATCTGGGAGGTGGAGCTTACAGTGAGCTGAGATTGGGCCACTGCACTCCAGGCTGGGCGATAGAGCGAGACTCAATCTCAAAAAATAAATAAATAAATAAATAAATAAATAAATAAATAAATAAATAAAAGACTATTTTCCCCTCTTGAGTTCTTCGAAACATGTATGACTGATGAAAAGAAAAATTACAACATTATCTTTGTAGTTTTCAATGTATGCCCGTATAATACATATGAGGACATAATAAAAAGGTCAGTGTGGGAAAATTAAAGGTTGCAAGGTTTGTAACTTAGTTTTAGGTATCAACTCTAAGTAGACTTTGAAAAGTTAGATATATGTATTTTTTCAATTCTTGAATTGTAAAATATGTATAATATAAAATTTACCATCTTAACCATTTTAAACGTACAGCTCAGTAGTATTTTATTTTATTTATTTATTTATTTATTTGGGACACGGTCTCACTCTGTCACCCAGGCTGGAGCGCAGTGGCACAGTTATAGCTCACTGTAACCTCAAACTCCTGGGCTCAAGTGATCCTCCCATGTCAGCCTCCCAAGTAGCTAAGACTACAGGCATGTGCCACAATGCCTGGCTAATTTTTTTTTGGTAGATATGGGGTTTCATATTATGTTGCCTAGGCTGGTCTTGAATTCCTGGCCTCAGGCAATCCTCCTGTTTCAGTCTCCCAAAGTATTGGGATTGTAGGCATGAGCTTTTGCATGCAGCTCAATTCAGTGGTATTAAATACATTCATTTTGTTGTACCTCCATCTTCAGAACACTTTCCTCTTGAAAATCTGAAACTCTTTATCCATTAAGCAATAACTCCTCATTCTTTCCTTCCCCAACCCCTGCAACCACCATTCTACTTTCTGTCTCTATGGTTTTGACTATGCTAAGTTGCTCATATAAGTAGAATTATATAGCACTTGTCCTTTTGTGACTGGCTTTTTTTTTTTTTTTGAGACAGAATCTCGCTCTGTCACCCATGCTGGAGTGCAGTGGTGCGATCTTGGCTCACTGCAAGCTCCGCCTCCTGGGTTCACGCCATTTTCCTGCCTCAGCCTCCTGAGTAGCTGGGACTAAAGGTGCCCACCACCACATCTGGCTAATTTTTTGTATTTTTAGTAGAGACAGGATTTCACCCCATTAGCCAGGATGGTTTCAATCTCCTGACCTCGTGATCCGCCCACCTCAGCCTCCCAAAGTGCTGGGATTTCAGGTGTGAGCCACCATGCCCGGCCGTGACTGGCTTATTTTATTTAGCATAATGTTCTTCTTTGTCTCTTGTAACCTATTTTTAAAATTTAATGTGTATTTTTCTGATATCAGTATAGCTGCTTCTGCTCTCTTTTGATTATTGTTACATGGAATATCTTTTTCCATTATTTTACTTTCAACCTATTTGTGTCTTTGGTGCTAAAATGAGTATCTTGTGAGCAGCATGTAGCTGGATCATGTTTTTATATTCATTCTGTCAATCTCTGTCTTTGGTTGGATAGTTTAATCTATTTACACCTAGTAATGATTTGTCTTCTGTACACCTTATAGCTTTTTGCACCTCATCGTCTGCATCACTGTTTTTTTAGTTGATTTTTTGTAGTGAAATATTTAAATTCCTTTGTCATTTCTTTTTGTGTCTATTCTATAGCTATTTTCTCTCCTGAATTTATTCTTGGTGTCTTTTTAGACACCAAGAATAAATTTTCTATCTTTTTGTGGATATTTCCATTTTGTTCATACATCACTTCCTTGACTTTTCCCCCATCTTAGTTCTTTCAGCATGTTTAAGACAGTTGTGTTAAAGTCTTTGTCAAGTAGAGCCATCATCAGGTCTTTTTCGGCAACAGTTTCTGTTGTTATTTTCGTCTTTGAATAGGCCATACTTTTCTGTTCTGCTGTATGCCTTGTGATTTTTTTGTTGAAAAAACTGAACATTTGCATCTAACAAAGTAGAGTAACTCTGGAAATAAAAAATTTCCCTGTTGCCAGAGCTTGCTATTTGATGTTTTGTTCTTTTTTTTTTTTTTTTTTTTTTGACTGATGCATGCTGTATTTGTGCTAAGGATGAATCTGAGGTGTAAGCTTAACGTCTTCTCAGGTCTTTTCTGAGCCTGCACCTTTCCCTGGATATTGCAAGATCACTTTCTAATTTCCCCCACATATGTAGCTGCTTTTGAATATTTTAGTCTTTAATATCTATCTCCCAAAAGGAGAAAAAGAGAAAAATGAAGTGGAGAGAGGAACAAAAGATTTCGGCTCTTTAAATCTCCTGGAAGTCACCTCTGCTGGAGGGGGAGGGGCTTGCAACAATGGCAGTAGGCAGAACAACACTGGTCCCTGCCTCTTTGTCTGTAGCTCTGGATCAGAAGCAGAAATTGGAGGTCAGAGAACAGATCCTTGACATTTAGAGAACACTGTCCTTTTGACCCATGCTAACTCCTGCAAGCTGTTCCTGGAACATGTGCACAGCTGCCTACCACAGGAATAGGGATGGAAAATGGGTAGTTGCTACAATGCTAAGATATAAAATGGACTAAAACTAACTGAAATTTACCATCTAAGCCTTCCCTGGAATTTTCAGGCCTTTAATAGACTCCAGAATTCCAAAATAGTTACATCAGACAGATTTTGCCAGTGCAATTGTGGTCTAAGTGGGGGGAAAGATTCCCAGTGCTTTCCACTCCACCATCTTTCTCTAAAATCAAACCAATACGTTACAATGCTAAAAATCTAAACTAAAAAATCATCCAAAAAAGAGCAGGAAAAGATTAAGAGAGGAACAAAACAGAGGGTCCAAAAAGAAAACAAATGATAAAATAGTAGACCTAACTCCAACCATATTAATAACTATAGTAAATGTTAAATTGTCTAAACGCTCCAATTAAAAAACATAGATTAACATTGTAGATTAAAAGGCAAGACTCTACTAAACACTGCCTACAAGTGACACACTTTAAATATAAAGGCACAAATATGTTGAAAATAAAATACAGACCACCCAAACAGTAGGCATAAAAAAGCAAAAGGGGCTGTTTTAGCATCCAGTAAAATGGACTCCAAAACAAAGACTATTACCAAAAAGAAAGATAGGTATTTCATAACAATAAAGGGGGAATTTCATCAGAAATGCATAATTATAAATGTGTATGCAACTAGCAAGAGAGCCCTAAAACACATGAAGCAAAAATGGAGAAAATTAAAGTGAGAAATTGTCTAATTCCAAAATTTTCTAAGCAATTGATAGAACAATGACCTAAAAAAATCGGTATTTTATTTTATTTATTTATTTTTTGAGACGGAGTCTTGCTCTGTCTCCCAGGCTGGAGCGCAGTGGCGCCATCTCGGCTCACTGCAAGCTCCGCCTCCCGGGTTCACGCCATTCTCCTGCCTCAGCCTCCCGAGTGGCTGGGACTACAGGCGCCCGCCCCCACGCCTGGCTAATTTTGTGTATTTTTAGTAGGGAGGGGGTTTCACCATGTTAGCCAGGATGGTCTCGATCTCCTGACCTTGTGATCTGCCCACATCGGCCTCCCAAAGTGCTGGAATTACAGGGGTGAGCCACCCGCGCCTGGCCAAAAAATCAATCTTGACATAGAATATATGAACCACACTGTTAACCACCTTGATCTTGTTAATGTTTGTAATATGCTACATCTAATAACTACAGTATAAACATTATTTTCAAATCCACATAATGTATTTACCATAAAACAAGTTGCAATAGATTTAAGAAAATTGAAATCATACAAAGTTTACTCTCTGACCACATGAGATTAAATTTGAAATCAGTAATAATATAATATCTAGGGAAACTCCTAATATCTTGAAATTAAATAATATACTTGCTAAATAATTCACAAGTTAAAAGTGCATCATGTGTGTCCTAGAGAGGGCATCAAGTATGCTGCATTTGCCAAATTTAATTGGACACAAAAGTCTTTTTAGTGGAGCATTTCATAAGACTAGTGTTTTGTGGAGCACATTCAGGAAAACTCTCCTAGAATATGCCCCTGAAACTGTGGTGCCTTTTCTTTTAAGCAGAGATTGAAATTTTAATCGGTCCACATAGAAGACATTCCATCCATCACAAATATTTACAAAATTCATGTTGATGGAGAGACTTCCTCCAGCATGTAATCCTTGTCAATCTAACTTTATGCAACTGTTTGCTTTTTGTTGTTGCTTTTTCTTGGTTGAGATTCTTCTACAGGGACATAGTTGTCTGGTGTTCCAGAAATAACAATCGGTCAAGTAATTGCCAAGTAAACAGGGCATCGCTGGAGCAACGAGCAGCAGTGAACCTGTTCTTTCTTGTGGACTAAAACTAACCTAATAGCAAAGTAGGGTCTGAGCCTTTTAGAGGAGGGAGGAGTCCTTCTCATGGTTGCTGGTAAGGAATGATTGTGTTTCTCAAATACAAGAGGGGTATTACTTTCTCTTTCTTTTTTCTCTTTTGTTTTCTTTTTTTAAAAAACCCTTTGCACTAACAGCCCTGGAGAAAATGGCTTGTTCTTGTTTAAGGGAAAGTCAATAATATCCACCAAGACTTGCCAAGGAAACAAAATTGAAGTTGGAAATGATTTGCTGGAGAAAAGCTGTAAAAGTGAATGGGAGCGTGGCTGTATCCCCAAAGCAAAGCTTGGGGTGTTGGAGGAGTCTGGGCTGAGAGGGAGACCCCAATCTTCTTTGGCTGGAGCCATAGGTTCTGAAGAGCCTCCCAACACACAAACCCATCTACTCGCTCCCCTTGGATTTCCTCAAGTTCATTCCCTCACAATCTAGCAGTGCCCCTGGCCCTGAGGACATGAGGCTCCCGGGCACCGTGGCAGAAATGGTTGCTCCATGTCAGCAGATGCACTGTCTTCCAAAATAAGTTTGTGCAGACAGCATCTGCTTAGGGGATTTCTTGAAATGAAAAGGTGGAATAGGCAGTTACAGATCAAGAGCTCTGGCCTATTCAAATTCTAATGTTTGTTGATTAGGATCTTTTGGCCCAGAAAATAATCTTTAGCACCCGCAGCTCAGAGACTGCTGAATACTTCAGTGCTCCAGCTTAAGAACCAACAGTTTATACAAAAGCACAAATGTAGTTTTCCTCTATTAACTACTCAATTCAATGCCTGGGGACTGGAGCTACATCACCTGAGAATCACCTTGAGGACTAAGCTCTGATTTTTTTTTATCATGCCCAAATTCCTATCTAAGGAGTCTGGGGAGTCATGCCCTACAAACCATAAATTCCCATCAGATGGGTTTTATTTAACCCTGTTTATCATAACTTACTTTCCAATCTGACTCTGGCATAACAAGAAAGAAAATAAAAATATTTAACCCCAAAATGTATTTCCTTGCCATACCTTGAAATTGTCCTGCAAGTCTCTTGTGGGAAAAATCCACATTCTATAAAGAATCCCCTTTCACCTTTGTTTTCCTTCCTTCCTTTCCAGATCCAGGGGATAATCAACTAAGAGTCAGGCACCCTTTTTAAGTCCGATAGGAAACATTTTACAACCTGCTCTCTCTGAAGTCTGCTATCTGAGAGCTTCCTCTGCACAATAAAACTTGGTCTCCACAATCCTTTATCTTAACCTGAACTTTCCTTTCTATTGATTCCAGGTCTTCAGATAAATTCAACCAATTGTCAACCAGAAAATGTTTAAATTTAGTTATAGCCTGGAAGCCTCCTCCTTGAGTTGTCCCACCTTTCTAGAGCACACTAGTGTATTACTGAAATGTATTTGATTGATGTCTCATGCCTCCCTAAAATATATAAAACCAAGCAGTACCCCGACCACCTTGGGCACGTGTTCTCAGGACTTCCTGAGGGCTGTGTCACGGGCCATGGTCACTCATATTTGGCTCAGAATAAATCTCTAAAAATATTTTACAGAGTTTGACTCTTTTTGTTAACAATCTGGAGAGCTTTTCAGAAACAGATTTCTGGGCCTCCTCTTGGAGAGTCTTGTTGGACACATCTGACATGGGCCCCAGAATCTGGAGTTTGGTCAGCCCTTCCCAGGGGCAGCTTCTGCAGCAAGTTCAGGGAGGCTCTCCTCGTCCTGCCTTGCAGAAGCATCTTATCACAAAGGCCCTCCGGGTGAGCCTCAGACGCCTTCTATTACCTGAAAAAAACAGGTTCATTCTCCTGGCAAGTAATGAACGACTCTCCATGAGAACACAGGTTTTGTTTTTTCTTTTATATATATATATTATACTTTAAGTTCTAGGGTACACGTGCACAACGTGCAGGTTTGTTGACATATGTATACATGTGCTATGTTGGTGTGCTGCACCCATTAACTTGTCATTTACATTAGGTATATCTCCTAATGCTATCCTTCCCCCCCTCCCCCCACCCCACAACAGGCCCCGGTGTGTGATGTTCCCCTTCCTGAGTCCAAGTGTTCTCATTGTTCAGTTCCCACCTATGAGTGAGAACATGCGGTGTTTGGTTCTTTGTCCTTGCAATAGCTTGCTGAGAATGGTGGTTTCCAGCTTCATCTATGTCCCTACAAAGGACATGAACTCATCCTTTTTTATGGCTGCATAGTATTCCATGGTGTATATGTGCCACATTTTCTTAATCCAGTCTATCATTGACGGACATTTGGGCTGGTTCCAAGTCTTTGCTATTGTGAGTAGTGCCGCAATAAACATGCGTGTGCATGAGAACACAGGTTTTGATAATAGGAGTTTTATTACTTAGCTCAAGTAAGGAGGACACTGGGAGTATTCTCCAAAGCAGTTTCTCCCTGAGGGAAAGTGACAGAGGGCGTTAGGGGGTGATGGAGAGCAGAGAGGATGCGGCATGGCATGTAGAGGAGGGGTCCCAGCTGTGCAGATCCAGTGAGTTATCATGCCAACACACAGGTTGCATGTTTTGATGATGAAGCTACAGCTTCTCCCAGGATGAAGACTTTAGCACGGTAAGGAGGGAAGATCACTTGGGTTCATCTGCAAGTTTCCGGGCGTCTTTCAGGAGCTGGCTTAAACCAACAAGGTGACCGCAGGGTTTGGGGAAGAACAGGCTGCAGGGCAAGAGGCTGCCAAACAGGCTGATTGCTCAAGTGGATTAAATTTTTATAGTCCCCAGAGATCCTCCCTTGTCTGCTTATACTTCTAGCTGTGATTCACCCTTCCCTGTGACCAGGACTGCACTGCCTGCACCCTGGAGTGTCTTTGTGTCCTATCTCCCTTGTAGGACATCACTACCTGGCCCCCGACCCTGCCTTTGCTGTGGTCTTTCTGCACCCATGAAGAGCTGAGTGTCCCAGGGGCTGCTGGAAAAAATTTGCCCAGGATGGTGCCAAGCGGGCCACGAAGCTGCACGGGTCAGCCCCCTTCTGAGGAAAGGTCTCCCTTGTCCATCACCAGCCCCTGTTTCATATGAACCAGTGTGGCCTGGCTTGGACTACCTCTCAGGGATTGGAGGTTAGGACTATTATTTTCCTTGTAGTCTCTATTTTTGTCTAATTTTGCATTCATCTGCATAATAAACCCTATCTTCACAAAAACATGCCATCCTGCCCAGTGCAATCTTCAAGCTCATGTTTCTCTGATGTGTAGGATTCAATTTGTAGTTCTCGCCTCGGCCCACAGTATCATGCCTCTGGGGCCTGAAGACTGCATTTTAAGAGGCACAAGCTGAAGAGAAAGGTTGGCTTGTCTTAGAGATGCTCTGCGCTGAAGAGTCTGGAAGGACTGGGTATAGGCTCTTACCAGAACTGAGGAGATCTACTCCAGCCCCCCAGGGTGGGACCAGGTCCCTGCAGGAGGGTTCTGCCCAAGCTCAGTGGCCTACGGGGAAGGGGCGGGGGTGGAGGAAAGAATGAAAGGAAACCAGAGGCTCCCGGAAGCCCATCTGAGACTTGCTCTGGATGAACTAGTAGGTGACTTGACGGTGAAACTAGGTAAAGGTGTTTTTGCACCATTCTCTGGATATTTCACAATGGATGTTCTTTCTGGTGATCGATGATACAGGCACACTTTTCCCATGGTGGCAGGGCAGGCCCGAGGAATTGCACCAGGAAGCAGCCAGCCGCAGGTCATGAGAGCCTTCATGTTGAAACTGTTTTTTCCCTGTTTTGTGCAGTTCTGTGTTTTTCCAGGGCAGGTGTCTGACTTTGAACAGAATCCTATCTTCAGGCAGCCTGCCTTCTCCTTTAAGCAAGTTGTTCCCCATTCCTTCCAGATGGATAATTTATTACAGTGTCTGGGACAGCCCTGCTTTTCTCGCCAGCTCATTCCCCTTAAACATCTTGTGCTTTATGATTCCAGGTCTCTGTCAGTGCTGGATTATGGATTTCAGAGAAAGACCAGAGCTGAAGTCTGCTCCCCTCATTGTGACAACACCATCCACAGAGCAGTGAAAAACTCATGAAATAAACCAGTCCCTCCTGCCCATTTGTCATTTATCTTTATTGCTCAGAGAAAATTCATGGAGAGGAGCTCTTGGGCTGAACTGTCATCAAGTTTTTGCAGCCGAGTCTGGGTTGATCTGACAATTATGCACATAGACAAGATCATTTATGTTCACTTTTTTAGATGGAGGAATGAAGTGAGCTGATACATAAAAAATTATATCCAAATGATAGAATCTGTTAAAGATGTATTTTCTGTCTTCTATTTTAGGCAGGCTGCCCTCAACTCCATGAACAGCCTCCATAATTCATCCACTCGTTTGATTCCTCCTGACACATGGCCCCAAAAATAGTTGGTCTTTTTGCTTTGACTATGCTGTGTTTTCACCAACAGCAACCAGGGGAGCGTCTTTGTGCAATGAGGAATTGTTAGTGGGCAGAAAGGACTGCTGACAAACCCTGCCTGGAGAAGCAGAAAGGGCTTTCTGGAATCCAGAAGGAGAGATGAAAATCCCCCATGTTAGTCACAGTTCACACGCAGCTAATTAGTGAGGCTTGAATCTCTGGGGAGGAGCTGATAAAAATTATTGTAAAGCCACTGAGAGATTTGATGTCGTTTTGGAACAAGGAAATCGTGGAGTAAGTCCATTAAGTTTTAAAATTGTAAGAAGTCCAGAAAACGTATCTCTTACCCTTTCTCACTCAAAACTCAAGAAGAAAATAAAAAATTTGTTTTCCTTAAAGGGTCATTATGCAAAGGAGTTAGTTTGGGCAAAATGAGCAGCAGGGTTTGTTTTTTTCTTTTTCTGAATTCCAAGACTAAACACCATCCACAGAAGATTATATCTTCTTGGCTTTTCTATACAGGAAATTGGTTCTGTCCTCAGTCCTTACCCAGCCCAGATGATTCCTATCTGGCAATGGGGACACCCTGGGCAGGTGTAGTCTGGGGTCTGGGGGCTGATCTGACTTGGCCTCACCCTTGTGTGAACTTGAACAAATCACTGAAATCTCTCCAGGCCTTGGCACTGAAATCTCTCCAGGCCTTGGCACTGCCATCTGCAGTGGGTAGAATCCTCTCCCAGAGTGGTAAGAGGATGAATCAAGATGACACATGGTCAAGCCCTCCATAACCACAGTGTGCTTTGACTTCCCATTCAGTTGCTACTCCTTCCAATTTCGGGCATGTTTTCCTGAAGATCTAGGGTTTGCTATGTGACACTTTGGCTCCCTTCTGTTAATATCATGATTTGAAATAATTGCATTTAATGATTCTTTGTTTGTTTGTTCCTAAAAGGAAATAAGAGGTGAGAAGAAGGGTGAAAGGAGTTTGAAAGAAGAGTGGAAAGTCATATTTTTTGGGTCTGTATTCTGGTGGCTTTGGGCAGGACACCTAATGGTGTGGGGTTTCATTCATTCCTGGTCTCTAACATGGTAATGCTAATGGTACCCACGTCATAGGACAGTGCACACAGCACAGTGCTTGGCTTATAGGAACCTATGCAGACACCAGCACTATCTGTTATTATGAGGTTCCCTTGGGGCCTTAATAAAGATTTGTTGAATAAATGGATTCATTAAGTAGTAAATAAAAATAAAACAACAAAAAGGAGTACATTAAGAATGAATCTCTCCCACATATCTTCTCTGAATCCCAATAATGCACATTTGCAGGACAGCCCACAGCAGGGATGGACCTGGCTTCTCTTGTCTGGTCGCCTCAGTGTTCCCGCCTACCCTGCTCCACCCTCCCCTGACACAGAGGCTGCCTGTCACATGCTCTGTGGTGCTCCGTGATTGTCAGTTCCAGCCTAGAACACTGTCCTCCCTTCACTCATGGACTGAAAACCTGATTTTTCCAGGCTCCTTTCAAATGCCACCTCATCTGTGAAAAATTCTCAGATCATCCTCAGTCAAATGTCATTTGTAAAAATAGGCTAGAGGAAGTTTATTGCTTGTTTGTTTTCTGGGCTATGATACCTCCCTGTTGACTCCTGGTTCCTCAGCAGTCCTGGGGGGCTAGGAGCCTGATATGAGCAGCAGGCTCTCCCAACACCCAAGCCTGGAGAGGTTCTTTCACCTTCCCCCAGGCCATAGCCTCTTCTCTGTGTGATGCCAAGCACTGGGGGAGTCCATGGGCATCCGTTTCCTTGTGTATAGAATGAGGGTGCTGTACTAGCTGTTCTGAGACCCCTCTAGCTTCAAACCCCCATTGTTCCTCGGGCTAGATTACCCTCACCAGTGAGTGGTGGACATTTGTCACAATTCCAACCCCTAATCTCTAGCTCTCAAAGACACAATAACAGAGAACAAAAATGTCTGCTCCTCTTTCTCAACACACACAAAAAATGCACAACTCATTCCCCAAATACATTCCTGATTGTCCCCTAGGACTGTCTGGCATAGGGAACCCACAATGAAGTTTCCGGTTTCTAAAAGTTCTCTGGGACCTCTCAGTAGGGTCCCCAGTCTCCCAGGTTCAACATGTTCTTCAGTACGATCCTGGGACTGAAATAAAACCATTCATCCTAGAGAGAGGCTGCTAAGGACATTGGGTGAGTGACAGACAGAATGCCTCCTCTGTGTTTAGTACAAGAGTCACCCTTTGTTTAATAAAAATTGTGTTCCATTCCCTGGCAGCATCGCCTGTCTTCATTCTGCATAAACCACATACAGAGAGCTTTTTGTCTGTAAAGTCCTTCGTAGAGGTAGAGCACATGATTACAGTTAAGTTCATTTTTACTCCATCACTCTTCGTAGGATAAAATGCCATTTTATTGTACTGTGATAGCAGTTTTGATTACACAGGGCAGCGAAAAGGAGAAACGATGATTGAGCTACAGATTGAAATTCAATCTAACCATTTTTTAGAGGCTTTATTATTCCAGGACCAAGTGCTGTTCTCAGGCTTTCTGCTCGACATTCTATAGCCATTGCCTCAGACTAATTATAATTCATTTCACCAATTCTAATAGACTAATTTTATCATTCTATAATTAAGCTTCTTCTGGCAACATGATATTTAGCTGTAAAAGGAAAGCATTTCCCATTTTCAAAATTGGTTGAGTAAGACAAGGAACGGTAGTCATATTCACTTAATTCTACATTTCTTTTGAGCAATGATATTTTATTGACTCAAAGAACTGGTAGATTAGTCCAAGAAAAAGCTTTTTCAGGTATAGAATGTTTGAGGCATTTTTTTCTAAGATGACAGCAGTAAATCAATCAATATTGATCAAATACTTTAATCACTGCTTTGCACTTAAAGACCCAAAAGGAAAATGAACAAGATTTGCTCAGAAGTATGTACTACAGCTAGTAATATTATGTGTCTGAGAGGAAGAGGCTGTTAGTTGCATATACAATATCCAATATGGTCTGATAATATTTCATGTGGCGAGACACCTACCTACAGAACTAGGCTCCCTTGCAGACAGGAATGGTCACATGAAGAAGACTGGCCAATGAGATGTAGGTTGATGCTGTCCGCTGGGACTTTGGCAAAAGCTTCTCATAGAAGGGGTGGACTCACACTCCCCAGTCAGCTGGAGATTTGACTTGGTACTTCTTCCTTCTTTCTTCCTAGAAAAAGAACTTGTTTACCAGAGCTGAAGCAGCCTTACAACCACCATGAGGGAAGGGCCAAGAGAATAGCAGAGACCTCCCTGTTGACATTCTTTTTAAAAAACTTTTTTTTTTATTTCCATAAGGTCTGGGGGGGACAGGTGGTATTTGGTTACATGAGTAAGTTCTTTAGTGGTGATTTGTGAGATTTTTGGTGCACTTAACACCCAAGAAGTATATACTGAACCCAATCTGTAGTCTTTTTTCCCTCACCCTCTTCCCACTGTTTTACCCCCAAAGCCTCCAAAGTCCATTGCATCATTCCATGTTGACATTCTTAAACCAGGAAACCAACACCAGCCCCTGCCAAAGGCTGACCTTTTCATTTTGATTAAAAAATTTAATCCCGATGTGGTCTAAGTCATTCTGATTTGGCCTTCAATTACATGCATGCATTCATTTGTTTATTTATCTCTCTTCTCTAGAATAGAATTCCACAAAGGCATAAATTTTTTCATTCATGGCTGTATCTTATGCTTTAGGAATACTTTACTGCACATTAAATGAATGCAGCTGAACTCCTTACTGATACAAACTGCTAGCCAGTAAAAACTGAAATTTGTCATTGGGGCTTCTCTCAAGCCACATCCCACTCTCAGAAGATCCTAAAAAGCCAGTTTGCACATGTAAAACTCTTCATTCAAACCACGAAATCTTCATGATATCTTTTTACTTAAAAGTAAAGTTTTATTAGTTATTGATGACCTCTCATCAGCAAACCTCCAAAATACATAATCATAGTATAGAATGGGAATTTAGCTATCACTCTCAGAAAAATACACCTGCCCACTTCTAAGCCACGTAGTCCAGTCTGGGGCCAGATAAGGCCCTCCTGGCCATGGGAAGGACTGACTTCCATCCCCAGGGTCCTGGACGCTGGGCTGGCACTCTCAAATGGGACCCTCTGGGGAAGGCTGGCACAGTTGCTCTTCATCAGAGGGCCAACTTTGAAATAGAGGAGACAGGGAGCCTTCCCCCACCTTCTCCCCTTACATGCAGGCAGGGGGTAGAGGGGCAAGGGCTGAGTTCTGCTAGTTGCTCCACGAGCACCTTCTGTTGCTCCCCATCCTGAGAAACCGCACTCTGTGGACTTGGACTCTCCAAGCCCTCCTATTTCAAGTTTCTCAGTAGTATGGATCGTGTTCCTTACTTAGCAATTGCACCCTCCTTGCTTATTTCTGTCTTTTGGATAGACATCCTAAACTGGATCTACTGAAATTGTTTGTTCCCACCTCAGCACTGCTATATCTAATTTACACTGTACTTATAAAAAGAATAAATATTTAAGGGAACTCAGAAAATGGAGCTGGAGCAGGGCCCCTGTAGTCTATAAAAACCTAGTTGTCTTCTGGAGACCAAATAATTCACTGCAATCCACTCACATGCCTTTGAAGAGGCTTCTCACCCCTTGTCACCAGATGTCTGGCAGTTTGTGACTGGAACTACCCACTCCATGCCTGGATGGCTGGATGTGAGGAGGACAGGCCTCCCTCCTGCATAATAGCATCCGGAGAGAACCCCAGAAAAGCCCATTAAACATTTATTTAGGTAAAATCACTGTGTCATTAACTTATCTCCATACACACACAGAAAGGGAACTAAAATAGATTTTAATGGAGCAACTAGGAGCTTTCTAATTTTTCCTCTTTTGTTTGATGAGCAATCAATTCAAGTGTGTGCACTGGGTACATGTGGGGGTACCCGTAATTGGGGAGTGTGCTGTATTAGAGGGTGTTTTGTGAACACCAGTTAGTAGAAAAAAGAATACCCAACATGCACACACCACTTTATGGGTTTGCAAAGCATTTCCACACACATTACCTTTACTCTTTACTTAACTTCTCTGTCTCTCAGTTTGCTGAGCTGTGAATTGGGATAATAATACTTTCCTCATAGTGGTGAGATACCGTATAGAAAGCTCCTAACACAGGGCCTGACACACGGTAGGTCTTTAAAAATGAGGTTAGTGTTTCCTCATTGGATCCTCTATTTTCCAATGTCTCCACACTGTTCCTCCATATCCTCTCCAAGCCCTGGTCACAGTAAGCAGAATTTCCCTTCCTCATTCTGCCGTGGACAGCTTCCTCCACACAGCTGCCTTGCCCTGGTTTTCCTTGAGGACATGTGTGTTAGTCCATTTTCACACTGCTGATAAAGACATACCCGAGACTGGATAATTTATAAAGAAAAACAGGTTTAATGGGCTCACAGTTCCACGTGGCCGGGGAGGCCTCACAATCATGGCGTAAGGCAAAAGGCACATCCTACATGATGGCAGACAAAAAAGAATGGGAGTCAAATGAAAGGGGAAACCCCTTATAAAATCATCAGATCTCATGAGACTTATTCACTACCATGAGAACAGTATGGGAAAAACCACCTCCATGAGTCAGTTATCTCCCACCGGCTCCCTCCCACAACATGTGGGAATTATGGGAGCTACAATTCAAGATGAGATTTGGGTGGGGACACAGCCAAACCGTATCAACATAGTTTCCCCAGCCATCCTCCCAGGAAGACAGGATGCTGGGCTGATGTTCTGGGCTTTTGATGCCAGGCATCTGGTGACCCCACCCTCTGGCCTGGTCCTCTGGCCTGGTCCTCTGGCCTCCCCTAAAGATGCTCTTGCTCACCAATGATGTGCTGTGTGGCTCCCAATTCTTACCTCCACCTGAGGCCCTGCCGAGTTCCTGGAAGAATTTATGGCTTTTCATTTCTGTCCTCGACTCCTCCTCAGCCACCCAACTCTTTGCCACCCTCTGTGTGTGGTCATGGAATTGACCACAAAATCCCAGGTTCTAGTTCTGTCACTCCTGAACCTTGAGTTCCTTCACGGGAAGTCCCTGCCATGCCCCGTTTCAGCACGTGAGGACTCATGCCCTGACCCCAAGGCCCACCCCACCAGCACACTCCTCTTATCTGCATGTCCTTGCTCAGCCAGCCCTGGGCTGGGGTTGGTCACTCTGATTGCTCTTGTGCCAATGTTTTTAGCTCCCCAGGTCAAGGATGTCCCCAGGTCCATCCTTCTCCCGGTGCCCCCCACCACACCCTGGCAACCCATTGACTTTCCCATCAGTCCATCTTCATATTTTCTGCTCATATTCTCAGTGCTGTGCTTTGAGGGAAATCACCCAACCATGGAGTTGGGTTTGTGGTCTCCAATCTCAGGATAGCCTTCTGTGGATTATCCTACCCTTTGGACTTTGTTCAGAGAAAGAGGCAAATTTCCAGTTTTTCTTGTATTTACTTCTTTGGGAAACCAGCCTCATATAGAAGTAAAAGGATGAAGCTGGGAGTAGGAGCCGGTTTTGGAGCCTGGCTCTGTCACATTCTAGATGTGGGACCACAGACAAGCCCTTAATTTCTCTGGGCTTGGTTTTCTTATCTGTAAAATGAAGATGTTGGATCAAATAATTTTTAAAAATATGTTCCAGCTCCATAATGCCAAAATTTTAAGAATTTTGATAGAAAATTCTTGTAGGTTCCTAGCTTCTTTAGCATCTGCTTTGTCTCATTTTTCATCCATATGAAGGGAATTTTACCTCTACTGACATCAACCATCTGTCAATCATCCATGGGGAAAAGGAGATGTCTAGTGTTGACAACAGCACTACTAGCTGAGGTGGAGGTCCCATCTCCCGGGGAAGGAAGGAACCTTGGGCTTCAGGGTGGTGCAGTCTGACCCACTGAGGTGGCAAAAGGGACTGAGGGGTCCTCAGCAGGTGTCCCCTCCTGTCAGGGTTCCTGAGCTGAGCACTATAGTTATACCCAGTGTATTAGTCCATTTTCATGCTGCTGATAAAGACATACCCCACACTGGGAAGAAAAAGAGGTTTAATTGGACTTACAGTTCCACATGGCTGGGGAGGCCTCAGAATCATGGCGGGAGGTGAAAGGCACTTCTTACATGGTGGCAGCGGGAGAAAAATGAAGAAGTAAAAACAGAAACCCCTGATAAGCCCATCAGATCTCATGAGACTTATTCACTACCACTAGAACAGTATGGGGGAAACTGCCCCCATGATTTAAACTATTTCTTACTGGGTTCCTCCCACAACACGTGGGAATTATGGGAGTATAATTCAAGATGAGATTTGGGTGGGGACACAGAGCCAAACCATATCACCCAGGGTACATCTGCTATCCAGGTGCCAAAACAAATGGAAATGATGTGGTTCATCAGCACAACACAATATTGTCAAAATCAGCACACCTGGAACATTTTTTTTTTAAGAGACAGGGTCTCATTCTGTTTCCCAGGCTGGAGTGCAGTGGTATGATCTTGGCTCACTGCAACCTTGACCCCCCAGGCTCAAGTGACCATGTCACTCAAGCTACCATTGACTAGCTGGGACTACAGGTGTATGCCACCATGCCTGGCTAATATTTTAGTTTTTGTAGAGATGGGGGTCTCATTGCATTGCCCAGGCTGCTTTTGAATGTCTGGGCTCAAGCAATCCTCCTGCTTCAGCCTCCTAGAGTGCTGGGATTACAGACACGAGCCACAGCACCTGGCCGACACCTGAGTCTTGCTGTTGTTTTCCATCCATTTCCCTGTCATGGTGTTTCATTTTGTATTACAGGGTCCTTGAGGGGAGAGACTATGCTCAAATTTGCTCTCTGTGTACCTAAGGGCTCAGTGAGTGCCACTGAATGAAGATACTGCTAGAAGACACAAACACTCCAAGGGAGGGCACCTGCTTGACCTGAGTGCTGTTTCTAAATGAGATTTCTCACTTCCTAAACATCATAGCTACTTTCCAAAAAGGAAATAAATGGAACTCCATTTCCCTATCCCGTCCCAGGTGATTGAAGTTACGTGACCCTGAAGAAAGTGCACACTTCAGGTAGCTTCCAAACGGTCTCCCCACTTCCTAAAATAAGACAAAATATAAAAAGCACTAGGACTGAAATAGCTGGCCTCTATCCAGGGGAAATGAAGGGCAGCTCAGCCTCCCTGCCAATGATGGATGCAGGGAGTTTTGCAAGCTTCCTGTCTGTCCCCTGTGATGGAGTCCTTTGGGGCTGCCTTGCCAACTGGCTGGAGTTCAGGCTGTGTCTTCACAGACATCAGTACTGAGAATATGAATGGCTTTGTCTGTTTAATAAAATAACCAGCTTTAAAAAAACTGAACAGCTTGGTTATTTCACTAACAATACAAATCAATAGATCTTGTTGGCTACAGAAATGGTCTTGACCCCTCACCTGCCAGTTTAAAACGATTTATTCCTTCTTTACTCCTTGTTTCGGTTCAGTACATCAAGCTTGGATATCATCCTAGCCTCTGCCCTTGAGAGCATGGCTGCTGACCTTGTTCCAGAACACAGGCTACAACCCCAGGGGGCATGGGGAACAGAGCCCGCTGAGGTCTGCACGAGGCCTTTGAGGAGTGGGGCTGCTCACAGGAGAGGGAGAGATGGGTTCTTAGTGGGAGAACAAGCACAGGGCACCGGGAGGGGCCAGGAAGTATATGGGTAGCCAGTGTGGAAGAGGTTATGGTGCAAGTTTGCATGGCTAAAGAAGATTTGAGCTCAAGAAGGGTTTAGAGGGATTTCATGTCATTGCCTGCAGGTGGGAAGGGAAGGATGCTGATAGTGTGATGTGATGCTGAGGCTCACAACCACCCTCATAAGACTCAGTTCCTGGCTGGTCCTGACCAAGCCAGATGCTGGAAAGGACAACGCTCATCTGGTAATCCTCAGGCTGCCCCTTCTCAGGCAGGCAAAATACCAGCCAATTTCTTTCCACTGGAGAGGGAAACTTGGGGACCACTTCCAGCTGCTTCATTCATAGTGGTGAGGTGTAGGGAGGGCCCATGAGTGGCTTGGGACATCCAGCTCCCCAGTCTACCCTAAGAGTGTGAAGAGGGAACAGAAGTAGAGGACGCATTGTGCTTGACTTACCCCTTCTTCCACTGGTGTCTCTGGGGACCATGTCGCCCTTCCCCAAAGTCTCCAGTGCCACCATATTGTCCTGCCACCCAATGGAGGGCTGAAGTTTTCTTTCTTACTTCTCTTGAGCCAGTCCCATTTCCAGGAGCTGGTCCCATTGCCCAGTCTTCCTCATCTTCTCTCAGACAGAATTCCTTGGACATGATCCATCCCTACCTCTGTCAACTCCACTTCCTCCACTGTGGTCCAGCACTGTCCTATCTTGCACTCTCAAACACAGAATCCCACTTACAACTCCGAGTCTGACCACAGCTTTTCTGTAGCCTGTTTGGACTTGCTTGTGATTGTATACCCCCTCCCCAGGGTGCACCACCTTCCTGATCTCTGTGAGCTCAGCCTCATGTCATCACTCCCAGCAGGCTCTACAGGTGTGGATGAGAAAGGGTTTAGAGGGCAGGGACCATGCCTGGACTGGTCACTGAGGACACTCGACACCCAGTACCTCTTGATAGCAGGCAATATGCACACATTTGTTGAATAAAGGGATATTATTTGCTTTATGGGTGCTCTTCACGGAAGACATGAACAGAATGCTCAACTGTATTACTATTCTGACCCAGAAAATCAAGGGCATCCTTATATACAGGGGCCAGCTCCTTTACAACACAACCAATGCATTCTACTCACTACCATTAGCTAGTGTTTCTCAAACGCTGCTTTTACGATGCAATCCTTCCACTCAGAAATCTCCCTGACTCCTCTTTGAATTCCAATTTCCTTAGCCTGGCAGTCAAGACCCTCCACAAGCCTGCCTCTGTCTTCCTTTCTCAGTACTGTGCTACACAAACCCCTTATTCCAGCTAGACTGGTCTCCTAACTGTCCCTTCGCAGATGCTCATTCCTGCCTCTGTCACTGGGCACGCTCTCCTCTCCCAATCACTGGCCATGAGCCGACTCTGGCTCATATTCCGAGACCCTACCCAACAGTTATTCTGTCTATTGTTTCCTCCTTGAGCATTCCAACTCATGGCAACTTTGTCCATCTGTGGAATGATGGAACGGACAGCATCTGCTAGTCATCAGACACTGCTGTTTTGGGTGTCATGTGTCTTGTTGCCATGGATGATTTAACTCCATGTGTGTAACTCCTGCCCACCTTAACTAGACTGTATGTCCTCATGCCCTACTTCTCTGTACCCCATGTTTCTACAAGAGTGCACACAGTAGCTCCTCCAGGAAGCTGGTGGAATAAATGATTAAAAGGCTGAGATCTCTTTGCCTCTTCCTTTGGACCAGCCAAGTGGGCTGACCAAAGCCCCCAGAGGCTGCTAGAAGGGAGAAGGTAGAAAGACATCTTCTGTCTGTGTACCTGGAGCAGCCCAGGATGGTGGATGACTGGGATGTGTTTCAGGCTGAAGAAGGTGGAGGTAGCTCACAGGTGAGCTGGGGCAGCCCTGACTGTTGTTCTACCTGGGCTCAGCCTCCTGTGAATGCTCAGGGTGCACAGGCTGGGGACATGCCTGGGTATCTGAGAAAGGGACTAGTTGTCCCCAAGGAAGGTTTTGGAGCTGAGCCAGTCAGCATGCACACTGCAACTGTGACAGCCGCTGGGGCTCTTCTCCATAAGCAGTGGTGAATCACATTGAAGAGCGGCTTGTTAAAGGCAGACTTATCCCTCTACTCCGAAAATACAATCTGTCACTCCTGTATCAAACCAGCTGGTTCCCTAATAGCTACGGACAACATATTTTCTAGGAATGTGTCTTGAAATTTCCTTTGGCAAATGTCTCTAACTGGCATTTCCTCATTGAATGTGCTGTATTCTTACACAGCAAAATTGAATTTCCCTTAGAAGTTGGAATGTAAGTTACTATCATGTGGCTAAAAGGCACATGATGTGCCATGATGCATATGTCATTATCACTAACGTGCTCACTCTGTTGGTTATTGAAATTGAGGTGGCTCTTATTCATTCCTGGAATTTGTCTATTGGATCACAGAATAGGATTTTTCCTCTGAGATTCTAAGAGAGTGAGTCATCCTCCTGTATCCAATCTCCTTCTTTTACTTAGTAAAATAATCCTTGATTTTAGCAGGACCCAAAACTTCTTGTCATGGATATCACATTTCTGGGCCCCTTTGGAGGTAGGTGTACTCATGTGACTAAGTTCTGGTCAATGAAACGTAAATGGAAGAGTCACATGTGACTTCAAATAAGTGCCTTTAAAGTAAGAAAGTGTGCTCTTCCTTTTCTTTCACTTCCTGCATATTAGGATGCCAGTATGAGGTCTGGAGCTCAAGCAGCCATCTTGGACCATGAGACAACATGCTGCAGAAGAAGGGGCAGCTACATAGAAAGAGCCTGGGTCCTCAATCAGTGGAAGCCAGTGTGCTAGCCTTAGACTTCATTTACAGGAGACAAACTTCTGTATTGTTTAAACCACTGTTATGTTGAGTAATCTGTTAATGCAGCCAATTCTAGTTTCACCTGTTTCCACCAGATCCTGTGAGCTGCACCTTCTGTCTCTCTTGCCCTGTGGCCTTTGCTTGCACCTAGGCAATGGAAGGCATGGGCAAAAGAATGGAGGGTGGGAGGAGACAGAAAGAGAGAGAGAGAGATTGACTTTTCCTCCCTTGCTCCCTCCTGCTCCAGTGCCTCAACACAGCAGAGTTTGCCCATCTTCCTCTACAGCTCTTGCCAGGGGCGCTCTCCTCGCTGTCTCCAGTTCTCACTGGGCTCTGATGACACTGTTTTTCTTCTTTTCCTATTTAGTAATGGCTTACTATTATTGTTAACCTCTAGGAAGCTCAGTAACCTTTGTAGGTTTTCATAATTGTGCTCACACCTCTGTAAATTGTCCTTTTGTTAATTTCCTTAAACATTTTAGTAGAATTCAGCTTCCTGCCAGGACACTGGCTGATAGACCAATGAGGCAGGGACCAGCAGGAGGATTGTGTATCTTACCAGTCACTGCCTTCCTGATCAATCAGTGAATTTGCATTTTCTTTACTCTTAACTCTATGACCCTTGAGAAAAACACCTTGGAATGGACATCCCAGTGGCAATGGTTGACTATCCTGGGAGTTGTGTAAGCTTATCCTATGAGCTCACCTGCTGGAAGATGTGGTTCTGTTCTCAGAGTTTATAGTATACTCATGGACTGACAGGGACAGAGATAGGAATTAATTTTCATGTGAGGGAGAGAGTGACACTACTGTCATTATTGAAGGAGAGCTAATATGCAGTTTAGTAGTGAGCAACAAGGTAGAGACCTTGAAAACCAGGCAGGGAAAATTGAATTTAATTGGGAGCAATGGAAGCCAGCAAATGTAAGGTGACATGATATAAAGTGATGTTCTAGCAAAATGTATTTTGCAAAGGCTGACTGGTTTGTTCTCTCTGCCTTCTGCTTTTCCACTATTTCTTACAAACCTTGTAACTGCCTCTTGAACTAACTTTATAAATCCAGATCTGCTTCTGCCTCTATCAGCCCCCAATTGCTAAACCCACCCTTCTTTAGAATGATTTAAAAGGCCTTTTGCCAGCTGCAGCCAATCTCTAGTGCCATCTCCAGCCACTTCCCTCCACCTACCTTTTGTCAAGGCCCCCATGACTGGTCATCATTTCCTGAGCACACCACACTCATGCAAGCTTCTGAGCCCTCGCATGTGCTGTTCCCTCCAACCCAGAATGGACCAATAGAACTTTGCATCATGATAGAAATGTCCTGTGTCTATACTGTCTAATATGGTAACCACTAGCCATAGGTGGGTATTGATCCCTTAAAATGTGGCCAGTGTGACTGAGGAGCTAAAATTTTAACATTATTTAATTTTAATGTATTAAACTTAATTAAATAAATTTAATTTAAATGTCAATGGCTACATGTGGCTAGTGGCTAACATATTGGACAGTGGCTAGTGGTTACCATATTGGACAGAAAAACTCCAGACAACATGTTTTCTGTTCTTCTCTCCCACCTTTCCCCATGCTGGGAATCTAGAAAACGTCCATGTATCATCAAGGACAGGTTTAAATGTCACTGCTTCATATTCACTTTCTGTCACCTCCTCTTCACCCCATGAGACTTAATTACTCCTTCAACTTCACTCCCCTAGCAGTTTATGCTTACAGGCTTCTATTCCTTCTTTTGTTCTGTCAGGAGGAACTTTCTCCTCCTTACACTTTACTGTACAGTGCTGTTTGCGGGTCCGTAGGTGAGCCATGCCCTCTTGCCTCTAGGCCTTTGCATATTGCTGTTGCCTCTGCCTAAAACGCTCTTCCATACATCTCTCCCCTGGCTAATTAATGCCTTGAGATTTCAGCTTAGACATCTCTTATTCCAGGATGCTTTCCTTTATACCATTCTCCATACAAAGACAAAATTAGGGCTCTTCCTTCCTGAGTATTCCCATAGTGTCCTCTATTTATGAATCATAGTTTTCTATATTGTACTTGTGTTTGTAGCCTGTATTCCCCTCTGTACTATAAATCTCTTTGAAGACAAGGACTGATTATTGTTCAAACATCTGTCACAGTATCCGTTGCATACTGGGCTGAATATGAGCAAAATGTTCCTGTTGCAAGGCGGGGCAGAATTTTCAAAGTGGGGCCACTGTCCATGGTTCTGAAATAGCACGGCTGGGCTGTGTGCCGACTATTCCTATGTCCAAACTTCCAGCAAAGTAGAAACCAGGTTATGGGATATGTTATGGTGAGAAGAGAGAGACTATGACATATGGGGGCTGGGGAGGGAGGAGAGAGAGAGAGAGAGAAAGAGAGAGAGAGAGAAATAGCCACTCACTAGAAAAGGTTTTGCTGACATATCCAAATCATTATTGTTAGCAAGAGAGAAGCCACCACAGCAAGATATGGATGAAATGGCGAGCCCCTGAAGGAAGGAAATGTTTGTATGTGCAACTGTCAACTTGAACAAACACATTCACACAGGCTGGCAATGCAGCCAAGCAGAAAGAGTGTGGCTAAAGTCATATTCCCAGCTAGTTTTAAGTGATTACAGTTTGCCTTTGTTTTTATTTTCTCCTTCTTAGAATATCTGTCCTTACACTGCCCATAACCAATAAGAACTTATGTCCCTCATGTTTCATAATGTTTGTAGCTGATTTTCTGTGGATAGTGTGTAGCTTTCCTTTTGTCACTTTCATCATGTCATTGATAGATAATTCAATGAGTATCAAGTCTCTCTCCTACTCTCTGGCATGCTATTTTACCCCTTTCTCAAAATGTTAGCACCTTTTTGCCACTACTTACTCTCAGCTGATTACCTTCTTATTTCACTGAAAAATATAAACAATAAGAAAAAATCCTTTTTATCCAAAAGGCCTTACTAAAGGGGTGGGATTTTTTTAAGTGAGGGTTAGGGTTAGGGTGCCTTGGCACCCTTCCTTCCTGCTCAGTGGAAGGTTTGTGCACATGCCTCCTAAAGACCAATTCCTTTATTTATGCTCTGGATAACATCTCCTCTCATCTATTCAAGGACTTTGCTCCTGCAATTACACTGTGTCTGTACTGAACATTCTCCTTATATTGCATCCTTTTCTGTGCTTACAAATGTGCTCTAATATTTTCCATCTTTTAGAAATCTTCCCTGAGCCTAGTTCCCTTCTAATTACTACCCCATTTTTCTGCTCTCCTTTACAGAGACACTTGGAAAGGTTGCTATGCTTTCTGTCCCAATTTTTCTCTGACTCATTACTATCATTCTTTTGCCCACCACTCTGCTAATATCCCTTGTTTAAGGTCACTGATGATCTGCATGTTGCAAATCCAGCATCAGCTCTCCATCCTCTTCCTTCTTGACCTATCACCACCATTTGATGCAATCAATCAACCCTGCCTTCTTAAAACACTTTCTTCACTTGAGTTTATTTATTCTTTTTTCTGGTTTTCCTTCCACCTCACTGGGTATGCCTTCTCCATCTTCTCTACCAGATCCTTCTCTACTTCCAAACCTCTAAAGGTGGGCTTCATCTTTGGATATTTTTCTGTCTCTACATATATTCACTGTCTTGTGATCTCATTCAGTTCCATGGCATTAGATACCACCTACATGGGCCACTTCTCAAATTTAATAGCCCCTGCCTTTCTTCTAAATAAAAGACACATAGAACCCATTGCCTCCTTGACATCTCCACTTATAAAACAATGGATGAGTAGGGTGAACCCACATCCCCGTTTTCTTAGGATAGTTCTGACTTATGACTGTTACCCCTGTTTAAGTAGTGATTGCACTTCTTTCATTTAAAACAGACCCTGTTTAGAAAATAAATTATATTGCCACCTCTATTTGTTTCCTTTTGCTGCTATAAAACAACTACCAAAAACTCAGTGGTTTAAAACAGCACACATTTATTCTTTTGCAGTTCTGCAGGTCAAAAGTTTAAAATGGGTTTCACCAGGATAAATCCAATGTGTCAACTGGGCTGAATTCCTTTATAGAGGCTGTAAGGAAAAAATCCATTTTCTTGACTTCCGACTTTAAGAGGCTGCCTGCATTCCTTGGCTAGAGGCCCCTTTTTCATCTTTAAAGCCAGCAGGGGCAGATTGAGTTTTTCTCACATCACACTGCTGACTCTTCTGCCTTCTTTCTCCACACTTAATGACTTGATCACTTTAGGTCCACTCAGATAATCTAGGATAATCTCCTTATTTTAAGGTAATCTGATTAGCAACCTCAATTTCCTCTACAACCTTAATTCTCTCTTGTCATATAAACTAACATACTCACAGGTTCTGGGGATTAGGACACGGACATCTTTAAGGGAGCATTATTCTGCCTACCACATCTTCTAATAGGCTTTCCAAACTTAATATGCAATATTAACCCAATGTCCAGTGTTGGCTCCTGGTTTTCCCAAAACTCTCCTAGCTCTGTGGTCTTTCCCATCTCAGTAAATAGTACACCAAATAGCCATTCACTCAGGCCAAAACTTTGCAGTCATTCTTGAATCTTTCTTGCACTCAAACTCCATATCCAAACTATCAGCAAATGCTGTACACTCTACCTTTACCTCTAAGATGTAGATCAAATTCAGCTATATTTAATTACCTCTAAGATGTAGATCAAATTCAACTACATTTAATGTACCCCTCCAACCCATTATCATCTGCTATGGTTTGAATGTTTGTCCCCTTCAAAACTCATATTGAAATTCTATTGCCATTGTGATGGTATTAAAAGGTGGGACCTTTAAGAGGTTATTAGGTCATGAGGAGGGCTCCAAACTCATGAATGAATTAATGCCATTATCTTGGAAGTGGGTTCATTATAAAAGGGTAAGTTTTGCACCCTTTTTTCTCTCTCTTGGCCTCTCTTTGCCCTTCTGCCATGTAATGCCTTCCATCACGGCATGACCTAGCAAGAAGACCCTCCACAGATGCTAGCCCCTTGATCTAGGACTTCTCTGCCTCCAGAACCATGAGCTAATACACTTCCGTTGATCATAAATTGCACAGTGTGTGATATTCTGTTAATAGCAACAAAAATAGACTAAGACACCATTTTACTCCAAACCACTATCCACTCTCCCCTGGACCAGTGCAGTAGCCTCCTGCCTGGTTCCTGCTTCTGTTATTTCTACCTACCTCACCCTTCTTACCTGCTCCAGTCTATTCTCCACAGGGCAGCTAGAGAGATTCTCTTAAAACATAACATGTATCACAGTCACTGGTCTGCTCAAAACCCTCCAATAATTGCCCGTCACTTAGAACAAAAATCGGAGGTCCTTACCACAACCTGAACGGTCTCTTTCAGCATGGCCCCAACACCCTTTCCTGCCTTGTTTTCCACCCGTCTGTTCCCTGCTCCCCCAACTCCAGTCCCTCTGGCCTCCTGGCCAAGTGCTCCTACCCCAGGGCTTTCAGATGTGTGGCTCCCTTGCCCAGAAACACTCTTTCCTTCCCATGATTTCCTGGCTGTCTCCCTCACAGCATTCTCTGCAGAGAAGAGTTACTTGGCTGTGTGTCTGTAACATCCCTACCATCCCTCTGGGTGGCATTATATATTCATCTTGTCTATTTGCTTATTGTCAGTCTCTTGTGCTGGACTGGGAGCTCCCTGAGGGCAGGAATTTGATTTTGTTCAGTACTATGTCTCCAGGGCCAAGAACTGTGCCTGTCTCAACAAATATGTGTCAGATAAATAAATGTTTCTGGTAGTTACACGTCTATTCACTTATTTTTTTCTCTGAGAACTTTAGGGTGGGTGTGTGGGAGGTGTCAGTCTATACACATCTTAGTTAAGCTCCCTGCTCAAAAATTTGTTGTATGGATGAAGTGCCTTGCTTTCAGCCAGCTGGAAATGATAATAAATGTCCTTGGTATGATTTGTAAGACCTACCTAATTTTGGAGAGACCTGTCTGAAATTAACATTGTTAGTTGCATCTCACCCCTACCCTCATGGAATGGCTGACCCTTAAAGAAAGCTGACTATGTGCCAAGGACTGTTCTAAGATCTTTTCATACATTGATCATTTAATCCTCACAACAGCTTCAAGGGAGGGTGTGACCATTATCTCCATTTTATAGATTAAAAAACTGAGGCACAGAGAAGTTAGTGAGCCCTCAAAAGCCTCATCTCTAGGAAGGAAATGGAGGCAGAATTTAAACCCAGCAGTCAGCTCGAAAGACTGAGCTATTTCTTACTGCAGCCCAGACCCTGGGGAGAAGGCCACATCTGCTCAGCAGTCAGCCAGCAGCCCTCACCTGTAATGGACACTAATTAGCTGATTTGCTCATCGGTTCTCAGGAAGAAGTTTGACCTGTACTACATGCGGACTGTGGTGAACCTTTTATTAAATATACATCTCAAGCTGGGAAAATAGTGAGCTACTACTTCCTTTTAGAATGTAATATTGCAAATGTAGATCTTCCCACATTTCTAGTTCTCACTTTTGAGACTATGCCCTTAAGGGAGAGAAAATAAGGGACCAACACAGCCTTCTTTGCCCCCAGGGATAGCTGGGAGTGGGGAATCTCTAGGGAACTGTATCCTGCTAACTTGAGCACAGGCTTGTTTACCATGGGGAACAATTCTCATTCTTTGGTGAAATTGTTTAGTAATTGTGCTGACCTCACTCAAGGTCATTAGCCGGATATTGCCTCTGGTTTGTGAATAGGTTTATTTTCTTCTGGACATCCATAATAGTGTGAATCAGGGAGGTTTATCATTTTAAAAAATTATTCCTAGTTTTCATTGCATGGATAATCATTTGCTGTCCTTAACACATAATGATTGATCACTGGGATGCAATATGGTGTGGAAAGTGCGTGGCTTTAGTGCCATGTAGACTGGGAGTTCGTTTCTGTCTCTGCTACTTACTCCAGTGTAGTTTTGGGCAAGGCCATCAGCCTCTTGGAGCCTCCGCTTCTTCATTCCTCCTTGTAGCTTTGCTGTGGGTATGAGGGATAATGAATGTCAAGCCCACAGCAGGGGTTTGATTGCTCTGGCTGTTAGTATCAATATTATAACATATGAACGAGAAGCCTTCCCAACGCGCCTGCCAAAGCTCTGACGGCCGCTCTCTACGTGCACAGGACAGTCACCATTCCCAGGTGAAAGGCAGGCCTCCTGAGGCCGGTGAAAAGGAGCAGGAAGACAGCAGCATGGCCCAGCGGTGAAAAAGAAAATCACATGTGTGCCTTCTGACCACTGCCTAAGCCTGTTTTGCATTGAGACCAGTGTCCTGGTGACAGTTTCCTTCGGCTGCGATGGGATCTCACACTGCTCCCTCTTTGATCTGTGGCCTGGGTTTGCGTGGAGAGGGCTGAGCTTCTGCAGGCTTCCGTTGTCCCCCAGGGCGCACAGGTTGTGACCGTGCATGGGAAAACACCAACAGCTCTGCTTTTTTACTTTCTCCCAGAGTTGCTCATCTCCCTGCCTGGCTGACCTTAAGAACATTTTCCTATGAAGCCATGCCCTACGTGACATAAACCCTGGGACCCAGAGAGAAGCCAGAATCCGCCACCCTGAGTAGCCGCTGCTCGTGGGATGCAGGGGAAATGGCGCCCTCTGGTGTTGGCTCAACGCCTGTGTTCAGCACCGGGAGCTGCCCAATTCGGCCTTGAGAGCCAAGTCTCTGCAAAGCAAACTTTACATGCAAAGCGTTGTTTGGCAGAAATCCTTTTCCACAAGAGGAAATCTCTGGGTGAAAAGCACTATGCCTTTAATGAGAAGGAATCAGGTGGTTATTGCTTTAATGGACTTAAGCGTTTGGCAGTCACATCGCAAGCTCAGCATGGAAAAGAGCCCTACCGTGGGGAGAAGATTCTCCGCGTGCCCCAGTCTCTCTTAATCTTTTAAAACTTTTACTTCAATATCTCAAGAAGTGCTGTAGAATAGCAGAAGCGATGCCCCTTTCCAAGTGTGACAACAGTGACATGCAGTTCACTTTCCCTGGCGTGGTCCTGATGGAGCTTCAGTCAGAGGAGGCGGCCCTCGGTGAACCACCAGCCCATTTACTGTCTTCTGAACTGCAGCAGTAGCATAAACTACCTGGAGTGATAGGGCCTCTCCGCCGGATGAATCATCCCACTAGATTCAATGAGAAGGGAATTGGGAGGCAGCACCGTTGGCTCTAGGACACTTAAATACCAAATCCCCTCACCCCTTTGCATCTTGCTAGCCCAGAAAAGACTTTAAGGTGATTGTCAGGCATTAGGCTATGAAACCAAAGGTGGGGAAAGCACCGTTTATCAAAAGTGATCATACGGAACTGCTCCATTCTTTGCTTATACTTAAATCTCTCCATAACCAAGAAGAAAATGTGATTGAGACATAGATTCTTTCCCTGGGCTTTGTGGAATAAACCACCAGTCACCTTGTGGGTGCAGTTCTGGGCCAGAGTTTTGGAGAGAGTGTTAAAGCATGACAATAAGCAGGTCTAATAATAGCCTTTTCACTAGACCCCAGGGGATCACTGGCAGCCTCAATTACTCTAGCTTTTATTTTCTTTTGCCCTGTATTAGCTGTAGTCGCCCTTGAATGCAGAGACTTTTAGCCAGAGAATCTGGATTTGCTCTTTCAAACTTGCCATACATTTCTCCCTCTCTCATCATGCATTATACTCTATCTCATCTCAGATGGTTCTGCTTCTTAATTATTGTTGTCTGCTGTTAATTGCTAGCAGTGATCTAAGTCTAATGTTCTTACTAATGAGCACAGCTTAGAAGTTCCACATGTAAAGATTTATAAGAGTGGTTGCTTCATTATCATCACTAAATATTCCCAGATATATTCTCACTTGACACGTGTAGAGGCAAAAATAATAAAAACTGTAAAGTGCTGTGAGATATGAGGGAGAATAATGTTCATAAAGGGTAAATTATGGCTGTAGCTTAGACTTACAAAATGCTAGCCATTTGCAGGGTCACACAATAGCAAAGTGGGACCAGAACCCAGGCTCCCAACTCCTGATTGTGTAAGGTGCCCAGTGTGGAGTACTTGTCCTGAAACACACATTTGCATGTCCTGCTAGTTAAATTGAGCATTTGCAAATAAATGGACCAGAATGCTCATTGTGTTATTATTTACAATAGTGAAAATTTGGAAACATTTCAGATGGCCAGCACTAAGAAAATGGTAAAATAAATGATGATACATTTGTACTAAGAATATTTTCTAAATATTATAAAATTATAATTATGTATCATATACAAATAATTGCAATTATATATTTTATATAAATATTTAAAAATCATTTTTGGAGAATATCTAATGATCTGGTAGAACACTCCCAATATAATGTTGAGTGAAATCATATCAGGGTATAAAACTAAATGCAGATAGTATGATAGCAATTTTGTTTGATGTATAAAATAAGAGGAGAAGGAATACATCAAATATTAACGGTGACTTTTTTGAAGTGGTAAGATTATGAGTTATTTTTGTCTCCTTTTGAAACTTTTCTGTATTTTACAGGTTTTCTACAATTTGCATGTCTTAATTAAATTTACAATTAGAAAAACATTTTTAAAATTGTTTCCAGCTATATTGAGAGACAATTGACAAGAATTGTATAAATTAAAAGTGTACAACTTCATGTTTTGGTATCCATATACATTGTGAAATAATTACCACATCAAGCCAATTAACATATCTACCACCTGACACAGTTACTATTTCCCTTTTTGTAAAAAAAAAAAAAAAAAAAAAAAAAGTGTTTTGAAGAGAAAAAAGGTACCGTATAATCAAGCCTTAATACCTCAAAAGAGATTTTTCTCAGGACGGGCGCAGTGGCTCACGCCTGTAATCCCAGCACTTTGGGAGGCCGAGGCAGGCAGATCACAAGGTCAGGAGATCAAGACCATCCTGGCTAACACAGTGAAACCCCATCTCTACTAAAAATACAAAAAATTAGCCAGGTATGGTGGCGGGCACCTGTAATTCCAGCTACTTGGGAGGCTGAGACAGGAGAATGGCATGAACCCGGGAGGCGGAGCTTGCAGTGAGCCAAGATTGCATCACTGCACTCCAGCCTGGGCAACAGAGTGAGACTCTGTCAAAAAAAAAAAAAAAAAAAAAGAGAGAGAGAGATTTTTCTCAGACTGAGAAATGGCATTTACAAAGAACTTTGAAGAAATTCATAGAAACTAGAGCTATCTGCACAACTGCTGTTGAATTATTAAATGGCAAAACTTTAGCCTGAGTGAAGAAGACAAGTCAGCATCTTCTGTCTCTTACATTTTGTTCCATTACTTCTTTCTCCAAACAATATCCACTGAGTGCTCAGATGTTGTTGCTGTGTACCTGAGCTATTGTGTGTTGTAACAGTGCAAACAAGGTCAAGAGAAGCTTCCCTTTCTATGTATGTGTGCGTGTGTCTGGGGCTGTGCAGTGTCAAGCTGGCCTGGAGCTCCAGCAGAATTGTTCAGCTGCAAAGCCGTTCCTTACACTAACACTCCACTCACTAGAAATAAAATAAACTGAAATTAATACAACCTCATGTTTTTGTATATAAAATAGATAATATTTGTTGATAATACCCCATGGCAAAAATACCATATGGTATAAAATAGTACCATCAATTTGAACTTCAGCTGACAGTAAGTTTCAAGTGCCATAAGCCTTCCATTCAATCATCTCATATCTGGGAACTTATGCAAAAGAAAAAAGTCAAAAAGAAGAAACAGCTACATCCTAAAGACATTCATTCCTAGATTATTTCAAACAGCACAAAATGGAAGCAACAAGAAGTTCCAAGAAGAGAAGGATTTGTAATAAAACTAAAGCACATTGGAAATGATATTGTAACCATCCAATAAGTTCATTTTTGCCCACGGCCCGGATAGAGCCAATTTGTCAAGACAGGGGAACTGCAATAGAGAAAGAGTTTAATTCATGCAGAGCCATCTGAATGGGAAACCAGGGTTTTATTATTATTCAAATCAGTCTCCCCAAAAATTCAGAGACTAGGGTTTTTCAAGGACAGTTTGGCAGGTAGGGGGCCAGGGAGTGCTAATTGGTTGGATCAGAGATGAGATCATAGAGAGTCAAAGCTGTCCTCTTGTGCTGAGTCAGTTCCTAGCTGGGGGCCACAGGGCTGGTTGGTGGGTCTGGGTGAAGCTACTGGTCATCAGAAATGCAGAAACCTGACTCGAAAGGCCAATCTTTTGTTCTACAGTAGTGATGTTATCTGTCAGGAGTAATTGGGGAAGTTGCAAGTCTTGTGACTTCTGGAAAAATAGCTGGTAATCATTTATGTTTAAACCTTAGCAGAATTCAGGCTCCTCTCATCCTCCTAACCTGGTGGTCTTCCATTAGCTTTATGAAAGTGGTTTAGTTTTGGGGGAGGACTATTATCATTTAAATTACAAGCTAAATTCCTCTCAAAGTTACCTTGGCCCAAGCCGAGGAATGCCTAAGGGAAGCTTGGAGGTTAAAAGCAAGATGGGAGTTGGTTAAATCAGATCTCCTTCACTGTTGTAATTTTCTCCCTGTTAATAATTTTCACAAAGGCAATTTCAATATGATGAAGTAAAGCAATACAAAGAAATGTTTGTGGTAGAACATTAAAAATTGAGAACTTTAAAAAGTTTTTAATTTTTTATTATTATGAATGTCATATGAAATACATGCAGAGAAAAACTATTTTGTTAGAATGGTAAGATTGTAGATTATATTCTATTTTCCAGGGATTTTTTCTTCATACTAAAAAAAAGATGAAAATTGGGTTTTGTCAGATCACCTCCTGTTGGTGATCATTTTTGGAGACAGATTGCTTGAGTTCACAAGCCTGGTTCTACCACTTTCTAGCTGCATGACCTTAGGCAGTTTACTTAACCTCTTGAAGCCTCTGTTTTCTCATCTGTAAAATGGAAGATCATGAAAGTGTCTGAGCATAAACCCCAAATATCTGAGACGGGTCTCAGTCAATTTAGAAAGTTTATTTGCCAAGGTTAAGGACATGCCCATGACACAGCCTCAGGAGGTCCTGATGACATGTGCCCAAAGTGATTGGGGTACAGCTTGCTTTTATATATTTTAGGGAGGCAATACATCAATCAAAACATGTAAGATTTACATTGGCTCAATCTGGAAGTGCAGGACAACTTGAAGAAGGGGCTTCCAGGCCATAGGTAGATTTAGGCATATTCTGATTGACAATAGGTTGAAAGAGTTATTATCAGTAAAAAAGAATGTCTGGGTTCAAAGAAGGAGTTGTGGAGACCTAGGTTTTATCATGCAGATGAAGCCTCCAAGTAGCAGGCTTTGGAGAGAATAGATCGTGCCTGTTTCTTATAAGGCTTTAGGTCTGTGTTGATGTTAATGCTGGAGGGTATCATGAGGCATGTTCAACCCCCACTTCCCATCATGGCCTGAGCCAGCCTTTCAGGTTAATTTTTAGAGCACCCTGGCCGAGGAGGGAGTCCATTCAGGTGGTTGCGGGAGGCCTTCGAATTTTATTTTTGGTTTACATGAGTTTTGGAAAGAAACTAAGTAACTGTTCACATCTCCCAGGGTGAACTGAATGGTGAAGGTTCTGCCACAAAACTTTGCGGAGAAACACATTGAACCCTAAGCTGTGGGAGAGGCCAAAATCAAAGGTTCAGGCAAAGCTGCGAGTAGTGGTGGAATCCTAGTCAATCAGCCAGAGAAAAGGATCTAAAGGCGTTATCAACTCCAGGAAAAGGTCTAGGATCCTGCCTAAGAGCAGCAGAACGCACCTTTGAGGGCAGGGAGCAATAAGTTGAGAGGAAGCGAGGGTGGTCCTGGGACAAGGGCCTAATGTAACTACCCAGTAGGTTCACCTTGCCCGCTGCCTAGGCAGAGCTGATATATCAAGACATGGGACTTGCAATAGAGAAAGGGTAATTTGTGCACAGCCAGCTGTGAGGGAGACTGGAGTTTTATTATTACTCAAATCAGTCTCCTTGAGCATTCGGGGATCAGAGTTTTTAAGGACCACTTGGTAGGTAGGAGGGAGCCAGTAAGCCAGGAATGCTGATTGGTTAGGCAGGAGATGAAATAATAGGAAATTGAAGCTGTCCTCTTGTGCTTTAGTCAGTTCCTGGATGGGGGCCACAAGAACAGATGAGCTGGTTAATTTGGGTGGTGCCAGCTGATCCATCAAGTGCAGACTCTGCAAAATATCGCAAGCACTGATCTTAGGAGCAGTTTAGGAAGGATAAGAATCTTGTAGCCTCCAGCTACATGACTCCTAAACCATAATTTCTAATCTTGTTCCTGATGTTAGTAGTCTGGTCCCCAGGCAAGAAGGAGGCTTGTTTTTGGGAAAAGGCTGTTATCATCTTTGTTTTAAACTATAACCTATAAACTAAGTTCCTCCCAAAGTTAGTTCAGCCTACACCCACGAATGAACAAGGACAGCTTGGAGGTTAGAAGCAAGGTGGACTCAGTTAGGTTAGATCTCTTTCACTGTCTCAGTCATAATTTTGCAAAGGCGGTTTCACTAGCACCAACTTTCTTTTTTTTTCTTTTCTTTTCTTTTCGTTCTTTCTTTCTTTCTCTCTTTCTTTCTTTTGCCTGTACCTCTATCTATCTATCTATCTAATGTATCATCTATATCTCTCTATCTGTATATTTCAAACCCATTCTAAAGTAGAAAGAATGATATAACAAACCCTTATGTACCTATTACACAGCTTTAACAAAACGAATGTTTCATCTATTATCCCACTCGTATCCCTCACCCTGGATAATGTTGAAGTAATAATTTTATCACTACATCTGTAGGTACTTTCATATATATCTCTAAAAGATACAGGCTCTTTCATTTAATGTAACCACAACACCACTATCATACTTAAAATGTCAGCAATGGTTCTTAAGGGAGCCATTTAAGGGCTTGTCCCAAGGAGAGCCTGCTGCATTTAAAGGATCAGGGGCTGAACATGATGGTTCACACCTGTAATCCCAGCACTTTGGGAGGCTGAGGCAGGAGGATCACTTGAGCTCAAGAGTTTGAGATCAGCCTGGGCAACATAATAAGCCTTCATCTCTACAGAAATTTTTAAAAATCAAAATTTTTGATTTTAAAAATTAAATCAACTGTTTTCATTTGTTTGCTTGTTTTTTGTTTGTTTGTTTGGTTTGGTTTTTGCTTGCCTGTAGTCCCAGCCACTCGGAGGCTGAGGCAGGAGGAACGCTTGAGCCTAGGAGGTCCAGGCTGCAGTGAGCCATGATTGTGCCACTGCACTCCAGCCTGGGTGACAGAGTGAGATGCTATCTCAAAAAATAGTAATAATAATGTAAAATAAATATAGGACTAGGATGGGGCAACCTGAGAGCCCAGGCCTGTCTGTCTAACATCACCCACCCCTTCCACCAGCACTAAGAACAGGCAGCTCTGAGAACCACCTGAGTCGTTACCATCTGGGACGAGTGCGCAGATTGAGCCCAGCGTTTTGCCTATGTAAGTACTGAAAGGCCAAAGTGAGAGCTCCAATTCTGGAGAAATCCTTCAGATAGACCTAAAACAAATAGCTTAAGAGGACGATGGAGGGTAGTGGTTTTCAAGCTGTGGTTCATAAGGCCCAAGGATCACTAAAAACGGAGGAAGAGGCAGAGGACAGATTGGAAAGGCTGGGCTCAGTGCCCCACCCAACTTAACCAGTGACTCCATTTTTATCTCTTTCAACTACTGGGCTTCTAGAGCAGTACAATATGGAGAAAGCATTCTGTGCCAAAACAAAGGACTCCTGGGGAGAGGTTCCTTCACAGGTCAGGGAGGCCTCTGTGCAGAGATATGGGGTGGTGGGAGAGTGTGGAATACAGGCTCAGAGACCCCATTCCCTGCCTCCACCTGAGCTCAGAGTAGCCATGACCCTCAGACACATCATCTGCAAAGTGAGGACAGCACAGGTCTTTGCAGGGATTTAGTGAAATTGGGAACACAACCACACCTAGCCCATATTGGGTATTTATACACATTAGTTGAATATGATCTAAATATATCTGCCAGACTGATAAACTGCCATATTGAGAAGCTTGCAATATATTATTTTTCAGGAAATTTGGAAAACTATATAGTCTTTCTGCATATTTGTGCATGTTAATTTACATACATTACCATGTGGCTTTCCCATGACCTAATTCTAAGCCTACAAAGAAACGAATCTATGGTAAGTGAGTTCCAGTGCAGCATTCAGAGTCACCGAGCCAGGTGGGCAGTGGCATGCTTCAGCAACCAAGGGTCATCTCCTAACAAATCAGTCTCCTGAGTACCTTGCCAGAGGTGAGGAGACTGAGTGGCCAGTGTCCCAGATACTGAGAATGTTCGGTGGACCTCAGGATGAGATTCTTCCCAAATATGGATTTTTCTTTTCATTGGACTTTCAGACACATTTTGAAGTGCAACTCACAGTGACTTCATCTGCATAACATCAGGGCATAGAGCTCTCCTCTTCCAGCGGAGAAGTTCAGTGACATCATTTGTGGAGATTGATTCACCACGGCATATCAAAGAGAAAAGATGGGTGGCGAGAGCCCTGGTTTGTTTCGTTTTGATGTTTGTTGTGAGCAGAAAGAGACGGGGTGAGGGTGCTGCATGAGGGCGTTCGGGTCCCCAGGAGGGCAGTGCAGCCCATGTCCTGGAGGGCAAATTTGTCTTTTGCTGAAACACAGCTGAGCTCAGCTGGGACAAACAATACCCCTTAATGTGTCTGAGATTCTTTCCCCTGTTAGCTCTCTGGCAGAGGCAGCCACACAAATGGGGCTTTCTGGATTTTTCGCTGGCCTCCGGCTTCCAGGAGAGCCATTCTCCACCCCCGGCGTAGTGGGTTGTAACTTCTGCCAGATGAAACTGACATTGCTTCCCAGCTCACCGGAACAAAATCTGGCTCTTGGCCCAGATGAACCGTCACTTTCCACTGACCATTATAAAAACAGGAATGGCATATTTGCCTGGAGCCTGTCAGTGCTGAGTTTTGACTAAAGGAATTTATTTTATCCTCTGTTGTCATGGAGCTGTGGAAATAGGAGCCTTCACATGGGGCATGCACAGGTGAAACCATAAAGGCAGGCAGTGGTTTGAACTGATGGCTCCTCTGACATTCAAATTCAGGCTCAGGAGGGCTCCTGCTTCTAACTCAGTCTCCATAGAAATCACGCCCCACAGACGGGCTTGGACGTGTCAAACCTCACCAATGTGCTCACCAGCCTGAAGTGCTCACCCCTCTGCCATAAACCTTTCTTTTCCCTTTTTCTCATCCCTCACCCTCATTTCCTTCAGACACACTCCATTGCATTTGACTGATTTTGGTGAAGAAATTGTTAATGAGGTCTCAGATTCCAAAGGGCTGTGGCTCCCTGATACTAAAGGAACCCCCATATCTCTCTAACCTTTTCTCAAACCAGGGACAAAATGAGAATTCCAAGCTCCTCTCTGGATCCTTGGACAATTGAAATAGTTTACAAAATATATTCCTAGGAGCCGGTGGTGGTAGCAGAGTTCTCTGTCTTGGGAAAGGAGGGTACAACTTGTCACCCCTTGGGGACTGTTCTCTTATTCTCAAAGGGCAATAATGTCACAGTGTACAAGGAGAAAAGTGGCAGCGGTTCTCCCATGCTCAGGTCCAGAACTGATCAGGGAACCGGAGGATGGTGAAAGCATGAACCTCACGGTCTAAATGAAGCCAGGAATGCCCACTAGGGATTAGCAGGGGAACAGTCAGTGGGAGAGCAGAGGTGCCTGCGTCCATCATAGGTAGACACTCTGACAGGAGAAGTGCTCACAGAATGCAGGATCTTTGACTCCCCATGGCCCAACCGAATTTAGAGATGCTTTGTTCTTGTCACCTATGGGATGTCATGGGGCAAATTTGGAAGCAGGATGGGCCCGTCCTGCATCACGCTGGTGTTAATGTTGTGATGCGGCTGCTCCTGATGCTGTAGGTGACATAAGGAAGAAACGCACTGCTGAGCTCAAAGTTGCTGATCATTTCCCAAGGCAGACAGCTTGTCCAACCTGGGAGGATGGGGAGAGGGCAGGAAACGCTGAGGCTGCTTGTGTTGCTGTTCTTGCCATCCACGCTCATCTCGGGTTCTCTGCTCCAGTCTTCACCCTGCAGTCCGCCCTCCCTCAGAGGAGTTGTTTGATCCTTTGGACGCCCACCTCCTAGACATTCAACTGCATCTTAGCACCCTAAGTTCAAGGCCACTCTCTGTTCCCATGTTATCATTCAGCACTATTCCACCCAGACGGTACCTCCAGGTCCCATCCTCACACTGACCCCGTCCTTCCAGCCTCTTCACTGTCTTACTGCCCAAGCTCTTCCTCTTCCATCTCATCTCAGTGTGTGTCCCTGGACCCACCATTCTCTCTGTCATCAGCTGCCTTCTGGTTTCAGTTCCTTCTCGGTCAGCCTGGAGTCCATCACCACCACAGGTTTCATCTGCCGACTCCCCGGACTCTCTCATCCTCCCATTGCACCTGGCCCAAAGAAGCCTAGCGTTAAAACACCCCCGCCACATGCCCTCCTCCAGGCTCCAGGTCCTGCTGGAGAACATCATGCCCTGTGCATGCTGGTGCCATCACCTGGCTGGGCCACTGATGCAGCCAGATAAGTGTCACATACCTCCTCAGCCAGATCGCTGCTCCACCCACCTCCAAATGCTCAGCCCTGTTGCCTGTGCACCCAAACTCTCCACTCCAAGGGCTTTCTCTTCATTTTTAGCAGTCAATTTTGCTTCCTATTTCACTGAGAAAATGAAGGTCACAAGACAAGGACTCTCCAAGCAGTCCTTCCCCACCCCCTCCCAGGGAGTCTTACAAATCTACCTCCATCTGCACCCACCTTGTAGCTACCTCTCCTGGCCCAGCCAGGTAGGCATGCTCTTCTGTCACTAAAGTCCATCTTTCCACCTGTGATGTGGAGCCCACCCTTAGTGCATCCTCAAAGATTCTGCTCAGTTACACGCTCCCATCCTGTTTTCTGAGTTGAACCATCTCTGTCCCTAAACACTCTTTCCTCTAAACTACATAAACACTCTTGTCTTTTTTGTCTTTTAGAAAAACCAAACCACCCCAATCCCAAATCCCCATCCAGCTACATCCGCCGTTGAATATGTTTCTTCTCAACACACTGCTAGCCACTCTCCTGAAATTTCTTCCCTTCTCACTTGGAGGATTAGAAGACTTCTTAACTAGCACCAGTGGAATTCCCTCCAATCAGAGGTGGTTTTCTAAAATGCAAATCTAGTGTTGTCATTCTTTCTCAACATTTCAGAGGCTTTCATTTCTCAAATCCTTCACTGAGCTCTTAAGGCCCTTCAGAATTGGACTTCTATCAGCCTTTGTGGCTTACCTCTTGAACTTCACAAATACCCTTCTCTCCTGCCCACAAAGCAGGCTGCACTCTCTGAATGGAGATGCAGTTTCCTGTTCTTCACCCACATGATTCTTCCTAGATGTCCTTCCATCCTTCTCATTATACAGATAATTCCCACTCATCCATCAAAACGAAGCTTTCTACTTCTGCCTCTGGAAAGCCTTCCTTGACATATTCAGTTTGATTTCCATGTTTCTCTTTGCTGTTTTCATAGCCTTCATTTTTACATCTATCATAATAACTGACAATATGTGCAGACGGTGTTCTAAGTGATTCTGTCTATAAGCTTGTTTCCACCTCATAAGAATGATTTTCAAGTCACAATAACCTTTTTACTATTATCTCCACTTTTATAACAACTGCTATAGTTTGGATGTTTGGCCCCTCCAAACCTCGTGTTGAAATTTGATTCCCAGTGTGGGAGGTGGGGCCTAATGGGAGGTGTTCGGGTCACGGGGACGGGTCTCTCGTGAATGTCTTGGTGCTGTCCTTGCAGCAATGAGTGAGTCCTTGTGCTGTTAGCTCCCACAAGAACTGATTGTTGAAAAGGGCCTATCTCCTCTCTCTCTTGCTTCCTCTCTCTCCGTGTGATCTCCATGTGCTGGCTCCCCTTTACTGTCCATCACAAGTGGAAGCAGCCTGAAGCCCTTGCCAGAAGCAGATGCTGGCACCATGCTTCTTGTGCAGCCTGCAAAACCATGAGCCAAATAAACCTCTTTCCTTTATACATTACCTGGTCTCAGGTACTCCTTTATAGCAACGCAAAATGTACTAAGACAATCAGGAAACTGAGATTAAGTAAATTCTCCTAGGTCGCACAAATAATAATAGTTGAACTGGGATTTGAACCCAGGCAATCTCTTAATCCTAATACTATAGCACATATTAAAATATACTTTAATCAGTGGCATAGTTACCTAGCTCCTTCTTTATACTGTGAGCTCTTTTGAAGGCCAAAGTCAAGTTTTAATCACCACCTGTCCCCCCAACTAGAAAAGTGCCTGACTCTCAATAGGTATGTTTTGAATGAATGAGTGGGAAAATAATGGCACTCTTGAGTCTCAAGCTTCCAAAATGCCTCATGTTGGAAGGCCCACTTTAAAGGCTGTCTCCAAATCACAATTATTGAATAGTCACGATGGTAGGAAATAAATTTGGATAGAGTTGTTTCTCTTCAATTTGATCCCATCCCTCTTTATCCCAGTTAGCCAAATTGCTGGTACTTGGTATTTCCAAATAAATGTCTAATGAGTGCTTTTACTCTTCAAATGTGATTAAAAGGCCATTCTCCCTCTTCAGCCTCACAACCATCACCACCAAATTAAGAACATAAAATGGGTGCAATCTAATGAAAAATTCAAGAGGAAGAGCAGTAGGTGAAAAATAATATAGCTGCCCCAAACCTGTAATTACTAAGGGAAGGTAGGATAAATGTCTCAACAGTGAGGTGGGACTGGTGGAAGAAGACTTCCAGAGTTGAGCTTCATGCCCATCAGTGGGAGGAGGGATGGACACTGACCCATGGAAGCCTTGATAGAAGAGGGGAAAGTAGCAGGAGGAAGGAAAAGAGAAGTGCAGAGCAAAGCATGTCAGGACAGGGAATGCATGGGCTAGACCACAGCAAATGCGCCAGATGATGAAGGGGAAGATTGGGAGCTGTGTGGAAGACCATGAGTCCAGGCCAAAGTACTCAATACTGTTGGCAATAGTGTTGGAGCTTACATGTCCTGAGATGATGGGAGAACCTTAGATGCCCATGAGTGGGCACTGGACCCAATGCTTGGTCATATCTTTGCTCCTGGCTTTTCTCCCCACCCTCCTTAGAAAGCTTATCATGAATTTCTGCCTCTGCCATTCTGCACCAAGCCTGCCTCTGGGCTGCATGGCTAGATGCTACCCAATCTGCCCCTGATTCTTCTAGAAGCCTTTGTTGTGCTGGACAAAATTTACATGGAGCAACCCTAGATTCCTAGGTGGAGGAGTGTTGGGATATTGAATTAGTCCATTTTCACACAGCTGATAAAGACATACCCAAGACTGGGCAATTTACAAAAGAAACAGGTTTACTTGGACTTACAGTTTCACATGGCTGGGGAAGCCTCACAATCATGACAGAAGGCAAGGAGGAGCAAGTCACGTCTTACATGGATGGCAGCAGACAAAGAGAGAGATTGGATGGGGAAACTCCCCCTTACAATACCATCAGATCTCATGAGACTTATTCACTATCATGAGAACAGCATGGGAAAGAACTGCCCCCAGGATTCAATTACCTCCCTCTGGGTCCCTCCCACAACACATGGGAATTCAAGATGAGATTTGGGTGGGGACCCAGCCAAACCATATAAGATCTCAAGGGTCTATGAGAACCACTAAACCAAGAAGATGTGGAGATGAGCCTTAGCTCATGCATTGGAGAAAGGTCATGGATTAAAAACTATTTGTTTTATTCCTAGGCCTTGAATAGGATTAGGTGACATGAAAGAGATACTTCAATCAGTGGGTCATTCATGAGAGTTCATAAGATTTTGTGAGTTTTATTAGCTAAACTCACTTGATGTGCATTGCCATTGATTAATGGACCCTATTTGAATTCCACCTTTTTATAAAACCACATTCAAGAAAGGAAGAGGAAATGTGGATCCTGCATCAGAATGTGTCTTGAGTCTTCTGGAATACTGATCCACAGGCTGTGATAGACACAGGTCTGGCCTTGTTCTGAGCTCATCCCTGCTAATGAAAAGAGTATCTGATATGGCCAGGCACCGTGGCTCACACTTGTAATCCCAGCACTTTGGGAGGCTGAGGCAGGTGGATTGCTTGAGTCCAGGAGGCAGAGTTGCAGTGAGCTCTGATTGCACCACTACACTCCAGCCTGGACGACAGAGGGACACCCAGTCTCAAAGGAGAGTATGTGATATGGACTTAATAAATTTCCCCAAATTAACTAAAAGAAATCAAGACCAACCCTTGTTGTGTCTAAACCCAAGGAGGATAGTGATTCTACAGGAATCTGGACAGATATGAAACCTAGGATGTCGGACTCAGACAGGCTACGCCTCGTAGAGATTCTCCTAAGACCTCTGGGGGCGGGAATTTCAGCCTCTGTGGTCTCTGTCCACCCACCAAGGGTGCCAGGCAGGAGAAATTTTGCTTGGTGTGTAGTTCCAAGGACAGTGGCAATGTGCTCCCTAACTTTGTGAAGACAAAATGTCAACTTTCTGCAGTAGAACAAAAAAGATGTGAGAAATTAATTTTCTTGCTCAGTTTTAGTTCCTTGATGATGAATACAAAGATGATGGTGACTTTTGGAAGAATTCAGAAGGTTTCAATATTCTCTTACTGGGATATTAATTTCAATCATGAAAAACAGCTCTGGAACTAAAAACCACTATTTTAGGTGGAGTGCTTTTCTTTCTTAACTGCTGGCTTTTCAATTGCAAGCCTACAGAAAAACGGAAAGAATAGCTGGATAGACACCTGGATACCTTTCACCTCATTTTGCCAATTTTTAATATTTTGTGATGAGCTGGGTTTTAGTGTATGTGTTCTTGATAGTACTGGCAATTTTGGTGTTCATTTCTAATCCAGTTATTTTAAAAACAAGTGTTGATTGGGTACACAGAGGGGCCACACACTGATCCAAGCATGGAGATACAGTGAAGATGACACACAAAATCTCAGTCTTTGTGGAGCTCGTGTCATCTAGTGGGAAAGACAGAAAATAAATAAACAAATACGGCATAAATGCAATATTACATGAGGTAGTGCGAAGATTTACTGATTCAGTTTTAAGTGCCTGTAAGCCAATAATTTAGCCAAACTATGAAACTTGACCTCATTACTCAGGTAGTGCAAAGATTAGCTGATTCAGTTTTAAGTGCCTGTAAGTGAATATCTTAGCCAAACTATGAAACTTGACCTCATTATTCAAGGCGTCTGTAAGGCCGCCTTTGGAAACCTGTCCAATGGCCATTGGAGAGCACTAACTCCTGAGCAGCATGCCTCAGCCAGCAAATCCTGGCCTTGTGTCTATGAACACCTCATTCTAGCTTGCATAAAAAGGCAAAAGGCAAAGCAGTAGGCTGGTGGCTGGAACAGGACTTGAGGGACTCTAGATGCTCAACACTGGGTCATGCCTAAATGCAACAGGAGGGAAAGCTATGGGAGGATGAAGAGGGTAGCATTCAGTTTCACTCTAAGCTGCCTCCATACATAGCTTTAGGCCAAGCAACCTAAAGGCTTCTAGTACATGATGAACGGTAACCTCACTGGATGAGTAAACAGCCTGCATCCTACTCTTGTAACAAGTAGCCAAGTCTCAATCAATCACAGCAGATGAGCTTGGTCCAAGCACAGGTGACCAACTGTTTAAAGCTGTTCAAATAAGGCAAACACCCAGCTGTGACCAATCCAGCTGTTTCTGTACCTCAGTTCCTATTTCTATACACTCCTTTTCCTACCCATAAATGTTATCCAGCCATGTGGCTGCCCTGCAGTCTCTCTCAACCTCTTCTGGTTCTAGAGGATGCCCAATTCATGAATGGTCCTTTGTCCAATTAAACTCTGTTACATTTAATTTGTCTAAAGCTTTTCTTTTAACAGAAGCAATCAGGACTCTGGGTCCCTGGGAAAGTGAAATGATTAGGAATCAGGTAGGAAAACCAGGCTTGATGGGAGAAAATCCACATCATTTCTCCAGGAGAAAGGAGGAAAGCCTGGGGGTGTGGGGCTGGGTTATATTCCTGGATCTGGGGAGGAAAGCTTGAGTGTTCCCAGCTGTTAACTCCATGAAGCAGGAGGTGAGACCATCAGCTGAGAGTGAGAAAGGGGGAAAGGGCTGGGGAGAGGGGTGGAAAGAGACTGAACTGAGTATTCATTGTGAAGAACTGAAAGTGAGCTGGCAGGGATTGTGGCTGCTGTTTCCAGGAACGCTTTTTTGACTGAATCTGCATGTGTCATTTTGGAGACTCCAACCTGTACTTGAGTTGAAAATAGAAAAAGCCCCATCACCCCTACTCCCACCTCCTTCCAGCCTTTGTCAGAAGTTGAAGCGAAATGGTTTCCGCACCCGGGCGCAGTGGCTCACACCTGTAATCCCAGCACTTTGAGAGGCCAAGGTGGGCAGATCACTTGAGGTCAGGAGTTCGAGACCAGCCTGGCCACAAAAATTAGCCGGGCATGGTGGCACACACCTGTAGTCCACGCTACTCTGGAGGCTGAGGCAGGAGAATTCCTTGAACCTGGGAAGACAGAGGTTGCAGGGAGCTGAGATCACACCATTGCACTCTAGCCTGGGTGATAGAGTGAGACTCCATCTCAAAAAAAAAGGCCAGGTGTGGTGTGGATCACGAGGTCAGGAGTTTGAGACCAACCTGGCCAACATGGTGAAACTGTCTCCACTAAAAATACAAAAATTAGAGTGGTGTGTTGGCATGCACCTGTAATCCCAGCTACTTGGGAGACTGAGGCAGGGGAATTGCTTGAATCTGGGAGGCGGAGGTTGCAGTGAGCTGAGATTGCACCACTGCACTTCAGCCTGGGTGACATAGCAAGACTCTGTACTCTGCCCCCCAAAAAAGAAATGGGCTTCCATTCCTGTCAGAAACAAACAGAAGTGATTTTGCAGTTCTGGCCTGCCTTTCTGAGCTGTCTTTTGGGTGCAGAGGGTGCCCTGGCAGGGAGGGAACAGGGTTAGGTGGCTGAGCTTGTCAGGCTGGTCAGACTGATTCCCTGGTGTGGGACAGGGAATGAACGTAGAGTCCTGAGTGGGGCAGAGACCGGCTTCTGCTTCCGTATGGAACCATGGGGCCCCTGGAGCCTTCTGCCCTGCAGAAGAGAAAGTTGTAGCTTATTAGAAAGGGAAAGACTTGAATGAATTTTGAGTACAGCTTGTGCAAATGCTTAATTAGAGTAAGCTTTTAAAATTCATCTTGTGGCTCATTGACTCAAAGGTGTGAGAAAGGCTATATTTATCACTCCTCCAGACCCAGCTAGATCATTAAGAAGAAAATGAAAGGTTCTAAATTTTAACAACCTTTCCTTCAGCAAAGACTCTGTAGATGGAACATTGAGGGCATTTCCATTTAATTTATAGCAAAGCCTTTCTTTTGACCCTGAAGTGAGTAGTGAGGGAAGGAGCTGCTGGGCTGATGATGGCCAATGGCTTTTGTGGATGAGGAAGGGGGACAGGGAAGGAAGCTGGGCTTTTCTTAATGATCTGCAATTGACAGACATCTTATTTCTCTATCTCATTTTACTCTCACAACAACCATATACAGTAGGAATCTCTCCCCTCCTCCTCCCCCCACCCCAGGTTCTGTGGAAATGACCCACTTCATAGGAGGGTCAGAACAGTTGTGTGAACTGCTTAAAGATCCAGAGATAATAAGAGGAGGATCTGTGTTCCCCAAAGCCAATTACCTTTCAACTAACTATGCCATAAAAATTCCCAGAGTTGAAAAGAGGCCCTTAAGAAAAACAGTATGTATATGATATCCTAGTTCAGATTGATGGGAAATGCTCTGTCAGTAGAGACTGTCCGCATCTGCTATGTCCCAGGCACTGCACTAGGTTGAGTAATATTTCAGAGATGCAAAAATCATGTCCCCACTGCAGGAGCCCAGGGAGTCCCCAGATATATCTAGCACCCCCTTAGTGGAGCCAGTGCTATGTTATAGACAAGCCAGAAGAATGTGAGTCCCTGTCTTGAGGTCCCAAGAGCTTCACTGGGAAGAGAAGACATATAGGCAGAAATGTCAAAGAACAAGCCAACCCCTAATAGGCCTGCTCATTAATGTAGATGTTAGAGCGTGTGGGGCAGAGATTCATGCTACAGGGCAACACAGGAAGACAAAATGGGAGGGCTGAGCTGCTGGGAGAAGCTGTCTGCAGGAAATAGGTCATGACGACATGATGTATCTGGTGATGCCGTGAAGGGCCCCTGCTAAAGGTGTCTCCCCCCTGGGGCCATTTCACACTTCACATGATGTGATGGAAAAATAATTGGGCCATCTAACCCTAACTCTGCTACTGAAATCGAATGACCTTGACTGAGTCACTAACTCCTTTTGGTCCCAGGTTTTGTTGTCTTATCCATCTAAAATGAAGCAGTGGGACATGCTGGACTCTGGGCCTTCTTAATCCCATGCTTACTAGGCCCAAAAGGAACAGTAAATTCTCCTTTAAGACAAAAGTTCATTTGATTTGATTTGATGATTATGTCACACATAACATCCAGGAAGTTTCCCATGACTCAAAGCAGAAGGATAAAGACATGGGATAACACTGAGAGAAGGCCAGGCACAATGGTTCACACCTGTAATCCCAGCACTTTGGGAGGCCGAGGTGGGTGGATCCCCTGAGGTCAGGAGTTCGAGACCAGCCTGGCCAACATGGGGAAACCCTGTCTCTACTAAAAATACAAAAATTAGCTGGTGTGGTGGCCCACGCCTGTAGTTACAGCTACTTGGGAGGCTGAGGCAGGAGAATCGCTTGAACCTGGGAGGCGGAAGTTGCAGTGAGCCAGGATCATGCCATCACACTCCAGCCTGGGTAACAGAGTGAGACTCCCCCTAAAAGAAAAGAAAAGAAAAGAAAAAACACTGAGAGAAAAGTTAAAAGAGATAGAGGAGAATTCCAGCCAATCTAACATCTGTCTAATGAACCTTACATTGGCGAACATGAAGGTGAGGAAGAGGGCAAGAACCTAACATAGGAAAGTCAACTTTAAAAATGAAGTACAAAAGACACATCTAGTCATTGAGTTAAATGTACAGTTTCTTCTTGGCTGAAGAAATACAGGAGTTTTCCCATAGAAATGACTCACTGAGAATCAAGCAATTTTGATGAAACAAAAATAAAAACAAAAAAAAAAAACCCACACTTCACTTCATCTTGGTAAAACTGCAGGACTCCAACAACAGAGAGAAAGTTTTAAAAACTTCCAGAGGGATACAAGCAAGGGACTTACAAAAAAACAAGAATAAAAGTGTCCACAGTCATCTTGTTGATGATAACAAAGCAATTCCTTTAATATCCTGAAAGTTATTTTGAACCTGAAATTGTATCTCCAGTCAAATGATCAATCCAAGATTATCTAAGTGGCCAATAAACATACGAATAGACACTCATCATCATTTCTTATCACAGAAATGCAAATTAAACCCACAGCAATATATCTACCAGTATGACTAAAATTAAGAGTACTGACAACAAGTGTTGACAAGGATGTGAATCAACTGCAGCTCTCATCTATTGCTGGTGGGAGTGTGAATGGCTCAGCCACTTTGGAAAATTATTTGACAGGATCTACTATATATCCAAGAGATGTTCACAAAAAGACATGCGCAAAGATGTTCACGGCAGACTTATTTGTAATTGCCAAAACTTTAAGACACTCCAAATGTCCATCAACAGAAGAGTGGATAAGCTCCTTACAACACGTCTACTTAAAAAGGGCAAACTACTGATATCCACAATAACATGGGATAATCTCATAGTTAATATGTTGAGTGAAAGACACCAAATATGAAGTAGAAACTGAACGATTCCATTTATATGAAGTCCTAGAATAGGCAAAACTAATCTGTGGTGATAAAACCTAGTCATTGCCTGAGGAGGTGAAGCAGTAGAATTGTTTCAAAAGTGGCACATCTGGGTGATGGAAATTTTCTATATCTTAATATGGGCACTGGTTACATATATACATCCTTGCTTTTTTTTGTTTTGTTTTGTTTTTTACATATACACACTTAGGATTCATTTTATTTTCTTTTTTTCTTCTTTTTTCTTTCTCTCTTTCTTTCTTTCTTTTTTTTTTTTTTTTTTTTTTTTTATGAGATGGAGTTTCACTCTTGTCAGCCAGGCTGGAGTGCAATGGCGCAATCTCAGCTCACTGCAACCTCTGCCTCCCAGGTTCAAGCAATTCTCCTGCCTCAGCCTCCTGAGTAGCTGGGATTACAGGCGTGCACCACCACACCCAGTTAATTTTGTATTTTTAGTAGAGATGGGGTTTCACCATGTTGGCCAGGCTGGTCTTGAGCTCCTGACTTCAGGTGATCTGCCCACCTTGGTCTCCCAAATTTCTGGGATTACAGGTGTGAGCCACCAGGCCAGGCCTCATTTTCTTTACTGCATGCAAATTATACCTCAAAAACAAAAAAAGGTAAAGAGAAATTGTCAAACAAATGGGAGCAAAAGAAAGACATTTTGGGGTCTGCAAGAACTCAGAAAAAGTTGCTCATTTTCACAAACTATACAAACAAGATTGCTCATGAATGCTCACCAGCAAAATAAAAAAGTAATCAAAGAGAATGATACAGACAAAATAAACAGTAGTCACTGAGTTAGACATAGATAAAAGATACCACTTGGTGCTTGCAGGGTTCTTTATTGAGAGGCAAGATTCTGATGGCAAAAAATTATATTTCCTTCTCTAAAGTTTCGATTATGCTACTCATCTATGCAATAATTTTTTATAATTATAATCTTATAGATCTATTTATGCAATTTCAGTGGTTAAAGTCAATTTAAAGATGAAGCACAAAAGACATGTTTAGTCACAAAACAGATACAAAATTGACAAGCATAGACAACGTAAAAAAAATTTTTTTTGAGACAGAGTCTCGCTGTGCCGCCCAGGCTGGAGTGCAGTGATGCAATCTTGGCTCACTGCAACCTCCGCCTCCTGGGTTCAAGCGATTCTTGTGCCTCAGCCTCTCGAGTAGCTGGGCCTGCAGGTGCACACCACCACACCTGGCAAATTTTTGTATGTTCAGTAGAGATGGGGCTTTGCCATTTTAGCCAGGCCGGTCTTGAACTCCTGACCTCAAGTGATCCAACTGCCTCGGCCTCCCAAAGTGCTGGGATTACAGGCGTGAGCCACCATGCCTGGCCAACAATGTAAAATTGATACAACTGACTGAAACTAGGGGCAGGAGGGAAGGTATTCACCTCCTAATCTTTAAGGCTGGGAGTCCACAGATACAATCTAAGGTGAATAAACCAAAAAACTGGAGTTGATGCATGCAATTTAAAGTATTAAAAGCAACTATTAGAGAAAATAACAATAACATTGTATGAAATATCAGGACTGAGAGGAGATGGTGAGAGGTAGTGTAAGGTGAAATTCTTTGTCTTTCAGAACAGATTGTCCATAGATACTGTCTGCTCATCAATTTATGGATAGTCTTCTCTGAAATATAAGAAAAAATTACAAGGAATCGCCAGGAGAAGTTTTTAAAACCAAGAAAAAGACAAAAAGAATGTTAGCTACCTGGAAATGAGTCCAGGATGCAATGGTAAGGACTAAGGTATTTACATTTTATCCAGTCGATGCCTGCCTGTCTGCGTATTTTAAGTTTATATTCATGAATTATTTTAAGAAGAAAGGAAGGGAGGAGGGAAGGAGGATGGAGAATGAAGGGAAGGCAGACTCTACCTTTTCTGGCTGTGGAGCCCTGGGACAGAGTGCTGAGGTAGCAGAAGTAGGTCGGCTAAGCTGGAAACTACTGTTTCTTAGAAATGCAATAAAATAATCATTTTTGTGGAAGGGCAGAAACGTATTCTTCTGCCTGTAAAGATCCATGATGGGAACAGAAGAAGACATTTGGTCTCAGCAGGTTTCAGAATTGAGAAGCCAGAAAAGCTTCTCAGTTGGAAGGTTCAAGAATTCTGCAGATGAGACCTCATCTCCACTACAAACAAACAAACAAAAAATTAGCCAGGTGTGGTGGTAGCGCACGCCTGTGGTCCCAGCTACTCAGGAGGCTAAGGTAAGAGGATCACTTGAGCCTGGGAGGTCGAGGCTGCAGTGAGCCACAATTGCACCACTGCATTCCAGCCTGGGTGACAGAGAGAGACGCTGTCTCAAAAATAAATAAATAAATAAATAAAGGAGCTCTGCAGAGGAGCTTTAGAAGAGCGCAGTTCTCCACATATAAGGTGGAAAACTCCATGGTTTTCTGTTCAGACCATTGTGTTTGGAAACTCGACACTGTCTCAGAAAATAAGTCTTTTCACCGCATCATCCATTCTACAAAGCTTAATTGAGCCCAACTGTGCCAGGCTTGGAATCCAGTGAGCCAAACACCAGCCTCAGTTCCCCCATCCTGAGCTTGCGGTGAGGGCGGGAGTGAGGGCAATGCAGAAAGACACAGCCAAGATGTGAACCAGGGCAGGCACATGAAGATGGAGAAAAGACAGGAAGGGCTGTGGACAGGACTTTTTCCTGTATTGAAGCAAGTGGATTTAAGAATGTCACCAGGTGGGAGACAGAGCCTGAACACAAAGCCTAACTCCGTGCTTCCTGGTTCTCTGACCTCAGTTTCCTATATACATAAAACAGAGACCGTCTTTGTGATGATTCATTAAAGTGCCAAGACAAGGCTAGCCACCGGAAGTGCTCCAAGGAGTCAAGACATAGACAGGAGGCTACTCAGGACCAGGAAGCAAGACCTCCAGGGGCATCACTGCAGCCCAGAAAAGATCTGAGTCAGACTGGCAGAGCCACAGAGGGCGTGTAGGGGGCTCTGCCCCACCCTTGTGCTCCCATCACTCGTCATTTCTCAACCCCTCCACCGTATTTTCAGGCGGGAGCACCCTGCTGTCCGGCAGCCTTCCTTCCCCTCTGCCGTGGGCCGGGCTGGGAGAGGTGCCTGAACTCCGCGGGCAACCCAGGGCTCAGGCGAGGAAGGGACGGCGCTGTGATGGAGCAGGAGCTGCTGGGGAGAGCTGGCCCCAGGTGCAGTGCAGTGGGCTCCTGTCACTGTGGCGCAGAATACTAGCTGTGCTGATCTTTCTCTGGAGCGCACATTCCTGTCTGTGAGTGGAGGGAGTAGGAGAGGGTCCACTTTCCCTTTTCTACTAACTTAGTCATTGAAGAGGCGGCTCAGTCCTAGCTCTGAGTCCTGCTGCTTGGTGGGGAGCGGCGGGCCACGTAGGCGAGGACCTGGACGCGCCCAGGGCTGGCTTCACTGCTGTAGCCCGGGCCTGAGCGTTAAATTCCAGCCTGAGGTCCCACCGCGGCCTCCTTCGCACAAGCAGGCCTCTTTCTCAGGCCCCCTGCTTCTTTCCTCCCTTTCCAGGGAGCCTGGGAACTGGCAGACACCCACTCCTCCTGTGGGGAGTTGCGGAGGGCCCCGTGCCAGTCCCTATCTCACTCAGGCTCATTTACCTGATGCCTTCCTCTACCAGGGTTCTACTGGGGAGAAGCACTTGGTGCCCTTGGGCTCGGCCTCTCTGCGTAACCGGGTGTCTACTGAGATTTTTATTGTCTGTTTCTTTCGCCTGCTCCTTCTCAGAGACCCAGGCAACATCCTAATCATCTCTTTCAGATTTCTTCTTCTTCCTCTACCAGGAGGGATTTTTTTCCCCTTTCTAGGACGTAGTCTGTCTTCTTACCCCTATCCTGCTTCCCTTCTACAACAGGTTTTACGGTAATACTCTGTGTTCACGCTGCTAAGGTTTGTCCTTGTCCTATAAAGGGAAGCTTTTTATATAAAACTTTTCTCTATCATTGAAGTCTGGCTTTCAATACTATCATTTCTTTGCGGCCTGAAGAGTCTCCAAATGGAGACTCAAAATGCATGGTGATTTCTTTCTTCAAGGCAGTATGCACCCCTCCTCTCTACCCTTTCCCCACCACCAATAAATTCCACTGATTCCATATGTGAGGAGCCACAGAACAACAACCAATGTATGTGGCATTAAAAATACATCAGTCGGCCGGGCGCGGTGGCTCACGCTTGTAATCCCAGCACTTTGGGAGCCGAAGCGGGTGGATCACGAGGTCTGGAGATCGAGACCATCCTGTCCAACATGGTGAAAGCCCATTTTTACTAAAAATACAAAAATTAGCTGGGTGTGGTGGTGCATGCTTGTAATCCCAGCTACTTGGGAGGCTGAGGCAGGAGAATCGCTTGAACCCGGGAGGCAGAGTTGCAGTCAGCCGAGATCACACCACTGCACTTCAGCCTGGCGACAGAGCGAGACTCCGTCTCAAAACAAACAAACAAACAAACAAACAAAACACCAATCTAATATGGTCCCACACACACTATTCCTATTACACAAACAACTGATACATTATGTGGCAGTTGGAATGACAGGGCCACAGTTCCTAGGTCCTGGTCTTGTTGGGTTAGGGCAGGTGTGACATAGGGCCATCCACTGAGCAGCTGGGACGATGGAAATGGAATTCTCACCATTCTGGAAGCTGGGAATACAAGATGAAGGCCAGCAGCCTTGGCTTTTGGTGAGAGCCTGTTTCCTGGCTTGTAGTCTTATCACTGTGTCCTCCCATGTTGGGAAAGGACCAGAGAGCTCTCTAGGGTCCCTTTCATAATGGCACTAATCCCATTATCAGGGCTCCACCCTCAGGATCAAATCGCTTCCCAGAGGCCCCACCTCTTCATGTCATCACATTGGGATCAGAGATTCAACATAGAAAGTTTGGGGGATACAGATATTCAGTCCATAGCAGTCCTAGACCCAAGACAGCAGGCAAAGTCCATTTAGGTAATAGCCTGTAGATTGCTTTTCCTTTGTGCTGAGTTTAAGTAGAGCTTAAGCTGCTGTCCCTGCAGTATCTGGGGTCATTGTTGCTGTCAGGAGGGACACAGCTGGAGGTGTGGAGATAACCCAGAGGGAAGTGAGGCCAGCCCTGGGAAGAAGGCTAGCAACAGCGTCTGCCCCTTAGAAGGGAGGCAGCCCAGGCAGAAATGTTTTCTGCATGGCTGAGATGGGACATTTGCACAGCTTGTTAATAAAGCCTGAATTTTGCTGGGGGAAGGGGGCGGGGACAGAATGAGGATAAAGTTAGAAAGGGGTTTAGCCTGTAAACAAAGCCAGACTCACTCTGCTCTGCTGTCTAAGCTCTGCTTCCACCTGAGGGCTGAGATTTCTCTAATGCAAGGGCCCAAAAGGAAGCAGGGCTCATGGATTTCACCAGATCACAGACAGCGGGACTCTGAGAAGTGTAAGCACAGACAGGTGGCAACACCAGACGCAGAACCAGGCGGCAACACTGCGGGCCAGCCAGAGCTGGGGCTGGGGCTGGGCCTGGGCTGTGGGCTGGGGATGCGGAGATCCTTTCCTCCCCTTCACTCACAGGCTCGCTTCCACCCTGCAGACTCACGAGCCTTCCTTCGGAGGGTGACGACTGGCACAAAGCCTCAGCACCCACAGATCCTGCTGGCCCACCACCCTCAGCGGGGGGCCGCACTTCACAGTTTCTAAAGGGCTTCCGCACCCTTCCTCATTGGGGTCCATGGGGCAGGTATTTTTAAGTCAGTGTAGAGGTGACAGAACTGGGATTCCGAGGGGTTGAGGGGTTCACATGTCCAGCGTGTGGGAGACTCAGGACCCACATGGGCATGTCCTCAGGGCACCCTGGCTGTTGCATGCCCAGGACCCCAGGTATTTGGACGAAGGGTTCAAACCCAGGTTCTGAGTGAAGCCCAGTGCCCACCCCACCCCTGCCCCAGCGCCTACCCATGGGCCCGCACGTGCGCCTCTCTCTGGCTTGCTCCTTCCTCCTTATTCCCAGCATCATGTTAGGCTTGGGTGGCTCCTGGCTGGAGGGCTCACTCGCACAGCCCCGCTGATGCTTGGGGCTGCAGGGGCTGCACTTGGAGGCTCTTGCCGGTGATATTCCTTATCTGGGATCCATTCATATTTTTCTCTCACCGCAGTCAACCACTAGGTAGGAGGAGACACATATGTAGCTGGGCGTTTGGTCAACTCTGTAGAAACGTTGGGGGCAAGGACCACATCTCCATTCTTGTGTGCCCAGTCCTTACCACAAGGCATGAGCCCTACAAATACCATTACTGCATCAATGTGGCACTAAACGCAACTTGCTGTGGTGAGGCTGGGTTGGTCATAAGGTAATATGGGAACTTCACACGTGTATTCATTTTTAACTGATAAAAATCATGAAATAAAACTACTGAAAGTACAGGAAAGCAACTTTGTAAATTAAGAAACCAAAGCAAAGATTGTATGGCTTTTGTAACAGTGTAAGATTATAATTATTCTGGAACATAAAAAATAAAAATAAAGCTGTAGGTGCTGTGGCATAATTCAGCTGACCTAACATTTCATTTGTACCATCCCAGGAAGAAACCCATCCCCACCGTGGGCTCCAACCTAATGATTCTTCCTGCAAGGGCCACGAAGACAAGACATCCTTGGCCTCTGAGACTAAGGATGGAGCATGGAGCCTGGTGTTGGCTCTCCAGGGAGCAGCTTCTGGTTTATTTGCTGTCTCCTATCCTTAATCGGTCAACACTGACCTTGGCAACAGGGACAGGGCTCACTGGGGCTTAGGTTATTCCTCTCCCCACAGCTTCCTTAGCACGCTGCTCATCCTTAGACATTCCTCCCTAACACTTTTGAATTTAATTCCATTCTCTTTTCAGAGAGAGAGAGAGACTGTGAGTGAGTGAAAATGTAATTTTAAATAAATTGTGCAATTAGGCAATGCTTGTCTTCGTGCAGCATCTGCCTGGACCAGCTGGTTAGCCGTCTGATTGAAGTGACCCAGAAGCATCTCTGCCATTTCTGTGATTTTTATCAACCAAAATTTGGCATCTAGGTTCCTTGCTACAAAGTCTGTAGAGAGAGCACCTAGGGAAGCCTAAGTTGGCCCAGGCCTCTCTCCGGCTTGCAGCTCTGCCTCCAGCCTTGCTCGTCTGCCAACACTGAGGAGTTCAGCTTCCAGGCTCAGGGACATACAGGTCCCAGGCTCAGTTTTTAGTCTGTGAATTTACTTATTCAGCATGTAACTCATGCAGAACCGATGTGGCTTCTCTGAACACCCCCTTAACAGGTCACCAACCTTGCTGGAGCCCGTCCTTCAGTCCCCTATGACTTGCCTTGCTCAGTTCGCTCCCCTCCCCCATGAACCCCAAGGTCACGGACCCCCTGGGTCCTGCCACCTCCTCTCCTGGCCTCAGCCAGGTCTGCTCACTCATGTCTTTGATCTCCATGGACAGAGCTGGGGAGGCTTCAGATCACCCTAGTGGAAGAGCGAACAAAGCTGACCCTCACTGGTCTGGCCTCAGTGTTAAGCACATACAGGACAATGGAACCTTTTATACCTCCAAGAGTGACTTCTCATATAACTCCCATGTGTCTTTAGACTAAAAATGTCTCTGTCGCTTTTGGTCCTTTTTGAGTTGTATTACAAAGGGCTCCCTGCCTTTGTAGTGCAAAATCAATACGTATCCGCCTCTACAAGGGGGTTAGTCTATGCTGAGCCACAGGAAGAAGGCAAGTGGGGACAGAAAACCAAACCAAACCGGCCCACCACTCTTACTGGCCCACTGTCCCTGTCCTGCTGACTCCATCCCCTACATGTTTCTGGAATCCTCTCTCATCTGCCCATCCCCACAGCACCATCCCATTCCAGGCTATGGGGACTACTGAGCTACCAAAATGTTGACTGCCAATGCTGCAGCCGCCACCACCGCTAAGAAAGTCAAGCAGTTGGTCTACCCTACCACCAGTCTGCTGCCATTTAAAGTGCAGATGTGCCATGAGCAATTGCAGCTGCTGCATGTTGCTCTGGGAACATGAAGCTGAGGCTCTGCACCTTGGAGAGGCTGCCTCCTGCCTTCTCCTCTCAGGAATTCTGGCTGCCTTTCGGTCCTAGGTCACAACATGCTAGTCCCTCCCTTATAGAGGCTCTGCCTGGAGCCTTCCAGCCCTCCATCCTTGCTAGCTATATGACCCTTCAATTCCCCCAATCTCTCTCCAATGCTCTAGGATGAGTTCTCCCACCGCCATGCCACAAGCGCCTCTTACCTATATTAGTCTGACTGCTTGGTAACCTCCCTTACCTGAAGGTGAGCTCTGAGAACAGGAACTTAACCTGTTCTGCTCCTTTTGTATCCCCAGCACTTTGGACGCGGCTTAGCATGCAGTAAGTGTGCAGTAAAATATTAGTTGAATGAGTAAATTTGTCTGGCACTGTTTCTCCACCAAATTTAGAGCTCGGTCATGCCAGTTTGGCTGAGCCCGATTCTTAGCTGAGCTTTGGCCCATCCCCCTCCCCAAGGAGCTAAGATCCATCCTTTGTTTCTCTGGGTTCCTGGAGTTCACTATATTTCAGAGGCTCTGGGAAGAATGCACGCAGTCTTCTTACATTTTAGACTGTCAGTCTAATCACCAAGTTGCCTCTTTCTCATTGCCCCTTGAGGCATTGGCTGGCAAGACGAACTGTCTCAGATGGTTAATGAAGGCAGCGACCTGCTCCTGGAGAGGTAGGCTTTAACATTTGATACTAATGACAGGAGCTGTGTGGCTTGGTTGTGTCAGGGCTGAAAGCAACACTGAGGGAGAGACGGAGCCCGAGACAGCAAGCTGGAAGTTGGACTCTAGTGCAGGCCAGAACAGAACAGGCTAGGCCCAGCGAGAGCCAGCTGGTAGGACATTACTGGTGGTGGAGGGTCTGCAAGGCTGACACAGTGGCGGTTTTCCCTTAGAAGCCCCGGGCTAGATGGAGGGGTGGGACAGAACATTCCAACACACGGGGAAGAACGCAGAGGCAGAACGGCCAACCCAGTGTGGGAGGGCTGAGAGTCTATGATTAGGTTGGTGCAAAAGAAATTGCTGGTTTTGCCATTGAAAATAATGGCCAAAACCACAATTACTTTTACACCAATAGAAATGGGTACAAAGAAATGGGTAAATACTCCCTCAGAGCAGGGGTTTCCACTTTGATTGCACATTGGAATCACCTGAAGAGCTTTCAAAATACTGATACCTGAGCCGGGCGCGGTGGCTCATGCCTATAATCCCAGCACTTTGGGAGGCCAAGGCGGGCGGATCATGAGGTCAGGAGATCGAGACTATGCTGGCTAACATGGTGAAACCCTGTCTCTACTAAAAATACAAAAAAAATCAGCCAGGCGTGATGGGAGGCACCTGTAGTCCCAGCTACTCAGGAGGCTGAGGCAGGAGAATGGCGTGAACCCGGGAGGCAGAGCTTGTGGTGAGCCAAGATCGCGCCAATGCACTCCAGCCTGGGCGACAGAGTGAGACTCCATCTCAAAAAAAAAAAAAGAAAAGAAAAGAAAAAAAAATACTGATACCTGGGTCCCACTCCCAGAAATTCAAATGCAATTGGCCTGCGTTGTACCCTGGAGTTGGTATATTTTTTATTTTTTTCTCGAGATGGAGTCTCGCTCTGTCGCCCAGGCTGGAGTGCAGTAGCACAGTCTCGGCTCACTGCAAGCTCTGCCTCCTGGGTTCATGCCATTCTCCTGCCTCAGCCTCCCAGGTAGCTGGGACTATAGGCGCCCGTCACCACACCCAGCTAATTTTTTGTATTTTTGGTAGAGATGGGGTTTCACCGTGTTAGCCAGGATGGTCTCGATCTCCTGACCTTGTGATCCGGGCCTGCCTCGGCCTCCCAAAGTGCTGGGATTACAGGCGTGAGCCACCACGCCCGGCCTGGAGTTGGTAGTTTTTAAAGCCCCCCTGGTCATTCTAATGTAAGGCCAAGGTTGAGAACCACTGGCTTAGAAGACAAAGGTAATTAAGCCTGGCATAGACTTGGGGAAGTGAAAGATAGTGGTAGCTGTGCCAGGAAGATATACCCGAAATGACTGCAGTCTGTGGGTTCTTAAAACATGAATCAGATATTGTCAACAAAATCTTATTCAAATGTCCCTCAGATATCTTAAAGCAGTCCTGTGGTTGGAAAAAATTGAACACTCCCCTAATTTTCTTATTTAGTAGGCTGAGATTTGTACCAATCAGTCATTCTTTTCTCATGGCATACAGATAGAAAGTGATGGACAGTTTAATCCCCCAGGAGTTAGTACTGCAGAATCAGACTTCAGCTGAGCACTCATCATTCTTAAACTCATTGCAAAATAAGTTTGTTTGAAATGCCAACTCCCCAAACCCGATGCCTAAAGATTTGAAGACAGTGAGTCTGTGCAGGGCCTGGACTAGGCATGTCTAACGAACTCCCCAGGTAATAGTGTAACAAATCTGTGGCCCCACATTGAGAAATGCTGATTTAAGATCTGGGATGAAGGCTAAATGTATCTGGTTTTCTTAAGAGCATTCTAATCCATCCTATAAACACCCAGTGTAAAGAGTATTTACAATTTAATGGAAGCTGCAGTGAAGAAAATCAATTCCCAGTGCTGCAATTTAAGTGTGTGTCTAGAACGAGGACAGAAGATGTCCTATTAGGTACATCCCCATACATCACCACACAGATGCTGGCACCTGTGTGCATAGCTCAGGCCTGTCAGGAAGCATTTTGCACCCCATAGTTCCAGGTAGCCTAATGTCTGCAGTGCTTTCAGAAACACCGGAAGCCCCTGAGAGCTTTCCACCTGTGAGGCGAGCATGGGGCAGCTGGCATGCTTCACTTGGGGTCCATACCATTCGAGAGAGACACTGCATAATTTGGGGTACCCCATGAATATACCCTGATATGGTTTGGCTGTGTCCCCACCCAAATCTCATCTTGAATTCCCACGTGTTGTGGGAGGGACCCAGTGGGAGGTGACTGAATCATGAGGGCAGGTCTTTCCCCTGCTGTTCTCGTGATTGTTATGCATACATCTAAGTGAAGAGACAACCTGAACAGGCTAAGTGTGAGCAACATGGCTGTTTATTCACTCGGGTGTGAGCGGGCTGAGTCCAAAAAGAGAGTCAGCGAAGGGTGGTGGGAGTGGAACTGGTTTTATGGGTTTGGGGTAGATAGTGGAAAGTTACAGTTAGGGACAGTTTTTTCGGGCAGGGGAAGAATGTCACAAGGTGCATAGTCACGAGGTGGGGGAGGTCACAATGCACCATATCACGAGGTCAATTGATTAGTTGGGGCAGGGCAGGAACACACCAGAATGGTGGAATGTTGCAAAGTCGGTTAATCAGTTAAGGCAGGAACTAGCTGTTTCTTCTTCTTGAGTGGTTCCTGCTGCTCCAGGCTTTGTGACTCCAGGAGGCCTGTACATGTGAGTCACAGGGGTCACAATGGCTCAACCATAGTGCAGCCTGTTCAGAGGACCTTACAGTGATAGTGAATGAGTCTCACGAAACCTGTTGGTTTTATAAGTATCCATGCACAATCTCTCTCTTTGCCTGCTGACCTCCATGTAAGACATGACTTGCTTCTCCTTGCTTTCCACCATGACTGTGAGGCCTCTCCAGCCATGTGGAACTGTGACTCCATTAAAACTCTTTCTTTTGTAAATTGCCCAGTCTCGGGTATGTCTTTATCAGTAGTGTGAAAACGGACTAATACACACCCTCATCACACCAAGGTTACCAACCCGACTAAAATGATGGGGACCTGTTCATAGTCCCACCTGTACAGCCCCGCACTAAAGTGAAAACAGTAACAGATCTGCTTCAGGGAAGAATCCCACTCCTGAGGTTATCCTGTTTCCAGTTAGAGATTTGCTTTCTGCAAATACTGTTTTCGCTGGGGATCATTTAGCCCTAAGTATTGTAAGAGAGCGTGTATGATGCATGGTCCTGAGCCCAAACATGCTGGACTAAAGGGAGGGGAAAAAGAATAGTAATGAGATTCAACTGAGGGGCATGGATGGTCAGCCCCAGTAAACCCCAGCGAGTGTTTTTTCTTGGCACCTCATTATTTTCTCCTGGAAAAGATTCATGCTGCCTGCTGCTGCCTGCCCTGTCCCATCGGGGTTAAGGAGATAACACTGACCAAGTGTCCAGGTTTGATGTCAAAGATAACTCTGTTAACATTTGAGGAATGGCCAACAGTTTTCCAAATGGCTGTACCATTTTTTTCTTTTGAGACAGGGTTTCACTCTGTCACTGTATGGCAGATCCACCTGACAGCAGTCACTTAAGAAATGAGAGCTGCGACATGGAGGTTGCTGGCACTGAGGGTGCTAAATGAAAATGCCATATAAAGTCCATGCTTCTTACAAGTGGTTGCTGTTCTCCTGTCCAGCCTGCCAACACAGAACTGCCCTGTGAGTACGTTCCCTCAAATAAACCCTACGTTTTGTGCACTGGCTCTGGTTCTCTTCTTCAGCCTCTTCAACTTCGTGCCATCCCTACTGAAGTTAATAGGAATCGTCAAGACTGTTGCCCAGGCTGGAGTACAGTGGTGCAGTCATGGCTGACTACAGCCTTGAACTCCTGGACTCAAGAGATCCTCCTGCCTCAGCCTCTTAAATAGCTAGGACTACAGTTGCACACCACCACACCTACCTATTTTTTTTTTTTAAGAGACAGAGTCATGCTATGTTGCCCAGTCTGCCCTTAAACTCTTAGCCTCAAGCAATCCTTCTGCCTCAGCCTCCCAAAGTGCTGGGATTACAGGCGTGAGCCACTGCACCCAGCCTGGCTGCACCATTTTCTATTCCCACCAGCTGTAAATGAGGGTTCTGATTTCTCCACATCCTCACCAGCCCTTATTACTCTGCACTGGAGAGCAGAAGCCTCATGATGTCCTCCAAGCAACCATTTACAAAAGCTTTCAGCTGTTGGCTGACAACAATGGAGACCAGAAAATGAGTTGTACAATGAAGAAGATCTTTGCTGATGCCAAAACTCTTGTTGAAATATCAAAAGACCATGACAATGCAGAAAAAGTCTCTTTATGAGCAAACCGCAGCTTTCCAGAGCAGTTCAAGTTATCAGCTTTGGGATTCATAATGAGCAAGTACTGAGAACAAATGTTGAGGGCTGAAGAGTTAGCTAAAAAGAAGGCTGACCTTGGTAGAATCATGAAATTTAACAAACAACATTCCAAGGTATTACAAGCCCACGTTGACCTGATAACTGAAATAGCAGCAGTAATGAGGAAAGCCACTGAGATTGGTGAGCATCAAGGTTGCATGAGATAGGAAGAAAAGATTTCAGCTTAAACAGAAAATCAATGATTTGAGAGAAATCCTTCAAATAATGGAAAATCATGATCTCAATCAGCCCACATAAATGATGCTCTCAAAAGCTGGTTTTTGAAAATGCGTAAACAATGGTCATAGGATTTATTCTTATTAAAAGATCATTTAAAAATAATTTAGTAGGTGAGTAGATGAGAAGCTATCATAACGGCATCATCACAGGATACCTTCATTGGAGAAATGTCTGCTCATATACTTTGCCCATTTTTAAAGTGGCATATGATTTTAAAGTAATTTTAAAGACACCGATTCTGTTATTCCACTCGTTAATTGATTGAGTCGGCCAGTCCAGGCACCTTTTGGAGCTGTGTCACAGAAGTTTCCAGCTCTTCTCAGGCCCAGATCACTTGAGAAAAAAAAAAATCTTCTTGTTACTAAGTTGTAAGCATTCTTTACATATTCTAGACCCAAATCCCTTATCGGGTGGGTGATTTGCAAATCTTTTCTCTGAGTCTGTGGCTTGTCTTTTCACTTTCTTCATGATATGGTTTCAAGTGGAAATGTTTTTAATTTTGAGGAAGTGCAATTTGTCTACTTATTTTGTTGCTTATATGTTTGGTGTTATAGTTAAGACTGACCTAGGATCATTGAGATTTACCTTTATGTTTTATAGTTTTAACTCACACCTTTGGGTCTATGACCTATTTGAGTTAATTTTGTATATGCCATGAGATAAGGATCTAACTTCATTCTTTTGCATGTGAATATCCAGTTGTTTGAAAAAACTATGCTTTCCTCATTGGATTGTCTTGACATCTTTGTCAAAAATAAATTTCCTGTAAATTTCCAGGATTTATTTTTGAACCTCCGATTCTAGTCCATTGATAGCTTTATCCTACGCTAATACTACATTGTCTTGATTACTGTAGCTTTATAGTAAGTTTTGAAATCAGGAAGTTTAAGTCCTTTAACTTTGTTCTTCCTTTCAAGATTGTTTCAGCTCTTCAGGGTCCATATGAATTTTAGGATCAGCTTGGCAATTTCTGCAGGAATAACCAGCTAGAATTTTGAATCTGTAGATCAATTTGGAGAATATTGCCATTTTAACAGTAGTAAGTCTCAGCATCCCAGCTCTGGTAGATTCATTTAATTACATCTATTTATCATCAGTCACCAACTACCTCAAGGAAGGACACAGAACTGAAATCCACAGTTTTTACTTTCTCTAAATTTAGGTTGCAGCACCAGAAAATGCAAAGGTATCATTGGATAACATAAGCAGATTATGTTGCCTCAATTTTCTTAAGATATTTGGGAAGATTCTTTGAAAATCTTCAGACTTTTAATCGTTTCTTTTTACTTTTTTACTTTTTTTCTTTTTTCTTTTCTTTTTTTTTTTTTTTTTTTGAGACGGAATCTCACTCTGTTGCCCAGGCTGGAGTGCACTGGCACGATCTCCGCTTGCTGCAACCTCCGCCTCCCAGGTTCAAGCGATTCTCCTGCCTCAGCCTCCCGAATAGCTGGGATCACAGGCGCCTGCCACCACGCCCAGCTAATTTTTGTATTTTTATTTTCAGTAGAGACGGGGTTTCAACATGTTTGCCAGGCTGGTCTCGAACTCCTGACGTCAGCTGATCCACCCACCTCAGCCTCCCAAAGTGCTGGGATTACAGGCATGAGCCACCGTGCCCGTCCAGACTTTTCATCTTTTCTATCAATTTGGGGGTTTGTTTGTTTGTTGGCTTTAGTTTCCATCTGTGCCTGATATTGTGCTAGTTTTCAGTATGAAAACCTGTTTATACAGACATGCTCTGGCTGTCCTCAGTGGCAGACAATGGAAAATCACTGGAACCCTAGTAGGACAATGTCAAAGATCAAAGTGTGTCTATTTTAATTTTTTCTCTAGGCACTGTGATGCTTGTTACTAGTCTGTTACAGGTCAATGTTTGTGGCTCCAAGGAGAAAATTGTTTTCCCTGGAAACTCATTGGCCCTGGACATAAATGGAAGCTTGTTGGAATGAGGCAGATGACTCTAACAGAGGTTGGGAGCATGAGTCCATTTGATAACTGCACTTTGAGGAGCCAGGGAGGTGGTGGGAACTGGCACATAGCAGAGTCGGAGATCATTGCTCTTTCCTTTGCCTTAGTGAAACAAGACTCTGAGATACAGAAGGTGCACATTTGGTTTAATTTGCTAGAGCCACAGTTACTAACAAACACCATCGGGAGGAGCTGATTTGTGTCTTGACCTTGCCAATGTTGGCTCACACAATCATAGACTCTCCTCCCTCGAACACTTCCTTCCCAAAAGTAAACCATGTTAGAATTCTTAGAATGGCAACTTCCTACCTGGGCTTTGCCCTGGGAGCCCTTGTATCCTTCCATTTCTTAGCCAGGAAGCCCTGGGGCAACGCTGCCTGTTGGAGAGAAGCCCCCCTCTATGATCCACGGGGAGAGCTTGGCAAAGAGGCAGCAAGATGGTGAATTAATAAAGCACTGTAGGCCATGTGTGTGGCCTTTAGAAGGAAGAGAACAGAGCCTCTCAGGGGCAGAGTCTGGGTTCCTTTGTTAAAGATTCTTGGTTCTGCTCCAATCTGAGCAGATTCTAGTCTCAGTCTGAGCTGAATGTTTGGGATCCAGCCACAGACATCTTCTTGAGTATTTTTAAATGTTCTAACCCATCACAGTGACCAGATATGTTGCCAACATAGCGATAGACGACACACGGTGGTTACTTTCTTTTGCTCTCTGAAAGCAGAATCTAGGAAGAAAGGCTAATCTGGTCAGTGGAGGTTTGGGGGTCAGAAGGCTGGGGTCTGTCTGCCCATTGCCACCTCAGTTCTACCCATGGCAGCTCAACTACAGTTTCCAAGGAGGGAGCAGCAGCCTCCTGAGGAACCACAGACCCTCCAAAGTTGGCAGGGGTTAGGTGGGCAGGCCTCCCAACAGGGGTGGGAAGTGGAATGATTTCTAAAAGGAGATCACTTTGAAATTTTACTAGAGTAGAAATATCGATAATAAATACCCTTTCAGCTGCCAACCTATAATCTGAGCATTAATTGAATCAACTTCCATTTTAATTTCCACCTTGGTTTTCATAAAACCAATCGTTATTTAGAAAGGACCAGATTATTCAATAAATAGTGAGCAATTTGCAGGCACTGAGTAAGAGTGAGGAACAAGAGGAGTAGTCACAGCCCTTGGGAGCTGACATTTGTCTAAGGTAGAGAGGCACTAAAAAACAGAAATGAATAAGGAATGTAAGTTTAGGTGGAGATATAAGAACAGAGGCAGAGGTAGGAAGTCAAGAGCACCACAGCCAGAATGGTGAAACTAGAAGGGGAAGAACTTGTCTTTACTGAGATCCTCTATTGAGGTGACTTATGTCATTAAGTCCCTGTGGAGGATGTATTCATGTCCTCGGAGTACACACAGCAGAACTGAAGCCCTGAGAGGCCAGGGTAGCTGCCCAGTACATTCAGGGTCAGGGGACTCCGAAGCCTGTGTTCTTCCCACAATCCTCCCTCTCAACACCTCTCTCTAGCCCCTTTATTCTATAGGCGGTCCCTGAATGAGCTTGTGGGAAGCAGAAACCCAGAGACCTCCACAGTGCTGTGTGTGGGGAAGCCTTCTCTGTGTATGTCTTCAATGTGGAAGGAATTGCATGAAGATGGGCTGAAAACCCAGGTTCCAAAGGGAAGTGAGGGAGTAAGACCTTGTCCCAAGGTCATGGTCCCAGGGAGAAGCCCTGCCTGGGTTCTTCAATCCTAGTGGATGACATTCCTAGCCAAGGAGTTCATGAAATTTTTCTCCAGGTGAAGGTCACCCCCGTGGCCTCCCTGCCAGACAGTGGTTCGCAGCCTCCCAGCCGCCACCATCACACTCTGTGAGCTGCTGCTATTTTTAAACCCCTCTTTTCTGTGCCCTTTTCATCTGACAGGTGAAGAATTGCCATCATTTTAGCACTGAATAACATTCATTATGCGTTATCTGTGATGAAAGACCTTATTTACTACCTGGGTACTCCCTCCTCCGAAACCACGCTGAGGTGACCTTTTTAATACCAAGAAGGAATCAGTGCTGTTTTGTACTTGTAGACACATACAAATCAATGAAGAATGGGTCTCTATGTTTAGTGGGAGGGAAGGGCTCTGCTGGGGCCATTTTTGAAGCCATTCCACAGTTTGGGGCCGTGGATCAGTGCACAAGAAAGAAACAGCTTTCAAAATTATCTGAGCCTGTCACATTAGCAGCCTAGATTGCCCTCAGCATCTTGAATACAGTTGTCAAGCACAGGCAGTGACTTTGCAGGTCAATAAATGCTATTTAGCTTCATGTGCAAAGTTTATTAATTGACTTGTGCAGAAGAAAGTCACATCCCCTGGCCGGGAGCAGTGGCTCACACCTACAATCCCAGCACTTTGGGAGGCAGAGGCAGGAGGATTGCTTGAGGCCAGGAGCTCAAGACCAGCCTGAGGAACATAGTGAGACCCCTGTCTCTGGAGACATAAAAAAAATAAAAATTAGCAGAGTGTGGTGGCTTGCACCTGTAGTCCCAGCTATGTGGGGGAATCACTTGAGCCCAGAAGGTTGAGGCTGCACTGAGCTATGATCTCACCACTGTACTCCAGCCTGGACAAGAGAGTGAGACTCTGTCTCTTAAAAAAAAAATAAGAAAAAAAGAAAGTTCCATCCCTGAGAGGTCTCCAGCCTCCAGCATGTGCATATTTAACACTATACATTTGAGCAGTTTCCTCGTGCCCATCACTAGCATGGCACAAACCCAGCTACCATCCGGTAAGCATGTGTGAAAGCTTCAAGAGCTCCTGTAACCAAGACAGAGGGAAGATGCCCACCAGGGAACCAACAGTGCTCTGTGACCAGCGTGGGCAGCCCTGGAGGAGCCCTTGCTGCAGTCACCTGGGGGCTGATTTGAACACTGGGCCCCACTGCCAAGTCTAGTCTTTCATTAGTTCTCCTTGCTGCTCCAGGTCTCCTCTCTACAGCCCAGGACTCACTTCCATACAAATAAATGGCTGACATCAGCTTTCATCTATCCCAGAGCCCAGGAGCACTTGTCTGGTGCTTGATAGAGCAGCCTGCACTTCCAATAGAGAAGTCTACTCCGAGGCATGGGGTCACAGCAGGGCATGGTAGGGAGTGGTCCCTGAAGCTGTGACTACTCTCCTGCCTGGGGACAAATACAGCTGTGGAGGAGGCTCCGTCCAAGAGGACCCAAACCTGGGGATGTTCCGACTCTGCCTCTTCTCTTCAGCCTGATCTTGCATCTCAAAATAGCACTCTCATCTGTCGGCTTCCCAGGCTTGATCTAACAATGCAGAAACAGATTTGAACTTCACACACTGTGCTTTTGTGTTTGCCAGCTTTGGAAATAGTACAGGCGGGAAACAGCTAGCAGAAAGAGGCCCAGTTCTTCCATAATCCATGTTTGGTCTCAGCTTCCATGCTAGCCCTTCCCTTCTCACAGATGACCCTGACAGGGACGTGGCTGCCTTCATCCTCCGTGTGCCAGGGGCCATGGTGAGTGCTGTGGACTGAGAAAGCCTGTTGGGGAGCGCGATGCTGCCTGCTCAGCCCTGCAGCGAGTGGTGAGGGAGAGAGGTGGCTGCCCTGTGAACGTCCTGGGAACCCTGAACCGAATTGAGGGCCCAGGGTCCCAGCACAGAGCCAACTGGAGGACTGCAAACACACTAGCAGGTGTGCATAGCACAGAAAAAAGCAAATGGCAAACCGTAACTCACCAGGGTGAAACAAAATGCACCACCTTCATCCTTTCGGCAGACAATGCCCTATAAGGTGTGGGATCGTTTGCCATGGTGTGAAGGTCAAACCTATGCCTGCCACAGTGTGTCCAGGGAAGATAATCCCAAAAGCAGAGGCAGCAAGATGATTTGGGAATTGTGTTCATTTTGCACGTGGGTCATGTGTTTCCATAGGATAAAAATGAGCAGAGGCCGGGCGCGGTGGCTCACGCCTGTAATCCCAGCACTTTTGGAGGCCAAGGTGGTCAGATCACTTGAGGACAGAAGTTTGAGACTAGCTTGGCCAACATGGTGAAACCCCATCTGTACTAAAAATACAAAAATTAGCCAGGTGTGGTGGCGCGTGCCTGTAATCCCAGGTACTTGGGAGGCTGAGGCAGGAGAATCGCTTGAACCCAGGAGGCAGAGGTTGCAGTGAGCCAAGATCGCACCCACTGCACTCCAGCCTGGGCAACAGAGGAAGACTCCGTCTCAAAAAAAAAAAGAATTGTTTGCACCTGCTGTGTAAAACACTAATGTGATTATTTCTATTTCCGTATCCAGAAATAAAACCCCAGTATTAATAAATATCTGTTCATTAAGAGTTTTCTTCTAATAACATAACCCCCAAGGTCCTGTTGCTTGTTGCTATGCATTTAGGTGCAAACATCTCCTGCTGGCAGGTGTGCCCGGGCCGTGCAAATGAGCCATGGTCCTGTGTGTTCTCCTGCTGTCTGAACACGCTGCTGTCTCCAAGGCTGTAACTATTACACTATCAGGATTCTGGGGCTGTTGGTCTCATGGCAGCATCAGCAGCCTATAGGAGAGGGCAAGAAGACACGCTGAGCCCTGCATTGTTTTATGGAGGGAAACTGTTCCTGCATCCTTCTGCTTCATTCCGTGGATACTGCCTGCCCTGCTTCTATGGTCCATGTCCGGGAATGGGTTAGCACTGGGCATTTGCCCATTTGACTATAGCAGTAACAGCCAATATTTATAGAGCTCTTATTACTGTTAGTGGCTTTATTAATTCATTTAACCCTCAACACCATTTTTGTCTTTGTTTTTAGATATGGGATCTCACTCTATCACCCAGGCTGGCCACCACACTCGGCTATTTTTTTTTTTTTTTTTTTTTTTTAGAGACAGGATCTCACTATGTTGCCCAGACTAGTCTTGAACTCCTGGGCTCAAGCAATCATCCTGCCTCAGCCTTGCAAAGTGCTGGGATTACAGGTGTGGACCACTGTGCTTGGCCCCCTCAACATTATTTCACAGCTGTAATCATCACCTCCATTTTTCAGACAAGGAAACTGAGGTTTAACGAGGTCAGGCGACTTGTCCAAGGGCACCGTGATAAAAAGGGGTGGAGCTGGATAGGGCCAAGGCTGTCTGACCCCAAAGCCCACCACATCACCACTGCACCCTGGCTTTCTGGAGTTGGTGCAGAGAAGAGCAGGAAGTGCTTCTTGCTAATGTATAGGAAAGATGCTCATGAAGCCGTAAACCCTTACCTGGCCCATGGCCTCCTTCAAGGAATGTGACCACAGGTGGTTTTTCTACTCCAAGCTGTTATGGCATGCGCCGTGTGTCAATCAAAATGAGTTCTGCTCCCCTGACTGCAACGAATGGGCCACCAAGCTCTGTGAGGGCAGGACAGTGCCTCTTACCTGTTGGTGAAGCTCCAGTACTTAGCACATAGTAGGTACTCAATAAATATCTGTTGAATTAATAAATGAATCAGAAATTGGTGCCCATGCCTAAGGCAGCCAAGTCTGGATTATAAAAATGTAATGTGAACAGTCTCTGTTGTGGCCCAATGCAAAGCTTTACCTAACAGATGCTTTGAATAGGGTGGCAACAAACTGGCCTCATCAGATCTTTGGAAAGTATGGAGGCCATGAAAGCACACTCCATGAAGCCTGTCATGCATCCCAGTCTGGAAACCCAGAGGGACAGTGCAGCTCAGGAGCTGATGCCCTGTACCACTAGGTTCCCGGACTCTTCACTAAACCCCCAGCATCAAAGGTGAGCTGGGCCTTTCTCAGCCTACCATCCCCAGAACTTACCCCAATCTGTCAGGGAAAGTTTTTCAATTCCAGGTTGCTTTGATTTGAATATCTGGGTCCCTCCAGAATTCATATGTTGAAATCTTGACCCCACGAGGTGATGGTGTTGAGAGGTGGACCCTTTGGGAGGTGATCAAGTCATAAAGGTAGAACCCGCATGCTTGGGATTAGTGCCGTCCCGGTAAGAAAGACTCTAGATAGCTCCGTTGCCCCTTCTGCCACATGAGGACACAGTGAGAAGATGAATAAGTGAAACAGAAATTGGTGCCCAAGCCTAAGGCAGACGAGTCTGGATTGTAAAAATACAATGCCAACAGTCTCTGTTGTGGCCCAAGGCAAAGCTTTACCAAATTCTTCTATCAGTCAGAAAGCAGGCTCTCACCAGACTCTCAATCTGCCGGCACCTTGATCTTGAACTTCTCAGGCTCCAGAACTGAGCAATAAATTTCTGTCGTTTACGCCACCCAGTCTAAGATCTTTTTTATTATAGCAGCCCGAACAGACTAAGACGCAAAAGGACCAAGTCTTCCCATAGAAGAGAGTGGAGAAGGTAGGGGTTTTCCCGATCCACATGTGTCTTTCTTTCTCCAGCTGGTCAAGAGGATCCCACAGAGGCCTCTTCTGCCCCAGAAGCCCTGTGTATGTGGTGGCGTGGGGGTGACTGCCCCTTCTTTGACTCACAGGGAAACAGGAATGTGGCAGAGGAGCAAGTGACATCTTTAAGAATGAAAGGAGAGAGGGGCATTACGGTTCAAAACATCACTCCATCCTTACCTATGTGGGAAATACCCTCACAGTCACTCACACACCAAAGCGGGTGTCTCTGTGTTTATGTTCATGTAGGACCATGTGGTCTCTCAATATTGAGATGTGGGAACCACAGGAGAAAACTAGGCTATGAAGGCCAAAAAAAAAAAAAAAAAAGGTAACATTTAACTAAAATGTTAAATACAAGTTAAGCTAATGTACAATTTGTGACCCACATAGACATGCTATGACCTAGTGATTTTTTTAAAGCTTTTATCAGAGTTGGCAAATTCCCACAAATATTAGTCTCAGACAATTTGGCTTCATATTTCAGAATAATGCGTCTGTGATTAACACCCTGGGCTTCTTCACAGTATTGATTCTCTGGGCCTGATGTGGTAAGCAAGCACACCAGGGATCACAAGGTCATTTTCTAACTTGCCCTGAGCCTGTGGCTTTTGTGGTTATTGCCATCTGCCGCTGTTGTTATTGCTATTGTTGTTACTGGATCTCATACACAGTCTGGAGCTAAACGTAAAGCCTCATCCTGCAGGCATCATTTCACGCGACTGCCACAGTCTTCTCCCAAGGATAAGCTGTGATGTCACTTCCCGTGGCCGGCTGGCCTACAAAAGCCTGCTGTCATTCTGTCATGTGGTTTTGCCCAGGGTTGGCACAGGGGCGTGCCCAGACATGCAGCAGCTTTACATTGTTTCTCCCTCACAGAGCTTGGGCATATCCCATCAAGAATATGGCTGTGGCTGTGCATCCTAATAAAAGGCTGGAGAAATAACTTTGTGTTGTGACTGTAGCATTAGCCGCAAATGAAATAACTACCCTGTGCACACTCTCATTCTGTTTCTCAAGATGTTGAAGATATAAGTATAAAAGTGTTGTTGTGTCCATAGCTGGGAAGGCAGACGGGTTTAGTCTTCAAGTCAGCTTTGAGACTGAGTGATGGCTGCCTGGGGATCCCATTGAGAGCCATTGTCAGGCTGGGTCCAGCCAAGAGCTCAGGATTATTAGTTATGTCTGCCATGGGAGCAGAAGTGGGGACAGTGGGATTGACGTGTCATTTATTTTGCCAACTTGGTTTATAATGCAGATTCTATTACGTGCCCTGTGACTTCCTCTCCCTATTCTCTTTATGAAAATGTTTCAAAGACTTTCCTCACTAAATAAGCTGAATTCTTAGTCACTAATCATTCCCACAAAGTGAAGAGAAGTCAGCAAAAAGACCAAGGAAAGCTGGCTATATCTGGGATTGAGTGAAATTCCTCAACGGGCTCATGCTGGTCACACAAGGGGACAGCATGACATGGTGGGAGAGCACAAGCTTCGCACTTGAATCCTGACTTACTACTAGCTCAGTGGCCTTGAGAAGGTTACTGAGTCTCAGATTCTTCACCTCTAACATGGAGCCAACAATTCCTACCTTCCTGGATGGTTGTGAAAATAAGAGCTCACCTATGTAAAGTTCAGGGAATTATGCTGAGTCCTCTGGAGACAGCAAGATATGAATGGTTGTGGAATGGGGAGCTCTGGTTAGTAGAAGCTTCTGGTGAAGTGAGTCTCACTGCCATCACTCAATACCATGCCATCATGGGAAGAACCACAGAATAGAGTCAGAAGACATGAGCACACACTCCAGCTTAGCTACTTCCCAAGGGGGCACCCTAGGAAACTGACCTGTCTCAGCTCCAGGGTACACAAGTCTGTGTTCTGTGAAACACAGTTAATAATAACACAGCCACCATTAGGGTGATTTTGACCTTAAACATACTTATGAAAGTGCCTGGCTTACAGTGGTTGCTAAAAATAATATATCAAATCTTCCATTTCTTTTAACTTTTATTTGGAAAAATACATTTTTTTAGAACAGTTTTAGGTTTACCAAAAAAATTGAGAAGCTAGTACAGAGAGTTCCCATGTACCCCACCCACAGTTTGCCCTATTATTAACATCTTACACTGGTGTGGTACATCTGTTACAATTAACGAACCAATATTGATACATTATTAACGAAAGCCCATAGTTTATTCAGATTTCTTTGTTTTTTTTTCCTAATGTCCTTCTGTTCCGGGACCTCAGACAAAATCCTACATTACATTTAGTCATTATGTCTCCTTAGGCTCCTCTGGGCTGTGACAGTTTCTCAACCTTTCCTCGTTTTTGATGACTTTGAGAGTCTTGAGGAGTACCGGTCAGTGTTTTGTAAGACATCCCTCTATTAGAATTTGTCTGATTTCTGTTGTGATTAGACTGGGGTTATGGGCTTGGGAGATGAAAACCACAAAGATAAAGTACCATCCTCATCACATCATACTAAGAGTAGATGCATGATTTATCTTTATTAATATTGACCTTGATCACCTGGCTGAGGTAGTATCTTAGTCCATTTGTGCTGCTATTAAAAATACCTTAGATGGCTGGGCACAGTGGCTCATGCCTGTAATCCCAGCACTTTGGGAGGCCGAGGCGGGCAGATCACCTGGGGTCGGGAGTTCAAGACCGGCCTGACCAACATGGAGAAACCCTGTCTCTACTAAAAATGCAAAACTAGCCGGGCGTGGTGGCTCAGGCCTGTAATCCCAGCTACTCAGGAGGCTGAGGCAGGAGAATCGCTTGAACCCAGGAGGCGGAGGTTGTGGTGAGCCGAAATCATGCCATTGCACCCCAGCCTGGGCAACAAAAGCAAAACTCCATCTCAAAAAAAAAAAAAAAAAAAGCAAAAAAAAAAAAAAACAAAAAAAAACACCTTAGACTGAGTAATTTATAAGAACAGAAATATATGCTTTATGGTTCTGGAGGCTGAGAAGTCCAAGATCAAGGAGGCAACTGATTCAGTGTCTGGTGAGGGCTGCGCTCGGCTTCCAAGATGGTGCCTGTTGCTGTGTCCTCTCATGGCAGAAGGCAGAAGGGCAAAAGGCACTATGGCATGCCCCTAAACCTCTTTTATAAGAATACTAATCCACTCAAGAGGGCAGAGCCCTCATGACCCTTCCTAAAAGGCCTACCTCTTAATAACATCACCTTCGAGTTTAAGTTCCAACATAAGAATTTCAGAGGAACACATACATCCAACTCATAGGAAGTGGTGTCAGACTGGTTTTTCCACTGTAAAGTTACCCTTTTTTCTTGCCCCTTCTATTCTGTACTCTTTGGAAGGAAGTCACTATGCATAGTGACTTAAGGAGTGGGGAGTTATGGTCATCCCATTTAGGGTGAAGGATCTACTTCAATTATTTAGAATTCTTCAAGGGAGATCATCTCTTCTCTCCTGTTTATTTATTCAATCATGTATTTATATTAGTGTGGATTCTTGGATGCTTATCTTATATGCTGGGTCATAATCCGATACCATTTAATTTATTTTGTTGTTCAAATTGTTCCAGATTTGGCCGATGGGAGTTCTTTCAGTTGGTTCCTGTGTCGCTTTGATAAATTCCCATCAATGTAGGTTTATTTTGCTTTTTAGCACTTCCTTACTTTCTGAAACTTTAAGATATCTTCTAACTTTTTTATTTTGAAATAATTATAGATTCACAGGAAACTGAACAAAATATACAGAGAAGTCCCATGTACCCTCTCCCAAAGTTAACATCTAGCACTACTTTATTACAGGAAATACAAAACATAATATAAAAACCAGGAAATTAACATTGGTACAATGCAGAGGTTATGCAGATTTCTCCAGTTATACACGCCTGTATTAGTGTGTGTGAAGGATGTATAATTCTATGCAATCGTATCACATGTGTAGCTTAATGTAACCACCACCCAATCAAGACACAGCACTACTCAATCCCCACAAGGCTCCGTCCTGTCACCCCTTTACAGCTGCTCCTTCTTCTCCCTCCCTAACCTCTGGCTACTACTAATCTGTTCTCTATCTCTGCATTTTTGTTATTTCAAGCAGGTTATATCAATGGAATCATAGCATATGTAACCTTCTTAGATTAGCTGTTTTCACTGAGTGTAATTCCCTGGAGATTCATCCAGGCTGTTTTGTGCATCAGTAGTTCTTTCCACAGTGTGGATATGCCACAGGGAGATTAATTGCTCCCTGTTGAAGGACATCTAGGTAGTTTCCAGTTTTCAGCTATTAGGAATAAAGCTACTGCTATGAATGTCTGTGTCCCTGTTATTCATCACATAAGTTTTTATTTCTCTGAAATAAATGCCCAAGAATGCAATTGCTGGGTCATATGGTAAGTCCCATTTTTAGTTTTAAAAGACACTACCAAACTGTTTCCAGAATGAATGCCATTTTACGTCCCCACTAGCTACATATGAGAGATCCAGTCTCTCAGCATCCTCACCAGTATTTGGTTTTGTCGCTATTTTTTATTTTAACCATTCTGATAAGTGTGCAGTGCTATCTCGTTGTGGTTTTAATTTGCATCTTCCTAATGACCAGTGATGTTGAAAATCTTTTCACATGCTTATTTATAAATCTTAATTTTTTAAATGGTGAAAATAGCAACTATATACTACCAAATTTCTAAAAACAAGTAAATTTTCCTTGGAATCAGAAAGTATTCACATGGGCTCCTTGAATATCTTTTTAAGAGCCCAAAACCCACTGTAGGCTCTTGAATATGAGTTATCTCCTCTGCTGAAATAACAGCGGTTATTAGTTGAACACTTACTTTATGCCAAGTGAGAACAGGCACTTGAATTTCGTTGAATCCTCCCACAGATCTGCAGGGAACATGAGATGAAAGAGAGCAAGTATTCCGCCATTTGCCCAAATGGGTATCAAATCGCACAACCAGAATGTAAAACTAGGCCTGTGAGACTCCAAAGCACTTGTTGTACTCTCCACTGTCACCTCTCCTGATGGAAGTTAGGAGCAGAACCAAAATTTCTGGCTAATTGAGCTTTGGAGCTATCTATTCAGATCCTTGATACCAGAGTGTATTCCCTCCATTTAACCTCCAGCTCCAGCTGGATGACCTTAAAGTGAATTAAATTGCATTTGATCCACAGCTGCTATTTCACCTTTCACTACTTTGCTGCCTGAGGCACCAGAAAACATTCTGATTTCTCTCATCAGACTCTTCATCTGTACACGTATCTGATTAAGCAAACTATTCTGGAACTACTAGTACCAGCTGATCGTCTTTCCTGAGCTATTAACATCAGAATCGTGGTCTACCACCAAGACCTGCTTTCCTTCTGAGGCACAGCATAGCTTCGCACCAGGACCCTGGAGCTGAGTCAGACCATTCTGTGGAGGGCAATGACCGCAAAGGCAGGGCAGCAAGATTGATGGCACCCGGGCCCCGATGACTCCACAGCAGGGTCATGAACCCAGCTAGGTTTTTTCTGAGAGAGGGTAATACACTTCTCCCTGGTTTAAGCCACTGTTAGGCTGAGTCTCAGTCATGCAGTGAAACCTGCATCTTAGCCATTCAGATTCAGTTCAGCCCCAGAAACAGCCCACGTACCACTGGCCTCCCTACCCTGCCCACTGCAGACAAGACTAAACTATCCCCATCCAGGAGTGGCCCCCTGAGCTCAGGGCTCCAGCCAACTACTGCCAATCATTTGGAGCTGCCCCGGGGGATGAGTCCAATGCTATTGCTCTCTGGAGGCTGAACGATGCCACACTGTGTCCTGGAGGCCCCTTCTCTACAGAGGAGCATGTGTCCTGCTGGTCTACTCCCCAGACATGGCCCCTGTGTCCTGTGAGGTAACTTGTCCTCCTCACACTCTGCAGAGGAGGGAGGAGTGAGCCCCCAGCCAATACCCAGGAAGCTGGTCCAGCTCTCATAGGATAGCCAGCCCCAGCTCAGGAAAAGATTGTATGTTCAGCATCTATATTCTTCTTCTGGCTCTGCTGCTTAACATTTTGCTGCAAAATGAAGTCATCCCTTGGCTGAAGGATATATCTCTTAAGCCCCTTGCCCTCGGTTGGCTCCCAGCAGAAGTTTTTGAAATGGTTTTTGAGAGGCAGGAGAAAGCCAGGCACTTAGCAGAGAAGGCCACATCCCTCAAAGACCCAGGAGAGCTCCGTCAGGGCATGGTCTTTGTCTAGCAGCAGGTCAGGTTCCCCTCCTCTTAAGCCATTCTGGAATGAATAAATAAATGAACAGGCCCCTGGAGCCATCTGGGTGGCCGACCAAATGCTCAGGCTCTACGGCCGGAGGCTGGCCTGGAGTCCCCGCTGCTCTGCTGTCTAGGTAGGTGACTTCAGGCAAGGGCAGAGCCAGGCCAGGTAACCTCTCAAACCCGGGGCTCTGTCTGTAAAATGAAAATAAGAACATACTAAAGAATGCATAAAACACACTTTCCTGGTCCTGATGGTCCCGATGTGTGGCGGGCATGCAACGAATGTTAGGGGTTTAACTCCTTTAGTCTTCTGGGCTAGACGGCATTAGCTTCATGTCAGATTCTGCTTAGAGGAGGTAAGGGAGCTGCCCATGGTGACAGAAGGGGTGTCCTGCTGGAGCCTTCTGCAAGCCCAGGGATGCTGGCAGCACCCAGCTGCTGTCTAAATGCATTGGCCCCCCGAGTGCCGACCATGCCGGCCACTGTGGGCTCTGAAAGCCAATGGGCCAAGCTGCCCAGCCATCAGGGTGGCCCTCGGATATCTCCTGGGCTTTTCTGTGGGCCAAGGGCAAGTCTCATGCTTCCTAAGGAATGAAAGAGACTGTGTCAGAGGTTGACGCTTCTGGGGTCCTATTGCAGGACACTCCCAGGCCCCCAGGCTTCCCAGAGGCTGGACTCTAGACTTGCTATGTCAAGGAGCCCAAGCAACAGGCAGCGATGCCCCACTGGTCCAGGCCCACGCTGGAGGGAGAGAGGCAGGGCCCAGACGGCCTGGGCCACAGGACACACTTGGCAAAACAATGCCATTGCTAAAGTCACAGGGTGAAAGTCAGTCATCCCCGGGCACTGCGCCTGCCACCTGCCAGCATCCGCAGCTCCACTGCCCTCCCACCTATGTGAGCAGAAACACCTCCAGTCACCTTTCTTCTTCTTCTTTTTTTTTTTAATTATACTTTAAGTTCTGGGATACATGTGCAGAATGTGCAGGTTTGTTTCGTAGGTATACACGTAACAATGGTGGTTTGCTGCACCCATCAACCCGTCTTCCAGGTTTTACGCGCCACATGCATTAGGTATTTGTCCTAATGTTCTCCCTCCTCTTGCCCCCTTACCCTCTGACAGGCCTCGGTGTGTGATGTTCCCCTCCCTGTGTCCATGCGTTCTCATTGTTCAACTTCCACTTATGAGTGAGAACATGCGGTGTTTGGTTTTCTGTTCCTGCGTTAGTTTGCTGAGGATGATAGTTTCCAGCTTCATCCATGTCCCTGCAAAGGACATGAACTCATTTTTATGGCTGCAACAGGCACCTTTCCTTGGCAGCACCCCCTCCGGGGAAGACATGCTTTGTCCCCCTCTGCATCTCTCTGCAGGCTCTAGGGCTGCCACAGTTCCTTGAGCCTCACTGTCTTCCCCTAGAATATGGAAATATGCATAAATAGACAACCCATGGAAAAGGACTCTCCACCTTACCAACTGCGGTACCAAAGCTAGGAGTGCGCCTTTCAAGGAGGGGATACCTGTCCTTCCTTTGTGTGTCATTCTGTGCAGCCGCAGAACCAATCTAGGACCACGGGTCCCCCTTTACAGTCTCTAGTCACACATACCTGGGTGAGCTCTAAGCTCGCTGCGTGACCTCAGACAGGCATTGCAAATTTCTTAAGCACCAGTTTCCTCATTTGAAATATTAGAATAGGTTAGTGTTGTCATAAATATTATAAACTTCAGAATGATTCAGGATTAGAAATAGCATTCTACACGTGTGAAACATCTGGCCCCTCACACACACCTGCTAACTTGTTGCTTTCACTATTAATATCACTCTGACTCCCAGCCAAGAAGCATGGCTGCTGTTCCGGCAGCTGTAAAAGGGCTCTCCTTTGGAGGGAAGGATTTTCAGGGGAGGGAAGGATTTTCAGGGAAGGGAAGGATTTTCATCCACATCCCCTGGCGTCCCCCTGAGGAGTGATATTCGCCCCCCTCGCCTCACCTGAGCCACCTGCAATTCTGAGTGCTCTCATACACTCTTCCCGTATGGCCATGGTGGACCCAGGACCAGTGTTATTGTTACGATGGGCCGTTTGCTCAGGTGGGGAAATGGGGCCTTCTGCTGACAGTGGCGGAGCCAAGACCCAGACTCAGGAACCTCTGGCTCCAGCCCCGAGGCCCTTCCCCTTCTCCAGCCTGGCTCTCCCGGTGTCCATGAGTCACGTTTAGTAGCAGTTTTGGGGGTTTTGTTAACAGAATCATGAATCTTGCCTCTTCTGTCTATAGTATCCAACAGTATAACAAAATGAAAGGGAAAGAAAAGCTGCCAAATCCCGATGCAGAGAGGGTTTGGTGGCTTCCTTGTGTTGGTTCACTTCTGTGTCACAGCAGCCCCGTGTTTCTTGCCAAGAGTAAGCCTGAAATTGATCCAGATGCGGCCTAGATGTCAGGTCCCCTGTTCCTGATAGCTAGGGCAGTGAGCTTCTGTTTCCCAGGGAGAGCAGCCTCCCAGACCCTGGACACTTAGTCCTTTGTTAGGTGTTGGGATTTGATGTTTTCTCTCTAGCACTTCATGTCTCAGCATCAGCCCCATTGACTCGTGCCCCAGGGCTCCCAGTGGAATCATCTGGGTCTGTTCCTGTTAGCAGCCCTCTTGAGCAGTGGGATATGGAGGAGATGGCCAAAGGGGAACTGCATAGACCCCTGTGAACTGGGAGATACATCACCATGGAGTCAACGTGGTGGCTTTGAAGGACATGGTAGAGACACATCTCCAACCACAGGCCACCCAGAGTAAGACCTGTCCACAAGAAGTTGTGAGGTACTTGCCACGTGCCCCATATGTATTAGATAATTTGCAAGGTGCAAACCTGCCTGCCTTTGCGGGGCAAAACACACTTACTTGAAATTCTGTACAAGTTTAATGTATAATACATACTAGAAATACATACTCAGAGTGAATTTATAGAGTATAGACCAGAGGGGTCTCAAGAACTGTGAAGGGTCTGAGATTTGACCCTGCTTTTCAGCGAATGAGTTAGCCTGCCACGGTTTCATGCATGTCAGTGGAAGACACAAGACTCCTGGGTCAGAGACCATAGACTGTTGCCACAGAGCAGGAAGCATGAGCTTACCGTTTGCATCAGATTCTTTTGCCCCTCAAAGTTCATGGTGGCGGGGCAGATGTGGTGTGCACAGAGTGGATCTTTTTCACAGCTCAGGGGCCCTGTGCTTAGGGAACCTCCAATCTTATAAGGGGGCTGCAAGCAAACTTGCCTAACTGCTGCAGAAGGAGACTTTATCATACTGGTCAGTAAAGAAATCTGCTTTGTGTCGCTATACAAACATCCTTGAAAACTTGTCAGAACAAAGACCATGAGTGCCCTGCTATGGAGAATGGCAGAGTTGGGATTGCAGATTACAGAATTGCAGAATTATCTCCCAAGGAGATAGAAAAATCTATAAACAAGCAGTTATAAATTGAGGAAGATTTCACCTAACTGAAAGGAGAGAGGCACTTCCAGATGATTGAGGAGACACACTGTGATTTCTCTCCCAGCACTTTCCCTTTCTGCATCTGTTTAACTTCATGTCAAGAATCTGTGGGTAGAGATTTCTTGAGCACACACCCAGGGGAGGAGGTACTGCTCAAAGGATATTGGGTGGAAGAGGGGAATCAGCTGGAAAGTGTCGCTTTCTTGAAAGTGATCCAAGAGGTGGCTGGAAAATCTGCTGAGGCAGAGGTCATTAAGAGGTCTCCTGCAGACTTGCTCACGCAGGAAGCGAGGGAGGAATTGAGCCAAGAAATGCTCTTGCAGGAATGGAAACTCTGTTCCCCGTTCCCCCTGTTCTGTGGGAAGCCTCAAGTGGTGATGCCAAGGGTCATACCCCAGCCAGTCATCAGCTGTCTGAACTAACAGAGAGGTGTGAGATCCCGAGGAGAAAACAATTTGAAAGCCCTGCTTCTTTAGACTTTAAGAACACTATGTGATTCCAGTGAAGTTCTGCTTTTTCCATAAGGAGGAGAGAAACCAACAGAGCAGCACGTTCCCTTTGAATTCACAGGATGATGTGTTTCTGGAGCTTGTGTACCTGACGTTGTGCCAGGAGGTGCAAGATACTACCAGATAAAAAGGATGCTTTTCTCTGCAAGCATCACCTTTTCATCCACCTACTCAGTCACTTATTCAGCAATGAATGTATTCTTGCATTTGACAATCAATTCACTGAACATATGCTAAATTCACATTAATTTTTTTCAAACACTCCTATGGACATTAAAAATATTTCCCACTAGTTCATGTCTTCATGTATTTATTCAGCAAAACTTTCATCAAACAACTGCTATGCACAAGACATGGTTCTAGGTAAGCAAATAAATGAGTAAGATAATTTTAGGAAGGGATAAATGTAAAGAAGATAAAAGTGGCCAGGCATGGTGGCTCACGCCTGTAATCCCAGCACTTTGGGAGGCCAAGGTGGGCAGATCACTTGAGGCCAGAAGTTCGAAACTAGGCTGTCCAACATGTGGAAGCCCCATCTCTACTAGAAATACAAAAATTAGCTGGGCATGGTGGTGCGCCCCTGTAATCCCAGCTACTCCAGAAGCTGAGGCAGGAGAATCACTTTAACCCAGAAGGCAGGGGTTGCAGTTAGTCAAGATGGTGCCACTGCACTCCAGCCTGGGTGACAGAGCCAGACTCCATCTCAAAAAAAAAAAAAAAGAAAGAAAAGAAAAAAAAGTGAGCAAATTGGAAGAAGGGACTGCTAAACTAAATGGGGTAGACAGGGAGGGACATTTTAGTTGAGACCTGAATGACAAGAAGGAGCAAGAGATAGAATGGGCTGAGGGTGGAAGAGAAAATCAAGTGCAAAGGTCCTGAGGTCTGGGATGTTCCAAGGGTAGGAAGGAGACCAGTGCGCTTAGAGTGTTGGGAGCAAGGAAGTGAAAGGCAAGAAAGAGCAGAGAATGGTAGGAAGAGCCCCAGTGCGATGGGAAGCCTTGGGAGGGCTTTCATCAAGGCAGTTATTTGACCTGATTTATGCTTTAAATAGCAGCCTGGGCAAGAGAGTAGGCGGGGAGCCCAGTGAGGAGGCTAATGTTGGCTTATGTGCACTTTCCTGTGGTATTAAAGTACTTGAATGGAAAAGCTGAAGGAGAAGCCCAGGCTTATGTCAATCCTGGGGTGCAGGTGGGAAAGCAACTGCAGCTTGCATATGTGGGGCAAACACACCCTAGACATGGGTAGAAATATATGCGAGCATCCTACAAGGGCGACTTCAACCTATAGGTCATCAGTGGACTGCAGCTGACATGTATGTGAAAGCTTCAAGCCAGGAATTGGCCTTCTAAAAAAAAACAAAAAACAAACAAACAAACAAACAAAAAACGGTGGCTGGGCGTGGTGGCTTACACCTGTAATACCAGCACTTTGGGAGGCCAAGGAGTGTGGATCACCTGAGGTCAGGGGTTCAAGACCTGCCTGGCCAACATGGTGAAACCCTGTCTCTACTAAAAATACAAAAAAAAAAAAAAATTAGCTGCGTGTGGTGGCAGAAGCCTGTAATCCCAGCTACTTGGGAGGCTGAGGCAGGAGAATCACTTGAACCCAAGAGGCAGTGGTTGCAGTGAGCCGAGATCACACCATTGCACTCCAGCCTGGGCAACAAGAGTGAAACTCCATCTCAAAAAAAAAAAAAAGAAAAGAAGAAAAAAGACAAGATTTACCCATCAACCGGCAAATTTCTCCTCTCCCTCTCAGCCCAAGCCCAGGACTTTTGATGGGAAACAACACTCTAACTCCACATGTACCTTTGTACTCAATCTGTCTGCCCAGGCACATGGCAGTTTGGGGGTAAGAGTCAGCAAAGAGGAGAAGGAAAAACCAGCCACACATATCACTGCCAAGGAACACTTGTTGAAACCTACCACGTGCAAAGTGTAAGAGATGAAAGAGATGCATCTCTTGGAGATGCATCTGCCCTCCTGGAACAGGTGTTCTGGGTAGAGAAGCAAGGAAGAGGCATCCCAAGATGACGTCCCAGGCTTCTACAGTCCTCATCCTCCAGGCAATGAGTTCAGCACTGTGTATAGGTGGCCACGCTGGTGCAAGGCAGCTGAGGGTCAGAGTCACAGTAGGGAGTGGACCCAGAGCCTGGTTGCCCAGTGAGCGCCAACCCTCAACGCAGGCACTAAAGCAGACCCATAGAACCCTCCCAGGAGGCGAGGCCTGACTGGAAGGGGTGGACACTACCACATGCTCTGTGGTGCCAGGCCACAGCTCCAAGCTCACCAGGCCAGCCATGCCAGGTCGAGGCACAGGCCCAGCCTCCATCTGTGTCATCCACATCTACATATCGTTCGCTCCCTAATTTGTTTCTCATTGTTCTCTCCCTAATGAGTCCTTTCTAGCCTGCTAAAGGGCCTAAATTATTATTTTACTTTTCCAGGAAAATTGCACACAATTTTGTGAGTACACTGAGGCATGTTCAGCATTCCCTTGTAACATTCCCAGGCAAGGAGGCTGAACCACACTGGGTTTCTGGGTCTGAAACATTCATCTATCAGCTGAGCTTTCAGCAAAGAGTACAGCAGCCACCTGGCACCTTTGAGTTCTCACCTGCTTGTTCCCTGTGTTAGTCTTGATTTGTGGTTGCAAACAACAAAAATCCACTCTGGTTAGTTTATGCAAAGCAGGAATGTATTGGAAGGGTATCAAGTAACTCACAGAATTGAAAGGGAGTAGCCAGAACCAAGGGAGGCTATGTGGTCACCACAGTGGCCAAATTCACACAGGGTGTGAGTCTGGCGTGGGCAGGATGCTGCTGCCACTGCAGGACCTGCCACTGCCTCCACCACCACTGCCATTGGCACGAATTCCAAGGGTTCCCCTACATCTCTGCATCACTCCCGCCAGATGCAAAGCCTAGAGGGAGCATGTGGTTGGACAGGAGAGGGTCATGTGCTTGTGCTGAGAGTGTCCTAGCCCGGACTGCTGTTCCCAAACATCAGAAGGGCTCTGAGATGTTGAGCTCCAGAAAACATAACGAAAGTCCTCTGTAGTCACTGAATGCTGTAGGGATATTGGGAAAAATCTTTTAACCACTTTGAGCTTCAAGGTTGTCCTCAGCAAAGATTCATTAAATTGAAATGGCATGTTTTGAAAATATAAACCAATAAGAAACAACCTGATTATAATACGAGGAGAAATTAACATGGGCCGAAATGACTTGAAACAGCACACGTGGAAATGTGTGTTGATGCACCTGGATGGACGGCTACCTCTCAACCTGGGATGGGTCACAGCCACAGGGGCACACTCCTACAACCAGATCATGGAAACCGGCCCGCAGGAGATCAGCCAGACACCGGAGTTACCAGATGTGGATCTTTAAATAACCACGGTTCAAATATTAAAGGAACTCAACGAAATGATGGGAAATTTCAGCGCCAAACTGGCAAGTATTTTTAAAAATGATGACTACAATAACTGTCATTAAAATTCAATGGCTAGATTTAGCAGTAGATGACATAGTCTTTAAGAATTAGTCAAGAATATCAAAGAAAATATCCAGACCGAAGCATGGAGAGAAAAAAGATAGAAAACACAGACAAGAACGTAAGAGACATATAGGACGCAGCAAAAAAGGTTTAAAATATGCGTAGGTGGAATCCCAGAAGGAGAAGGAAGAATTAACGGAGAAAAGACAATATTTAAAGAGATATTTAAAACAGATTAAAGACATCAAAGCCATAGAGTTGACAATAAGAGGAACTTCAAGCAGGAGAAATATAAAGAAAATGAAATTGAGGCATATTGTAGTAAGGGTGCTGAAAACTGAAAATGAATAGAACATCTTAAAAGGAAACCAGTTGTTGGGGAGAGAGTATATTACAATCAAAGGGACAACAATAAGGCTGACACTAACCTTTACCAGAAACAATAGAAGACAAAAGACGTGAAATCATATCTTCAAAGTGCTGGAAGAAAACAGCTGACAACATTTTACAGCCACCAAAACTATTCTTCAAATACTAAGGTGAACGAAACATATTTCCAGACAACAAAACCTGAGATAATATGTTACCAGCACACACATACTAAAAAATGTTTTTTAGACAAAAAAAAAAAATGATCTCAGTGGAAGCATGGAAATGCAGGAAGAAATAAAGAACACTGTAAAGTGTAAATATTATAGTAGATAAACCTAAATTAATACTAAATTAGTGCTGACCATGTACATAGTAATAATATTAATGTTTTGTAGAGTTTTAAATAGAAAGAGAATTTATAAAGCAATAATAGTACTTAAGGCAGGAGAAAAGAAATTAAAATGGTGTAACCTCCTTAAATTTCCCGGGAAATGGTAAAAGACCTAATTTATGTTAGATTGTAATAACTCAAGGATGCATGTTGGAATCTCTAGGGTTAAAAAATTAGCATATATGTAACAAGCTAATAGAGGAGTAAAATAAAGAGCAATTAGAAGACAAGATAGAAAAGAAAAGGAATCTAAAACAAAAATAATCAATAGAAAACAAGTAGTAAGATAGATTTGAGCAAAAATTACCAGTAATTACAATAAATGTAAACAAACTGAAGAATCCAATTAAAAGATCAATTTTTTTCAAAATGGATTTAAAAAGAAATAACTATATACTGTGTATAAGAGATACTCCTTAAATATAAAGTTGAAGAAAGTTTGAAAGTGGAAGAATGAAAAAAATATAAATTGTAAACTGAACAACAGGAACTTGAAGTCAGATTTAAGGAAGACCTTCCTAACATTAAAGAAAGACGTTGGAATGAGCTATTGTGGAATGTTTCCTGGATGTATTTAAGAATAAAAGAAAAGTCTCATTCTCCTTCCAGAAACAGAAAGCTAGTCTTCCTGTCCATCCAGGTTTCTATACTATGCCTGGGAAGAACACGGTTGGTCAATAAATAATAAGTCATTCATTATTGGAAATTGATTAGTCATTTGTCATATGCCTGTTTATACTGCATCCCTAAGACATATAATTAAGAAAATATTACATGGAAAAGTTCAATTTTCAAGTTAGTCATAGCACCTTTCCTCCCTACCAATATCTACTGGCCCTTCTAGCCTTGACCTTTTCATTTTTGAAATATTCTACCACCTGACCTGGATCAGTATTAAGGTTGCTTAAATCTCTGGCCAAGAGTGATCCTTTTCCATCTGGGACCCTGTTCCATCCTTGGGTTTCTAGCCCAACAGTGGTTGCCATAGGTATTGCCCTCCTCAGTGTGGAGGGAGGTCCCCTCCCATTGCCCACCACCCCACCCACCTTTCTCTGGCCTGTGTTTTTAGGCCATTTTATAATCCTGTTCCTTGGCTTGAACCCAGGGCCTTGAGTTAATGGAATTCTGATTTCTCCTTGAGGATCATATCTCAAACTCTGCAAATATGGCAAAGGGCTAACAATTGTTAAACCCAGGTGATGACTAAAAGGGTGTTCATTGTGTCCTCTCTACCCTCCCTATTCGCTCCAGTTCTCTGAGTTTACAATGACTTCAAAGAGCTATGATCAGGCCACAGCACTCCAGCCTCGGTGACCAAGCGAGACCCTGTCTCAAAAAAAAAAAAAAAAAAAAAAAAGAAAAGAAAAAAGAAAAGGTCAAAGAAGAAGAGTGAAGAGCATATCCCCTAACAGGGCTGTTGTAGGAATCAGAGAGAATTAATAGAAGCTTCTTATCTCACACAAAGTCATTCCTTATTGGTCATTAATAATTGTTTATCAGCAGGGCATGGTGTCAAGTGCACCTGTAGTCCTAGCTACCTGGGAGGCTGAGGCTGGAGGATGCTTCAGCCCAGGAGTTCAAGGCCAGCCTGGGCAACACAGAGACACCACATCTCCAAATACATGCGTATATACATACGTACATACATATTTTGTTTCTCAACCCGTTTCCCAGCCTTTCGCTGAGGGCAGAATATTAACAATTAAAGGGCGAGACTGAGATCAAAGAGTTACAGGCTTTTAAAATGTGCGTAATAGATCAGTGCGGAAGGTTGTATCCCGGGGTCTATTTACTTTTTCTCAAGATCTGGAAGCCTGAGTCCCCTCCCAAGCGGTTAAGAGGCGGGCTTGGGCGCCCTCTAGCGGTGATCTGTGGTAACCGTTCCCTACTCAGCGGCAGCGCCTTGAGTTGAAAATGCATTTATAATGACGGAGGGATGCTCATGATGTCATTTTCCAGAGTCGAGGAAGGAGCTTTGTGGTTTTGAGGGCCTCCTTCCCGAGAACCGCAGGTACCCTGCCAGGCTTGCTCCGACCACCACTTTGTAGAACAGGTCAGAGCAGCACAGTTTGCAGACAAAAGCCACAGCATGGCTGGGTGGGCAGTAGGCACTTCGGGACCTTACAGGGATTTCTGCTGAAATTACATTCTTTGAAAATGTGATCGTGATGGGAGATGATGGTGTTTTCTGGAATCTTTTTCATTAGCTCAGGGCAATGAATCTGTCCTACATAGACTGGCAAGGCGGCCATAATCCCCACTAAAAAAGGGTGGCACGGGATGCCCGCACAGGCTGTTTAGAACAAGAGACAGTGAGGGGATGCCAATGGGAAATATAATAATAATAATAACAGCATCAAGTACTGACTCTTCACTGTATGCCATGCCTTGCATTTAGCACTTGATACGGATTTTCTCATTTACTCCTCACAACCACCGTATCAGGTTGGCACATTATTAACCCCACTTTACAGATGAAAACACTGAGGTAGAGAGAGGGCAGGTAACTTGCCCTAAGTCACATGCCTTTAGGTGGCAGGGCTGGCACCTGAATTCAGCTCTTCCTGGATGGAGTGCATTGTGACAATCATCGTGCCTCTTTTAACTGACATTTCTTCTCACCCTCAAATTTCCTACCACAATAATCCTGTAAGAAAGAAAATGTCCATCCTGAAAGGCTCCATGTTGACGGATCTCAAGGCAGCGGCTGGGATGTAGCAGCCAGGAGCTGGCCTTCCACATCAGGATTCCTGAGGTTGGATTCTGGTCAGGTGCCCTGGGGCAAGCGACCAGGCATTTCTGAACCTCAGTTTGCTTATATGTAAAGAGAGGTTGGCAATACCTTCCCCAAAGGATTGATGGGAGGATTAAATGAATTACCATGTGGGGCCCACAGTGCACACTCAGTAATTGGCAGGCATTAGTAACGGCAGTGCCACAAGCAATGCCCTGCAGCCAACACTGCAAAAAGACAAGTCTGGCCGGGCGCGGTGGCTCACGCCTGTAATCCCAGAACTTTGGGAGGCCAAGGTGGGCAGATCACTTGAGGTTGGAAGTTCGAGACCAGCCTGGCCAACAGGATGAAACCCCGTCACTACAAAAAAATACAAAAATTAGCCGGAGAGGGTGGCGTGCGCCTGTAGTCCCAGCTACTCAGGAGGTTGAGGCAGGAGAATCACCTGAACCCAGGAGGTGGAGGTTGTAGTGAACTGAGATTGCACCATTGCACTCCAGCCTGGGAGGCAGAGTGAAACTGTCAAAAAAAAAAAAAAAAAAAGGCAAGTCTGAGTTAAGGGTCGAACAACAAGATGCCCTCGTATGCAAAGCCAGCTTCCCTCTGTCCTTAAAGAGAGATTCCAGTTCAGAGATGAACTAAAAAGAAGCCTCAGTGGCCTCGTCTCAGCAGGCATGAAAAGAGGTGTGAGGCCAGGGGCGAGCAGTGGCCAGCTGCAAAGACCCGTGTTAAATAACTGAAGCAAGGATACATCAGACTCTAATATGTGGTGTGGCCTTCAATCAAGGGAGCTCCTGTTACAGCCATGGGTCCTGAGGGTCTCCAGGGAAGGGCGGTGACTGTTGAGGGGTATAAATGTCAAATCTTTTCCCAAGTCAGAGGCCTAAGAGCAGCAGTGGCTTACAGGGCTGACATATATAGTTGCATAGTCTGTGCACTGCACAAAGTCACCCAGCTGAGGGGAGACCCAGAGCTGACATTTGGCATATGCTGTACTTCAAGCCAGGCACCCAGCAGAAGTCAACATCTGACCTGGAGGAAGAGGCGCCTTTATTTAACAGTTCTGCCCAAGGGGATCATGTCATTAAAATTAGCACAAAAAAGATGGTAAGTGCTATCAGAGTCCCTGGAGGCCTAACAGACTGGGGTTCTCCCAGACAGTCAACCACTGTCGGGCCTGGCTGTTGAAGGAACATCACCAGCCATCGCCTGGGAAAGGCTTGATGGAAGATGCTGGACCTGGTGTGGAGAGGGGCATCCCCATCTGAGTGGGTGCACAGGACTGGGGTGGACAGGCTCGGTGGGAGGGGCTGTGCAAGAGATGTGGGCAGAAAGGCGGGACCATGATGACTATGGGGATTGCAACAAACTGTGGATAAATGAATGCCTGCAAGGCAAGAAATGAAAAACTCTACAGAGATCAGTCACCTCCTCACGAACAAAGTACAGTTGCAATGTGACAACTCCCATAACAAATAGAAAAATACTGTGCTTAGGTGACCAGGGGGAAGGAAGCAAATCTGCCAGCCTGGGTTAGTGCTCCTGAGACCAGCACCAGCTTAGGACATTTCCTTCCAGAAATGTGCAGCCCCCGCCCTCCTGAGAGCCCCGAGACACAGGCTAACATGACCCCAGACCTAGGGTTGCTGGTGGAAGAGGAGGCCTCAGCCCTGGCAGGTGACAGCAGGCCTCACTCAGTCACCAGTGGAGGAAAGCAGGGCCATGTGGTCTTGAGGGGGCCACTCAGCCTGGGGCTTAAGACCGCACTATCCTGCAGGCCCTACATTCCAGCCTCAGATTCCTCTTCCATAAATGAAAAGAAGGGTGATATTCACTTTAAGGGGGAGTTTTAGAGATTGGAGATAAATGTCTAAAACCTGGTGAACACATAGCACACAACAGCCATTGTCCTGCAGGTAGGTGCCAGCCTTGTGCCCATCACCATCTAGTAAAACAGTTCAGAGCAGCACCACCTTGCAGGGAAAGGCCACAGCATGGCTGAGGGGGCAGTGGGCATTTGAGGACCTTACAGGGGGTTCTAATGGAATTACGTTCTCTGAAGATGTGGTAGTGGTGGCACACGCCACGCTCCAAGCCAGGCCTCCAGCCAGAGTCCATGTTCAATGTGGAGGAACGAGCTCCGGGTAGTCAGTATTGGCGTGAGACCACGCAGGCCTCTGTACCTAAGCGGGCTTAAAAATTATAAAATATCTGCTTCTGCTATAGACTGAATGTTTGTGCCCCCGCAAATTCGTATATCAAAACCTAACCTCAGTGTGTTGGTGATTGGAAGGTGAGGCCTTTGGGAGGTGATTAGGTCGTGAACGTGGAACCCTCGTGAATGAGATTAGTACCCGTGTAAAGGAGACCCCAAAGAGCTCTCTCAGCCCTCCCACCCCATGAGGACACAGCAAGAAGGCGCGATCTGTGGGCCAGGAAACAGGTTCTCCCCAGACACTGAGTCTGCTGGTACCTTGATCTTGGACTTCCAGCCTCCAGAACTGTGTTGTTGAGGCCACCAAGTCCGTGGCATTTTTGCCATAGCCCAAATGGACTAAGACACCTTCTTTGGGATAAAAACTGATAAAGCCAGGGTGTCACATTAAAAACAACGAAGCTCAGGCAGCCACGATTTGCCTGTGGACTATGTGAACTTAACAGAGTGCACATGTTGGGGGGCAGGAAGGTACTCTTGGCATTGAAAGGCTACTAACACTTGGCACTCAGCATCAACAGCTGACTTCCTTTACATTCTCCACCGGGAGACTTGCATTACAAAATGGGGCAGGTATTTCCCTGAAACCCAAGGGAGGCGGCCAAGTCAGGGGCACAGGAGCAGAGACAGAGGTAAGAGTTTCACTGAAGCAAGAGACCCTGGGGTCAGGGGCCAGCGTAGGCTTGAGATTGGCACAGGACCAGCACTGATGGGCTAGAGACACTCATGGGCACCAGCCTGGGGCAAGGCTTGAAGTCAATTCACTTATTCCCCACTGTGGCGTTGGTATCTCTGAGCACAGTAACCTTGACCTCTCAGATGGTCACATAAAGCCAGAATACAGGCTGGAGGCCGTGTATATGCAGAAGCCAGTGTGGATTTGGCATGCAAGGGCGCATGAGGGTGTCAGGGCTGCTGAGGCTCCAGTCACAGCCGTTTCTGCCCCCACTTCCGGGAGGGATCATGGCTTAGTGCTGTTGTTTGAATATTTGACCCTCCAAACTTCATGTTGACATTTGATCCCCAGTGTTGAAAGTAGGGCCTGGTGGGAGGTGTTTGGGTCATGAGGGTGGATCTCATACATGGCTTAGTGCCATTCTCTTAGTAATGAACCAGTTCTCACTCTATTTGCTCCCACAAGAGCCAGTTGTTAAAAAGAGCCTGTCACCTCCTCCCTTCCTCTTGCTGCCTCTCTCTCCATGTGATATCTGTACATGCAGCTCCCCTTCACCTTCTGCCATGAGTAGAAGCAGCCTGAGGCCCTCACATTGAAGCATATGCTGGTGCCATGTTGCTTGTACAGGCTGCAGAACCATAGGCCAAATAAACCTCTTTTCTGTATAAATGACCAGTCTCAGGTATTCCTTTATAACAACACAAACAGAGAGAAAATTAGTACCAGGGAGTGGGATGTTGCTATAAAGACACCTGAAAATGTAGAAGTGGTTTTGGAACTGGGTAATGGGCAGAGGTTGGAAGAGTTTGGAAGGCTCAGAAGACAGAAAGACAAGGGAAAGTTAGTAACTTCTTAGAGATTAATCAAGTCATTATGATCAAAATGCTGATAGAAATACAGATAGTAAAGGCCACACCCCAAAACTTTGGGAGGCCAAGGTAGACATATCCCTTGAGCCCTGAAGTTCAAGACCAGCCTGGGCAACATAGCAAAACCTCATCTCTACCAAAAATAAAATAAAATTAGCTGGATGTGGTGGCACATGCCTGTAGTCCAAGCTAGTTGGGAGGCTGAGGTGGTAGGATTGATTACTTAAGCCTGGGAGACAGAGGTTGCAGTGAGCCAAGATTATGCTGCTGGACTCCAGCCTAGGTGACAGAGTGAGACCTTGTCTCAAAAAAAGTAAAAAATAAATTTTTTAAATAAGAAGCCCACACTGCCATGTTCTCAAGATGGAAATAGGGAACTTATTGGGAACTGGAGCAAAGGTCCCCCATGTTACACCCTAGCAAAAAATTTGACTGCTTTGTGTCCTTGCTGTAGAGCTTTGTGGAAGGCTGAACTTAAGAGTGATGACCTAGGATATCTGGAGGAAGAAATTTCTAAGCAGTAAAGTGCTCAGACTACTGTGTGTTTACTTCTAACTTCTTACGGTAAATTGGTAGAGAAGAAGGAAACAGGGCATAAAAATTTGGAAAATTTGCAGCCTGGCTGTGTCAGAGAGAAGGAAAGAGCATTTTCAGAAGAGGAATCCAAGGGTGCTATAGAGCAATCACTTGCTAGAGAGATTAGCACAGATAAAAGGGAGCCAGGTACTAATAGTCAAGACAATGAGGAAAAGGCCCCAGAGGCATTTCAGAAATCTTCAAGGATACTTTTCCCATCACAGGCTCAGAGGTCTCAGAAGACAGAATTATTTTTGGGGACAGGCCCAGGGTGCTGCTGTACTGTGCTGCCTTGAGATACTGATACTGCTCTTCATATCCAGGCCACTCTGGTTCCAGCTGTGGCTCAAACAACTTCAGGTTATGTTCTGGCCAACACTCTGAAGGGCACAAGCTGTAAGCCTTGGAAGCTTCCACCTGATGTTAGTCTGCAAACACACAGGATGCAAGAATGGTGGGGGCTTGGTGGCTTCTACCTAGATTTCAGAGGATATATCTGAGAGCCTGGGTACCCAAGCAGAAGCCTATCATAGGGATGGGGCCCTCACAGAGAGACTCTACTAGCGCAGTGCTGAGGGGAAATGTGGGGGAGTTGGAGCCCCCACACAGAGTCCCCACTGGGACACTGCCTACTGGGACTGTGGGAAGGGGGCTGCCGACCTATCATTGTCAGAAGTAACTTGAGACCGTACCTGGAAATCCTGCAGGCACTCAACTACAACCCATGAAAGCAGCCACAGGGGATGTGCCTAGAAAAGCAATGGGACTAGGCTGCCCAAGGCCTTGGGAGCCTACTCCTCACACCAGTGTGCCCAGGGGCATGGCATCAAAGGAGATTATTTTTAAGCTTTAAGGTTTAATGTCTGCCCTGCTGGGTTTCAGACTCGCATAGGGCCTATTACCCTTTTCTTTTGGCTGATTTCTCCATTTTGGAATCGGAGTGTCTATCCAATGCCTGCACCACCATTGTATCTTGGAAGTAAATAACTTGATTTTGATTTAATAGGCTCACAGTTGTAAGGGACTTGCCTTGAGTCTCAGAGGAGGCTTTGAACTTTGATTTTTGAGTTAATGCTGAAATGAATTAAGACTTTTGGGAATATTGGCAAGAAATGATGGTATTTTGCATGTGAGAAGGACATGAGATTTGGGGTGCCAAGGGCAGAATGCTATAGTTTGGATGCTTATCTCTCCAAATCTCATGTTGAAATTTGTTCTCCAATGTTGGAGGTGAGGCCTAGTGGGAGGTAGTTGGGTCACAGAGGCAGATCCCTCATGAATGTCTTGGTGCTGTCCTCACAGTGCTGAGTGAGTTCTTGCTCTATTAACTCCCATGAGAGCTGGTTGTTAACAGAGCCTGACATCTCCCTGCTCTCTCTCTCTTTTTCTCTCTCTTGCTTCCTCTCTCACCATGTGATCTCTGCACACCTCAATTCTTCTTCCCTTTCCACCATGAGTGGAAGCATCCTGAGTTCCTCACCAGAAGCAGATACTGGGGCCACACTTCTTGTACAGCCTGCAAAACTGTGAGACAAGTAAACCCCTTTTCTTTATAAATTACCCAGCCTCAGGTATTCCTTTATAGCAACACAAATGGACTAAAACACTTAGCAACCAAGACTACTCCTCACTGGGGCTCTTTCAGGGTTCTACTCCTGCTTCACCAGGTCCCACTGGGTCTCCTTTAGGAGAAGCTTCTCCCAGCAGCTCCCATCCCACTAGGAGTCCAAAAAAATGGCCAAAGCTTTCAGTGGACTCAGGTCCTGCAGTATCATACACAAGGCCACTCAATGATCTCTCATCTGAATAGGCCCCAACACAACCAGCTCCCCCACCACCACCACAGGGGCCAAGCCTTCCCACTCTGCAAACTTCCTGCTCTTTCTGAGGAGGATGCTGATTAGACTCTGAGCTGTTTGAGTATGGAGTCTTATGATTTAGAAGGCAGTTTCTGCTTTATTCCACTGCGGCAGCCTCTGCCAATAATGGGACACTGTTGAGAGCTGACAGGCCTCTGACAAGCGCCATTGTTTTTTCATAGGAGTTCATGTGAAAATAGCTTCATATTCTAAGCTGACATATAGTCACTTTAGGTAACTAAACTAACTTGCTCTGTGAACAGTAACAGTCAGTGCTGGGCTTCTGTTCATTCCGTTGTTCCCTATTGTTCCATGGCAGGAAATGTTGTTCATGAAACCCATCTCTCTCCTTGGGCACACAACTGGATTATGTTTCCCAGCCTCCCGTGGTTAGGGTGGTCATGTAACTGGGCTCCAGCCTGGCCCATGAAACCTTCCTGTGTATGGGTCTCTGTGCTCTTTCCCCTTCTGCCAGATCATAAAAAAGAGCATGAAAATGATTTGCAGAAGATGGGGAAGCCACTAGATTAATGATCCTGGGATGCTGAATCACTACCTGAAGGAGAACCCTTCTCTGATCTGGAAACCAGTTATAAAGTAGGTTCATCATGTACTGGTTACCAACCAACTTGTCTGAGTCCAGCGAGACAGAACACACACATGTGCAACAAGTTACATAAAGCAGATTTATGACGTGCAGAAGGCAGCAAGGGACAAAAGAGCATAAGATTCACTGTGAGCCAGACCTTATATTAGTCCATCCTCACACTGCTATGAAGAACTACCTGAGACTGGGTAATATATAAAGAAAAGAGGTTTAATTGACTCAAATTTCTGCAGGCTGTAGAGGAGGCACAACCTGGGAGGCCTCAGGAGAGAGAGAGACAGTGAAGAGGCAAGTGCCACACACTTTTTTTTAACTTTAAGTTCCAGGATACAAGTGCAGAATGTGTAGGTTTGTTGCACAGGTATACATGTGTCATGGTGGTTTGTTGCATCTATCAACCCATTGTCTAGGTTTTAAGCCCCGCATGCATTAGCTATTTGTCCTAATGCTATCCCTCCCCTTGCCCCCAACCCCCCAACTGGCCCTGGTGTGTGTTATTCCTCTCCCTGTGTCCTTGTGTTCTCACTGTTCAACTCCCACTTATGAGTGGGAACATGTGGTGTTTGGTTTTCTGTTCCTGCAATAGTTTGCTGAGAATGATGGTTTCCAGCTTCGTCTATGTCCCTGCAAAGGAAATGAACTAATTCCTTTTTACTGCTGCATAGTATTCCATGGTGTATATGTACCACATTTTCTTTATCCAGTCTATCATTGATGGGCATTTGGGTTGATTCCATGTCTTTGCTATTGTAAATAGTGCTACAGTAAGCATATGCGTGCATGTGTCTTTATAGTAGAATGATTCATAGTCCTTTGGGTACCATTTGACCCAACAATCCCATTACTGGGTATATAGCCACACACTTTTAAACCATCAGAAGTCATGAGACCTCACTCACTATCACAAGAACAGCAAGGGGGAAATCCATCCCCATGAACCAATCACCTCCCACCAGGACCCTCCCCCAGGATTGAGAATTACAATTCAACATGAGATACGGGTGGGGACACAGAGCCAAACCATATCAGGCCTCCAAGGCTCAAGAAAGCTGTCCAGGGTGGATGGATTCTCAACTGTGCATGTCTCACTTGCATCACAGCTGAGGGACCCCCAAAAGGCAGCCTGCCCTGGGTTATAGAGCTCAGGGGCACATGACCCACTGGGCTAAAACCTTGAGGGGCATTCTACTTCCAGGGAAGAGAGAATCAAAGCCTTGGCTGCCCCAGGCATTTCCTCTCTAACTCAAGATGTTACATTTTCTAGGAGGAACAGGAACAAGGATCAGGCTGTTTTGGGCAGCCCATCTCAGGATGTTGTATTCTAGGCATATTCTACAGTTATTCTTAAGAACTGCAAGTATGAAAGGGGGAAGAACTGGGTCAGTCTGAGGCCACCCACAGAAATATCCTGCACCAATTTTGGACCTCAAAAGTCAGAAATAAACTTCCAAACTTCCAGCCAGATGCAGTGTCTCACACATGCAATCCCAGCACTTTTGCAGGCTGAGGCCAAAGGATTGCTTGAGGTCAGGAGTTCGAGATGAGCCTGGTCAACAGAGAAAGACCTCCAACTCTACCAAAATTAAAAAAAAAAAAAATAGCCCTGGCCAGGTGCAGTGGCTCATGCCTGTAATCCAAGCACTTTAGGAGCCCAAAACAGGTGGATCACTTGAGCCAGGTGTTGGAGATCAGTCTGGCCAACGTGGCAAAACCCTATCTTTACTAAAAATACAAAAATTAGCTGGGCATGGTGACTTGAGCCTGTAGTTCCTGCTACTTGGGAGGCTGAGGCACAAGAATCGCTTGAACCTGGGAGGCAGAGGTTGCAGTGAGCCGAGATCATGCCACTGCACTTCAGCCTGAGCAATAGAGTGAGACTCTATCCCAAAAATAAAAAATAAGTTATACAGGAATGGTGGTGTATACCTATAGTCCAAGCTACTCAGAAGGCTGAGGCAGGAGGATCGCTTGAGCCCAAGAGTTCAAGTCTGCAGTGAGCTGTAATCTTGTCACTGCACTCCAGCCTGGGTGACAGAGCAAGACCTCATCTCAAAAAAAAAAAAAAAAAAAAAAAAGGAACAAATTAGAGCAAGACTTCATCTCAAAAAAAAAAAGGAAGAAATTAGAGCAAGACTTCATCTCAAAAAAAAAAAGGAAGAAATTTTTATCACTTTTGAACCATGGCATTTGGGGGGTTATTTCTAACAGCAGTTGGCGTTGCTCTTAGTCTTCACCCAAGGCTTCAGCTTCCACTGTTTGTCACAGATCACATTAACCTAGATGGGAACCTAAGCTTCCCCTGAACTCCTGCAAAAACACCTCTCACAAAGCATCTGGGTTTGGGGTAGAAAGGGCCTCAGGACTTGTATCACAGTGATGGAAATCGTTCCATACTGAATATAAAATGCCCATTTGGAAATGTCTTTTGCCTGCTGTGTCGCCAGAGAATTCCCACCAGAACTCCCTTTACAATATAGGACCTTGACCTCTGCATTCCCCTGGCCCCTTATGGACTCCAAAATTTATTGTATTGTCAAAGTACAGGAATCCTCTATCAAAGACTGGGTAGGGCCTTGAAACTGAAGTTTAGGAAACATGTCCTATTTTTCTCTTTTTCTGCTGTGACATACTATGTTTTCTGAGACAAATGAGCATAGGAAATGGTTCACCGTGGTACACAAAATAGTGGGCTCCCAAAGATGTCCACACCTGAATCCCTGGATCCTATTAATATGTTGCATTATATGGCAGGGGCTTTCTAGATGCAACTAAAGTTAGGGACCTTAAATAGGGAGATTATCCTCTATTACCCGGATGGGCTCAACCTAAGCACATGAGTCCTTAAATTAAGCAGAGAACTTTCTCTGGCTGGAGTCAAAGTAATGAGACAGAAAAGGAAAAAGAAAGAGAAATTAAAAGCTTGAGAGGGTCTTCTCCCCTGTCCCCCTCACCCCCACTTCCAGTTGCTGGAAGGGGTCCCACATGGGATGCACTTGAAGTAATTTGGGCAGCCTCTAGGAGCACAGATTGACTCCCGGATAACAGCCAACAAGGAAACAGGGACCTCAGTTCTGCAGCTGCAAAAAACTGAATCTGCCCAAAAACCTCAATGATATTGGAAGCAGATTCATTCTCAAAGCCTCCAGAAAAGAATTCAGCCCTCCCAACATCTTAACTCCAGCCTTATGAGATTGATAGCACCCCATTTCATTCACCAGTCTGGGCCCCTGTAAAAATCAACAGGATCATTTGGGACTGTAGTAAACTTAACCCCGTGCTAGGCTCAATTGCAGCTGCTGTGCTAGCGGTGATAGCTTTACTGCAGCCAACACAGACTTAGGAAACTGGCATGCAGCTTTTAGTCTGGAGAGTATGTCTTTTCAGTCCCCGGCAGGAAGGAGGATCAGAAGTTGCTGCAGTCACTTGGAACAGACAGCAGTACACATTCACGATCTGACCTCAGGGCTGTGTTAACTCTCCTCCTTTCTAAATAGTATAATCTGAAAAGAACTTGATCACATGAACCTTCCACAAATCATCATACTGATTGTATTTATGACATCATGTTAATTAGACCTAGAGATCAGGAAGTGTCAGGTACTCTGGAGTCCCTGAGAAAACAAAACTGTCCCATAGGGCAAAAAGTAAACCAAAAAGACCCAGAATTCTGCCAGGTGGATGAATATTTTCAGAGTCTAGCAGTCTTAGATGAGCTGAGCTATCTCCTCTGAGGAAAAGAACAAGTGATTGTGCCTTCAGCCTCCTACCACTGAGAGCAATACTCCACGGTGAATAAGCCTCTTTGGATTGTAGAGACAGCACATACTACACTTGAGAATATCACCCTGACCTCAATTTGGTGACTCAGAAAGCTGTAAGTTTTGAGTAGGGCTCAGAGTGAGATTGGACTCTGCAGTAGCAAACTGTGGTATAAACAGCCCTCCCCCGGGCTGTGTAATCTGACAGATCCCATGTGCTAGGAATATCCACAGGTGTTAAGGATGATATGTGGAGCTTCAAGAGGAGAGTCGCTGCACAGATCCTTAGTATTCTGGAGGAAGGCTGTGACACCAGAGGCAGAGGAATAGCTACCATTCAAAAACTCAACCCTGCAATGCCCTCCTAGCCATTGAATACCTGCACCTGAGACATCAAATGACTGTGAGCAGGAGCCACACTAGTATTGCCAGGCGCAGCAAATCAGTGTCAGGCAGACACAGCAGCAATCCATTACATATAGGACCGGTCAGGTCAGTGTTTGATTGTCCCACACCCCATAGCCACACAGCGCAACTTAGCAGCGCTCAGTTCAGCCCAGAGTCCTTCCTGCTTTCTCTCCCAGTCTTCTCAGCAGCTACTTCAGACTTGTGACCATCTCTTGAACCATCTCTCTCACTCTCTTCCATTCATTTTCATCAGTAACCTTAGAGTCCACTACCCTTTGAAATAGATAATCACCGTCGCCCTCCCTCATCTCCCATTCACTCCTTAACCTACTGCTGTCTTTATTCCATCCCTAGCTCCATGGGAATGGGAGCTGCCTTCATAAACAAAGAGCCCAGATTTCCAAAGCCTTGTGTAAATCCTCGCTCTTTTTTCTTTTTCTTTTTCTTTTCTTTTTTTTTTTTTTTTGACTGAGTCTCACTTTGTCACCCAGGCTGGAGTGCAGTGGCGCAGTCTCAGCTCACTGCAACCTCTGTTTCCCAGGTTCAAGTGATTCTCCTGCCTCAGTCTCCCAAGTAGCTGGGATTACAGGTGCCCACTACCAAACCTGACTAATTTTTTTATTTTTAGTAGAGACGGGGTTTCACCATGTTGGCCAGGCTGGTCTCGAACTCCTGGCCTCAAGCAATCCACCCGCCTCAGCCACCCAAAGTGCTGAGATTACAGGCCTGAGCCACCACGCCCAGCCAGTCCTCGCTTTTCTGACTCTTCTTTGCATTTGGTTTTGTGGATTCTCCTTGCCCCCTTTGAAACACTTCTTCCCTGATGCTGTACTCTTTTGGGTTCCCCTCACCTCTCTCAGTCTGTTTGAGGACTGGCTTCCTCTCCACCACTGCAGATATTGACAGGGAAATCCCTGTCCCTTAATTCCTAGGTGCAGACATTCTAAAGTGAGACCTTTGGCAATAAAAGATTCTAACACTGGGTATTAGCAAAACAAAGAGGGATGGATGCTTTGGCCAAGGTGATTGGGTGAAAGGGCAGACGCGGTGTTGAATGTTTGGACTTTTGAGAATTTCGACTTTTAGTGCCCATTTTTTTCCTATTATTTTCGCATATCTTTTGGTCTTGGGGTGTCCTTTGCTTAGAAAGCACTTAGGAATGTGAAATGGGAAAGAGAGAGGCTCAGAACAGTGACCCAGAACCAACAACCAAGAAGCCTGGGAGCTATGGTCCTTAAGAGAAAGAAAGGAAAGACATATTATCCTCCAGCTGTTCAGCCTAGCTTACTAGGGTAGGAAGGAGGCAGGAATAGAGGGAAAATGCCATTATCAGGAAAAAAACACTGGCCATATGGCCAGGTGATCTGCAGTGCACTCTCCCTGCAGAATCTCAGCCTTGTAGACGGGCCCTAAAGACTTTTTTTTTTTTTTTTATGAGCCAAGATGGAAACTTACTGAAGGTGCAGCGTTTTGTTTCTTTCATCTTTTGAGAATAATTATGCTTTGCTATTCTTTTTGTCTCTTTACTCCCTACTCTGTTTCTTACATTCATTGATTTATGAAAATAATACTAACTGAGCATTATCTACTCCAGGCGTCCTCAACCACAGAAGTCATAGTGGTGATTAGGGCCGGCATGACCTGGCTTCTCTTCCTTCCTCTCCTGCCAAGCTCCACGCCTGATTCTATTTCCATTTCTAGCTCCATTTCTCCCCCATTCAAATCACCCCATCCCTCTCCCTCCCTATGCCTGTAATGCACTTTTCACCCAATCAGCACATACATATTGAGTGCCTCTGGTGTGGCAGACACCAATTGGGTCCTGGAGTACAGCAGTGAACAAACAAATAAGTTTCCATCTTTCAGAGGCCTCACACACTAATGACCCTGAAGAACCTAGACAGGTCAGATCTCAAAACATAGTAAGCACCAAAGACAGTTCACTCCATATTCAGATTGATTTGGAAAACAGAGTGAGCTGACCTCCAGGCTGGGGAGACAACTTGGTCCAGCTATTGGGGACTGCAGAGAGCAGAAGAGAAGCGTGTGTGTGTGTGTGTGTGTGTGTGTGTGTGTGTGTGTGTGTGTGCGTGCGTAGGAATTTCCCTTCTTGAGAGACCCTATCAAGTCACTAGACTGGTAGAACAGATCAAAGACAGACATAATATTTCTGGTTTTCAGGAAGACCATTTCATAATATTTCAGGGAGAATGTTATCGTCAAGATGAAGTAATTTGGATTGTGTATGATTCAGGTAAGTGTATTAATAGCTGCATCTGTCATATCCAAAGACTGTTGATTAAAGGATTAATGTCTATTAAGAAATAAAATTATTTTTCCATTTGGTCATTGAGTTCTGTCTTTGACACTGTTCTGATACACACAATTTCCAAAGATGTCAATGAAGACAACCTATATACCAGCAGGCGACATACCTGTGGATGGAGCCACAGGTAGGCCCCAAGAAAGATGCCTGTGCCACTTCTTCAACATTGTACAGCAGGTTCTAGTCAGAGCAGTTGGGTAAGAAAATCAAATAAAAGCAATTGGAGGGTAAGAAATATAGCCATCTCTGTTCACAGATTACATGATCTTGTATACAGGAAATTCTAAAAAATCAACTAAAAACTAATCAGACTAATAAATGAGTTCAGCCAAGCAGCAGGATACAAGATAAGAGGCAAAAATAAATTGTATTTCTATACATTTGCAATGAACAATAAAAAATGAAATGATAAAAACAATTTTAAAACTTAAAGAAGATCTAAATATATGGAAAGACATCCCATAGTCATGGATCAAGAGACTTAATATTGTCAAGATGACAATACTCGCCAAAGTGATCTACAGAGTCAGTGCAATCTCTATCAAAATCCCAGCTGACTTCTGTGCAAAAATTGAAAAGCCAATCCTAAAATTTATATGGAAATTCGAAGGACCCAGAATAACAAAAACAATCTTGAAAAGAAGAACTGAGTTGAAGGGCTCACAATTCAATTCCTTATTTCAAAACTTACTGCAAAGCTATAGCAATCAAGACAAAGTGGTACTGGTATAAAGCTAGACATAAAGGTCAATGAAAAGGAACTGACAGTCCATAAATAAAGCCTCACAATTACAGTTAATTGATTTTCATCAAGAATTTCAAAACAATTCAGTAGAGCAAAGAATGGTGTTTTCAACAAATTGTGCTACAACAAATGAATATCCATATGCAAAAGAATGAAGATGTACATTTATCCCACACCATACACATACACAAACACACACACACACACACAACTCAAAAGGGATCAAAGACCTAAATGTAAGTGATACAACTGTAAAACTCTTTGAAGAAAGCATATGACTAAATCTTCATGACCTTTGATTTGGCAAAGGCTTCTTAGATATGAGACCTAAAGTATGAACAACAAAAGGAAAAACAGATAAATTGGACTTCATCAAAATTAACACATTTGTCCTTCAAAGGACACCATCAAGAAAATGAAAAGACACCTATTGAAAGGAAGAAAAATTTTGCAAATCATATATCTGATAATGGGATTGTATCATATATCTGATAAGGGAATTGTAAAGAACTCTTTGCAACTCAATAACAAGAAGAGGAACCACTTGATTCTAAAATGAGCAGAAGACATGGCTAGGCATTTCTCCATGGAAAATACACAAATGCCCAGCAAATACATGAAAACATGCTCAACATCATTAGCCATCAGGGAAATGTGAATCAAATCATAATGAGCTACCTCTTCACACCTACAGGATGGTCAGATTAAAAATGACAACAACAGCTGGTGACAATGTGGGGAAAGAAGCGTCAAAATATTAAACGTAGTTAACATTTGACCCAGTAATTCCATTCCTAGGTATATGCACACACAAAAAATGAAAACAGGCTCACACAAAAACTTGCACATGAACGTTCATAGCAGCATTATTCAAAATTGCCAAAAAGTAAAAACAGCTCTAATGTCTATCAACTGACGAGTGCATAAATAAAATGTAGCACATTCATACAAAGGAATATATTCAGCAGTAAAAAGGAAAGAAATACTAATACATGATAAAACATAGATGGGCCTTGAAAACACTAAGCTAACGAAAAAGGCCAGCCAAGAAAGACCACACAATCAAGTGATTCTGTTTATATGAAATGCCCAGGATAGGCAAATCCACAGAGACAAAAAAGTAGCTTAGTGGTTGGCAGGGCCTAGGAGAGAAGGGGAGATCGAGGGGTCACGGCTGAAGGGTATGGAATTTCCTTGGGAGGAGATGAGGGTGTTCTAAAATTGTGATGATGGTTGCACAACTCTGTGAATATAAGAGCTAAAAACTATTCAATTGTACACTCTAAACAGGCGAGTTCACTGGCATATGAATTACATCTCAATGAAGCAGTTATGAAGAAGAGAAAGAAGGAAGAGAAGGAGAAAAGGAAGGAAGGAAAGAAGGGGAGGAAGAAAGAAAGGAGAGAGATTCCTGCCCCAAAGACCTTCTTAAACTAAAGACAGTTGGAGAACACACTCTAGGCTCAGATGTGTCCTCATTGTGTCCGTGGGTAAGATGAATAGTAATTAACTCTCCTGCCAATGTCCCCTGCCACAGCTTCCTCTGAGCAGCAGGGTCTGGGACAGGCAAAGGGAACAAAGACTGTATCTGCCATGGCCTCTATCACTTCAGGGCACAATGCTGACTCTAGTCCCCCAAGTAGTATAAAATACTTTTGATAGAGCATGACTTTTTACCTACGCTTGACCAGAAATGGATCCCTGTGTAACCCTGTGTACAGAAATTACTAATCCTAGCTTTAGGATGAAGTTGCTATTGGTACAAATAGCCACAAGATGACAGTGTCGTCCTACTCAAATTCTTAACACAAGGCCCTGTCCTCAGCTCCTCTTCATAAGAGGTGTAAATGAAGTGATGCTAGTTTCCTGCCCTTCTGAGAACACTAGGCTTGAATTGTATTTGAATCAATTTTTTTTTTTTTTGAGACGGAGTTTCACTCTTGTTGCCCAGGCTGGAGTGCAATGGCATGAGCTCGGCTCACTGTAACCTCCAACTCCAGGGTTCAAGCAATTCTCCTGCCTCAGCCTCCCAAGTAGCTGGGATTATAAGCATGCACCACCACGCCCAGCTAATTTTTTGTATTTAGTGGAGACAGCGTTTCACCATGTTGGCCAGGCTGGTCTCAAACTCCTGACCTCAGGTGATCCACCCGCTTCGGCCTCTCAAAGTGCTGGGATTACAGGCATGCACTACCACACCCTGCCATGAATCAATTATTATAAAATAACTATTAAAGTATTAGCTAAATGAGAAGGAATCATGCTTAGGATTAAATAGCCCTTCTTTATTAAACCTTCTTACCAAAAATGTGATGGGAAAACTATTCAAGAATGAAAGCAAAGATTGCATTTTGATGGTTTCAACAGAAAAATGGATAAGCATGATATGGTTCATACAAGCAATGGAACATGATTCAGCCTTAAAAAGGAAGGAAATTCTGACACATGCTACTACATGGGTGAACCTTGAGGACATTATGCTAAATTAAATAAACCAGTGCAAAAGGAAAAATATTGTATGATTCTACTCATATGAGGTATTTAGAGTAGCCAAACTCATAGAGACAGAAAGTAGAATGGTGGTTGCAGGGGCTGGGGGAAAGAGCGGGGAGTTGTTTAACGAGGACAGTTGCAGTTTTGCAAGATGAAAGAGTTCTGTAGATAGTGGTGATGATGTGAATGTATTTAATGTCACTGGTGCACTTAAAAATGGTTAAAATTGGTAAAGTTTATGTGATGTATATTTTACCACAATATTTAAAAAGTAAGTTACTTTTAAAAATTTTCAGAATCATTTTTTGGGGGAGCATTGAAAAGTCCTCAGATGAGATGGTCACTCCCAGAATGAGGCAGAGAAGCGGGAGGGGAAGAGGGTGTCTGGAGAAGGGTGGGCACAGGCCCACCAGCCCAAAACATCCCTCCCCACCCTTTGCTGACCCCGCTCCTCTCGAAGCTTCTGGCCACCCTGCTGCTCAGCAGCTCAGATCCAGGTGGCTGAGGGCCACTCTGGATGAGTACAGGAGTCACCAAAATTCACATTTGGGTAATAGCTTGAGTCAAAAGGTGCTGAGAGCTTCCATTAGGACTGACCTCTGGAATGGGCCCCTCACCGGGCCTGCGTCCACCCCACTGCTGTCCTCTGGATGAAAACTAGCAGTTAGGTCTACAGGGTGATGCTTCCATTGAGCGCTTTTGTTCCCTCCGGCACTGTTGTCAGAGCAGATGACACCCCTCACCCCTCACCCTCTGGAAGCTCAGGGTGGTCCCTCCAGTGTCTCTAGGCCCTGGAGTCACACACTGGCCCCTCCAGGCTCAATGGCCCCTGGGGCCCTGTAAAAAGGAGGTAGGCTCTGCAGTCAAGGTGACCTTTCTCAGCTGCAATTTTGATTTCCCCTGAGGAAGGCCCCAAGGAATCCAGGGCTGTGTAAGGAATCCTGGCCCTTCATGCTGGGAGCCAGGATTAAGAATTCCTATACACAGGGCTGCCTAGTTCCATGTCTAGTCAAGGGCAGGTAGAAAGGCACACCCTATCAAAAGTATCAACCAGGCCCAATGGCATGAGCCTGTAGTCCCAGATTCTTGGGAGGCTGAGTTGGGAGGATCATTGAGCCCATGGGGTGAGGCTACAGTAAGCTGTGATTATGCCACTGCACTCCAGCCTGAGTGACAGAGTGAGACCCCCCATCCCAAAAAAAAAACAAAAACAAGTATTTTCATTATTTGTACTGTGGGGGGCGGGGTGGCAAAGTCTGTGTGTGATGATGGTGGATTTGGGACGGTGATTGTCCACAGCACAGGTGAAGCCACTATGCAGAGGGAAAAATCTCTCCCAGATGCCCCAGCACACAGGAACACACACTCTCACGCTTGCACACACGCACCACTGGTCATTATTAAATCGATGTGATTAATATGTGCACGGACAGGCCAGGTGCAGTGGTTCATGCCTGGAATCCCAGCACTTTGGGGGGCCGAGGTGGGTGGATCACAAGGTCAGGAGTTCAAGACCAGCCTGATCAACATGGTGAAACCCCATCGCTACTAAAAATACAAAAATTAGCCAGGTGTGGTGGCGGGCACCTGTAATCCCAGCTACTCAGAAGGCTGAGGCAGGAGAATCACTTGAACCCAGGAGGTGGAGTTTGCGGCGAGCTGAGATCACGCCACTGCCCTCCAGCCTGGGCAACAGAGCAAGACTCTGTCTCAAAAAAAAAAAAAAAAAAAAAAGGGTGCACAGACAATATAGAAAGCCCCTGAGGAGCAGATGTTTGCAGCCTCTGTGAAACTATCTGGTATAGAAGCTTTCCTATTTTTCTCTGGGAACAGTGATGTCACAACTCTGCAGAAGCACCTCCAACAGAAGCCGAATCAGAGACCCGGGGAGGCCTGTGCAAAATGCTCTTCTCCCGGGCAGGTCCCAGCCCAGGCTACCGTTAATATGTAAACACCGAGAGCTAGAATGACCAGGAGGCAAAGGGAAAGAGAGCTAATTAGATAAACCTTCATGCTTACAACCCCATTAGTTAATTAAATGATCACTTTACTGTGCAGAAAGTGAGCTGTCAGACTAATCCAAGTGTTACCAGCTTTATGGGGTCCGTGGGCCCTTTACAAGCTTCCTCTGCTCCCAAGTGTCAAATTGGGGCTGTATTGATAGATAAAAGCAACATCGAGCTGCTCTGATTGCGGCCTTTCCCTTCGATATCTTTATACTGTGCTATAAAAGCCTATTATACTTAATTTAAAGAGTGAAAATTGTTGACATCTCTTTCAATTGCTAATCTTTAGGAAACAATGAATGGAATATTATTTGAAAGGAATAAAGTGCTCGCTTTATTGGAGAGTAGTAAAAATCTAATAGTTGGCAAAACAATATGGTGTTTACTCTTCAAGATAGTTGGGTTTATTAGCTTAAGCGATTGAGAGCATTTTACAGTCAGCCTCAGCCCTCTTGTGTTTAGGTTTTACTTGGGTTAGAGCACCCGAGCTTTTATTTGTTGTCGTTGTTGTTGTTTTCCTTTTCTTTCTTTTTTTCTTTACTCTTTCTTACTCCCCTCCTCCCACCTGGAAAAAGATCAAGGATGACACTTTTAAGGAACCCGTTAGCAAATATGCCATATATTCATTGAGCCAAAAAATATCCTGCAAGTGAAAAACATGTTTTGTCAGATGCTAAATCCTTCATGGGTGGAATGTTCTGAAATGACAACTCACCAGGGCAGGAGGCCGGGAGCTCAAAAGTGTTATGGGGTCTGGGAGCCAGGGCAGTGGATCTGTGAGTACGCACTGCCCTGACCCCACCCCACAGCACACACACGCACACACTCCACCACGGAAGGGGAGGGCTCGAGGCTGAGTTAGAGCTTCTGCCAGCCCCGAGAAGGCTCTGGGTCACCTGTGTCCCTCTATTCAGCACAGAGGGCCCACCTGCCTGCATCCTCCACCTCCTGGCGTCCCGGGAGGGCAAGGACTTTAGTACTTGATACGTGATTCAGTTACGTCCTGGGAGCCCAGGAGGGAGCTTAGCACCCAGGTGTTTAATAAGCACTTCTAGAATGAGGTAGGAAGTAAGGAGACACTGAACCAGAGAAAGTGTGACTTTTCACATTTGAGACTTAGGGCTCTTGGTTTTCACACACAGGGTCAGGTATCAGGGGCCCAGCCAGTAGTTCCCCAATCTGAGCGCGTGAACGCTGCTGCACACTCCCTGACTGGGGAGGCCTGCGGAAGGGCCCCAGGAAACACACTTTGTTGTTGTTGTTGTTGTTGAGACAGAGTCTCGCTCTGTCACGAGGCTGGAGCGCAGTGGCGCGATCTCGGCTCAGTGCAAACTCCGCCTCCCGGGTTCAAGCGATCCTTCTGCTTCAGGCTCCCGAGTAGCTGGGACTACAGGCGTGTGCCACCATGCCCAGCTAATGTTTGTGTTTTTAGTAGAGAGGAGTTTCACCATGTTGGCCAGGATGGTCTCGATCTCTTGACCTCATGATTCGCCCACCTCAGCTTCCCAAAGTGCTGGGATTACCGACAGGAACCACTGCGCTCAGCCAAAACACACTTTTAACAAGCACACCAGCCAACTGCAAATGTTCAAATAACTTGGTTTCAGCAGAGGCTACTTTTCTCCCGTGGCCAGGTGCAGAGAGGCCGATGTGCACATCTGCTGCTAAGCTCCACCTGGGGTTTCCTGCTGCCAGGCTGTGGGTTCCAGGAAGGCCTGGCCCAGGACCCTAAATCTTTGCCATCTCTGCCTCTAGTGGCCCTGCAGAACTCGAATCGGGAATAAAGACCGCAGCACCACGGCACACACAGGTGAAGCCCAGGTGACAGGTTGTGCCAGCTCCTGCTCATGCTCCCTGTTGCTAGGGATTGTGAAACAGGCAGGGGCGACCAGCCCCGTGCCAGCCCAGCGGTCTAAATGTTCCAAAGGTGACAAGGCCCAAGGCAGGGCCTCTTGAATAAGCCCCCATGAGTCTGATCACTCACGCCAACAGAAGCTGCTTATCTCTTGAACTTTCAGCCTGCTAATTCCAACCAAGGTACATATCGCTTAGCTTTGGGCAATAAAAAGAAAAAAAAGTGTGTTTATCTGCTGTAGCTAAATCCAGTCTCTCCCAGATGACTCTGCTGTAGGCCTATTTCCTTGTTCTCCAAGTTCCAGTTTCTATAGTCAAGGCCAGCCAAAGAGCACAGCTCACCCAATGGCCTGAGAACTTGGCCAGCCCGAACGCCCTGAGCCCAGTTACCCAGAGGCCCCATCCAAGATCACAGCCAAGGTCAGGAGCTGGTGCTCCGGAGGCCATTGGCTTCCAGGCCCTCCATCCCATAAATAATGGGTTGCTGGTCAACCGGAATTCAAAAGGGGTTGATGTTATCTGAGTAAACCCGTTGTTGAAGCCAGATAGGGCCTTCGGGGTGTCTGCAAAGACTAGAGCCCAAAAAAGCCTCCACCTGACACTGAGTTAGGACCTAGAGTCCCAGTGGCACAGACCAGTCCTGAACCAGCCCACGACACCCCTGCTGCTACCATCTCCTCCCTGCCCTGGGACCTGGGATCTGGTTGTCAGCACCGCCATGCAGGGGAAATGGATCGGCAACAAGCAGAATGTCCATGCTTCCCCGTGGCCCTGGAGAGAAGGGGCCAGATGGAGAATGAGCCAGCTTTTGGCAAACACATGGACTCAATGTTCTGGAGTCTGCCCCTCACTAGGAGTCCATTCCAGGCCTAAGGCAGCTCACCTTGGCTCTGTTTGGTTTTGCCATTGACAGAGGCTCGGATCAACTGTGGACACGTGGGAAGGGTGGAGTGGGGACAAGGACACCGCGCTGGCTATTCCTTAGCACAGCAGCCCCAGAGGTGCATCTTCACAGAGGAGGTGCCATGGCCCCACTGTCCAAGGGCCAACCCTCTCTGCTCAGCCCTCGTGCCAACTCCCACCTTGGTCAAAGGCGGACAAGGGCCCTGTAGATCCTCGTGTGTGAAGCGAGTCATTTTGCTGGGATGGAGCTGCTCAGATACAGGCTACCACCCAGGGTGCCCCCTTGCAGTGTGGCACCGAGCACAGCCATCTTTTAGAAACACGTCAGTGCTTGAGGTGAATCAGCTGAATTGTGGTTTGGCAGTTATATTTTCTCCAGAAGCAGCATGATTGGACAACAGGTGCGACTGTCTGCAGAAAGCAAAGGCCCCACCAGGGCATCTAGAAAAAAGGGTTGGTTTCCACAGCACCAGAAACAGCAGCCTTTAGGCACCCAGGGCCCCGGACCTAGAGAGATCTGGGGACCAGAATGGGTGATGGGCTGGGAATGCAGTCCTGGGGCTACCTGTCCCTGTTCCTGCCCCTGGGCACCAGGTGGTCCCAGCATGCAGACTCCCACCCTGGCTGTGCCCTGCCTTAAGGAGAAGGGAAGGGAGGGGGGCCTCCCACACAGATTTCTTTGGCCCAGTGGCACATCTCATTGTCTCCTCACTCAGCATCCACTGAAGGCTCAGATACTGCGGGGCATTAATGATGCTGTAAGGTAATAAGGCCAGACGCTGCTCGTGTGAGAGCAAGCACTTGATAAAAGGGAGATTTACAGCCACATCCATCAACTTAATTATCTTTTACTAGAGTTTAAACTTAGTAGTAATCCTAATCTCTATTTAGTACGGTTTACAGGATCTATGGACACTTTACAATCTTCCTCTATTGGCAAGTGTCAAATTATGGCAATATTGATAAAACGGTGGAGTAAATGGGAGGTGAGACAACTCCAGAACCAGCTAATATGCATTTTACTGCACTGTAAAAGCCTATGACTCTCTGATTTCAGATGAAAATTTGTAGCCAATAATCAGAGCTGATAATGTTTCGGAAACAATTCTATGGGTCATAAAAGTCCCCTTCATGGCCTTCTACAACATGGACCTGACCATGAGTAGCGGGGAGCGTGGGGCGTGAGCAGGCTCCCTCCTGATGGCCTGCTGCCTTGGCCAAGGACAGGGCTGGGGGCCTTTGATGCTCTTCCACAGGAAAGGGTGCTGGACCACCCTGACCCCGGGCCACCCGACTCACCTGCTTCTAGCAACCTGTGTGGGCTTCTCTTGCAAAGAGACCGTTTTCCAGAGGACCTCATAGGAAAAAGCCTGCTACACTTTCCAAGGGATAGGATAAAGGAGCAGCTGGACCAGTTGCCCTTGGACTGTCTCCAGCCAGCTAGGCAGCCACATAGAGGGGATCTTAGGGCCAATATTATGGCTTTGAGCCCAGTACACCTGAAAAGAACCAGTGCCTTCACAGAAGTCACTCTATTTCTTTCTAATCCACTAACCTTTTGCTGTCAGCCCTGTCCATTTTCCCTAATACCGCTTGACGGTGTTCAGTTTAGACTTTCTCTATCTGGAAAACAGTGTCAAAATCATTGATGCTTCCTGACTTGAGTTACTTGGTACTAAGACCATAGTGCGCCCTAAGGCAAAAATGCAGTTTTCAAACAGACGTTCCCTCTGGGACTGAGGGGCTGTCCTCAGAGACCTTTGCTGGTTCTGGAGGAAGGAGCCTGCAGTGGTGCCTCCCTCTCAGCCCCTAGGACCTCCCCAGGGCCAATGTCACTTGGAGGTTCTGGGACTGGCTCAGCCTACAGGGCCGCCTCGAGCCCATATGGTGATTTGGTAGCTCTAGGAAAAGACCTCCTTTCTTGATGTGGATGTCGCCTATGGCCACACATGCTTTGATCATCTAGGCTGGAGGGCAGGCCTCCCTTGCACCACCCTTGGCGGAAGCTCTGGCTTCAGCCTCTCTCCAGACATTGAGTGTCTCAGTGAAGAAAGTCTGGCTTGGAGTCTGTAGCCCAGAGACCCCAGCTTGGCTGTTGGCTCTCTGGTTCTATTTTTCCTTTTCTTTTTCCAAAATACTTCTTTTTCCGGGTATCTTCTCTCTAAAGCTTTCCAAGCCTGATCCAGTCCAAAGCTGGTCCTTCAGTCCCTGTGACAACCCCACAGCACCCCTGGGAAGCGTTTACGGAACGAGGGTGTGCTTTCACCTTCCCACACAGAGTTAGAAGATGGAGCCCTGGGCCCCAGCCATGCCTGGAGCTGGGAGACGGGGTGTGTTTCTAAGCCCCGGATTGTCACTATTTGTGCACTTGTGGCTGGATCCAGGTGCTGGAGCTTGAGGTCAAAGAGGTGTCTGGGGAGACAATGGCATTTCACAGAGCAAGGGTCCAGATTAGAGCACAATGTGGGGAGCACATGGCATGATCCCTGACTCATAGCTCCAGAGCCACCGCTACCACACAATCCATCCATTTGAGGGAGGGGAGCAATGTCGAATCAAATTAGAGTGCTATCTGGCATTCTCACCTGAATGGGATTAGTTTATCAACTGGCTTTCCAAGAGGCCCCAGGGCACATAGCAGGTGCATTAAAGGGAGATGAATGGAGGGGAAGACAGTCTGCCTTGCCAAAGAAGTCCAGCCCAGTGGAAGGCGGGGTAGGTAGGGGGGAGGTACGAGAGCACCACCACAGAGAAAAATCAGGGTGCTCAGGGAAAGGGGAGGCCCTCCGAAAGTGGGGAGAAGGAGCTCTGAGGGCAGAAACACAGGCTAAGGAAGCAAAGCCATCTTCGCAAATGTCCTTGGGATCCGCTTTACAACCTGCCCAGGACAACAGGGACTATAAAGTAGCTCCTTAATATTTTATTTTGCTGAGGACAGACTCCGGCAGTGTCACAAGTTGCCTGGATGCATGCATTATCATTGCCAGAACATTTTTGATATCCTCAAAGTCATTCCTGAAACAGGTGGAGGCCTCAGGGTCCATCCATCTGGCCTGACACCGACCGGGTGGCAAGGAAGGCCAGGGGCCAGGTGAGTTGCAGAGAAAGCTCCGGCAAAGTGAGGGATTTCTGGAAAGTCAGAGAAACTTCTTTTAACTCAGGAGAGAATCTTTCCCTTTGTCTCTCTCTTTCCAAAAAAAAAAAAAAGCATTTTAGTGATAAGAAAGTTTCCAATTTCCACTCATCATGAGACATATTAAAAGGACATTCTCAAAGATTGTCAAGGCAATTGTAGTTAAAAGTCAACAATGGCTGGAAATAAAGTCAATACAATTTCTCTACCTGAAAATATAAGTGTTCTAGAGATGATTTATTTGATTTATTTGGCCATAAATTATTCCCATGCACAGGTATTTCCTTATTTTCATTGTACAAATTTTAAAATTAATGTCATTTGTATGAACTGAATAGGTATTGAAGTGCTCAGGTACTTTCAGATCTTAAATATATACATTTAAAATATATATACGTTTAAAAATCAGGGTGCCCAGGGAAAAGGGAGACCCTCTGAATGGGGAGAAGGGAGTTTTGAGAGGCAGAAACACAGATCGAAGGGAGCAGTGTCCTTGTCTTCCCAAGTGTCCTTGGAGTCTGCTTGACAACCTGATCCCAAGGAAGTATGTCCCATTATCAGTGGAAACTGGATACTTTCTTATCACTTAGAATCCTTTTTTTAAAAAAAGAGGCAAATCATTTTTATAAATGTACAATGTACATAAAAAAATAAACATCTAAAACTGCCAACATGAGGGTGGGCTAGCCATTGGATTTAGGGGCAGGAATAGCTTAGGAGCCCCAGTTGGTTTCACAAATGATACAAGGAACAAAGGGCTCCAGGCAAGGGGAGAAAAAGGCGTCCATCAAGCCAATTTGTTTGCCTGTGTGCAAGGAGGCAAGAAGTCATTTCGGGATTCCGCCCTATCTTATCCACCCTATCTTATCAGGTGGTAAATCTGTCCTTTGATCTTGTCAACAATGTGGAAAGTTGGAGACAGCTGCCACCACCCCTAGTCAGCAGTGCCTCACCAACCCTCATAAAACATTTATGAAACCCGTAATAAACAGGCTGATAAGGAAGAGGGCTCAAGATTTCAAAAGTCAGCAGCTCCACAGAAAATGCCCTTCTCTACCGTCAAGGTTTCTTTATTTGAAGAGCAAACACAAACCATCAATTCCCACTGGCCATAAAGTTTCTGAGCAAAGAGTTTCACCAAACCCTGAGATTAGCAGAATTTGTTTGGAGTCTTACCCATGTTCAGAAACCACCTCCCCTCCCCTTCCCGAAATTCTCCACGTGGAGAAGGGCATAGAGGGCTGGGATGAGAAGAATGCAGTCAGGGAGAAATAAAGAGCCATTTGATGCCCCAAAGTAAACGACTATTCTATCATTGAGTCTGGAAAAGAGAAGAAGGCGTAGCATTTTAGTAGCACGTTGTAAAATATAACTTTGGGCATATTTAAACTTCTGCTTTGTTTTCTGGGAAAATCAACTGAGCTCTCTCTGAGTTGAGCAGGAGTAGACAGAGTCCTAAACATGCCCCCACTCTCTGGGAATTTTCTCAGTTGACCATTCTGAACAAGTGTCAGAGGAGTTGAGCTGCTTAAACCAGAGGTCTTAGAAAATGGGGAAGTAAGGAAAGCCTTGAGAGCAGGGTGACTGGACAGTCTTCAGGACAGTCTTCAGGGGAATGCTAATATGCTTCAGGGCAATGAATGTTGCTGCTGGCAGACCACAGTAGAAGGAGGTGCACTATACGCATCTGTTGCATGAGGAATAGGTGAGCCAGAGAAAGCATGGATGATGCTACAGGCAGGCAAGCAAAGATAAACAGTGCATGAGCTGAGGGAGAGAAAACAGAGGAAATGTACATTCCATACAAGCACACTTTTACCTAGTGCCTTGCTTTCAAGATGATAAAAGGCAACAAAAGCAAAGGATCACAGAATTGACTGGGGAAAAAATTCCAGGTCTTTCATCTCTTCTGCCCCAGCCAACCGGTGGCCAATTAAAGAAAAAGAAAGACAAGGACCCTCAAGGCGGCCTAATGAGCAAACCCTAGAGGCTGAGCAGCTCCCCTGCATAGAAAGCCTCTCTCCTGAACACGCCCATGCTAGCAAATGTTTCCCTGCATCCTCCTCAGAGAGCGCCTTCAGAGATGCTCATCTCCTCTCTCTCTCCGTCCTCCACACTTGCCTCATTGCCTAAAAAAAGGAAATCCTTACGAACCCTTACACACTGGCCCCTGATCTGTGTGGAGTGCCCTGTGCTTCTCTGTGTGTTTTCCATGTCAGTTTTTCTGTGTTCAGGAGTGGAGGCAACCACTGTTTGACCCTGTAAGGTGCCTGCCTGAGCACCCTTTGGGCACCTGGAGCTGATGAGAAGGGTGGTCCAGGGAATAGTGCTAAAAGTTGGGGACTGGGGGAGCTCCTGCCCACATGATCAGGTCATGCACTTGCCCAACAACACCCAGCAGAGGGCTCCATGGGCAGGTGGGTGGAGGGGACTCTATGGATAGGTAGGGTGGGCTCCATGGGCAGGTGAGATCCATGGGCGGGGTGGGGGGTGCTCCATGGGGAGGTGGAGGGTGCTCCATGGGCAGGTAGAGGGTGCTCCATGGGCAGGGGGGTGGGCTCCATGGGCAGGTGAGATCCATGGTCAGGGGGGTTGCTCCATGGGAGGGTGGGGGGTGCTCCATGGGCAGGTGAGATCCATGGGCAGGGGGGTTGCTCCATAGGGAGGTGGGGGGTGCTTCATGGGCAGGTGAGATCCATGGGCAGGGGGGTTGCTCCATGGGGAGGTGGGGGGTACTCCATGGGCAGGTGGAGGGCATTCCGTGGGGAGGTGAGGGGTGCTCCATGGGGAAGTGGGGGGTGCTCCATGGGGAGGTGGGGGGGTGCTTCATGGGCAGGGGGTGGGCTCCATGAGCAGGTTGGGGGGTGCTCCATGGACAGATGGGGCAGGCTCCATGGGTATGTGGGCTCCATGGGCAGGTAAGCTACATGGCTAAGTGGGTTGGGCTCCACAGGTAGATGGGCTCCATGCGCAGGTGGGCAGGTGGGCAGGTAGGGAGGGCTCCATGGGCAGGTGAGATTCAGTGGGCCTCAGCGTTGAGGTCACTGGGGCTGAGGATGCATGCACCTGGGCAAGTAGAAACAGCAGACATGAGGCTCAACTGTCACTGGGGACCAAGGACAAGCAGCTGGGGGTGTTGAAGATGTCCCAAAGTGCTGGTCATCAGCATCAGTCAACAGTGGTTTGGCGAAAAGCCTCCAAGGTAGGGGACAGGCATGGACTCAACCTATAAGATGTAGGACCCGTTTAATTAATAGGCCATGTTATTTAGGTTTATATCTGAAGTGTACCCAAGTGATTCTGAGACCAGGGACTAGAGTCTATTTTCATGGGGAATCCAGCCCAAGGAAGCATTAGTCTTTCAGAAAACCCACTCTGTTGGGCCATTTCCTGTCCACCACTATCTCTGGGCCAGAGAACTCCAGTGCTGTGAGCTGCAACCCCAAGGAGAGGGGAGTGCTGGTCTCTCAGAAAGGGCTGTAAGGGAGACAGGATGAGAAGTTCTGGGGACAGCAGTCCCTGTAGCACAGGCACACAGGTTCCTGTTACCCAGGGCAGGCCCCCAGCATTCTCCACAAGTCAAGAGGCCACGAAGCATGGAGTTCCAAAGCACAAGCCTCTATCAACTGCCTGGATTCTACCCCCAGCTCTTGCACTTACGACCTTCAACATTCAATTCTGCACTCCAGTTCTCTCATTTGTAAATTGACGGTCATGATGTACGTGTGACATTTAGAGGATTCCATAGTTGTTAGCCATCGTCATTATTGTCATGGGGTGGCACCAGCACTTTTGCTTATTACTGCTCTGAATAAATAGCTGGTGATTTTCATGTGCTTTGCATGTTCACTAACTATTCTGTGTGAAGCCTGGTTTTCACCCTGAAGTTTGGCGTTTCCTGCTTCTTCTCATCCACGCTTACATTTTCAGCCTAGATCTCTTACACACAGCAACTTTCTTGCCTGTGGTCTTTCACATTCAACGATCACAAAATACACATTAAGTGGGTGTGGTTATCATCCCCATCTCATGGGCAAGGCTGCCAAGATGTGCAGTGTCCAGGGTTTCAGAGCACGGCTGGTCGAGGATGGAACCCTGAGCCTGATCTCTGAGGCTCTGACTGTTGACTCCACTCTGACCTTACCTAATGGGACGCTCGGAGGACAGGCTGGGTGGGGGAGACCAAAAGGCAGGGATGGTGGTGAGAGGGAGAGCAGGTGCTGTTACAGCAGGTGTAAACTGGAACCAAGGACACCTTAGTTAAGAGTAACAAGACCCCAGACTGAACCCCAGGCCAAAGCCAAGGCCAGCAAAATTGCCATGAGATTATGGCTGGATCCTCTTTGCAGATGAGCTGGGTCAGGGCAGGGCTGGCCAGCATAAGCCTCCAGAGGCCAGGTCACATCACTCCTCTTCTGTGTCCCATCCTCACCCAGACATTTCTGTCCCCAGCTCACCACCTAGCCCCAGCATGGCATCCCTGCCTTCCTTCCGCACCAGTGTGGGAGTCCATACTCAGGCATGCCTTGTGGGCTTCCAAAAGCTGACATTGGCCATTTGCACACCCATGTTTTCAGCAGCATTATTTCCAATAGCAGAGCAGGAGAAGTAACCCAAGTGCCCATCAAAGGATGAATGAATCAACAGAATGCGGGACATGCACACGGTGGGATGTCGTTTCTTAAAAAGGAAGGAAATCCTGGCAGATGCTACTACATGGATGAAATCTGAGGACATTATGCTAAGTGAAATAAGCCAGCCACAAAAAGACAAATATTGTATGATTTCGTTTATATAGGGACCCTAGACTAGTCAAATTTACCCACACTGAAAGTAGACTGCTGTTTGCCAGGGCCTGGAAGGGAGAGGGATGGGAAGTCATTGTTTAATGGGAGCAGAGTTCCAGTGGTGCAAGATAGAGCTCTGGAGATGATGGCGGTGATGGCTGCACAACGATGTGAATGTGCCTAATGCCACCGAGCTGCACGCTTAAAAGGGTTAAGGTTGTAAGTTTTACATTATGTGTATTTTATCACAACTTTTAAGAAAAATGTTTGGATGTTGTGTCCAGGCCTCTTTAAACACAGTGGCCTCCACTGTCTGTCCTCTGGGGAAGATTGGCAGCAGGCTCTCTCCCCAGACCTCAAAGCTACCCCGTTTTCCCTCACAGCCACCTGCTTGCCGAGCTGAGCATCCTGGCGCAGGGCTGCTTCTACCCCAGGGAAGGGCGCCCTTTCCTAGTTGGTGCAAAGATGCCACCTGTGCCCCCAGCCCCTTGCCCATGGGCAGCCTGCCTGGAAGGGCGCCTTCCTCAATTCCTATGAGGGTGGGCCTGCATGTCTGCTTCCTCCCTACTCAGCTGGAAGTTGCCCAGAGCAGGCACCATTCTCATTTCCCTCTGTATCCCCAGCTGCTCCTGCTGAGCCTTGCACACAGTTCATGCTTAAAAGACACTTGAGGAAGGGAGAAGAGAAGGAAGCCAGGGAACGAGGGAGGGAGACAGAGGAATGGAGAGATGGGTAGAAGGGATGGATGGAGGGGAGATACAACAATAGCAATGGGTATCAATCTCCACTTTACATGCATAGACACGGCCTGAGAACGGGCGGGCCATGGATGCTGGGGTTTTATTTTAGGACTTGATGTCTCCTTCCGTTATCTCACTACCCAGAATCCTGAAAGCTGTGGTGGACTAAGAAGGTGCTCAGATCCCCAGGTGCCTGTCCTGATGTGGCGGCCTCAGGGCTCGGCTGCCCCTCTGTAGCCAATGACCCCGGCAAATACCCCAGTGGCTGTGGAGGTTTAGACCCTCCAAATACCTTTGCTACCCGCCAGTGCCCACTGGGGCCTGCAGAGAGGCCACTCTTCCTTGACCCCCAGTTGCTTCTTGACATTGTATTTATTTATTTACTCATTTATTTTATATTTTTAAAATTTTTTTGTAGAGACAAGATCTTGCTATATTACCCAGGCTGGTCTTGAACTCCTGGCCTCACCCGACCTTCCCACCTCAGCCTCCCAAAGTGTTGGGATTACAGGCAGGAGCCACCTTGCTTGGGCTATTTTTCATTGTTTGTTTTTTAATTTTTTGTGTCTTGACATCTTAGGCAAGAAATTCAGAAGCCCCTCTCAGAGGCCAAGGCAGACGAAGTGTGCTCCCCTCCCATGCTGCCTCTGTGCACCTTCCCACGCCCACGGAGCCTCTTGGGGCCACCCTCCCACCCTCTGTTGGTTCCTGCTATCTACAGAGTGATCCTAGGCAATACTGTGGCTCGGGTCAGGCCAAGGGGAGTTGTGTGGACCTGCTGAAGAGCAGGGAGTTTCCAAGCTCAGCGCCCCTGCTGTTTGCTCACCTGTCATTTCAGCTTTGTGACAAGCCTGACATGAAAAGGGGAGAGGGCACATTTTTGACAGGAGAGGTAATTTATCAGAAAGCTGCCGGTGATAAACATGCCTGTTGGGTGTTCGCTTGCAGCCCTGGGCCTGCCACGTGGCCAGTCCCCTGTTAATGCATAACCAGTGAGTGCCACTCTTGGACAGGTGCACAGACCTGGCTGTACCCCAGGCCCTTGCTTCCCACTCCTGATGAGGCCACTTTATCCTTTGCTTGGGCACAGACCCTGCCCACAGCAGGTCAGGGGAGCTGAAATCCAGGAGAGGCCCTGCAGGCTGCTGCCCCACCCTCGGCCTTCCCGTCAGGGCCGGTGTCTCCAGGCCTCAGTCCTCCAGCGGAGGGTGGGGACGGCCACAGAGATGGGTGTGGCTCCACGCATGACTCTGACCCTGGAGGATGGCGGGGCATCAGAATCAGGCACGATGGCTCCATGTTGCAGAAAAGAAAGTGCAGCTTGAAGGTTAAGGGGTGACGTCTGAGAGTGGGAGCACCTCCTCCTACAATCTTAAATCCACTTCCCAAGGGGAAGAGAAACCACTCACTAGTGCACACTGGACACAGGGCCAGTGAAAGGCTCATGTTTTTATGGGAAAGCAGCCTTTTAGAGTCTGTTTTCTTCCAGATGAGGTATATACAGAATGAGGAGCCCCAGGGAGAACTGCAGGCAGATGTCTGGACACTGAGTGTAGCTGTCCCGCAGGGTTGAGGCTCTGTCACCACCCTGGGTGAACAGGTGCTGAGGGCTCCTCCTGGCACCACCAACAACTTAGAGTGTGGCTAATGGGCGAGAAAGAGCCTGGGTGGGGGGTGTGGATATCTTACAGGGAGAGGTTCTCTTGGCTTCTTTGGTTGAGACCTGTGCTCTGTTTTCTTCTCATCTTCCTTAGAGGTTGTGTGGTCAAGGTCAAACCCAGACCCCTGAAAGTCATGGGGTCAGTGGTCACATTTTGGAAAATCCTGTCTCCTGGAAAAGCCCCCACTTTACAAATGTGGTTTGATGGCCAGTGACATAGGGTTGTGCTTCCTGAGAGCCTTGGGGAAGGCCATGACCTTCCTAGGCCTCAGTTTCCCCACCTTCAGAGAGACCCATCAGGCTCAGGATGCCTGGGATGACACCTTGGCATGAAAGACCCTGACACACCATCAGGATGAGCATCTCGCTGTCTCATTTCTTCCCCTCAGCTCCAAACAATATAGGAAGGAGAGAATGTTATTGCCTTTCTTACTAATCGCACCAGTAAGTACTGCAAAGGGCTTTGGAGTAGAATTAGGTAAGAAGAGGTTATCAACCATACAGACACAGGCCTGGAAGTGCTCGGAGGCTGTGCGTGTGCCAGAGAGCAGTCCTTGGGAACAGTTGAAGAATAGCTCATTCAGACAACAGGTAATTGGTTGAAATAGGTTTCTAAACGGCATCAAATCCAGAGTGAACTTAGTGGCTGGAGGGGGTGGGGGCAGGTTTTTTCCAGAAAACCTTTTATTGAAATATACATACAGAAAAGTACAAAGATCACAAGTGTATGGTTTGATAAATTCCCACCAAGTGAACCTGCCCATGTAACCTGTACCTATAGATTTAAAAACAGAGCAGGGCCAATACCCCAGAAGTCCCTTTCTACCCAACCCAGGTAACACCATCCTGACTCCAAAAACCACAGTTAAGTGTTGCCTGTTTGGGGATTTCATGTAAAGAGAGTCGTACCGAAGTTCTCTGTTGTGTCTGTTGCTCTCATTCAGTGTGATGCAGGAGGGGCTCATCCGTGTGGCTGCTCATGATTGTAGCTCATTCATTCACTCTCATTGCTGAGTGGTATTCCATTGTGTGACTGCAGCACATTTTATATGCCCATTTTACTTTTTTTTTTTTTTTTTTGAGAGAGAGAGAGGGTCTCACTCTGTTGCCCAGGCTGGAGTGCAGTGGCATAATCACAGCTCACTGCCACTCTTTCTAACTCCTGTGCTCAAGCCCACCTCAGCCCCCAGAGTAACTGAGTCTACAGGTGCACCCCACCACACTCGGCTAATTTTTTTTTTCATTTTTTGTAGAGACAAGGTCTTGTTATGTTGCTCAGGGAGGTGAGGTCTCAAACCCCTGGGCTCAAGTAATCTTACTGCCTAAGCCTCCCAAAGTGCTGGGATTACAGGCATAAGCTAATGTGCCTGGACTGCCCACTCTACTATTAATGGATGCGTATTTTGTTTACAATGAGTAAAATACACATGCATGTACTTTTAGTATGTGCTCAGTTTTCGTTTAATACAAAGTGTGAATGGCCTTCTGGAACTTCTCATGGGGCGGGGAAATCTTGAACCGTAACACAGCTTGGTATGCACACGTCACATTGGGAATCAGCTGGTTTCGCCTTCCCTGGTCTGATGGCTTAGATTGGTCTGGGCAGGAAAAGCCAGGCCATACATGTGGAATTGGCAAATTGCAATGCACACATTTCTGTTATATGCACATCGGGATCTGGGACAGGCTGGACACGATGGGGTCTGCAAGGTTCTTTTTCTCTCTGAGTTAGGCAAGCCATGAATATGAAAAGGGAATGTTTGTATAGTATCGACTTTCACTTAATGAAAATAGATACAAATGCAGGGAGAGAAAGAGATAACATGCTACTAAAATGCAGGCCAATGACTCTTAAAAATATCACAGCTCCCAGCAAGTGGGTGGTAAATGTGGCTGGCAGAGATGACGTGTGTCTGGGGACAGGTGGAATGCAGGGTTGAGGAGAGTGTTCAATGCGGGCAGGACTGACGGGAGAAGGGTGCAGGCACTGGTGTTGCTGGGCTGAGCTGAGTCACTCATTCCCCAAGGACCCTGTCTGCGAGCAGGAAGTGCCAGATGGGGAGGCACTCAGCAAGTGGATGAGGACAAGCAGCACCACTGCCAGCCCCTCTGCAGCATGACTGCACCCCAAAGGGTGCTGCTGGAGGCTGGGGAGGGTTCACCTGAGCCTCCGTCTCTCCATCTCTGGAAGCTCCCTCACCTTTCCATGTAATAAGCAGAGTGACTTCCCCATTCCACGTGTGTTGCCCGGCTCTTCTGGCCCAGCCCAACCTCTGAGCCTCAGACCAGGAAATGTGAAACCAGGTGATGTGCACCTATCAAGTTGTGTCATGGTTCAAGACTTCCTCACTTCATGAAAAGTTCCATAAAGGCCCTCCTCATTCTGTGTTAAATGAAAAATGAGCCAGTGTCCACAAGGAAGGGTGCCTCTTTTTAAAAATATTGCCATGATGGCTGGGCAAGGCGGCATGCTCCTATAGTGCCAGCTATTCGGGAGGCTGAGGCGGGAGGATGGCTTGACAACAGGAGTTTGAGGCTGCAGTGTGCTATAATGGTGTCTGTGAATGGCCACTGCACTCCAACCAGGGCAGCATGGCAAGACCCCATCTCTCTCACACACACACACACACACACACACACACACACACACAGAGATACACACACCCAGAGATGTGTCTCACCCTCAGCTAAATCCAAATATTCATGGTGATGTTAATATCACGCACTCAAAGTAGCCCAGAAAAGGGGAAGCAGCAGTCCCTGGAAGGTTAGGTGTTCTACTGAGAAGCCCCCAACTTTCCTCACACCCCACTTTAACCTTTCACTTTGCTTTTCTAGATGAGAATGGGCCTTGCAGCCACTGGGAAAGGCAGCAAAGCCCAAGAAATTAATATCCCCATGAATATCTGGAGTTGACTGAAGGTCAGAAGAAATGGGTGGCAGAAGAAAGAGAAAAAGAAACATTGACAGATGGAATCCCTGCCAGGCCACTTTCAGTATCAAGAAAAGTGATCAGGTGGCAGAGCAATCCATGGAGGCTTCAGACTGATGCCCAGTGACAGCTGACTGCAAGCAAAGTCAAAGTGGTTAAGGCCACTTAAATATACTCCGTATTCACGAGTCCAAATTAAATACTCCCTATTCACATCCAATTTAAACCTGCATCCCCTGCGTGGGCGGTGGATGTAAACGCTGAGAAAGCCAAAGCTAAGTGTGGCCCCCTGCCAGGCCAGCTGCTCCCTCTGTTCTCAGCAGCTGCTACTGGACCTGGGAAGGTTCCAATCTGCTCCCACTGGTGGGAAAGACCGCCCCGCTCCTGGCGTCGGGGAGGCCCTGGAGCTCTTCTTTCCTCCTGAAAGTCCACGCAGCACGGTCGCTGGGAAGGCAGGGAAGCCCAAGAAAAGCCCATTCTGATCTAGAAAAGCAAAGTGAAAGGTTAAGGTGGATATGAGGGAAGTTGAGGGCTTCTTAGTAGAACACCTAATCTCCCAGGGAGCTGCTGTTCCCCCTTTCTGGGCTGCCTCGAGTGTGATTGTTAAGTCAAATTGGCCCCATCCGCTCCTTGGCTGAATTTGCCCGGATTCTCTCTGGAACACAGGACTCAGCACCTCCACAGATGCATCTCCCCTGACAGTTCCATCTGCACCTGAGCCCTTCGTCAAGTTAATGGGTCACAGGCGCTCTAACTGGACTCATGCTGCTGTGAAGCACTGCGCATGTCTACCGCAGGATACGGACCACCCTCGTAAATATCCCAGGCGATGCTGAGGTACTAATGAGCCTGCACTTGTGCCCTACACCCCTTTACTCTAGGGAGAAAAAAGACATCTAACTCATCCAAGTGGGCCTCCCAGCAATAGCTCACCCAGTTATTTTTTTATGAGATTGTTATCACCAGCAGCCCCAAGATTAATAAAAATGGAGAGTAATAAAAGAAATCACAGGGGAAACTGATGCTATCAACTATGTAATAAAAGAGAGGAAGCAGGCTTCGTTTGTAATGACAAATTCTCCTTGTCTCACCAAGCTCAGAAATAAAGCCCCGAAAGAAGGGTGTAGTAGGGTGTAGTACGTGGCTTCAGATGTGTGGACACACTAGCGCCAGGTAAATATCTCTCAGTGGCATTCTCTGCTCTGTGCAAACCAGAGAGCTCCCTTCCACGAGAATTCGAGGGTAGTAGAAGGAAGAGGTCTTCTGTCTAGTCTATGTCTAAACTTCTCACCTACCCCTAGACAAGGGTGCTACCCTCCTCACCACCACCCTCTCCTTAGCTTACAGCAGTGGTAACCAAGGCCCTGGAAGTGCCTGTCTGACGTCAGCTCCATGGCCTTTAGCTGGGGGCTAATGTCTGGGGTCCTGCAGCTGGCCTTTTCTGCACTTGACCCCAGCCACCCTTTCTCCTGTCTCCTTAAGGAAGCCAGCAGAGCCCCAGCCAAATCCAAGTCCACAAAGCCAACTCGGAAGCAACGCACCAGCATCCTGTCCTGTCTCCAGGCTCTCTGGGCGGGTTCTCCCTGAGCACTTCCAGATGGCTTCTGTTTGCTCCTCTCTTCACTAGATCTGCACATGTGGCCATGAGAAGGCAGCCGGGCTGGCGCTGGGTGAGGCTCAAGGGCAGTGGGATAGGGGGAAGGAGGAGGGGAGGACATGTGCAGGAGACTCCCGGGTCCCAGCTCTGTTCCTGTCTCCTGCCTGGGACCCTGAGCTCCGCAGCTGGGGTTTGTATCAAGGAGAGCTTGCTCTCCACTGCAGAGTGAGAGGCTCACAGAAGAGCCACGACGTGGACTCCAGAGCATGGTGGGGCCTCTGTGTCTCCCTCACTGCGCACAGGAAGGGAAGGAAATGGAGGAGAATCACCTTTCTCCTTTTCTACTCCACAAACGCTGACACCAATCCTGACCTGGTTTTCCCAGCAACACAGATGTGATGAGGGATTGCTTCGAGCTTGGGGTCATCCCCGTATTTTGAAAAGAGCCCTGTGCCACCTGCAGTGATAAAAAGGACCACGGAGATGTAGCCCCAGCCAAGGGGGCCAAACTTCAGGGAGAATGCGGAATCAACTCAGATCCAAATAAATGTAGCCACCGCAGGGCTGCCCCCAGCTCTGAGCCCGTGGGCATGTGTGCTGAGGGTGCAGGAGAGAGGAGAGAGGGGATCCCTGCAGCGGGGCCCGAAGCACGCAACACTCCTTTGTCACCCAGCTTTGCGGAAGGGAAGGCCAGTCTAGATCAGGAGAATGGTCACAAGGGCAGGGTCTAGGAGGTGGTCAGTTAGTGAGGAGGAGGGAAAGCAACAGTGGCGTGGGACAGGCAGGGTCCCTGTGGGAACGGGCGTGATGTGAGACACAGCACAGAGGGCTGGAACAGCAAGGGGACAAAGCACATTCAGGACGCAGGGACTTTGTGGGGGCCAGGGCTTTCCCGTGAAACCTGGGAAGTTGAGGGGGTGTCATCAAGGATCACCAGGACCCTTCTCCAACTTTAATTACTGAGGACTTTCCCATGGTTAGCAAGAAAGCTAGGTGATGCTGCTGGGGACAGCCATCTTGCTTCTCCAACAGATGCAGCGAACAGCTCGGGCTTATCTCCGCTCCCGAGCAGACACATAGTGGGAGAAAGGGGGAGAACACATGGCAAAGGGAGAACTTCAGAGCAGGATGCATCCCTAAGCCCCAGCTGCCAGGACTGGGACCAGGAGTCCCCAAGGACTGCAGCCGTGACTCATCCAGGCCTCGGTACCCTCCCATCTCTGAGGTTTTCTGCTGTGGCTCTGGGGCTCTTGTGCCCAGTGTCGCTTTGGGGCTTTCTCCTGGTGGAGACTTGGGACACTCAGTGTCGGAGCCTCCCAGCAGCATGAGGAACGGGGTGCAAACAACGCAGACGACCCAGCTCCCCAAGAGGGGTCTGACTCCTGCATCCAGTGAGGGCTGAGTCAGAGCCAAGCGGAGCCTATCAGTGCACAATCCAAACACCAGCCAAGGCCCCGTGGCCAGGCCAGTCATAAACCCACGGCCACAAAAACAGGCCAGAGAGCCCAGGAATACAGCCCTGCCCGGGTAATGATTAACTGGCATCCAGGGGTCCTGGAGGTCAGAGCGATAATGAGAAAGTTTCCCTGAACTCTCTCAAGTGCAGAGGGCCTGGGGAGGGGCCCTGCTGGCGCCGATTCCTGGGCAAACACTTCCTGCCCCTCTCTTTTCAACGACCAAACAGCCTCAGCCCCTCTCACCTCCTTCCTGAGAACTGGGGAACTGACATCACAAACGCAGGGCCTCAGGGCCCTGGTAAAATCCACTGGGAATAGCCAACGAGGGCATCTTCCCAGGAGGCTGAATTTCCTCAAACACGAGGCTGATAAGCCCTTTCAAGAAGACAGGGCTTCATGCTTATCTTTATTGTCTGGCATGTCCTGAGACATGGGAGCCACTCTGTTTGAGTGAAACTAGAATATTATGTTCAGCGAGACTTTCTGCTTTCTGATTTTTCTAGTGCTTTTGTATCTTGCAGTGGAATTCTCCAGCAACTTTCTTCTGAAATTCCCAAACAACTTCCAGTGCAGAACTCCTGCCTCGGTTTAAGTTAAGGAGGTTTGCTAAGGCCCCGCTATGTGTCTAGTTGGGGTGCTTTGCACAGAGTGAAAAATAATTCCCTCACCGGGAAGGCAAAGCTAACCTAGAGGAAAACATAACAATGGAAAAATCTTTAAGGTGAAAGGTCTCCAAAGTTTCTCTGTGTTCTAGGAAATCATAATGTCAGCTAAGGATTAAAGAGGTCTGTCCCCTCAACTTGCAGAGATAATTGAAGGAATAAATGACTGGACAGGGCTCGGTGGCTCATGCTTGTAATCCCAGCACTTTGGGAGGCCAAGGCAGGAAGATCTCTCAGACCAGCCTGAGCAACATAGGTAGACCTCGTCTCTACAAAAGAAACAAATGAACAAAACATTAGCCAAGAGTGGTGGCACATGCCTGTGGTCCCAGTTACTCAGGAGGCTGAGGTGGGAGGATCACTTGAGCCCAAAAAGTCAAGGCTGCAATGAGCCATGATCACTCCACTGTACTCCTGCCTGAGTGACAGAACAAAAACCCTGTCTCAAAAAATAAAATAAAATAAATGTAAAAAAATTAAAAATAAATGATTCACTTGAGGATATGTGGTTGTCAGTGATCAAGATGGCGCCATGTTAAGGCTGGGCACAGTGGCTCACACCTGTGATCCTAGCACTTTGGGAGGCCAAGGAGGGCGAATTGCTTGAGTCTAGGAGTTCAAGACCAGCCTTGGCAACGTGGCTAAACCCCATTGCTACAAAAATATATATATACAAAAAATTAGCTGGGAGCGGTTGGCACATGCCTGTAGTCCCAACTACTCAGGAAGCCGAGGTGGGAGAATTGCTTGAGTCTGGGGAGCAGAGGTTGCAGTGAGCTAAGGTCATGCCACTGTACTCCAGCCTGACAGAGCAAGACCCTGTCCCCCCACAAAAAAAAGCATCATGAGCAACTCTCCCAAGGCTGGCCCCTGCACATGTCTTCCCATCCACCAATAGAGTCCAGTTCATAGCCATTCTCACACCATTGTCCTGTCTTCCTCTCAACTGAGGGTGATGTTTAGAGGCATGATTTCTATCTAATATTGAAGCCAGAGGCCTTGCAACACTTTCCAGAGTCTTCTTGTAGAAAAGGAGCTATGGATGTTTCCTTGAAAACAGGCCCCGATTCCTGTGACACACCCATCACATGTTGCTCAAAGCTATCCCAGGATATTACCAAATATTGACATCCTGTCCTGGGTGAGCAGGTAGCAGTGCTAAGGTAAGACAAGTTCCCAGTTCTGGAGTCTTCCTACTCCAGGAGGCCAATCCTGAGCAGTGTGATTCCTGTGTTATCTAATTCATCAACTAACTTCCATTAAGACCCCACCCCGGACTAAGCCATTTTCATTTCCAGTGTCTATTGGGTGAGTCGGCTTTCACATTGTTCAGACGTGTGTGACAACACTGATCTACTTTTAACTATGTTAAACATTAAAGTGTCCATAACATTGTGTGCTCCTGATGGAAATAACACCACCACCTGTAAAGTAAGTATTCTTGACAAGAAAAAAAAAATCAAACCCAATCCAGCTTCTAGATCTAACTACTAGTTTACAGGAAATATAAGACTAGGGACAAAATGTTAAAGGACACCCAGGGCTGCAATCAGCAGAATCCAGAATGTGGAAACTGCCCATCAGCTGACACCTGTCATAGCTGGATGATAGTACATGGGGGGGTTGTTGTATCGTTTGCTCTACTTTTGTGAAATGTTTTATAATAATGGGTTAAAAATACTTACAAGTGTTTACATACACTCAGCCACAAATCCAAAATAACATCCGATCAGACACCTCTCCATAACCCACTGTGATGGGAGACAGTGACAATAGATATCTGAAAAAGGGATCAAAATCTCTGCCTAGCTCTTTATCCTGCCTCACCTCCCTGCTGACCTTAAGCTGATGCAGACCCGGGTGAACTGATCAGGGGCCATCGGCAAGCCCTTCTTTCCCCAAGGGTCATGAACTAGCACATTTCCTGGGGTGGGGGATGAGGAGTGTGCGGAGGCTCTGCCATGCTCGCACAGGCCCCTCGGACTCTGAATCAAGAGTCAGTACCACTGATCCAGGGACACCGTATGTGGGTGTGGAGGGTGATGCTGGCCTGAGTTCTCAGGCCTGGGCTCCAGATCTGACTCTGCTGCTCACCATCTGAGTGACTTCAGGTAAATCACTTAACCTCTCTGAGGGCCAATGTTTTCCTCTATCAAAAAAGGAGAATCAGGCCAGGCAAGGTGGCTCACACCTGTAATCCCAGCACTTTGGGAGGCCAAGGCAGGCAGATCACTTGAGCTCACAAGCTTGAGACCAGCCTGGGCAAGGTGGCAAAACCCCATCTCTACAAAAAATACAAAAATTTGCCAAGCACAGTAGGGCGTGCCTACAGTCCCAGCTACTCTGGAGGCTGAGGTGGGAGGATGGCTTGAGCCCAGGAGGCAGAGGTTGCAGTGAGTCAAGATCGCACCACTACACTCCAGCTTGGGTAGTAGAGCCAGACTTTGTCTCAAAAAAAAAAAAAGAGAGAGAGACTCATTCGCTCAACAAACACTTGTGCAGGATGTGTAAATGAGGTAGACAACAATCCCTGCAGTCAGGGAGCAAGGATCATGCACACAGAATACTGTTACACAGGGCTGGATGGGAGAAGGGCCATTGGGGAGGTAAACACCACTGAGGTGTCTGAGCGGAAGAGGTTCACTTCTCTCTGCATATCAGGTAAGGCTCCCTGGAGCAGGTGGCATTTGAGCTGAACCCTGACAGATGGCTCTCAGCAGGTGGATGTGGAAAAGGAGGGCATGCCGGTAGAGGGAGTGCTGAGCCCACGGCAGGTTCCGGGTTTTGCTGGAGCCCAGAGCTTAAGAAGGAAGCAGTGAAAGATCAGGCAGGTGAGGCCATCTGCGGAGGCCCTGAATGCTGCCCAGGGTCCAGGGATTTGGAAGGCCATGGGAGGCCATTTGGAAACTTTTGAAAAGGGTGCTTTAACCAGGACTGTTCTTCAAAAGTATTATAAAGAGGATGGACTGGAGAGAAAGACTTCATCCTATTTACACTCTAGGAAGAGAAGAGGCCCACTCAGCTTCTCCATAAACTGTTTCTGATTGACAGAATCGAGACAGACGCCTCAGACTGTGCAGCAGGGCGCCCTTCTCCAGGAGAAAGACTGCACACACACATACACACACACACACGACATACACCACACACAACACACACACCACACAAACACAACACACATACACTACACATAACACACAATACATGCACACCACATATACACCACACACATCACACACAACACACAACACACACACACCATTCCACACACCCAGAACACACACAAACACAGTTTTGTGAATGAGGAGGTGTTGGGCAGGAGTCTATAGGACATAGGAGAGAAAGCACAGCTGGAAAATGGAAATATGTCAACCTCTAAAATGCAGACACAGTTAAGGGTGAAACCATGAGACATGGGGAAAATGATGCCTCCTCTTTTCTCCCGTTTCGGAGAGGAGCTTCCTCTTTGCATCTTGCTTTGGTTCATTCTGGAACCAAATTCTCCAGGACTCAGAGGATGGGAGCATACAGGGGATAGGGGGCTGGCCCTTTCTATCCTCTCTACAGAAGAAAACAACATTACAAAGGCAAAATGCATGCAAGTAAAAAAAAAAGTTTCATAGAGGTGTGCTGGAGAGTTGATTCATAACCATGTTCATTTTCTATTTGTGTTATTTGTCCGCTTTTTAAAATTTGTAATTTAAAATTGTACAGGAGGATCACATGGGATCACAAGTTCAAGATCAGCCTGGGCAACATAAGACCCTGTCTCTACAAAAGAAACCATCAAACAATACATCACACGCAACACACACAACACACATGCACACCACACACACACACGACACATGCATGCCACACACACCACACACCACATACCGCACACCACACGCACATCACATACCATACACACAACACATGCACACCACACTCACACCACACACAACATACACACCACACACAACACACACTATCTGGGCATGGTGGTGCCCTCCTGCAGTCCTGCTACTCGGAAGTCTGAGGTGGGAGGATCGCTTGACCCAAAAGTTCAAGGTGCAGTGATGGTGCCACTGCACTCCAGCCTGAGTGACAGAGCAAGACCCTGTCTCAAAAAATAATAATAAAGAAATTAAATTTAAAACAATAAAAAAGAAATGACTCACTGGAGGACATGTGGTTGTCATCTATCAAATCCTATGATCCCCATTATGAGAGGCATTGTGATGAGATTTTCCTCTTCTCATTTTTGCAACAATTAACTTTAGTAACTTTTGTGTTCTTTCTCTTAAAGAGACCCCACAAATCGTATAAATTTTTGACCCCCCCGCCAAATTCTGATCTCGAGACCTCAGAATAGAGAGTACCCCTGAATTCACACTTCCGTTTTGCTGGTGGGGAAGGGCTGAGTGGGGGAAATAGCCCCTTAAATGGGTAGGTGTCTGCTTCTCAGTCCTTTTGATAAAAGTGTGGATTCAGCTTATCTGACCAGCTAGGCAGGATTAGTATGTCCCTCTCATAGATGGAAAGTTAAGTGATTTGTCCACAGCCACACCCTGACAACCTTGCTAAGACCCCAGGCCCCAGGCTCCAGGCCACCGCAGTATCAGCTGCCTCACTGTTCCAGGACACGGAGAAACCGGGAATGCACCTGTCATCCATAGCATCCTCCCTTCCTGGTTTTGATAAATCAGACTAATCCCTCTCCATTTGTCCACTTCTCACTTCACCCCCTTCATGGTCCCAGTGAGAGATCAGACAACATATTTCATTCGTTGCAAAACCTTGCAATCACTTGGGCCGGGAACTGGCAAAATCAGGTCACGACGGCAATCCTTGCTGGGGATCCTGAGGCCAAGGAAGCAGGAAAGACCCAGGAGTGCAGGGACTCGACCCTGCGGGGATCCCGTGCCTGGAGATGCCAAATCACCATGTTCTGCCTGAGCCCGGAGGCTACCTGCTGAGCTCCCAGGGAGGCAGTAGGACTGAGGATCACGGAGGGCTTTTTTCACTTTGTTGAGAGCTAGACTTGATATTGATGGGGAGTATTTAGAAATAGCAGCATAAAGAAGTTGGGATTATGGCTGAATCTAATGTTCTTGAGAAGCATTTCTTTTTTTTTTTAATTAAAAAAAATTTTTTTTATTTCTATATGTTATTGGGGAGCAGGTGGTGTTTGGTTCCATGTGTAAGTTCTTTGGTGGTGATTTCTGAGATTTTGGTGCACCCATCACCCGAGAAGCACACACTGTACCCAATTTGTGGTCTTTTATCCCTTATCCCCTTCCCTCCTTTTCCCTCTGAGTCCCCAAAGTCCACTCTGCCTTTTTTTTTTTTTTTTTTTTTTTTTTTGAGACAAAGTCTCACTCTGTTGCCCAGGCTGGAATGCAGTGGTGCAATCTCAGCTCACAACAACCTCCGCCTCCCAGGTTCAAGCGATTCTCGTGCCTCAGCCTCCTGAGAAGCTAGGATTACAGGCGCCAGCCACCACACCCAGCTAATTTTTGTATTTTAGTAGAGATGGGTTTTTACCATGTTGGCGAGGCTGGTCTCAAACGCCTGACCGCAGGTGATCCACCCTCCTCGGCCTCCCAAAGTGCTGGGATTACAGGCATGAGCCACCATGCCCGGCCCACTGTGTCATTCTTTTGCTTTTGCATCCTCATAGCTTAGCTCTGACATATGAATGAGAACATACAATGTTTGGTTTTCTATTCCTGAGTTACTTCACTCACAATAATAGTCTCCACACCCAGTTAATTTTTGTACTTTTTGTAGAGATGGGGTTTCACCATGTTGCCCAGTCTGGTCTCGAACTCCTGAGCTCAAGCGATCCGCCCACCTCGGCCTCCCAAAGTGCTGGGGTTACAGGCTCATGCCACCGCGCCTGGCCTCACTATTTATTTAGACAAATATTCCACATCCATGATTCTCTCCAGTCAAAAGTTCTTTTTGAGGTGATGCTGTTGGCTTTGGCCAATCAGAGAATGAAATACCCCGCCCGACACCCACCCCCACACACACCTACACACACTTGCTGGCTGATACCTGAAATCCCTGCGGCAGGGACAGAGCTTTGGTCCCCACCCTTAAATGGAGGCTTGAGACCAACACTCCCCACCCTACCCGCTGATAGAAGGAGCCAGTGAATCCCTACTTGGTTATGGTTGGGTCCTATCCCTCATCCTTCAAATTAATTCACCCTCAAGTTAAAAGAACCAGGTGGGATACCAAAATGCGGGGAGTTTTGAGCCACTGGAGTGAGCCTGCTTCTTCCATTGTAGGGGGTGGACAATGGGGCAGGGGCTGCAGGGTCACCCCAGGTCGGCCTTCCCCGCTCCCTGGCCATTTGCTGGAGTCTGTACCCGGAGCTGGAGTCACTGCCCCTCTGCACTGCTGCATCATCTGTGACACTGAAGAGCCCCGTTCAATTGGTCAGCTGGTCACCACTCTGCCAACCAAACTGGAGGCCTCTGGCAAGAAAACGAAGCAGTTGGTACCCATGCCCATTTGCTGGGTTAAGCCTGTCTACCAGGGAGCTCAGGGAGCTACATTCTGTCACAGTACCGAAGTGACACATTGCCTTGGTCATACAGTTAAAGGAGATGATGGTAATGACTGCAGCCATGAGGATGGCAATCATAAACCACAGCCCTCGGCAGTGCTCTCTGCTCTTCCACACCCATCCCCTCATTCCATCTGTACCAGCAGGACTGAGAGCGCACATTTCACACACAGGGACATTGAGGCTCTGCAACATGAAGGTCACAGAGCTCTTCTTCCTCCTATATGATGCCATCCCTCAAATCCTGCCTCTAGGTAAGCCAGAAGAGCTCCAGCACCAGCACTTTGTCCTCCTCAGAAGCCAGACACACTTCAGAGCTTTTAATGAAATCTACAGTTTTCCAGCACACAAGGATACCACTTCTGGTTTAAGATGATAAACTCAACACATGTTTATCTCTACTCCTTCCCCAACCCTCACTAAAATGACAACAAAGGGATAAATCCAGACATGCATGTGCAGAGGAGGCCATAGAAGGGCCCAACCACAACATGCTGGAAGACACAGAGCACAAGGTCACGGACATCACCCAGGGAGAGTGGACACCTGACTGCCTGCAGGAAGCAGATCTACTCACAATGAACATCTCAGGAAGGCTCAGGAATGGAAGGCCCCCAGGGTCAGCGAAGGTGGGAGTACAAAACAGAGCTAAGAGCAGGACTGTTTGAATTTTGCATAAGGAGCAGCTAGATGACCCTCCTTCCAATGCCCCACACATTCCCACGCCAGGTCCTCTTCCCAAGCCCAACCAGCCTGGCCACTCCACCTGCCCACCTCACACATGTCAGGAGGTTGCTTTCAGGGGAAATGGACCCAGAGAAGTTCTGCACTGTTTTCCTCATACCAGAGACTCCGCACTGAAAACAGCGGGTGTGTCTGAAAGTCTGCTTACTGAGTGCACCTGGCTTCTGAATGCTGGAGCCACACACTCTGCCTTCCAAGTTTGGTGAGGGATGGGTTTCTCAGGATGGAAACTGATCCACTCAAAAGAAACAGATATGAAGGACAGGACTGGTGCCCACGTGATCACCCCAGGGCAGGCTTTCTCAGTCTGGCACTATGCATCTGGGGCTGGCTACTTCTTTGTTGTGGGACTGTCCTGTGCATTCTAGGATGCTGAGCAACATCCCTGGTCTCTACCACTGGATGCCAGCAGCACTTTGATTGTTGGGACAATCAAAAATGTCTCCAGATATTGCCAAATGCCTCCTGGGGGCAAAATCACCCCAGTTGAGAACAACAGTCTACAACAACGCACAGAGCTTCCAAGAAACCTTCTAGTGACTGGCCCTTAAATATAAACAGGCTGTTAGAGACCACCAACATGTGAAGAAAGTTTTAACAGTCAGAGAACAAAACAAAACAAAACAGTTTTCTCTGCTCGTGCCTAGTGTGGCCTCACTACACAGAACAATGCCAGTAAGATTGTGGACCTGTACATCCCATGGAAATGCTCCAGCAGCCATCACGTCATTGGTGCCAAAGACCACACGTCCATGCAGATGAACATGGCGAGGTTGACCAGGTTACGGGCAGGTTTAACGACCCGTTTAAAACTTATGTTATCCACAGGGCCGTTCGTGGGATGGGTGAGTCAGAGAAGCATTTCTGAGTTTGCTTGTTTCAAAATCAGGTTCATGCATTAATACCCAGGAAGCTTCGCTGGCAGCTCACTTCCTGCTGTCCCACACTTTGGCTCCCCCGCCACTGTTGTTGGGGACGACCTCTTTCTCCCCTGGCATCTCCCTGAAGGCTTCCTTCTGCTCCCTGTTTCTGGGCCTCTGGACCAGACCTAAGCCAGTAAAAGGCGGTCGGGTGGCAGAGTCCTGCCAATTGTTGAATCTGGGTGATGGGTGTAAGGGTATTCCTTGTACTCATCTCGCTACATTTGTGAGTGCTTGATTTTTTTTTTTTTTTTTTTTACTGATAAGGTCTCACTCTGTCGCCCAAGCTGGAGTGCATTGGTGTGATCCCAGCCCACTGCAGCCTTGAACTTCTGGGCTCAAGCAATGCTCCCACCTCAGTCTCTGCAGCAGCTAAGACTACAGGCGTATACCACCATACCTGGCTAATTAAAAAATTTATTGTAGAGACAGGGGTGTGGCTGCTTTCCAACTCCTGACGTCAAGCAATCCTCACACCTCAGCTTCTAAAAGTGCTGGGATTACAGGCATGAGCCACTGTGCTCAGCCAATGCTTGAATTTTTAACGATGAAAAAAATCCAAAAGATAAAACGGGTGTTGGTGGATCCGGGAGCTGACAGGATTTGTTTGCTGGTCACATAATATGGGTGAAGATTATACCTGGCATTTTACATGCCTTATTTAATTACCACCAGGGACCCAGTGACCACGACCTCAGAGGGCTCCCTGCCCTGCACAATTACCTGGAACATTCTTTCCCTTCTCATCCTGACAGACTCTTCATTGAAGGCCCAGCTGGAGTGTGATCTAAGGTCAAAGCCTCCTCAGGAAGCCACAGTGCCTGAGCCCGGAAGGTGCGAGTGGTTTTCTGAGGAGTCTGGGCTGGATGGGCCGGCCTGTCTCTCTCAGCACCCAGGGAATGTGGAATTCCTGAGGGTCGGGTCTGGGAATGTGTTTTACAAGCTCTCCAGGTGATGCTTATGAGCACTAAAGTTTGCGAACCATGCCTAGTTGTTTAAATTGCATTTCTGAATGGCCTGGGAGGCCACCTCTCCCTGGTTCTTTACTTGCTGTCAAAATACAAAAGTGTGTGTGCACAGGAAAAAGACTCGGGGGGATAGACACTGAAAATATGAGCAGTGGTTATCTCTGGAAGACAAGGTGACAGGTGACTGTTATTTATTTTCACATTATTGTCTGTTTCATCTACAATGGTGTTTGGTGCTTGAATTAACTCCGAAAGACCCTGAGTCTTTATGGTCTTTAGCTTGCAGAGGAGGAAGGAAGCAAAAGGAAGACCACACTGGAAGGACCTTCATTAAACAGGGCATGACAGTGGGGACAGTGACTGTTGTCACTGGACGATTTCTGGGTTGAGAGGGCCCCATGGACGTGCCAGGGAAAGAACTCTAGCCTCATTTATTCAGGACTGTGCAAAACAATTTTGCAGGTGCAGAGCCAGGTTTGAGCACATTGGTGGATGCCTGAAGTTTCTAACAATAGATTTTAAAATAGAAGATTGTTGGTGGTTTCTGCTGCCTCCAGAGGGCTGGGTTCTAATCAAGAGGAACTGAGCTTTGTGACAAGGTGTCCATGCTCCTTCTTCCCTTTCCCATGACCCATGCTACCAATGTGGTGGAGCCCCGAGTGTCTCCCCAAGCTGCTACCGCCTTCTGCCAGTGGAAGCTCCCCACAGGTGGGCTGTTGGCTATGGGCCGGGTCAACGTCCACACTGATCAGGCTGTCATAAAGTGCAGTTGCCTGACACCGGCTCTCTGCAGAGGGCACGTCATGGCCACTGCGCCATCCTCTGACCTGGCACTGGGAAGACTGTGCCAGTCTCTGAGCTACACTAGCACTAAGTCTCCCTTTCAGGATCCCATAATTGTGATCGAATCCCTATGACATGGGAGTGGCAGAGGCTGAAGAAACAGAGCTCTCTCCAAGACTTGGGGCTGAACTCCTGCCGACCAGAAGCAGTGGATGTTCGCTTACTGTGGGATGAGCAGAGCCAGCCCAACATCCAGGAAGGCCCTGTCCCCAGCCAGGCGACACCCAGCAGTCCCTGCAGGGCTCTGTCACAGTTGGGAGCAGCTTTCTGAGTGTGCTCTGCAGAGGACACCACGACCCATTCACCCATCTCCCAGACTGCCTGGCTTGCTGATTTTTCTACCGGCAGCCACGTTCCCGTTAGGAAGACAGTCTTCTAGAACTTTCTCCTTCTCTTCCATGTCTAGTCCCTCCCCCATGCCTCACCCCAGGCACTTGGGAAAGGGGAGAAAACAAAGACAGAGGCAGGCGATTCCGGTCCCCTCATCAGCCTTCTTATTTTCTCTCTAGAAGTCATCAGTAGCATCCTTTCTTGAGAAATCAGAAGTGGGGGCAGGCGATGAACCGGGAAGAGGTGACCAGCAGGGCGGTGAGACAGGAGAGATCAGAACTCAGATGTCTGAGTCCTGCGCCCACCCCCTGCGTGTTTGGTGCTCCCTCTCTGTTGCTCTCAGCTGCTCCAGCTGCTGCTGCCGGCCATCCCCAGTGTCTGGAAGGCAGCATGCCGAGGGATGCTGCAGAGCCCTTTCCAGGAGGGAGTCCACACAGGCCACCTCTGGGACAGGAATGACAAATCCTGAAGCAGTGGTGGTCGGCACTCAATTTATAAGCGTAATGTTTTCTGCAAAGATCTCCTCCCCTCCCAGCTTATAATTTAAATTGTGTTCAAGGAAAACAAGCTGAGTGTTCTAAAACCCAAAGATAGTCATAACATTGAGCGTGATAAAAGTCTGGAGGAAAAGTGGTTTACTCTGATGTGTTTTTCACCTCACAAACTGCTAAATAAACAGAACACACATAGCCCCAGAAGTGTTTTATTGCACCTCCTGTGTGTATTTCCTGAAGATGTTTCTCTGCATATCTCAGCCTCCATAATTTAGCTAAAGCTGCAGAGGTGGAAAGCCGCTCAACCATCTGTCCCTGCATCAACCTGGGAGTCGCGTGGCTGTGTTACCTGTGCTTCTGGGATTCGTAGCCCTTCAGGGGTGGCAAGGGGACTCTGGGGCCGGCAGGTGGTCATGTCACAAGCAGCTCTCCTCCCTGGCTGGTGGGGCGCTGCTTGGCCTTGTTCCGGCAACTTAGAGTGCGTTGTTTACATTTTATATCTGTTGGTTTGCACAAAACACACTCACACTCCATCCAGTCAGTTTTGTTGTTGTTGTTGTTGTTGTTGTTGTTGTTGAGACAGGGTCTTGCTCTGTCACCCAGGCTGGAGTGCAGTGGTGTGATCATAGTTCACTGCAGCCTCAACCTCCTGGCCTCAAGTGATCATCGCACCCCAGCTTCCTGAGTAGCTGGGACAACAGGCATGCACCACTATAACATGCCTCCCTAATTTTTGTATTTTTTATAGGGACAGGGTTTTGCCATGCTGCCCAGGCTGGTCTCGAACTCCTGGGCTAAAGGGATCCACCCACCTTAGCCTCCCAAAGTGCTGGGATTACAAACATGAGCCAAAGTGCCTGGCCCCCTCCGCCATCTTAAGTAAAATGGAGGAACCCAAAAGTGTCCAACTATGCAGACCTTCTACAATGCTTGGAAGTCTGCTGTGGAATCTGGTTTTCAGGGAGATTCCTAAAGAAGCAGAAATGCCGTCAGGAAATGGCCTAGTGGTGGAGGTACAAAGGAAGCGAGAGTAGGTAGGTTTTATTCCCCCACCCCCACACTTGCTGGCTGAGGTGGTCTATGATAGGCCACCCAGTTTCTGTGCCTGCTATTTGATGGGGAAGGGGACAGAGGTTTTCACATAAGAAAAGGATACTGACTGTCTGCAGAGCTCTAATCAGTCCTGTTGACGGCATCAAAAAATGTAAAGTTTCCAAAAGTCTCGTTAGTAGCCTACATTCAAAGCCCTCCCTTTGTGGTGACATCATGCATGCAGTTCACCTATGGGGGACTGAAGTTCTCACTCCTCACAACAACAAATCTATTACCAGGTGTTAAAGTTATAGAAGTTGGCCAGGCCCGGTGGCTCATGCCTGTAATCCCAGCATTTTGGGAGGCTGAGGCAGGCGGATCACCTGATGTTTGGATACTGAAAAAAAAAATACAAAAAGTAGCCGGGTGTGGTGGCGCACACTTGTAATCCCAGCTACTCAAGAGGGGGAGGCAGGAGAATCGTTTGAATCCAGGAGGTGGAGGTTGCAGTGAGCCAAGATTATGCCACTGCATTCCGGCCTGGGCAACAGAGCAAGAACATGTCTAAAATAAATAAATAAGTTAATAAATAAAGTTACAGAAGTTGACTCCTATAAGATGGGGAGGTCTCTACTGGCAAAAAGGGATAGTTTAGAATTCTTTGCCTCCCTCCTATGCACAACTAGAGATTGACAGTTTTCTTATATAAGGCCCCAATATCACCATACAAAATATCTTTCCATTAGAGTTCAGTGGTTCTCAATCTTACATATACAGAATCATTCTGCAGAATTGTTTACCCAAAACCATCTCACTGCGCTTTATGGGGGATTTTTTTTTTTTTTTTTTTTTTTTTTGAGACGGAGTCTCACTCTGTCGCCCAGCCTGGAGTGCAGTGGCGCGATATCGGCTCACGACAAGCTCCACCTCTCGGGTTCACGCCATTCTCCTGCCTCAGCCTCCCCAGTAGCTGGGTTTACAGGCACCCGCCACCACGCCCGGCTAAATTTTTTTGTATTTTTAGTAGAGACGGGGTTTCACTGTGTTAGCCAGGATGGTCTCGATCTCCTGACCTCGTGATCCACCAGCCTCGGCCTCCCAAAGTGCTGGTATGGGAGATTTAAGGGAATTTTAGAGGTAATTGAAATGTGGACATGATTTTTGCCTTTCACACTGATGTCAGAGCCTATCCTGTGTGTAGACGCCACGCACAGCGTCTGTGGGAAATAGATGCGCACATGCCGACCGTACTTGGGCTGTTCTCCCAGGATTTGTCTCCCCAAAACCTGGACTGTTCCTCTTGTGACTTCTTTCTATTGTTACCACTTTGGGCCTCAAATATAGAGAAGAAAAAAGCACAAAGAAAAGAGAAAAGGGCAGCATGTCAATAGGGTTCGTTACCCTTAGATTTAGGGGATTTTTTTTTCTGTTCCTTACATAAACATATTCAGGTCAAAAAATAATATATCATCCCACAGTTAAAAAAAGAAAGAAAGAAAGAAGAAAGAAAGAAAGAAAGAAAGAAAGAAAGAAAGAAAGAAAGAAAGAAAGAAAGAAAGAAAGAAAGAAAGAAAGAAAGAAAACACACAACACATGCAATACGTCCCGGGCGCCACTCAGTCTGAAGCTGGCCCAAGTTTATCTCTGACTGTCCACTGGCAGTTTGAAACATTGCAGCTCACTGATAACCAGAAATGAGTAAGCACTATGACCGTTCAGAATGTCACACTGAAGCACCAATAAAAAGCTCATAACTTTCGCAACAGCAGAGTTATGTGGCCAGCATGCTGGGGAAGGAACGTTTACATTACCCATCTGCAGGTTACAAATGACTGTTTAATCAGCGTCCTCCTTACCTAACTTGGCCTGCTTGGCCCTCAGGCCCGGGCGGCCCGAGAGCATTCCACGGCACCTGCAATGCTTTCCAATTCCCGGAAAGCAGAATGCAGCCAACTGAAAATTCCTGGAGCCAGTTTTCTCAGAGATCCACATTAAACCAGAAGCTACGTCACTGGAGTCTGGGAGGATCTCAGGTTCTGAGCAGAGCTTTCTCGCCCCCTCCTGCTGCTAATGAGGGTCAAGGTGCTTCCTGAAAGTGAGGCCCCTCTGGGGAACTTGACTGCCATCAAGGTAGAAAACCCTGGAACTGGAAGGCAGCCACATGCTGGCTGATGCGGAGATTATTGTCATTTAAAAAGTGATGACTGTGAGAAAAAAAATTATAATTGATTTAAAAATAAAGGACTAGAATGAGATCTCTTGATAACTCTCCCCCTCCCCACCTCCCATTCACCCAAACTTGAGCCCAGCCCTCATGCATATGGGATCAGCCCAACTGGCCTTCTAATAGAGTTCAGCTTCCAGGGTGTGCCGGTCACTTTGCCCCGTGCTCCCAGCAAATGGTCAGGCAGTGATGCTTTTTGGTGAGGATGATAACTTTGGGTTTTGGTTTTTTCTTTTTTTAATTTTTGGTGTAATTTATACATAATAAAGTGCATAAACCTTAAGAGAATGTTACTATCTGCACACATCAGTGTGACCAGCAACCGGGTCACAATAAAGGCATTTCCAGTCCCCTAGGGGCCCCGTTATGCTCTCTCCCTGTGCCCAGTCAACCACATCCTGCCACTTGACTGGAAGACGTAGCACCATTCTGACTCCTACCTCCATGGGTTTGTGCTGCCTGGTTTTGAACTTTATACGAATGGAATCACACACCAGTTACTCTTATGCGTCTCGCCTTTCCCACTGCACTTTGTCTGCGACAGTCATCCATAATGGTGTGTGAAGCTATGACTTATTCTCTTCCTTGACGGCTGACGTGTTTTAATGGTGAGGGCTGGTCCTCGTGTGGCCTCAGTCTTCTTGTCCTGTTCCCCCAACTCCTTCTCCATTCAAATCAGCATGTGAACTTGCCCTCACTCTGTGATTTGCTAAAGATGGGAATGTTGGTTCCACTCATCCATGTTGCTCTGGAGAAAATCAGTATGCCCACCCTCCCTACGCACTGACGGTTCCTCCCACTACCCAAAGGCTCTGGTGAGGATCCCGTTTAAAATAAGGCTTGGCCACCCCTCCAGGAATGTGAGACATTGCCACAGGCTCCTGGAAGCCTTTTTGGAAATGCCCTCCCTGAAGGGGTTTCATCAATGGCAAGAAACCAAATTGGCTCTAGAGTCTGATGGAAATATTGTATTCGGGCCTTAGATGGTGTCAAGACTATGCTCTGTTCTGGGCTGGTAACCAGCATGGAGAAATGCCACCATTGGACTTTGGCTAGGAAATGAGTTCAAGAGATAATAAAGTGCAAAAACAAAAAGTGAAAAGATGTATTTTTTTTAAACATTTATTTATTCATTTATCTGTAGAGATAAGTTCTCCCTATATTGCCCAGGCTGGTCACAAACTCCTGGACCCAAGCAATCCTCCCACCTCGGCCTCCCAAAGTGCTGGGATTACAGGCATGAACCATATGCCCAGCCATATATATTTTTTTTTTTGAGATAGAGTCTGGCTCTGTCACCCAGGCTGGAATCCAGTGACTCAATCTCAGCTCACTGCAGCCTCCACTCCCAGGCTGAAGCCATCCTCCAGTAGCTGGGAGTACAGGTGTATGCCACTACACCCAGCTAATTTTTTTTTGTATTTTTCATAGTGATGGGTTTTGCCACATTGCCCAGGCTGGTCTTGAATTCCTGAGCTCAAGTGACCCACCCACCTCAGCCTCCCAAAATGCTGGAATTACAGGCGTGAGCCACTGCACCCAACTGAAAAGATGTTTCACAGGCTGAAAAGGAAGGACAGTGGTAAGTAAGGAGAAGAGAGGAGAGGGTGAGTCTTCCTAGTTGTCAGAAGCTAAGGAAGGGAATGCTTAGACATAAGAGTAGAGTGGTACGGTCAGGGGAGAATCGCAACTTCTAGTATTAAAAACAATTGTGGGCACTGTGGGTGTGCAAGTTAGAAAACATGTAACGAACATGTAGCTACCAGTCTGGCCAGTAGATGTCAGGCTAAGACAACCTATTCTCTGTGAGCACCACCGCCCAGCTGATGAACAGCCTCTCTGAGCCAAAATTCAATAAGAAACGTGGGACTCAGAGAAGGTGTGGCAGCATTGTCAAATTAGGCAAATCTCTGCTGTTACTCCAACAGTCTAATGAGCAAAAAGTCCTGTAGGAATCACAGCTCTTTTTCTCAACTTTTTTCTTTTTCTCTCTTAACTCCTGGCTATACTTAGATAGATAATAGAACTCAAGAAAGACAGGCTTATTTTCTGATTTCCAGTTATTTATTTCAATATAGATACTTCTTTCTGCTAAGTTAGAAAAATTGCATAGCTTGGGATGTGATGCGTTTGAGACTTTTTAATTTTTAAAAAAATTTTTCTTTTTTTTTTTAAGACAGAGTCTTGCTCTGTCACCCAGGCTGGAGTGCAGTGGTACAGTCTTGGCTCACTGCAACCTCCGCCTCCCGGGTTCAAGCGATTCTCCTGCCCCAGCCTTCCAAGTAGCTGGGATTATAGGCATCCGCCACCATGCACAGCTAATTTTTGTATTTTTAGTAGAGACAGGGTTTCGCTATGTTGGCCGGGCTGGTCTCGAACTCCTGACCTCAGGTGATCCGCCCACCTCGGCCTCCCAAAATGCTGGGATTACAGGCATGAGCCACCATGCCTGGCCACTTTTGAGGCTTTTGGCAATGAGAGATACCCAAACTCACAGAGGCATTGTCTTCACTGTATTATCAGAAAATATTTATTGAGGCTCTATACTCAGGTCTGTGGCTTGGTGTTGGAAAGTACAAAGTGCCCCTGATTCACGGTCTCTGCCTTCTAGCTATGAATTCCCTATTCATCTATAATTTCCTTGAGCACCAAGACCAAACCTTACAGACTCCTGAATGGATGTCTGCATATAGGTCTCCTGCATGGATGACTGTGCTTGGCACATAGAAGAATTTCAACAAATACCTGCTGCTTCTGTTGTCTTCCACATGTACCAGCAAGCTAACATGTAGGGGATACCACTCAAAATCTGACAGTACACAATTAACTGCTAAATGGGCAGTTGAGACACCAAAGCGTTTTAGGTTTTTTTTCTCCATTTTCCCCGGCTCCTTGCACAGCGAGGACCAGGATCATGTGATCTGTATTTCTTTTGCTGTCATCATTGCTAGAGACCACATACTGAGCATGTCCTTGTGCCTGGCCCTGGGAGAAGTGTGGTGTGCATTCTCTCTTAATTTTCACAACTCCAAGAGGCAGGTATTACAATTATTCCCATTTTACAGATTAAAAACCTGAGGCTTAAAGAGGTTCAATTTGCTCACAGTTACAGCACATTGAGTCTGTCTAGTAACTAAGGTGATGGCAGCAGGAATTGTCTAGCAAGGCATAAGACACAGGGGTCAGTGATGGTTGGTGGCCTAAGCCCCTCACCCAGCACCATATATTTTCAATGAAGATCATGGACCTGTCTATGTTTTCAATGAAGAGCCCGTGTGGTTTGAAAGTGCACCAACTGCAAAAAGCAGACTGCATCCTGGAGGGGCAAGTCCCCACGTATAACTTGCCCAAGAGCCTGGATGTGTGGACTCACTCTTGGCATGGCCGTGAAAAGCAGTCATCCACTTCTTAATTGATTGTACACTGGTTCCATCTCAAGGATTCCCAGAGAGGATTAAGAAAAAGGATGTTATTCAACCAAAACGCTGATCAAATTAAATATTCAGATCTCAGATATGTCAGTTAAGATCTCAGCTCAAGGCTGAAATATTTATAAGGAAGATCCTTTCCTCTTTTCCTCTTCAAATCTCACATGTCTGTACTCAGTCCACCTCCCGCTTCCAACCCCTTTTCCTCTCTTCCTTCACACTTTGCCTCTTCAGAGCAAATACACTTAGCAAACCCGTGGATGTCCCTAACAAGTCCAGGGACACAGCTCATCCTCAGCTTTCTAAGAACTCATGATACTGATGCCCAGGCCATGAAACCGGACCCAGAGGGCAGCAGCTTTACCCGTGCAGCTCATTCAGCACCTACCATATGCTGCAGGATAAGTCTAGGAGAACCGGCCTTCATTGTCTCTCCCTATGCGTCCCGCCTGGTCCTTGAAATAAGTTTGGAGTTAGAGACTAGTTCTCGGTGGGGCTGTTGAGACCTCTAAGGCAGCAAGTTCACACTTCATTACCCGCTGCTATGACCAGGGAAACACAGATTCCAGAGATAGGCTGTCTCTCTGAGCAAAGTACTGCAGTAACGAGCAGAGACTCCAAAGCCAGAATTATGGGCTCCCTGCCCGGTTCTGTCACTTCAAGCTGTGTGGCCTTGGGCAAGTCACCCAGCCTCACTGTAGATCTGTTTTTTCATCTGCAAAATGGGACGACAATGCTGCTACTGTTAATGATGATGAAACAGCTACTATTGGTAAATAACTTAGAACAGTGCAAAACACAATCCACTCGTGATTTTTTAACCAACATCAAACATTATTAAAAACCTTATTAAAATTTTTAACCAACATCAAACCTTATTAAAACATCTCAGCCTCTGCTCTTGGTCCTGAGCTCATGAACTGTGGTTGCCACTAGAGCAACTGTTAATGGAAACACAAATTTCTGATACAGATTAAATATTGAGCTGAACCCACTTTCACTAATTCAACAAATTAGGCTTTCTTTGCCTTACTCCCAAAGAAAGTTTTGATCTTCTGTCCTCTTGGGACCTTGTCAGGTCTCTGACCCTGATCCTCTCTGCTCCTCCCAACTGCTCATCAGATATCAGGGTCACTGCCTCTTTGGCCCCATTTCTGATGGCCTTTGGGTTCTAGCTGCTCTTAACTTCTGCCAGTAAAAATCTTGGCTCCTATTACAACTTCAATGTAGTTCAAGTCAATGCTCATGTATTAAGCACCTACTAGCCCAAAGCACTTAAAGAGATGCGACGATATTCCCATGCATACCCTCGGGTGAGGTGCATGCTGGGCTCATTGAGTTATCACACAAAATGGAAAAAACCCTCTGGCTGAGACCCAAAGTGCTGCAGGCAGAGTCACATGCAGGGGCAGAATGGGAGGCAGCCTCAGAGAAGGGGCGGCCTTTGACCTTAAAAGATGAGAGTTCAGTAAGGAGAGCATGGGTGCAGAGCTTTGAAAGCGCAAGATGTTTATTTAGTCATCCATTCATTCAACAAGCATTTACTAAGCACTTGTCATGTGCCAAGCACTGGGTTTGCATTCCTGCTCTGTCACCGTATGATCCTGGTGTATGATCTTGGATGCTGTAACCTCTCTGTGCCCCAGTTCCCTCAAGTATAAAACCATAACACTTAGCTATCTCACAGATTCGAGTGCTCTTCGGACAGTGCCTGCTACATATGAAGTGCTCCATGAAGGCTTACCGATACTGTTGTTGTTATAAGTTGAACAAATGATTGCCTTAAATGCTGTATCTGCCACCGAAAAGCTCACAAACATTGCTAGAGCAGTGGATATAAAAATGAATAATAACACTTCTGTGTACTTTCCTGGGAAAGGTATCCTATGATGTTTTTGTGTGTGAACCACATCCCTTTCCAAATTCTTGCAAATGAAAATGTCTGTGTGTGTTGCTGGCTTTCTCACAAATTCCACTCATGGCATCTGTACTCTCCATTCAGAACTTCACATCAGTCTGCGCTTCATGTACTAAAACACTCTTGCTTCCATTTCTGCCACCCTGGATTATCGTTGCCTTTGGGCTCTGCCTCTTTTGTCCTCGGTTCTCTGATGTTTTTTACAAATATGGGGCGTACCGTGCTGGGAGCGGGGGCACACAGTGTGTGGAGAATGAATGAGCCAGTGGAGTAAGTGACCCAGATCTCTGAGGGGAGCACCACAGGTGGGCCACATGGCCACCCCAGAGAGCCTCCATAGGATAGTGGCCCCATCGTGCCCTGAGTGGGGCTTGGTGGACTCAACGGAAGAGGAGGCGGTGCAGAGAGGAGGCGGTGCACCCGGGAGCTTGTGCTCCAGTCTGCAGACCTTGAGGAACCACAGATGATTTTGAGCGGGGGAGTAACAGGACACAAACTGTTTCCAGAAGACAGAGGGGCAGCAATAGGAGCCTGGGCGAGGAGCAGGGTCAGGAGTGGGGAAGACAGGTCATCCTCTCTCTCCACTCTATGTCAGCAGGTCTCAGCCAGGAACAATTTTCCTCCCCCTCCCCTCAAGACATTTGGCAATGTCTGGAGACATTTTTGGTTGTCACCAGTTGGGGGTGGGGGTGCTACTGGCATCAAGTGGGCCGAGGCCAGGGAAGCTGCTGAACATCCCACAGAACTCAGGACAGCCCCGCAAACAAACAATCCAGCTCCAAGGGTCAACAGTGCGAGACTGAGAGCTCTGGCCTGGAGCACCTCATCAATAACACTCCGCTCCCAGAATTGAGTCTCCAGCCTTGACAGGTGAGGCTCCTTCCACGCCCACGCTGTGAAGGGTCTGCAAACCAGGAGGACCCTGCTTTTTGCTGGGGCAGACTGTCCCCTTCCCTCTCCCTGTGCATCCCACCTTGTCTTGGAAATGAGCTTGCAATGGAAAGACTCGCTCTGTGGCAGGCTGCTGGGATCTCTAAGGCACTGGATTTACATTCATTATCAACCACTGTAACAAGGAAAGCATGGATTCTATTTGGGCAATAAGCCAGCTCAGAGGCTTCTGCACAACCCCAGAGACCCCGCCGTTATTGCTGGGAACACACATGGCAGGAGTGTCATGGCAGGGACCAGGAGAACACGGCACCGGTCCCCCACCCCAGCTGTGAGCCACCGCAGCTTCCTGCAGCCACTCCTCTCTCACCAGCCCCATGGCCACTTCTCCTCTGGAACGAATGTCAGCCCCACCTGGCTCCTCTTCTCTTGTCTTCTGCTCACCTCACCTGACCTCATCCATCCCCACATCGCTTCAATTCTCAATAACTGGAAAATTCGCATCTCCAGTCCAGACCTATCTGTTAAGCCCCTACACCCCGCAGACATCTTCATGGGAATGTGAGGACCACCTCAGCCTCCACGCTCCCGATGAACTCACAGTGGCTCTGTGCCCGGGCTCCTGCTCTGCTGCTCCCAATTGTCCAAGCTGGAAAACCCTAAGCATCCTCCTTGTCTCCTCCAGCCCCTGCCTCTGCCAGCAGCTGACCGCCACCAATCCTCCGCACTGGCCTCCCTGTGTCCCTGTCCCTGTCCCCTCCCACCACACCCTCACACGCCCGTCACTCCACCTTCTGTGCAGGGCCATGGGCAGCACTCCTGGCCACCCTCACCACATGCCATCACATTTTCCTGCTCACATTTTCCATGACTCCAATGTTCTGTTTTGTTGTTTTGTTTTTTTTTTTTTAAGACGGAGTCTCTCTCTGCCACCCAGGCTGGAGTGCAGTGGCGCAATCTCGGCTCACTGCAAGCTCCGCCTCCCGGGTTCACGCCATTCTCCTGTCTCAGCCTCCCGAGTAGCCGGGACTACAGGGGCCCGCCACCATACCCGGCTAATTTTTTTTGTGTTTTTAGTAGAGACGGGGTTTCACCGTGTTAGCCAGGATGGTCTCGATCTCCTGACCTCGTGATCCACCCACCTCAGCCTCCCAAAGTGCTGAGATTACAGGCGTGAGTCACCGCGCCCGGCCAACTCCAAAGTTCTTATTTGTTTGTTTACCTTTTGGATCCTGTTTGTATTTCTGTCAGTGACTTTGGGGATGATGTAGATAAATAAATGCATCAGAGAGCACTTGTCCATTCATAATGGCCCCTGGTCTTCACCACCTGTGAGACAGTAAGACAGTTGGTAGTGGCACCATTTCACAGGTGTGGAAACTGAGGCCAGCAGGTGGAAGAACCAGACTATTGGTGCTTCAGTAACTGGGCAGAGCTCGGGGGAGAACCCAGCTACCTGGCTGGTCCCATCCTGGGGTCTCCTGGCACCCTGTCCCACTATGGTGTACCCAGCCCTTTCTGGAGAAATGTCACCTTGGAGCACAAGTTTACAATCTGTTGGGTCCAAGAGAGGAGGAGGTCACTCTGTTTTCTCCTGTAATGCAGGCAGGGCCAGAATGGAACTGGCACAAAAGTGAATGGAAAAGGTCTGGAAACACGCCAGCCCCAGCAGCCTCCTCCCCACTCCCAGCTCCTCCACAACACTGGAGGGTTTATTTGTTCAATTACTCTCCCCAACTTTGAACCTTGTTGCTATTCTAGTTTGCACATTCCTCCAAAGTCATTCCCCTTTTTGCTAGATGACAAAGTTACAGTGAGAGGAAAGAAACCAGGGTCAGTGGTTTTGTCAAACCAGCCTAGCTCAGCCCAGGCCATCGTCCACTGAGTTACGTAAACAAGACCTCAAGCAGACGAACGAGGGTCTCCTTCCCTTCTCCCCTACCCCAGCCCCTCTCCAGACTCCCATCCCCCAACCTCTGTCCAGTTGACCAAGATCCCTCTGGATAGCAAGGACCTAGCTCCGGAAAAGTGCTCTGAACGCAGCCACGCTGTTGAGTCAGGACACCCGGCTGGGCTCTGGTCACGGCTTTGTTCATTGTGCAAGTCAAGGACAGGGCACAGGATGAGTCCCCTCCTCCTCTGGTCATGGAATCTTCACTTGTACTCTGCAAGGATGGACTGATGTTTCAAGGACCAGGAGGCACGAGTGATCCTATGAAATGGGTACCCTGCCCGTAAGAGCCTGATGACACACGGGACCCCAGTTACCTCTACACTGTGGCTCTCCCTAGGCAAGATGGGGAGCAGAGCACAGGCTAGCAGTGCCGTCCCTGGACCCTGCGTCCTTGGATGGGGCAGCAGGAACAAATGCCAGTCCTATTTCCAGTTCTCTGAGAAATCTCCATACTGTTTTCCATTAATATGGGGCCTCCGTTATTGCTCTTTCTCTGTTATATTACAATGGTTCCACAATATCTTTAAGTCCTTGTGTTTTAAGAACAGCCCAGGGTTTATCTCAGAATGCCAAAGGGGGTGCGGTGGTAACCCACACCTGCCCAGGAAAGGGTAAGTCCCTGGGTGGTGCTAGTTCATCCACTGAGGCCAGAGAGACAGGAGAGGGCCAGGCACAGCTACCTGCTTTACCCAGCATGAGGTTTCTCTCTCCTGACGGCCTCTGCTTTTGGGTCAATGGCCCAGGTAAAAAGACAGGTGGAGGTATTAACTTCGCTCTGCTCCAACCAGCCTCAGCATACTCTTTGAAAGCAACAACCAGGCCAGGTGCAGTGGAGCACCCCAAAGTGCTCATCCCAGCACTTTGGGAGGCTGAGGCGAGCGGATCACCTGAGGTCAGGAGTTTAAGACCAGCCTGACCAACATGGTGAAACCCCATCTCTACTAAAAATACAAAAATTAGCTGGGCATGGTGGCACTTGCCCGTAGTCCCAGCTACTCGGGAGGCTGGGGCAGAAGAATCACTTGAACCTGGAAGGCAGTGGTTGCAGTGAGCCAAGATCGCGCCACTGCACTCCAGCCTGGGAAAAAAAAAGAGAGAGAGAGAGAAAGCAACAACCAGTCAGAAAAGTTTTCTGTCTATATTTAGACACATAACTGGCTGTCTTTAAAAAAATAAAATAGGCAAGGCAGGCTTCCTTTGGCAGAGCAAACATGTCCACAATCCCACAGACCATCCTTCAGTTGTGGAAAAACCTCCCGAGGCCAGGGCTGCCTAATGCAGCTCTTGCTAGGAGCCCTCCCAGCCACAGAGCCCTGTTGGTGATCCCAAAATGCAGGGAGGGACTGGGGGTGCAAACAACTCACATGGAGACTTCTCTGTTCCAAAGCAGCACCTACATGCTTGGGCAAGTGCCTGGGATAAGTCATTGGTCCCTTGGCAGGGACATTTTTTCCTCAGCAGACAGGGGTTCTGATGACCAGGTAGGTGGGAGCAGGTGCAGGTGTGTGATTGGGGCAGGGCAGGGCAGGGACCAGGAAGGTAGGAGATCAAAATCCACCCCAGGGCTTTCCAGCCAAGACTGCCTTTAAGCTAATGGTTTTCAAAATGAGATATTGATTTTGAATCCTACTTCTTTCAAAAACCTGCATCAGCAAGCCCTGTGCCAGTGCTTGTGATTTAATAACCCAGAGTGAGAGTCTCCGCTTGGGGCTGAAGGGGCAGGGCTGATTGTTAATGTTCTGAGCATGCCAGGGGATGAAGGCCTCTGTCGGAGAAGCTCAGGTAACCATTTCCCTAGTGGTCCTCCCGCACCTGCACCCCCTGGCTAAAGCTGTCCCTGCAGGCCTGTTCAGTCGCCAACCTCACCTCTCTGCCCAGCTCCTCCTTCTTTTTTCCACTTAGACCAGGGGCGATGTTTGCCCACCTGCCCACCAGGTGAGGTGCCCTTACCCACCTAAGACAGCACCTGGGGAGGCAGCATGGCTGAGGGGGATGACTTTGGTGCCAAAAAGACCCTGGGGCCAAATTCTGGTGCCATCATTTGCTAACTTTGGAAATATCATTTAATTTTCCCAAACCTCAGTTTCATCATCTGTAAAATGGGTACAACCACTTCAGTCACAGACTCTTGGTTAAAAGTAACAGAAACCCAGCTGGGCACGGTGGCTTATGCCTGTAATCCCAGCCCTTTGGGAGGTCAGGATGGGAAGGTCACTTGAGCTCAGGAGTTCAGGAACAGCCTGGGCAATATGACGAGACCTCATCTCTACAATTTTTTAAAAAATTAGCTGAGTGTGGTGGCGCACACCTGTGGTCCCAACTATTCAGGAGGCAGAGGCAAGAGGATCACTTGGGTCCAGGAGGTCGAGGCTGCAGTGAGCTGTGACTGCACCACTGCACTCCAGACTGGGTGGCAGAGTGAGAAGTGAGACCCTGTCTCAAAACAAACAAACAAACAAAAGTAACAGAAACCCATTTGAACTGGCTTAAGCAAAAAAAAAAAAAAAGTGATTTATCAAGGGGAATCTGTGGTATGTCATGAAATCCAAGGAGGAGCTCAGCTGAAGAAGGCTCAGCAATCCACAACACTACCTCCTGAGAATGAGGGAAGGTAGGGGTGCTACACAGAACAGGCTTATATCAGGGCCTGGCACACAGTCGGTCCTTACATGTTGGCTGGTATGATTTCTAAGTGACTGGCACCCTACCCCAGTGTCTCTATCTGAAAAGCAAGGTTTCAGATCTAGATACAAAGAGATTTCACCACATTTGTGAACTTTATGTCTGCTCTGTTAGCATCCTTAGCATTTCTAATTAGCCAGCGGAATTTTCCAGGCATACTTAGGGATTTGTTCTATCTCATTTGTTTAATTTTTCCAGCCAGAGCCTAACTTCTTTCTGCCTTGCTCTGCGGCAGAAGCAGAGGCACTGGGGCTGGGCTGCAGACAGGAGCCTAGGGCCGGCGGGGTCCCCTTCTGCTCCCCTCTGCGGTCATGGAGCAATGCAGATGTGAGCCCATGCTCATCATTATCACCATCTCCGTGCTCACCTCACATCTCATCATCCCCATGGTTTCTGTCGAGTTCCTCAGGCTCTTCCTGGAGGTCCCCTGCTCTCTTTCTGCATGTAGCATCACCCGTATCTGTAGGTGGCTGCTTTCCAGGGACCTCAGGGCCATGTGCCACACACACAGCCACCTCGGTGGCAAAATATTTAATCAAGCCACCTGTGAGCCACACAAACAGACACAATGCACCGTGTGTCCAGCATAGCTTTGGAATCGGAAAAACCTGACTTTAAATCCTAACTCCATTGTTAACTAGTCCATGACAAAGCAAATCATGTACTATCCGTATTTTACCCCAACTTCTTATTTTGAAAAAAAAATTACATGAAAGTTACCATCTTACCCACTGTTAAGTGGACAGTTCTGTGGCATTAAGTACATTCGCATTATTGTGCAACCATCACTACCACCCATCTCCAGAACTCTCTCCACCTTGCAAAACTAAAACTCTACAGCCATTAAACCACTCCTCAGCCTCTCCTCCCTCCAGTTCCTGGCAGCCTCCATTCTATTCTCTCTTCTATGAATCTGACTACTCTAGGTTCTTCATACAAGTGGAGTAATTTAGTCTTTGTCCTTTCTTGACTGGCTTATTTCACTTACCATAATGTCCTCAGGGTTCATGATGTTGTAACCCATGCCAGAATTTCTTTCCTTTTTAAGTCTGAGTAATATTTCATTGTGTGCATATGCCACATTTTGAATTTTGAATGAATTTTATCCATTCATTCATTGTTGAGCACTTGGATTGGTTGCTTCCATGTTTTAGGTATTGTGAATAATGCTACTATGAACATGGGTGTACAAATATCTCTTTAAGACCCTGCTTTGAGAATATACCCAGAAGTAGGATTTTTGAATCATATAGTGGTTCTATTTTTCATTGTTTGAGAAACCTCCATACCGTTTTCCACAGCAGCTGCACCATTTTCCATTCCCACCAACACTGTACAAAGTTTCCAAGTTCTCCAAATGATCACCAACACTTGTTATTTTCTGTTTTTTGTGTTGTTTTGTTTTGTTTTGTTAGTAGTCATCCCAACAGGTGTGTGGTTTTATCTCATTATCATTTTTATTTGCATTCTTCTTATGATTAGAGGTATTGAACACTTTTCATGTGCTTATTGGCCATCTGTATATCTTCTTTAGTGAAATATCTATTCAAGTCCTTTAGATGTTTTTGCATTGAGTGTTGACTTTTTTGTTGTTGAGTTTTAGGAGTTCTCTATATATTTTGGATATTAATCCCTTATCAGGTATGTAATTTGCAAATATTTTCTCCCACTCTGTAAGTTGTCACTTTACAGTATTTATAGTATCTTTTGATGCACAAAAGTATTTAATGGTCATGAAGTCCAGTTTATTTATTTTTTTAACCTGTGCCTTTGGTGTTATACAAAGGAAATCATTAGCAAATCCAATATCATGAAGTTTTCCCTATGTTTTCTTATAAGAGTTTTATAGTAATAGCTCTTACGTTTAGGTCTTTGATTGATTTTGAGTTAATTTTTGTATATGATGTTAAGTAAGGCTGCAACATTATTCTTTTGCATGTGAATATCCAGTTTCCCCAGCACAGTTTGTTGAAAAGACTGCCCTTTCCCCATTGAATGGTCTTGACACCCTTGTTGAAATCATTCAACCATATATGACAAATCAACCAAAAATGGTTTATTGGGCTCTCTATTTCATTCCATCTGTCTATATGTCTCTCTTTATGCCACTGCCACACAGTTTTGATTAGTGTAGCTCTGTAATAAGTTTTGAAATCAGGGAGCATGTGTCCTCCAACTTTGTTCTTTTTCAAGATTTTCTTGGCTGTGGTATTTTTAGCTTTAATTTCACCATCTGCAAAATGGGGATGATATTTGCACCTGCCTCACTGGATCACGTGTGTGTGTGTGTGTGTGTGTGTGTATTAAATGAGGTAAGATGCGCAAAGCACTTAGCATTTTGCCTGGAATATAGTAAGTTATATATTTAAAATATTTAAAATTTCTATTAACATAAAATGATACAAAAATTCTTTAAGGATTTATTGCCTCTTCCAAACTGTGGAATTCCCACAACTGTGATGTATCTTTTGTGACACGTACATCTCTGAGAAGACTCATTTAGAATCTATTACTAAATACTAGGGTACATGTCAGCTTCCCTGTGTTTACTGGTCCCATCTCAGCATGAACAACTCTAGACTAGGGAAGTCACACCAGTGTTCAAACCAAGCTTTGCCACATCATAACCAAACCCCAGGATGAGACAGTCTCTCTGTGCTTTTGGTTTTTTAATATTTTTTAAATGGGCATAATAATACTTTCTTCAGAGTCTTTTAGGGTGGGGGCAGGTGAGGGTGAGTTTATGTAATGTGTATGGAAAGCCTTAGCTCTGCACCTTGCACAGTCAGCACAAAATAAATTCCTCCTGCCTGCCCATCTCTCCCTGTCCCCTTTCAATTCTGCTTCAGACAGCTTGTTTCATAGCTTTTCTGCATCTCCCATGAAAGAGGCGCATGCCACGGTCTCTGACATGAGAGAATTCACTATCTCTTTAAGGAAACAAGAATAACCTCCTAAAACAGAAGCAAAACAACCCCACATCCTGCCCTTGAGGAAGCGCCACGTCCCTAAGGGTTTGAGGAGTTGACCACTGGTTCAGCAGTCACCAGGCCCTGCTCAGCCAGGCATCTGAAGACCATGGTGTTCTATGTTCTAAAACACGTCCCAAGGGCTCATTTACATATTCATCAGGAAGTAGCAATTGAGGGTCTGCCACCCAGATTTGGACCCACCTGTCCCCCTGTCTCATACGAAGGCAGATCAGCACAAAAATACAATCCAGAATGATGAGTGCAGTGGGGTTAGAGCTGGATCTAACACCAGCCTCCATCTGCTTCTGTTTCCTGAGCTTCTTCAAGGAAAAAAAAAAAAAAAAAAGCTAGAAACACAGAATTTTCTCTCTCTCTCCTTTTTTTTTTTTTTTTTTTTTAGGCATCTGGTCCTGGCTGGAGTGCAGTGGCAAGATCTTGGCTCGCTGCAACCTCCATCTCCTGGGTTCGAGCAATTCTCCTGCCTCAGCCTCCCTAGTAGCAGAGACTACAGGCATGCGCCACTATGTCCAGCTAATTTTTGTATTCTTGCAGAGACAGGGTTTCACCATGTTGGCGAGGCTGGTCTCAAACTCCTGACCTCAAGTGATCCACTCATCTCGGCCTCTCAAAGTGCTGGGATAACAGGCATGAGCCACCACGCCCAGCTGAAACACAGAATTTTCCTAGTGAGTTAGGTCCAAGTGACAGAGCAACCCACAAGTTTTCCAGGTACCGTGTTATTGTGTGGATGCCCCCAGCTTGAGGTGCAGATTGTCTGGGAAAGCCCTGAACCCTCTCCCCTCAGGCACGAGCATGAGGCTACCTGAGGAGGGACCGGAGAGGTGGGTCAGCAGTTCCCTCCTCTCTGCTGCCCAGAAGTTCGACAGGAAAAACAACATCCTAAGGCACCAGCAGTCGTGCAAGAACAAAGCTTCCAGCCCAAGGTTCTTCGCACTTCCTCTTCCCTTGCTCCACCTAAGTCTTCGTCTCTGTGAAGTGATGTGCAGTTGCTGTGCTGGGAAACAAATCTCCTGACTCTGACATAAAAGGACGTGTTTTGTGCCTTGCTTAGTTTCAAAGGTGAAGTCAATAAAACATCGATGATGCTGGCACCATGGACAGGAATAATGCCCCCAGGGCCCCTTCTAATTATTGGCTGTAAAATTTTGTATTCCGCCTTGAAAGAATGTGAACAGTTACTCTGTTAAATTAATGGGAAAACTGTCCAAAGTATGAGATAATTAATAGTTTATCTTCTATAATATTCTATAATACAAGACAATGAGATGATTTAAAAAAAAAAACTTCAAATTTTAAAAAATAACGGCAAATGTCCTCACCATGGAGGTTCATGAACCGGGCGTCCTTGTTCACCTCCACGGCGGTGAGATTCATTATTCCCTGGGACTGTGACACAAGGTCCTCCCAGGACATGCTGGTACCAGAGAGGAAGCCAGGAAAACAGAAAGAGCAGGGAAGAGTTCATTTCGGGAGGAAAAAATACAGCCTGGAAGCATTTATTAAAACCTGGGCTTTATGTTATTCAAAATTTGAGAGGAGAAAAGATATTTACAGACTCTGCAGCAACTATATTTTTCATCAGACACCTCAAAGTATTATTCAGATGTTTCAGATGTACTGAGGTATCAAAATTCTCAAAGATATAATTTTTTTACTCACCAAACATGAAACAATGTCTATTGATCATTCAGAAATTTTGAGGACACACAAGGACTATGGGTTTACAACAAAATATGGAGACTACAACTTATAAATTGCTAGTAAAACACAGTCTCTCTCTCTCTCTCTCACACACACACACACATATGCGCAAACACACAGAACCCACAACCCATGCCAACACCACTGCCCCTTAAAAGATGTTTAATCCATGTTCTTAACCACGTTATACAGTTTCACAAACTTGGTCACAGCTCTGAATAATGGAAATAACTCCAATAACCTTTGGAAGCTTTAGATAATTCTGCAAAACATGGCGGGACTTTAACTCTAGTAAGCGCAGGACAGCTCTGGCTCTGTTCTTTTACTACTTACATGGCAGCTTCCACCCAACCAGGATGCCACACATGGCCCATCCAATCACCCCAGCACACGTGGCGGTGAACTTGGTCTTCCTGACAAAGAGAGGCAGCCAGCTCACAGAGCAGCAGAGTGTGACCCAGTCGGGGACCCAGGGCATGCTCATTCTGCCCTTGGGAAGATGGCCAGGCCCCTTCCTGTATCTCAGCTGCTTCTCTCAGACCCTAGGTTGATGATTCCGCATCTGAGTTGCTGCTTGGGTAAAAAGAGTAGGATTGTGGGGGCATACGGACCACACCATCAGATATGGGCAACAAATATCTTAAAATGAAAAAGCAGTTTGTGACCTCATGGAGTGTGGATTCATTTCTGCATAATGCTTGTGTGTGTGTGTATTATACTCTAGTATATCTGTATATTTAGAATAAATATACAGATCTGTATATTTAGAATAAATTCTGGAGGAATATTACCAAAATGTAATTAATGGTTATGGCTTTGAGGCACAATTTTAGGATGCTTTAAGTTTTTGTTTTACTTTGATATTTAATTTTTTAATGAGCATGCATTAGTTCTGAAGAAAAAATGTTTTTAAAAAATTTTAAAGAGCAAGTATGCAAAATAAGAAGTTCAAACACATCATTTTTACATATGATCAGACGTGGTTTTATTAATGGCAAAGCGAGTTACTAAAAATAAGATTTGCCCAAAGAAGCAGAAATGAGGCCCTGTGTGTTTCCTGCCATCCCATCTTTTACTCCAAAATGAATAAAGGATAGTTCATAGGATCCCAATGTTTAAGGATGCTAATTTTTCTTTAGCTTTGACCTGAAGTTATTTATTTAATGAATGAGAAGAACTAATACATTTAATGTGGAAAATCTGATCACAATTTATACATGATTTTTTGTTTTTGTGAGTTCAACACTGGACTCTCATTTTTCTGTTCTTTTTTCATGTAATATTCCATAAACGGTTGTATTCTACCATGTCATTCAATGTCAGATCATAAGCATTTTCCCACATTGTCACAAAGTCTTCAGAGACATTTTAACAGCTGTGTAATAAACAACTGTGTCTTGGGTGATTTGGCCACTTGCTTATCATTGGCCTTTTAGGTCTTTCATCAGCTATTAGAAATAATCATTTATTCCTCAACTCATTCATCCACAAATCCAACGAATACCTCTTCAGCACTTGCTCTGCCCGAGGCCCTGTGCTAAGCACTGGGGGATCATCCAACACAGTCTCCCTAGCTGAGGACAAATGTTAACCAACCAGCAGCTGCACCGTCGCACACCGAATTGACTGCTTTGACGAAGAAGCAGAGTTTGAGGAGAAGTTAGACCTTGAGAACCTGGCTGTTAGAGGATAAACTGTGTGCATCCTCCCAAACTCATAGGGTGAAGTCCTAACCCCCAGCACCTGACAGTGGAATTGGACTTGTAAGTAGGGTCATGGCAGATTGACTCAGTTAAATGAGGTCATCAGGGCAGGCCCTAATCCAATAAGACTGGTGTCCTTATAAAAGGGGGAAATTTGGACACACACAGAAAGAAAGCCGTGTGGACGTGAAGTTGGCCTTCTAAAAGCCCAGGAGAGTAGCTGGGAATAGATCCTTCCCTCAGAGCCTCAGAAGGAACCACCACTGCTGACACCTTGACCTTGGACTTTCAGCCTCTGGAACTGGGAGAAAACTCGTACCTGTTGTTGGTGCCACCCGGTCTGTGGGGCTTGGTTTTGGCAATCGTAGAATGAGGCTTCTCTGGGGAAGTGACATTAGGCTGTGATCTGGATGATGAGGGGGAGTCACTAGAAGAGAAAAGGGAGTGATGTGTGCCCAAAGGAGGCAAGGGTCTAAGTCATCGAGGGACAGTAGGCACATGAAGGATGTTGGGTATCATTCTATGGTCAATGAGCTGGAAAGTGACTTGATCAGCGTGGCCTTTTGTATTCAGAGTTCAACAAAACATGAAAGAAGTCACTCTTGCTTTTTTGAGAAGAAAAGCACCTAATACAGAGAATTATCTGCTCACAAGTCATTAGATGGGCTGGAGGAGCAGGTCATGGCCTGGGTCTTGAGGAGGAATTCGCAGAGTGTCACTGCAGAGCTCACTCACCAGGGGAGCCGTTACCTCTACTTCAGTGAGGAAGCTGGGGAATCAGAAGATGAGCTGCACCTGCTGGCCTCAGAACACAACGTACAGGCAGCAGTCCAGTGTCCACAGGCCACAGCTGCAACTACAACTGCAGAGCTACACTGCACCTGCTAAACACATACCTGCTGGAGCTACGTCTGCCAGACCCACACCTGCTGAAGCCACACCTCCTAGACCCACGTCTACTGGAGCCAAACTCGTTAGACCAACACCTGCTGGAGCCACGACCCCTAGACCCACACCTGCTGGACCCAGCTGCAGAAGTGAACACCTGCCCCCTGCCACCACTCTCCCTGCCTCACTCTGCACTAGCTCAGGTCACCTACATTTGACTTAAGCAGAGCCTAAGTTGGAATCTACATTTCATGGAGTCTAGGAAATACAGTCCTCACCTTTCCAGCTTCTGCAGGAGAGAAAGGCACACTGGGAGGAGGTTGGAAAAGATGTTGAATACACCAAAGTACTGCATCCTCTTCAAAAGATCACTTTGGTTTTTCTATGGAAACTGTGTCAGAGGAAGCAAAGGTGGAGGAGGGAGTCTGGGTAGAAGACAGCTGCAATAGTCCAAGTGAGAGATGGTGGTTGGTCAGGCTGAAAGGGCAGAAGGGAGATGGAGTTGAGAGATTAAAGCTTACATCCTGAAAGTAACATTCAAAGTCCTTGCTCGGGTCTCCCAGGCCCTAGGAGACTCCTCTCCTACCTCCTCTGGCCTCATCTCACTCTTCCCTGTGAGCTCCAGCCACATTCACCCTCTCCTGTTATTTGAAACACACAGGCTTATTCCTATTTTAGAGCTTTTGCCCAAGCTGTTTCCCCAACCTTGGCTGCACTGCCTGGAAACTTTTGCATGACTGATTCCTTCTTATCAAATCCCAGATTAAATGTTACATCCTCAAAGAGACCTCCCCTGACCACAAAATTTAAAGTAACCTCCAGCAAGTCTATACATCACACTGCCTGGTTTTTTAAGAGCACTGTATACTAAGTGATATTATCTTATTTGCCCTCCAAGCAGAGACCCCATATGTCTGTTCATCTCTTTGTCTTCTGAGCCTAGATGAGTGCCTGGCACACAGTAGACACTCAGCAAACATTCACAGATGGCTACAGGGTGTGGGAGGTGAGAGACGAGGTGCTGAAGATGACACTCAAGTTGCTGGGCTAGACAACTGTGTGGATGATGAGGCCACAGAAATTCCATGGAAAAATGGGGACAAATAGTGTTTGGAGAGGACAGGAATAAGGGATTTAAGTTTTTGACAAGTTAAGTTTGAAATACCTGTGCGGTAGTTGGAATAACGGCCCCCAAAGATGTCCCCCTCCTACTCTCCGGAACCTGTGAATATGTCACCTTACATGGCAAAGGGGATTCTGCAGATGTGATTGAGTTTAGGTCCTTGACATGGGGCATTATCCAGGTGAGCCCAATGTAATCACAGAGTCCTTATATGAGGAGGCAGGAAACTCAGAAATAGAGAAAAGAGACGTGATGGAAGCAGGGTTGGGAGTGATGAGAGGAAGGGGCCACAAGCCAACAAATGTGGGCAGCTGCTGTCTCCTGTGTCTTTCCCAAAGCCTCAGAATCCTCCTCAAGTTAGTTGTGTCCGGGGACATGTGCCCAGGGATGCATGTCCATATCATAGCTGCAAGGGAAGCTCCATGACTTCCTGGCATTTCTCTGCCTCTATTTTGGGAGCAGCCTCTATTTTGGGAGCAGCCTCTCCCAGCCTGGAAGAGGCGTTCCCATACATCCTGTGCACAGGTCCTGCTGTAGCCTCAGTATTTTTCTTACCTGTTCACATGAGCTTTATAGAGTAAGGATACTAACTCTTCATCTGTCATCGTGTGGCAAGTATTGTTTCATTTTTTGCTTTTTCATTTTCTTTATGCCTTTTCTGCTTTTCTGGTTTTTGCCTTTTCTGCTTTTAAGGTGTTGAATGGACTCAGTGATTCCTTAGAAGATGAAAAAAAGCTCGTCCGCTCCTCCTCCTCTCAGAAAACCCTGAGAAAAATCCACCTCAGGACAGGATGGGCACCTGTGCTGCGCTATACGGTACCATCCCATACTAGCGCACGACTCTACAGGATCCGTTACTATTCTCCAAGGTCTTAATGGCTTGAGCCCATCTGGGGCAGGAGACTCAACCTCAGCTCTTGAGACGCTACTCAGGGGGAGGAACGTGGTGTTGAGAAGGACAAGAGCTCATCAGAAGGCGGAGTACTCTGCTCTGGGGCTCAGCCCTTCCCAGTTGCCTTCTCCGCACCACCCAAGGGGATCTGCCCTCACTTCACATAGCTTTGACTTTTATGGCTATGGCTTGAATCCTTCATACAGTGTTTATTCTGCCTCCGAAGTATCTGAAGGACCTTCGCATATGCCTGGTCACCTCCACAGTCTGGAAGCTCTTGGGAATAAGGATCACATCTTCTCCCTTGGGATTTCTCAACCACCTAACATCTATGAGGCTCTCCTGCAGCAGCCCTTTCGCTACTGCAGTAAAATCTCATGATCACCTCCCCTGCAACACATGCACACACACACGCACACGCAAACACACACAGGCACACACACGCACACACACACGCACACACACACACACATATGCATGCATGTTCTTTAATCTTTCAGTTGTCAGGACCTGGATGTGGGATCCAAGGGCTCTCCCCTACACCTAACCCCCTTTCAGGGCCAGACAATTCCCACGGCCCTTTCAGAACTGGCTCAGAACATAAACCCCGCCTTTCGGGCCCACTTCTGTTCCCTGGTCCTCAACCAGCACAAGATGCTTTCTTCTGTTCATCTGTCATTTTTGGCCTGTCTGAACTTTGAATGTTTGTGATTCCAGAATATTGGATGCCTGCCCGATCAATCTCAGATTTCAAATCAAAACCCATTTTTAAATGCTTCATCACAGTTATTCCACTTCTAAACCCAAGCTTTCCCAGGTCCTTTGACATGGGAGGTGGTAACTTTTCTTAAGGGACACCGAAAAACAGCATCTTTGAATTCCCTAAGGGGAGATCTTGACATATAAAAGGTGCTTGTTCTTTATCACGTGGTTGTTTGCAGTTAGGCCTTTGGTTAAATTTTTGAGGGTTGTTTAACAATAACCAATTACAAAAGATAAATGAGGTTAGCACTGTTATATAAAAGGACAAGTCTCACACAGAACTGGAATCCTCTACTGTAATCTGCTTTTCTGAGCCCTGGATTCAAAGATCTGAAAGTCTTGTGGCTCCCATCATGAGAATGGGGTGTTCCAAGGCAGTCAGCCCAGCTGGTCCCATCTCAGTGAGCCGCCACCACCAATGCACTGGCTCACCAAACTCCGCCTCCTCCCCATCACCCCACCTCCTCATTAAACCAGCACCTCACCTGCACCATCGTGTCTCCTCAAGGCAGACCTGTCTCCTCTGCCCCATTCCCACCAATCGTGCCTCAGTTCCATCTCTTCTTGTCCCACTGAGATTACGATAAAGGGGCCCTGTCTCTCTTTGTCTCTCTGTCTCTGTCAATCTCTCTCTCTCTCTCTCTCTCTCTCTCTCTCTCTCTCTCTCTCTCATCTGTGTGTGTTGTTCCTGGTGGATTGCTCTATAACACAAACCTGCTTCACATCCTCAGGAGCCCCCTAAGCACCTTCAGGATGCAAGGCTGATCCAGGGACCCCACTGGCCTCTGCCCACCCTCCCAGGTCCCCACCTCACAAACAGCTCACAGGATGTACACGACTCGCTCCTGTTGGAGCCACACCAGCAACTCCCTCTGCTTGTGTTTTAAAATATAGGTCATATTATTTTTCAGGTATGGTGAAGCCAATAGATCAGGAGACAACTGCTACTGAAAAGATAGCTGTGACAGATCCCGGCGGGGTGGAGATTGGGCACGCCACGCCACACAGGAAGCACCGGGGTTGCCTGGTGGCAGAGGCAGCAGGGAATACGTGGGCCAAGAGCCTTTCCTGTGGTTTCCATGGGAAGGAATGGGTGAGGGGGAGTGAGCAGGCTCAGGATTGGCTGGCTTGAGTGATTGCAGTGAGCTCTAGGGCACAGGCGCTGTCCCCAGCTGCTCGGTGCCTGGCTCTGGGGTGATCAGGGCAGGGGACTAAGGCCCTGGAATGGGAAAGCTCACACTAGCTCCTGGCCGCATCATTTGCTTTCTCTAGGAATCAGCTAACCCTGGTAGGAGCAGTCCCTTCCAGGTCAGCAAGTCCCCAGATGTCAAAGCATCCAATACGGAGATTAGAAAACATAGTTCACACAGCCTAGAGCATCTTTCCTTCGGCCCTGGCAAAAGGTGGGCAGAGTGGCACAGCGGAGGCTCGGGCGGCTCCCATGGCAGGCCAGCTAGGTACCCTCTCTGAACCTTGGTTCCCCTTCTATAGAGGAGGTCATGAGACAAGAGGAGGGGGAAGTGCCCAGCACAGTGCTTGGCACATGGCACTGAGTGAGTGCCAGTGTCCCCCCTTCCACCTGCGTCCTTCTGAGAAACAGCTGAGCTGCTCCTTCCCTGGGGATGTGCTTCTGCCCCTCGGTCTGGGTTCTTTGCTCCCCTCAGGCCCGGCGCTTGCCTCTGTTGCAGATTGAATGTGGCTGTGTGTCTGTCTATCTCCCCCACTGGACAAGGAGAGGGCAGGAACAGGTCATCCAGATCTGAATCCCAAGGGCCCATCACAGAGCCTGGCTCCTGGTTAAAGAGGCTTGCTCAGCTAACATTTGCAAATTTTCACTGTCTCCCAAAAGAATGTTACCTGTGGGCCCCCCTGGGGACAGGCCTCCTCTTTCCCCCCACCCCCACCCCCCGGGGCCTCCCTACTTTCCTCTGCGGGAAGTCACACCAAGCCATTAGCAGCGCGCCGCCTCCCGGGGCGGCACCAGCTGGAGAGGCCGCCTTTCAGCTCAGGAATTGATTTCCCAAGCACACCCCAGCATGTGTGCACACCAGAGACGCCTGGAGTGCTCCTGCTAAGGAGGAAAGCCGCCGTGCCGCACCTGCTGGGAAACGAGGACCTTTCTTGTCACCTCTGCCTCCCCTAGCAGCATCCCAGGCGCAGACCTGGACAGCTGGCTCCCGCACCTGCCCTGGGAGTGCTCCCGGCAGCAACGGCCCATGCTTTTCCAGGCTGAAGCCAACCAGGTTTCACTGAAGATCTCAGTGCATAGAAACGGATGGCATAGCACCTAGCAAGGAAGAACTACCCCATTTTTAATAACTGCTTAATGAGAAAGTGCCATTAACTGCACATAGTCTCCGTTGGTTTAACCAGCCGAGTGCCGAGTGCTGAGTGCCGAGCGCTGAGTGCCGAGCGCTGAGTGCCGCCCAGCCCCGCCCTCCTTAGGCTTGCTTACCACTCCTCCCTGCCCCTCACCCCATGGCCAGCGCCTGGGCTGCTCTGGGGGCATTCACAGGTGGGCTCCGGTTATGGAGAAGGCTGGTGCGGGGCTTCCAGCTCCAGGGACTTGTAGTTGTGGGGTCTTCTCTTTGCCACAGATTCCCTCCTCTGCTGTTGTGGGGCTTGTGACATTTATTCATGGGAAAGAGAGAGGAGATAGGAGGAGGTGGGGAGGGGACCGTGCAGCTGCTTCTGAAATGTGTGCTCTCTGGAGGGCGAGGAGCTGGGACGGAGGGAGAGACAGCTGCCGAGACAGCAGGCGTTCTAATTCCCTGATCCCACACCTGGCTTCCCGCCACATCAGTGCCTCCGATGCCTGGAGCCCTCGTGGGGGAGGCCACGGCAGCAAGGAGCAGGTTGGCAAAGCGACATTCATTCTGTCTTCTAAAAACACTCGTTCAGCTCTTTACATGGGCTGGACAGTGAGGATACAAAGAGCAAAAATAGATTTTCCTCACTGCACTTGGGTGCTAGCTGAAGAGTCAAATAAGTAATGATGCAAATAAAATGTGACACAGCATGCCTGATTCAACCTGGAGGGGACAGGGAGGCTTCCTGATGGAGGTGATGCCTTACCTCAGTCTTGAAGGAGACATGCGTTAGCCACATGAAAAAGAGAGGAAGGAGAGAACTGACCATCCAAAGGAACAAGACAAAAGGATACTGCATAACAAGAAAACTACTATACCTACGCCAAATATTTACAAAGCTTAGTCTGTAGATCCAAAGCAAGTCACATCAATTATATTAAGGTGCTCCCCAATGCAAAAAACAGAACGCCCAGCTAAATGTCACTCAAACTGGTGCTTTTCAAACTTCAGTGTGCACGCGAATCACCAGGAATCTTGATGAAGTAAAGACTCTGATTGGGAAGACCAGGGGTGGGGCCTGAGATTTTGCACGAGTTTGTTAGAAATGCAGAATCTAATTAATAACATAATTGGCCAGTACAACTGATGATACGACTGATGTGAGCTGTGGACCACACTTTGGGAAGCAAGGATCAAACATCAAGAAGTCTGATCTCTGGCCTGGCGTGGTGGCTCACGCCTGTAATCCCAGCATTTTGGGAAGCCTAGGTGGGTGGATCACCTTAGATCAGGAGTTTGAGACCACCCTGGCCAACATGGTGAAACCCCGTCTCTACTAAAAATACAAAAATTAGCCATATGGTGGAGCGCACCTGTGATCCCAGCTACTCAGGAGGCTGAGGCAAGACAAATGCTTGAACCAGGGAAGAGGACATTGCAGTGAGCTGAGATCACACCACTGCACTCCAGCCTGGGTGACAGAGTGAGAATTTGTCTCCAAAATAAATAAATAAATAAATAAATAAAGTCTGTTCGAGACCAGCCTGGCCAACATGGTGAAACCCTGACTTGAACCCCTGACCTCAAGGGATCTGCCCACCTTGGCCTCCCAAAGTGCTAGGATTGCAGGCGTGAGCCACCACACCTGGTCTCAATAATATTATTTAAAATCTTCAGGTTAAACATGTTTAGCAAGAGTACTTCAGAGGTGATACACGGCCTCGCATCAGCAGGTACATAATATCAGGTTGCCCCTGTTTCAGTGATGCTGTGTTTTGATAACTTGGTAAAGTGGTGACTGCCAAAACTTTCCATTATAAAAATGCATTTTTCCTTTTGCAATTAGTGAGCAATTTACAGGGTGATACATTGGCATCATACAAATATCCTCTTCTTTTCACCACGTGGTTTATAGCTGGGTCAGTAAAGTATTTTTGTAAAGTTCCAGATACTAGATAATTTAGGCTTTGTGGCCCATTGTCATCTCTAGCTCAGTCGCTCAAAGCTGCCATTGTAGCACAAACACAGTCATGGACAATTCGTAAATGAGTGAGCATGGCTGTGTTCCAGTAAAACCTATTTATGACACTGAAATCTGAATTTTATATAAATATCACATGTCATGAAATATTGTGCTCCTTTTGATTTTTTCAAGTATTTGAAAATATTTTTAAAAATTTAGCTTATGGAATATACAAAAACAGGCAATGGGCTAGATTTGACTAGTGGGCTATAGCTTGTAACCTCCTGGTTTATAGAATCATTTATGATACTTGCCTGAATCAATGTTTTATTGAGGTTTGCAAAATGGTAATTTTCTAATTCTACCAATCTCTCCATATATATTAGCTGACATTCTTCTGTAAAGAGTTGTTCTCATCAATTAGGAAAAAGCTGCACTTTCTCCTTAAAAGGCAAGGTAAATGTCTGATTTTTTCTCTTTAATTGCAAAATTTCAGAGACAAATTAGCATAACTCATATCTCATTATGGTAGATGATATTTTCTGTCTTTCTCTCTCAATAAAACTATGGATCCATGGATTTTTATTTAATTATTTGTAGTCAATTATAGTCACTTTAATGCTTGAATTGTCCCAAGTATGGCCAGTAGGAGACCCGTCAAGTTGGCTCTGTGTCTTTTATTTTATTTTATTTTATTTTGAGACAGTCACCCAGGCTGGAGTGCAGTGGCGCAATCTCAGCTCACTGCAACTTCCACCTCCCAAGTTCAAGCGATCCTCCACCTCAGCCTCCCGAGTAGCTGGAATTACAGGCATGTGCCACCAGGCCTGACTAATTTTTGTATTTTTGGTAGAGATGGGGTTTCACCATGTAGGCCAGGCTGGTCTCAAACTCCTGGCCCGTCTCAGCCTCCCAAAGTGCTGGGATTATAGGCATAAGCCACTACACTGGCTGGCTCTGTCTTTTTCATGCAGCCCATTGATCTCTGATAGCTTCCTTGCTTTTTGGCCCATGAAACCAGAATCATTTTATACTTTCTCTGGCTAGATCTGGAGACAGTCATTTCTCCAAAAGCCCTGGTTCCTAGGTGAGGAACAATATTACACTTACTATACAAAATCGCTGACATTCAGCCATCTTTGACATACAAAAATAGTAATCTTTGTAGTAATGTTTCAACCTAAAACAAGAAACCAAGGCCCAGATTCTAAGCATGCTCCTTACCACAGTCATGTCACTATGTCTAGCTCTTTCAGTGGATGGAGCTAGGAAATACAAGTTTTCTATTTTTATTTATTTTTGAGATAGAGTCTCACTCTGTTGCCCAGGCTGAAGTGCAGTGGTGTGATCTCGGCTCACTTCAACCTCCACCTCCTGGGTTGAGTGATTCTCATGCCTCAGTCTCCCAAGTAGCTGGGACTATAGGCCACTACACCTGGCTAATTTTTTAATTTTTTGTAGAGCCAGGATCTCACTGTGTTGTCCAGGCTGGTCTTGAACTCCTGAACTCAAGTGATCCACCAGCCTTGGTCTCCCAAAGTGCTGGGATTATAGGTATGAGCCACTGCGACCAGCTGGAAATACGTTTGTTTTTTTTTTTAAATCATGCTTGACATCAGTATTATCAACTCAACATGAGAGGTTTGTTTTCTTCTTTAATGTTATATTTATATCTCGCTTTTCTTACCTTGAAAACCCTGGTTCATATTATATCAACAAATTTACCTATTTATTTTATCTTACAATATACGTTCATCTCAAAATTACTATAATATTACTACAATTAATAAAACTGAACAGGCCAGGCGCGGTGGCTCACACCTGTAATGGTAATCCTAGCACTTTGGGAGGCTGAGGCGGGTGGATCATGAGGTCAGGAGATCGAGACCATCCCGGCTAACATGGTGAAACACCATCTCTACTAAAAATACAAAAAATTATCCAGGCGTGGTGGCAGACGCCTGTAGTCCCAGCTACTCGGGAGGCTGAGGCAGGAGAATGGCATGAACACGGGAGGCAGAGCTTGCAGTAAGCCGAGATCACGCCACTGCACCCCAGCCTGGGCGACAGAGCAAGACTCCATCTCAAAAAAAAAAAAAAAAAAAAACTGAACAAGATTAAAAATTTCTTTGCTGTTATTTTTGATCTTAGGATATATCCCACAGTCGCGGTTTTTGTTTTGTTTTGTTTTGCTCAAAGTCACTTGAAATAAATCTTTTTATCTGTGCAGTTATGTTTGTAGCTGGATTTGGAGGTGGGAGAGGAATTCTACATACTCACTCTGAAATTTATATGAAAGAATAAGGGTGTGCAAGTAGCAAGTTACATTTGAAAACGAAGAGAGAGACAGAGAGCATATTAATATATCAGATTTTCCAGTTACCGTTACTGTGTAAAGAATTACCCAAAGGCTTTCCTGTGTGAAATACAAGGTGGAAAAGTTCAGTTTTATTCATCAATGGCTTATGATAAAGACATGTCTGATAGGCAGACAAGTCAGCTTGTTTGTTTCAAAGGGTAGATAGGAGATAATTATTTTATCATATGAAATGTTGGAGGGGAAGTGATAGGAAAGTTTGCCTTATCACACAATCCTCCTAACAATTTGATGAGGTAGGTACATTTATCTCTAGTTTACAGAAGGAGAAACTGGGAGAGATTAAGGACCTTGATCACAATTCAGACTCTTGGCCTGGCTGATTCCAGTGCCAAATAATGTATATTTTACCCCAAACAAGGCAATCTACATACCTGCATTGACCGTTCAACGCATTGACCTTTCAACCGGCCCCACTCTGCTGTCAGGTGCACTGGGCTGTGAGCTGAACTAGGCATGCTCAGGGGCTAGGCTGTTACCCCTCAGGGCTTCTGTGTCTCTCTAGTCATGCTGTGTACTGGGGTCCACCAGCTTGACAAGCAGCAAGCAGAAATGAATGCACCACGCAGCAAACCCACATTGGTCTCTCTGTAGTTAAAGGACCCAGGAACCCAGAGAACAACCACCTGCACTTGTGCCTGGGAGGAAGGTGGCTGATGAGTGACAAGGTACAGCTGAGCCAGTTTCCCCGGTGGAGAGGAGGACAGGAGTAATCACTGCCCCATCTGGGGGAAATGCAGCATTTCCAGCCATGAGGTACCAGCCTCACTCAGACTTTAAGGCTGAAGGAGAGTGAAGTGAATGGAGGTGGAAACACACTAGAGGAAATTTTGCTTTCTGTCTTCTCTTAGCTGAGAAGGTACTAGCTGCTGGCTTTCCTACTGCAATTGATGTATGACTATACAATGCTTTGACTGAATTTTTTTAATGCACACACCAAACATGTGTTCACTCAATACACATGTATTGTGAGTCTACTCCCTGTTAGTCAAAAGAGAAAAAAACATTACCCGAAACAGTGGTGATGAACTCCCATGTTCATTGCAACCATATTCACAATAGCCAAGATATGGAATCGGCCTATGTTCATGAATGAGTAGGTAAAGGAATTTTTATATACATATAATAGAATACTACTCAGCCATGAAAAAGAATGGAATCCTATCATTTGTGACAAAAAAGATGAACCCAAAGGACACTATGCTAAGTGAAATAAGCCAGACATGGAAAGACAAATACTGCATAATCTCACTTATATGTGGAAACCTTTTTTTTAAAAAAAAATCAAATATATAGAAGCAGAGAGTAGAATGGCGGTTACCAGGAATGGGGGAATCGGCAAGAAGCAGGTCAAAGAATCCTAAGTTATAGCTATGTAGGATGAGTCAGTCTAGAGGTCTAAAGCACAGCGTGAGGACTATGGTTAATTTGCATTGTAGACTGAAAATTTGCAGAGAGAAGATTTTAGGTACTCTTACTACCAACAAAAAAAGGTAACTATGTGATAGATATGTTAATTGCTTGACTGTAATCACTTCAATGTGCATTTTAAACATCATATCGTACAACTTAAATTTATACAATAAAAAGATAGAGGGCAAAAATGGTAAATAAATAGGTGAAAGGCTCCTCAAAATCTTGAAACAGGCTCAAACTCCCCTGTTCCCATCCCTTCCCCACACCTCATGAGTCACTCAGGGCCATGTGGCAAGATTACTAAGCCTAATTAAGTAATGCAGCTGACAAACCATTTCCAAATACAAATGTGACGTACGTGTTCCTAAAAATTCCACACACCACAAAATCACTCGGTAAGCAGCATGGGGCTTCTGGGAGTAAATGGGGTTGGGGGAAAAACTCTAACCATCACCAGCAACATATTAAAAATGAATGAAGACAGTAGCACAGTTTTGCACATGTTACATGGTTAAGAAATACAAAAATACTACAATGCATATGGCACTGTACCTTGAAAAAGGCTGCAGTTTGCTTGTAGAGGTGGGCTGGGAAGCACTGGGGATGGTGTCCCATTGTAAACGGTGGGAGGAGCATGATCTGAACTCATACAGAAAGTTGTAATACCTGCATGGATGGATGGGGCTTATTGCTGTTGGTTTGCGTTGGTGCCGAACATCACAGGGGATCAATCTTTTACACCCTTAAATCCTAGAGCATGCTTTCCTGCCTTTGAGATGTAGGTCCTTTGAGACATGTGTTTATTAAAAAGTTTAAAACGGCCGGGTGTGGTGGCTCACACCTGTAATCTCAGCACTTTGGGAGGCCGAGGCGGGCAGATCACTTGAGGTCAGGAGTTCAAGACCAGCTGGGCCAACATGGTGAAACCCCATCTCTACTAAAAATACAAAAATTAGCCAGGTGTTGTGGCAGGCGCCTGTAATCCCAGCTGCTCAGGAGGCTGAGGCAGGAGAATCGCTTGAACCAGGGAGGCGGAGGTTGCAGTGAGCTGAGATTGTGCCACTGCACTCCAGCCTGGACAAGAGTGAAACTCTGTCTCAAAGAAAAAAAAAAAAAACAAAAGGAAAAGGAAAAGTTGAAAATGTGATCAAATATATAGACATCTTAATTAACTTCTGCATCACTTCTAGAAATTCATTTGGACTTTCTCATCTACACTTATGGCTTTGGAAATTGCAGCAATGCTTAGAACCACTAAACCAGTCATTCCCAGTACTGAGAGGAGTCGGTTCTGTAGGATTTGGCAGCTTCCATTTAAGGTCTTCACATAGAGATAATGCTTTCTTCATTAAACTCATTGTTTGGCATTTTGAACTAGGAGGATTAGATGTGTTTGGGATATTGAATGACTGGGTTTTTAATATAGAAAAGCTCATATTTGCAAAAGCATAGCAAAACATAGCCTTCCGGGATAATGCACGAGGTGAACCGAGGTAGCTGGTAAATGTTTGAGGTGTGCATTGTGCGCGTGTCTTAGCACATCAGAGCCTAATGCCAGGGAGTTGACAGGAGCTTGAAAAATGCTCCTTAATATAAAAAGAACACGATAAAAATATTGAAGACTGCATTACTGGTATCTGGATTCCATTCTTTTCCATGAAACTAAAGATTCTTCTAAAGTCATATTCAATTGCAGCCCTAATAGTTACCACCTCAACAATGCTAGGATGTCAAGACAAAATCGCAGTGGCTCCAGATAAAAACCACCCGCCCAGGATGGAATACAGCATTTGGGAAATGCTGGCTGGTTTGTGCGGTAGCCACACATAGAGGCTGAGAGCTCCATCATCCACCACCACACCGCGGGCGCACAGATGGCGGCCACGCTCCCAGCTTTTCTCTCACAGCTTTCTTGCGCCAAGGACAGCACCTGCTGCCCTCAGAGTGCACCAGGCCAGAGTGCAAGGCTGCCGACCTCTTCTTCCATGAGGAGCCTTCCTCGCTGACTCACTTCCCATAACCAGCCCCTCTCATAAGAAAGCACTTCCAAACGGCCATTTGAATTAGGGCAGTTCTACACACTGCCCATTTGAGGATAGAGAAAAAAGTCAGTGTGGATGGATTGGTCTCCAGAGTCCCATGATGGTCACAGCAGCAAGGAGGGCAACAGAGAGGAAGACAGAGCAAGAGGGAGAGTAGCACTGCCCTAGGGAGAGAGTCGGAGACATCGGGAGAGGGCAGAGAGGGAGAACCCACGCGCACCGAGTGCGCTCTGCATGCTGGCCCGCTCCCCTCCCAGCACTGGGAGCCTCCCCCACGGGCCCTGCGCCCTGGCCGGGAAAGCCTGGGAAACACAAGTGAGGGGATTGGGCAGATGAGGGACGGATTCCAGGACCTCAGCAAAGTGGGCTAGGCCCGAACTGTGTGTGGGAGTCTCCTTCCTACCCCAGGCCCCCCAGCGAGGCTCCACAGAGAGGGGACTTGAGGAGGTGGAAACAAGGTGGGCCCTTCCTCACCTCCGCCACTCTGCTCCCCAATTTCAGAATTCACAGATCTGCCGCTTTGGGCGGCCTGGGGGCCGTCAGTACGAAATCCCCCTGGGTGCCCCCGCCAGCTCCAGGACCTGCTGGAAGGAGCCAGGGGGAGCCTGCGGGAAGAGGCCCAAACAGAGCAAAATCACTTGGCAATACAAGCGCCTGATGACCAGATAGGGCTGGCCACTCACCTCCACACCATGCCGCGGGGCACTAAACGGTCCTTACAGACATTATGGAGCAGGGGGAGGGTTTTGTTTTGTTTTGTTTGTTTTTGTGCTTGTTTTTTGAGACACAGTCTGCTCTGTTGGCCAGGCTGGTGTGCAGTGGCAAGATCTCAGCGCACTGCAACCTCTGTCTCCTGGGCTCAAGCAATTCTCCTGCCTCAGCCTCCCGAGTAGCTGGGATTACAGGCATGTGCCCCCACGCCCAGCTAATTTTTGTATTTTTAGTAGAGACGGGTTTTCACCATGTTGGCCAGGCCAGTCTCAAACTCCTGACCTCAGGTGATTCGCCCCCCTCGGCCTCCCAAATTGCTGGGATTACAGGCGTGAGCCACCAATCCCGGCTGGGAGGTTTTATGATGTAACATTTAGAAGTCAAGATATAAAATCATATTATAGTCACATTCGCACATAAATATAAACAAGAAAAGTAGTTTTCTTTGTGTAGTGACTTTTTAAAAATGTGTATTCTATAATTTACATGTGATCTGTATGATAAATAATAAAAATTTTAATATCTATATATTAACTATTAAAATATATACCTCAAAATGATTAGAAAAAAATATAAAATGTAAACAATGGCTGCCTCTGGATAGGAGAGTTAAAGGTATTTTTTATTTCTTGCTGTATAATCTTCATTTTTCAAATTTTCTAAAATAATATTAATAACAACAATAATATTAATAGCAACCTCCCATTCAACATTTGCTATGTGCCAACCACTATCTAAACACTTAAATTACAGTAATTAATTCTAACCAAACAATCACCCTAAAAGGTGTTCACTAAAAAAAAAATCACAAGACTGGGGCCAGGCTCGGTGGCTCACGCTTGTAATCCCAGCACTTTAGGAGGCCGAGGTGGGCAGATTGCCTGATTTCAGGAGTTCAAGACCAGCGTGGGCAACACAGTGAAATCCCGTCTCTATTAAAATACAAAAAAGTAGCCGGGTGTGGTGGCATGCACCTGTATTCCCAGCTACTCGGGAGGCTGAGGCAGGAGAATCGCTTGAACCTGGGAGGCAGAGGTTGCAGCAAAGTCTTGTGCTCTCACAAAGTCAGCACACAAAAATCAGCTGTATTTCTATACACCATCAGTGAAAAATCAAAAAAAAATAGGAAAGCAAGTTGAATCCCATCAGCATCTAAAAGAATTAAATGGGGGCCAGGTGCAGTGGTTCATGCCTGTAATCACAGCACTTTGGGAGGCTGAGGCAGGCTGATCACTTGAGGCCAGGAGTTTGAGACCAGCCTGGCCAACATGGTGAAACCCTGTCTCTACTGAAAATACAAAAATTAGCTGGGTATGGTGATGTGCGCCTGTAGTCCCAGCTACTTGGGTGGCTGAGGCACAAGAATCGCTTGAACCCAGGAGGTGGAGGTTGCAGTGCGCAGCCTCCCTAAACTGGCCAGAATCAGTCCACAGTCAGTGATCTTCTCAGGAGAAAGTTACAGAAGTTAGTCTCTTGTCCAATCAAAGCTGTAGTTATGGCTGGTGGCACAGGGGCTGAGGGTCAGTTTGTCAGCATCTGATGACTGGTAGGCTGAAAATTGTTTTATTATTGCTTATCTCAAGACCAGCACTTGTTTAGCTGCTAGAGAAAAATAAAACCCTTGTGGCAGCAAGGGCATAGTTTATTGCTGAAGCGCAGGCGTGTGTGACTTAACCCTTGCCTGGCATGGCTTTAGGTCTTATTTATAGTCTGGTATCTTATTGCCACCATCTGTTCTGTCAGCTTTATGATCTCTACTTTAACATGAATGCCCGTCAGTTGTGTCTAAACTGCAAAAGGGAGCAGGTATAATGAGGCGTGTCTGACCTCTCATCCCATCATGACTGGGAACTCAGTTTTCAAGCTTTTTCTGGGGTCCCCTTGGCTAAGACGGGGGGTCTGTTCAGCCAGTGCGGGGAGTGAGAGGGCTTAGGATTTTATGTTTAGTTTACAAAGGTAAGGGTGCTCAGATCCCCATTTCAGAGTTGAGGAAACAAGAGTATGGAAAAGTGAAGTAACTTGCCCAGTGTCACAGACCAGTAAAGTGGCTGAGTCTATTCTTTTTTAAAAAACTAGTAACCAATTTATTAAAATAGTTGACTTAAGCATCTGCAATGATGGCATCCACCTCAACTCCTGGCTCAATATTAATGGAAGTAATCTGCTTAACAATCTCAGAAAGGCTCTGCAAGTCAATGAGTCGCTTGTGGATTCTCATCCAAAAACAATCCCACGTCTTAGAACCTTCATCACAAGGAGTTTTTCTTATAGTGATTCTCAAAGTCTTGGTAGGCATCCGAACCAGTCCTTTCACTTTGGGATTCTTTTCCTTTGCTCCTCTGACCAAGTCAGCACACATCTTCTCCAGGGATTTTATGTGGCGGCCCATTAGAGTGATTAGAATTCAGTGAATCACCACCTCCAGCTCCATGGGTGATTTTCTGGGTCTTTAAAAGCCATGGCTGCAGCGTGGCCCCTGACGGACTCATTCCTTGGTGAGAGCCAACAGTGGTGAATTGGGAGCAGAAGCGGGCGGACCACAGCTCCACAGCACCTGCCACCGTGTCTTCCTCAAAAAGCTATTCTTAAGATTTTTTAGGGCTGGGTGCAGTGGCTCACGCCCGTAATCCCAGCACTTTGGGAGGCAGAGGCGGGTGGATCACGAGGTCAGGAGATCGAGACCATCCTGGCTAACATGGTGAAACCCCGCCTCTACTAAAAATACAAAAAATTAGCCAGGCGTGGTGGCAGGCGCCTGTAGTCCCAGCTACTCGGGAGGCTGAGACAGGAGAATGGCGTGAACCCAAGAGGCAGCACTTGCAGTGAGCCGAGATCGTGCCACTGCACTCTAGCCTGAGCGACAGAGCGAAACTCTGTCTTAAAAAAAAAAAAGATTTAAAAATAAATATTTAAAATAAGATGTGGGTGTGAGGGTTGGTCATGATGATTAACTGTGAAGGTCAAGTCTCTGCCCACCAGGCTGTTTCCATCAACCACGCTCAGATGAGTGGCCTTGGGCAAGTTATTTAACCTCTCTGAGACCTGTTTCATAATCTGTAAAAATCACAAGAAAACCAACATTGGGTTGTTGGGGAGATTAAACGAAGTAAAGCTCTTCTCCCAGTGCCTGTTTCAAAGTGAACTCCGGGTGAATGGCAGCTACAGGGTAGTACTATTGCCCTTGTCATGCTGTGACCTCTGCTGCAGTGGTGAGGTTTGGGGAGCGTGTGGCATTCACCGGGTGAGTTGGGAACACCATTGCATGAGCAGAAGTTGGCAAACTACTAGGTGAAACTTAGCTGTGGCTTGTTTTGTAAATAAAGTTTTCCTGGAACACAGCCAGGCCCATTGGTTTATGTACGGTCGGTCGATGGCTGCTTTTGCACCAAACAGCAGTGGAGTGGTTGTGACAGAGGCCGTATGGCCCGCAAAGCCTAAAATATTTACTATCTGTCCCTTTACTGAAAATATCTGCCAACCCTGCAAATACAGTGGCCAGACCAGGCTTCACCTGAAACACGAAGGAGACCAGGGTGGTCAGCACTCCGCAGACCATTCCAAAGAAGCACCGGTTTCCCTAGGTCCTGGAAAATTCCCCTCCCCCACGATCTCCTCCAGGATTCCTCTGGCTGCCTGCGGTGCAGCAGGGCCTTTCTTTCTTTTTCTTTTCTTTTCTCCTTCTTTCTTCTTCCTTCCTTCCTTCCTTCCTTCTTTCTTTCTTTCTTTCTTTTTCTTTCTTTCTTTCATTCTTCCTTTCTTTCTTTCTTTTTTGACAGAGTTCTGCTCTTGTTGCCCAGGCTGGAGAGCAATGGTGCAATCTTGGCTCACCACAACCCCTGCCTCCTGGATTAAAGCGATTCTCCTGCCTCAGCCTCCTGAGTAGCTGGGATTACAGGCATGCACCACCACGCCTGGCTAATTTTTTGTATTTTTTTTAGTAGAGATGGGGTTTCTCCATGTTGGTCAGGCTGGTCTCGACCCCCTGACCCCAGGTGATCTGCCCACCTTGGCCTCCCAAAGTGCTGGGATTACAGGCGTGAGCCACCATGTCCGGCCAGCAGGGCCTTCCTTTCTAACAGACTCTGGCTCAAGACTCTCTTCCTCACCAAGGTTTTCCAAGCACCCCTCAAATCCCACTACCTTCCACCTGTCCCATTCCCCAAATTCTGGAGGCACCACTTCCACCGGCACACCCAGTATCTCAAAAATACCTACAAACCTGAAAGCACAGAAGAAAACCTTCCCAGGTAAGCAGTCATGTTGCACCTGTATACACCTGTGCACAGCTGAAGGCTGAGGGAAGCGTGAGAATGTGGGTCAATCTGCCAAGCAGGAAACAACCAGAAAGCTACTATTGACAGAGTGTGGCTGTCCGGGCCAAGCTTTTCTAACACAAAAGCCATCAAGCATAGCAGCAGTAAGGAAAAAAAGGCAGAGAGAAAAGAGGAAAGTTGGCCAGCCACGGTGGTTCATGCTTGTAATTCCAGCAGTTTGGGAGGCCAAGGCGGGCAGATCACCTGAGGTCAGGAGTTCGAGACCAGCCTGGCCAACATGGTGAAACCCCGTCCGTCTCTACTAAAAATACAAAAAAATTAGCAGGGCATGGTGGCAGGTGCCTGTAATCCCAGCTACTTGGGAGGCTGAGGCAGGAGAATCGCTCGTACCCGGGAGGCGGAGGTTGCAGTGAGCTGAGACTATGCCATAGCAAAACTCCATAAAAAAAAGAAAGAAAGAAAAGAGGAAAGCAATAATTAAGCATGTCACGGAGAGAGGTGCCTGGCAGGTGTGGCCAGCAAGGTCAGACGCAATGGGAGCAGCAGTCGGGGGCAGAGAGCAGGGCTGTGACAGTGCTGAGCGCGCTGAGTGAGGCCAGAGTGGAGGGAACTGATGCAAGGGAAAGTGAGGTGGCGGAGAGGAAGGAGGGCAGCCACGGCTCAGTGCAGGGCAAGCAGCCCTCCCGAGGCCTGAAGGGATTCATGGAGAAGATGTGAGGGCACGAGGCAAAGTTGCTTTTTGTATTCTAGAATAATTCAAAGGAAATCTGAAATCTGAAATCAGTTTTAGAAAGGTGTTCATAAAAATGTTTAATGTCATCTAAAACAGGGGTCCCAGCCCCAGGGCCACAGACTGGGTGGAGCATGGCCTGTTAGGAACCGGGCTACCCAGAAAGACGTGAGGGGCCTGTGAGCTAGAGAGCTAGGGAAGCTTCTTCTGTATTTACAGCGGCTCCCCATCGCTTGCATCACTGCCTGAACTCCGCCTCCTGTCAGATCAGCCACATCATTAGATTCTCACAGGAGCGTGAACCCTATTGTGGACTACACATGTGAGGGATCTAGGTTGCAAGGGATCTAGGTGTGCGCTCCTTATGAGAATCTAATGCCCGATGATCTGAGGTGGAACAGTTTCATCCCAAAACCGTCTCCCACCCCTGTTCCCCAGACCCTGGAAAAAATGTCTTTCATGAAACCGGTCCCTGCTTCCAAAAAGGTTGGGGACTGCTGATCTAAAGTGAATCCAGCCGGGTGCAGTGGCTCAGGCTTATAATCCCAGCTACTAGGGAGGCTGAGGCAGGAGAATCGCTTGAACCCAGGGGGTGGAGGTTTCAGTGAGCAAATATCACGCCACTGCACTCCAGCCTGGGTGACAGAGTGAGACTCCGTCTAAAACAAAAAACAAAAACAAAAACAAAAAACAAAATTAAACTCAATCCAGGACAGGCATTTCCTCTCCTGGGAATGATTTTTCCTTTCCTGGATCTGCCTGATGACGCTTGCGTTAAGCTCCCTCTGGAAACTTCCCTGACTCTTCTAGCGAGTGGAGTTTAACTCCATTCTAGCATGGACCACACTAGTTACAATGATGCGTTTTTGTGTTTTTCTCCTTAACTAGATCAATGCTCCCTAGCTGGAAACCAAGGGGCTGCATCCTACTCCTCATGGCCTCGCTAGGTAAGACTGTGTTGGCTGCGTGACCTGTGATGAAGCTGAGGCTCAGAGAGGTGCTTAGGTTCCCAAGAGCACCCTGCTGGGAACTAAAGGGGCCTGGACGCAAACCCAGGATGATCCCAGGACTTGAGCTCATTCCACTCCTTTGTGCTGCTACCAAAATATGTTTAAAGAAAGTGCTTAGTATATTAAATGCTGGTGAATAAATAAATGAAGGGATGGGTGGGTGAGTGGATAAAGCCATGTCTTTGTAAAGCCCTTCTTTGTTCATTGTCATCGGGCTGTATGGTTTAGTGGAAGGGACCCCACCCATTCCACCATCAATTATCTAACTAAATTTATTAATATGGCCTCTGGGCCTCAGTGCCTTCATCTTTGAGAGGAGCAATAACACCGACCTCACAGGTCAGGGGTGAAGGTCAAGTGTGATAATTTAATTGAAAGCATTCTGTAAATTGTAAGGCCAGGTGAGGTGGCTCACTCCCGTAATCCCAACACTTTGCGGGGCCGAGGTGAGCGGATCACTTGAAGTCAGGAGTTTGAGACCAGCCTGGCCAACATGGTGAAACCCCATCTCTACTAATAATACAAAAATTAGCCAGGCATGGTGGCGGGCACCTGTAATCCCAGCTACTCGGGAGGCTGAGGCAGGAGAATCGCTTGAACCTGGGAGGCAGAGGTTGCAGTGAGCCGAGATCGCAGCACTGCGCTCCAGCCTGGGTGACAGAGTGAGACTCTGTCTCAAAAAAATAAAATAAAATAATAAAATAAAATAAAATAAATAAGAACATGATCTATAAATCGTAAACTATAAAGTGCAAAATAAATACACAGTCATATTAAGGCCAATGATTATTGTGAATTCTTTTCATGACATCTGAGCCATTCATCCATTTACTCATTCTTAAACGTCTATTAGGCTTTTGGCATTAGGGACACAAGAGTGTAGTTTCTGCCCTCAAGGAGCTCGCACTCTGATGAGAGAGACAGGAAAGCTAACAGGCAATTATAACACAGCTGGCATGTGCTAACAGGAATCAGATAAGAATGAGTTCTTGCATTTTAGATGTGTGGAAACCTAAGTTCTCCCTTTTGCCAACCATAGTTCCCGGCTTTGTACTCAGTAGGTGCTCTACCCAATGGCTCTGGTCACCTCAGGCCAGGCTAAAGGTTCAGGGCATTTGGACATCTAGGAGCTGTGAGGAGGCAGCCCCCGGCCAGCTCTACAGATAGCACCTGCAGTGGTGAGTCAGTAGCTGCCACGTAGGCCTGGCCTGGCTCTGTGCACAGTGCCATGGGCTCTGCCTGTCACAGCAGCAGTGCTTAGGGAGGATTCATTTTGTCAGCCGGAGACGCAGTTGGTGAGGGGTCTGCACGGGAAAGCAGTGAACACATCCTCTTACACCGAGGTCCTGTTTACACTTCAATCTCCACTCTCCCTGGCTGCTCTGAGCTGAGCTCTCTTGCCCTGGGCCCTGACCAGCACTTGTCAGGAGGGGAGGGAGTGTGTTTGAACATCCACAGATGTGTTTACATTTTGGAGACATTTACCAGCAGAAACAAGCCTCGGTACTCTGCCCAAGTTCCATGCGTTGACAGTAGCAACCACACAAATGTTGCTTTCAAAGGGCTTATTATTCCTGGTGATTATAATACTAACAGTGGCAGCCCTCTTGTTTGAGGCACATCCTACATCTTAGGGCCAAAGATAAGGCCACAACCCCATGAACCAAGTGTTACTATCATCCTGACTCAACAGATAAACAAACAGACTTGGAATGATTAATTACATTACTTCCCTGAAGACACACAGTAGGAGGTAGAGCTGGGGTTTTTTTAGTTTGTTTTCTTGAGACAGAGTCTTGTTCTGTCACCAGGCTAGAGTGCAGTGGCACGATCATAGCTCACTGAAGCCTCCAACTCTGGGCTCAAGCAATCCTCCCTCATTTTTAAAATTTATGTCTATTTTTTTGTAGAGATGAGGTCTTGCTCTGTTGCCCAGGCTGGTCTCTAACTCCTGGCCTCAAGTGATTCTCCCGCCTCAGCCTCCCAAAGTATTGGGATTATAGGCGAGAGCTACTCTGCCTGGCCAAAACTGGGCTTTGATGCCATAGCCGGTGGGTTTAATCCACCTTCTATGTCAACGCCAGACCTTGTCCTTTATAAGCTAATTAGTCACAGTGATGCACCTGTTGCGTGCTGCACCCTCTGTCTAGAATGCTCTCCCTCCAATATCTGCATAGCTCCCTCTGGTGCCCTACCTGAAAGAGCACCTCTCGTCTAGCCTCCTTTGTCCCTTTTCATGCTTTACTTTTATTCACAGAACTTACCCTTAGCTGACATCACATTATGTATCTATTATTTGTTTATTTTCAGTCTCTCCGTTAGACTATAAAGTCCTCGGGGGTGAGGGCTTTGTTTTGTTCACTGCTGAATCTCCAGCACCTACAAAATAGGGCCTGGGGCCCAGAAGGTGCTGCAAAAAGATTGGATGACTAAAAGGATACATTTCATGCTAATGTGAATCATGCAAAGTTGAGATGGTGCCACATAAAACATGAATAAAGCCTCACTTGGTTTGCAAAATCTGATAATTCAATGTTTCCAGGTTGTAAGAATTCATCAAAATCACACCATTTCAAAGCTGGTGGGAAGGTGATTATAAGTAGTGCATATGCTGTTATCCAAGGTGGCCCCGTTTTAGCTGAAATCCCTGGGCTTATCTCACCCTGAGCCAGGCTGTGCTTGAACCTCAGAAGCCCTTAGAGCAATCTGGATGATGAGTGTGCTATTATTTTATCATTCACTAACATTATAATTTAAAGTATTTTCAGAACCTATAAAAATGTCATCCAAGTATTCACTATGTGCAAGTGGTATAAACTTTGCTTGGAATCATTAACTTTGGAGCAGAAATTAGATGTGACCAAATATGCTATAAAAGAAGAACTTGAAACCTCACCCTGTTAATTTTGGAAAGAGGACTCTGCAAACTCTAAGGCAAAATATGCAATAATGGTTAAAGACGTATGTGTTTTAAGAAATCATTGCCTTGATACTTTGTGCTTATTTCTATGTTTTAATTTACTTCGTATATAATATGAATTCTGAGAGTCAAACATCACCTCTAGAACATGACCACCTTGTACTACAGGGTTCGAGGCCCTCCCTTGTTTGCAGTTTCTGACTCTCCCCATAGCAGGTTTGCTGCTGGAGGGTAAACCCAGCCCAGACAGTCATAAGGGAGGTTCTCTGGCCGGTCAGCCCAGAGATCCAGAGGGCTGCTCCCCAGTCATCCATTGCCAGCCCCTCGCCTTGTGTTTATTCTCACCTTGGCTACTGGGGCTCCCATCAGCTACCCAGACTAAGCTCAGCAGACCTCTTGGGCAAAGACCTGCCCTTATGCAAATAAATGTCTATCCTACACAACAGAACCATACATCAGGCTGGAAGTGCTGAATAGACCACGTCTTCTTCCTTTGTTCTGAAACTGCCAGCCATGGGCTTGTGCTAACCTTTAGCTACCTCTTTTAACATAGAACAAACTGCCGCCCGATATGGAACAGCAGCTGACACAAATGCTAACTTCCCCTACCATCTGGGGCCTCGGCAGAGGTCTGCGTTGAAGAAACCAAAGTTAGGTTTGAAACCTCGAGACGGGTCTGTTCTGTGTTCACCAGAAGGCCACGGGTCCTGATGCCTGTTCTCCCTCCTTCTGTAAGTCCTGGGGTGGTCCTGGAAGATTTCATCTACCACTTGGGTGGCCCATCTCACAGGCTGCCCCAGAGCTCTTTACCCCCTTTCTTCTCAGCTGCGGACATCACAAGCAGACCCAGGCCCCTGGCTCATCACCCCGAGCTCTGGCAATTCTGGAACTTTAACTCTGTCATTCCAGCAACAGCCACTATACTTGCTCTTTGACAGCTCCGAGATGGCCAGTCCCTTAGTCAGTCTGGACTCCTCCCTGTATTTCCTACCGTCCTGTGCAGCCTAAACCATTGCTGTGCCATCATTTAAACCATACTTGCTCCAGCACCCTTGATCCTGCTGTATCCTCCCTGCAAACCTGCCCTGCTAAACCGGGACTCAGAATAGAGTCAGCTCTCTGCCTTATGTTCACACACACATGCACACCCAGGTTGCTTAAACTATCAGAGAATGTCTCCCTAGCATGGGTTTGGTGCCACCACCAATCCATGGCCTCCAGCTACAAGTGGCCCTCGCACTGCCTGGAAGTTCTCCTCCCCATCAACAGTCACTTCTAATTCTCTCAGAAGTTATTTCATGGCCGGGCACGGTGGCTCACGCCTGTAATCCTAGCACTTTGGGAGGCCGAGGCGGACAGATCACCTGAGGTCAGGAGTTCAAGACCAGCCTGGCCAACTTGGTGAAACCCCATCTCTACTAAAAAAATACAAAATGTATCCGGGCACAGTGGTGCATGCCTGTAATCCCAGCTACTCGGGAGGCTGAGGCTGGAGAATCGCTTGGACCCGGGAGGCGGAGGTTGCAGTGAGCCAAGATCTTGCCACTGCACTCCAGCCTGGGTGACAGAGCGAGACTCTGTCCAAAAAAAAAAGTGATTTCGCACAGTCTTAAATCTTCTTCTGAGCCCTTTCCTACCAGTTCTCCCCGCCAACTCTGCACCCCCAGCTCCTGTTCTGAACTTGTCTGCATTTCCACCCATCCTTGCAACTCCTCTTCTAACAGTGGACAGGGTCCCTCCTCCTGCCCAGCTCCACGCTTCCACCCACATGGAGGATCCCACCCCTCGCCTCCCTTCTTCACAGTGGTAACAGACTGAATAACAGCCCCCAGGACTGCAGGTCCGAATCGCGGGAAACTTTAAATGTTACCTTAGTTGGAGAAAAGTTCTTTGCAGGTGTGTGATCAAGTTAAGGACCTTGCAATAAGGAGATCATCCTGGGTTATCCAGTGGGCCCTAAATGTCATCACAAGCATCCTTATAAGAAGGAGGTTACCAGATGTAGTGGTGCGTACCTGTAGTCCTCAGGTACCTCCACTCAGGAGGCTGAGGCAGGAGAATCGCTTGAGTCCAGGAGTTCGAGACCAGCCTGGGCAACGCAGCAAAATCCTGTCTCTAAAAAAAGAAAAAGTGAGGTACAGGGAGCGTTAACAGGAAGAGGAGAAGGTGATGTGGCCACAGAGGCAGCCCTTCAGAGGGAGTGCAGCCAACCAACACCTCGATTGCAGACTTCTGGCCTCCAGAACTGCAAGCAAAGACGTTTCTGCTGTTTTGTGGTCATTTGTTACAACAGCCACAAGAAACTAATGCAGCACATTCATTTCACCAAGAATCCATCCTCCTCTACACTTCAGTCTCCCCTATGATATCTTTTCTCTGCCACCTTTTAAATGTGGTCAAATCTCCCATTGTTAATAACAATGAAAGCAGTAACAGCTTTAATCGATCACTGCTTTTACTTCCCCTGCCTCTGGCTCCCCCGACAAGCTCTCCAATCCCTGCCTCAGTGCCAAGCTCATCAACAGCTATGCCCACCTTCACTGCCTTCATGCCCGTCTGCCCATGACTCATGGTCCTCTGCAAGACCACCCATCCTCACCTGCCACAAGTGACCATGGTACTGCTGAAACAAGGGACACTTTCCATCCTTTTCATACTGTTTGTCTTGGCAACAAAAGAATCAAGTTTTAATCAACTCTAATCTAACAGCCCAGGAGCTCCTGAAGACAAGAATTACTTCCCATTCACGGTTGCATTCCCAGGGCTTTGCCTACTGCTGGGCATGGGGTACTTTCTGAGTGCTCACTGTCCTCAGGGTCATGGTTCTAGTAGTGGGAAATGCAGAGAAGAAATGTGGTGTTGTCTGAGCACAGTCTGCATCAGGGCACTGGAGCACAGAGGCCTTGCACCCCAAATGTGTGGGACGGAGGGCAGGAGAGGCTTCAGGTGCCTTCAAAGACCTGGCAGTCAGAGACAGTGCAGAGTACTGAAGAAAGCCAGGTAGGGTACTATGAAGCATGGTCAGGAGCTGAGAGGTGGGCAGAAGGACTGTCGGGAATAGTGGGAGCTGAGGGAGGGAGGCTCTGTCCATACTGAGCACTTACAGTATCCCAGCTGGGGCCCAACCCTGAATTCAAAGACAATGACATGCAGACTCTGCCAACCAGCAGAGCACAGACTAGGCCATGATGCAGGTGCAGACAGGAGGTGAGGGAGAGGTCAAAGGCACCTAAGGGGACCTTAAAGTGCAGGAATATTTGGCAGGTGTTCCAGGACTTCCAAGAAAGCAAAGTCTCCAAGCAAACGAGAGTCTCCTCTTGATAGTTTGTCTGAGAGTAACAGAGTGAAAAAGACGAAAACAGTCATGAAAAAGATGTTGGGTGGAGTTGTGGAGCAATCACCTGCCTTGAGCCAGAAATACCAGGGCTAACTGTGTAGCATGGAGCCTTGGCAGAATTCTTTAGGCTCAGATTTCCTTAGCCATAAAAAGGATCTGCTTGATTAGGAGTAAGCCTCATGTGCAAAGAGCCTGATTCTGAAAAGAAACACATTGAGGGGAGCTGTTACAAGAGTCGTGGAGACACTAGAGTTCTGCTTCTGCGTAGCTCAAAAGGGATGATGAACACTCCACGAACTCATCAACTTCAAACTTAAAAAGTATCCAATGTCAATGCCTCCTTGGCATTATTTCCAACAAAGACGTGCTCAACTTGCTTAGTCACATAGGTAAGAACTCAGAAGAAATCCCAAGCAGACAGTAGACGTTTGGACTGTGGGCATTTTCCCTTTTATCCCTAGAGTTCCTCTCAAAATTAAAGAAAGAATTTCAGTCTTATATATGCCTCGTGGAGTTGTGTCACTCTGATTAGCACCAATATGCATCACAGCCATTTTTAATGTGATAATTTAGCTGTGGGCAGTGTCTTGCACTTAATAATGCTTAATAAGGGTTTTTGGGGAAAGGAGGGTATGCTCCACACACTACATTTTGGAAGTAGATGCCTACTAGAGCTGGTGCTCCTGCATTTCTGAAAAAGCAGGAACTGCTGCTGCTGATGCAGGGTTATGCCACAGACAGCCATCCTGGAGGTGAGCACTGGCACCTCCCCGGGGTCCTTCCACACCTGCCTTGTGTCCCAGGTGAAGCCCATGGCTCGTGGAGGAAAACCTAGTTCTATGTCCCTGGGAAAACAACATAAGGAATGAGATGAAATGTTCTACTTAATTGGCCTATGAACTCTCACAACCTGTTTTTCTGTTCTTTTCTTTTTTATAAGCGTCTGTCAAAACTGTCTCCGGCTGTCACCACCAGCAGCCGTCAGGCCTGGACATGCCTTCCAACACTCCCACTACCCTGTTTATAAACGTTCCTGCAAACTGGTCTCGGGTCACCCTAAAAGCTAAAACAGGTTGTTGTTTTATGTCAGCCTGAAGGAATTTAGAGACTTTATCTACAAATTCAAGACAGAATAAAGCCTAGGGCTAACTGTTAACCTGTCACATAAAAAGAGACATCCAGGTTTATTCTCTTCCCTAATAATTCTACCCTTCAAATATCAGTCAGTGACAGTAAGGGGAAGGATGGAGAGAGAGGGAATAAAGACACAGTGGACACAGTGAAAGGGAATCCAGGTCCTTGGGTGGAGATGTGGTTTTGAAGTTGGGTCTGTAAGCTTAGGAGGAGTATCTGTTTACTCCCTTCTTTCTCAAAGTTAGTTTACTGAACCTACAAGAATTGGGACCGGAGTACAGATGACCTACTTGAGGTAGTGCATTTGAGGGGTTTAGGCTCCATACTAGATTTAAGATAAGTGATGATTAAAAGCAGCCAATAACAGTAAGACAGTATTGGCTGATCTCACACTGAGCAAACATATTACCTAAGGGGCAACAATGATTCAATTGACCGGGTTTCTCATTAAAAAACCACGAGAGCAAAAAGGGGATGTGTATATCTTCAAAGCGCTGAAAGAAAAAACAGTGTCAACCTACGATTCTATATTTACTGAAAATATCCATCAGTAAGACATTAAAATAAAGACATTCTCAGATAAAGAAAAAACAAGAGAATTCATTGCCAGCAGACATGTTCTAGAACAATTGCTAAAGGGAGTTCAGCAGACAGAAGGGAAGTGATTCCACAAGGAAGCCTGAAACATCAGGAATGAAGGGAGCAACAGAAATGGTACATATCAAGGTCAATATCAGAGACTTTGCTTTTCCTGTTGAGTTATTTAACCCATATTTGACAGTTAAAAGACAAAATTATAACATTGTCTGATGGAATTTTCAATGTATATAGATGTAAGACAAGAGTAATAAGAGGCGTGGGGTGGTAAAGATTCCAATATGGTGGTAAGATTTCCACACTCCACTTAAGTGGTAAAATACTGATTTTAAGTAAACTGTGAGAAGTTAAGCCTCTACATTGTAATCCCTAGAGCAATAAGTAAAAACTGCACAAGGAGATAAATAATAATTAAAAGGACTAAAAATAATTAAATAACCTAGCAAAAGGCAGGAATGAGGAAACAGAAGAATGAAACAAGAATGAGAAAAGAAATAGAATACGAATAATAAAATGGTAGGACTAAATCTAAAATACCACTAATTACATTAAATATAAATATTCTATATTATGATATTAGTAAAAATAAAAAGATGAAAAGAGATATGTTCTACAAACACAAACCAAAGAAAGCTAAGTGTCAATATCAGAGTAGACTTCACAGCAAAGAAAATAGTCAGAAATAAAGAAAAACTATGTAATGATAAAAGGGTCAGTTAATCAAGAAGCCAAAACAATCCTATATGTGTAGGCACCTAAAAATAGAGCTTCAAAATACAAGAAGCATGCCAGGTGGGAGGACCACTTGAGCCCAGGAGTTACAGACCAGCCTAGGCAATACAGCAAGTCCCCTTCTCTGCAAAAAATTAAAAAATTAGCCAGGTATGGTGGTACACGCCTATAGCCCTCGCTACTTGGGAGGCTGAGGGAGGAGGATCCCTTGAGTCCAGCAGCTCAGGCTGCAGTGAGCTATGATTGTACCACTGTACTCCAGCCTGGGCAACAGAGCAAGACCTCATCTCTTTAAAAAAATAAAATAAAATAAAATAATAATAAAAGCAAAAACTGGCAAAACTAAATGGAAAAATAAACCAATCTGCAAATCTAGTTAGATTTTCCACAGTCATCTCTTGTTCATAAATAGAATTAGTAGAAAACCAGCTGGGATGTAGATGAACTAAACAATCCATACATCAACTGTATCCAATTGACATTTATAAAATAGTATACAAAACGACAGCAAATTATAACTACTTTTAAAGTGCAAATGTAACATTCACCAAGATAGATTATGTACTAGATCATAAAACAAACCTTAACAGAAGTAAAAGAATTAAAATCATACCAAGTATGGAATATAATGGAATTAAACTATAAATAACAGAAAGATAACAGAACAATCTCCAAATTCGTGAAAATGAAGCAACACATTTCTAAATAATGGTTCAAAAAAGAAGTTTCAGGGGGAATTAGAAAGTATTTTGAATTGAAACAACATGAAAATACAGCATATCAAAATGGGTGGGGAGGCCGGGCGTGGTGGCTCATGCCTGTAATCCCAGTACTTTGGGAGGCCGAGGCAGGCTGATCACCTGATGTCAGGAGTTCGAGACCACCTTGGCCAACATGGTGAAACCCTGTCTCTACTAAAAATACAAAAATTAGCTGGGCATGGTGGCATGCACCTGTAATCCCAGCTACTTGGGAGGCTGAGACAGGAGGATTGCTTGAACCCAGGAGGCGGAGGTTGCAGTGAGGTGAGATCACACCACTGCACCCCAGCCTAGGTGACAGAGCAAGACTCCATCTCAAAAAAAAAAAAAAAAAAAGTGTGGGATGCAGCTAAAGCAGTGTTGAGCATTGAAATGCTTAGACTAGAAGAGAAGAAAGTTCTCAACAAAATAATCTAAGCTGAACCCTTAAGAAACTAGAAAAAGAGAGGAAAATAAACCCAAAGCAAGAAGAAGGGAGGAAACAGAAAAACAATATGCTTATAAATGTAGAAGAAAATCAACAATATTCAACATCCATTCGTGATAACAACTCTCAACAAACTAGGAACAGAAAGAAATTAGCTCAGCCTTATACAGAGTATCTACAAAAATCCTACAACTAACATCATCTAAAGGAAAAACTGAATGCTTGCCTCCTAAGGTGGCAAATAGGCAAGGACCTCACCTTCCCTGCTCCTATTTAATATCACACTAGAAATCCTAGTCAGTGCAATAACGCAAGAACAAAAAACAGAAAGGAAGAAACAAAACAGTCATCCTTCAAAGACAACATGGAAATCCCAAGGAATTTTTAAAATAAAATAAAAAATTTAAAGCCTCCTAGAACCAATAAGTAAATTCAGAAATATCAGAGGCTACATGGTCAACACACAGAAATCAAGCATATTTCCCTATACCAATAATGGACAATGAAAAACCAAAATTATGAAAAACACCATTTGTCATAGCTTCCCCCAAAATGAAATAATTAATATTACCATATTTAGTAAATAAAAGTGTAAGATACCCCATTAAATTCAAAATTCAGATAAAGAATGACTAATTTTTTAGTGTAAGCATGTCCCAAGTATTGCATGGGACATACTTATTCTAAAAAAAATTACTCATTTTTTTTTCTTTTTAATTGAGATTGAGTCTCACCATTTTGTCCAGGCTGGGCTCAAAGAAGATCTAAGGAGATGAAAGAAAAACAGTCATGCTTATGAACTAGAAGACACAGCATAGTAGAGTTGTCATTCTCCCAAAATTGATGTATAAATTTTATACAATTCCAGTAGATACATTCCAGCAGACTTTTAAAAATAGATATAGACAAGCTGATTTTAAAATATATCTGGGAAAGCAAGGGAACTAAAATAGCTAAAGCAATGTTGAAAAAGAAGAATGAAGTTGGAGGAATCACGCTGCCTGATTCAAAGACTTATAAAGCTACAGTAAACACACAATCCAGTCATGGTGAAGGGACAGACACATAGATCAATGGAACAGAAGAGAGCATTCAGAAACAGACCCACATAAATGGCCAACTGACTTTTTTAAAAGGTGCGAAAGCAATTCAGTGGAGAAGGCAATCTTTTCAGCAAACAGAACAGTAGGCCATCCATATGCAAAATAAATGAACCTTGACCTACACTTCATACTTTACACAAAAATTAACTCAAAAATGATGAGGATCATTCCATGGGAACCATTCCATGGTGACTATTATGGCCTACCAATTATAACTTTATATATTCTGGTTCTTGAATTATATACATCCTAAAAGTCAACCATCAAGAAAATGGCCGAGTAACGTGAATGAAAAGATATTTACTCTGTGTGTTCAAGTTTGTAGTTTGTTCATTCATTTGTTAAAACACTTTCTGAATGCCTATTATGGGTTAGGTAGAAGAATAAGACACAATCTGTACCCCCAAATTTTCCTACAGATGTCTTGCCATGAGGCATTGCCCATCTGAACACTAAGAGAGCACAGAGGGGTTTCAAGACCAGAGGGATCACCAAGACCTTAGAGTCAGACAACCTAGAGAAATAACACAGCTCTGTCTTGTCCAGGTCAGAATATTAAACCCAGTAACAACAACAACAAATACAGAAATATTCATTTGGTGATATTTATTCAATAAATATGTATTGGGCCAAGCTGTGTCCTAGGTGCTATGGATACAGTTATGAGCAAGACAAAGTACATATCTTAAGGGTTTACATTCTGGGGCAGGGGCAGGTGGGGCAATCCAGAGAGAGACAAACATTGGCCCATAATTAATAAAGAAATCAAACGGGGAAGATAGAGAGGGACTGAGGCAGGAGACTGGAAGGAAACTAAGCAGTGTGGTAAGGTAAGGCACCTCTTATCTTACCAGTGTGTGATGGTAAAGTCCTGAGGCTCAAGGCCTGGGGTGGCCAAATGGAAAAAATGCCAAATGCAAAAAAATAATGAAAAACAAAACAAAAACCAGGCACAAATAGAAGAAATGCCAGTTCAGCCAGCTTGGAGTCAGTATAGCACGGGGAACTAAGCCCATTTCCTGCAGTGTAACGGGTAAGAAAAATTGAGCACTTGCCTTTCTGACCAGAGAGAAGAGACCCCATTTTAGCAGTGTGATGCAATGTAGAGACAAAAATGGTTGAAAGATTTTTTAAAATAACCACAGCAGTGGAGGTAAAAGCCTTAACTTTAGGGTCAGAGGAAGTCCGAGGTGCCCAGGGCACATCCCTGCTGTGATGACCCTAGGATGTGAGTAGGACTCATGGTGCTGGGTGCAGAGGACCAGAAAGGGGATCTTATTTCATTCTTATTTATTTTTTATTTTTATCTTCATTTTTTTTTAAGAGACAGGTGTTTTGCTCTGTCACCCAGGCTAGAATGCAATGGCACGATCGTAGCTCACTGGAGCCCCAAACTCTTGGGCTCAAGTAAATTATTCTGCTTCAGCCTCCCAAGTAGCTGGGACCACAGATGTGCGCCATCACAGATGGCTAATGTTTTAAAATTTTTTTGTAAAGACGAGGTCTCGCTATGTTGCCCAGGCTGGTCTTGAACTTGTGGCCTCAAATGATGCTCCCACCTCCGCCTTCCAAAGTGCTGAGATTACAGGTGTAAGCCACTGTGTCTAGCCTTCAGGGAGGGAATCTTTAGCTTTCTGCATCTGGATGGCAGTCCCCATGGATGGCATCCCCATCAGCAGGGGCTGAATGGACGGTGGATGAGAATCACTCATGGTCATATGTATTATGCTTGGTTCTCTGTGTCTTCAAGTTTGTAGTTTGTTCATTCATTTGTTCAAACGCTTGCTGAGCACCTATTATGGCTTAGGTAGATGAATAAGATGCAATCTGTGCCCTCAAGGATGTTATTAGGCTTATGACAATGTGACACAAATTCTGTTATCACAGACATGGGGTTACAGGAGCAAGGAGAAGTGAAGAGTGCTCCGAGACACCAGCACTGTGGAAGGGTGCATTATTCAGGGTTATCCAGAGAAATAACCCATAGATTATATATAAATACATATATAAAGAGATTTATTATAAGGAATTGGCTCACACAGTCGTGAAGACTGAAGTCCCAAGATCTGCCATCAGGAAGCTGGAGACCCAGTTCCAGTCTGAGTCCAAAGGCCTGAAAAGCAAGAGAGCTGATGGTGTAAGTTCTAGTCCAAGTTCGACAGCGGGAGACTGCGGTTCCAGCTCCAGAAGAGTCCGGCAGAGAGGGTAAATTCTCCTTTCCCTCGCCTGGTGTTCTATTCAGGCCGGCAGCAGATTGGCCGAGGCCCACACACCCACTGGGGAGGGCCATCTGCCTTGCTCCACCCACCCATTCAAATGCTCCTGGTCCAAAAGCACCCTCATAGACAAACCTAGGATATGTGGGCACTCCGCGCCCCAGTCAAGCTGACACCTAAAATTCAGCCTCACGAGTGGGCAGGAAGAGGAGCATCTGTAAAGCAAACTGGGAAGGAGCGGCTGGGGGAAGAGAGGGAGAATCAGGAGGAGGTGTCGTGAGGAAAGGGAGAGAGGGGAGCGCTGCAGCCAGGAAGGAGTGGCCGCTCTCGAATCCTCCGAGAAGGCGAGCGGGACAGGGACAGAGGCGGACGCTGGGTTCAGTTATGAGCTGATGGGTGACCGGGCCGTGCTGATGGGGGCAGAATGCAAATGGCAGCGGGCTGTGAAGTGGACGCACCCAAGTTCTTGCTAGAAATTTAGTGGCACAGGAAGGAAGCACAGAGAAGAGGGAGGAAGCCCCCCAGGAAGAGAGCTTTTGTCTGTTTCTTTTTCACGGGAGACGTGAGACAGTAAGTGCTGATGGGAGGACCCGATGGGGAATAAGAAAAGCTGGAGCAGAGAGAGGAGAAGGGCCCCTCAGTATGCCCAAGCCTGGGACAGGCAGGGCCACCTTTGCCTTCCTCACGATTTAGAAAGGGGAAAGAATAGAGAGAAACACAGGGGAAGCTGTGGGATTTGATAGTGGGAGCCCAAGGACATTCTTGTCTGGCCAATTGTCATTGTCCCTGTGTCCCACATGAACCAGGACAGCTCCCACACTGGCGCCACTTCCCAGCAGTGCGATGTCAGGCAAGCAAGCAATTCAGCCTCTCTCTGCCTCTGTTTCTCCAGCTCAAATATGGAGCTAATGATACCAACCTCAGCGGGTCCTTGTGAGGATTAGTTGAAATGCTGAATTTAAGAATGTTTGCTACTGCATCTAGTAATTATTATCGTTAGCACTATTATTAGTTTAATTATCCTTCCTTGTTAAGAATCAATTATAAACCATTCTTTCAGTCTTCCTGTTTTTTTTTTCTTTTGTAGAACCAAAAAAGGCATGGAAAATCTTTCCCGGTTGTCATCGCCTCAGCCTGGAGGGTCAGCTAGTGCCTGTCCATCCCTGCAGGGCAGCTGCCTCTCACTAGGAGGAGAATGCTGGGTTTTGCACCTGGGAAGTCTCAGAAGGTGGGACATTCGTTGGCTAAGTAGAAAGCTGAGCAGATCTCAGCTCTCTCTCTGTTGAGTGCCCAAGCACACATAGAACTACACACGTGGTATCTCAGCAGTAAGGCCTGACAGCAAGGCAAGGGGGGACAGGCGGGAGGTGAGTCATGATCCTGCGTGTGCGTTGGTGCTCATTCTGACCCGCGCACCGAGATGGAAGCTGTGACACAGGAGGCTGTGTCAGCGCCATCCCAGCTCTGCAAGTACATCCAAATTCCAGGTTCCCGCCTCACCTCTCTGGTCTACCTAAGAGTTCACAGCGCAGTTGCAGTGCTCTGGGTTCCTGCCTGCTTCATGGTACCAGCCCATGCCCTTCTGTGATCCACACGCGTCCGGGACCTCATGCCCAGCCCCCAAGACATCCAGTGCAGAGGCACAGCCAATGAATCACCCTGCTGTCATACCTGCCTTCCCATTTTCAAAGATCCTTTTCTAAAAATACTATCAATGAATGCACTGTGGCATGGAAACAGAAGACAGCCGACTTAAAAACTGAATCTCCGGGCTTGGAACTTCCCCTAAATCATATTCTGGCAAAACATCTACAAAGCCCAAACACATTCTTGACCTTTGAAGAAAATGTCAGTGTGGAGCAAAGGCCTGTGTTCTGACCCCACCCAGCTACAAGAATTTCCTCCCTCCTGCCCGCACATCTTCAAAGAGTCCCTGAGATTCCAGGCTGGTTGCTACTTCCCCAGGGGAGCATTGCATGCATCTTTTCCATGTCCTGGAGGTCCAGAGGGGCTTTATAAAGTGGCCCCAACCCAGCAGCATCTGGGGCTGTGCTCCTGTTCTGTGCTCTAGGGGAAATGGAAGCAGGAGTCAGATTTGTCTTGGAGGATTCCTGTTCATCAGCAGGAGTTCTGAGTTACATGCCGAAAAGCAGACTACATTTTTTGCATTGCAGAGTGCTTCTGAAAAACACCATTCTAGAAAGGGGGATCATACATCCCAGTTTGCCTAAGACAGTTCTGGTTTACAGCTGTTATTCCTGTATACGTATTAATAGCACCTCTTTTACTCTCAAAAGCATCCCACTTTGGCAATAAAATTCCACTTCCCAGTCCTAGTCTTCCCATGACTGGATGGTGGCTGTTAAAGCCTTGGCCTCTAGAAGCGCCCCGGCAACTGGCACTTAGCTTATCTCTGAATTGTCTGCCGGAGTGAAGCTTAATTAAGATCTTGTTAGTTTGGGGAGAAAGAATCAAGGACATTTGGCAGCACATCCCTCACTTTATGTCACCCCTAAGTGAGATCCCCAGCCAGCTTCAGGGGGGCATTTTCCTGTCACCAGCCTTCTTGGTTCTCAGGAGCAGAGTTATCCTGTAGCAAGAAATGTTCACATCAGAGGTTTCCGACTTGCACAGAGAAGAGTCCGAGGAAGTGGGGAGACCTCCCTTGCTCACCCTCCCCTACTAACTGGCCAAAGCCTTCCTGGCCACCGCAGGACCTCAGAGTGCATCTCTGGCCTTTCAAACACAGTGTTATCTACTGTCCATAAACAGCGACCAAGAAACTCAAAAAGAAGAACCAGAACAGCCCAATGCCTGCACAGAGCAGTGCTCAATTAATACTTGTTGACTGATTGACTAATACATACATGAATGAAAGAACAACAAAATTGACAAATATCTGGCCCTCTGTGTGAGCTGAGAGGAAGCACATCATTCTAACACAGCACCTGAGAGCATTCTCACACCCAGAGCTCAAGGAAAATCAACACGCAAGGAAAAAATTCAGGGAGGGAGGCACCAGCCACCAACTCCCCTGGGGTGGCGGGTGAGCATGTGGAGAGGCCACAGCTGTGCACAGCTGGGTCTCTGTTGCTCAGCTTCTGGGAACCGGCAGGTGCACGTGGCTGTCCTCAAGGTTTTGCTCCACCTCCTGTGCCTCATTCCAGTTCCCTTGAGGGAGAGAACTGAGGACACTTCTGTATCCCTGAGCCTGGAGGAATTATAATAAGATGCCATCTCCGAAGAGAAGGGAGAGGGGCCAAGACCTCACTGGGGAGCAACCTTGCTCCTCTCTCCAACCTTCTATGGCTCACACTTACCAACTTTGCTCTTCTGTGGTCTCTTTTTCCCAAGATCCTGTTACAAATACAACATAGGCTTAAAAGCAAAAGGCATTAGCAGAGATCATTTGGGTCACTTCTTAATGATACGAAGATACCATTTGGTGAGTTTTCTACACGGGGCTCTTGCTCAGTGTTGGCAGTGCACAGTGCTCTTAGGGACATTTTTGAATGTAAGCCAAAAGTGTTTTTGAATATGCTCAATTCACCAAAAGATATAATTTTATGTATTAATAACATAGCTTCAAAATATATAAAGCAAAAAAATGACAAAACTAAAATGATAAATAGACAAACCCATGAAGATTTGGACAACCCAATTTATCCCTTTGGAAAAGAGTGGCATTATGTTTAAAATTATGGATATGGAAATCCAGAACTTCCAATTCTAGGTGCAGACTATAGAGAAACTTGAGCACGTGTGCACAGTGACTCACCCTCAGAAATATTCATCACAGCCTTGTCCACTGCTAACAACCCATTCCACAGCCAATTTTCCATTTACAGGGAAGTGAATAAGTAGTTGTGGCAGATTCATACAAGAAAATGCTATACCGCAATGAAAACTCAGTGAACTTAAGCCACACATATAGATGCATCTCAAAAAGCAATGTTGAAGGAAAGAAGCAAGATAAAAGCACCCAGGCCGGGCACGGTGGCTCACGCCTGTAATCCCAACACTTTGGGAGGCCAAGGTGGGTGGATTATTTGAGGTCAGGAGTTCGAGATCAGCCTGGCCAACATGGTGAAACCCCACCTCTACTAAAAATACAAAAATTAGCCAGGCATGGTGGCGGGCGTCTATAATCCCAGCTTCTCAGGAGTCTGAGGCAGGAGAATTGCTTGAACCCAGGAGGTGGACGTTATAATGAGCCAAGATTGCGCCACTGCACTCCAGCCTGGGAGACAGAGTGAGACTCCATCTCAAAAAAAAAAAAAAAAAAAAAAAAAAAAAAAGAATCCATAGAGTATGATTCCGTTTCTATAGAGCTGAAAAACAGCCAAAGCTAAAGTGCATTGTTTAAGAATACATACATAAGCGATCAGACTATAAAGGAAAGAAAAGAGATGACCATCCTAAAAGCTAGGAGGATGATGACTCTGCAAGGAGGAAGGGTTTGGCCGGGGAGACACACCCAGGGGCTTCCAGGGTGCAAGTTCTAGTCTAGTTCCTGACCTAAGGAGTATTACCCAGGTGTCCACATCATAATTCTTCATTCAACTGGACACACACTTTTACGCAAGTTTATGTATGTGAGGCGTATTTACCAATAAAAACAATGTTATCAAAAATGTGGGAAAGGCTGGGGCCAACGGGGTCGAGTGCCCCTGGCTGGGACTGTCCTGCCCAGAGAAGCTCTGCCTCTCTTCTCTCCCTCCACCTGCTGAGAGGCAAGGGAGCCTCCGGTCTCCCCATCTATGGGGGTCTCCCCTACCCCCAGGTGGTCTAGGTAGCAGCTGGTCCAGACCTGCCATGTCTCAGGTCCTGGGGTGAAGGCTCCCAGCCCCTGGCTCTTCCTGGTGGGCAGCTTCTTCCCAGATAGGCTTTTCCTCCCACGGAAAGATGTATGCGTGGGCTTGGGGGAACAGCCACGTGACTTGGTCCTGGGCCCCCAGCCTGCCCAATAAAGAGGCATTCTCAACACGGTCCACATTAGCTTATCAGGATCCAAAGCAGACATTTGCCTTGACCTCCATGTCTTGAGGACATCAAGGGGAGAGAGGGCTGTAACAGGGCAAGATTCAGACACTCAGGCTCTTCAACCCTGTGGCATTGTCTGTTCCCAAAGCCCAGTCCCAAAGGTGGAGGCAAACAGGGCAAAATATTAGAGCCAGGCCTTTGGGGTAAAATCCCCCGACCATGCTCCTTCCATTCCTCAGCCAGAACTATTTGGTCCCTAAAAGTGAGCTGGAGCTGAGGCATTTCCCGTCCACCCGGGGGTCCCAGCCATGTTCCTAGGCTTCCAGGAAACACTTTTTCTCCAGATAGATTGCTGACACCTGTACATAAAATAGACTCCCATAAACAGGCATTTTCCAAAAGCTTTTAAACCGCAGAGCGTTTACTTAAAGCCTGAGAAAATAAGCCTTAGGCTCATTTTCCTCCAACAAGGAGCTCAGCTGCTGCATTCTCCAACAGTGACTGCCAAAATTGGGCAGGAGAGGCCCAGGGCGCAGGCCCGTGCTCCCTGACGCTCCGCAGGCCCGACCACAGGCTCCCCAGAGCTCCCTGGCCCGAGTCAGGTCTGCCCCAGAGACTAACAAAAAGCAGGCTTCGGCCAGGCGCGGTGGCTGATGCCTGTAACCCTAGCACTTTGGGAGCTACTCAGGAGGCTGCGGCAGAAAAATTGCTTGAACCCGGGAGGCGGAGCTTGCGGTGAGCCAAGATCGCACCACCGCACTCCAGCCTGGGCGACAGAGCGAGACGCCGTCTCCAAAAAAAAAAAAAAAAAAAAAAAAAAAAAAAAAAAAAAAAAAAAAAAAAAAATCTCCTTACTCTGCTCTCCTCACTAGAGGGAAAAGAAAGCCACAGGGCAGAAGACAGGAAGGAGACAGCGCCCAACACTTCTCAGGTCGGGAAAATGGCTTTTAACAGTGAAATCAAGCTCTGCTTTCTCTTGTGGAAGTAAATGGAGCTAACTCCACCTTCAACTTCCGTGTAGGAGAGGTGGCCAGGCCTGTGTCCAGCGGGGTGCAGCTAGCTGGGCCCAACAGCGGGGAGGCGGGTCCCTCTCCCCAGTCACAACTAGGGCCTCCCTCCTCCCTGATAACATCCTCCCTGCGCCCCATTTCGTCCCTCCTGCCTTTCCATTCCAGCTACTGCAAAGGGCGAGGACTGTGGGTCTCACCTCCTTTCCTTCCCGCCTCCTCCAGCCCTGCAGCCTCCTTCTGTCTGCATGGTCCTTGGAAGCTTCTGCCTCCAGGGCACCTTTTGGGGTTGGATGCTCCCACCCACACTCCGCACCTGGACAGTCTCCCACTGTCCTTTCCAGGAAGTCCTGGACCCTACACTGGTCCTTCTCTGTTCCCTTTGTGACTTTTTGCTTCCACTCTTGCCCCGCTCCAGTCAGTTCTCCATACAGCATCCTGGGTGACCTTTGAAAATAAAACAGACCTGACCTGGCCAGTCTCCTCCGCAGAACACCCCAGGGCTCTCCATGGCTTTCAGGATGACAGCCAAAGTCCTCGCCAGGATCCCCAAGGCCTGAGCCATCTGCCCTGCAGTCTCCCTGCTCTCAACCCTGCTCTTGACCTCCCATCGGCCCCTCCAGGCAGGCTGCCCCCTGGCTCTTCCTGAAATGCATCAGCCCAGGCCCAACTCGGGGCTTCCCCTCAGAGGTCCTTCTGCCCCATATCTCGGCCTAGCTCCCCAGCCCTCACTTGATTTCCATCTCTGCTCCAATGCTTCCTCTTTAGAGAGATGCTCACCACATCAGCCTCTTCACCCATCACTGTCTCTCCACCTACCTGCACAGGGCATCCACGTGCATGATGCAATGTATCACATATGACAGAGTACATATTTGTCTGCTGCGGGCTCCTTCCCTAGAATGGAAATCCTAAGAGGGCAGGGGCCTTGTTGGTTTCATTCATTTCTGCATTCCCAGAACGTAGAATACCAACACATAGCAGACACCCAATAAAATAGGCATCGGATGAATGAATCAATGATAAAAAAATTATATAAATAGTTTAAACATTTTATTTTAACTTAAAACACACATATGGAAATTCACTTGCCAGTATTTTGAGTGGGGCCAAAGCCTTTCTTTGAGTGTGGTGCCTCCACTAGGGAGCTTGCCCCCTTTTTTGCATAAATTCCACCTAGAAAGCATTCGCCACAATTTCAAATGTTAATGTCTTTTTTTTTTTTTTTTTTTTTTTTGAGATGGAGTCTCACTCTGTCGACCAGGCTGGAGCTCAGTGGCATGATCTTGGCTCACTGCAACTTCCACCTCCTGGGTTCAAGCGATTCTCCTGCCTCAGCCTCCCGAGTAGCTGGGACTGCAGGCACGCACCACTACACCTGGCTAATTTTTGTGTTTTTAGTAGAGACGGGGTTTCACCATGTCTCGAACTCCTGACCTTAGGTGATCCACACACCTCAGTCTCCCAAAGTGCTGGGATTACAGGCATGAACCACTGCCAAATGTAAATTTCTTTTCTTTTCTTTTCTTTTCTTTTTTTTTTTTTTGAGATGGAGTCTCACTCTGTCGCCCAGGCTGGAGTGCAGTGGCACGATCTCGGCTCACTGCAACCTCCACCTCCTGGGTTCAAGTGATTCTCCTGCCTCAGCCTCCTGAGTAGCTGGTACTACAGGCACGCACCACTACACCTGGCTAATTTTTGTATTTTTGGTAAAGACGGGGTTTCACCATGTCTCAAACTCCTGACCTTAGGTGATCCGCACACCTCAGCCTGGCAAAGTGCTGGGATTACAGGCATGACGGCATGAACCACTGCCAAATGCTAATTTCTTTTTTCTTTTTCTTTTCTTTTTTTTTTTTTTTTTTTTTTTGAGATGGAGTCTCGCTCTGTTGCCCAGGCTGGAGTGCAGTGGCACAATCTCGGCCCACTACAACCTCTGCCTCCCGGGTTCAAGCGATTCTTCTGCCTCAGCCTCCCGAGTAGTTGGGATCACAGGTACGCGCCACCACACCCGGCTAATTTTTGTATTTTTAGTAGAGATGGGGTTTCACCATATTGGCCAGGCTGGTTTCGAACTCCTGATCTTGTGATCCGTCTGCCTTAGTCTCCCAAAGTGCTGGGATTACAGGCGTGAGCCACCGTGCCCAGCCCAAATGTTAATTTCTTTAAAGAAGCATCATAAGATCTTAAAGACTCATGAAAAGCAATTTCAGCACAGAGGCCTTCCTTATTTTCATTATATTCCCCTAATCTTCCGTACACTTAATTGAAAGCAAATGTTTAAGTCAATTTGCCCTTAGTGAGTCTTTCTAAATCATTCAACTTAGTTTTCAAGAAACAACTTTCTTTTTGTGCTCATTATATTGGTTTACATAATTTGCTTACATAATCTGTAATTAAATGACTGAATCACAATAACATGTATTACAGGCATAAGCTGATGTAGGGACAAACACCACTCAACTCAAAAGCGTGCAGCTGAGCAGGAAAACTGCCTGTGGTCACCGGGCCATGGGGATCTGCTGGCACATTTGCTCCATGAGTCAGCTTAGAAGAGGTTGGATGACAGAGCTGGTTCTGTAGTATGCAAATCCTGGATACAGGCACATGCTCATTCTGATGCGGACTGGCATGCCACCCACAGAAAAGAATAGGAAAAGCAAAATTAGAGCGCGAAATGCGACAAGGATCCAAACAAGAAATTTCCCTCAGCCTTTCCCAGCCAAGGAAAATTCCTGCATGAGAAGGAACTGAAGTAAATATAAGGAAGGAAGGAACTGAAGTAAATATAAGGAAGGAAGGAACTGAAGTAAATATAAGGAGGGAAGGAACTGAAGTAAATATAAGGAGGGAAGGAACTGAAGTAAATATAAGGAAGGAACTGAGTAAATATAAGGAAGGAAGGAACTGAAGTAAATATAAGGAAGGAACTGAAGTAAATATAAGGAAGGAAGGAACTGAAGTAAATATAAGAGCCACAGTGAATGTCGGGTTTCTAGACATAGAATTGGCCTGTATCATTAGTAAGCTGAACTTGGTTTTCATTTTTTTTTTTTTCTGTCCCCCAGGCTGGAGTGCAGTGGCATGATCTCGGCTCACTGCAACCTCCGCCTCCTGGGTTCAGGCAGTTTTCCTGCCTCAGCCTCCCAAGTAGCTGAGATTACAGGCATGCACCACCACACCCGGGTAATTTTTGTATTTTTAGTAGAGATGGGGTTTCGCCATGTTGCAGAGGCTGGGCTGGAACTGCTGACCTCAGGTGATCCGCCCACCTTGGCCTCCCAAAGTGCTGGGATTACAGGTGTGAGCCACCACGCCTGGCCTGGTTTTCATTCTTGAGTAAGAATGACTGTAATGTCATTCTCAATTTCTCTGTGGTCCTTTCAATCCTGCACAAATTAATACCTCCAGGTATTTTTACAAACAGGCTTCTGAACCCAGAGTGAGTCCTCACTTTTAATTCTTGTTTTCCTGACTTAGTAACTTTATCCAGCCCAGGTGTCACCATCATGGGTTCTTCTGTTCATTTGTCCATCAGACCCCCATGGAAAACATTGGCCCACCTGTGGATCTCAACAACGCTCCCTCCTGTCTCTCAAGGACACCCTCTTCTAAGGTCTTCACTGCTGGGGTCCTGACCTTCACACACACATTTGCCACAGGGCATTGTCATTGTCATCATCATCCTCCCTCCGTCCCTCCCAGATGCACGGGCTCCAGAAGCCCGGCAACTCCTCCCTGCTGCACCCTGGTCAGACAGGCAAGGGCGGGATCAGGTCGCAGGTGCTAAAGGCAAAGCCAAATGTTCATGATCCTGCAGACATTTTAGTTACAGCCTTCAAGGCCACAATGCCCCCTGGAACGAAACAGGTGACGGTCAAGGCCAAGTCCCTTCCTCTTGGGCATGCACATGAAAACTTGTGACACCTGCCTTTCATCCAAGCCCAGCTAAGGCTCACAGCACCCCGCTTTCTGGCACACTAGCAAGTTGTTTTGTAAGATGCAGATTTGGGCGGGGCCTATTGTTTGGACTCACAGTATGGGATCCATTTCTAAATGGCCTGATGATAGCAGAACCACAAAACCAAGAGTGAAGGGATCACTGGAAAGCGTCAATCACTCTAAGGGGGAAAAGGTTTTCCAGGCCTGAGAGTTGTGGCTGACTTGAATGAAGCTCCTGACATGACATAACGTGACCGTGGTGGGCAGAAAGGGGGACGGACAGGGAGACCCGGAGCACATGGAAAGGGTTGCCCTAGCAGCAAAACCCGGATCTGCCCATGTGGACTCCGTTCATGGGTGAGAAAGGACCCCCATGGGAGCAAAGGAGCACCCAGCCTGCCTGAAGGCACACCCCCTTTATGGGCCGTCAAACCAGATGCCAGATAACATGCAAACCATACAACCACTTCCTCTGCTCTGTCATTGTGATCATCTTCCTTTGGAGTCTGCTTTAAGAGAGAATATGCTGTTCAGGCCAATGCAAATACTTAGTCTGTGGGACAGCTATATTTTTCATGATAAATTACCAAGATGACACTCACTCTCAGCATGAATTACCTCGAGGGCTCTGATGAGATGCTTTCTGGACTGGGCAGTGCAAAAGCCAGACCCCAGACCTTTGTAACCCCCACCCCCAGGGTAAATACCTCTGCGAGACTTCATGAAGGCTGGCCAGCTAGTCCCAGCTGAGGATCCGCGGCAGTGCTGCTCAGCCCTGGCTGTGCACAACATCCGTGCGTAAGAGGATGTGGACACCCAGCCTCACCCCAGCCCAGTTAAAATCAGAGTCTTTAAGAAGTGAGCCGGAACAACAGCTTTTCTTAAAAGCTTCCCAGAAGATTCTAGTGAGCAGCAAAAGTCGAGAACCATGGGCTTAGTGTACCTAACTGATGGAGCCCTCAGATGCTGGAACCTATGTGAACAGTCTTCGGTTTTGTATTAGGCTAATAAGCACTTGTAACATTATTAGTTACCATATACTGAGGGCCTAATATGTGCTAAGCACTGTTATATACTTTCACATTCAGTATGTGAAGACATAAAAACAACTCTGTACAGTGGCTATTGTTACCCCATTTCAAAATGTTTTATTTTAAGAAAACAGGCTCAGAAAGATTAAGTAACTTGAAACAAAATTTGCACAGCTGATTAAGCAGAGAAACTAGTATCTAAATCCAGCCTCCGATTCCAAAAGTCTAAGCTTTTCCATTATGTGTGTTGTCTTTTAGCCTTTAATAATTGCAGAAACTATGAGTGAGATGTTGGGATCAGTACTACATCTTCCTAAACTTTCATCCGTAGGAAATCCGGATTGGGAAGCCTGCTCCTCCAGAGGCTATCAGCGTGTGGACACCTGCCTGTGCTTAAGAGGTCCAATCATTTATTATCGTAATCTAATTTTGTAGAACATCAAACTAGAGAATAATTTCGGGCTAAATTGCATTTGTGTTTTAATCAAGAGGCCGACGTTATTGATTATGTAATAAGGCATTCTCTCTGTTTATTTTCATCCTTAAGAAAACAATAACTTCTTCATTAAACTCACTCTGACCCTATTTTGGAGACTTATTGCTGTGCCTGAATCCGACAAGACTCATGCATAGAAAAGCAGAATTAGATGCATAAAATACCAAGAGAGAGAGAGAACCTCTAATTGCAAAAGTAACTCCTGAGGTACAAAGAATCTACGGCATCACCCCGAAAGCACTTGCGGGGAGAAGCCTCCTCTCCTCACACCCCCAAGTGGATGACCCTGTGACTGAGTCATTAGAGGGCTGGCCAAGCGAGCTCCTGATTCCATCACTGCTGGAGACTGAAGAGCTTGGCTGAATTATCCAGACACGCTTCGTGTGGAACCCTGTGAAAGTCCTACATTGCTTATGAAGTTACCATCCTGTTATAAACTGAAGAAGGAGCCCTCAGCAGTCAATGATGAACAGTGTTGAGGGAAGGTGTCATCTGTCATATCAGTGCAGTGAGAGTCCTCATAAAAACACAGCTGGACATTTTCCTCAGCTTTACAAATCATCTTTCCATTTTGGTGCTCTTGGGGTTCTCCTCCACTGAACCTTGAAATGCTATTCCCTAGGAGCAATTGAGAAATCCAATGTTTAGCACTGTTTTTTAAGTGTCATAGGAGGTTCATAAAGATGTGTTGAGTTAAAGAGATGGGGGAAGGAAGTGCTATAACCTCAGCACCTCGGTAGGGACTTTTTATACCTTCAGTGCATTCATCTTACATAAATCTCACAATTCCCAAACAAGGAAATTGAGCTCCAGAGGGTACACAGCTAATAAGTGATGTGGCCAATTTTCAATTCAGCTCTAACCTCAGCCTCATATGATTTCTCTGTACCACTTAAGAGTATCCCAAGAGAGGACCTCTTGTCTCTCCATAATGACAGGCCCAACCTTCGACCACTCCTCTCCCCGTGTAAGGTCTTGGGTTTGGCCCCTCCAGAGTCAATTTGACATTCAGCAAATATCCGTTCTGTTTTAGGGCACTGTGCCACATATCTCTGGGGCTGCCAGAGATATGCCCCAGTGTGGCCCGCCCTCAAGGAGGCTGAGCTCCATAGAGCAGCCCGGCTAGCCAAGCGCCAAGCCCAGCAGATCATGGGCGAGGGAAGAAAGCAACAGCTGCATCTCTGACATGACAGAGAGGCCTCGAAGTATGCATAGAACCTAAATACATGGAAACGAGGGCAGGGAAATGGCACGCTCTAAGGCTCGGCAAGCAGAAGAGCTTGGGCAGTCTGTGCAGGCTCTACACTCCGAGCCTGCGTTCTCCTGGGTCCAGATCCTAGCTTCACCACTTTGTTAACAAGTAAGTTAACCCCTCCACACCTCTATGGCCTCATCCATGAAATAAGAACCAATTCGGTCTAACTGCAAGGTGCAGGCCCTTTCCTCTATACCACTTACGAAAGCCTGGAGTTAAGGTGTACCCACAAGAGAGCGCACTGTTGTTGTGAGGGTAAGACGAGATCATTCACGTTCAGTGACAAGCCTGATTCCTGGCACTCAGAAAGCTCTCCATCAATATGCTATTATTTTGACTATTTGGGGGTACATCAAGCAGTCCAATTTGACCGGAGGATAGAACATGTGTAGAAGTAACTGCCCATCTCCAGCACGTAGCATGTCACTTGGTACATGTTGGGCGCTCGCTGTAACACAGTCACTTAACCTCTGGAGGAAGGGTTAAGTGAGACGATGCACTCGAAAGCATCTGGTATGATGCCTGGCACGTGGCGGGTGGTCAGTAAATGCTCTGTGAATCTGAGTTCCTCTAGGGTCAACCCCAAGCCTTCTAGTCTTTTGGAAGCAAGACAGTACAAGTTTAGTGTTTCCCAAACTGGAATCTAACAAACATGTATATTCCCTGGGATGCTACTAGTGTTCCATAGCAATAACAACAAAAATCAGTGCCTAAATATACTCCCTTCCAAAACATAATACCAGTAATCCAAGAAAACACTCAACATGCCTACATAGTCATCCTTATTACTTTTCAATAAAGTGAGTTAAGACATGAAAAATCATAGCAGATAAAATAGTATGGTCCCAAGAACAGAATCAGACAGACCGATAAAACTGAAGAGAGGGCTGGGTGCGGTGGCTCACGCCTGTAATCCCAGCACTTTGGGAGGCCGAGGCGGGCAGATCACCTGAGGTTGGGAGTTCAAGACCAGCCTGACCAACATGGAGAAACCCCATCTCTACTAAAAAAAAATACAAAATTAGCCGGGCATGGTGGCACGTGCCTGTAATCTCAGCTACTCAGGAGGCTGAGGCAGGAGAATCACTTGAACCCAGGAGGCAAAGGTTGCGGTGAGCTGAGATCACACCATTGCACTCCAGCCTGAGCAACAAGAGCAAAACTCCATCTAAAAAAAAAATAAAAACAAACAAAACAAACAAACTGAAGAGAGGGCCCCGTCGTTACAAATCATATGGGATTTCAGTACATGACAGAGATAGCATTTCACACCAGTGGGGGAGAGGTTTTATTTGATGAATGACATTGGAACAACTGGCTAGCTGTTTGATTTCCTCTTTCACTCCTTTCATCAAATTTTCTGTGAGGTGCACACAAAACAGATGTAATAATTTTTAAGTCACTTAAAAAACAAACCCAATGACTATTCAATTTTGCATTCAACAAAAAACTCGCGATGTTGAAGTCATAGAAGTAAAGCGACTCGTGTTTGGGATTCCCACTGAAGCAGCCCCCGCCTCATTCTCCACCTCCAACTCATTCCCACTTCAGGACTTCTCCACCTCCAACTCATTCCCACTTCAGGACTTCTCCACCTCCAACTCATTCCCACTTCAGGACTTCTCCACCTCCAACTCATTCCCACTTCAGGACTTCTCCACCTCCAACTCATTCCCACTTCAGGGCTTGTGCACTTGCACCCCTGTGCCCAGGACAATCCCCGCCTAGCTCCTGCACGCTCACGCTTTCTCATTCTGCAAGTCCCACCCAAGGGTTGCCTCTTCAGAGAGGCCTTCCCTGGTCACCCAGTCTATAGCAGGCCTCCCCAGCATGGCCATCCTAGCACGTGGCCTTGTTCATTCCCTTCATACCTACCACGCCACCTAGTAAATTCATCATTTGCCCCAGTAGGTCAGTTCCATGAGGGCAGGTGTCTCATTCCCTTCCTTATTGCCTGCAATAATGCTGAGCACAAATTAGGTGCCCAATAAATATTTATTCAATGAATCAATGAATTAATGGCCTTCTTATTTTAAATATCTGCCCTGAACGTGACACTCTTTTTCAAGGAAGCTGACATTTTTTTTCTTTTAACCACAATAGAAGGCTCACGGATAATTCTGTTTTATTTTCAAATATCTACCCACCTGTGCTTGGTTTCTATCTTTTTTTTTTTTTTTTTTTTTGAGACGAAGTCTAGCTCTGTCGCCCAGGCTGGAGTGCAGTGGTGCGATCTTGGCTCACTGCAACCTCCGCCTCCCAGGTTCAAACAATTCTCCTGCTTCAGCCTCCCAAGTAGCTGGGATTACAGGCACCCGCCACTACGCCTGGCTAATTTTTGTATTTTTCATAGACATGGGGTTTCACTGTGTTGTCCAGGCTGGTCTCAAACTCCTGACCTCGCGATTTGCCCACCTCAGCCTCCCAAAGTGCTGAGATTACAAGCGTGAGCCACCACACCCGGCCATTTATATCTTAAGTTAAAAAAATTTTGCTGGAGCACTACATTCATGTCTCTTTGGAAATGCACTGATTTGTAACTTCAGCAACTAATATGTTGGCTGATTCTATTTAATACTTCGACACCAAAAGATGACAGAGATTGCTTCCAAACCGCACTTTCTTTACTGACTCTCATGTATCCCTAACCTGCCAGTCCCACATTCAGGAGTTCATGGTGAAAGCCACAGGCAAGGGAGCCTCCCAACCAGTGTTCTGTCTAGAAAAGTTGCAGTGCTCATGTGTGCATGCGTGCACGTGTGTGTGTGTATTGCTTACTATATGCAAGGTAATGCACCCTCTCCCTGCTTCTATTTTCTGTGCCCATTGCAGCATCAGACCCAGGGACACTTACCTGCAGGTAGAATAATGGCATATGACCGTGAAACATCCTTACACAATGTGACCAAGGCCAGCATCTAAACCTGCTCCCAACACCTTTGACTGGTGGCACCTCCACAGCCTGGAATCCCTTCCCCGGTCTTTACTTCTTTCCTCAGTGCATTCTGTCCTGGCCCTTTTTATAACAGATATGCCCGAAAAGCTTTTACTAAATAAATATCCTCACGTGCTCTTTAGATCACAGGTCTCCTCCACGAGGTCCACTAGAGAAGAAATGTGGCACTGAGTGTGGCAGCAGCAATCTTTCTTCCAGGCCACCTGTTCTTGCAGTGACCCTGACATCCCTTCCACCATGTCATGGCATACTTGTCCTTGGGTCTGGGCAGACCTTTGGGGCTGCCTTGACCAACCTACTGTGACAGATGTACTGCTATGTGACTTTGGAGGGGAGATCATAAAAGTGCCTTGCGCTTCTGCCTTGCTCATGCAGGATTCCAGCCGCCATACTGTGAGGAAGCCCAAGTTATCCCATGTGGACAGATCACATGGAGAGGTATGTGTGAGACCACAGGCATAGGTAGTCTAGCCAACAGCTCAGACGAGATCCCAGCTGACAACCCACATCAACCTTCAGATGACCTGGACCCTAGCTATCGGGCTGTTCCCAGCCTTCGAGTCTTCTTACTTGGGGCCATGGATATTGAGGAGCGGAGACAAGCTGTTCCTGCTGTGTCCTGAACCAGAAAATTTATGAACATAGTAAAATGGTTATCATACACCATTAAATTTTAGTTTTTTAGGCAGCAATATTATGTGGAAAAATGATTTCAGTTCACAATCCCAGTTCCTAATTTCAAGATGCAGTCTAGATGTCCTATGAAACATCATGCTTTTATTTTTTTCTTTTAAATATTTATTTTTATTTTTCCATAAGTTATTGGGGTACAGGTGGTATTTGGTTATATAAGTTCTTCAGTGGTGATTTGTGAGATTTTGGTGTACCCATCACCCAAGCAGTATACACTGCATCATATTTGTAGTCTTTTATCCCTTGGCCTCTCCCACTCTTCCCCACAAGTCCCCAAAGTCCATTGTATCATTCTTATGCCTTTGTGCCCTCATAGCTTAGCTCCCACATATCGGTGAGAACATAGGACATTTGGTTTTCCATTCCTGAGTTACTTCACTTAGAATAATAGTCTCCAATCTCATCCAGGTCACTGCAAATGCTGTTAATTCATTCCTTTTTATGGCTGAGTAGTATTCCATCATATATATGGATATATATGGATGAGATTGGAGACTATTATTCCAAGTGAAGTAACTCAGGAATGGAAAACCAAATGTCCTATATTCTCACTGATACATGGGAGCTAAGCTATGAGGACACAAAGGCATAAGAATGATACAATGGGCTTTGAGGACTTGTGGGGAAGAGTGAGAGGGAGCAAGGGATAAAAGACTACAAATATGGTGCAGTGTATACTGCTTGGGTGATGGGTACACCAAAATATATATATATATGATGGATATATATATATATATGATGGATATATATATATATATGATGGATATATATATATATATATGATGGATATATATATATGATGGATATATATATGATGGATATATATATGATGGATATATATATGATGGATATATATATATGATGGATATATATATATGATGGATATATATATGTGTGTGTGTGTATATGACGGATATATATGTGTATATATATGATGGATTATATATATGTATATACATGTTGGAGATATATATATGGAGATATATATATATATACACATACACACATATATATGGATATATATATACACACATATATATATATATGGATATATGGAATAAACCATAGCCATGGGCTATTATACATTTTCCCCTCCAAAATTAAGGTATCAAGTTAATCCCCAATGTGGCAGTATCGAGAGGTGGGGCCTTTTAAGAGGTGATCAGATCATGAGAGCTCTGCCCTCACGAAAGGGTTAATCCATTCATGGGTTAATGGGTTATCACAGGAGTGGGACTGGTGGCTTAGTAAGAAGAGGAAGAGCGACCTGAGCTAGCATGTGAGCACCCACAGCCCCCCACCAAGTAAGTGCCCCTCACCAGGTGGTGCCCTTTGCTGCCTCAGGACCTGAGTCCCTGCCAGCAAGAAGGCTCTCACCAGAGGTACCCCCTTGACCTTGGACTTCCCAGCCTCCAGCCCCGTAAGAAACAAATTTCATTTCTTACAAATTACCCCTTTCAGATATTCTATTCTAAGGAATAGAAAATGGACTCATATGTCCACCAAATAAATAACCAATGTATGGAAAATTATACATCCATTAAGATGGATTCTAATGACATGGGGATGTAGTCATGCATTTACTTAATGTATTTTCCCCGAGCAACCCTCCATGTATGAGGAAAAAAAGCACAGTGGCTTTGGGAGTCAGAGGGCTTCCTGGGGCTGATTAGGAGGGAGCGGCTCACTGCTACATGGCTGGAACACACAGGACAGATGGAGGGAATGCAAATAAGAAGGCTTGCATTTCCTCCACACAAAAGTGATTTTTAAAAGGCAGCAAATTTAGAAAATCTGAAAAAGAAAAAAAAAATGATTAGGAGGAAACCTCATCACCTCCCCAACCAGCAAGAATCCCCAGAGATAATGTGTGTGGAAGAAGGAGGTGCTGGCAGTGGGGCCAGACTTCCCACCCGAGTGGGATGGGTTTGAGCCCTTTCTATGCATATGTCACAGGCCTGGTGCTTTCATCAGGACGGAGGGCTGGGGACACCCGGACACACACACTCGAGGGAAATTTACCAGCATGTCAGCACTGGCTGTCTGAGTTAATTACAGTTGCATTTTTTTTCTTTATATCTTGTGTGTTCTAAATTATCTCTAATGAGATGTTTCTACCACACCAGGGAGAAAAAAGCAATGACAGGGACTGTAAAATAAAATTTAAATACCAGACCCTACAAACATGGAATGTGCAAAGGGCTGCAACTCCCTGCCTTCCCTCCCTTCACTTGCTCCCTGCTCCCCTTCCCAGGCAGCTCCTGGAAGGAGTGGTCAGCCCAGCCCTCCATTTCCTCTTGCCCACGCAGTCACATCTCTGCAATCTAGCTTGCGCTTCGCACCCCCACCCCCAGATCAACTGTGACCTCATTGTCAAATCCAAGGGACATGTTTTTATCCTTATCCTGCGTGGCTGTCCATCATCTGACCCTGTGGGCTACTCTCTTCCGGGTCTCTCCCTGCTGCCTTTTCTGTCTGCCTTGTGGGTTTCCTACTTGCACCTCCTCCGTGTTCCCCAGGACACCATCAGGGCCCCCTGTACACCTTAATCTACACACACTTCCTCTTCTAAATTAATGGTTTCAAATAGCAATGCCACACTAATGACTCCCAAGCCCATGGTTAGCGCTGCCCTCCCTGAACTCTTGCTCCACGTGTCTAACCACCTGCTGGGCATCTCCAGCAGGAGATAAGCTGAAGCTTGAGACATAAGCTGAAACCTGAAGGATGGCTGGGTTTTGAAACTAAGAAGTTGGGGTGGGGTGGGAGTGCTCCAGGCAGGAGAAATGACACGTGCACATGTTCAGTGGGGAGAAGGCTCACGCACATTGCCTTCCAGGGACTCAATCCAGCAGGAGCTCACTAAGTTCAAGATCAAACATTACCATTCCCCAATAGGAATTCATCCTCCCCTGTTCTCTAGGTGTAGGTGCTATTAACTAGTCACCCAAGCCAGAAATGAGAAGTCCAGTTACCCACTCGTTCATGTATTCATTTGCTATTCCTTAGGCACATGCAGACAAGATGCACACATTGCTCACAGCCCTGCCCTCACAATGCGGAATCCACTGAGGTAGGGAGGCTGTCTGCTGGTGGTGGTGTGAGGTCATGAGCTGGCAGCCGGGTCAACAGGCAGTCACATCTCAGTGTGGAGGTGCTGGGACGGAGGAAGTGCTGGGGCTGTGGAAACACTCAGGAGGGAATCAGGAAAGACTTCCTGAGGTGGCGACATAAGCTGAAACCTGAAGGATGGCTGGGTTTTCAAAGTAAGAAGTTGGGGTGGGGTGGGAGCTTTCCAGGCAGGAGAAATGACACATGCACATGGTTTAGCAGGGAGAGGGCTCATGCACAATGCATTCCAGGGACTGAGTCAGTATGGCAGATGCCCAGATTGTAGACAGGGTGAGGGTGTGTGTGCCTGAGAGAGACGAGACAGAGAGACCAAGAGACAGAGTGACAGAGGTGTTTAGGAGCTGAGCTCTCAGGGACCTGGTTAAAGAAAATGGATTTTGCTCAGAGGAACATGGAGTCACTGCAGTGTCTTAAGCCAGAGAGTTCTTTCAGCATCTATTCAATAAATGTGTACACTTTAAAAAGAGCCCTCAAATTTCACTGTGAGAATGTGTTTGTAAAGGCCAAGCCTGCAGGCAGAAAGGTTGAGCAGGAGGCCCAGGTGACTAGCCTCACCAGGGCAATGGACGAGAGGTAAGACAGGTTCAGGAGAGTTTGCAGAGCCAGTCCTACTAACAGAACTTGCTCAATGTCTGAATGTCTGTGCAGGAGGAAGATGAAGGACTGAAGGAAGGTTTCCAGCCAATGACAGGTGCACATGGGTGGATGATGGCACCGTGCAGGGTGAGGGAAGCTGCAGGAAGGTCAGTGTTGGGGCAGGAAGTAGGTAGAGCAAGTTGAGTCTGGGGTGTCTGTGTCATAACTGGGTAAAACTGCACAGGGGACACAGCTGGAGACACAGGCCTGGGACCTGGGAGATCTGGGCTAGAGATAAAGGTTTGGTAGGCACTGTTATCCGATGATAACTGAAGCCATGGGAGCAGACATGGTTGTTTCAGAAGAGTCTAAACAAAGCAAACTGCCTAGAACAGAGCCCTGCAGAACATCAACTTTTGTGGTTAAGAGCAGACTCCCTCCTGCTTACTTCCATGGCAAACTCTCCACCACGCCCTAGACTGCCCTCAGTACCTGGAGTCCCGAGCCCCCACCTCCAACCCCAGTGCCTTCACCTTGTCCAGGTTCCTGTCCCTTCTCAATGGGATTCCTACTACCTTCTCAGGGGTCTTTCTCTTCCAGTCAGGCTCTCCTCTCCAATCTACCTCCTCCGCTGCCACTGAAATGACCTTACCAAAATGTCATCGTGAGAAATCAGTCATTAACATTCCTCAAAAGTTCCCTATGTCCATTTTAGGAAAATCCAGACTCCTTACCTGGATAAAAAGGGCCCTTGGGGATTAGAATCCTCCTTTTCTCGCCAAATATTGCCAAGTGTACTGCAGCCACATGAAAGCTGTACTTCCCAGACGTGTGATGCTTGTGTGTGCCACCATGCCTTCTCATGGACTGTTTTCTTGAAACCCAGAATGCCGCCCGCCTCCACCCTATCTTTGATCTAAATAACCCTGACTTCTTGGAAGCTCAGTTCACGTGCTATTTCCCCTGAGGCCTTTTCTGCTCAGTAATATGATTTAGATGCCTTTTCCCGGTGTTCCTGCATCATCTTATTTATGCTCCCATTATGGCTCTCAACACTTTGTATCCCTGCAACTCATTACTGATTTGTGTTTCCTTCACCAAACTGCATATACAAAATCTCACTCAACTTGCTGTTCTTGGTAATTGAATGCAGTAGGCACTCAATAAATATGTGCTGAATGAACAGATAATTACTAACATTTACGGAGCACTTTCAACTAAATGCTCACTCATGGAATCCTCCTAACACTGAGCTAAGCAGGCATCCATAACGCTCTCTGTTTCATAGATAAGGACACTGAGGCGCGGGTGCCCAGGATAACACCCGGAGTGGGGCTGGGGCATGAAGGTGATCTGCCTCTAGAACCTGCACTCCTAACCACAGCAGGCTTCCTCTGGTAACTCCTTTCTCTGAACCCAAAGGACATTTTACATAGATTTTGTCTAGCCTTTAACAACAAAAACTCCTCTTCTACATCGGAAAGCGCCATGAGAATGGAAATTGCCTTAGGCATCTTTACATTCCTTGCAACAACTGATAACGATGCTCTTCACATAACGCATGTTCAATAAATATCTGGGTAATTACAGTTGGGTTTTAGCATATTTCTAGATGACACTATTTGGGGAATTATTGCCACAAACTGTGTGAGGTTAAGTTTCTCAGTTGAGTTTCACGTCTTTCAAGATGGTATTACTTTAGCCATTTTACAAATGGGAAATGTGGGCTTAGGAGGGCTATGCAACTTGTTCAAGGTCATGAGGCTGTGAAGAGCTGGCTCACTGCCTACTTAAAGTGTGTATGCTTAGCTCAACATACAAAGGAGAAGGCATGGCCCGGCACAGTGGCTCACACCTGTAATCCCAGCGCTTTGGGAGGCTGAGGCTGAAGGATCACTTGAGGCCAGGAGTTTGAGACCCATCTGGGCAACACAGCGAGACCGCATCTCTACAAAAAATTTGAAAATTAGCCAGGCATCATGGCATGTCTGTAGTTCCAGCTACTCAGGAGGCTGAGAGGCAGGACGATCACTTGAGCTTAGGAATTTGAGGTTGCAGTGAACCATGATCACACCACTGCACTGCAGCCTGGGCGACAGAGCAAGTCCCTGTCTCTAAGGAAAAAAAAAAAAAATTAAAAAATTAAATCAAATATAACAAAAGGAATGGCAGTAAACATGATCACCCAGATGCAGTAGCTCAATGCCTGTAGTCCCAGCACTTTGGAAGGCCAAGGCAGGCGAATCGCTTGAGCCCGGGAGTTCAAGACCAGCCTGGGTAACAAAGTGAGACCCCATCTCTACAAAAAATAAAATAATTAGCCAGGTATGGTGGCAGTTGCCTGTAGTCCTAGCTACTCAGGAGGCTAAGGTGGGAGAATTGCTTAAGCCCCGAAGGTCAAGGCTGCAGTAAGCCATGATTGCACCACTGCAGTCCAGCCTGGGTGACAGAGTGAGACTCTGCCTCAAAAACAGAACAGTAATAATAATAATAATAAACACCTTATGGTCAACAAGTGATCACCAGTCCAGATCTAGATTGGTGCTGGGAAGGATGCCAACAGACCTGTGTCAGAGAAAGTGACACTGCCACAGATAACTCTTGACGACAGAATTTCCTTAGAGAGCCTGGTAGCAAACCTAACCCCAAGGGGCTATCGCACCAGATGAGGCTGAAAGGCTGCACTCGAGTCATCTTACCTCCTGTTTGCCTGAAACATCTGCATCTATGACAGAGAGCAACATCCAGGTCAATTCCATTTGCTATTAGGCTGGCTTTAACCTATCTAGCAGTCAGTTCACTTCACAAAACTCTCCAAACATGTGCAAATTGCCAAGCAAATGAATTTTTTTTCTTGTCCTAAACCCTTTCAAGGGTTTTTAAGATGTGTCTTTCCATAAGTGAAAAGGAAATGTTTTATGCTAGATCAAATGATACAGATGCAACTAGTTTCTGGCAGAAATTTTCAATAGCCACTCACCAGCACTCTTCAACATGAGGCTGTTAGTTTGGTTTTACCAGTGTGTCCTCAATTATCAAATGCCTCAGAATCACTATAGACTTTATAACACAGTTTGTGAGCACACCAAAAACAGAGTCTAATTAAGAATCCTAATAGCCATTTCAACTCCACCTAATCTCAAATCCTAATAACTAAGTTTTGCACATGTGGGATGTGGGATAGGCTAATAGGTATACCCTGGGCATGTGAATTCCAATTATTCTCATTCCATTACAGCTCCCAGAACTGCTGAGCAAGGTCAATTTATTAAAAGCGAATGCTGGTAAACTGTGGTACATCCATACCATGAAACACTCATGCCCCCAAAGCTGGTTCTCTTCCTAGATTCTCAGCAAAAGCCTCCTCCATTGACCTAGCTGTGCAAGCCAGGGAAGCGCAGGCATCCTCCCCTAGGACTCCCTCCCATGGTTAAGGCTTGTCACCTTCTGAACTCTGCTCCACACCCAGCAGTATCTTCTACAAGGACTCATCTCCCAACCCCTGCACACTGTGGCACAGGATCCTAAACCTCATCTCGATTTGTAACTTCACACGCGGAAAGGTAAATTAATGGAATTTCAAATCAGTTCTAATCAATAGTTTAATAGGTAGTAAAATACAGAGTACAAATAATGTGTAGAAATCCAGATACTGCGATGCCCCTACTTTGTGTTCATGATAGGAATTTGTTTTTTGCAGAAAATTTAAAAATACATGTGTTCAACAAACCAATTTAATCAAAATGCAACAACTGATGATTTAGGGAATGATAAACATATGTAGTATTGGGAAAATAAGTCAGATGCTTATTTGCAGCTGTTTTCTGAGGTTTCCATTACATCTAATGGAATAATAATCTATTGTATCTAACGGAATAATAATCTATTCCATTGACATGAAATTTTATGTCTACTTTCCTCCTCATTCTATCATTTTTCCTTCTTAAATGTAAAACTTCAATAGGTTATAAATAACTAGCATCCAGTAAAAGTCCACCCACAAAAACATTCATTTTTGTAGCCTAAGAATATTGTTTGGAAAATGGTTTCTAACTGAAGGAAAAAGCTACCAGAAAAAAAAAAAAAAAAGTTCCAGCAACTAGTTTAAAAACAACACAATCATTGCATTTCTCATCTCAAAATGTGCAGACAGTATATTACTGTCTTGTTTCTGGGCCTGACAGTGGATACAGACTTTGTAATGACATGGCGAATACAGTGGTATCAAAATTCTATTTTATTCTCTGTAATCTTGCTTACGAATGACCCAGTGTGCACTTCAAAGATTGATGATTAAAGATAGCACAGTCATGCAAGGTGAATAGACCATCTCTCAGTTACTTTTTAATGTAAAGTCTTCTATCAAGCTAGTCACGATTCAGAGGCTCCTCAGTCTGAAGAACCTGAATCTTCAAAGGAAGGTGTTTTGAGAGATGGTGGGAAGTGTTTTATTAATGCAGCATAGACTTACCCAACACCAGTAATGTCACTTTGACACCACCCCGCCTGCTCACACTGAAGGTGATATAAACTTGACTGCCACTCTAAAATCTTCAGACTGGTGTTTTGTTCAACCCACCTCTGTTCTAGTCAGGAACTGGTGATGGGATAGTTGCCATCCTAATGACCAGTGGCAATGTAAACTCTCCCTATAGTGTGTTACAGCACTCTAGGTCCAGCTATTTTAAAGGACAAAGGACAGCATAATGCAGAACTAAATATGAGCCCTGGAATAGAAAATATGGGCCCAGGTCCAAAACGCCAGCGTTTTGGGAGGCCCAGGCAGGTGGATCACGTGGTCAGGAGTTCGAGACCAGCCTGGCCAACATGGTGAAACCCTGTCTCTACTAAAAATACAAAAATGAGCCAGGCGCCTGTAATCCCAGCTACTCGGGAGGCTGAGACAGAATTGCTTGAATCCGGGAGGCAGAGGTTGCAGTGAGCCAAGATCATGCCACTGTAGTCCAATCTAGGTGACACAGAGCAAGACTCCATCTCGAAAAAAAAAAAAAAAAAAAAAAAATATATATATATATATGCTCAGGCACTAGCTTGGCCATTTACCAGTGACCTTGGGTAAGTTCCCCAGTCTTAGCTGCCTCACCTGGGAAGAAGCTTAAGGTTATCCTGCGCAACCTTCTAGCCCAGGGGTGTCCAATATTTTGGCGTCCCTGAGCCACACTGGAAGGACTGTCTTGGGCCACACATAAAATACACTAACAATAGCTGATGAGCTAAAAATTTTTTTAAAAGGTTCATGTATAAATCTCATAATGTTTTCAGAAAGTTGATGAATTTGTGTTGGGCCACATGCGGCCTACAGTCCATGGGCCGCGGGTTGCACAAGCTTGTTCCAGCCAGTGTTAAGAACCCCACCTATGAACAGTCTAATGACGTACGTTTGACACTTTATTTCTTAGTATGTCAGCTCCTCTCCCTGCTGAACAACCAGGAAGCTCTTACTTGTACTCAGTATGTGGCTCTCTGTCCTTTTCAATGCAGTCCCAATTCAACCCTAGAAGCAAAACATCCCCTAGACAGCAGCTCTTCAAACGATGTATGAGAAGACAGGTGCTACACCCCGTGTAAGTTTTCCCTGAGCAATCCTGAAATGATTTGGTTTTCTGACAACTCTCCCCATGTCAGATCAACTCTGGCTTGGCAGAGACCTTACAGGAACACGCTAGAGAACTCCAGACGAATTGCATCCCACGGAATTCTAATCACCAAAACCCAGCTGATCAGAATCACCGGGGAACTTCTGAAAACTAGTTTTCTCATCTGCAGTGGATCAAAATCTTCAGGGATCAATCTCAGGAATCAAAACATTCTACTAATCATCCAGATTTGATCAAATCAATATAGCGGCACTACTTAAGACAGTTTGGCTAATGGAAAGCAAGCAGGAGGTATGAGCTTTCCTCAGTTATGTTTTATACCACAGTTTAATTATATGACAAATTGTTGAGAACAGGTTTTTTTCTTTTTTGAAATATGGTCTCACTCTGTCATCCAAGCTGGGTTGCAGTGGTGTGATAATAGCTCACTACAGTCTCAACCTCCTGGGCTCAAGCCTCCAAGTAGCTGAGACTACTGGTGCACACCACCACACCTGGCTAATTTTTTGTATTTTCTAGAGACAAGGTCTCCCTGTGTTGCCCAGGCTGGTCTCGAACTCCTGGGCTTAAGCAATCCTCTTGCCTTGGCCTCCCAAAGTGCTGGGAATACAGGCATGGGCCACCACGCCTGGCCAGAACAGATGATTTTTAAAGGATCCAGTTATTTAGATGCATTATAACAGATGTATATGATACAAAATAGAGTAAAATCTTTTTCTCAGGAGTTGGGGCTCTACAGTGGCTGCCTGAGTGAGAATTCCTCAAGAGTAATTTAGGGCCTTTCCTTAGGGAAAGGAAAGGGGAAAATTTAGTTTGATGGAGTCTTAGAAATTCTATTACCCAATAGTATCATAAGTTAATATTCTTAAATTGCAATTATACTTAGTATTTCCAGTCCCTTTGACTGCTGTTGATTTCCAGATTCCCATTTTGGGCTGGACAATCTGACTGCATCCCTGTGATTTCACCAATACTTTCCTACTCTGCATTCCTCCACCTACCCTGTAGAGTTGTATAAATATGTCCATTTATACAGCTGATTTTTCTAGGTTTCCTTTGATTCATTCTCATATGACAAATTCCTCAAGAGCAAAAACTAGGCCTTCATCTTTCTTAATAATGACTTACAGTAAGGATGGAAGTACTGGTTATTGCTAAAAAATCTTTTGATAGTCTCAAACTCTTTCAAAAAGTTGAAGAGGGTGGAACATTTCCTAACTCATTCTATGACAGCAGCATTACCCACACCAAAGCCTGACAAAGACACTACAAGAAATAAAAATTACAGACCAAAGTCTCTGATCAATATTGATGGAAAAATTGTCAACAAAATACTAGCAAGCTGAATTCAGCAGCGTACTAAAAGTATTATGCACAATAACCGAGTGGATTTATCCCTGGAGTACAAGGATAGTTTCACATATGAAAAACACTATAATATATCACACTGATAAGATAAAAAAAACATGTGATCTACTGGGCGCAGTGGCTCACGCCTGTAATCCCAGCACTTTGGGAGGCCGAGGTGGGTGGATCACGAGGTCAGGATATCGAGACCATCTTGGCTAACATGGTGAAACCCCGTCTCTATTGAAAATACAAAAAATTAGCCAGGCGTGGTGGCGGGTGCCTGTAGTCCCAGCTACTCGGGAGGCTGAGGCAGGAGAATGGTGTGAACCCGGGAGGTGGAGCTTGCAGTGAGCCAAGATCACGCCACTGCACTCCAGCCTGGGTGACAGAGCAGGACTCCGTCTCAAAAAAAAAAAAAAAAAAAAAGGGATCATCTCAATTGATACAGAAAATTTGACAAAATTCAATACCCTTGATTTAAAAAAAAGCCACACCCAAATTGAAATAGCAACATGATAAAGGCCATATATTAAATACCCACAGATAGTATCGTACTATGATAAAATACTAAAAGCTTCTCCTCTAAAACAAGAACAAGACAAGAATGCCTACTTCCACCACTTCTATTCAATGTAGTATTGAAAGTTCTAGCTAGAGCAATTAGGCAAAACAAGTAAATAAAGGTCATCCAAATTTGAAAACAGGCCGGGCGCAATGGCTCACGTCTGTAATCCCAGCACTTTGGGAGGCTGAGGAGGGTGGATCACCTGAGGTCAGGAGTTCGAGACCAGCGTGGGCAACATGGTCAAACCCCATCTCTACTAAAAATACAAAAATCAGACGGGCATGGGGGCGGGCATCTGTAGGCCCAGCTACTAGGGAGGCTGAGGCAGGAGAATCGCTTGAACCTGGGAGGTGGAGGTTGCAGTGAGCTGAGATCATGCCACTGCACTCCAGCCTGGGCAACAGAGTGAGACTCCGTCTCAAAAAAAAAAAAAAAAGTTTGAAAACAAAGAATTATCTGTTAGCAAATGGCATGATCTTATATGTAGAAAACCTTAAAGATTCCACACCAAAAAAAAACTAATAAAGCTAATAATTCAGCAAAGTTGCAGGACACAAAACCAACAAGCATCAGTTGCATTTCTATACACAATGAACAATCCTAAGAGGAAATTAAGAAAATAATCCCATTTATAATAGATCAATAATAAAATACTTAAAAAGACCTGTATGATAAAAACAACAAAAGGTTGGTCAAAGAACTTAAAAACCTAAATAAATGGAAAGACATCAGTGTTCATAGATTAGACTTAAAATTGTTAAGTCAATTTAATCTTTGAAAATCCCATCGACAATTTTTGCATAAACAGAAAAACCTAAGGTTCACATGAAACTCTGAGGGGCCTTAAGTAGCCAAAACGATCTTGAAAAAGAACAAAGTTGGAAGACTCATACTTCCTTACTTCAAAACTTACTACAAAGCTACATTAATCAAAACAGTGTGGTACTGGCTAAGCTCAGATATACAGACAAATGGGACAAAAGAGAGTCCTAAAATAAACCCTAGCATACATGGCCAACTGATTTTGGCACCTCGTTCAGTGGGAAAAGGACAGTCTTTTCAGTAAGTGGTGCTGGGAACACTGGGTAGCTACATGCAAAAGAATGAAGTTGACCCTTACATCACATACTAAAATTAACTCAAAATGGATCAAAGACCTAAATGTAAGAGCTAAAATAATACTCTTAGAAGAAAACACAGGGCAAAAGTTTCATGACATTGGATTTGGTGATGCTTTCTTAGATATACCAAAAGTAAAGACAACAAAAGAAAAATTAGGCCAGGTGAGGAGGCTCACACCTGTAATCCCAGCACTTTGGGAGGCCGAAGTGGGAGGATTGCTTGAGCCCAGGAGGTGAGAGCAGCCTGGGTAACATAGTGACAGCCCCACCTCTACAAAATATTTAAAAATTAGCTAGGTGTGGTGGCCTATAATCCCAGGTACTTGAGAGGTTGAGGCAGGAGGAGCACTTGAGTCCAGAAATTTGAGATTGTAGTGAGCCACTGTGATTGTGCTACTGCAGCCTGGGTGGGAGTGGGACCCTGGGGGGAAGGGAGGAAGGGAGGGAGGAAGGGAGGGAGAGGAGGAAGGGAAGGAAGAGGAGGAAGGGAAGAAAGGAAAGGAAGGGAAGGAGAAAGAAAAAAGGAGGAAGGGAAGAAAGGAAAGGAAGGGAAGGAGAAAGAAAAAAGACAGACTGGACTGCACCAAAATTTAAAATTTAAAACTGTGTATCAAAGGATACTACCTATAAGACAGTGAAAAAACAAACCACAGAAAGGGAGAAAATATTTGCGAACTGTACATATAAGGGGATATCCAGAATTTATAAAGAACTCCTACTACTCGACAGAAAAAAAAGCAAACAACTGGACAAAGAACTTGAACAGCCATTTCCTCAAAGATACACAAATGGCCAATAAGCACATGAAAATATACTTAACATGACAAGGCATTAGGGAAATGCAAATCAAATCACAAAGAGATACCACTTGCATACTTATTAGCATAGCTATTATAAAAAAAACTCAGAAAATAATAAGCATTGGCAAGAATGTAAAAAAACTGGAACACTGGTACATTGCTAGTGGGAATGCATAACGGTACAGCCGCTGTGGAGAACAATATAGCTGTTCCTCAAAAAGTTCTTTATAGAATTCCACGATTCAGCAATTCCTAGATCTATACCCAGAAAACCTGAAATCTGGGGCTCGAACAGATACTTGCACACCAATGTTCACAGCAGCGTTAGTCACAACTGCCAAAAGGTGGAAAAGACCCAAATGTCCGTTAATGGATGAATGTATAAACAAAATGTTGTATATACATAAATGAAGTCTTATTCAGCCTTACAAAGAAAGGAAATTATGGCACATGCCACAACATGGATGCACCTTGAAAATAAGTGAAATGACACAAGAGGACAAATAGTGATTATTCCACCTCTATGAGGCACCTAGAGCAAGTTCATCAAGATAAAAAGCAGAATGCAGGTTCACAGAGGCCGCGGGGAAGGGAAGTATGGGGAGTGACCATTTAATGGGTACAGAGTTCTTGTTTGGGACAATGAAAAGAATTCTGGAAATGGACGGCAGTGGTATCTGCACATGGAGAATGTACTCAGTGTCACTTAATTGGACACTTAAAAATGGCTAAAATAGTAATTTTTAGTTTTGTTTTTTTTTTTTTTGTTTTTTTTTTTTACCACAACAACAAAAATCTTTTGGTAAGGATAGCCACGGTTAGGAGCCTGGACACTGGAGTTATACCTACTTGAAACCTGGACCTGCTACTTTCCAGCTGACTGGCTCTAAGAAAGTTACTTAACCTCTAAAGAACCTTAGATTCTTCCTTTGTAAAATGAGGATGTCACTGTCTCACAGATGTGGTTAAGATTAACATTAAAAGAAGTAAAATATCGAGTACAGGGGCGATCACATAGCAGGCTATCACCCAAAAGCGATGGGTTGTTACTTCAGTAGCTCTGCAGACAGAAAACAGATGCAGTTATTATAGAAAACACATGAATGAAGAGAGATGGGGAAAGCCTTGACATGTTAACAGGCACAGGTACCGCTAACAGGGAATCATGAAAAAAGGTGTGTGGCAAGGGACTCTCAGCTTTTCAATAGTTCACGAAAACTTTTAGGTATACAGGATTTCATTTACTACAAGTTCAATATGAAGTGTGTGATACAGACGCTTAGAAAAGAGAATGTGATCGTAGGTCCCAACTGACAGTATAGTTCACCTGTCACTGTGCTTGTTCTAGGAACACTCTTTCAGAGACATGAATGAAAAACAGTGCTTCCAGAATAGGGCTCCCAGGAAGGATGAAGTCTCTGAAAGCCATCTAATACAAAGATCAGCCTTGAGATCAGAAGCACACTGGGAGAATGAAGGATGGGCTGAAAATAATGGCAACATAAATAACAACTCAAGTTACTCAATAATGGAACAGGCTTCCAGCACTCAAGTGCAGGTTGACTGACCACTTGTGAAAACAGATTTTACAGGAGCAATTACTACACAGGAAAGGAGGAGGAGCAGGAGAAACAGTGATCTTTAAGGTATTTTACCTATTTTACCCTCTAAGATTCTATGACTCTCAATGTTCAAATTTAAACTTTGAACTTTTCAGACATGCTATCACAGAAAGGTGACACAAGCTACTATGTGCTAAATAAATGCAGGCACATGTAGAATGTTGTTTTACACACATGCAATTCTGTTCTAGGGAAAATCTCTTTGGATACAGAAGTAGGAGCTTGGGCAAAAGCAGTAACACAGTTTCCAAAGTGTCTACTTCTAATCTGTAAATACATTTTAGGCAAAAAGGAAAAAACACACTTGAAACCCACAGGCACAAATAAACCAACTTTAATAGATATTATTTTGTATTTATATAGTGCCTTCTTCAAGAACCTTAAATGCTTTACAGACATTATCTCTAATTAATCCCCACAACAACCCTGTGAGGTAGGTATTACTCCCATTTTACAAGACAGGGAGACTGAAGCACAGAGAGGTTAAGTGACTTGCCCAAGGTCACACAGTTAAATTCACTGAAGAGCCAGGACATGAGCGCTTTAGCCTCCCAGCTCCCAGCCAAATACCTCATGATAGAATCTTTAATAAAAAGTGTTTTTAAAGAAAGTATCAAGAGTAGTTATGTTATGAAAATGAGGTCTTTCTACTGCCATCAAGGAAAGAAAAAACCCTATACTGATGGTTAGAGGCCCCAAGACCCACATAATACAACATTTCCCTCTTTCCCTGTTCCCAAGCCTCCTGGTTCCTGTCTTAAATAATCTTTTAAAGGTAAAATTTCCAAGACAGAAGCCATGTGACTTAAGAAGTGGGACTTAATTTAGAATATTTACTTTTAGTTACAATAATTTATAGAAATTTTTATTCCAATATACAAAATATGGGACAGCCATCCCAACAATCATGTACATAGTTACACGGCAATCAGCCACCACTTACAACTTACACCAGCCCCGCATTTTAATCACAGTCAACCAACATACAACCTCACGATGCTTTCTTCATGGGTCACTTTTCTTACTTACTATACCTGTATTTTTCCCCCAACCCTGACCCTATACGTTTTAAAAGTACATTTAGTTTCTGATAAACTTCAAAACATTTTACTTAGATCCAGCTGCATTAAGAAGAAAAAGTAAATGTAAAACTGTCACCCCACAATCCCTCCCCTGACAAATCATACTATGAAGTACGGTGTAGATGTGAACAAGTATGTGATTACCAGGAACTCAACACATACACTAGAACTTGCTTTAATATGAAATTTAACTTGGCTTTTACGGCATGTTTTTTTTTAATGCAAAAATGTAAAAACAAACACAACATAGTATTTCAATGCTGTACCTTTATGCAAATGACTTCATCTATCTTTCTTAAACATGTTGATATAGCTAATGTTAAAACTGACACAGCTTCACTTTCCTCTTTTTCTCTGTACCGAAAGCTGCAGAAATACAGCTTTAATTCCAAGACAATTTGGTTTAAGCCTTCAAAATAAAAAGAGTGCATCCACTTCCACTGCCCTGACTTTCCCCACACTGTTGATTGTGATTCTCTGTGGCATGTTGGTAGATCAGGCTGGCTTATATATAATTTGTACAAAACACCTCTAGCCAGGGTAAGGCTTTAGGAACTATCTTAAAAAGAAACTTGTCAAAATACTTTTTGATATTTTGTACAAATACTAAATATTATAATTTTCTCCCAGAACATCTGTTTAAGCAGCCCAATTAAGTGACTCTGTTAAAGGTCTGCTTATGGAAAAAATAGGTGAAGTCATTTCCTGAGCCAAAAGATACAGATAATAAATGTTAATAATAGCAGCAGACTAAAAAATTCCTTTTTGTTGTTTTCCATAGTCAACAGTTTTAGCAAAAGGACTTTAGAAAATGACAATTTTTTTTAAATTTACTGCCTGAAAAGAGTTTAATAAAGAACATCCAAGGCCTGATTGCTATTATTCTGAATATAATTTTCAATAATTTTCTGCAAGTTACATTTGGCTACTGTCAGACAACTTACTGATGCATGGAAAAACGTCCAAAAAAACTGCAATCGTTTACATATATTTTATGTTACATATATTACTTCTTAAAACCCCCAACAGAATGAAGTCTTAGCAAACACAGATTTTAATTTCTGAACACCCTTCCAGTAAGATTTGTAAAGGTGGGGGGAAGGGAAGGAAGGACTTGTCTTTTGTATTCCCGGTCTACTTGATTAAAATTTAATCTTTGAAGGGTTTGTTTAGCTCACTATCCAGGCTGCTAGGGTTATGATGAACATTATGACTTCTTTCCAGGGTAAAAAATGGCATCTGAAAATAACATAAATGCTATGACATGATTTTCCCAAGCATGATCTCAACTTGAAACATTAGAATACTTAAGAATTCTAAAGATTGGTATACCACCACTGCACCAGAATTTTTAATTATTCCAACAACTACAGGAATTTTTAAAATAGTTTTTTAATTTTATGAAATTAAAGCTGAAGAAAATAACTGATTTAGAAACCATAATAAAAGGACAAATATTTAGCCAGAGATATCAGTTCCTCCTGAAAAAGGATATTTATCTCCTCTCACTGCAGTTTTTCTCAAGGTATCTTAACTGATTTCAGATAGAAATTAAAATTCACCTTAAAAATAGAAACAAACAAAAGGACAACTTAAACTGACATTAACTAATAAAAATATGTTCAAATTTACTGACAGAATCATGGGCACTTCATATAATACTTAGACTCTACCAGTTTTAAGTAAAATAAATAAGGAAAAAATTATAATTACAAAGCCAGTCTTTCCCCTTGGGGAAACAAAAAGCCACTTTTGACCAATTGCTCCCTACATATACATATACTGTATATTATTATAAGCTTCTTCAGAGAAGCAAAACATCTTTGTCTTCCCGACACTGGATTATCTAGCATGTTAGTTTTTACATCAGGAAGGCAACTGCAAGTGTTGGGCCCAAAAGTATTTCTGGTTTACTCTTGAAAAGACCACTGAATATGCTTCTATACATACTGAACCAGGCAAATTTATGCAGTGTGTTCAACATCATCTCCTTATCAATACGGCACAGATTCCGATTCTTTCTACTGCACCCCCAAGGAATTCAAAGCATTATTGGTGCAATTAATAAAGAGAAAATGCGTGCCAATGACTGGAAGGCTGTTTTAAAAGAGGAGCTGGTATCTCTGATTTCACCTCCTTGTTGTATGGAACTGTACAGACAGCATGATACCTGAGCAAATAAATCAACTACCATGATCGGAAGGGCTTGTCAATCCATCGTCTTTGCTTTATCGTGTGCAAAGTGTGCTACTGCCCCCTGAGCTTCCTGCATTTCTCTTTTCTTGAAAAATCAGTGCTTGATCCTTTCCAAAATAACCAGAGAAGAAATGAGGCAGAAAGTGTCTCTTCATCACGGTTCCCTCTCAGTCCCGAGACTGATAGAAAAGGATGTAACCAGACTCAGAGTTCTTTGAGATATCTGATGTCAACCCGTAGAATTCTTCAATAGCTTGTGCATCTATTTTCTGTGAGGTAAAATGTAAACATTAGTACATAAATGAGCTCTGTACAGCCAGAATGGCTTAAATTTAAAAGACTGACAATACCAAGTATTTGGTGAAAATGTGGGGAAAATGGAACTCTCACACACAGCTGGCAGGGCACACCAAAAAAATGTTTATAAATACCTATCTTCTAAAGCTGAACATACAACTACCCTTTGATCCAGCAATTCTACTTCTAGGTACAGGATGAATTATATGAAACCACTAATAACTATTTTGGACCAACAAAATGGTAACTTCTAGGCTGGGCACACTGACTCACGCCTGTAATCCCAGTACTGTGGGAGGCCAAGGCGGGCAGATCACCTGGGGTCAGAAGTTCGAGACCAGCCTGACCAACGTGGAGAAACCCCATCTCTATTAAAAATACAAAATTAGCTAGGCGTGTTGGCGCATGCCTGTAATCCCAGCTACTCGGGAGGCTGAGGCAGGAGAATCGCTTGAACCCAGGAGGTGGAGGTGGTGGTGAGCCGAGATCGCACCCTTGCACTCCAGCCTAGGTAACAAGACTGTCTCCCAAAACAACAAAAAGGCAACTTCTAGTGGTCCAACCTAACATATATCCAAGAAAAATGAGTGTATACGTCCAGCAAAAGGCTTATAAAAGATGACCAATGCATTTTAATTCACAATAGTCATTAACTGACAAAAAGTCAAATTTCTAACTTGGTATATTCATACAGTAGAAAATGACAAAGCAGTGAAAAAGAACTACTATTACCGCAGGCAACAAGAATGCATCTCACAAATATATCAATGAGTGAATAAAGTCTGACACAAAAGAAATCATGCTATGTGAGTCCATTTATATTCAAGCCTAGGCAAAATTAATCATAATGATAGAAGTCCAAATAGCAGGCTCCAGGAGGGTAGAGGTGAGGAAAGCTGTAAGTTCTGACCAGAAGGAGGAACAAGGGGGCCTGCTGCGGTGTTGAAAATGAATTGTATCTTGACCTGGATGGTAGTTACAAATGTGAGTGTGTGAGTATGGCCATGTGTGTGTGACATGGGGGGACACATGTATAAAAATTCATCAAATTCAGATTTGTATACTTTACTGTATGTATGTTACATGGCTTAATTTTTTTTTTTTAAAGCCAGGTCTGTTGTTGAAAGCTTTCCCTTGTTTTATTCTTTTTTTTTTTTTTGAGACGGAGTTCACTCTTATTGCCCAGGCTGGAGTGCAATGGCACGATCTCGGCTCACCACAACCTCCGCCTCCCGGGTTCAAGCGCTTCTCCTGCCTCAGCCTCCCGAGTAGCTGGGATTACAGGCATGCGCCACCATGCCCGGCTAATTTTGTATTTTTAGGAGAGACAGGGTTTCTCCATATTGGTCAGGCTGGTCTCAAACTCCCGACCTCAGGTGATCCGCCCGCCTCAGCCTCCCCAAGTGCTGGGATTACAGGCGTGAGCCACCGCACCTGGCCTCCCTTGTTTTATTCTAGGTGTGTAAAGGTTAGGTGACCACTCAACTGCTGGGCTTGGACGTTGCAGAGTAAGAAGTAGGAATTAGACTACAATCTATAGACCCAGACATTTGTCTCATATCATCACCAGTCATATATAAATGAAAAACTATGAGAAAAAAGTGAAAAGCAACATATGCATACAACTTTCAAAAATAAGAAATTAAGAAACTACTTACTTCTACAATGTCGTCATCAAACAACAACCAAAAATCATGACTCTTAACTATTGCAATATAATGGCCTCGATTGGGACCACTAAAACAAACGAAGAAGAAGTTAATTCAATATATTTATTAATATTACTCTTTCATGCTCTAAATTTTGTTTTATAAAGAAACAGAAACAGATAAATAGCAGTAAAAAAGAACTGCTTCTTTTTTATACCCCTTACCTATTCTTGCCAAAAGAGATAAAGCTACACTGAGTTGAACTGGTCATCAATTTTAAAATCAAATAATTAGTACTCTAAGAGATATATCAGTATTCTTTTCACATACAGCTATATTACTGAAATTTTTTACTGTCTTTGTAATAATTTTCAATTTTGCTTCTATAATAAAAGACATATTTTTCTATCATTTTATAAGGGAGGGGATCACAGCAGAACATGCTGAGTTGGACTATAAAACAATGCATATAGAATTATTTCTAAGTCTCACTCCCTTGGTAATGGTTTTTTTCTTGAGGAAAGATCCAATATGATGCTTGAAACAGGCAAGGATATCAAATCCTTGGTTCCAAAATCAAGCCTGAACTTCATAAAATGTCTTTAAAAGCAAATGACCTTTGCTCAATGGTAAGTCATTATTAAGTACCTAATTCTTAATACCATTATAACTATGACTATGATTGCCCCTGCATCTCATTTCAAACAAATCTGGAATATATAAATGTAGATATACATAAAAATAAAAGAAGCATAATTCCTTTTCTTTATAAAAGGATATGACAAAGGTTTTAACCTCTTCCAGTTTAAGTATGGTTCATTATAAAGGCTCATATAATTATATTTATTAAATTGTAATTCTATAATTAATACAGAAGTTAAAATCCTTTTCAACACAAATTATTCTTTATGGTGAACACTATTTTAAAAGTAGTGACCAGATATTAGAATAAGCCACCTACTATAATATCTTATGTTTCTCAGATCATTTGATCCTGTAGGTGAGATAAATATCTTTGACAGAATGACACCAACAAAAATACTTTTTTTTTTTTAACTATGGAGGATGACACATCAAAACTTTTTCTTAAAAAAGCATTTAATGCTTTAAGTCTATTTCTGTATTTATTTAGGCTCATCTAAAGGGTCTTGTGTGTTATGGGGAGAGGGTCAGAAATGAAAACAAAATTATAAAAGGTGAAATAAAGAAAAATCAAAGAAAGGTTGCAGAACACAGGGTGGAAGGAAAGGAGGTGGGTGGGGTAAGGACTGGTAAATTGAAAAAAGTTAGGCGGCTTTTTCCTTTGGCAAAGAACTAGTTTGAGGAACAGTAGACAAAAGTTAATTTCATAAACTAAAAATGAAATGAGAGATGAAGGGCTGAACTTCCACCTAAGGAAGTTGTTTCTTAGGCATCTGATTTCTGGACATTAAACACACTCAGTTGAGTAGATACAAATGCGTAAGGTATGCAAATAACTATTGATTGCTGTGGAGATTAAAGAGATACCAACAACTGCTTGCCCAAATACCCCTTCAGTACAATAGATAACTACTCCAAAAACATAATCCAAGGAAGAATATGATATAAAAGTAGAGCCACAGGAGAGACCTCATCCAGCAAGACAGGAGGTAGAAGGGAGAGAGGGATGGGAAATCACGAAATGGTGCCCAGTTTTGACATGGGCTTGAAGGGTAATACTTAAGTCAACAAACATTTGCTAGAAGTCTCTTCTAGGCTGGGCACCGGGGACAGAGAAGGAGCAAGCTGAACTGGAACTGACATGCTGATAATGAGGCTGCGCACACCCTCCACACTTTCATATGAAGCAAATCTACAAATAAGTCTGATAAATAAAATACACAATGGAAAAAGATTCTAAAATATGATTAGTCTTTTATTAGTGAGCAAATTATTTTCTGTTTTAAAAAGCACCTGTTCTCATAAGGGAAGTAGACATACATCCTAAGAGAGTACATAAAGCACTAAGACAGGGCTAGCAATGCACGTCTAGTATTTATGTGAAGACAATGGAGCAGCACCACATGGAGACTGAGGCTGGGCAGAAGAGCGTCAAGGAAGACTTCCAGAGCGGAGGGGCAGGAAGGCATGAGGCAATGAGAGTGAGACAGGAGAAAGAGTAAGACCCTGGGGTGGGGGCGGGATACCAAAGACCTGCTGTGCAGAACTCCATCAGGAGAGAGTTCCCAGTGAAGGCAGACCACCAGGGCTGTGAGGAAAGTCAATAAACATCTCTCTGCAATTTTCTGCAACAATTCTGACAGTAGGGATTCAGACAGCTGGCAAGAGGATTTTACAGTGCTTGTGAGAACATGCTTTAAATAACTGACTGTGGAGTTCAAGTTGGGAGAAGCAAGTGAGGCCAAAGAAAAGGTTAAAAAGGGAAAGGGTCAAGAGACTTAAGGATTTAAGGCTGGGGAAAGAGTTGGGTTAATTTTAAAAGGGGAGAGTGGGGAGGGGACCCCTCCCCAATGAGTCAGGCATCTCAGCTCAGTATATTGTGAGTAGAGCAATTCTAAAAATCTAGCATGATTTAAGTAGAGTAGGACTGTCACTAAATTTGAAGAGGCTAATCGGTGTGAGAAAGTAAATATTATAAAGCTAAGATGTGAGAAGGTAATATTACATTTTTGTTAATAGAACAGTAGCAGTAGCTAAGCGATTTACATCTCCCTTTGAATCCTAACAAAGCAATGTGGTAATTAGTATTATTTACATTTTCTAGAAGAGAAAACTGAAGGCTTTTCAGGAAGCTATGCATAACGTTACACTGCCCACAATTGGCAGAAATGGTACTGAGATCCAAGTTTCTCTCACTCTGAAAACCCGGTCTGAATCACTACACCAAGGTTCTTTAAGTAATCTTGACACTGCTTCACTCCTTTAAGATGTGATCACTCTTAATTTAGAAGTAGAAGAAAGATTCTTGCTGAGGATAAAAGACGGGACCCAAGGCTGACCCAGGCAATGGAGGAAGAAGACGATTATTAAAGAGCATTTGCTCCCTCCAGATTGTCCTTAAAAATTCTCATCAGAGGCCGGGCGCGGTGGCTCACGCGTGTAATCCCAGCACTTTGGGAGGCCGAGGCGGGCAGATCACGAGGTCAGGAGATTAAGACCATCCTGGCTAACATGGTGAAACCCCGTCTCTACTAAAAATACAAAAAATTAGCCGGGCGTGGTGGTGGGTGCCTGTAGTCTCAGCTACTCGGGAGGCAGAGGCAGGAGAATGGCGTGAACCCGGGAGGCGGAGCTTGCACTGAGCCGAGATGGCGCCACTGCACTCCAGCCTGGGCCACAGAGCAAGACTCCATCTCAAAAAGAAAAAAAAAAAATTCTAATCAGAGAGCTGGGAGGAGGGCTGAAGATGAGAAAGCTGTAACTTTTTTTATTTGGATAAAACATGCTGTTAGTACAAGTTTCCCAAAACCAAGGGGAAAATGATGAGTGCCTGCTTTAAAATTATTAAAGGAAATTCTAAGCAGTCAATGAAGACAGTTATGTTCCAAATACAAGTTTTGATTATGTGATGCTCTTGCAGTTTGAGAATTTTCTGAGGTATTTAATAAGGCCAATTATAGGTATGTACGTTCATACAGAGAAGATGTGTATACCATGTTGGAAAAGAAGATGAGAAGAAGACAGAAAGCAAAATTGGCTAATAAGAAATGATAAATACACACACAGGTAAAATCAAAAAATGAATCTTTGAAGATTATTTCCAATGCCATTTTAAAATGCTTTTTACAACCATTGATATGCTGAACATACGCAATTAAACTCAGAAGTGATTTATTTTAACCAACAACCCTCTATACACACACCCCAAAAAAGGAAAAGAAAAACTAACAGATCTCAAAGTTCTAGGAAATCAGATATAGTACTTGTAGAGTAATAAATAATAAAAATAAAAACAATATATTTTAACATATAAAATTTTTAAGAAATGATAAAACATAAAGCTAAAACTCCATTTTGAAATAAAATTATCTTGAGAGAATACAGAATTTCTAAAAGTTCTATATATGAATAATTCATGAACATCTTGAATGTACCCTGCTCTTCTAACCTAGGAATTCCACTACTATGTCCCCGGAGTTGCAATTACCTTCCACAGTGAACCACAACAGCAACAAGGTCGTACATTCTGTCTGGATTGGTGGCATCACCTGAAGTGTTAAACAGACGAAGTTCTAAAGGAAAAACTACCCGGTAAGAGAGTTTTGTATATCGATGAAGTTGATCCATATATTTAAATCTCTTCAGGTGTAGAGCTAGAATCATGGGCAGTTTTTTAACTTTCATCCTATTAAAAATAAAAATGAAAACAAAATTTCATAAAAGATATCCACCATGTCCTTGAATTATCAAACTTTACGATATCCAATGAACAGATAGACAATGGTCAGTTTTAATAGCCCAGCAATGCCCAGTTTTGCACATTTCTATCAATTATTTTTATACTGACAAAACAACATTCTGAACATCTTAATATGACCCCACCCTACCCATCATTGTCACACCACATAATTTGACACAGCACTCAATATGGCTCCAAAACAGATGGAATGGCGTTAGTCCTTGGTTAAGGAATCTGTATTTTTCAAACACACGTCTCTTATAATAAGGCTAAATGCACGGGGTGCTCAAGAGTGGTAGAGGGAAGGCCAGGCGCGGTGGCTCACGCCTGTAATCCCAACACTTTGGGAGGCCGAGGCAGGTGGATCACCTGAGGTCATGAGTTCAAGACCAGCCTGGCTAACATGGTGAAACCCTGTCTCTACTAAAAATACAAAAAATAGCCGGGCATAGTGGCAGGCGCCCATAGTCCCAGCTACTCGGGAAGCTGGGGCAGGAGAATCGCTTGAACCCAGGAGGCGGAGGTTGCAGTGAGCTGAGATCACGCCACTGCACTCCAGCCTGGGTGACAGAGCAAGGCTCCGTCTCAAAAAAAAAAAAAAAAAAGAGTGGTAGAGGGAAAACAAGTTTCTTGAAACTGACAATTCCTTTGGACTTGGGTAGACTGAAATCTATTTTTTCTATCAATCTATATGATGCAGGTACAGACTGACAATAGGAGACTAAAACAATAAAAGCACTAAAGACCAATCAAGGTGCTTGTCAGAGACAAGAAATAACTCCATATTAAGAAAAATGACAATGTATATCCTAGAAAGGGAGTAAAATAACCTGGAAACTTAGGAGTTAAGTTTTTAACTGTGAAACACAGGCTGTTCTTCATGTTCTAAACAATCTTTATTATGCCTTTAAATGCCATTTCTCCCTGAGAGTGCCTTTGTACTCCTACTTCACCTAAAAATCTATTCTTCTTTTAATGGCTCAGCTCAAATGTCACACCCTCTGGCACAAATACACCTGCTCTCTTCAATCCTCCATCAGCACCTTACAGGTTCACTTTATATATGTCAAGCTTATTACATGGTAACAATTTTAGGTGATTATGGTTCTTTTCTTCTAGGCCCTGAACTCTTGGCAGCTAGAAAGCATTCCCTTCATTTTTATTTCCCCACTATCTAGCAACATGCCTGACATATGATAGATGCCAAATGCTGCAGAACTGAATTTTAAATGGGTCTGGTGAAGCAAAATACTCCTCACAATTTAAAGAAGTGATATATGGTAAGCCACTGCCTCTAATAAGTGAAAAAAAAAATCATTTTATAACATTATACTAAATCTGCATTCTACACTTCTTAAATATGGTGGATAGCTTATTATTCCTAAATTACTTACTAGTGAATGAACTTGGCCTTTTGGAAACATTAGCCAAAGTAAAGGTAAACACCTAGTCACTCCTAGAAAGCAATCCACCAATATAAATTAGGAGCCTTTATGGCCTTTGTCTCAGTAATCCTATTTCTGGAAATACAATTAAATGTATAATCTCAAAAACATCCCTTATGAGAATAATCTCCTATTAGAGTTCTTTTACATTGTAAAAAATCCCAACTATTCAGCAACAGGAAATGTGGAAATAAATTAGAATTCAAACATAACCGAGTGTTGTACAACTTAAATAAAACAATGCTGATGAAAGTTTCTAGGTGACATAAGAAAATACTTAAGAAGTCAGGATATAAAATTATACATAAAATATAATTCAACTATGAAACATCAGACCTTTTATTAAACCCACATAGAGTTACTGAAAAGAAATCTTTACAAAACAACAAGGTATCCTTTGAGAATTTCCAATGGATGGTAGATGCAAAAGAAGAATTTTCTGAGCATAAAATGAGTGTCAGTGCACTATTAATAAATGGCAGTCAGGTAAGATTAGGAGGAGGAAAGAGAATGAACATGGCCCGATGGTTAGGGAAAATGTGCTTTTAGAAATTACACAAGGGGAGGAGTCCAAATGCAGAAAAGAGAAAATATCTCAATAATAGCAGATACAATATGTTTAATAAGATAACACATGAAGAATATGAATCCTATTTGCCAAAGATCCTCCCAGAGGAGAAGTGCTGGCTACCACAAAGAAACCAACTACCCATGGAATTGTCAAGCAAAAATATGTGTGGAGCCATATTTTAAAGATGATGAGAGACTAGCTTACAAAATTTCCCTCATATTGAAATGGCTCCAAAAAAAAGCAGAAAACTGCTTGAACATACGTGTAAGGAGTCTGAAACTCATTATGTAGATTTTGCAGCAGAAGGAAGAAAAAAGAAGTTGATTTCCTGCTCAAAACACTAAGGTCACCAAAACACCAAAGAATTTATAGGATTCTGGCTTTCCTTCCATTCAAACTTGTGGGGAGGGAGGTTACATTAGGGAGGTCTTGATCACTGTCATTGTTTTAAAAAAAAAAGTGGTCTTAGAACATAATGTTTTCTACAAAAGACAAACATTTTGAAGGAAAAACAGGAGGACAGAGAACATTTTTTTCCTTTTAAGTTTGAATAAACACTGATTTTTAAAAAATCTTCTGTAAACAGATATAAATTAATTTTCTATTTAAATTTATTTTTTTAATGACATTTACTGACCACATAACCAACTACTTAAAATTTGGATGAATTTCTATTATTCACTTGGCCCTCCATATTGGGAGTTCCACATCCACAGATTCAACCAGCCATGAATTGAAAATATTCAAAAAATAAATAAGTAAAAAAAATTTTTAAAAAGACAAAAATAATACCATTTAAAAAAATACAGTGTAACAACTACTTATATACCATTTACATTGTATTAGGTACCAAAGTACATAGGAGGATGTGCATAGGTCATATGCAAATGCTATGCCATTTTATATCAGGGACTTGAGCAACCATGCATTTTGCTCTATGTGAGGGTCCTGGAACCAACTGATACGGAGCATAACTGTATGCATTTTCTTGCTTTTACATCTTTAAAATGACAAACTGCATCCATGTTGTATTCTAACATAACAGGGGGTTGCCTTTCTTGATAATGTCTAGTTATAATTTAAAACTATTCAAAAAAGAAAGAAGGATGGGAAAAGACATACCATGTAAACACTAATCCTAAGTAAACTGGCTATACTAATGTCAGACAAAGCATACAAGATAAGGAGTCTTACCAGAAATAAAGAATACTTCATAATAATGAAGGTCAATTAACTAAGAGAACATAACAATCTTAAAAGCATGTGCTCCAAAATTTGAAAGAATTATAGAAATAGACAAGTGCATAATCAGAATTGGAATCTTTAACAGACTTCTCTCACTAACAAAAAAAATCAGTAAGGATAGGAAAATATGAACACCCTAACTATGGACTTAATTGACATTTATGGAATACTCAACCTCAAACTGCACTATACACATTCTTCTCAAGTTCAACCGAAACATTCACTAATGTACTGGACAATAAAGAAGTCTCGATAAATTTCAAAGATGAAATCAGAGTATGTCCTCTGATAAAAAAAAAAACTAGAAAATCCCCCCAGATATGGAAACTAAGCAACACATTTCCAAATAAGCCATAGGACAAACAGAACATCACAAGGGAAATTAGAATATATTTTTAAATGGATGATTATTATGAGACTACAACATCCTCTCATTTTAGGTCCTGTTCCCTAGAGCAGACCCTGAGACAGAAAGTCCCAGGCCTGTGATTTAATGTCGTGCTCCCTGTGTGGGGCGGGGGGGAGTGGGGGGAGAGGGAAGGAAACCAGGTAAGGATTCAATCTCAAGCAAAATCCCAGGAAGAGTGGCTTCAGCTCAGTGTCAGAGAACCCCAGAGTCTAAATTTCACCTCAGATTTCTCTTGACCACAAGGTAGCTGGGGTTTTATATGCTCTTTAGCACCTGTCAGTGACTGGTCAAAGACTTGGAATTTGAACCAAACTCCAGAAACTCCCTTCTCCAGTAGCCCAAGGGGGAGTCCTTCCCAGAGCCATCAGGTGCTAAGTATTCCAAAGGACTAGGGGAGGAGCTGGAGGAAGGACTGACATTGCCTGCAACCACCCTCAACCGGAATACCAACTACCCAGCCGCAGGCAAGCAACACCACTATGGGATGGAATGCAGACCCTGGAATCCAGTGGAATCTGAACTGTTTTTCTCAATAGTCAGAAACGTTTTTTAAAGTAAATTTCCTATTTTTATAAATTGTGTGAGCCAGAGTTCTTTAGATGGAATCTGATCCAGAGGACACTATTTGCAAGCTCTGCCACAGATGAATGCAATACCCCAGCCACAGGCACTTAAGAACTTACCAACATCCTGTCAGCAGAGAAGTCCTGACCACACAGAAAAGCTTAATAATTGTACAGACATTCAGTTCCAAGGACTGAATTCCATGCCCTTTTAAAATGTACCATCAACAAGGATTAATTGTGACACATTACAATGAGGGGGTCAGGGCAAATAGAATGCTTTATGTGAGAAAGACACTAAGGTGACTCAGTGAGATATAAGCAATGAGAGGACATTTAGGCAGCAGAACCTGAACTCCAGCATGTGTTAAAATGGGGGATGGGTCACAGGCACAAATGAGGCTCATGACATACCCCAACATGTATATAAAACATAGTACTGAGTGATGGACATCTGGAGATCCAGGTAGGCATGCAGGCAGGGAGGCAGGAGGCATCAACTTCTCAACAGATGGAAGGACCCACCCAACTCAGATTCCAGAAGACTTGCATGGGGGTGTGTGTGCCAACAGGTGGTTGCAGATGCTGACTACAGCAAAGCAAATCCCTATTGCTGATATGATTTTGACATGATACTACACAAGTTACCATTACTGGAACTGGCTACAGGGGAATAAGATATGGATCTAGTTAGGAAAATGAAGCAAAAGGTAGGGCCTTCATCTCACAAACAGGAAGCCATTCAATCATTAAATCTAGGGCAGATACTCAGAGATGGACTGTGGCCATGACAATGTGATGCTGAGTCACCTGGCCATGCATGGATCTTCTTCAATACCTGGTAAGAACAGGACTGGTCCCAGAAGTGGGGTCAGGCACACACGGAATAAAGGGAGAGTAAAGAGACTTGAGAGAGGAAAGATGAGAAGGCAAGGAGCTTAGCTCCCAGCGTACTGTCACTAATCATTGGATCCCACAGAGTAGTGACAGAAATACAGGCATATCTTGGACACGCAGCAAGTTCAGTTCCAGGCCACCGCAATAAAGTGAGGACCGCAATAAAGTGAAGACCGCAATAAAGCAAGTCATACACATTTTTGGTTTCCCAGTGCATATAAAGGTTATGCTTATACTATACTGTAGTGTATTATGTAACAGCATTATGTCTGAAAAAAGTCCATATCTTAATTTAAAAATAGTTTATTGCTTAAAAAATGATCATCTGAGCCTTCAGTGAATCATAATCTTTCTGCTGGTGGAGGGTCTTGCCTCAAGGATGATGACTGCTGACTGATCAGGATGGTGGTTGCTGAAGGTCGGGGTGGCTGAGGCAATTTTTTTTTTTTTTTTTTTTTTGAGACGGAGTCTTGCTCTGTCGCCCAGGCTGGAGTGCAGTGGCGCGATCTTGGCTCACTGCAAGATCCAGGCTGAGGCAATTTCTCAAAATAAGACAAGAATGTCTGCCACATCAACTGGCTTTTCCTTTCACAGATTTCTCTGTAGCATGTGATGCTGTTTGACAGCATTTTATCCACAGAACTTCTTTCAAAATTGAGTCAATCCTCTCAAACCCTGACGCTGCTATCAACTAAGGTTATGTAATATTCTAAATCCTTTGTTGCCATTTCAACAATGTTCACAGCATGTTAACCAGGAGTAGATTCCATCTCAACAAACCACATTCTTTGATCTTCCATAAGAAGCAACTTCTCATTCATTCAAGTTTGATCATGAGATTGCAGCAATTCAGTCAGATCGTCAGGATCCTCTTCTAATTCTTGTTCTCTTGCTGTTTCCACCACATCTACAGTGACTTCCTCCACTGAAGTTCGAATCCCTCAAAGTCATCAATGAGGGTTGGAATGAACTTCTTCCAAACTGTTTTTAATGTTAATATTTTAACCTCCTCCCATGAATCACAAATATTCTAATGGCACCCAGAATGGTGAATCCTTTCCAGAGGGGTTTCAATTTACTTTGCTCAGATCCATCAGAGGAATCTCAATCTATGGCAGCTGTAGACTTAAAAAATATTAAATAATAACAATTGAAAGTCAAAATAACTCATTGATTCATGGGCTGCAGAATGGATCTTATGTTAGCAGGCATGAAAACAACATTAATCTCTTTGTGCGTCTCCATCAGAGCTCTTGGGTGATCACATGTATTGTCAATAAGCAGTAATATTTTGAAAGAAATCTTTGTTTCTGAGTGATAGGTCTCAACAGTGAGCTTAAAATATTCAGTAAATTATGCTATAAACAGGTGTGCTGTCATCCAGGCTTTGTTTCTTTTCTACAGCACAGGCAGGGTAGATTCAGCGTAATTCTTAAGAACTCAAGGATTTTAGGGATGGTAAATGAATACTGGCTTCAACTTAAAAGTCACCAGCTGCATTAACCGCTAACCAGAGAATCAGCCTGTCCTTTGAAGCTGGGCGCTCACTTCTCTCTAGCTATGACAGTCCTAAACACCCTCTTTTTCCAATAGAAGACTGTTTCCTCTATATTGAAAATCTGTTGTTTAGTGTAGCCACCATCAGCAACTATTTTAGCTAGACAATCTAGATAACTTACTGCTGCTTCACCTTGTACTTTTATCTCATGGAGACAGCTTCTTTCCTTAAAACCTCATGAACCCACCCCTGCTAGCTTCAAAATTTTCTTCTGCAGCTTCCTTACCTCTCTCAGCCTTCATAGAACTGAAGACAGGCCCTGGTTTTAGATTAGGCTTTGGCTTAAGGGAATGTTGTGGCTAGTTTGATCTTCTAACCAGGCCACTCAAACTTCTCCATTTGGCAATAAGGCTGTTTTGCTTTCTTATCATTTGTGGGTTCACTAGAGTAGCTCTTTTAATTCTCTTCAAATACTTTTTCTTTGCACTCCTAACTTGGCTGTTTGGTGCAAGAGGCCTAGCTTTCAGCCTATCTTGGCTTTCAACGTGCCCTATTCATTAAGCTTAATCATTTCTAGCTTTTCACTTAAAGTGAGAGACATGTAAATATTTCTTTTCACTTGAACCCTTAGAAGCCATTGTAAGGTTATTAATTGGCCTAATTTCAATATTGTTGTGTCTTAGGGAATAAAGAGGCCTGAGAGAGAGGTAGGAGGGGGAAAACGTCAGGTGGGTGGAGCAGTCAGAACGCACAACATTTAAGTTCATCATCTTTTTCTTTTTGAGACAGAGTTTCACTCTTGTTGCCCAGGCTGGAGTGCAATGGCGTGATCTCGGCTCACCGCAACCTCCGCCTCCCAGGTTCAAGTGATGCTCCTGCCTCAGCCTCCCGAGTTGCTGGGATTATAGGCATGCGCCACCACGTCCAGCTAATTTTGTATTTTTAGTAGAGATGGGGTTTCACCATGTTGGTCAGGCTGGTCTCAAACTCCTGACCTCAGGTGATCTGCCCACCTTGGCCTCCCAAAGTGCTGGGATTACAGGTGTGAGTCACTGCACCTGGCTAAGTTCATCATCTTAAATGGGTGCAGTTCATGGTGCTCCCAAGACAGTTACCATAGCAACATCAACGATAACTGATCATGTATCACCGTAACAATATAATAATGAAAAAGTTTGAAATAGTGCAAGAATTACCAAAAATGTGACAGAGACAGGAAATGTGCACACATGCTGTTGGAAAAATGGCACTGATAGACTTGCTCAACAGAGGGTTGCCACAAACCTTCAATCTGTAAAAACCACAGGGTCTGCAAGGTGCTGTGAAGTGAAATGCAATGTTCTGTTCTCTAAGACCTGAGCCTCAGCCTCCCCCTTGCCCCCATGCCAGCAGCCAGGGACAGGAAAACAACAACTGAAACAGCCATCAATCCTTTCTCATTACAGTTCCCCAGGGCGATCACTCTCCTCTCACCTATATGCTTTAACCTCCCATGGGATAAACGTATATGACCATTAGAGTGACATTTCCCACACTGCTATCTTTCCTGAACTGCACTATTTACAGAGTTCAATAGGCATGCTATATAAATGGAGTCTATGTGCAAGTAAATTCTGGAAAAAGCTGGATAAAGTTTCCTTTATTTTGTGAGTCTTCAGGAGCATGAATATTTAGATAAAATATTATAAAGCAAATTCATTTGATCATAAAATACTAATTTTGTGGCACATCATTAACATTCCCAAAAATTATTCTTCAGTGTTCTCGGGATGAACCTTTTTGGGAGAATATATATATATATATATTTTTTTGAGATGAAGTCTCACTCTTGTCACCCAGGCTGGAGTGCAATGGCGCAATCTCGGCTCACTGCAACCTCTGCCTCCCAGGTTCAAGTGATTCTCCTGCCTCAGCCTCCCAAGTAGCTGAGATTACAGGCGCCTGCCACCATGCCTGGCTAAATTTTGTATTTTTAGTAGAGACAGGGTTTCACCATGTTGGCCAGGCTGGTCTCAAACTAGGTTATACATTTTGTTATCTTTTTAACTACAAAAAAAATATGCACTTGAAGTCTGTCACTCATAAATCCATGTTTGCATACACACACACACACACACACACACACACACACACACACACACACACACAAATTCCTGTCTGGGTGTGGTGGCTCATGCCTGTAATCCCAGCACTTTGGGAGGCCAAGGCAGGCAGATCACAAGGTCAAAAGATTGAGACCATCCTGGCCAACATGGTGTAACCCCGTCTCTACTAAAAATACAAAAATTAGCTGGGCATGGTGGCGCACACCTGTAGTCCCAGCTACTCAGGAGGCTGAGGCAGGAGAATCGCTTGAACCCGGGAGCTGGAGGTTGCAGTGAGCCAAGATCATGCCACTGCACTCCAGCCTGGAGAGACAGTGAGATGAAAAAAAAAAAAAAAAAAAAGAGTTCTATAGTTTTAGGTCTTAAATCCATTTTGAGCTAATTTTTTGTAGATGACATAAGGTAAGGGTTCAACTTTATTCTTTTTCGTGTGGATATTCAGTTTTCCCAAAACCATTTGCTAAAGACATTATCCTTTTCCCACTATGTATTCATTCTTAGCACCCTTGATGAAGATCAGTTGCCTGTATATGTATGGTTTTATTTCTGGGTCATTTTGTTCCACTGGTCTATATATGTCTTTAGGCCAGTACCATACTATTTTAATTACTTTAGCTTTGTAATATACTTTGAAATCAGAAGTTTAATGCCTCCAGCTTTGTTCTTTTCTCTCAAGATTATTCAACTATTTAGGGTCTTCTGTGATTCCATGTGGATTTTTGGATGTTTTTTTCTATTTCTGCAGAAAATGCCATAGGAATTTTGATAGGGACTGCACTGAATCTCTAGGTTGCTTTGGGTAGTATGGACATTTTAACAATATTAAGTCTTCCATCCATGAATACAGGATGTGTTTCTATTTATTTGTGTCTTAATTTCTTTCAGTAACATCTTATAATTTTCAATATACAAGTCTTCTGCCATGTAAGTTTATTCCTAAGTATTTTATTGTTTCTAATAGTATTATAAATGGAATGTTTTCTTTTTTCTTTCTTTCTTTCTTTCTTTTTTTTTTGAGATGGAGTCTCGCTCTGTTGCCCAGGCTGGAGTGCAGTGGCGCCATCTCAGCTCACTGCAACCTCTGCCTCCCTGCCTCCCAGGTTCAAGCAATTCTCTTGCCTTAGCCTCCAGAGTAGCTGGGATTACAGATGTGTGCCACCACGCCTGGCTAATTTTTGTATTTTCAGTAGAGACGGGGTTTTAGCATATTGGCCAGGCTGGTCTTGAACTCCTGACCTCAGGTGATCTGCCCACCTTGGCCTCCCAAAGTGCTGGGATTACAGGCGTGAGCCACCGCATCTGGCCGTCAAATTGATTTTTGGTTTTTTACTAAGAACTATGGTCTGTATACTCAACACAAGCTTATCCTATTATTCCAAGACGGAGAACTATAAACTTTCAGAAGTGAATTCATCCAAGTAAAGGTCAAAAATATTAAATGAATTGCTCAATATCACACCATAAATTAACAGGTTGATACTAGATCCTAATGAGAAATATGTAACTTCTGTAAAGTTGTCTTTCCAGAAACTTATGCATAATTTATCCTACAAAGTGTCCAAAAATATGTGGGGAATATGTGTATATACACACAAAACTGTTCATCAAATCACTGTTTATAACAGTGTAAAAAATCTAAATTGTTGGATTTAGACAACTGGTAGATACATGGTACTATGGTATGTTCATACAAAAAAAATATACTATGCAGCAGGCGTGGTATCTAGCTCCTGTAATTCCAGCTACACCAGAGGCTGAGGCAGGAGGACTGCTTGAGGCCAGGAGATCTAGATGAGCCTAGGCAACATAGCAAGAGCCCGTCTATAAAAAATAAAATTCAATAAATTATTCAGGCACGGTGGCACACATCTGTAGTCCCAGCTACACAGAAGGCTGAGGTAGGAGGATCATTTAAGCCCAGGAGTCTGAGGCTACAGTGAGCTAAGATCGCACCACTGGACTCCAGCCTGGGTGACAGAGAGAGATCTTTTGTCTCTTTAAAAAAAAAAAAAAAAAAAAAAAATATATATATATATATATATATGCGCACATATACATATATTTTATATATATGCACATATACATATACATACACATATATATAATTACACACACACACACACACACACACACAATGCAGCACCTCCTAAGAAGGATATAAAAATATTTTTTCATTAACATGGTTGCAATTTTTTAAGTGAAAAAGTTTCGAACTTGTACATAAAGTTTGATAGCATTTTAGGGACTATGTGTGTATATACATACACACTTTAAAAATCTAAGATATACACAAAAATGTTAACATTTTATAGCTTTTATAGTGATTCTCGATTTACATTTATCCGTATTTTCTAATTTAATTACAAAGAATATACATTCTTCATGTATTTTCTAATACATTAAAATTTCATGTCTTTAAAACAAAGAGCTCGATTTTACAGACAATTCTCAATTACTCACATGTGATTACTTGTATAACCATCATTCTAGGGAAAGGGTGGCTTTTGCTCACAGATGGGCCTTCCTCCATATAGTCAGTAAAGTCTGAAAGTTGTATTTCTCTTAGCTACATTTAGTCCCTGACTCTTACTTATCCAACGGTCTTAGGTACTTTCTAAGGCATTTTCAGGATGAATGTAATGCTTTAGCCCCTATCCCTCTGACTAAACTTCTTTGAGGTGCTCCCCATCATATGCACTAATGGACAGAAACAGTGAGTAATCTGTTTTGATTCCGTGGTCCATTACCAAAAACACTTTCCTTCCTAGGAAATGTCTGTGTCCAAAACAAAAATATAATCACTTAAAAATCTGAGCTCTTCCCCTCCCTTAATGAACAACTCAATTCAACTATTTGATGGGGCCAAATAACACAGACATCTGTACAGGCAGGAGAGGGGGAAGTCAAAGCAGAGGGGAAGGGGCTGTGTGTGTGTGTGTGTGTGTGTGCGTGTGTGAGAGTGTGTGTGTGTTTATGCATGTGTGTGCATACAGGGAGCGGGGGCAGGAAGGCAGAGAGAATAAGCTGGGTTAACAAAAGGTGCACCGACCAAATAAGTAAATATAGTGGGGAGGGATGTGTGTGTGTGTGTGTGTGTGTGTGTGTGTGCGCGCACGCTCGTGTGCATGCAGGGAGCGGGGGCAGGAAGGCAGAGAGAATAAGCTGGGTTACCTAAAGGTGCAATGACCAAATAAGTAAATCTAGTAAGGATAATAGCAGCCAACTGTACTGTCAGAAAAAGGAATTACAAATACTGTGGTGGTGGCTACAAGATTATCACTGTGTATTCACGGTTTTCAGTACAGATAAAGAGATCAATAGACGTAGAAGAGAAATAAATGCAGATGTGAAAAGTGTGTGTGTATTTATAAATACTCATCTATCCTCTAGCTCTGCTCACTAAGCGGGCTCAGGAACAATGACATCCCAATAGCAACGAGCACAACTGTACAAGGTCCTAGTTTATTGTTTTCCCCTAAGAGAAACCAGGGCTCCTTGGAGAAATGGCTTGTTCCAGAGTAGGGGCAAAGAAAGAGCAAAATGAGCCTGAACAGCTTGAGTCAGAAAGGAAAGAAATACTGGAGAATGACTGGGCACATCAAGAAGAGAGGAGCCAGCTTGGAGGAACTCCCCCTGGCCAGACTGGAGATAATGTGAGCATGGAAGTAAGAATGCTAATGGATAACAATCCACTGAATAAAACAGGAACCTTTGGGTCCACTGTAAGATTTTAAAAGTGAATAAAATGAAAGTTCAATGAAGAATGAAATATTTACAATCTCAAAATGCTTCCACATAAAATACTTCTAAATTACAATGAGAAAAAATAAAGATTAAGTGAAGAACTCTGTAAAACATCTGGGGAACATTCACTCAAATGTTCAATAACAGCCAAGAACAGTAATGGGAGGTTCAGAAAAGGATTCACATGGCCTCAAACTATCCTTAGAAAGGCCTGCTTGCGGCCGGGCGCAGTGGCTCACGCCTGTAATCCCAGCTCTCTGGGAGGCCGAGGCAGGCGGATCACGATGTCAGGAGATCAAGACCATCCCAACACAGTGAAACCCCGTCTCTACTAAAAATACAAAAAATTAGCCGGGCGTGGTGGCGGGCGCCTGTAGTCCCAGCTACTCGGGAGGCTGAGGCAGGAGAATGGCGTGAATCCGGGAAGGCGGAGCTTGCAGTGAGCCGAGATCGCACCACTGCACTCCAGCCTGGGCGACAGAGCGAGACTCCGTCTCAAAAAAAAAAAAAAAAAAAAAAATGGCGTGCTTGCATGGATGGTCCTTTTTAGCATCTGGAAACTTGGATTTTGGACATGTTCCCACCATTTGCCAAATAATAAGTGTCTCGCTGTGCCTAAATTGTTTGAACAAACAAGACAGTTTATGCTGAACTCTTGCTTTCTTTCTGGGAGTCTGGAATTTGGGGGCATGGTAGGCAGAGGGTACCTACATGACTAGCCCCAAATAAAAACTCAGGGCACTCAGTCTGTAATGAGCTTCCTGTGTTGTCACAATTCAATGTGGGAAGAATTAATAGTCTTTTGTGACTCCACTGGGGCACTGACTTCTGGGTGCTTGCCTGGCTTTCTCTTTGCTGACTGTGTTTTGTATCCCGTCCCTGTAATAAATCTTAGCTGTGAGCACGCTTGGATGTTGAGCACTGTGAGTCCTTCTAGGAAATCACCTGTCCTAGAAGTGATCTTGGGGATACTCCAACACATGGCACAAATCAAGTCACATATGCTACTTAACAGGACATGATGAGAAAAACACTGTAAGATTCCTGTCCAAGATACATAACCTGAATCTAATCACAGGAAAACGAGACAAACTCCAATAAGGGACATTCTACAAAATAACTAACTTATGATTATCAAAAGTCAAGAATCATTAATGTCAAGAAAGGACTGAGAATCTTTTCCAAATTGAAAAAGACTAAAGAGACCGAATGCTAAATGTAATGTGGGATTCTGGACAGAATCCTTCTTCTATAAAGGACATTACCGGTACATCCTGTGATACCAAAATAAGGTTTGCAGTAACAGTAGCATGTCAGTGTTACTTTCTGGATTTGGATGGATGTGCACACATAGGAAAACGTCCCTGTTGCTGGGAAATACCTATTAAAGTGCCGGGGCCATGAGGTACATATCAGTAACTTATTTTCAAATGGTTTAGGGTAAAAAAGCTTTCTTGGTCTATTCATGCAACTTTTCTGAGTTTGAGACTGTTTCAAAATAAGAAGTAACGATGATGATGATGTTTATTATTCCATTTATTGATACCAAACCAGTCTTACAATAACATGCTAAGAGAATGTACAACATCCTATGTAGGAAAAGCAGAAACTGGGGGTGTGGGGGATGGGCAATGGGGAGTGCTATCTCCCTCAACCCTCTTCACCAAGAAAAAAGTTTACATCATCAGGAAAGCCTCAAAGCCAAATATTTTAACTGTACTGGTTTATGATGATTAAATAATCGCTAGACATAGGAAATCACTTCAGGGTACACAGTTTTTGTAAAATAAACATTGAGTAGAATATCATTTACCTAGTAATACTTAATGAACATTAACTGTTAGTGATAGAATTAAGAATTTTTACTCAATGTAAATTTTCCTAGATTGTTTTTCTAAGCCCACCTCCAACATCAATTACAAAAAATAAAATCACTTAAAAATCCATAAAGCTCTAAAATTACCGTTTGTGTGCTTCCTGTTTGCTGCGACACTCTTCACAGTAATACTTGTATTCACTGCACAGAGTTTCTGTGTTGCTGAAACCCCTGTGTGAAATTCAAAACAAATTTATTTTGTAGATACCAGGAAATCATGTATCTTAAAAAATATTCCAGACTAAAAATAATTATTAAATTTCAAACTAAATAATTCTACATATACCTTAAGCAGTGAGTAATTGATGTATTTTGTTCCACGTCAACAGAAAGGTCTAAAAAATCTTCATCTTTGCTGCTTATCTGTAAAAACAGTGAATTGTCTTTGATTTTTTCAAATACTAGTAAACCACAGTTCCCAATTAACAGAATTAAATGCCATTCTATTATTATCAGTAAGTAAACAATTCTTTTCCCTCAAGTTCAAAAGAGAACTACTTAATTTGGATTATCCAAAAGGACACTGAATAAATAACCCCTACCAGATGTATAAATAAAACACCAAAGTACACTTTTGACTGACTCTCACTGGCAAAGGCTAGTATGATGTGAGAGTTCATGACTTTCCAAAGTCTTTGTGTTATTTTAAAGCATGAAATAAACTGTACCATATACACTGATTCTTAAAAAAACATAGGCCAAGACTGAATAAAAATGCTTCACACAGGACAGGATATCTGTATTGTCATTAAAAAAAAAATTTAGCCCAAAATGTTAAATTACATTCTTCATTTGTGACTGACTTTATTTCTCCTAAAAATTTAATATAAAGTTTTGTTTGATTTATGGGTAAATAATCTTCTTATAAAGTTATCACTTGCTCATGTGAACTGGAATAGGACAGAACTTTAGACATAAATCTTCCTAGCTATTTCCTTCAGCAAGTCCATCCTGAAGGTACGTGTGCAACAGGAGATACGTCTGACTCAGCAACCTGTGCCTCTCCACTCAGTTAAGCAAATGCTTTCCCATTTTAATACATCAAAATTATTATTAGCACATAGAGTTGTTCATCGAACAACTCAGTAAGTTGTCATACAACATGTGACTATACAAAGTATGTATTTATGCAAATATACGTAAACCAAGGTACTGTGCATAGTGTATTTTATAGACAGTTGAAGGGAGTTCCAATGGTGATTTTGACTTTCCCTGACTTCAACATTAAGCTAACCATAGGACCGAAACCCCTTCTGTAAGATGCCATTCCACTGTACGATGGAAGATACAGCAACACTACAAGATAACTGACCTGAGTCTCAAAAAGTCTGGTGAAAAAGAAGAGGGAACACAGACAACTCAGAGAGAAAAAAAGAGGACATGATATGTTTAAGGAAAACACATCAATTTTGTAGAAAAGTGGGTAGGGTGACAAGAGATAGTATGGCAGAGGTAGGCTAGCCAGATCAGGCCGGAATTTACATGTAAGCTACAGAGAAGTAAAAGTTACACAGTCTGGTGTTTCTCAAAATCAATTTTGTATTCCTCAAAATGAAGTCCTCAGACACTGCCTCAGGGGTCTTCATTTGAAATGTTCCTTTTATGATCATGTAAAAACCTAGACACAAGGATGCTCTAGATCACCTGGGTGCATGAGTTACTACGTTTATATTTGCGATTGAGTTGGTGCCAAGCGGTCATCAAGTAGGACAGTATTCCACTTTTCAAAGTGGTTGTAAAGACATCTGGCTGCTATTGGACTAATATGTCCTAATGTCATGTCATGCACAATATGGGGAGATCCCAGTCTAAAACTCAGGGAAGAAGTCTAGGGTGGAGATCTGGAGTTGAGACTCATCAGCACATGTGATAATAAAATGGAACATGATCATGATCCTCCCAATTCAGAGTGAGAAGCAACCGACAATGAAACCCTGGGGAACACCCACATTTAAAGAATGGAAAAAGAGAAGCCAAGGAATGAGACTGAAAAGGAACCCTCATAGAGAACACCAGAAAAGGGTGTTATAGACACCAGCTTCCTACCACCTGAGACATTACCAATTGCATTTCTAAAATACAAGCATGAGCTCCTCCAGGAAGCTGGTCCTTTACCTGTCCAAATCCTTCCCACTCCCACCTGGGTTAGGTCTACTATTCTCTGGCTGGCATGGCATCCTGTGCATACACATACGATAACACACTGTACTGGAACTGCCTGAACACTGCTTTGCCAGTCTTCATTACCATAGGAGTATCTTGTGATCAGAGGCTTATGTCTTACTCATCTTCTACCATCTTCTACCTGGCATAGTTGGTGCTTAGCACCCCCCAAAATGAATACTTAAATATAAATCTAACAAAACACGCATGGTATTGATATGAGGAAGAACTACCAAACTCCAATGAAAGATAGCAAAAAAAGTGGTAAATAAGGGGAGACAGTGCATGTACTTAGATAAGAAGACTCAACTTTGTCAAGATATCATTTTTTTCCCAACTTCATCTATAGGTTCAGCAAAATCCTTATCAAAATCCCAGCAAGTTATTTTGTGGATATCGACGAACTTGATTCTAAAGTTTACATGGAGAGGCAAAAGACCCAGAATAGCCAACAAAATATTGAAGAAGAACAAAGTCAGAGGACTGAGACTACCTGACTTTAAGACTTACTCTAAAGCTACGGTAATCAAGACAGTGTGGTAGTGGGGAAAGAACAGATATACGGACCAACAGGACAGAAGACAGTGACCAGAAATACACTCACACAAATAAGAGTCAACTCATCTTTGACAAAGGAGCAAAGGCAATTCAACAGAGAAAGAATTGTCTTTTAAACAAATGATGCTGGAGCAGATGGACATCCACATGCAAAAAAATTAACCCAGAATAAACTTTCTAATACCTTATACAGAAATTAACTCAAAAAGGATCATAGACTTAAATATAAAATGAAAAACTATATAATTCCTAGATAACATAGGAGAAATTCTAAGGGACCTTTAGTTTATGGATGACTTTTTAGATACAACACCAAAAGTATAATGCATGAAAGAAAAAGTTGGACTTTATTAAAATTAAAAACTGATAATTAAAACATTAAAAACTTCTGCTCTGCCAGCCAGGCCCGGTGGCTCACGCCTGTAATTCCAGCACTTTAGGAGGCCAAGGTGGGTGGATCACTTGAGGTCGGGAGTTCAAGACCAGCCTGACCAACATGGAGAAACCCTGTCTCTATTAAAATTACAAAATTAGCCGGGCGTGGTGGCGCGTGCCTGTAATCCTGGCTACTAGGGAGGCTGACACAAGAGAACCACTTGAACCCAGGAGGCAGAGGTTGCGGTGAGCCACTGCGCTCCAGCCTGGGCAACGAGAGCGAAACTCCATCTCAAAAAAAAAAAACTTCCACTCTGCCAAAAACAGTGTTAAAAGAATGAAAAACAAGTCACGGACTGGGAGAAAATATTTGCCAAAGACCCACCTGATTATGAACTAGTAGCCAAAATTATACCCGAAAAAAAAAACCCACTTAAAATTCGACAATACTCAAAGAAAAACAGCCTGATTAAAAAATGGACAAAAGATCTGGACACATCACTAAAGAGATATAGATGATAAATAAGCAGACAAAAAGATGATCAACATCATATGTCATTAGGGCCTTGCAAATTAACATGAGATAACACTACACACTTATTAGAATGGCCAAAATCCAACTGACAACACCAAATGTCAGCAAGGATGTGGAGAAACAAGAACTCTCATTCACTGCTGGTAAGAAGGAAAAATCGTACAGCCACTGTGGAAGACAGAATGTTGGTTTCTTATCAAACTAAGTATACTCTTACCATACAATCCAGTGATCCTGCTCCTTGATATTTACACAAAGGAAGTAAAAACTCACATCCACACAAAAACCTGCACACAAATGTTTATAGCAGCTTTATTCATAATTGGCAAAACTTGGAAGCAACCAAGACGTCCTTCAGTAAGTGAATGAACTTTAAAAACTGCAGCACATCCTTACAGTGGAAATGTTGCTCAGCCAAAAATAAAGGAAATAAGTTATCAAGCCTTAAAAAGACATGGAAGAACCTTAAATGCATATTGCTAAGTGGAAGAAGCTAATCCAAACAGGCTGCATACTATATGATTTCAACTACACAATATTCTGGAAAAGGCAAAACTATGGAGACTTTACAGGACTCTTAGCTTTCTTGCTTGTGGACCCTATTTTCCAATGTTATTAAAAACTAGCAGCACAACTGTCACAGTAAAGATGAGATCAGGCAAAATCATAAATGCATGCTAAATCTTGGGTGAGATTTTGATGAGGAGGGAGGTATTTGTGTCTCCCCACAGACTGCCTACTAATTGCAAGGGGATTTAAAAAAAAAAAAAAAAGTCATCATAAAGTGGAGAAACTGGCCCAGCACGGTGGATCATGTCTGTAATCCCAACACTCTGGGAGGCTGAGGCAGGTGGGTTACTTGAGGGCAGGAGTTCAAGACCAGCCTGGGTAACACAGCAAGACTCTGTCTCAAAAAAGTTTAAAAACTAGCTGGGGGTGATGGCATGCACTGTAGTCCTAGTTACTCAGAAGGCTGAGGCAGGAGGATCACTTGAGCCCAGGAGTCTTGGGGCTATAATGATCTATAACAGTGTCACTGCACTAAAGCCTGGGCGACAGAGCAAGAACCTGTCTCCAAATAAATAAATCAAATGGAGAAACACCACCACCTTGACTGGGTGATCAAAAATTAATTTCACCAATGAGAGGCAGATGGATATTGTGTGCCTACAGACGTGATGCCCCGAGAAAAACACAACATGAATGATATATTATTATTAGCCATGAATGCATAACCTGCATCTAGTTAGGAAGAAACATCAGAGAAACTAAATATGAGAACATCTGATTTTAAAAAGGTGAGGGAGGCATATTCTCAAAAAAAAAAAGACCATGTAAATGTTTCAGGTTAAAGAAGGCTAAAGAAACAACTAAATGCAATGTCCCCCTCTAAATTGGATTCTGTACTGAATAGGGAAAATGCTATAAAGAACATGACTGGCCGGGCATAATGGCTCACACCTGTAATCCCAGAACTTTGAGAGGCCAAGGTGGAAAGACTGCTTGAGCCCAGGAGTTCAAGACCAGCCTGAGCAACACAGTAAGACCCCTGTCTCTACAAAAAATAAAAATTTAAAAATTAGCTGGGTGTGGTGGCACGTGCTCGTGGTCCTTGCTACTTATGAGGCTTAGATGGAAGGATTGCTTGAGCCCAGGAAGTCGAGGCTACAGTGAGCTGAGATTGGGCCACTGCACTCCAGCCTGGGTGTAACAATTTTCAAGCTTCATCTTTACAAAGTGTCCAGCAAGTGGGATTTTTTCCCCTCCTTGAGGGTACACTGTATGCTTTAGTTTTTATCCCAACAATGGATACTAAAGGTAATCGTAGAAAAAGGAAAAACGAATTAATATGCCTCCCTGATCTGTATGATCCTATGAGATTATGTCATAAGACATAATTTCCACAACATGGTTCTATGGCCTCCTAAACTGAAAGAAAATCAAACAGTTCAAGCTACAGTAAGTATCTTTCTATCACCTCAGGTATTCATTGTCAATAAGCAACATTACATTAAGAATACAGACAGATTCCTTTTAACTGAAAAATACATCTTTAACTCCTATACCTAAGAATTACAACTTTCAAGTTCATCTTCCATTCTGTCTTTCTCAAAGAACAACCTTTAACATAGTAATTCAATTTTTCTCTATACAAAATTGTATGATATACTTACAGTTTCACAAGTAAGACATCTGGTTTCATTAGTTAATGTTCCCTGAAAAATCTCATGAACCCACGTTGGGTCTGGTGTGCTGTTATTATTTTCATTATCAATATTACCATTAGGTAAACGACCATTTTGTTTTTCCTGCTTTCTCTCTTCTTGTAAAATATCAGCAATTGTATTTAGTAGGTAATTTAAGAATTCATGGGCATCTTGTTGCATGTAGTTGTCAAAAAGCTCTGAAAATAAAAACATTATATTAGAGAATTATTTCAGAATTCATAACTTCATAAAAAACCAATTTATAAAAGAATATCTAGTATTGGATCAGAACTAAAATATAAATGCACAATGTTTTTGTAATGTATAACAAATAACTTTCGCATCTAAAACTTTTATCTGTATTTGGGGAAAATGTAAAATTAATTAAAATCTTGTTTAAAAATACTACTAATTGATCCTGAGAAAAGGGCAAAACCTATCCTTATATATTGGCATAACAGATACTGAGAATTTAAGAAGAAATTGCTTATTAGCTTACCTGACTTATTATTTCACAAATATTTCAACTTGGCAAGCTTTAAAGCAGAAGTTGGACAACCATTTGCCAATGCCAAGCCAACTGCTTTAGACCCACAAAGTTTATCAAAAATAAATTACTGAACCATACATCCCAGGGATTCTGATTTAGTTGATAAGGGGTAAGCCCAGAACGTGGGGCTTTTCAAAGCTCCTCCAACTAACTCTGATGTAGAGTCAGGTTTAAGAATCATGTTATCAAGAATTATCTATATAATCCAGATAATCTCAAGTCCCTTCCAAATGTGAGACTTTATAATTCCACAAAACGTTCCCTGCAGTTACACAAATGAGTAAATATAACTGAAATATTGGTGGTGCTAACATCAAGCGTGCTTTACCCTGTGCTTGGCAATATACAACTCTACCATAGAACAGTAAGGACTTTAGAGGCAGTATCTCATTTGATCCCCAACAACCATGTAATATTGTTATTAACTTTATTTGTAAACATGAAAATGGGACGAGACAGAGTACAGTCACACTGCCAAGAAATGGCAGAGCCAGGATTCAAACTGGGCAGCCTGACTCCACCATGCCACACACAAAGTAATGCCCAGTATAAGCCCACACACAAGAACATACATGAATTGGTCAATAAAATGCATTGAGAAAAATTACCTATTTAGGACATTTTATTTTTAGATCCTCAATGTACATTTAATAAGTTCCAGAAAGATTTTACATTTTAAAAATGAATGCATACAAATTTAGAAAAAAATTTAGGGAAAGTCTAAGATAAAACAAATTAACAATTACATTTTAGAAGAGATACAGATATGACTACATAAAATTAAGTTCTATGTATTAGAAATCTTTAAAAAAGTTTTAAAAAAAGTGAAACCTGAAAATTATTAACATTTTCAACATATAAAAGCAAATCTCATATAAAAGAAAACCAAACTGGACAATCTTATAAATGGCAATCAATTTATAAGAAAAAAACAATCAAAAGGCTAAAAAACATGAGAAAATGTTCAATCCCATAGTAAGTTTAAAAAAAAAAAAAAAGCAGGCCAAGCGCAGTGGCTCATGCCTATAATCCAGCACTCTGGGAGGCCAAGGCAGGTGGATCACCTGAGGTAAAGAGTTTGAGACCAGCCTGGCCAACATGGTGAAAGTCCGTCTCTACTAAATACAAAAAATTCACTGGGCATGGTGGCACATGCCTGTAATCCCAGCTACTTGGGAAGCTGAGGCAGAAGAATCGCTTGAACCCGGGAGGTAGAGGTTGCAGTGAGCCGAGATTGCGCCATTGCACTCCAGCCTGGGCAACAAGAGCAAAACTCCATCTCAAAAACAACAACAACAAAACAGAATACCATCTTTCTTTGCAAAGTCATTGTAAAAACAGAAAGGGAATGAGTGAAGCTTTTTATGGGGGTAGGAGGGCACAGCTGCTAGAGCAAGGCTGTCTGGGTTGGTGCTATGGTTCTACTTCTAACTGCACGCGTGGCATAGGCAACTTATTCAAGCTCCCTGTTCCATAATTCCTCATCTGAAAAATGGGGCTCACAGCAGTACCTGTACCTCACAAGGCTGGGAGGAAGATTAAAAGTGCTTAGAATACAACAATAGGTTTTGTATTCTGTTCAACAACAACCACAGTAACAATATTGGCAATATCACTACATGTTGAATATCCTTTATCTAAAATGCTTGGGACCAGCAGTGGTTGGGACTTCAGACTGCTTCAGATTTGAGAATATTTTCATACACATAATGAGATATTTTGGGGATGTGACTCAAATCTAAACATGAAATTCATTTGTTTCATATACACCTTATAGCCTGGAGGTAACTTTATATAGTACTTTTTTTTTTTTTTTTTTGAGATGGAGTTTTGCTCTTGTTGCCCAGGATGGAGTGCAACTTCATATAGTATTTTTAAAAACTTTGTGCAGGGAAGTAAATTTGTGTACACTGAACCATCAGAAAGTAAAGTTGTTACTACCTCAGCCACCCCATGTGGCATCATGCAGCTCAAAAAGTTTCAGATTTCTGGATTACGGATGCTCAACCTATATAATTGTTGTTGCTACTGAACAGAATACAAAACACATCAAAGACTGACTATGTAAAAACTATGAACTTCTGTATGGCAAAGTCAACATAAATGAAGACAAGTGACGAACAAGGATAATTATTTGCATATTAATATCCAGACTATGTAAAGGTTTAATATACAGAATATTTAAAAAAAAACCCTTTACAAAACAAGAAAAAAAATTTTAAAAACTGGCAAAGGAAAATAGCCAATTCAGAGTAGAAATACAAATGCCTAAATAATACATGACAAGGGACTGGGAAATAACAATTAAAACAATGACAAAATATCATTTTGCCCATCACTTTGGCAAAATAAAAATTGACTTAGTTTCCATCCAGTGTTAGCTTGAGTATGGAGAAATGGACATTCTCAACTGTTGCTGCTGGGAGTATAAACTGGTATGGCACGTTGTAAAGGCAATTTTGGTAACAGATTTAAAATAATGCAACCTAGTTCTCCCAGGTATCGATGCCAGGTAAGTATCTGTGCATGTACCAAAACAAGCATAAATACGGCTGCTTATTTATAACAGCAGAAGTCTGAAAATATCCTAAATGTTTATCAACAGGAGAATGATTTATTTAAATTATGCTATAATTTTGTTAGGGAATGCTGGGCAACGGTTAAAATGGAAACAGTTCCATTGAATTAACATGGCAAAACTTCCAAAACAGAAAGTGAAACAAGGATGCTGAACACATGTGGATCCCACTCATGAAAAACAAACAACCGGCTGGAAGCAGTGGCTCATGTCTGTAATCCCAGCACTTTGTGAGTCTGAGGGGGGCAGATCACCTGAGGTCAGGAGTTCAAGACCAGCCTGACCAACATGGTGAAACCCCATCTCCACTAAAAATAGTTCCCATAAAATGTAACTGTGGCTTCCTATTTGGACATATATATTTAAGTGCATAGAAAAGGGTTTTTGGTAGCATCAAGGTATTTCAAAGGAAGACGAGATTGAGGAGCTGGGGAGGAAGCAGAGAGCACTCAGGGAAACTTCTAGGTTTGTTTGGTACTGAAATGTTATTGTAAGAATGTATGCATGTATTATTTGCATGCTTAAAAATAACATAGAGCTTTCCATACAAAAAGTCCACTTCCTCGCTCCCTGTCACTGCCTGTTACACATTCCTTTATTTTTTTAAGAGATGGGGGTCTCGCTATGTTGTCCAGGCTGATCTTGAACTCCTAGGCTCAAGCAATCTGCCTGTCTATTGCATATTCTTCATAAACAATTACTTCCCAAACCCTTTCAATTTTTAAAGTTCATTTCCTGCATGTCTAGTCTGTTCCATTTCCATTTAAATCTACCTAGTTCAAGTCACCTCCCTTCACTTAACCCACTAAGTCTCCTTTCCTTCAGTTTCACACTGCAAATAGACAAGTTTAATTTATAGACCCTGAATCTTTCTCCCTAGGAATTTTCCCTGATATCTCTTGCATTACATGGTAAAATTCACAATAATTTTTTTTCACGTTCATTATTTAGTTATTTTCATATATCCAAATCCATTCCACAAATTTGGGTCTCAAATCAAATACAATAATATTAAGAATGCAACTGAAGCCACAGTTCACTTCTCTGCTGTAAGTTTAGCCTGAGGGACCCATTAGCCTTTAGCAAAATCCCCATGTTATGTTTAAAAACAATAAAAGTCATGAGTTCTAAGAGCTCCGTACTAGCCTACATGGACTTAACAACTAATCTTGAATTTGGTACACTGTGTGTGGGTTTTTGTCCACAAGAGATAGTAGATCTAAAGCACTGGGACACCATTCCCCTCTCCCTGCTCAGAGTAGAAGTCTATGCAACCTCTCTCAACACTGAGACAGCCTGCAACTCAAAAATCTTCTCAGCAGTCCACTCCATCCCTCCGAGGCCGGGCCAAGTCATGCATAGAACCTTGCGTGGTTCCACCAATTGGAAAAGTCTAGACCACAGCTAAGCTAACTGAAGCAAATTATCTAACCTTGCCCTTCAATGCAATAATCCTCCGTCCCTGAAAATAATAACCATTTCCCCTCTCAGCCTCAATCTCCTATCCTCTACTACTCTCATTTGCTTATTGCACCTTATTTCCTTTCTCATCCTTGGGATTTTCTTTGTTCCCAACCCTTTCTAAGTTGCTCATTCTAGGTCCTCCATTCTGTTCTAAACAAACTCCCTCGCCTTATCAACCTTTGGCATTTTCTAGTTTCCTACTGCTACTTGCTCTCAATCACAAAAGTGCCCAAGATACAGCCATACTATGACCCTCAACCCTCCTCTCTCTGAGGTCATCTCCCTCCTCCTCATCCACTGATGGCCTGATTCAGTTTCTCTCTCCACTTTGCCTCCTGCACCAACCTTGACATGTCAGTGTCTAGGCAGCTTCCTGACGTGCATGCACCTCAATCCCGTACAATTCAAGAACCTTTATCTCTCACTCACCCACCCATTTCCGGGTCACAAATCTGGAACCACCCACCTCAAACAGGTCCACTAAGGCAAGGAGTGGAAGATAATTATGCTAAAGTTGAGTTGAGGGGCTGAAGAAAAGTTGGAAACCAACTGGAAAAGTCCTAGAGGAATCTAAAAAGAAGAATAATCAGGGAGAACTAGTAAAAAGATTTTATAAACACTGCTGAGGACCTAGTTAAGGTTAGAGATGAATAATTCCCTACAGCGGCTAACTACATATTGGCTTGATGCCACAATCTGAAGTAGCCTAATTTCTCCCTGTTGAAAAGAATTTTAGCATATACATGTTTTTCAAAATAATTACTTTTTAAGCAAAAATGTGCAAATGTTTTTGCTTTTTAAAAATGTACATCTTTTTCTGGATGCTCTTTTAACACAGAGCAATGATTTCATATTCACAAAAATACCTCCAATGACTTGAATGCTCTGGAAATGAGAGGCAAAGTAAACCAAAAAAATAATCTTTAAACTTTTGTTGAAATATTTCTAAGATTATTTGTAGTCCATTTTCCTTAGAGTATACTGAATATGCCAGAATTTTGCTGTATGTGAAAGCAGCCATTATAGTTTTAAAAGCGTCAACCAGGACTGTATAAACATCAAAATAACACTGATGAATGACCTCAGGACAATCCCTGTGAACTGTATTATATTTAATTTTTAAAACCCTGGTTTTCTTATGGTTTGCTTTCTTCTTTGCTAAGTAGCATGATGGGAAAGGTGGACTTCAAACTTGCTTTGGAAGTTAAACAATTTCATTCATTCATTCACTCATTCAATAAATATTTAGTAAGCACCTACTATGTGCCAGGAACTGGATTATGTGCTGGGAATACAATGGTGAGCAAAAACAAATGGGTTCCCTCCGTCATGGAACTGACAGTCTAGTGGGAGAGACAGACAATTTCATTATTAAATAAATGTATGATTATAAACTACTATAGTCCTGATATAGCTGCAACAATAATGCAAAAAAAAATGAAAAACACTGCTTAAAAATAGGTTATGTTCTCCTCATAATTCAGAAATAGCTATAAGCTCTCATTACACAAAATACCATTTATGCTCTTTTGGAGAAAAAGAATTGTTTGAAATAAACATAAGAAATTATTTACTCAAATATATTTAACAGGTATTATTTGTGAACAACTAAAATTTCCTCACTTGAGGGAGACCAAGACTTAAATTTATCTGTTTTTGTATCTCTCCACGGCACATGAAACGCTGCTTGTCCATGCAGGTTCCTTAAGAACAAGGACCCTTTCTATCTCATCCCTAGGACTGACAACCGTGCCTGCCACATAATGAGATGTATTTCCCATTTTTTAATGAATGAATGAATGAATGAATGAATGAATGGACAATAGGGATTGAAACAACTAAGATGATGACAGAAAAGTAGATCTGCCCCCAAACAATAACTGAAATGACTGACACTGCTAAGGTTCAGTGAGTCAGAGCACACAACTACAGATGCCAGCTGATGTGGCCCTCAGGCCCACCTAAAATGATCCCAAACAGTCCAGTTGAGGGTCAACTCTAGCTAACACAATCAGATCACCATCCTATGTTGTATTTCTTCCAAAATAATAGTAGATCACCCACAGGCAGTACCTGTAAAGAGAGGACTCCATTTCCTACCTGGGTACTGCAACAGCCTCCAGGCTGGTCTCCTGCCTCTACTCTCATGCTGCCCAGGCCCACCCAGCAGCCAAAGGGTCTTCTCAAACAAATCAGAACGTATCACCCACCTGCTCAGAACCCTCTCGTGGTTTCCCATGGCTTTCCAAATAAAACCCAAGCTTTAGGCCCCTGTTCTTCTGACTTTATCTTCATCTTATTCCACTCTTGCCATGCTAATTTTCTTTCCATCCTTCAAGCACTCAGGCAACCTGCACTTTCTTCCTACTGATGGTAACATTTTTGCCTCAGATCTTAAAATGATGTCTTCAAATTTCTGATCTAACATTACCTAATCAGGGACATTTCCCAATGACTGACATATGAACTAGCAACTCCCTCATCCTCTGTCCCCTTTCCCAGTCTTCTTTTTTTCGTGACAGTGACACATTACATCACACAATTGATGGCTGTCTGCTTCCCCACGAGGGTGTCAGGTACCTGAAGGCATATTTCTGTATCATCAGTTCCTAAACAGTGTCTGGCACACAACAGGAAATATATCTATCATGATTAGTCTACTCAAACACTCAGCTAGCATCCATCCCATCAGCAGGTAACATGCATGGAGCCACTGTTGCTGTACTCTATGCAGGAGCACTGTGCAACAGTCCTCTTATGCTATGATTAGGTAACATGAGTTAAAACTGTAAAAACAAAAATTCATTAATAAATAGAAATTAAAATCAGTTCTTTCCAGGACCATCAAAAAGATTAGTAACATAAAGCAATGGTGGTTAAAACAATATGGGGCTAATATCTATTGAGAATAAAATTTTTAACATAGTATGGCAGGAAATTAATTTAGTAAGAACCATCTACCAGTGAAAGTCAGTGGAAATACTGAAATGAGTAACATACTTTCCAAAGATTTAAAACAAACAAAATCTCAGAAGGAAAGATATGCAATGAATAATATATTAAATCCTCTTTGATTTGTATATTCTTCTCTACACAATTCTCAAGGGAAAATTCAAAAGCCAAAAATATATTTCAAAACATATTTGCAAATGTCAGCAACATCAAATAATAAAAATGCTTTTCTATTAAAAAAATGGCTTTTCTATTAAGCATTATTTCTGAAGTTTAGAAAAATGAAGCAAAACTTATGAGAAGATGGGCTTAGAATATTTATTCTAGAATCAGTCTCTTTCAAAGAAGTATTTAAGAACTCTATTGTGTTACCAATTCAATCTGCCTAAATACAAAAAGAATTAGTAACTATTGAACTATCAAAAAAAAAAATAATAATAATAATAATAATAAGGCCAGACACAGTGGCTCATGCCTGTAATCCAACACTTTGGGAGACTGAGGTGGGTCATTTGAGGCCAGGAGTTCAAGACTAGTCTGGGCAACATAATGAGACCCCATCTCTACCAAAAAAAAAAAAAAAAAGAGAGAGAGACAGAGAGAGAAAGAGATGAAAAAAGAAAAAAAGCCCATTTGGAAAAAATAACGAACACTGTAAAAATACCCCAGGTTTGACAAACAAACATATAAAGCCATAAGTATGTAACTGTATTTTACCTCTGTTCAGCATGAGGGTCAATCTAACTAAGATAACATCATTGTATAAAGAGCCCATGTGATAGGTTAATAAGGCCAAGAGAAATGTACTATTAAATGAAAAGGGAAATAATGTATGCTCTGTATGAGCTGCATACTTCTGAACTCTTTTTTTTTAGAGACAGGGTCTTGCTCTGTTACCCAAGCTGGAGAGTGGCGCAATCAGGGCTCACTGCAGCTTCAACCTCCTGGGCTCAAGCGATCCTGCCACCTTAGCCTTCCAAGTAGCTGGGACTACAGATGTGCACCACCACATCCGATTAATTTTTAAAATTTTTTGTGAGACAAGGTCTTGCTTTGCTGCTGAGGCTAGTCTCAAACTCTTGGGCTCAAGCAGTCCACCTACCTTGGCCTCCCAAAGTGCTGGGATTATAGGTGTGAGCCACCGTGTCCAGTCACTGAACATTTTTAAAATACTAATAAAGTCACTGAGAAAGGGTGCCATGTTCAATTACCAAATACATAAATTTTCCACAAGGACAAAACTTTTAAAGTTTTGTACAGACACACACAAAAAGACTGAGAAGACTTAACTGCTCAATCCACATTTGAGCATTAAGGTTATATTTGATTTTCTAAAAAAACAAGATAAACAGATCTATAATCTAATAAAGTACATACGTTTAGCTTTCATTAGGGGAAACAAGATGTATTTTTATGAGCAATTAATCAAATTATTCTACATGTGTATGTGGGGAAAATGAACAAATCTTCAACAAACGTATCAAATTCAAGAATAATAGCCTATAGCCTATTTCTGGGTCATCTTATATTTCAGCGAACTAGATATGATCCAGGCTTACCTCAATTCACTGTGTACAGTGTCAACTGACTAATTTAAAGGCAGGATTACGCAATAGGGTATTTAATAATCCATCTTAATGACTTCCCAAATCCTGCTTGTGAGCGTCTACTTAATAGGTAACAAATCAACTAAAAATGCCATTCAATTTTCTTTCTACAATGATTAAAATGCCTACATTAAACAAAAGCCAGAATTCTACATGTTATCTAAATTCCATTTGAATTTTTGAGGCAGTGTCCCACATTAGATAGAACACTGGGCTTACATATCAGGGAGAAGTAAGTTTGTATACCAGCTCCACCACTTACTAACTCTGTGGGACCTTGGACGAATTAACCTCTCTGAGCCTCAGTTATTTCATAGGGTGATAATGTCCAACTTATTGGCATGTGAAAATTAAATGAACAATATTTCAAAAAAGAAAAGGGAGGTGGGGCTTACTCAGTAACTATTTTAAAAAGGGGTTGGGGGATTAAAACTTATCTACCCTAAGCCAAAAGGTCTTTTCTAGCTCCTTCCCCGGAGTGTGGCTCCTGGCAAGCCTTTTTTAGGTTTTGATTTTTCACGGCTAAAATGGGGGAAATGACATGCTCTCTATCTAAGGCTACTGCAAGGATCCAATGAGTTAACACACATGAAAGCATTATGAAAACAAATGCATAAGCATGCAAAAAAAAAGAAACAAAAACCCTTCATTCTTGACAGAAAAGCCAAGCAAGCAAAAAGAGAAACTGTGATTTCTCATTTGCTGCCACACAGAATTTTATCACTGTATAACGCAATGCAAACATTAACCGTATCTTGTATTAATTACTGTAAGACTATCTCCTTCACTAAACGAGTGCCTCTTTGAAGAAAGGCGTGTCATCCTTGTTTCTTCAACAGCTAACATGTTATCAGGCATACAGATGATGCTCAGTAAGTGCTGGAATTATGGCACACTATATTTAACCTTCCTAGTATGTCATTAATACAGTGGGAAGTAGAATTACCATTTTCTTTCCGTAATCTTGTGATGAACTTCTTAGGGGGTATTACTCCAACCTTTTTCTTCTGAGTGGCTATGCTATGGAAGAGATCTGCTAAGCATGTAAGAAGGCTCTCCTTTTTCCTAGGTTGACTCTTATACGCAAGAACTTTTTCCCGAAATGGACGACAAAAATAAAGTGCTTGAAGAACTGAATTGCAGTAGCAGGTATTCCCAAACTGCAACAGAAAAAAAAAAGTTTTGTTAAATTTAGGGCAACACATTTTCAAGAGAGAAATTCCCGGTATATGGTTGAGAACAGAAAGAGATGACAATCGGTTACTACTGTTACTATAACACTGACTGCATTATATTATACATTTTAAAATACAACTCTCAAAAATTCTTTGGAAATCACAAAAGTAAAGTTTTCTATCAGGTTCTTAGGTACATCCAAATTAAAACACACAAAAACAAAAAATAAAAAAAACAAGATCCCCTGAAACGTTACATGAAAAAGTCACCAGTATGACAGTCTAGCAACCACTGAAATGCCAAGTCACAGTATTCATGATGTATTGGAAAGACATCAAATCCTTAACTATGAATTTCTCTCTTACCAGCCATGTCATTGGGGTATGTCACTACATCTTACTGAACTCTACTCCTCTCCACTCTAGTAATTGGGGCGAGACGGGGGAGGGGGCGGGCGGGGAAATAAACCTACTTTATAAAGTAAATGACACACAGTTTCATAAATATGTATTGCCTTCCTTTTCCCTTCCATTAATAAACACTGGCTCTAAAAGCTATAAAACAGCTAAAAGTCAGTCATGAAGATTTGGGGAGCACTATGAAACTATAAAAAAGGAATGAGGATAATTCTCATATTTCTACTATGGGGTGAAATCAAGTATATACAGTATTAGGTTAAAAAGGCTAGGCAGAGAAAAATGTTTAAGATTGGGTGATATCAAATGTATGTCCATAGACCATTTATTTTTTTTAAAAAAATGAGGAAGGATAAACAAAAAGCTAACAAAAATGTTTATAGGAGAAGAGGAAAAATAATGGAGAGATGGATAAAAATGAGACTTCTCTGAAAGAATGTTGTTATAAAACATTTACTTTGTACCCCCTATCTTTTCTAAAATAAAAAAGAAATGTCTAAAATTAAAAACAAAAATAAACAAAACCTAAATGTATATGGATTTAATGGTAGAAATAAAGAGAAATTAATTATTTCAGGTGACTTAAAGAATGTTTACCATACATGCCTAATGAGATATAGTCTAATCATTTTAAAAAACAAAAACAGCAACAACAAAAAATCTACTGGCCAGACGCAGTGGCTCACACCTGTAATCCCAGCACTTTGGGAGGCCGAGGCAGGCGGATCACTTGAGGTTAGAAGTTCGAGACCAACTTGATCAACATGGTGAAACCCCATCTCTACTAAAAATACAAAAATTAGCTAGGCATGATGACACATGCCTGTGATTCCAACTACTCAGGAGGCTGAGGTATGAGAATCGCTTGAACCTGGGAGGCGGAGGCTGCAGTGAGCCAAGATCGCACCACTGCACTCCGGCTTGGATGACAAAGTGAGACTCTGTCTCAAAAACAAACAAACAAAAAAAACAAATTTATTGATATTGTTATTTTGAAACTATTGTAGCTATATCATAGGACAAAGCAAACAAGGAATTATGTTAATACCCTTAGGAACCAAAATTTTTAATGTAAAGGAAAAAAAGATGCTATAATAAAAATCAGAAAAATAAAAGCCTTGTAAACTTCAGTTAGAAATATCAACATAAACTTATAACTCTGAAAATGTATGTCTGTGTGCATGCATGCATGTTTGTGTGTACGTGTTTTCAAATTCTGTCCACTGAAAAGGTGTGGCAGCAACAAGTTTCTCCTATACCCAGATTGTGTTCTCTAAACACCCTTTTCCCATCCAAAAGAACTCGGACACCTTGAAGATATGGCTGATACAAGATCTGCGATAAGAAATGTACAATGTGCCTTCTCAAAAGAAGACATTTATGCAGCCAAAAGACACATGAAAAAATGCTCATCATCACTGGCCATCAGAGAAATGCAAATCAAAACCACAATGAGATACCATCTCACACCAGTTGGAATGGCAATCATTAAAAAGTCAGGAAACAACAGGTGCTGGAGAGGATGTGGAGAAATAGGAACACTTTTACACTGTTGGTGGGACTGTAAACTAGTTCAACCATTGTGGAAGTCAGTGTGGTGATTCCTCAGGGATCTAGAACTAGAAATACCATTTGACCCAGCCATCCCATTACTGGGTATATACCCAAAGGACTACAAATCATGCTGCTATAAAGACACATGCACACATATGTTTATTGCGGCACTATTCACAATAGCAAAGACTTGGAACCAACCCAAATGTCCAACAATGATAGACTGGATTAAGAAAATGTGGCACATATACACCATGGAATACTATGCAGCCATAAAAAATGATGAGTTCATGTCCTTTGTAGGGACATGGATGAAATTGGAAATCATCATTCTCAGGAAACTATCGCAAGGACAAAAAACCAAACACCGCATGTTCTTACTCATAGATGGGAATTGAACAATGAGAACACATGGACAAAGGAAGGGGAACATCACACTCTGAGGACTGTTGTGGGGTGGGGGGAGAGGGGAGGGATAGCATTAGGAGATATACCTAATGCTAAATGAGGAGTTAATGGGTGCAGCACACCAGCATGGCACATGTATACATATGTAGCTAACCTGCACATTGTGCACATGTACCCTAAAACTTAAAGCATAAAAAAAAAAAAAGAAATGTACAATGTGCAAGATTAGCCTGGGATATCTTAAATATAAGTGTCAACTTTAATACAAAAGGATTACTGCAATGGACCAAAACACACCAACTATACAAAAATTCATAAATTTAAAATGACATTTTAGGCTGGGTACAATGGCTCATGCCTGTAATCCCAGCACTTTGGGAGGCCAAGGCAGGTGGATCAGTTGCGGTCAGGAGTTTAAGACTAGCCTGGCCAACATGGTGAAACCCTGTCTCTAACTGAAATTACAAAAATTAGCCGGGTGTGGTGGCACGCACCTATAATCCCAGCTACTCAGGAAGCTGGGGTGGTAGAGGCAGAGGTTGCAGTGAGCCAAGATGGTACCACTGTACTCGGGCTTGGGCGACAGAATGAGACTTTCTCCACAAAAAAAGATACATATGTGTGTGTGTGTGTATATACACATAATGACATTTTTTTAAAAAGCAGCCCTCTTTAGTCTCCATTGACAATTGCAAACTAATATATAAAAGGAAAAACATTCAAGATTCATCTTGCCTTTCTTATAAGAACCATATTTCAGGGGCACTAAACAGTTGATGAAGGAAGTTTCTGTTTATAAAATAAGTCCAGTGAATAAAATCAGAAGAAATGGTTGTAAATAATGGATTAAGCAATAATTATCAATGGATGCTCAAAGCATTAGGTTAAAAGTTGATGGGGATGTTTAAAACAGAGTGAACAGACCTAAACACCCCAGCGATTTCAGCATTGCTCAAGTGAACAACTGAATATTGTGTGTCTTTTAATATATCTTACCTCCTATGAAGTATTCTTGCCTTAAGCAAAATCACTAAACTTTAATCAAGTCTCTACGTGTAACTACTAATTTACAAGACAGTCAACAGTCAGGCAATGAAAGAGACAATACCACAAAGAAGGAAAAGGCCAAGTTTGAAATGGGAATAGTCTCTAGGACAGATGACCTAGTTTCTCCACAAATTGATGACTTGAAAAAAGGTTGAAAAGGACTCAAGAGACACAACAATCAAATTGCAAATGTAAATGCTGGAGTTTACTTAGATCCTGATTTACAAACCAACTATAAAAAGTCATCTTTGGCTGGGCGCAGTGGCTCAAGCCTGTAATCCCAGCACTTTGGGAGGCCGAGGTGGGTGGATTAAGGTCAGGAGCTCAAGACCAGCCTGGCCAACATGGTGAAACCCCGTCTCTACTAAAAATACAAAAACTAGCCGGGCGTTTTACTCCTGTAATCCCAGCTACTCGGGAGGCTGAGACAGGAGAATCGCTGGAACACGGGAGGCTGAGGTTGCAGTGAGCCGAGATGGTGCCGCCATTGCACTCCAGCCTGGGCGACACAGTGAGACTCTGTCTCCAAAAAAAAAAAAAAGTCATCTTTGAGACAAAAGAAGATACTTGAATCAATCCAATACCACTGCATTGGATGATATTAAGAAATTGTTGACTTTGTTAGGTGTGATCATTAGGTGATCATATTTTTTAAAACGTTCCTGCCACTTTGAGACATGTAATTAAACGTGTCCCATTTATGGCCAAAATGCCATGATGACTAGGATTTCCTTTTCCAGGTAAAAAAAAAAAAAAAAAAAGGATAAGTGGAAGAGAAGGAAAATATTGGTAATTGTTCAAGCTAGGTTGATGGGTTCATAGTGATTCATTATATTTACCTCTCCTACTCTAGCTTTTCAAAGGAGGTGTTTAATCTTTGAGGTAAATTGTATAATCATGTCATTATGTGTCACAATCATTGCAAATAAAGGACCTAACCAGATAAGTTCATAGGGAAGACAGACACTAGGCAGAGCCAATAATTTGAGGGGATAAAACAAAGCTCTGCTATGTTCAATCTCCTAATTGTCTGAATATGTTTCTTTTTTTCCACAGAGATTAAACAAATAAGATCCCTCTGCCCCACTGAAACAGGAGTTACCAACTTTTTGAAGAGGCTTGTGAGATCCAACCCCTCTCCAGCTGAGGACCTGAGACCTAGTGAGGACAATGACTTCTCATATCTACACTGCTAGTAGGAGACAAGCACTGGTTTCAGAAAAAGAGGCGCTTAAGCTTAAGAGGTATGTGATTAAAGCGTACTGATATCAATGATCATAAATGTAACTACAGATACACTTCAATGAACCCTACCCAGGGGTTAAGTACAACTGAATGTTACTAAGATTAATTTACCCAGTATCCAGTATAAATCTGTCTTTAAAATTGTATTTGTACTACAATCTAATCAAGCTAACGACCAACAAATCTGGTTATATCAATTGAAGAGAAGATACAATCTCCATATTTTGGAATAGGCAACAGGGGAATTGAACAACTTCCACCGAGCAGGGAGATGAAAGCAAAAGAGATCATCTCCAAGTATACCAGAAATATTATGATAATGAGGATTGACCTATCTATAAAAAATATGAGAAGCAAATAGGATAGGCTAAAAAACTAGAGGGAGTCTCTATTTTGTAGACTACTGGAAGTCAGGCTCACACTTCTGTCCAACATGACTTGCTCATCTTCTGAATATAAAGCAACAGTAATATTATAATCAATTCTCTGAGGCCTGCCATTAGTCTTCTTTTATTTACTTTCATCAATCCCATTAAAGAAAAATTAAAAGGTTGAAAATACTACTCTTTCTCCAGAATAAGCTGACTTTCAATCTTTTTAATAATTTTGAAACTTTTCCTTCAATTTTCTTGATTTTTAATATTAACTTTCATTCAAGGTCCTAAGACCTAAAAATTATCTTTCAAGAGTAGAGCCTTCATGCAAAAGGTTTTCTGGGATGATTTTCTCTATATTCTTGTTTGTGAATGCTCAATTTCTTAAAAAACAAAAAAACATTGCTTTAGTGCTGAAATCTATGCTGTGTTATCTCAGCTGGTTTTGAAAATCAAAGGTAGGTTTAAATTAGGGAGAAGAAATTTTAAAAGTTGCCACCCTACTCGAGGTCTTATCATTGATTTTTTGATTGCTTAGTGAATACAATCTCATTCTTGCTTTCAAAGAGCTTTCTCTAATGCCTTCTTCTCCAAACCTTAACAAACATCCCACCGCAAGTATTTTTTATATACCTACTACTAAGACCATTTTGAGCGCACATCCCTTACACATTTATAAATTATACATACTATGTATATTAAAAATGTAAAGGAATGCAATTAAGAAAATGCACATTTTAGATGTTTGTCTTATTTATTACACACTATTATTTTCATGAAAAATTATTAGTCTTAAGTGAGAGCAATGAGATTGAGTATTTTTGTAAAGGCTTTAGATTTTAAAACAGCAATTTGATAGTCTGTGATGTTCAGTTATTTGGATATGTGGTTTTAATGGCTATCAAAACTGAAAAAGATACCTTCCTAAAGATACATAGGTGCAAGGGAATGAGAGTCTCACTACCTACCTTTACTTTTTAAATCATGGTATCCAATTTGTAGTCTTATCTACCAAATTAGTTTGAATACATTTAGGAAATGCCTGCCTTGAGAGCCCCACAGCACAGTAATGAAGCACATAAGATCTGAAACCAAACTGTCTAGGTTCAAGTCTGGTTCCACTATCTGACCTTGGGAAATTACTAAACTGTTGTTTACCAGTTTCTTCACCTGCAAAAAGGGGGTAATACAGCACCTACCTCTTAGAATTTCTTAAATAATTAAATGAATCATCACATAAAACACTCAGAACAGTTACTGGCCCTTCATCATTTCATAGCTACTTTTTTTTTTTTTTTCCTGAGACAGTGTCTTACTGTCACCCAGGCTGGGGTGCAGTGGTATGATCATGGCTCACTGCAGCCTCAACCTCCTGGACTCAAGATCCTCCCACCTCAGTCTGTGGAGTAACTGGGACCTCAGGCACTCAGGCATGCAAAATGCTCCCAGCATTTTTTTTTTTTTAAGAGACAGGGTCTCACTCTGTTGCCCAGGCTGGTCTCAGATTTCTGGGCTCAAAGCAATCCTCTCGTCTTGGCCTCCCAAAGTGCTGGGATTAAAAGCATGAGCCACTGTGGCCAGCCAATAATAACTTTTAAAACAACCTTTTAAGTTAACTAAAATTCAATCATATAATTCTCTAAAACTACATTTAAATTATAATAGATCTGCCACAGCAGAAACAAATGAGAGAGATGATGCCATCAACCCTTTGACATCATGGAACTTGAAATAACATACAACCATATCATATACAGATAGAGTATAGGCACCAGTCTCATCCATATGTTAAGAATAATGCTTAGTCTACCATTTTTAGATAAAAATAAACATCAGAAATGCTAATATTTTCTTCCTATTCCCAATGGATCATCTTACACACTTCATTTGGAGACTACTAGTTTTAACCACCATAATGTCAATAGCATTACTTTGTTTAAATACTGAGGCTAGGCACAATGGCTCATGCCTGTAATCCCAGCACTTTGGGAGGCTGAGGCAGGAGGATCGCTTGAGACCAGGGATTCAACACCAGCATGGGCAATATAGTGAGACCCCATCTCTACAAAAACCTTAAAAAATTAGCTGAGCATGGTGGTGTGCACCTGTAGTCCCAGCTACTCAGGAGGTAAAGGCAGGAGGACGGCTTGAGCCAAGAAGGTGAAGCTGCAGTGAGCCAGGGAGGCGAAACTGCAGTGAGCCATGATCACTCACTGCACTCCAGCCTGGGTGACAGAGCAAGACCCTTTCTCAAAACAAAAACAAAAACAAACAAACAAACAAACAAAAAACCCAGACAAATAAAAAATAAAAATGTTGAAAAGGAACCGTTTTTGAAGAAGCACAACTTCTTCCCTGTCCCCCATGCTGGGCCTGGGTGATGGTGCCTGTTCTGTGAACATGCTAAGATGTTCTAAGGGAATGCCCTCTTGCACCAACCAGTTCTTGTTTAGGTGACATTTTAGAACATTGTATTTCCACATCCCCCTACCCACCACGCTTCTTACTCCAGCAGAGTAGACCAGACATTGAGTACCTCACCCAGAAGTCATCTTTTCATACTCCAATGGACGTCAGTTCCTCACCCTATGTTCTTACTCCACTGCCCCATGCTTCCTTGTAGGAACTGCTTTCTCTTCTCTATGCAAATTACTGTCGTGTTATCAATCAAAGCCCTTTTACAGCCCCTAAAACAGGGCTGGACGCTTGGTACAGTCTAGGCAGAGGACCTGGGCCAGAGCTCTTTTCCCAGGTTTGATATGGATATTTTCTGGACTCTCCAACAATGTAAACCTCAAGTAACCTATGGCCATCAGATGAGGAGAAACTGAATGAGAATGAAATCAATACAAAAGAAAAGAGAACCAAGAGACATTTGCCTAATGAACTTTATAACCCAAAAATGGAAAGTTTCATTTTTATTTATTTCTATAATGGACCCTGCTCCAACTAATGACTAGTAGCAATTCAGGTTAAATAGCTTTTTATATGACAGATTAGAAATGCAATCATAATTTTATAATAAAGATTCTGAAGGGAAAGCACATTTCTTTTTTTGTTATTTTTAAAACAAACAACCTAAAACCTTAGAAGACAGGAAAAGCATATTTCACAGTACCCTCACAAATGGACTTACTGAGGCCAGGCTACTTGTGTGTTGAGGCCTACCTGTATTAGAAAATTAATAAAGAACCATACAATAAAACAATGAAAAAAAAGCTATTCAAAAAAATGCACAGACTATATTACAAGTAAGAAAGATACACTAAATTGTGGTTTAAATCACTCTCTATCAGCTCTACTAAAATAAGTACTAACCAGCTACAATATAAAAGGAAAAAAGGCAATTTATCAGGTTAAAACAACTTGTTATCTAAGAATTTTGCTGACTATCTAACAGCTGGCCTGTAAGTGGGATACTTTACAGCAAAAGAAAGCTTCCAAAGGCTCCTTTCCCCATCCAAAGGTCCTCAAGCTACACTAGTATTTCTCCTCTCTACTTCCAATAATATCAGGAATAGCATTGTATCTACAGGAGATAAGCTGAGAGGAAATCCTCATTCTATGTATTATACAAATTATAGTGACAGGTAATTAAGAGTAAGCTGCCATAAGAGCCATTATCTGTGACAATATTCTTCTGAGACAAAAATATCTGCAACTGAAAGTAACAGAAAACAGGTTGTCATTAAAGCACTAAGAGCAACTACTCTGTTTAATTTTCTGCTAGGTTAATCTGTGGGTATTTTCCTCCTCTCCATTTTTAAAAAAAAAAAAAAAACAAACTTGAGCAATATAGCAAGATCCCATCTCTACAAATAAATTTTTTAAAAATTAGACAGGCATGGTGGTGTGTGCCTGTGGTCCCAGCTACTCGGGAGGCTAAGGCAGGATTGCCTGAGCCCAGGAGGTGAAGGCTGCAGTGAGCTGTGATGGCACCACCACACTCCAGCCTGCTGCATGGAATTAACCACTCTACTAGCTCTGCTGCATCTACTCTGACCACAGTTTTATTTCTGAGCATAATTCACAATGTTCACCAACCTTTAATAGTTGGAGCTGTGGCCCCTGTAGATATGTTAATTTTATATATAATAACAAGACACAGAGACCAGAAGCTTATATTTCTACTGATCAAATGAATCTCTCCAGGGGATAAAGACAAAGCGTCCTCTGATGGTCTCTTAGTAAGTTTCTCTCCTGCTTGTCTTAATTTTATTGTTGAGAATTCTAACTGAAATGCTGTTTTTTAAATTAGAATATAAGGCTAAATTCCAGAAAAAAATAAGTGAGAGGAGTAATGAGTAGCCTGTTCTGGAGAGAGAGAAAGGTAAGGGAGTGCTGATTCTTTGTTATAGGTTTTATGCATAGTGCACAGAGACATTCCCAAAGCACAGGGAATCACACACATCACTTCAACCGCTTTCCTCAAATCCATGAGAAACCCATCTAATATGTCCTATGTAGGGACTAATATTTAGAGTCCACCAATCTGTTCAATATAACTTACTGTGTTACCTATTTTATCAATATATGCATTTTAAAACACCTGCCATGGATTCACCTAATAGTACAGTACAACAGTATAAAATAAACTACCACAACAATTATATAGCACAAGTTTGTGATACTCCCCAGTGACTCAGAACAGGTAACATTCAGGTAAAACTTCTCAAATTTTCCCAAAGTTTTAAAAACGTGTAATTACTAGAATTACCTCCATAAGAACTGGGATGTGCTTTTTCCCCACATTTCACACTTTTATATCTCTAGCACTGGTACAATGAGAGAAGTAAATTGTCAAATACCCCACAGACACATGGAGGCATTTGCACAGCTAAATGTATACTTGTACATTTGTACCATTTAATCAAGTAAATCATTCTCAAAGAATCAAGAGATCACTTAGACTAGGCTATATATTAATACTAAATTTTGGCTATGAGAAATTTCTGACAAAATAGGGATGATCAGATTGACAAGTTAGAAACTATCTATCTCCAAGATTTTAAGATGTCAGGCAACTGGCTGGGTGTGGTGGCTCACGCCTCTAATCCCAGCACTTTAGGAGGCTGAGGTTGGCGGATCATGAGGTCAGGAGATCGAGACCATCCTGGCTAACACGGTGAAACCCTGTCTCTACTAAAAATACAAAAAATTAGTCAGGCATGGTGGCAGGCGCCTGTAGTCCCAGCTACTCGGGAGGCTGAGGCAGGAGAATGGCGTGAACCCGGGAGGCAGACGTTGCAGTGAGCCGAGATCGCGCCACTGCACTCCAGCCTGGGCGACAGAGCAAGACGCTGTCTCAAAAAAAAAAAAAAAAAAAAAAGATGTCAGGCAACTTTGTTTCCCTTCCCTTAAAGATCATTTCAAAATTCCCAATCAAGTCTCTTAGCATTTAATTCTATTAATAGAAAAGAACAATTTTCCTTTAATAACTTATGGAATGCATTCATCGTTTTTAAAACTGCTTCCGAACATGATTCTAAAAGCGTATCAATGGATACTTACATTGACTAATCCAAAATAGTGCTCATTGACCGGAAACTGTTCTGGACCAATCTCTTTCTCTAATGCCGAAGCATTGGCGCCCTATAAAATGAAAAACAAAAATCTTAGTATTTATAGTAGTCATGCACCACATAATGACACTTCAGTCAATGACAGGCCGCAACATGATGGTCCTATCACATTACGATGGAGCTGCCCTACACAGGTGCGTCTTTATCCTTTACACCGTATTTTTAGCTGTACCTTTCTTACGTTTAGATATGTTCAGATGCACACTTATTCCTGTGTTACGATTGCCTAGAAAATACAGGAACATGCTGTATAGGTTTGTGGCCTTCGAGCAACAGGCTCTACCATCTAGCCTAGGTGTGCAGTAGGCTCTACCACCTAGGTTTATGTAAGAACGCTCTGATGTTCGCATGCACAATGACGAAATGGCCTAACGATACATTTCTCACACCATATCCCCATCGTTACACATGATCGTATTTTCATAATATTGTCACAATTACACAGGTGTTACAGAGACACCCTGTAAAAAAAACTATCTGTGATCCCTATTGCTACCTAACACAAAGAAAAGAAAAAGGAGAAAAGAAAGAATGATATTGAAGAGTAAAGGCTTTTGATAATGACTAAAAATTCGTTTATAGGAACTTTCTTCTCACAGAACCAAAGCCTGGATCAAGGAATTACATTCATAACATGTTCTTTTTTTCTAAGTAATGAATGAAATTTCCTGCTGTATCATGTACTCTAACAGGAGTGTAATCTGATAGCACACATCTCTCAGAGCTGAAGTTCTGTGAAACTAAATATAAATATGCACATGCTCAGTGGCCTAGGAATTCTGAAGTATAAACCTGAAATTCTTACACAGAACTGAAGTTGACAAGAATGTTTACTGCAGTATCATTTATGATTGCAGCTGACAGCAGTCTAGATGGGCCATTGTTAGGGAAATAGATACATAAAATGTGACAGCATACTACATAGGAGAGCCAGAATAAATAAACTAGGTTTACACACAGAAACATGAGTATCTCAAAAACACAATGTTAAATGAAAAAAAGAAAAATTAGATTAACATAAAACACCAACGTGTGTGTGTGTTTAATAGCACACGGAAAGCAGACCGAAGAATGTATATTAAATATACTATATACCTGAGTGAGTGCTGGAAGAGGGATGGACCATGGAATTGGGAATGGGGCAAAGGAGAAAAAACAAAATTCAAGAAACAAGGACCTCGCACAGACAATCATAGCGTGTCACAGTTTCAAGAACGTGATCAACTCAATTCTGTGCACCTGTGGTCCCCGACGACCATGTGAAAGGGAGGGGGAGAAATGTGGCCCTGAGCACCATGGTGGGGGATGACACACAAGCAGATACAACTAAACAGATTCTAAAATGTAGTTTGAAAGGGAAATAAAAGCAATTCTGTTAATATAACTCTGAATATGTTTACCTTGAAAATTCCCGGGAAAACATACTAGATAAATATAACTGCCGGGACATTGCTCAAAAAATATCAAAATGTCACAGTGAAGAGCTGCAGAGACAACATGCCTCTTCAGCTACACTGGGCATATGGTCAACAACGCACCAGTACTCAGAATCCCACACCTGCTGCTTCCTTTCCGCATGAGACTCCTAAATCTGGGAAGCCCAGAACCTTTGTTAGACATGCATCTTCAATTTCCTGACAGCTCTAGGCTGAAAAGGGGACTGATAAAGGCACATGGTGAGTTGGCAGTCAAGTTCCACCAAAACAAGACGTTTCTTCTATTATCTTCCAGCCAACCAGCACTTCTATATACATGATACTGTCTTTATTTTTTTGACTTGGGAATCAATTTTAAGTTTTATATAAAACCTTAATACCATCACTAGTTAATAGATATCATTTATTTCTAAATTTGGATAGCAATATGTCATAACAATACCAAATTCAATTATTACAGCAACTTCACAATCCACTAAAAATTGATGGGAATATTGCAAGCCCTACTACCCCTCACCCTGCCAGCTCAAGTACTTTGTCACAGAAGTCCCTGACATATGTTGAAAATAACCAACAAACCCAGGTTTTTACCACCTGTTGTAAAAATTCAAACTGATACTGGCTTATTCAAATGAGTATAATCCTTTCCCCCGACCAAAACAGAAGAAAAGGTGCCATCAACCAAAATACAACCTCAAATACTTACCCATCTAGAACAATAAAATACCAGTCCATACACCTTAGGAAGGCATTTCTGGCCTTTAAGACACACTAAGAACAAGGTAACAGGTGAAGGTTATCTCTCTACTGTTAGCCGAATCACATGCCACTCGCCTTGTATTCTAACCACCCCACATGTCCACCTGTCACCATATGTACCACATACTTTCATGCCTGCTTAGTAAGCTCTTCTCCCACTCCCTTGTCCTCACAGTAGTTTCAACTATGGGTCAGGTATTGTCTCTCTCTGCCTCAGTTTCCCAACTGTTAAAGAAAAATGTTAGCAACTACTTTATAGGGTGACTATAACAGAATTTTAACTTTTCTAAGGCAGCTGGTGGCGCCTGGCACACAAGCAGGTGTCCAATAAATGTTGGTCCTCTTCTTACCCTTCCCTTCAAACAAAAAGAAAATAAACTAGTCACAGTAATACATCTTTTCTGCTCCGTGCAAAAGCTAAGAAATGACAAGAGAAAAATCAGAAGACAAAACAAGACAGCTATAATACAAAAAAATAGATACTCTCCTTAGTTTGGCAGACAAGAGCCAATTCCATGAAGCGGCCCCCAGAGGTATCATCACTGTACTCCCCCACACGGCCTAACAACAAAGCAGAACCATAATCCAATTCAGAAGTCTGAGGACAGCAGGCCAAGAGGAGTAAGGTGGAAAGAGCTGTAGATCATCATCGTTTAACCCTTCTGGATTTAAGAATCTTCACTTGCAAAATAAAAGGGGTCAGAATCCTCAGTGATTTTCAAAACTCCCAGTTCCAAATTTATCTGTTGGGTTTTCAAGTAAGGCTTTACATGAACTAAGATTTTCATGGCTAAAACTATTCAGAAAATTAAAAGATTATGTGATTTCTAAAATCCCTTCTCACTCAACATTCTATCGTTTCCGATCACTTTCATGAATGCTTCTGAAGACATTACTGTTTTAACACAAAACTCCAGGGAAGTCTAAGACAACCAATATATGCCAAGCCCACAATTCAACAGCTTGAAGAATGATGGCTAGGACAGACTGACGGTAGCAGATCGAAATGAGAAGTACAAAGAAAGAAGAGCACTCACCTTATTACAGTTCTAAAGTAAGGCATAGCACCATAAACTATGCCTTCCTGTGGTAATGACACTGCGCAGCAGATTCTGCAGATGCAGGAGAAGCATGCTTATTGCATGCATTCAAGGTTTTCCTTAACAGAAATGATCAGGGTACACTCCTCTCTCTAGCCTAACGCTAACTAAAAAGGCAAAAGATTATACTAAGCAACTGGTTTCTGCTAAGTTGTTTTTAAATTTAACAGTGTTTTCAACACCAAAGTTAGATATAACTGGTGAAAAACCAACTGGAAAGTCAAAATTTTACTGTATGATTGTTACCATCTTTAAGACATTCCTGAAGGATTTTGTTGAAGGCTGACAAATTCTATTACATCACATAATGGTCACATAATCACCCAAAAATTTAAAGTGAGCCTAGAAAAAGTAAACATTCAATAATAATAGCTCCATTCCCACATTTGAGAAGTACGACCCTATCAAAACTAACAATAGCTTTTATGAAATCAGTGATTCTTTACTGGGATAAAGAGAAGGCGTGATGGTGAGTTAAGTTCTGCTCCAGGCCAGGCACAGTAGCTCACGCCTGTAATCCCAACACTTTGAGACGATGAGGCAGGTGGATCTCCTAAGATCAGGAGTTCGAGACCAGCCTGGCCAACATGGTGAAACCCCATCTCTATTAAAAATACAAAAAATTAGTCAGGGGTGGTCGTGGGCGCCTGTAATTCCAGCTATTCAGGAGGCTGAGGCTGCAGTGAGTCAAGATTGCGCCACTGCACTCCAGCCTAGGCAACAAGAGCAAAACTCCATCTAAAAAAAAAAAAAAAAGTTCTGCTCTGGAGCCTTCATAGGTATCAGAATTAATTTATTTTTGTCTGAGCACATGACATACACAAATGGAAGAAGACATTTTTTTCTGACTTCTGTCCCCATTTTTGTAACTTAGGCAAAAGATTAGACTTAGTACCCTTACTATAGAATTCATCATGAAGAAGTAATGAGATACTCAGGCCCTTCTGATGAAAACAACCAAAAGATGGGTGAAATTTAAAAAATAATAATTAACTGAGCTAGTGATAAAATAATCTGCAGAAATCAAAAAACAAAAGTGATGGGGGAACTACGAGAGATAAGCAAACACCAAAGACTTCCCACTGCTGGTATTTCCTGACCCTAGTGACCTTTAAATTCTCTTCTAACAGCTGAATGGAACGGTATGCAGGAAACAGATGCTAAAACTTAGGGTCCACTCAAGACAGGGAGGACAACAGGAGAGATGAGCATGAAGCCGAGATCTCTAAAGGGTTTCTCTTCAATGCATAAGGGAACCAGTAATAATCCCATACCACAAGAAACAGCAAGATAACTTGCTTGACTTGTCCTTGGCACTTAGGAGTAGAGACAGGGAGAAAGGAGAAACATCTTCCCAAAATTCATAACCATAACTAGGCCCTCGTAAAAGTCTGTGACCCAAATTTCCACTGACTATGTGATCTTAAAAAAAAAAAAAAAACCTCAGTAGAGAATTCAAAGAAATCCTAAATTGAGAGTGCCCTCCTTCCACCTCTTCCACTCCACAAAAGGCAGAATTACAAATTCGCTCTGGAATGAGACAAATTCAATCCACCCACGAAGAATTCCTACAAATACAAGCCAAGAGATTTGAGTTCATAAGTCAAAAATTACAAAAACACACAGGAAAAGAAAGCCCCATGAATAAGAGCCCCATGAAGAAATGCAGACAGCAGAATGAAACTCAAGAAGATATTAAGGCAGGCGTGGTGGCTCATGCTTGTAATCCCAGCACTTTGGGAGGCCGAGGCAGGTGGATCACGAGGTCAGGAAATCGAGACCATCCTGGCTAACACGGTGAAACCCCGTCTCTACTAAAAATACAAAAAATTAGGTGGGCATGGTGGCAGGCACCTGTAGTCCCAGCTACTCAGGAGGCTGAAGCAGGAGAATGGCGCGAACCTGGGAGGCAGAGCTTGCAGTGAGCCGAGATCATGCCACTGCACTCCAGCCTGGGAGACAGAGCGAGACTCTGTCTCAAAAAAAAAAATTAAATACCAGAATTAACAGACACAGGATGTAAAACAAATGTCTCATATGTGTCAAGAAATGGCAATGAATTGATTATAAGAACAAAGATGAGACTCTAAGCAGACTTTTAAAAAGAACTAAATACAACTTCAAAATATAAAAGTTGGAAAAGCTGAAGTAAAAACTCAATGGTGTGGCCAGGCATGGTGGCTCGTGCCTGTAATCCCAGCACTTTGGGGAGGCTAAGGCAGGTGGACTCAGGAGTTCAAGACCAACCTGGGCAACATGGCGAAACCCCGTGATATGGTTTGGCTCTGTGTCCCCACACAAATCTCACCTTGAACTGTACTTCCATAGGAACCTGGTAAGAAATAATTTGAATCATCAGGGTGGTTCCCCCATACTGTTCTCGTGGTAGTGAATACGTTTCATGAGAACTGGTTTTAACTGGGGTTTCTGTTTTTGCATCTTTCTCTTGCCACCGCCCTGTAAGAAGTGCCTTTCACCTCCTCCCATGATTCTGAGCCCTCCCCAGCCATGTGGAACTGTAAGTCCAACTAAAACTCTTTTTCTTCACGGTCTTGGGTACATCTTTATTGGCAGTGTGGAAACGGACTAATACACCCCATCTTTACCGAAAATACAAAAAACTAGCCAGGCATGGTGGCATGCACCTGTAGTCCCAACTACTTGGGAGACTGAGATGCAAGGTTCACATGAGCCTGGGAAGTGGAAGCTGCAGTGAGCCGGGAGTGTGCCACTACACCCCAGCCTGGATGACAGAGTGAGACCCCATCTCAAAATAAATAAATAAATAAATAAATATTTAAGTAAAAAAATTTTAATGGGTGTGCTTAAGAACTAAACAAGGTTAATATCAGATAGTACTTTTTAGCCAATATTCCTGTCAATGTAAGGTTATTAATGAAAACTCAAGTTTCGTTAAAAACAGGAAACGTGGCCAGGCGCGGTGGCTCATGTCTGTAATCCCAGCACTTTGGGAGGCCGAGGCAGGCAGATCAAGAGGTCAGGAGATTGAGACCATCCTGGCTAACATGGTGAAACCCCGTCTCTACTAAAAATACAAAAAAATTAGCCAGGCCTGGTGGCAGGCGCCTAGTCCCAGCTACTTGGGAGGCTGAGGCAGGAGAATGGCGTGAACCTGGGAGGCGGAGCTTGCAGTGAGCCGAGATCGCACCACTGCACTCCAGCCTGGATGACAGAGTGAGAGTCCATCTCAAAAAAAAAAAAAAATATTTTACAGAGAAGATTTCATGGGAGAATGGATTCATTACAGAACTGCTGTAGAGAGACCATGGTATACTACAAGTATCATTGAACTAGCAAAGCTACAGACTTGAGTCTGGTCTTGGCCATGACATTAAATTATAAATGACCTGTAACAAATCATTCTTTCCAGACCTCAGTTTCCTCAGATGTAAAACTTCTGTCTATAGTACCTTCCATCCCCACATTTTTAGCAACATATGAATTTATCAGCTCTTCCAATTTCATTAAAACATTAAATATACAATGTTGGATAGTCTATTAAAAGTCAAACATTAACAAAGTCCTGAATGAGTTAGGAAATAGCATCATATCCTCAACAATAGCCATCCAATACTAAGAATTTGTAGGCTGATATAGTTTGGCTGTGTCCCCACCCAAATCTCATCTTGAATTGTAGCTCTCATAATTCCCACGTGTCGTGGCAGAGACCCAGTAGGAGGTAACTGAATCAAAGGCATGGGTCTTCCCATGCTCTTCTTGTGATAGTGAATAAGTCTCATGAGATCTGATGATTTTACAAAGGGCAGTTCCCCTGCACACGCTCTCTTGCCTGCCGCCATGTAAGACATGCCTTTGCTGATCTTCTGCATTCCACTATGATTTTGAGGCCTCCCCAGCCATGTGGAAATGAGAGTCCATTAAACCTCTTTTTCTTTATAAATTACCCAGTCTCAGGTATTTCTTCACAACAGTATGAAAATGGACTAATACATAGGCAATGGGGCAAGTATCTCCTTTAACTTACCTAGTATGAATTCTTGAAAAGATGAGGTCTTGTCCTTTTCACACCCAGAAATCACCATCCAAGTGAAATAATAATAGGTTGAAATTACAAAGATACCTTTGACCTATTATTTTGATAATATAAAAGTAACTATATATTAAATGTGTGAGCAACCCAAAAATATCTGCAAATAGGAAAAAAATAATCTGGGAGATGGCTATCCTGCAATTAAATAATTTTTACATAGTCAATCATGGAAAACATACAACTAACTACCTTTCACTCCTTTCACTCTGCCATTATGAAAAAGATAAAAATCACACAAAAGTAAACTAACAACCAGGAATGTTTTCAAGAAAACAATTCAATCTGGAATTAATGTAATTCCTTAACTTAAAAATCTCCTGGCCCACAATATCTACATCTAAAACCAGATTATGGCTAAAAAATGGTGTCTATGAGGATATGTCATTTTGAAAAGTTATATTCAGTATATACTATTTTATAAAGTAGAGAACAATACACCTTACCAAGAAATTAAAAATGATGAAAACATAAAAGAATGTGCATCTATCATTTGGAAAATGTATTTAAATAGCCAAACTATTAGTTTCCACACAACTTTAATATAAATAAAGAGAAAATTCAATACACTGTTCCAGTTTCATGTTTCAAGTCATATTTTAGAATGCAGCATGTATCATTTTAAGTTAGATCAGGTCAGTACACAAAGGAGAACCGCCAAATCAGGCAGGAAAAGCTTCCCAGAGGTGGGAAAAGCACGTGACCTGGTAAAATAAGAAAAGTTCTGGAGGCACAGGAAGCAGCCCATGTGACGGTGTGAAGGTATAAACACAACAAAGAAGTGAATGTGAGCTGTAAAAAGATGAATCCAAAGTATAAAGGTGAAACAAGTTCATCTCATAAATGAGAAAGGGCGAAGAGTCAAAGAGAAGGCTTAACCCTCATACCTGTTCTAGAAAACACCATGTGCCCAGAAACTGAATCAAAGGCAATGAGAATATTTATGACAAAACACATTATACAATGAGTTTGAGGAATCATAAAAAGAGTATCAAAGTAGTAGGCCTTGGGTTATGTGAAATTCAGTATCTGACTACCTGTGTTCTCTCTAGCCCTGTGCTAGTAACTGGAGAACATGACTTTTAAAGTGTGACACCCATTAGTGAGTGGTGAGGTCTTTGCAGTGGACCACTACCATCTTCTTTTTCAGTAAAACAGATCAGACACACATCTTTATTAGGAGTAAACAAAGTCTTCTGAAACTTTTGTTTCAATATGTAAGTATGTATGTATGTATTGGGTTTCATATTATTTATCACTCTAAGTTGAAATTTTTTAAATTTTATATACAAAAGCATAAGAAAAATTTCAAAATCATAATTCAACTGGGGAGTAGAGAGTGAATAAAAATTAGCTTTTCATGATTACATATAAATAAAAATCCATTTAAAAATAAATTTAAAGATGTAGAGATAAGAGAATAAGTGTCAAAACTATGTCACAACACAGGATGTACTATAGCAAGTCTGGACAGGAACAACACTGAGTGCTGGAGAACTTGGAAAGGCTTCACAAACAGATGGAACTGAGAGTTGCTTCCAAGATGGCCGAATAGGAACAGCTCCGGTCTACAGCTCCCTGCGAGATCGATGCAGAAGGCGGGTGATTTCTGCATTTCCATCTGAGGTACCTGGTTCATCTCATTGGGACTGGCTGGACAGTGGGTACAGTCCACGGAGGGTGAGCGGAAGCAGGGTGGGGCGTCCCCTCACCCGGGAAGCGCAAGGGGTCAAGGGATTTCCCTTTCCTAGCCAAGTGAAGCTGTGAGTGACTGTACCTGGAGGAAGGGTACACTACTGCCCAAATACTGTGCTTTTCTGACGGTCTTTGCAACCGGCAGACCAGGAGACTCCCTCCCGTGCCTGGCTTATGGGTCCCACGCCCAGGGAGCCTTGCTCGCTGCTAGCACAGCAGTTTGAGATTGACCTGGGACGCTGGAGCTTGGCAGGGGGAGGGGCGTCCGCCATTGCTGAGGCTTGAGTAGGTGGTTCTGTGCTTACAGCATAAAGCAGCAGGGAAGCTTGAACTGGGCGGAGCCCACCACAGCTCAGCAAGGCCTACTGCCTCTCTAGATTCCACCTCTGGGGGCAGGGCATATCTGAACAAAAGGCAGCAGACAGCTTCTGCAGACGTAAACGTCCCTGCCTGACAGGTCTAAGAGACCAGTGGTTCTCCCAGCATGGTGTTTCGAGCTCTGATAACAGACAGACTGCCTCCTCAAGTGGGTCCCTGACTGGGAGTGCAGCCTGACTGGGAGACACCTCCCAGTAGGGGCCGACAGACACCTCATACAGGCTGGTGCCCCCTGGGACAAAGCTTCCAGAGGAAGGATCAGGCAGCAATATTTGCTGTTCTGCAGCCTCTGCTGGTGATACCCAGGCAAACAGGGTCTGGAGTGGACCTCCAGCAAACTCCAACAGACCTGCAGCTGAGGGGCCTGTGAGAAGGAAAACAAACAAACAGAAAGGAATAGCACAAACAGATGGAACTAAACAAGCCAGGCTTTGACTCTTTCTTTAGGGGTATTTTCATTATAGCTTTTCATGTTGGTACAATGAAAACCCTGAACTACAAAGAGTAGGCATTTAAACGTTCCAACCGCAGGCTGGGCAGGGGACTGGGTGACAGCCTTCAAACCAGGAGGCTGCATTCGTGTCCCCATTCTAATATAAACTAAACTACTGAGCCACTGCAATAAAACACTGCCTCAGTTTTCTCATCAGCAAGACAGGAGACCAGATTTGTAGCACCTATTGCAAACCCAAAATGCTACAATTCTAAAATAGCAGCACTACTGTAGAGTTACCAAAGTTTAAATTTAGAACAAATATTTGTTCTAAACATTTGAGCTCCAAATTACTAATCTGCAAAAAAGGGCAAACAAGACTTGCAACATGGCTTGTTTCTGTGAAAAATGTATAGAAGATGTTCAGAACAATGCCTGGCACAACAGGCACAAAGCAAACTTCCTTTGCCCATCTTCCTCCATCCCAACTACAATGCCATCTATTACTCCTTCCTTCAGATGAGTCTTTCAAAAAACACAGTCCTGACACAATTTCTGTGGCTGGGAGGGAAAGTATCTGGGGGTTCTGCACTGATCTGCAGTCATCCTAAGAGTCTTGGTCTATACTTCCTCCTCTAGTGGCCTCCTCTATGTTAAAACAAAAAACAAGCTTTTGATCTGTAAATGTTCACAATGAGACAATGAGCTACTGAAAGAAATCTCATAGTTTTTAACTATCCCATCAAAGTTAAAATGTGCACCATAAAAAGTAGAAGGGTCTAGACCTAAAACTGGCATTGCACCATTGTGGTACACATGGCAGAAGCTTGCAAAAGGCTTAAAATCAGAAATCGGCACAAAGCAAAGTGACCCTCAGTAAGATATATGGTACCAATGACATAAAAGGGAACAGAGAGGTTCAGCTGCCAACACTAATGGAGAAGTCAGAACATGTTGCTAAGTCTGAGAGAAATGAAATATTGTACAACCAGTTATCAAGCTCTAATAATCACATGATCAAAGGGCCTTTGCCTCTATTCCTATCACAGGTCTTCTGAAAACCATTTGTTCCATTGCAGGAAGAAAGAGAAACAATATAATTTTGCCGTCCAGTAGTGTTTATGTTTGTGTATACATCCCATTCTCCCACCTACCCTCCATATCCCTCCTAAAAATCTTCAACCTGATAGGGAAGATTTCTGGCAAGTTCTCAAAAACTGAATTTCTTCCCAGAAGAAATTAAAAGTAGTTTACTTTCTCCTTCAACTGCCACCACAGAAGCACATATGTAACATATTAAACATCTAAATTTCTCATCTCTTCAGAAAAAATCCAATTCTATGATTAATCACTGCGCAAGTAACTGCAAATTTAAATTTACTCAGAGGACTCCACTTATGTAATAAAAAACAAGTTACATATCTGAATCAATATTATAATTCACTGCTAAATAACTAAGCCAAAACCAACAGGCATGTAATTTTAACTTTCAAAAGTTCAAACGTCCACTAGAAACTCAATGTTCCTATTAGACATGTCAAAAAGCACAGTATTCCGATTATTTTATTCAGTATTTTCAATGAAAAGTTTCACCACATAATTCATGGCTAAATGTGTTATAGAGAATATTTAGAGAGAACAAAAGAAGATTCGGATTTACCTTAAGTCTTTTAACTCAGTCAAGATATGGAAATATAAGATCACTGGATGCCAAAAAAATAAACGAACGAAAAACAAGCTTTTGATCTGTAAATGTTCACAATGAGACAATGAGCTAATGAAAGAAATCTCATTACTTCATCTCTGTTAGAAGTAACAGTAGTAATAATACTGGCTTTTCCAAGAACCACTCTGTCAAGCCTTCACATTTGGCTTAACAATAACATCAAAAGGAAAATTCTCAAATATGACCAAACTCAGCATAAGAACATACTTGAGTGCACGATGAAACTTTACAGATCCTACTTTCCTAACAATACAAAAAACTTTCAAAAAATTAATAAAATACTCTCATGGATAGCTAACATTTAAAACATAACTATATCTGAACTCCGTAACTGGCACCTTACCTAAGGCAAAAAGGGTGGGCAAGATGTGTTTTTTCAGCATCTTCACATTGTCTTCAATGCAGGGATTCACCCACTTTGGTGAACAAATTACAAGAATGTTTCATCAAGCTCTTTCTACCATATTCTTGATAATTTCTATATCTATTCCACCAAATAATGTTTCAGCTCTATAAAAAGCAAGGATCCCTGGATTGCCACCCTGCGTACCCTTCAGACACCTGACTTGGATAACAGATTTCTGTGATTATGCTCAGTGAGAAAACCTGTGTTGATGCTTTTCCACTTATAAAAACATGAACGCTTCTATTTTTCCCAGCACCTATGTTACAGTATAATAAAGTATCTGTAAAGTACCTACCACTCCTGAGAAGAAAATCACTATATAAATACAAGGTATTATTAAGTTCAAGTGAAACCAAAATCAACAAATTACATTATGGACTGACTTAGTTTAATAGTAACGGAGTTCATACTCCAGATTCCATATGCAGACTCTGACTCACCCTAATAAAAAGCAAATTATCATCAAACTTACATAGTTTTATCAAATACTCGGAATATTCCATACACTTCAAATAAAAAAAAGTACTCATATTGTGAACTATCTAGAAAGAGTTCTTCATTCTTACCACAATAAGAAAGTGACCTGTAGCTCTTTCCGTGTCACTGAGACAACAGGAATATTATATTAAACCACAGTTAAGTGGAAAGAACAAAGCAGCATCTCTGCCAGTCCTGTTTTCTAGACCTCGATTCCCCTGACCTATAAAATGTGGTTCTCTCTTACCATTTTCCAGCTATAAAACTGTGGAAGAACTGAAAACAACTTTTAAGTTCTGCAAAAATAAAAACCATTCTTAGTAACCACACCATCAACAGCTCATAAAATGACAGTGTCACTCTAAAGCTATGCGTAGGCCAGGTGCAGTGGTTCATGCCCATAATACCAGCACTTTGGGAAGTCAGAGCAGGAGGACTGCTTAAGGCCCGGAGTTCTAGAGAAGGCTGGGCAACATAGCAAGACTCTGTCTCTACAGAGGATGTTGTGGAGCACGCCTGTAGTCCCAGCTGTTCGGGAGGCTGAGGCAGGAGGATCATTAAGCCCAGGAGTTCGAGGCTGCAGTGAACTATGACCTGGGCGACAGAGTGAGACCCTATCTCTTAATAATAATAATAGCAAATAAAAATAAATGTATGCATAATTTTTGTGAAGGATGTTAGAGAAATGCTGCAAAGAACTTTATTCCATTAATGTAGTTTCGGTCTTTTCAACAACAAGAAAGCACCACTCTTTGATAAATGGTGGGGAAGTAGAAAAGAACTGGCTGCCAACTGGCATGAAGCACGGTCACATCCAAAACATACGAGTGGAGTGACCAACATGAAAAATGGCAGAGTAGAAAGCTCCCAGGGTTAGTCCTTCCACCAAAACCATTAAGCTGAAAAATACATCAGAATCAACTATTCTGAACCTTAGAACCTAATCAGACATTAAACACCCAGGGCAGTAGTTGATGAAGGGAGAAGAGAGCACAGCATGCAAACCAGCTACTATTCCCTACTCCTCAGCATCCCCAGAGGCGGGCACAGGACCACCTCCTAGAGCAGCTGCCTAGTAACAGGGCTGGCAGCGGGAACCTTGCCCTCAACAATTTAGGATTGTGCATTTTGCTCAGTTCTGGCAGTAGCCTGGGGAAACAGCACAGATTCTTGCTTTTGTTTCTGTCCCCTTAGGCTGCAACCTTTCTTGTTTTTTTCCCTTTATTGAGGGGGATGGGGATCCAGACATTATACTAAATCTCTATCAAGTCATAGCTGTCCAGAGATAGTAAGACAGAAACTTCAGTGACCACACACAACAAGGAATACAGACTTTGCAAAACTGGTTTAGAAAAGTCATTATACAAATGGATGACTGCAAGCCTCAAAAAAGCAATCACTGAGGAGGTGGAGAATCTGATTTTCAGAGTCACCACATTACAACATTCAAACTGTTCAGTTCTCACACACACACAAAAAAAATCACAAAACATGCCAAAAAAAAAAAAAAAGGAAAATATGGTGTATTTGCAGGAAAAAAGAATTTGACAGAAACCATCCCTGAGGAATTCCAGACACTGGAATGACTAGTCAAAGGTATTATTAAATCAATCGTATCAACGGTATCACACTGGGGTCCCAAAACAAGAGCTGAGCACGCTTACTTCCCCACGACTAACGTGGTTTTTTCAGTGAGTCACTTGTTGAAATCTCAAATTTCCTGGATGAGAACCATTTCTGCAGGGATCAAATGAGGTCAAATCACAAGTCCAAAAAGATTACACAAGTATCACAAGTCCAAAAGATTAGCTAATTCTTGAAGGCAACAACATTTAAATTCCACCACTTTGCTTCAGCAAGCCGTGACGCTTAAAAACAAGGGTGTCAGAAAAATTCTGGATGAAAAGATCAGTTCATGAAAGTAAGGAAGGAATAGTGTTGTGCAGCTATAGAAATAACAAGAGCTGAATGACACTCAAAGTTTATGTGTGGCATTTTCAAAATGCAGTAAAATTCATTTTTTAAAATAAGCACAGATTTACATATGTTAAACACAATTTGAATACAAATTCAGAATGCAGGAAGCAGTCAATATGGGAACTTGAGTGTGGGTACATTACAAAGAAGAAAGGTAAGAACTGGTAAGAGACACTTTAGCCATAGCAGGCCAGAAGGCTGCACAGGTGTGAAACCCTCCTGGTGAGAGGGTGAGCAGTGAGCTCCACCACCACTTCTCAAACCACGTGACTCTGGGTGAGTCACTTTCTCAGTCTTAGTTTCCTCACCATATCATACAGGAAAATACCTACTCTGCCTACCTCGGGGTTACAGAAATCAAATAGTGAATGTGAAAGTGCTGTAAAACGTAAAGCATTATGTAAAGGTATGACTAGAAACATGAGTCATTTGGATTTTTCTAAGTAATCATTTTACCAAAGTGAGCAACGTGATGGAAACTTGCCCCAGTAGAGTGAAGTACCTTGTTCAAGTACACTTGGTTTTGAAAGCCACTATGTAAATGGAAAAGAGACCACTCTTTAACCTATGTAAAAGTCTGAGGTTAGCTTCCTATGGACAGTTAAAATATCAGAACAAGCACCAAATCCCTTTCATATGCTTTGTATAAAACCTTTTATTTTATAAGTACTCTAAGTTCACAATCTAAAAATAATTCAAACTGTAAAGAGGGTGTAAAACTCAAAGTATTATTCACCACTCCCTCTCTTAAGGTTCATTTCCCTGGAGACAATACCCATTAACGGTTTTAGTTCTTAATAATGATTATCATAACTTTAAATAATATATTGCATGCCTCAGTCAACAGCTCTTAATTCTGTGCTTTTGCAAGAAGAGAAATTGACACACACACTACCTCCCAACTCTCCTTCCACAGGCCACCTCCTAATTTTTATTACGTGTCACTGGGTAGAGTATTGTTCTAGTGCTTCTACTGGTTCTACATCTAAATCTTTAGCTAGATTTACCAATTCTCATATAGCACGTAAGAAATCCGGGCTATGAAACAAAAGGAAATAAGCACATTCACCTTTCCTGCTATCCCTCATTTCCTCCACCTCCCAGCCACTTACTCATATATTCAGGGATTATAACATTTACATTAGCTTCTATAATTATATCTTCCATGCTTTATCTTTGGTGTATTCAAAAAGCAATTAACTAGAAAGAGTAGATACTTGAAGGGTAGCTAATGTGTGCAAAGGAGATTGGCTTATGAAGTAGAGAGGGGCCAGTAGAAATGTTAGTAACTTCAAACAAGAAAATTTTAGTTACACATGTTAAAAAATGTATAGGTTACTAGCAAAACATAAAATATCATTCCAATAAAAAGCAGTACAGGAAGGCAAAAAAAAAGAAAAGAAAAAGAAAAAGCAAAGGAACAGAAATATAGCCCTCACTCATTAAATTACTGCCCCTCGAAGGAGACTCTTCCATGTTCCAATCTCTTGGTTGTCCTCAAGTGTCTGGAAATCCCTGGTTGGCTGTACGGCTTTGTGAATGAAAGATGGTTAGTGTAAGTATCTCAAGAGGGTTTCCTCTGCATTTGCGTAGGTCTGGCTGTCCTAAAAGATCGTTGGTTTCAAGTTCTATGTGTGTGAGGAGCTGGTGGGCACGTTAACAAGAAGAGCAGTACTCAGAATAGGAATGTCCTTGTCCTGTGTCTGCTGTAAAAACCAAAGTGCTATGTATGAGCTCTTCTCTGCTCTCTCCACTCTCACGCACTCCTCAGACAAAAGATCACCCACTTTCTGGCAAGACCATGACTCTAGCCTTATCCTAAAGGTGAAAGCCTGGCAAACCAGCCACTCTGAAGGGGACAGAAAGGAGGCTCCATTGAGCCAGCTATTCTGAATGAACTTCTTTAATTACCATGGTGATGGCAACACAGCCATGCTCCTACTATGAACTGTTGATTCCAAACTCAAGCTTCCACCAGGGCTCTCTCAAGAAGCCCAGGGTCAGCTGTTAACTAACACTTATTAATTATTCTCTCTCCTGCTGTAACTTTTTCTACTAGCTGTTGTCTCTCTAATCCTATTTACTATCTTGCAATCCTCTAGGAATCCTCAAAAATATCTGATCTATTAATAACACAGTCTATCCTCTAGCTCTATTCCAGTTCAATAAACTTAACGCAAACACCACACTCACCACACTCACATGACATCTTTCTGTTATTTCTATAAAAATTTTAGAATGGGTGTGCACATGCTTAGACTGATCTCAGGATCCTTTATAACATAGTTTAACAAGAATAGTATTACTTCAAAGTAGTCTACTCTTCCCAGAATATAAATTATCATCTAAATTACGTAAAAAGCTTTGCTAGTAAACATCTACAATACCATCCTGGCTAACATGGTGAAACCCCGTCTCCACTAAAAAATACAAAAATTAGCCGGGTGTGGTGGCGGGCACCTGCAGTCCCAGCTACCGGTGGGGCTGAGGTAGGAGAATGGCATGAACCTGGGAGGGCGGAGCTTGCAGTGAGCCAATATCGCGCCACTGCGCTCCAGCCTGCGACAGAGCAAGACTCTGTCTCAAAAAAAAAAAAAAAAAAAAATTCTACAATAATGGGAGAAATACCTGGAGCTAAATCAATCTGATCGGAAACTCTCAGCCCATACCAAAGCAGGTTTCATTCAGACCACTATTTCACTAATAATCACCAACAGTTTTCTTAAATACTACATATAGAAATGTAAAAAAAAATTATATTCAGAAAAATGTCCTAATTTTATTCTAATTTATAAAGCAATATTTGGGGCTGGGAGTGGTGGCTTGTGCCTGTAATCCCAACCCTTTGGGAGGTCAAGGCAATAGGATCACGTGAGCCCAGGAACTTGAGACCAGCCTGGGCAACACAGTGAAATCCCATCTCTAAATAAATAAAATAAAAACATCAGCTGGGCATGCCCATTAGGTGGTACATGCCTGTAGTCCTAGCTACTTGAGAGCCTGAGGCAGGAGGATGGCTTCAGCCCAGGAGTTCAAGGCTGCAGTGAGCTATGATCAGGCCACTGCACTCCAGCCTGGGTCACAGAGCCAGACCCTGTGAAAAATAAATGTTTAATTAGTCACACATTATGACTGAAATGTGTGACTGCCCTATAAATGAAAAAGACTAAAGAAGCTCTCTCTATAGGGTTACTAACAACTTATAGGACAGAATTTGGAGAAAGGTAGCATAAAAGAAAGCGTTTTGATCAAAAGCAGTTCAATTTCTAAAATTTCTCTATCACATTTGGCTTGCCATATAAGCTCATTCTCTATTATATTCTGAAAAGAGACACAGAAAAAAAGAGGAGAATAAGTCAGCAACTGAGAGGGTGGAAAAATAAAATTTCAATGAGTTTCAAGGTAAGAAAACATACTTTGCCATGCCCACATAAAAGGTAAGCTGTCTCCCAAATCTGTCAGAAAAGAGAAGAGTTACTTTCTAATCAGGTCCCCTAAAGTCTTCCATATTACAAAATATACTCTCTCAATTACTTCATTTTGAACAACAAAGGGTTGTCCAAGGAACTCTCATGAGCCTAAAAAAACCTCAAATAAACAATTATGAGTGCCATTAAAGAAGAACTTGAACAGTTTATTAATTATGCCTAGAGATTTGATGTCATGATTGTACAAGATAGACGTCATAATAGATAAGCCATCTTCAATCAGTTTTATAAAAAGACTAGGTCAGTAATTAATGATCTATTAAGTGGGGATATTAGCTAACAAAAAAAATTGTCAATATTATAGAAATGGAAATGCTATCCCAAGCCATACTCACTGACACCATCAAAAATGAATTTTAAAGTGCCGTAAACAGACGTACACTTAAATGAAAGTAGACATGTTCTAACTAAATGTTTCACAGATGCTGAAGATATCTATGAACAGTTCAAATAAAAATATATCCTAAAACAAGGCCAGGTGCTGTGGCTCATGACTGCAATCCCAGCACTTTGGGAGGACGAGGTGGGCAAATCCCTTGAGCCCAGAAGTTTGAGACCAGCCTGGGTAACATGGTGAAAGCCCATTTCTACTAAGAAAAATACAAAAATTAGCTGGCATGGTGGAGTGCGTCTGTAGTCCCAGCTACTCAGGAAGCTGAGGTGGAAAAATCAATAGCTGAAGGCAGAGGTTGCAGTGAGCCGAGACCACAAAACCTGGGCAATAAAGCAAGCCTGTCTCAGATAAATAAATAATCATAAAATGAAAACATTTAGAATTTATTTTGTTTGATCTCAAATCTCTATCGTAACAACATTTATAAATTTTTTAAGTAAACTTTTAATTATATCTCAATCCCTAAACATTTATATACTCAAACGTTTAAGTATTGGGTCTATGGAGGCCGGGCATGCTGGCTCACGCCTATAATCCCAGCACTTTCGGAGGCCGAGGCAGATGGATTACTTGAGGCCAGGAGTTCGAGACCAGCCTGGCCAACATGGTGAAACTCCATCTCTGCAAAAAATCCAAAAAACTTAGCCGGGCATGGCAGCACACGCCTGTAATCCCAGCTACTAGGGAGGCTGAGACATGAAAATTGTTTGAACCAGGGTGGCAAAGGTTGCAGTATGCCGAGATTGCGCCACTGCACTCCAGCCTGGGTGACAGAGTGAGACTCTGTCTCAAAAAAATAAATTAAATAAATATTAGTCTAAAGAATATATAAATTACAAATCTGCTGCTATTATACATATGGGTATATAACCACATGTAAACACTTACTGCCAGAAGCTAGCTAGGGAGGGGAGAAGGCAGCAAAGAAGGAAAACATGCTTTTCTTTACTTTCCAAGTTGAAGTTTAAAATATCCCATCCCAAAACACATGAACTTTGTTTTAACAGGGCTCATTTTACATAAAATTCAGGCAGCACCATGGGTTCTGCTGTAGGATTCTCAAATGATTCCTGCCCTGAGATCAAAATATTATTTTAAACAGACCCCAATTTTCTGTCACACTGCTGAGAGTGGGAGAGTTAGGTGATTACAATAAAGTAAACCGCTTTCCATGTTCTGTTTAACCCACTGCCTTCCTTTCAAAACAAACTGTGACCGTTAGAGAAGCACCAAAACTTCAAGGCTCCTAAGTCCAAGTCTACAACAAGAAGAAAACAGACCTTAATAAAGACCCTTGGCGGGGCGCGGTGCTCACGCCTGTAATTACCCAGCACTTTGGGAGGCAGGTGGATCACCTGAGGTCAGGAATTCGAGACCAGCCTGGCCAACATGGCGAAACCCCATCTCTACTAAAAATACAAAAATCAGCCGGGCATGGTGGCGCATGCCTGTAATCCCAGCTACTCAGGAGGCTGAAGCAGGAGAATCGCTTGAACCGGGGAGGCGGAGGTTGCAGGGAACCAAGATCATGCCACTGCACTCCAGTCTGGGCAACAAGAATGAAAGCCCGCCTCAAATAAACAAATACATACATACATACATACCCTTTAGGTAATTCAAAAAAGTGAAATTCTTCTTCAATGGAGAGAATAGATAGGTAATTATCCTAGGTTAGTTTGTAGAGTCAACTCACGTTAAATTAGAGAAGACAGACTTTTCTGACTTCTAAGTGTATACCTATGTTTAGCTTTCCAAATATGTACTGACTACCCACAAGGCACCACTAGGCTAAAACTTGATATATGCATTATATGGTCCATATGCTCAGGGAGCATTCAGTATAAAAAAAGGAAAACCTAGATCAAACATATTAAAAAGGTAAAAATACAATATTTAAGTAATAAAATGATATTTGGGATTTGCCCCTAAAGAATCTGGGAAGGTTTAAGTTAGAGGGAGTAAAAAAGACACAACATTGGTCAAGAGGTGTTTTTTGCGTTAACTAAAGCATGATAGGTGCTTGGGGGTACATAATACTATTTTGTCTACTTCAATATACATTTAAGTTTTCCCATAATAAAAAAACACTAGATATGGTTAAAGCAAAATACATGATTAACTGCCAAATAAGTGACAAAGATATTGAACAAAGATAGTGAACAAACTGCATTTGTTCAGAAAGAGACACCCCTTCACATTAGGTGATGTGTGCCAGTAGTCTTCCATATTACAAAATATATTCCCTCAATTCCTTCATTTTGAACAAAGGGTTGTCCAAGGAAGCCTCATGAGCCTAAAACAACCTCAAGTAAACAATAATTCTAGGTGTCATTAAAGAAGAACCTGAACACTTTAATTATGTTTAGAGATAGGTCATGATTATACATGATAGATGTCATAATAAATCAGCCATCTTCAATCCGCTTTATAAAAAGACTCAGTTATCAATGATCTATTAAGTGGGGATATTAGTAAACAAAAAAAATCAATTGTCAATATTATAGAAATGGATATGCTATCCCAAGCCACAGTACTCACTGTGCTCACCATCAAAAATGAATTTTAAAGTGCTGTAAATAGATAGATGTATACTTAAATGAAAGTAGACATGTTCTAACAAACTATACTAGATTTCACAAAAATAATCATAAGTAAGATACCACACTGATTAAACCTCAGTCAGAGACTTCTCACTGATAAGCTATTGTGAATGCAGTGCTGTGGTGGGCAGAAATTAAAGTGTTCCCCCGATCTCAGCCTGCTAGTATCCATGCCTTTGTATAATTGCCTCCCCTGGAATATGGGCAGGACCTGTGAATTGCTTCTAACCAGTAGAAAATGACGGAAGAGATGGGATGTCACTTCTGTGACTATGTGACATAATGTAAGACTCCATACTGCTAGCAGACTTGCTCCCTGACTCCCTCATTGGCTTGGAAGGAGCAAGCTGCCGCGCTGAGAGGACTTATGGAGAGGGCCACATGGCGAGGAACCGTAGGCGGCCTCTCAGCACTGAGGGCAGCTGCCAACTAGGAACCAGAAAAAGCCTAGAGCCTTCACTTAGTCTTAACAGCTGCAAGAAAACATTCAGCCAGCACCCTAAGTGAGCTTGAAAGCAGATCCATTACCAACTGCAACTGCAGATGTGACCTGAGCCCTGGCCAGCACACTGAGTACAGCCTTGCAGAGGGCACGGCTTACCTACAACAGAAACTGTTATATAACATGAGTTCACTTCAGCTGCTCAATTTGTGATAATTTGTTACACAGCACAGAAGAATACTGCTACCATCCATTTAACTATAAACTTTTGCTCCTATATGGCAAACATACTCCGAAAGGCTCAGGGAGCTGAGAGGCCGAAGAAAGAGGCTAACAAATCCAGTTTCTCAGAAAGAAAAATTTAACAAAGATGTATGAACAAGTCTATTAAAGGCCTGAAAATTCCAGGAAAGGCTCAGATGGTAAATTTATGAACAGAAGCAATGTCTTGGGCAGCTGAGAGATGGTGTATCCCCTGTATCGCCCTCCAGAAAACACCTTTTATAGAGCAAGCTTTTAGGGCAAACACATGAGCAGCTTGACATGCCTCAGACTTTCTTAGGAAACCTGTGACCACTGGAGAGGTTAGATAAGCACCTCCATGAGGCATTATCAATGCTACAGGCATTGTTTTTGACTTTGCTGCGGGAAAGCCTTGGTATGCAGGAGTCAAACACTGGTCATTATGACTGGTTTCACTTCAAGATGGTGTCACTCTTGCCATGTGACAGGCTGTTTACCTACAATTTTTTTCGTATTTTCAGTTTGAAAGTGCCACATTTGCTATGTTTCAGGTAGTGTTTGCCTTTTCAGTTATTCTACTATTACTCCCTTTGAGTTTAAAGAAATGTTAATTCTAGAATTCCAGGATACAACAGAGAAACCCATATTCACCCTGTAACAGAGTGACCATATGTCCCACTTTGCCAGAAAGTTTGCACCAGTTGTCATGGCATAATTAATAGCATGCCTTTCCATTCCCAAGGTGTCACAGTTTCAACGGTAAGGTGTATGATCATTCAGCCTTACAATCGCATCCTATATATTAACCAGTATCTTCCCAAGGAAGATTCTTATTCTTTTTACTTTGTTACACTTGCATCCATTTCTAATATCAGTAACATTTTGCTGGACTTTTCCCAGATTTATGATTTCTTTGGGAAACCAGTTCAACATACAGATCAAGATACCATACCTAACATGCAGACACACTTAACAGAGCTTTCTATGTATCGATTCATACCTTACCCTTCATCTGAGTAATTAATTTCTATAATGCTGATATACCCTATATTCCTACAACTGTAATTTTCCTACAGCTTACGCTACATACTAGCATCAAATTGTTTTTTAAAATAGTCACTCTTGGCTGGGTGTGGTGGCTTACGCCTGTAATGCCAGCACTTTGGAAGGCGGAGGCGGGAGGATCACCTGAGGTCAGGAGTTTGAGACCAGCCTGGGCAACATGGTGAAACCCCATCTCTACTAAAAATACAAAAATCAGCTGGGCATGGGGCTGTGCACCTGTGGTCCCGGCTACTCAGGAGGCTAAGGCAGGAGAATCGCTTGAACCTGGGAGGCGGAGGCTGCAGTGAGCCGAGATCGCGCCACTGCACTCCAGCCTGGGAGAAAGAGCAAGACTCCATCCCCCAGAAATAAAAATATAGTCACTCTTGTATAAACTGATAATGAAAATAGAGCTCTCCTATAGCAATTTCATACATGCAAGTCCCACCCTAAATTCTTTCATGTACAAATAAATGCAGGTGAAGTCACATACAAGTGCTAACATGTACTCACCTAGACTGATTCACATATTTATTTTAAAAACATTTTCTTATATGGCTTATGTGTGCCAGGAACTATGCTAAGGACAGGTGATACAAAGTTATGACTTATCCTTACAGAAAGGGAAACAGAGTTTCTGCCTTTGTTGTTCACAGACAATAAACAAGTGATAGTAAAAAAGATGTTCTAACATACTTGTTTCTCAAAAAGGTTCTACTAATTACCCTCTAACAGAGTAAAATAAAAATTAAAACTGCACTCCCTACCTGCAAAATACATTTCTATTGTACTTACATTAAAAATTACACTATGCAACATAAAAAGCTATTGACAAAGCTCATTTCAAGTTTCTCATCTAATGCAATTCTAATCCCCAAAATAGTTTTTTTTCCCTACGTGTTTTGAGTAGGGCAGAATAAACAAAAAGACATAAAACTCATGCAATGTCCCCTGAAAGCAAAGATGTTGTGTAGTGACTGGAGGGAGCGAAACAGTGGTTTCAGAAGTACTGATGACGTTCTATTTCTTAATATTGGAGCTAGTTGCATAGTACACGTGTAGTTTGTCTGAAAACTCATTGAAGTTTACATTTATGTGAAATTTTCATTTTCAATTCAGCACAGTTATGAAAACACACAGTCAAAACTTTTAGAATATGAAATCTTAAATCTACATCAATAAGGAATATTAAGCAAAGAAGTATTTTTTCATGCTTCTATGCCTACAGACACTATAGGGCACAATAACAATAGTGTAATAGTCTAGGTACCATTTATTAAGTGCCTAGGTTAGGCCAAGGACTCTACTAGGAACTTTATATACATCATGTACCCTCAAAATAACCTTAGAAGATACTATCCTAATTTTATAAGTAACAAAACTGAAGTCTTCTCTGTAAGTCAGCACTTCAAATCCTAAACAGAGCAGAAATTTGATTAATGCTATTCTTTCTTCATATATAAAGCAATTTTAGATATAATAAATTCAAAGATTTTAACTTAAAATTCCAGTTTTTCAAATTGCAAAATATTCATTTGCTCTAACAAGAGATTAGAGTTGACAATTATGTCCAAGTCAGCTGACAATGATTCTCCAACCAAAATGACACACTAAAATTAGAGTATTACTGAACTTCAGAAACGTCACACAAGAATCTCTCTAACGCCTTTTGTAGCTATTCCAATTAAAAAGATAGAAGATTCGAAGAAAAAAAAAACACTGAGGTTAATGTGATTTGAAATTTTCAGTGTGAAGTCACTTTTTTTTTTTTTTTTTTTTTTGAGATGGAGTCTTGCTCTGTCACCAGGCTGGAGCGCAGTGGCACAACCTCAGCTCATTGCAACAACCTCCTCCCAGGTTCAAGCAATTCTTCTGCCCCAGCCTCCCGAGTAGCTGGGACTACAGGTGCGCACCATCATGCCTGGCTAATTTTTGTATTTTTAGTGGAGACAGGTTTCACCATATTGGCCAGGTTGGTCTCAAACTCCTGACCTCAGGTGATCTGCCCACCTCAGCCTCCCAAAGTGTTGGGATTACAGGCGTGAGCCACCATGTCCGGCTGTGAAGTCACTTTTTAAAACATTTCCTTGCTATGTCCACTAAAAGGAACGTATGATTAAAAACCATGACACCTCTGTAGTAATGAGCACACATAGAATCGGCATCTTGGTTTCTAAATACCATTCTCCACTAAAAGAAATCAAGACACTTTAGAATGTAAGGCTGGAGAAAGGAAGATACAAGATGATTCTATTTTATACCAAGAAGTTAGAAAGTGCTCAAAGAATGATAAAAACATGACAAACAAACACAGGAGCCAGCTTGAAGCTATTGGTCCCATCAGGAACAATTTGGGTATCAAAATCAATAATAATAATGAGTCACATGAACAAAACAAAAGTCCATGCTACTCTAAAAAATAAATGAATAGACAGAAAGGAAGTATTTTTCTTGCAGTAGAATGCCAACTAAAACACAGAGAAGGAATGACAGTCCTACTACTAGTAGAGGTTGAGCATCCCTAATTTGAAAATCTGAACTCCAAAATGTTCCAAAATCTGACTTTTTGAGTGCTAACATAACACCACAACTGGAAAATTCCACACCTGATCTCAACTGATGAGTTGAAGTCAAAACACACTGAAAGAGGCTGGGCGTGGTAGCTCATGCCTGTAATCATGCACTTTGGGAGGCCAAAAAAAAATACAAAAATTAGTTGGGCGTGGTACATGATGGCGTGTGCCTGCAGTCCCAGCCACTTGCAAGGCTGAAGCAGGAGAATTGCTTGAACTCAGGAGGCAGAGGGTGCACTGAGCTGAGATCGTGCCACTACACTCCAGCCTGGGTGACAGAGCGAGACTCTGTCTCAAAAACACACACACAGACACACACACACGCAATGACAGTGAAGACAGTGAAAAGCCTGGCAGGCCAGTAGAAATGGTCTGCTAAAAAATGTATAACCTGAATCTAATCATGAAGAAACAGCAGCCAAACCCAAACTGAGGAACGGTATACCAAACAATTGACTTGTACTTCTCAAAAATGTCCAAGTCGATAAAGACGAAAAAAGGCGGAAGAATAATGATGAAAAGACACTAAAAATGTATGACAAATATAATGCATGATCATCTTTGATACTGGGCATTACTGAGATAACTGATTAAATTTTAAAAATATGCTGTGCATTAGATGACAGCATTGATGTTTTAAATTATACCATCTTTATGAAAGAGAATGTCCCTGTTACTGGGAAATGTGCACTTAAGTTTTTACGAATGTACACACAAATATACATTTGTCAAGCAACTTTAGCAAAACATAAGCAATCACTGGATTTGGGTAAAAGGTATTTGGGAACTTCTTGCATTATTCTTGCAATTTTTCTGTAAATTCAAGATTTATCAAAAAAATTACAGTAGTCAGTTTGGAGGGGCTTCCACTGGCAAAATCGAGACTAATTTGAACATCACCAAAAAGAATGACTGTAATTTATTATCAAAAAACTGTAACACTGAATAAATAAAAATCTATCGTGACACAAAAAAGAAGTGGAAGAGGCCAGGTGCAGTGGCTCTTGCCTGTAATCCAAGCACTTTGGGAGGCCGAGGCAGGCTGATCACGAGGTCAGGAGATCGAGACCATCCTGGCCGACATGGTGAAACCCCATCTCTACTAAAAACACAAAAATTAACTGGGCGTGGTGCCACACGCCTGTAGTCCCAGCTACTTGGGAGGCTGAGGCAGGAGAATCGCTTGAACTGGGGAGGCGGAGGTTGCAGTGAGCCAAGATCACGCCACTGCACTCTAGCCTGGCAACAGAGTGAGACTCCGTCTCAAAAAAAGAAAAAAAAAAAAAGAGTGAAAGAACAATAAAGTAGTAGTCAGCTTGGAGGGTTTCCAGTGGCAAAATCGAGAATAATTTTAACATCATCAAAAAGAATGATTGTAATTGATTATTATCAAACAACTAAACACTGAATAAATAAAAATCTATCATGACACAAAAAAGAAGTAGGAGAACAATAAAGGGGAAAAACTCATTTGCAGCATGGGTAGGGAGTATCACATTGATTCCTTATTCTGAAAACTGGCAACTAAAGACTTCATTATCTACTTTGTCTTTTCTGAAGAAACAACAGTTCAACACTAGTTAATGAGAAAAAGTTCTTCTTTACAGAGGAATGCCTACTAATAAACATGAAAAAAACAACAGAATTAGAAAAATACCATTTTGCAGGGCCCAATAAAATAACTGTAAGTGCCCTAATCATCAATGGGTGTGCTGGAGAAAAAGCTATTGGTCAACTGCCAAATCCCTCAGATTACATGGTAATCTGCAAAGTGAAATATTTCCCTTATGATGAAGACATTGGTGGTCTCCACTTGAATCAAATCATCAAATTCAGCATCACAGAGTGATACAACTGCCATCATGTTCCACATGATAACCTGCAATATGAAGAACACAGTATCACTTACAAATTATTCTTCCCCAAAAATGTTTACTCGCAGTCTAATCAAGCCTTTAGACCTAATTCCCACTTTATAGAAAATATAACGGATAGAAGAGCAAATTAAAAGACACCATAAGGAAATGTTCAGACAAATCCAGATAGTGTCATTCTGTGAGACAATCAGTCTTATCTGTTCAAAAAGTCAGAGGCAGTCCAGGTGCAGTAGCTCATGCCTATAATCCCAGCACTTTGGGAGGCCAAGTTGGAAGGATCACTTGAGGTCAGGAGTTCGAGACCAGCCTGGGCAACATGGGGAAACCCTGTCTCTACTAAGACTATGAAACTTAGCCAGGTGTGGTGGCACATGCCTATAGTCCCAGCCTCTCGGGAGGCTGAGGTGGGAGGATCACTTCAGCCTGGGAGCTGAAGTTGGAGCCGAGACTGCACCACTGCACTCCAGCCTGGGTGACAGAGTAAGACTCTGACTCCCAAAAAAAAAAAGTGTCAGCCAAGTGTGTGGCTCACACCTGTAACCCCAGTGCTTTGGGAGACCAAGGTGGAAGCATCACTTCAGCCCAGTTTGAGACCACCTGGGCAACACAGTGAGACCCCTACCTCTACAGAAAAATAAAGTATTAGCCAGGCATGGTGGTGCATACCTGTAATATTAGCTACTCAAGAGGCTGAGGCAGGATGTTCGCTTGAGCCCAGGAGGTCAAGACTGCAGTGAGCTATTAATATTATCATACCACTGCACTCTAACCTAGGCAACAGGGCAAGACTCTCTTTAAAAAAAAAAAAAAAAAAAAAGGTGGTAGGTCAACTTGAGACTGCTATATATTAAAAGAGACTAAAGATTAAGTATGAGAAATGTAAATACATTTAGCAAAGTAGATAAATTAAAATTTAAAAAGTAATAAAAGAGACTAAAGAGATGTAACAATCAAAAGCATAAACCTAGATGGAATGACTGTGGTTCAAAAAAACAAAACAGAAAGACCACAGAAAACTTTTTTTGGAAGTTTTGTTTTTTGTTGTTTTTTTTTTTTCCCCCAGAAATCGGGAGGAGCTGGACACAGTGGTTCCTGCCTGTAATCCCAGCACTTTGGGAGGTCGAAACAGGCAGATCCTTTAAGCCCAGGAGTTCGAGACCAGCCCGGGTAATAGGGCCAAATCCTGTCTCTACCAAAAAAAGAAAAAAAAAAAATCAGCCAGGCATGGCGGCATATGCCTGTAATCCCAGCTACTCAGAAGGCAGAGGTGGGAGAATCACCTAAGCCCAGGATGTCGAGGCTGCAGTGAGCCACGATCGCACCACTGCATTCCAGCCTGGGCTGGACCCTGCAGCAGAGTGAGACCCTGCAGCAGAGGGGACTTGAACACAAGTCTTGGGCTCTGTATCAAATGTAGCCATCCCACTCTTCACTGAACCTCCTCCTTTCCTTCCAAATCGCAGGTCTCCTCAACTATAGAAGTGTAAGGTATTTCCCAGTGAGTTTCCTTCTTGAAGAATGACAGGTGGCCAAAAACATGAAATTCTGGACCACGTTTTTCTCCATATGGCAATGGTAGCTCCTAAGAATCAACTTTTCTCCATAATGTTGAACTATAGTAACAATAGTGCTAAAACACACCTTACCCATTTGGCCAAGAAATTAAACATTGTTTCCATGGAACACGAATAACAAGCTCCCAACAACTGACTTTAAAAAATCATCTTTAGAAATCAATCAGTTAGGCTTCCTGCATAACCATTTTCTTCCAATGCCTGTTATTCCAGGTTAGTAGCTTTTCAGTTATAAAGATATTTAATAATAACCTAAACTCAAACTAGCTCCCACATTAACTTCAATCTAAATTACTATGCTGAAGGAGTTCATTTAGAATCTGCTCATCACTGTGAAATATCATGATCTCAGACTTAGTTCCCCTGCAATACTCATTTGTCACTTTTATAAAGTTGTTTATCTAGTTGTTTCATAAAGTTGTTTATCTAGTTGTCCTAAAGTCCCTTCTTTATCAACAAAAGTCTGTAACTCTATACCACAAAATTTTGTTATCAATAGAGAAAATGAGAAACAATGAAAAGAAATGTGTCTTGGTCCCCAAGAGGTTACAAAATGGAAGAAAAGCAAAAAAAATCTTGAGAGTACTAGCCCTTATAATTAATGAAATTGTCTACAGAATAATGTTAAGAAAATATTTAATGATCCAGATTTTGTTTTAAAAATCATGTTTGCCATAAACAAACTGAGGGCACACTCACAACAATACCAGTTACAGGTAATTATTAATGGGTTATAGGTGACTTTCAGTTTCTTCTTTACACCTTTTTACACATCACATTACACACTGACTATACTTCTTTTATAATCAATCAAACAGTAAAATTTCTTTAAAAGTACCTATGTAACTAGGCCATGGCTCACTCCTGTAATCCCAGCACTTTGGGAGGATAAGGTAGGTGGATCACTTAAGGTCAGGAGTTCGAGACCAGCCCAGCCAACATGGTGAAACCCTGTGTCTACTAAAAATACAAAAATTAGCCAGGTGTGGTGGTGGGCATCTATAGTCCCAGCTACTCGGGAGACTGAGGCAGGAGAATTACTTGAACCCGTGAGGCAGAGGTTGCAGTGAGCCAAGATCATGCCACTGCACTACAGTCTGGGCAATAAAGCCAGACTCTGTCTCAAAAAAAAGCACCTATGTAATAACGCACACGGCTAAAGGCTAGGGGTATAAGGTAGGGAGAGGAGTGAGCAGTTATGGAGAGGATAGAATCAAGCAATTAGTTAACTACACCCACTTCTAGGAAATGTCAGCCATTATAAGATTAATGCAAAATTAACTTGTAAGTTCCACCACTGCAGAGCTCCGATGTTGGCTTATAAGTAGGTTCAGAGTCAGTTAAAAAGATACCTAAAATGAACCAATTGCTACTCCCCTTGAAAAAGTATGATTCCCTAATTTCCTACCTTGTTTCAGAAGGCACTTAAGATGGCAATATTCCTTTAATTCATCCGTTATGCATTGAACTATGCACCCCCTCCTCTAAATAAAGATAAATTGAACTCCTAATCTTCAGTACTTCATAATGTAACCTTATTTAGAGATAGTCTTTACAAAGCTAATCAAGTTAAAATGAGGTCATGAAGGTAATTCCTAATCCAGTATGACTGGCATCCTGCTATTATAAAAAAGGGAAATTTGGACACAGACACAGGGAAGATGTGAAGAGACACAGGGAAAAGAGGGCCATCTACAAGCCAAGGAATGCCTGAGGCTGCCGGAAGCAAGTAGAGAAGCCTGGGGCAGATCCTTCTCCAGCACCTTCAGAGAGGGCATGGTCCTGGTGAGATGCTGATTTTGGACTTCTGGAATCCAGAATTGTAAGATGACCAATGTCTGCTGTTTAAGCCATTCAATTTACGGTATCTGTTAGGAAAGACCCTAGGAAACGAATACACCATGGTATAAACTCCACGCAGCCTACACCCTCAGAGCCACTGCCTTTTTAAAGAGCTAGCACTGCACAATTTTACATGTAGAATGATACCTAATCTAAGCAAAACACAACTCAGGAAAGGAATGCATATCGCCATTTTATTTTAGTTTGTTTCCAATTTAGTTACGAATGTCTTCTATGAGAATGCTTGTAATATTTAAGTATAGTAATATATTATCAGCTGAGACATAACAATTCTGGATAATCTAAAAATTCTAGCTAACAAAGTTGATACATTATAACTGAGGTGTCCAATTTTTAAAAAAATACTTAACTGAAACATATAGGCATTTAGCATAAACTAGAATTTAAGAATATATGTCATGTAAAAAAGAAAAACAAAGTGTATGTCATAAACACAAAAACATCAACAAATAAGACACTTGATAATAAAAATGCTGAAAGTCAAAGACAAAAAGACACAGCAAGAAAAGAGGATGCATCACTTATAAGGGAAACTCCAGTTGAGACGAAAGGCTGACTTCTAAGCAGAAACCTGGTAGCTATGAGTCAGTGGGGTAATATATTCAAAGCGCTCAAAGAAAGGAAAAAAAAAATTTTAAAAAACCGTCAACCAACAATGCTGAATCTGCCAATGCTTCCATCTAAATGTGAAATAAAGACTTTCCCATAAGGGCATGGTGGTTCACAACTGTAATCCCAGCACTTTGGGAGGCTGAGGACGGAGGATCACTGGAGCCCAGTAGTTCAAGACCAACTTAGGCAACACAGGGGGACACCATCTCTACAAAAAATTTAAAAATTAGCCAGGCGTGGTGGTGTGCACCTGTAGTCCCAAGCTGCTCAGGAGACTGAGGTGGGAGAACCACTTGGGCCCAAGAGGTTGAGGCTGCAGTGAGCTGTGACCGCACTACTGCACTCCAGACTGGGCAACAGAGCGAGACCTATCTCAAAAAAAAAAAAGACTTTTCTAAAACGAAAACCTAACAGAAGTTGTTCCTATGCTAACAGACATACCTTACAAGAAATACTAAAGAAAGTTGTTCAGGCTAGAAGCAAGTGTTCTCAAACAGCAAGTAAAGTCCACATGAAAAAACATACAAGAGTACCTGTAACAGCAATTGTTAATTATAAAGGACACTATAAATGTGTATTTTTTCTTTCTTCTCTTAATTGATTTAAAAAGCAACTGTATAAAACTATATATATATATTATAGGCCAGGCATGGTGACTCACGCCTGTAATGCCAGCACTTTGGGAGGCCGAGGCGGGCAGATCACGAGGTCAGGAGTTCGAGACCAGCCTGACCAACATAGCGAAACCCCGTCTCTACTAAAGATACAAAAACTAGCCAGGTGTGGTGGCAGGCGCCTGTAATCCCAGCTACTCAGGAGGCTGAGGCAGGAGAATTGCTTGAACCCGGGAGGCGGAGGTTGCAGTGAGCCCAGATCACACCACTGCACTCCAGCCAGGGTGACAGAGACTCAAAAAAAAAAAATTATATATATATATATAATATAAATAATAATAACAGCACAAAAGAGGTAGGTTGAAATGGGCTAACATAAAATAGCATATCAATTGAATTAAAAAACCAGAATCACAGAATCATCTTAATACACACACACACACACACAAAAATCAGGTGACAAAAATCCAACACCTTGTCATGATAAAAACATAGAAAAGAATTCCTCTCTGAATACAATAAAAATTGTATTTATGGGCCAGATACAATGGCTCATGTCTGTAATCCCAATGCTTTGGGACACTGAGGGGCGGATCATTTGAGCTCAGGAGTTCAAGACCAGCCTGGGCAACATGGTGAGAACCCATCTCCACCAAAAATACAAAACATTAGCCAGGCGTGGTGGCACACGCCTGTAGTCCCACCTACTCAGGGGACTGAAATGGAAGAATCACTTTCACCCAGAAGGCAGGGGTGTGGTAAGACAAGATCACAGCACTGCACTTCAGCCTGGGCAACAGAGCAATACCCTGTCTTAACAAAAGAAAAGATTGATTTACGGAATTAATAAAATAAAAGAGGAAAAGAGCTCCTCAATCTGACAAAACGCATCTATAAAAAACTCACAGCTAATATCTTACTTAATAGCGAAAACACTGGATGCTTTTCCTCTAAGATTAGGAAAAAGACAAGAAAATTCCCTCTTGTTAACTTCTACTCAATACTGTACCATAGGTTCTAGCCAGCAGTTAGAAAAACAGGCATCCAAATTTGAAAGGAAGAAGTAAACCTATCTTTATTTGTATGTAACATGATTTTATATAAAGAAAACCCTAAAGAATCCACTAAAAAATTACTACTAGAATAAACGAGTTCAGCAAGGTTGCGGGTTCTAAAATTAATACATAGCCATCAATTGTATTGATCTCATAAAACTATGGAGTAGAATAGTGGTTACTAGAGTAGAGGCTGCAGATGTGGGGGGTGGGAGGAGTAGCCAAGGGGTGGTTAATGAATACAAAATTACAGCTCGATAGGAGGAATAAGTTCTAGTGTTCTACAGCAACAGTCCCCAACCTTTTCGGCATCAGGAACCAGTTTTGTGGAAGACAATTTTTCCATGGACTAGTGGGGGATGGTTTCAGGATGAAACTGTTCTCAGATCACCAGGCATTAGATTCTCATAAGGAATGTGAACCTAGATCCCTCGCATGCGCGGTTCATAACAGGGTTCACACTCCTGAGAATCTAATGCCTTCTACTGATCTGACAAGAGGTGAAGCTCAGGCAGTAATGCTGCTCGCTGGACACTCACCTTCTGCTGTACAGCCCGGTTCCTAACAGGCCACAGATCAGGGGTTGGAGATCCCTGTTCTACAGCACTGCAGGGTGACTATAATTAACAACAATTTATTGTATACTTTCAAATAGATAGAGGAGCAGATTTTGAATATTCCCAACACAAAGAAATGATAAATGTTTGAAGTGATGGATATGCTAATTCCCCAATTTGATCATTACACATTGTATACCTGTATCAAAATATCACACTGTACCCCACAAATACATACAATTATGTCAATTAAAAATAATAAAGCAAAAAATTGTATTTATATATGCTTGTCCTGAACAATCTGAAAATGAAAATAAGACAACTCCATTCACAGTAGCATTCAAAATGATTTAAATAAGTAGGAATCAATTTAACAAAAAAAGAGAATGACATATAAAAGAAAAAAACATTTCAGAGTTTCAAAACTCTGAAAACTACAAAATATTACTAAAAGAAATTAAAGGAAATCTAAACACAGAGAAAAACATACCATGTTCACAGACTGGAAGACTTTAACACTTAAAATGGCAATACTCCACAAACTGATCTACAGGCTCCATGAGATCTCCATCAGAATCCCAGCTAATTTTATGGAAACTGACAAGCTGATTCTAAATTCATATGGAGGTCGGACCCAGTGGCTCACCTGTGTAATGATCACTTGAGTCCAGGAGAACGAGACTGCAATGAGCTATAACTGCAGTCATGACAGTGGTACTGGCAGACAGGCAAACATACAAATCAATGAATTAAAATTGAGGATCCAGAAACTCATACATCTCTGATCAACTGGTTTTCAACAAGAGTGCCAACTCCAAAAGACAGAGAAAGAATAGTCTTTTTAACAACTGGCGCTGGGACAAATGGATAGTCACGTGCAAAAGAATGAAGTTACCTTTACCTCAAACCATGTACAAAAAACTAACTCCAAACAGATCAAAGAAGTACATAAAAGAGCAACACCCAGAAAACTCTTAAACACTGGATTTGGCAAAGGATTGACACAGGATTTGGCAAAGGATTATAAAATATGACACCAAAAGCATGAACGACAAAAGAAAAAAATCAGGCCAGACGCTGTGGCTCACATCTGTAATCCCAGCACTTTGGGAGGCCGAGGTGGGCAGATCACTTGAGGCCAAGAGTTCAAGACCAGCCTGGTCAACATGGCAAAACCCCATCTCTACTAAAAATACAAAAAAATTAGCTGGGCATGGTAGCGCGCAATTGTAATCCCAGCTACTCGGGAGTCTGAGGCACAAGAATCATTTGAACACGGGAGGTGGAGGTTGCCGTGAGCCAAGATTCAGCGACAAAGCAAGATTCTGTCTCCCAAAAAAAAGGAAAAGAGAAAAAAAATTAGATAAATTAGACTTCATCAAAATCAAAATTAAATTTTGTGCTTCAAATGGCACCATCAAGAAAATGAATAGACAACCCATAGAATGGGAGGAAATATTAGCAAATAAGGTAACTAACAAGAAACTTGTATCCAGAATATACAAAGAACTCTTACACCAGGGCCAGGCAGGGTGGCTAATGCCTGTAATCCCAGTGCTTTCGGAGGACTAGGCAAGAGGATCCCGAGGGCCAGGAGTTCAAGACCAGCCTGGGCAAAACACAGCAAGAACCCATCTCTACAAAAAGTAAAAAATTAGCCAGGCATAGAGGCATGCACCTGTACTCCTAGCTACTCCAGAGGCTGAGGTGGGAGGATGACTTGAGACCAGGAGTTGCAAGGGATGATCATGTCACTACACTCCAGCCTGAGTAACACAGCAAGATCCTGTCTTGAAAAAACAAAAACAAAACAACAAAAAACTCACAACAATTAAAAGACAACTCAAAGAACAGCCAAAGAATGCGAATAGATATTTTTCCACAGAAGATACACAAATGGCCAATAAGTACCTAAAGAGGTGCTCAACATCATTACTCATCAGAGAAATGCAAATCAAAACCACAATGAAATGAGATACCACCTCACACCCAAAATGGAATGGCTACAGTCAGAAAGTCAGATAACAAGTACCAATGGGGATGCAGAGAAATGGGAACAGCCATACACTGTTGGCAGGAACATAAAATGGTCCATCTCTGGAAAACAGTCTGGTAGATCCTCAAAAGATTAAACCACAATTCCACTCCAAAGTACAGACACATGAGAAAACAAAACATATGTCCATAAAAAGCTTGCACCCCCAATGTTTACAATAGTATTATTCATAATACCCATAAGGTAGAAATGGCCCAAATGTCCATCAACGAACAAATAAACAAAATGTAGTATATCCACACAATGGAACAATATTTGTCCATTAAAAGCAATGCAGTACTGATACATGTTACAACATAAATGAACCTTGAAAACACGCAAAGTAAAAGCAGCCAGTCCCAAAGACCATATACTCTATGATTCCACATACCAAAGTCCAAAGCAGATAATTATATAAACACATAAAGTAAATCAGTGGTTGCCTAGGGCTGGAAGGGGGAGGGAAAGGAAAGAAGGAGGAGAAAAAGAATAGCTAAAGGGTATAAAGTATCGTTCAAGATGATTAAAACTGACTGTGGTGATAAATGCAAAACTCTAAAAGCCACTAAATTGTACACTTTAAATGAGTGAATTGCATGGTATGTGAATTATATCTCAATAAAGCTGTTTTAAGAAAAAAGAATATGTGCCGGGCGTGGTGGCTCCCGCTTGTAATCCCAGCACTTTGGGAGGCCGAGGCGGGTGGATCACGAGGTCAGGAGATAGAGACCATCCTGGTTAACACGGTGAAACCCCGTCTCTACTAAAAATACAAAAAATTAGCCAGGCGTGGTGGCGGGCGCCTGTAGTCCCAGCTACTCAGGAGGCTGAGGCAGGACAATGGCGTGAACCTGGGAGGCGGAGCTTGCAGTGAGTGGATATCGCACCACTGCACTCCAGCCTGGGTGACAGAGCGAGACTCCGTCTCAAAAAAAAAAAAAAAAAAGAAAGAAAGAAAAGAAAATAGAATATGTATGTCAACTTGGAGTCTTTTTTGATTAATTGTTTACATTCAACATTTAAAGCTTAGTGTCCTGGCCGGGCATGGTGGCTCACACCTGTAATCCCAGTACTCTGAGAGGCTGAGGCAGGCTGATCACCTAAGGTCAGGAGTTCAAGACTAGCCTGGCCAACATGGCGAAACCCTGTCTCTACTAAAAAATACAAAAATTAGCCAGGTGTGGTGGCAGGCACCTGTAATACCAGCTACTTGGGAGGCTGAGGCAGAGGTTGCAGTGAGCCAAGATCGTGCCACTGCACTCCAGCCTGGGCAACAGAGTGAGACTCCGTCTCAAAAAAAAATAAGTAAATAAATAAAGCTTAGTGTCCAAAACTCAAATTCACTTTTAAAGTCTTCAATTTTGTTTTTTAGATAAAACATATATACATATGCATACAAAAACATATAAAGTAATGAAATAGAAATATTTTCTAGTTTCAAATAGGTTCTATGAAATCTAGTAACAATAAACTCCAAAAATGGGAATGACAAGAGTGGAAACGTCACTTCCATAACAATAAAAAGCTGTGCTATCATCCATTAATCGGTACATTAGAGTTACAGATCCTTTTAGTACTTGAGAATGAAATGTTCAACCTTTCCCCTTCCACAAGTCACCCTCATGGAGCTCACACACCCACTTTTCTGATACTGTTCTGCTGGATGTGAATTTAAGTCTCATTTCCCCAAAAAGACGTATCTTCCTTAAAAGTAAGAACCACTCATACCTAACAGTTCACCTAGCATAGCCCATACACCAATATTTACTGGGTATTCTTTCCTGTCTTCCTTATCATCTCTTTTCTTAGCCTCTCTTGCTCTGTTGGTTTTCTTCAGACTTACAAGCAAAATGAGAAAAACGAAGTCTCTAGAAGTCCAGGCTCTATGTTTCATCCTATTTCTCGTAAGTTTACTGAGGTATCAAATCTAATTATGGCAGTCGTTTAATAACTGCAAAACAAAAATATTTAGAGATCTGGCAATCCTCAAATTAGAGCTTCTTCTGATACTATCTTTAACCATTAAAAATCTATTTCACATCCCACAGAAATATCCACATCTTTCCACTTTGCCTAAGAAAATGTGAGAGTTGCCCTTTTCTGCCCTTTCTTCCTTAGGAAGCACACAGCCTGAGGCCTTCTCTCTAAACCTCCAAGATTATCTTTTAATGAAGCCGAACCATCATTTAAATTACTATGCTGTAAATATAAAAGGTTCTGATGTAATCTTAACATCCTAAAATATATTTTACATATACTCTGTTGAGCAAGGGCATATAGCATAGGTTTTATTCATTTCATCCATTTTTGTAACCTCTCATGCTACCAAGCCTATATTTACTTACTTATCAAAAGTTGTAAAAGTATTGGTAGCTAATTTTCCTGAATGTTCCACTGCATCTTTACTTTTCTCCTGCTGAGACTGGTAGTGTGCTAACAGTACCTGAAGTAAAAATTCTCCTTCCGTTACTTCCAAAACTAGAACAGATAACCACGTCTTAATGTTCACTTAGTACAAAAGGTGTATGTTTACAAATCCACTCAACTTCTTTCCAATATTTCACCATAACCCAAAATTCATTAAAGGCATATCAGGAATTGATTTTCACCTCTAATACATTTTTTAAAGTTAAAAAAAAACGTGGACGCATTGTGGTAGTAGAAAAATAACTGCCTCCCTCAAAATGTCCACATCCTAATCCCCAGAACCTGTGAATTCAAGTTGCAGAAGGAATTAAGGTTGCTAAAATCAAACGACCTTGAGAGAGTATCCCAGATTACCCAGGTGAGCCCTATGTAATCACAAGGGTCTGGTAAGTGAAAGAGGGAAGCAGGACAGTCGCCGTCCGAGGGAGGTAATGAAAGAAAGACTGGCCAGTCATGGCTGGCTTTGAAGATGCTGCAGGGGCCAGGAGCCAAAAGGCAAGGGCAGCATCCAGGTGGCAAAGGCAAAGAAACAGTCCCTCCTGCAGCTCCAGGAAAGAACACAGCCCAGCCAGACCCACATAAACCTCTGACCTCCACAACTTTTTTTTTTTTCTGATGTCCACAACTTTTTTTTTTTTTTTTTTTTTTTTTTTTTTTTTGAGACGGAACCTCGCTCTGTCACCCAGACTGGAGTGCAGTGGCGCGATCTCGGCTCATTGCAACCTCCGCCTCCAAGGTTCAAGCAATTCTCCTGCCTCAGCCTCCCAAGTAGCTGGGACTACAGGCGCGTGCCACCATGCCCGGCTAATTTTTTGTATTTTTAGTAGAGACAGGGTTTCACCATGTTGGCCAAGATGGTCTTGATCTCCTGACCTCGTGATCTGCCCGCCTTGGCCTCCCAAGGTGCTGGGATCACAGGTGTGAGCCACTGCACCCAGCGACCTCCATAACTTTAGAATAATAAACTTGTGTGATTTTAAGCCACTAAACTTGTGGTAATATGTTACAGCCCCATTGGAAACTAATGCACACACAAATTGGTCCATTTTAAATATTACAAATAGAAATACAAATAAATGCACTCTAATATCCCTAAAATCTGAAAATTAAAGTAACTGTACCTGGTTAGTTCATCTAATTTTCAGAATCCTGTGCCTAAGAATTTGAAGTTGCTTTTGTAAAAGCACAGGAGTAGTAAATATATAACCCTGAGGCGGAACATATTAAAAAATGGAAAATAAAAGAAAAACTACTTTGTCAAGTTTTAGTGTATAATCAGTTAAATCTTATTAATTATAGTTCAGATGCAAAAATCTGTTAGAACTTCATGTGCTCATTCACTTGTAATATCACAAAATTAAGTCTAGATGCGGAAAAGGTTCAACTTAATTTGTAAACTTTAGCCTGCCTAAATGTATGACTTTCGGAATACAACTATGAAAATATTCTGAAAATGTAAAAAGTTTATTTCTATGTAGCTTCAAATATAACATAGATGTACATTCTCTTTCAATGTTTTTAAAAATATTTCTTAAAAAAAACCTATAGAAGCAGTTAAAACTGTATTCTGAAGCCCTAATGAAACACTGGATCTAGGCAATGATTATCAACAGTTGCTAAAAACCATGAGGTAAAAAGCTGCCAGCAGCTCCGTAACAGAAGAGTCATTCTGACAATGCCAGCCTCATCATTATAAAGAGACACGACATTCCACTGCAAACCAGAAGTACACATCACCTAAGTTTTTCCACCACCACTTGTACCTCAACTCCTGCAAGGAAAAAAAAAAAAAAAATCAAGGAATCTGGTTCAGGCCTCTTAATCTACCAGATTACAGAAAACACAAAGGATGGAAGAACATGTTAAACATCACAAAGGGGATGCAATCAGCAAAGTACAGAAAATGAAAAAAGCTATGTGACAATCTGATTTCCTCAAAAGATAAACTATAATAAAAAAGAAACAGGGATCCACATTTAAGAGATATAGTGACGAAACGCAACGATGATCATTATGGATCCAACTATAATCATTTGAGACAATCAGGTAATTTCAACAATGATTGGATATTTATGAGTATTAAGAAAGAAAGAGGCTGGGGGGGCAGTGGCTCACGCCTGTAATCCCAGCACTTTGGGAAGCCAAGACAGGCGGATCACCTGAGGTCAGAAGTTTGAGACCAGCCTGGCCAACATGGTGAAACCCCATCTCTACTAAACAAAATACAAAAATTAGCTGGGCATGGTGGCAGGCACCTGTAATCCCAGGTACTCAGGAGGCTAAGGCAGGAAGAATTGCTTGAACCTGGGAGGTGGAGGTTGCAGTGAGCCGAAATCACACCACTGCACTCCAGCCTGGGCGACAGAGCAAGATTCCGTCTCAAAAAAACAAAAGAGAGAGAGAGAAAAAATGATTTTATGGTTGTCTTTAGGGGGAAGAAGCATCTACACCTACATTAGTAACAGCATGATCCGGCGGCAAAAGCACTAGACTAAATACGGAGAGGTCTCAGGCAGAATCCTAAAATCAAATCACTGGAGTCTGAAATAATCTATTTGTTAATTTCCTTACCTGTAAAACAGACTACTCCTCTCTATGGGTCCATCTCATAGATTTCACAGTTTTTGTTTGGAAAAAATGAACTAATAATAACAAAGTAATCTGAAATGTAAATACTGACATTGGTGAAGTTTCTTCACAGCAGGTATGTTACAAAAATATATTCTGCGTAATAGTTATTTTCACTAATGTGGTAATCATGTTTTGTTGGTTTTTTATTTTCAATAAATTTTCTAGAAAACCACTTCTGATCCCTTTTTGCTTGATAAGTTTTACATACATTAAGCTAAAAAACAGAATGCTGTAGTTGAAATGGACCTAAGATCACAAAGAGGTGTATATAATCCCGTCATTATATAGAGGTGTACATAATTCCCCGTCATTACTTTGGGAAAAAGTGGATGTTCTAGGTATGATCTCTCCCACTTTCCTTTACCCGCTGTATCAGAAGTACTTTTCATTAGCTCATTTTTAGCAAAAATGAGTTCTGTAAGCTACAAATGTGATTTTTAACAACATATACATGCCTTTTTTTAAAAAAAATATAAGTTTATAGAAGATTTTTCCCTAAACCAATATGAACCCAATCAATTTAACAAGTTTGAGGACAAAATTACTGAAACATTAAATCATGTAAGTAATTTTAATCACTTAACCTTATTTCTCTCTTGTTATTTTAATTCACTTCTCACTTCCTCGCCAGGACCTTTGTCCTCTTCATTTTTCTCCAAGTTACCTTTCAAATTCCACCAAGCTTCCCTCCCCACCACTCCCAAAAGCCTTCCTTCTCCAACTGATGCAGGCCTCACTCCAAATACCAGTCTGTCTTCCCTGTACACATCAAAATACAGCTTATCAAGTTTGTATCAGTTTACATTATTATACACAAAGCTGGTCTCCCCAACTAGACTGCAAGCCCTTTGGAACTTAAACAGCTTTGAATCTCTAGGGTCTAGCACATAACCCAACTTAATGAATATTCCTTGACATTAATTGCAATGGACCTGATTGCGCCATTAGTTTTACTGGGTGAACTGTGTTCCCTAATAAAGGTACGTTTAAGTCTTAAGCCCCAATATCTCAGAATATGACCTTATTTTGAAATAG